>NC_000008.11:89464222-90714222 GCF_000001405.40 Homo sapiens
TTAGTTAGTATTTTCTTACCTGACTCCAGTTTATAAGGATATGAAGATAGAATGACCAACTGGAGTCATAATCATTTATTTGTATAATCCTTCTCAATGTAAGAGTTTTTGTATTCTTTTTCAGATTTAATATTCATATCACCTTCATTTATAAAGGGCATAATTCTGTGCACTGAAACTAATGTATTCCATTTACATGTGATAACTTGCTTATTAGATTCAAGATAAGTTACACCTGTAAAACATAAATGGCCAGAGAAAAGCCCAGGAAGTTTATTTCACCATCAGAATCACATGAGGCATGTATTAGGGAAGAATTTATCCCAATATAATCATGGAAAAATATAGATTTAATCTATTAAAAATTCCCGACACTGTATATCTATTACAATGGCAAAGAAAATAAAACTGACAACAGGAGGCACTGGTGAGAATGCAGGGTAATGAACACTCTCGTGTACGTTGGCATGAGTAAAAAATGGTTCAGCCACTTAGAAGACATTTTGGAATTTTCTTATAAAGTTAAATATTCACCTATTATATGTTCCAGCAATGCTACTACTAGGTATTTACTCTAGAGAAAAGGGAAAAATAATGTGATCATTTATAGCTGCTTTATTCATAAATGCCCCCAAACACCCCAGATGCCCTTTAGTGGGTGAGGAGATGAGTAAATTGGGTTATATTCATATAGTAGAATACTACTCAGCATTAGAAAACACTATTTATTCAAGAAATAGCAAAGATGAACCTTAATATACTTTGCTAGGTGAAAGGCTACTATGTATATGGATGCATTTATATGACATTCTAGGAAAGGCAAAGCTCTGATGATGGATAAGAAGATCCATCCAATGGTTGCTAGGGTCTTGAAAAGTAAAAGGGACAGAAAACTACAAAGGAATTGTGAAGGTGAATACATAATTCCATACATTTGTAAAAATTCATGTAACTGTATACCACAAAGAGGAAATTCCTACTGTATGTAAATTACATAAATCAAGCAAGATAGAGGGAGAACCCGAGATGGAATGCAATTTGTGAGAAATGAATCTAACTGTATCATAAATTAATAACACAAGCACACAGGAATTAGTGGGGAAGAAAGAAGCTGATCTAAGTAACTTTGGGAAATAGCGATTAGACCGCATAAGGCCAAAAACAAAGAACTGTACACAACAAATACAACACACTAATTGGTAAATTTATTTCTCACTGGGGTATTGGTTAGCAATTCTGCAACTACTTTATATGTATACCACGGTCAAACAAATATGCAAATAAATTGTAGATAATAAAAACAAAAATCCGGAGTCCCTACTCTAGAAAAAAGAAAGGCAAAATTTGCCAAGTAGATAAAATAGAAATTGTTTGTGTCTAGGATATGGGAAAAAAATGTTTGCAGCATAAAATTTGGGTCCTAGACAATAACAAATTAATATAAGGGACCTGGGCATTTTTAAAGATGATAAAAAATAATGCAGCTGTATTTCTTTCTGCTTTTGATTTAGAGTCTATCTATAACAATAGTGGTAAAGGATAACATAAAAAATATAATAAACTGATACAGTTATTTCAAAATAGTAGCAATAAGTAAAAAATGTTACAGCTGTAAACCACCATATAGCAAGATCCTATTACTATCTGCTGTTGAAGTCAGCATACTGATTACAACAAAATATAGCAAAATATATAAGTGCCAGATGATCAATGGTGATGCCTTTTCTGGCGTTTGTGTGTTGTAAAAGGAAAATAAGAACCATTATCTCATTACCAGGAATAAGCTCGCTCCTGTTCAACAGTCTTGGTGTAGACAAAATGAAGCAAGCTGTATTGTAGGACTATTTTCAACATGTCATAGATAAGGAGCTTCCCCCTCCTCTCATTTAACTTTATGTTTCAGAGGTAAGACCAGCTCTACATAGTTGCTTTACCACCTTTTACAACATGTGTTGATGATCTGTGCTCTCCTCAGGTAGCCACTGAAGTTTCTGAGTCCTGTATCCTATTTTGAATCACTCTGGTTCTCATTTAAAATAGAATTAATGAGTGTTTTGTAATTCCATGACAGTTGTGCTATGTAGAGCCCATGGTTTTTATCGGAAGTGCAAAGGGCATGGCAATTAACCCACAACACCTGAAGAACAGTGTGCCTTGAAGTCAGAATTTTGAGTACTGATCTTGCCACTTCCTTGTTGTGGACAAATACCTTGCTTTCTCTAGGCCTGTTTCCTTGGCTCACAGATGCTGATAATAATCCCTTCCCTGCTCCTTCCACAGGGTTGTCTTGAGGATAAAATGAGATTGTAGTGGCATTAACACTTTGTAATCTCACTACATTAAAAACTACACAAATGAGAGTTGCTATAAAGACTACAAAAGAAAATTCTTGACATGAATAAAAATTAAAGAAAAACTATTTTTATATTGATAAAAACATTATGTAATGTTTTTGTTGATTTGCTACATGGATCAAATCTTGTGATTCTGAAAATCTTCCATAGGACTATTAAAATGCCTTCTTCCAATCATAAAATATTCAATACTAAAGGGAAAAATGCAAATAAAGTATAGTGTAGTACATTAATTTAAATAATTTGCAGGTATCAAAAATAATTTGCAGGTATCAAAAAATTAAATAATTTGCAAGTGCCAAAAATTATGACTGGAAAATTGAAGTCATGAGACCCCTCCTATTTCCTTTACTAAAAAGTAAAAAAAAAAAAAACCCCTCAAATTCATTCACACAAAGATATTGGGAATTTTTTTATCCCCCAAAGGGTACCATTGGGTCATTAAAAGGATATTAAGACCATGTATAAAAGCAATGAGTTGTTAATGGCAGATTTCTGTCATCTGGGAAAGACTGGTCTGTTTCAATTACACCAAGTAGGCAGTTACATGTTCTTACATAAAGCTACAAACTGTTTTTGTCACGTTAATGAAAGCAAAGGAAACAAGGAGTCTTTTATTGATTCTGGAGACCATGTGATACAAAGAGAAAAACACTGGTCAGGAGGGCTTCTTTCTAGTTCCAGTTCTGCCCCGTTATTAGCTGCTCTGGACCTCGAATTTCTTCACCTGTTACATTTGCCCTACCTACTCCAGAGAAAGAGAGAGACAGAGTGTGTGTGTGTGTGTGTGTGTGTGTGTGTGTGTTTGTGTGTGTGTGGTGTGTGTGCGAGAGAGAGAGAGAGAGAGACGGAGGGAGGGAAGAAGACAGAAATATCAAATGAAATTAACATGAAAGTGCTTAAATAGTAGAATTTTTCAAGAGTGAGATTATAATTTTACATTCTGGAACTATTTGCACCACACAATAAACCTGGCGACTGAAATAAAAATGTATCCGTAATCTAAAGATTAACATCTTTTTGCAAAGGAACCCACCTAATATATATATATATATAAAATTATTTCAATCTTTTTGGGGGAACAGGTGGTTTTTTGTTATACAGCCAAGTTTTTTTTTTTTTTTTTTATGAGACGGAGTCCCGCTGCGTCACCTAGGCTGGAGTGCAGTGGCGCAATCTCGGTTCACTGCAAGCTCCGCCTCCTGGATTCATGCCATTCTCCTGCCTCAGCCTCCCAAGTACAGGCGCCCGCCTGGGACTACAGGGACTGCAGGCGCTCGCCACCATGCCCGGCTAATTTTTTGTATTTTTTAGTAGAGAAGGGGTTTCACCGTGTTAGCCAGGATGGTCTCGATCTCCTGACCTCGTGATCTGCCCACCTCGGCCTCCCAAAGTGCTGGGATTACAGGCGTGAGCCACCATGTCCCACCTACACAGATAAGTTCTTTAGCGGTGATTTCTGAGATTTTGGTTCATCCATCACCCAAGCAGTGTACAGTACACCCAATGTGTAGTCTTTCATCCCTCACCCTCCTCCACCCTTTCCCCCGAGCCCTCAAAATCCATTATATCATTCTTTTGCCTTTGAGTCCTCATAGCTTATCTCCCACTTATAAGTGAAAACATATGATATTCAGTTTTCCATTCTTGAGTTACTTCTCTTAGAATGGAGTCTCCAACTCCATCCAGGTTGCTGTGAATGCCATTATTTCATTCTTTATGATCGAATAGCATTCCATTATATATATATGATATATACATAATATACATTATATATGATATATACATAATAATATACATTATATATGACATATACATAATAATATACATTATATATGAGATTATATATATCACATTTTCTTTATCCACTCATCGGTTGATAGGCATTTAGGCTGGTTTCATATTTTTGTAATTGTGAATTGTGCTGCTATAAACATGTGTGTGCATGTGTCTTTTTCATATAATGACTTCTGTTGTGGGGAACTGTTAAAAATTTAACTTCTTAAAAAACATCGGTTCCTATTCTGGAGGAGTGCTATCCCTGATCAGAGGAATCTGCTTCTGCTTCTCTGCTCCTCATCTCAGCTGAGTAATTGAAATACAGTTTGATAACTTTCTCTTCCTGTACCGCACTCTCTAGAGAATGTGGATGTCCCATCTATTGTTCTAGGCCACCACAGCAGCAGCCCACCAATTCTCCATGTGTCAGTAGCCTGGACAGGACTTAGACGCTTGAGAAGGACACCATCACTCTAGACCTTAACTTCCTCACCTGAAAAATGAGAATAAGTTGGAATATGTCTTTAGTCTCTTCCTTAAAATTCCATACCCATATTTAGAACCAACAAGAAAGAAAAAAGGCTTCTTTGGCCCCATGTGGGAAATGGTCTTGTGAACCCTGCAGATCATCAGAGCCACACTGTGTAAGGAAGCTTCTGAGTCTCTCCCAGGAAGAAACCCAAATTTTGTGGGGCCCGAAGTTTATACCATTGATGTAAAAGATTCTTGTTGAAAAAGCATACAATATTTTGAATACAAAATTAAATACAGAGGTGAATATCTATTTAGAATGACAGATAAAACGTCACAAAAAATTATCAGTTTTAAAATGTTGGAAAATAAAGCAAACATCATAAAATGAAAAAATCATAATGATTTTATTACTTAATTGCTAACCTACTTCTATAATACTATTTCCTACCCTTTTGACACTATGCTGTTTCCTTCTTTGTGTGACAGTGGTATTTAAAATATTTTACATGAAGACATTATAATGATAACTCAATCTTTTCTCTCTCACAGCTAATAAAAAGTTATTTTTTATTATTGATGGTTGACATGCACAAAACATGTGACTTCACAAACAGATATATTCTCTGTAGTACTGTTATTATCAGTGTGTGCCCTACAAATGCAAGGATTCTGAAAACCTCTACTTTATGGTTTATTACTATGAATGTTACATTGCTGCATACATTTCTGTTGTGGCAAGGCTTTGATAAGAACCAAATACTCCAATTATAGCTTTGTTCATCTGATGAACTGAAGAAGTACCTCGGCAAGCTAGTTCTGTTATTAGGATAGCTAACAATAACTTCATTATACATGAAAGTGGCTTTAAATCACATAAATATGTTTCATTGGACACAAATTAAATGTATCCCTAATTCAACATTCAATTAGCTCAATTCAAATAATGTCTATGCTCATTCTAAGTCACCTGTCAGGAGGAAGAGTGCTTTGCAGGAAAAGCAGAAGTAGAAAGATATAGAAGACTTAACAAATTGTGGCTAGAAACACCGTAATTTTAAAATTTGATAAAACTTCACACAAAAAAAAGACTTTTCTCAGGGATTTGGAAGGCACCATGTAAGTGCCCCTGAGGGTTATGTCTCATTGGTTTTATGGCACGTCTTCCTTTATCCTCCAATTGGCCCCCAGACCAGCAGCCTGAGCAGAACACAAATCTAGACTATGGCTCTAAAAGAAGACACTGGAAGTTGAAACTGGAAAATCACATGAAAGAGCAAAGTCCAGGAGTTTCTACAACAGCTCCTAAATGTAGGATGAATGAAGTCACTGCCTCCATCTTGCATTAAAGACAATATGAAAATAGACAGCTTTTTTCCCAGACAGAAAAATAGGAAATGAGCAAGACTAGGCTATCATTGGATACTTTCAAAGGGGCCAGAGCACTGTCTTGCACTAGAGCCTACTGCCTATTGCCAATTGCAAAATGCAGTGAGATTATTGGAAGCCAGGATAAAATTAGTGATGTCTGTTAGGACACATGGGAAAGTGATACTATATGACCAGATATTTAACACTCATGCTTTGAAAAGTCAATCCAAATCACAGAATATAGGTGAAGTGAGTTGGAGGTAATCTATAGAGATTCAATCTACATTCTGAATAAAAACAGTCATCAAGAGACCAAAAATAATCCTTAAGTATGTAAGAATAAATGGAGAATGCAATTCCAATGAAAAACTGTATGTATGTCCAAGTCAGTTATATACTAACAGAAATTAAAAAGTAGCATAATCAAGGAAGAAAAGACTTCTCTCTCTCCTTGTTTTGAGGAACTCAGTGGTATAGGCAGGTAAGCCAGTAGTAGTTATGTTCTGTTCATTAGACTTAAGAATGATTTCCAAATACTCATAATTCATGAATGCAGAACAATTGGAAGAATCTGGAAAATCTTCTAGTTCTAATGGATAAAAAGATAGAATATAATATATGCCCTGACAATTCATATATGTAGGTAGAAAAGTATAATATATTAGGTCATAGGCTTTAACATGAGATTTGCTTGCATTAATTTTATTGGGGCATGCCCTCAGGAACAACATTTGCAATGAAATGAGGAAAGCAGAATGGTGCAGAGGGAGAAGTTAACCTGCATTGCAGTTGCAACAGAGCCCTTAGCCAATTCTGCAGAATGCTCTGGGGCTGAGACAATCCTTCAGAGTTGTTCTTCAGTGAAGCAATGGGATCTCTGAACTACCACAGTAGACCTGTCATGATAGAGGTTGTCCCTGGGGTGGAGTGTATAACCTTGGTGGGGTGGGGTGTACAATTTTGGGTGAAGCAGCTCCCTGCAGATCAAGGGCAGTTCTTGGAAAAGACTCAGCTATGAGTTCTCTGCAGCCAGTACTCCCAGTAGCCAGTGGTATAAACATCATCATCCTAAAGAGGCAAATCTGGGCAGCATGTTAAACTGTCCACTACAGACAACAACATGAAGAAATAACGTAAAATTTAGAACAGCATTCTAAGCTCCAGAATCCTTTAGCCTTAGTTGATGGATCAATTTCAAGATGAGTGGCAGAGAGAGCAGAGAGAAAGCATCTTTCTGATCACCCTCTCCTATGTGAGTCTCTTCTGAATCAAGATCACATGGCTCTCAAAACTCCTTGTTAAAATGTCAACATGTCCCTTGAAAATTGTGAGGCACTGATGTAAAGGTACCAATGACCACTTTTGAGAAGAGAATAAAGGTAATGCTATATTTAGATGGACTATGCTGCAAATGTGTGTTCTCACTAGAAAATGACAATGGAGGCTTGTGTTTCACCAAAGGGCATTTTGAGGGCCATGGCTACCCTAGAAGATGACAAACTGCAAAAGTCACCTAAGGGAGTGAGAGAGCATTTCACTCAAATTTCCTATTCCTTCCTATTTTACTAGGCCAGCCCTGCTGCTCCTGTCCTGTTTTGAATATTCTATTTCTGTTTAACTACATTCTGTGATTTCCGTCCCCTGATAGCAGATGCTTGGCAAACTCTGTGGGCAATTGAAGGATTTGTTTACCTTTGCTCTGAAGCTCTGTTACACTTGTTCTTGCATTCCCATACAGGCAACAGAAGGAAAATAAATGCATAACGTAGAAAAGCAACTACCATTACCTTGAAAATAGGCTGGCTCAATACGTGTTTTCCCTTAACTGCAATTAAATATTTTTTATAATAGTGAATGCCAAATAAGTGCAATGGTCCAAGAGAAAATAGAGAAAACAAATGCCAACAGCCGCCATGTGGCAATCCCAGTTGTATTTGGATATAGTCATTAACTTTTCTTCTCTAGAATTTATGGAGGAAATAATGTTATTCCTTAATATTATTCAGAAATGTTGCAAATTAAGTCTCTGTCAAGTGAATCCAAGATTTGCATGTAAAATTGTGGAATTAGGAATTTAGCAGGGTGAAACTGAGGAGATTCCTCTGCTTTTCAAAATATATTCAGTCATTTTCCAAAGAAAACTGTAGCAAGTGCAGGGTGGAAATCTCTCAGTCAATAGTCTAGCACTTTATAAAGATGATTTTTCCTTGGAGACCATGATCTGAACTACATTATTTCTATATTCTGTATTTCAGCTGAATTTTAAAATTAATTTTCAATTTCCAGACACACAAAACCACTTATTGACTACTAAAATTTCCTTGTTCTCTCTCCTTCCTACCATTGTATCTTTTTCTTTTTACAGACTCAAATCAGTCTCCTAAGGTCCTAAATGTAAGCATACCTATAAGTTGCTAGCCAAAATTATCTTAGAAAAGGTCTGTTTGACTTTATTATTTACATGAGATAAGGATTACTTTATGTACTGCCTGTGATGTTTTCTGTTTTTGCTAATAAAAAAAATACGTGACAAGCAGTTCCTTAATGATTCCTTTCAATTCACTCTTACTATTTTGCTAGGCATTTATTTCCCAGAGACCCAGACAGATATTTTTTAATGGTTAGCATGTTATACATATAACCCATAATTAGGCAATTTTGTTCACCCTGGAGGATTCTGATTATACCCAGCCATTTAATGTTTCAGTTCAGTTGGTGTTTTTGCCTTTTTCTCACAGCACAGCAGATGAGAATGCCCATTATTGTCCCAATAGGGATTCAGAAAAAGAATAAATACCTAATATTTTGTTACTCTAAGATTAAGTAGGTATTTGTTATATAATATTTCCCTAATCAATTATAACTTTTACTTTGTGGTTTGTGAATTTTTATGTCTGAAGTTCACTTCCACACCACAGTTGGGCCATAAAGTTCTTCTTAATTTCTATTAAGCATGGAAATTGATCATTTCGGACTGTAATTAAACATAAGATTCTCAAGAAAAGAATTCTAGCACAGAGATTTTCCTATACACATGTTGGATAACACTTAATGAAGCATTTTATATCCTGTTAAAACTTTATACCATGAAGTCTGTGTATAAAATGGTTATTGAAATAGTTTTAATATTTTAAAAATTATATAACTTCTTATCTAAATAACAAAGTTGGGACTGACACATAAAACAAACAGGCCACAGGCAAGTATTGTATGATATGTATTACTCTTAGTCATTACATTAATATTAATAATATTCATAGGGAATTAAACTATTAATTTTTCATAAGACCTAAAAAAGTCATATTATTGCAATAATTAAATAACAGAAAACACAATTAATATGGGACTCTAGCTGAATGCAAATAGTATTTAAATAGGTATGTTTCGGTTTTTCTGTAGTGGTATACACTCACAATTTGGCTTAGTTTTTTTTGTTCTAGCTATGTGAAATAACCCAACCAATTTTCCTCTTTGCATACAAAAGGAATATTTTGTGCAGTAAAGTTCTCTCCATCTGAACTGAAGGAACTCCCTTTTCCCCTTTTTTAATCCATCTTTTAAAAGCCACATTTTAGCCCAGCCTTCAGTGAATAACACTGCTAGGGAAACAAGACTTTTTTTAAGTCCAAAAAGACAACTTTCTTGTGTTTTCTCTCACACAATCTGGAGGATTTTTAATTACAGAGCATTACTAGCCTTATCATAGACATATCCAACCACATCCTCTTGTAGAGATTAAAATTGTGCCCAAGGTACTTTCTCCGCAGATGTATTATGCTTGAAAGCAATACAAATGAGTCATGATATTCCTGATTGTGAAACAGAAGGTTGAAATACACAGCAATACCAGAAGTCAGGTGATCCCACACTAATTCTTTCCACTTACTTCTTTTAACAGTGGATAAAATTAGGTATTTGTTGTGATCAACTAGGCATTAAAACATGATTTATTTGGCTTAAGCCATCTCCATGCTTCATTCACATATTCATTAATTCAGGGCCTGCCTCCTGGGCTCTTGTGACATGCCATGTTCCTATCTTCTCCATCAATAGAGTTTTCTGCTCTATTAGTCAGGATGGGCTAGGCTGGGCTGTGATAACAAACTAAGGCTAAAATCTCAATGGCTAGACAATACAAAGATAGATTTCTCACTCATATAAAGTCTAGTGGAAATCAGGTGACTCTCCAAGGCATCTAATCTAGCCTCCAGGCAGTGACTCAGTAACCCAGCTACATTATCCCATGGCTTTGCCATCTCAGCATTAATAGTGGAAGAGATTACCTAGAGATCACACTGTTACTGTTCTGTGCTTTGGCCCAGAAGTGATACAGGTATTTGTACTTTCAGTCTATTGGTCAGAACTAGTCATACATTTATGGGATCTGCAACCAGGGAAGGTGGCCCAGGGTGTCTGTCTGCTGGTAGAATTATTGTTATACTCACTACTTTGCCACCATAAAACTAGTTGCCTAAGAAATTATGAGTCAATCTCTTTTGACTCTTTAAGTGAAAAGAGCGCTTGAAACATCACCATTTATTGAAGTGATTTTGTTTGTTTTAATGAAATAAGTGTAACTATTGAGTTAGGTAATTAAATAGCTTATATAATTTGAACCTTCATCATTAGCTGGAGTACAGTGGCACAGTCTCAGCTCACTGCAACCTCCACCTCCCGAGTTCAAGCGATTCTCCTGCCTCAACCCCCTGAGTAGCTGGGATTACAGGTATTCGCCACTACACCCAGCTAATTTTTGTATTTTTAGAGGTTTCACCATGTTGCCCAGGCTGGTCTTGAACTCTTGACCTTAGATGATCCACCCACCTCAGCCTCCCAAAGAACTGGGATTACAGGTGTGGGCCACCGCTCAGGGCCTTCATATATTATTTTTAAACTCTTTAGATTTTTAAAAGTTAAACAAAACATTACTTTTAAATTTCATCTAGAAATGTAAAAACCAGTGTTAATAGAGATACATTTATTTGCAATGCATCTTTTTCCCTTTCAAAGAGCCCCAATGTCCCATCTGTATTACTACCAGTAGGTGTTAAAATGACTGTTTATCTTTAGTGATAATTAGTTCATTACTTCTTAATTAATTATTAATATCTGCAATGTTTCTACCCAGGCGACCTAAGGATTAAGAAGAAATCCTGCTCCTTTGTCTTTCTCATCTTTCATTTACAAGCAATCATTAAATTCTGTCAGTTCTACTTCATCAATATCTCTCAGATCTGTTCATTTCCTGGCTTCTCCATTGTCACAATATCTTATTTCACATTTCTGCCATCTCTCACCTGCATAACTATGAAAACCTCCTAACTTACTTTTCTGAATCTTATTTTGCACATCTCCAATCTATTCTCTGCTCCTCATCTACAGTTTTGTAAATACAGCAATCTAGTTGTTCATGTGTGTGTATATTCAAATGTGGTCACATAATCATCATCAGCCACTAGTTTATGTCATATTCTGAGCATAGAATACCAAGGCTTAATATGTCCTGCCAACCTTTCCAGCTTCATCACTGCCAACCTCACCTACAGCGCCTATTGAGATCTAATTGTTCTCAGAATCACACTTCTCTCATTATTGCAGAGATTCACTATATCTCCTTATGCCTGAAATATTCTGACTTCATGGCTCCCACTCCCAACTAATTTCTCTTTATTTTTTGGGACTTGGTTTAACAGTTGTCTCTAAACATGAGTGAGGCCCTCTTCCTTCAAGCTTTCACACTTTGTGCTGGCCCATCATATCATAACTCTCATTGCACAAGATGGTAATTTCCTCCTTGTTGTGGGCCTCTCGAGTTACATCAGCATTGTTCAAAGTGTGGTCCAAAGAGCACCTTTATCTGAATCACTTGGGGAGCTTGTTAAAATTGTACATCCTAAAATACCACTTTAGATCTATGGAATCAGAATCTCTAGGAGTAAGGTCCAGGACTCCATATTTAAACAAATTACTCAGGTAATTCTAATCCTACTACATTTGAGGAACTATTACAATAGGGCTGCATGTCCTCTTGGAGACAGACTGGGGCTTGAGTATTTTCTTCCTGTGCATCTTCTTCTGTTTAGCACGGTGCCTGGAGCAAGAAAGAACTATGGATATTTTAACCATTTGCGACTTATTGGTCAATATCTCCACAAACCTGATCTTCATAACTCAACCAAGACTAAGCCTAGATTTAATTGGCTCACTAAAAATATGAAAACAACATGAGGTTTATGAATTTATCATTAAACTGTAGGTGTTTCTAATTTACCAATCATTGTTTTTTACATGTTTCTACTTAAGCTTTATTTCTAATTGTTACTTAACATATGTGAAATTATAAAACAAATTCTGTTTTCTAGAATTACCTTATATTTTTGTTAACATGAAAGTGTGACTTCTAAACATTTTTAAAATTTTAATTTAAAATGCTCTGCTAAAGTTATACTTGCATAGTTTTTACACTTAACATGTCTACAGATATTCCAGATACCTAAGATATTACTATATTTATTTCTAAGATTCATGCATTCATTCACTGGACAAATATTTAGAGAGCACATACTATGTGTCAAACACAATGTTAGGTATTGCATATATATTGGTAAACAAAAGAGAAGTAGTTGTTCCTGCCCTTAAGAGTGCACATTATTATTGGGACACAAGCATTAGATAAACAAACAAATATATGTGTTGGTGGAGGAAGTGTGTATGTGTATGCATTACACAAAATGTGAAGTGCCAGGAAATAAATAAAAAGGGGTGTTATGTGGGAATAATAAGATCAAGGGCTTATTTAATGTCTACCCATGGCTTCCCTGGAAAAACATTTCTGCTGAAGTTGAAGGATAAGTGAAGTCGTCAACGTCAATGAGAGACAGATGGAACAATAAGTACAAAAGCCCTGGGACAGAAACTTGGGCATTCATGACCTAAAAAAAGCCCAAGGTATTTGAAGGATCACGAGCAAGGGGGGAAGTGGCCCAAGATGAGGTTGGAGCCACAGCATCAAGTCAGGTCAGGATGGGCCTTGCCAGCCATAGTAAAAGAATATGAATGTTCCTCTAACAGCAATGGGAAGTTACACCAGGGTTAAACAGGGTTGACATATAATTTAATTTTTAATTTTTAAGAGAGCATTCTCTCTGAAGTATAGAGAATTGAATTTAGAAAAGGAAGAGAGTATTAAACAAAGGGATTAGATGGATATTGCAGTTGTTCAGATATGAGAGGGTAGACTCTGATGTTGGCAATTAAGAGAAATGGGCAGATTGAGGTATATTTTGGAGATTATAGCAACAATAACTGCCCATGGGCTTGACCCCACAAGAAGAGGGAGTCAAGGTGGGGTTAGCGGGGAGGGAAGTCAAGCTTCTGAGTTGAAAGCTTCATAGTCCCGTCAACTGCAAGCAGGAAGCCTGAGGGAGAGATAAGCTGGGAAGTAGAGGAGATTACAAGAGTTCAGTTTAGGACATGCCTCTGAGACATTTAAGTAGAGATGTCAAGTAGGTACTTGATTAATTGGTATAAAATATAAACCACAGAGGAAGCTCAAAATGTTCTCACCACTTCAGTCGTATTCTGAGATTAATGTTAGCAGCATTTCCATCTTATTATTATTTTTGTCGATACCATGGTCCATTTTTACAATTAATGTAGGGATAAACCTCTAAATTTAACCCCCTTTACCCTGCTGTGTCTTTCTACCCTGAAGAAACTCAGAAGACAAAACAAATTTATTCAAATTCTAAAGTCATTTTATATTTGAACTGGAGGAAAATGAACACATATATTTACCTCTAGACATTTCTGTGAGCAAAGTATGAATTAAAAAATTGGCATTCAAATTCAAGAAAATATATGCATTTTCTCATTTTACTGTTGAATATTCTTAATGTCTCTGTCATTTTACAGACTCCAAATTAACTGCAATGACAGCTGTTTTACATAAGAAAGAATAAATTAGTAACTGAGCTCAACAAGCATTTATTGAGCATAAACTTGATGGATAACAATAATAATAGATCACTTTTATTAAGGGCTTACTAAGTTACAGACATAATATTCAATGCTTTCTCATATAAGTTTTAGATTGAATTTCATAAGAAGTCTGTAAATACTATTATAACCCCCATTTCACAAATGAAGAAACTGAGACTTAGAGAAATTAAATAATTTTTCTAAAAGCACACAGCTAAGGAGTGGCAGAAAGAGGATTCTAATACAGTTCATCATACATCAAAATTTTTGCTGTTAACCATGAAGTTAGGCTGCCTAGAAACTATGAAGGATGAAAAAAGAATATAACTTATTTAAAGTGTTGATAATCCAGCCTAAGAAGGAAAATGTGGGAGAAGGAATTAAGATCTGTTGAAAGCCTGTAACTATCCTTTGCCCTACCTAAGGCAAAGAAGCCTTCCCTCCTCTTTAAACCACCACCACCCTCACTTGCTTGCTCTACACCCAACAATATGAATACAGAGCCGGCCTGTGTAGGCTCCAGGGCACTAAGAAGGTCGTACTTGCAGAGATGAGGCTGCAACCCCAGGAGAGTGGCTGGTTTCCCATCTCAGGCTGAACACTGATGGAAGAACCAGAGCAAACAATCCAGATTGTTAAGTGTCAAGAAATTGATGCCTATGAAACAGAGAAATAGAGCTTTCCATGTGCTCAAGACTTACTCACTGGAAGGCTTTATTGGAATTTAGGACTAAATCCTCATTAGTATGTGTTATGTTGCTTGGCCTTCCCTCCTTCATTATGTATCTTCCTCAGGGGCTTTACTGGAAAAGATACATGGATTCAGGGATTTCTAGGGCCATGGTCTAGTAACATCAATGCCATCTTTAATGGAACCACATCCCATTAGCCTTAATACCTGCAATGTGCTAGGACTTTGAATACGGTTGATCCTCTGCTTCACAGCGCTTGCTTGGTTTAGTAGTACCATTATGCCTGCTATACTTAGAGGCTCATAGTTTGGAACTCTAAGAAGCTAGGATTCAAATTTCCTAACCACAGAAGATTCTTATATATTCAAAAATTAACCTCTCCTGACTGCTGTGTGTGCTGGTGTGATTGTAGATGTATTACAGAATTAAGAGAACAGCTTCTGTTTTGAATTGTGGTAGGATTACATTATAAGTGTAAAATTTCACGCAGCACACTCAATTTCTTTGTGCCTCAGTTACCAAAGGCACAAAATGGTAGTGATAAGATAGGATCACAATAAAGATCAAGTGATGTATACACTAGAGTGCTTACATCAGGCCTGATACACAGAAAATATATTATGTACTAAAACATACACCCATTTCATTTTGCACAAACCTTTTTAGCTGTAATTACAAAACTTTAGACATTCTCTTAATTGCTTATCTATATTGCCTCATTGTTGCCTATGTTACTGAAATAATCAACATATTCCATAAAAAGATTACTTATTGTTTCATTGTATTACCGATTAAATTAACTCTCTGCATCTCTCATTTGGATCTCTACCTATTTTTAGATGCATTTCTTTATAATGTAAAGATTATTCACCTGTATTTCCCATAGTTACTATGTGATTCCAACTCTGCATGGGCAGCAAATTTTTTAACGTATACCTTTTTAATTTTAACTTCATAAATATCCTCAAGGTATATTTTATTATGCCCATTTTACAAAGAAGGCAAATATATGCCCAATACTGTGTTAAAAGTCTTCACCAAGATTCAGACCAAAACTATGCTACTTCCCAAGTTACTCTGAATAAATAACAATTACAAAATAAACTAAAAATAATAATTAAGTGCTAAATGAAGAGGGCTTGACCTGAGTGCAAATGTGATCCTAAAAAGAGAAGCTCAGTGAAGGTACACATTTTTTTAAGAATGACTGCAAGGGGAAAGCAAGATATGAGCTTGTCCTGACAGAGAGGTTTGGTGAGCTGGCAGATTAATTATGGCTTTGCCTAAATACATGGAACTTGAAAACAAAAAGTGATAAATACAGGGCACAATAAAGAGTACCTACCTGAGCAAAAGCTAACTGTTGAGAAGCTATAGGAGATGTGGCTAGATCTTAAAATGGGCCAGTTTGTAAATGTCCATAAAAACTAAGTGATGAATTCTGAAATTAATAAAAACAACCTTTTCTTTTTGGTGATTTTTTTTAACATTTTATTTTCTCTACAGATATGATACTTATTCCCTTTGGCTTCATAGCAATTCTCAGGTATGCCTCAAATTTCAATTGAACTGCTTTCTCCTCCAGGATGTCTTCTCCAGTATCTTCAGGCAGAGTTAAGCACACCATCTTCTTTTCTCCCTTGGTGCTTAACAGGGAGAGTGCAGCAAGTTTCCCATTAATCTAATGATTTCTCAACTATTTGTGTTCTCCAGTGAGTTGTGGAAACACTGGAGGACAGGAAATATGTTATATGTGGTTTTTTGTATCCTAACATTCATCTTAATGTCTAGCACACAGCAGGCACTTAATAGATGCTTGCTGCTTGAATGAATAATCAAATGAATGGTTCTGTAGAAGAGAAATGATACTGAAAGCGCTATCTGATAAAAACACAAAGAATGGACTGGAACAGGAGACATTTACAGGCAGTCAAATTGTTCACGTCATAAATGCATCAGGAGTATGATTTGGATGATATGTAGGAAGTGCTCTGTTACATGCTGATGCTGAATCACTGATCATACAAGAATAGCTTAATCCTGTGACCCTGACTCTCCAAAGTTACCCTATAAAAATCACTAATGTGAAAAATTACTTTAGTTTAAATAGATTTGACAAATGAGGCAAATATGATTTAATTTGAATCAAAGGTTTTGAGGCAAAAATTCTTCAGCATTTTTTTCTAATGAGGCTCATATGACTTAACAGGAAGACTTAAAAAATAATTGCTAAACTGAACTGTTCAAATCTTTTGGATGTTTTTTTTTTTTGCTATGCATAGTCTGTAGCAATAATTAGAATTTACCATGGAAAAGTTCATTATATTGAAATCTACAAACAAAATAAAAAACTATAGCACTGTAAGACCATACTTTCCCAAATCCATTTATTTTATTATGTCTTGCTTATCCATAATGTACTATGACAATATGGCATTCTTGGGGGAGAAAAAGGAAAAGAATGAATTTCCATAGCCTCATTCCTAACTGTGGCCTCAAGCAATAGAAGATTTTTAATGTGCCGAACAATTAAGATTCTCCATTGCACCAAATGAATTGGCCTAAATGAAATTTTATTTATTATACCTGGTGAAATCATTGCATCTCCCTTCCTAAAGAATAAGCCACTTATTAAGAATAAATTGTACGTGGATTCAAGTTAAACATTAATATTAAAATATATTTTGCTTTAAAAATGTGTACGTTTATGAAATCATCCATTTTTATGGGGAGGAAGGATAATTTAATTGATTTCCACCACTGCTCAATGAATACGACCAGCTTCAGGCAAAATCCATGAGAGGAACATCTCTACCAGAATGAAACACAAATTCAATGAACACTTATATGCAACATTTGGAAATTCAGGCTCCAGGCTGATGAAAGTTATTCAAATGACTGCCTCTCATTAAATGTTGAGAGCAAAACAGAACTGATCTGTCACTCTAAATGAGCAACTCTTTCAACTGTTATACAGGGTAGAATAGTATCTTGAACATTTCTTTCTTATAAACAAATTAAGGTAATAATCAATGCAGTAATTCAATCATTACACAAGGTAATGAAAAGACTTAACCAGAAAATGCGTAAATTAATATACAGAGAATATATATTCTAAAATTAGAAAACAAATTAAAGAAGCCACATTAGTAAAACAGAACTAATGAATGCCATAAGATTTTTTGTTCTCTGTATTGTTCCCAAACATTAAATAAATCTAAATTTATTCTTGTTTTATTAAAATTGCATATTTAAGAAAAAGATTATAATAACTGATTTTAAATTGTGTGTTCCTTGTATTTGTGTAATCAAGGAACATCACTTAAATTCATTTTCTATTTTTTTGTGGCAATTGACTTTTAAATTGTGTGTTTATTGTATTGGTGGCATTGAGGAACATCACTTTAATTCATTTTTTATTTTAAACATGTAACCAAAAATCTCCTTCTATCTTTTAGATCATTTCAATAATATTGAACATAAGTAGTCTGGAAAAGAAAGGATAAAAAATTGCTAGCTAGTATATAAAGAGTGGTCAAAGAATGACTAGATGACAGAGGTAGTTTACGGCATGAGTTTTTAAAATAATATATTTTCTTGTCAGTGAACAAAGAGAAATAGGGAAGACAGTGCTTTCTGAGAATACATAGGGAAGGTACAAAGAAAAGAAGGAGCAGGAGTGATTTAACAGGTGTAACGCTGAAGAGAGTGGTAAGATGAACAACGAGAATGAAGAAAGGAAAGAAGTAATGATGTAAGTAAATATTACTCAGAAAAGGAAAAGGATCTAGCCAGGGTGCTCAGAAAATTCTCTCTACACCTCCTAGAACCCTACCATCCTATATATAGGACAAATCATCCCATCTAACGTATCTAAAGCTTTTGCAACCTTCTCCATCCTATGGACTTTGCCCTTCCCATTTCCACTGATATCCACTAGAGTACTTCCCTACCAGTGGCTCTCAAAGTTTTCTAATTGTGCTCCACACATGTGCTTCTCATGCCTACAAAAATCTAACAAAAAAGGAAAAAGACTCAGAATTCTTAGGTCATCATAGGGATAGCTAAGAGGATTCATCTTTATGCCTTCCTTTACTAAGGAGTCTTTCAGACTTGAGGTGATGGTCAAGATGGATGATTCAGACCAAATAGACATCATGGGGAAGCATGGACCTTCCTTGGAGGAAGAAGGTCTGTGTTCATTCCAGCCACCAGATCCACTATCTCCTCTTTTCCATCATGTTCTTTCCACAAGAAGTTACCTTTTAGTATTGCACTACCCAGGCTTCCTTATTCTCTGGCTTTCATTTTGTTTTGGCTAATGAGAATGGCTGACAAAAGTTGGAAGTTAGAAAATGAGACACTGATTGGGCGTTACTGACATCCCACCTGATTTATCAGTCTGCTGCTGGCATTCAATAGACATTGCCATCATCACAGCAGCCACTCTTCCCTGGATCCAAGCTGTCTCCCAGCTCCAACAACCAATTCTTTCCTCTTGCCCCTTCAAGCCTAGGGGCAGTAACAGTTTCCCCTGAAGCCAGTCTCTGATATAGTAGTCTTTGATCATTTACTTAACTCTATGCACACAACAGTGATTGTTCTACTCATAAATGTCTCTCCAATTAAACCCCCTGAGTGCACCATCTTTTGCTGTCAGGACCCTCACTGACATCACACATCATACTCCTTCCCTAAGAAGCTCTGGGAAAGCCAGAGTGCAGAATGCCAAGGGGTCACTCTGGAAGGGCAGAACTGGAAATGACCACTCTATGAACATCACCCCACTTCTTCCACTGACCAGGATGAATCTACTCAAGATATTTGCCAGAAATGATTGCAAGATCCCTCAGCATATATCCCACATGTTATTGACAAAGAAGAGGAGGTTACTAAGAATGTACAATGTGATACTGGTGGATATTTAAAACAAACAAATACAAATATTACCCATATCTTTACCCTGCAAAGATGTCAAGCAATATTTTAATGGTCATTCTATCATAGTTCCTTATTTATTTTATTTCTTGCAATATTACAAGCTACTATAGTTATAGAGGTGTTTTCATTTGCTTTGCTCCCTTGATTGTTTATGTCTGTCTCACTCACTGCACGGAAGTCATGTCTGCATTCTTTATTGTGCATCCCCAATATCCAAGCAGAGCACCTGGCACAGACAGTCATTCAATTAAAATATTTCTGAAAGAATTATTAAAAATAGGTTTTCTTAAGTATATATTGTGCTCATAGCCAAGGGGAAAAATCCAAAAAGGAATACAACCGCAATGGGGTATGATAAAATGCTGTGTACAAGACAATAAATTGAGAACTTTATGTCCATTATCCATGTAATTGTCCTCACCATCCAGTGGAATCATGTATTATTGTTATTCCCATTTACAGATGAGAAAATATTTTCAGAGAAGATTAGTAACTCACCTAATTTCAAACAGCTAGTAAGTGAGAAATTAGGACTTGAGCTTATATTTATCTTATTCCATTTCATGGTAGTGCTGAGTACTGATTCATTCAATTAATATTTATGTGAGTGCTTATTTTGTACCATATACTATTCTAGGAACTTGGCATATTGCAGTAAACAAAAGCAAAAAATGTCTCTCTCTTTATTGTGCTGGCATTCAAGGTTGCAAAGAAAAAACAACAAAAGTCAATAAGATACATAATAAAATGAGTCATTATTTTTTTGAAGACAAAGCAGAGTAGGGGTATAGAAATAATGAGGAGACTGCTATTTTAAATTGAGTAGTCAGGGAAGACCACTCTGAGAGCTGCGCAGTTGCTAGCCCATTTAACACCTCTAGGCACATTAGAAAAAGGCACATCTTCCTCCAGGCGTATGCACCCTTTTCTTGGCCATCAGCATGGCTCTCTGTTTCCGCGGCAACCACACAGTCCAGGTTCTCATTTTCTCATATTTTGTTAACTGCAAGTTTTCTGATTTCTCTGTCTACCTTTAGGCTCTTCCTCTCTTAAGCTCTCATGACCACTGCTATCAGATTAATTTTAATTAATCTTAATTAATCTACCCTAGCAAACCAAGGAGATGTTGGATTTCAGCCCCCATTTTAATCTTACAATTGCAGCTTTGTGTAGAGTTCACTGATGCAACGGCCTATTTGAGGAGGGGATGTTTGATCAAAGGCCTGAATGAAATAAGGAAATGTGATGTAAAGAGCAATTTAAAAAAAAAATCCTAAGACTAGAGCATGTTTGGTACATTGTAGGCACAGCAAAGAGACCAATGTGATGGGGTGAGCAAGGAAGGGGAAAGGGACATGAAAAGGGGTTGGAGAGGTGGCCATTATAAGCCTGGTAAGGACTTTGCACCTTATGCTAAGTGTAAGATAAAGCCATTAAAGTAGAAAGATATTTTCACTTAACAGGAAAAATTTCTCCACATGAAGAAGTAAGATTTGACCTGAAAGTATAAGAATGAGTTACAGTCGGCCGGGCACAGTGGTTCACGCCTGTAATCCCAGCACTTTGGGAGGCCGAGGCGGGTGGATCACGAGGTCAGGAGATCGAGACCATCCGGGCTAACATGGTAAAACCCCGTCTCTACTAAAAATACAAAAAATAAGCCGGGCGTGATGGCAGGTGCCTGTAGTCCCAGCTATTCGGGAGGCTGAGGCAGGAGAATGGCGTGAACCTGGGAGGTGGAGCTTGCAGTGAGCCAAGATCACACCACTGCACTCCAAGCTGGGCAACAGAGCGAGACTCCGTCTCAAAAAAAAAAAAAAAAAAAGAATGAGTTGGAGTCATCCCATAAATAGAGGTTCCACGTAGAAGGAATCTGCCAGGTTGGAGGGTAAGGTCCAAAATAAAAATAGTTAGACTCCCTTATCCTTGCCAAACCACCAGCAGCAGCACCAAGACAGTTTGTCAACAATGTGGTTATTTCTGGCTTTTTGCCAGATCTACTGAATTATAACGTGCATTCTAAATAAGACTAGCAGATGAATTATAAACACGACAAGGATGGTGGGTGATATCCTTTGTCTGTGTCCTCACCCAAATCTCAACTTGAATTGTAGTTCCCATAATCCCCACGTGACACGGGAGAGAAGTGGGAGGGAATTAAATTATGGGGGCAGCTATACCCATGCTATTTTCGTGATAGTAAGTGAGTTCTTATGAGATCTGATGGTTTTATAAGGGGCTTTCCCCAACCTTCACTCTGTACTTCTCTCTCCTGCCGCCATGTGAATAAGGATGTGTTTGCTCCCCCTTCAGCTCTGATTGTAAGTTTCCTGAGGCCTCCCCAGCCATGCTGAACTGTCAGTCAATTAAACCTCTTTCCTTTATAAATTACCCAGTCTCAGGTATGTCTTTATTAGCAGCATGAGAACAAATTAATACAGTGGGTGAGAGGGAATAATGACTGGCCCAGCATTGCTGGATCCCAGGGATCAGGTGAGAGTGGGCATAGAGGTTTAAGAGGCTGGAAAGTTAGGTTGGGCCCATTGAGAAGGGCCTTGGGCACCATGATTAAGAGTCTGGAGCATCTTGTCCAGAGAAAATGTTCCCAGCTTGCCACAGCATAATAACTGCCTCACAATGGCTAAGTAACACATCTGTGAAACTCAATATTTTAAAAAAGTAAAAAAACTTTCTTGTATTATTTCAAACAAAATCAAATAAGTTAACAAATACTAATAAATAGAAATGCATTCTTTTAAAAAGTGGCCATATTTTTGTCTATTTGAGATAAAAACTATTATCTGATTATATATGATTATTCACCCCATGTTCATTGATATCTATTCCTCAAAAGCCCTGAAATATGCTGAACAAAATGAGAAACAAAATAGCCCTTGTAGATGTACATCAGTGAGTTGTTTATCCTTTTCATTTCTCATGTTCCAGAGGCCAGGTTACATTGCAAATGTGTTCTTTCTAGGAATGTAAATGTGATCAATTAACGGGCTTCTCCCTGTCTTTGTTTTGGCACGGAGGCTGCTCCACTTTCCCCTGCCTCTTACTAAACATAATAAATAGGGATATTCAGAATTCATCACAAGGAGAAGGGGTCAGAATAACAGAGAAACTGACAAATGCAACATATGACTTGAATATTTTTACTAGTATAATGTTTTGCAAGATGACTTTTATTTTTCCCTTGTCTCTTTCATCTTTTTTCTTTTCTTGCTGTCATTTCAACAAGCTAGGGCTTCAAAAAGCAGCAGACTGGACAGACAGGGACAGTGGGTACCCAGGACCTGAAAGGTGCACAGAGGGAGCCTAGGAAGGGTACTATATGCAATAGAAAAAAAAAAAAAAAACAGGGAGGTTCAGTCAGACCTCATTGGCCTCGGAAAGAGCTGGCATTGAAATCTTGGCAGAAGTTCAATATGTAGGGACAGAACTTCACTAGGGGAGGACAGAGGGAGCTGAAGATAGAGAGAGAATCATGTGGCACACTAGAAAGGGCCCTGTACATCATGATCACAAGTCTGTACTTCAACCTGATCTCTCAGAAGCTGTATTACTCCTTTTTCACACTGCTATAAAGAACTACCTGAGACCGGGTAATTTATGAAGAAAAAAGGTTTAATTGACGCGGAGTTCTGCATTGCTGAGAAGGCCTCAGGAAACTTACATTCATGGCAGAAGACAAAGGGGAAACAAGGACCTTCTCGACATGGCAGCAGGAGAGGGAGAGCGTGAGGGAGAAACTGCAAAACACTATTAAACCATCAGGTCTCATGAGAACTCACTCACTATCATGAGAACAGCATGGGAGAAACTGCCCCCATGATCCAGTCTCCTCCCACCAGGTCCCTCTCTCGACACGTGGGGATTACAATTTGAGATGAGATTTGTGTAAGGACATAAAGCCAAGCCATATCAGAGGTATTCATGCCCACACCTTTATGTCTTCTTCTGTCCCATCCATACAGGTCATAATCAATTCTCATCTACAACAGCTTTCTAAATATCTATCTCTCTTTCATTCTTGCCCCATCCTAGCCTCCAACTCTAATCCATTTCTCACAAAGCAGCTAGAGGATAAGTCATACTACTCCCTGCTAAGAATCCTTCAAAGACTTCCTAATGCTCTACCAATGAAATTCAGATTCATTACTATTGGGCCCAAAAATCTACATGCTCAGGGCATCACTTTCCTTCTTGCCGATACAGTGCCTGGTTTTGTTCTTCCAATGTGGAAAGTTGTTTCCTATCTCAGTGCATTTTCATCAAACATTCCTTCTGCTAAAACATCTTTCTGCCTTCTATTCCACCTCGAGATTGCAAGCTCTCTCTCACTCTTTGGGTTTGGCCAACATAGCATCTCCTCAGGAGACATCTTTCCTGATTGTCCATCTAAAATAGCCACTGTCTCAACTTTCTATCTATAATATTACTCTATTTTCTTCATATATTTTAATCCAATTTAAAACTGTGTATCTATTTGTTGATATGCATGTTAGCTGCCTCCCTGTATTAGTTTTCTAATGCTGTACAACAAACTTAGCAACTTAAAACAACACACACTTGTTATCTCAATTTCTGTGGGTCAGGAATCCAAGCAGGCATAGCACCATCTTCTGCAAAGCTGCAATTAAGGTTGTTGGCCAGGACTGGGGTCAAATCTGGAGGCTTGACTGAGGCAGGGTTTACTTCCAAGCTCACTTATGTTTTTGGAAGAATGTATGTCCTTGCAAGTGTGAGACTGCACCTTAGCTTTTGAGGACAGCCAGCTAAAGGCTTCCTTTAGCTCCTGGTCACATGGGACTCTTAATATGGCCTCTTACTTCTTCACAGCCAGTAAGGAAACAGTTCCTAGAATAAGGCTACTAGCAAAAGGAAGTTTTCCACCAGAACATTTAATTACAGAGTATCACTTTTGCCATATTTTATTGGTTTGAAACAAGTCACGGGTCCCAGTGACACTCAATTGAGGGGATCATACAAGGGTATAAACACTAGGAGGTGGGGATAATTGGGGCTGTCTTAAAGGCAGCCTCCCACAGTCTACCTTCTGACCACCAATGATTTATGCCCCTCCCACATGTAAAATACATTCATCCTCCTCTCAAGCTTTCTATTATAGCATCCTTTTATGGCATTCTATGTAACATCAATTCAGTGTCCAAAATCTCATTATCTAAATCAGGCTCAGGCAAGGATGAGAGATATGGGTGTGATACATTAAGTAAGGCTGCTAGGACACAATTTCTGTCTGTGGACCTATGAAACCAAAAAGGACAAGTTATCTGCCCCCAAGACCCCGCAACTAGAATCTTTGTTCTGCAAAAGTGGAGACTAAGTCAATTTAATTCACTGCTTTATCTTCAGGGTGAGCACTATACCTAACTCATTGTAAATGCTTAAATAAATATGGCTGAATAAGGAATGTATAGTTAAAGTTTCAGCAAACAGGCAGAGCCTACTTCTGAGGTTTGACAAGAACCCAGGTTTAAGACTCAAAGCTGAGAAGCAAATAATTAGAACTAGATCACAGTAGATTGAAGGTAAAACACAAAAATAAAGGAAGGAAGGAAAGAAGGAAGGAAAGAAGAAAGGAAAGAAGGAAGGAAGAAAGGAAGGAAGGAAGAAAGGAAGGAAAGAAGGAAGGAAGGAAAGAAGGGAGGAAAAAAGGAAGGAAAGGAGGGATAAGAAAGAGCAGGATCAGTAACAAAGGAGACGATGCTGATTCAGGTACTTATTGATAAGGCTTGGCTGTGTCCCCACCCAAATCTCATCTTAAATTGTAGCTCCCATAATCCCCACATGTTTGGGAGGTACCTGGTGGGAGGTAATTGAATCATGGGGGTGGGTTTTTCTCACACTGTTCTCTTGATAGTGAATAAGTCTCATAAGAGCTGACAGTTTTATAAAGGGCAGTTCCCCTGCACACACATTCTTGCCTGCCATCATGTAAGACATGTCTTTGCTCCTCCTTCATCTTCCACCATGATTGTGAGGCCTCCCCAGCCATGTGGAACTATGAGTTGATTAAACCTCTTTTCTTTATAAATTACCCAGTCTCAAGTATTTCTTCATAGCAGTATGAAAATGGACTAATACAGTAAATTGGTACCAGGAGTGAGGCACTGCTATTATGATACCCCAAAATATGGAAGTGACTTTGGAACTGGGTAACAAACAGAGACTGGAACAGTTTGGAGGGCTCAGAAGAAGAGAGAAAAATCTGGGAAAGTTCGGAACTTCCTAGAAACTTGGAGGGCTCAGAAGTCAGAAAGATATGGGAAAGTTTGGAACTTCCTAGAGACTTGTTGAATGGCTTCAACCAAAATGCTGATAGTGATATAGACAATAAAATCCAGGCTGAGGTGGTCTCAGATGGAGATGAGGAACTTCCTGGAAACTGGGGCAAAGGTGACCCTTGTCATGCTTTAGCAAAGAGACTGTGGCATTTTGCTCTTGCCCTAAAGATCTGTAGAATTTTGGACTTGAGAGAGATGACTTAGGGTATCTGACAGAAGAGGTTTCTAAGCAGCAAAGCATTCAAGAGGAAGCAGAGCATAAAAATTTTGAAATTTTGCAACCTAATGATGCAATTGAAAAGAAAAACCCATTTTCTGGGGAGAAATTCAAGCCTGCTGCAGAAATTTGCAAAAGTAACAAAGAGCCAAATGTTGATTACCAAGACAATGGGGAAAATGTCTCCAGGGCATGTCAGAGACCTTCATGGAAACTCTTCCTATCACAGGCCTAGAGGCCTAGGATTAAAAAAATGGTTTCCTGGGCCAGGTCTAGGGCCTCCCTGCTGTGTTCAGCCAAGGGACTTGGTGTCCTGAGTCCCAGCCGCTCCAGCTGTGGCTAAAATGGGCCAAGGTACAGCTCAGGCCATGGCTTCAGAGGGTACAAGCCCCAAGCCTTGGCAGCTTCCATGTGGTGTTGAGCCTGTGGGTATGCAGAAGTCAAGAACTGAGGTATGGGGACCTTCGTCTAGATCTCAGAGAATGTATGGAAACACCTGGATATCCAGGCAGAAATTTGCTGCAGGGGTGGGGTCCTCATGAAGAACCTCTGCTAGGGCAGTGCAGAAGGGAAATGTGGAGTTGGAGCCACCAGACAGAGTCCCCACTGGGGCACTGCCTAGTGGAGCTGTGAAAAGAGAGTCACTGTCATCCAGACCCCAGAATGGTAGATCCACTGACAGCTTGCACCATGCACCTGGAAAATCCACAGACACTCAATGCCAGCCATGAAAACAGCTGTTAGGGGGGCTATACTCTGCAAAGCCACAGAGGCAGAGCTGCCCAAGGCTGTAGAAGCCCACCTCTTGCATCAGCATGACATGGATGTGAGACATGGAGTCAAGGAGATCATTTTGGACCTTTAGGATTTGTTGACTGTCTTATTGGATTTTGGACTTGCAAGGAACATGTAGCCCCTTTGTTTTAGCCATTTCGAATGGGTATATTTATCTAATGCCTATACCCCCATTGTATCTAGGAAGTAACTAACTTGCTTTTGATTTTACGGGCTCATAGGTGGAAGGGTCTTGCCTTGTCTCAGATGAGACTTTGGACTTAGACTTTTGAGTTAATGCTGAAATGAGTTAAGACTTTGGGGGACTACTGAGAAAGCATTATTGGTTTTGAAATGTGAGGACATGAGATTTGGGAAGGTCTGGTGGCAGTATGATATGGTTTGGCTGTGTCCCCACCCAAATCTCATCTTGAATTGCAGCTCCCATAATCTCCACATGTTGTGGGACAGACCTGGTGAGAGGTAATTGAATCATAGGGGAGGGTGTTTCCCATGCTGTTCTCATGATAGTGAATAAGTCTCATGACAGCTGATGGTTTTATAAAGGGCAGTTCCCCTGTGCACACACTATTGCCTGCCACCATGTAAGACGCCTTTGCTCCTCCTTCACCTTCCACCATGATTGTGAGGCCTCCCCAGCCATGTGAAACTGTGAGTCCACTAAACCTCTTTTTCTTTATAAATTACCCGGCCTCAGGTATTTCTTCATAGCTGTATGAAAATAGACTAATACACTCATGTTGTTTTATGAATCTATACAGTAAACATTTATAAGGACCTATCATGATGCTACAAATTGTGGTACCATAGGCATAATAGTGGACAGGATACAGTCCCTGCCTTCAAAGAACTTACAGTCTAATGGGAGAGATTCAATTCAAAATGTTACATTCTCAAATAAATAGAGAGTTAGTGAAAACAAATGGGAAGAATAATTATCCTCATATAAGAAAGTAGCAGGGAAATTATCCCAGATCATATGACTCTAAGCTTAGTCTTAAAGATTAAGTAGAAGTTAACCCAACAACTACGGTCTGGGTTGTGGTGGAAGAGGGAGGAAAGATGGGCAAGCTTCCAGGAAGAGAGAAAAATTTCATGTTAAATCCCAGCAGTGAAAGAAAACATGGCACAAGCAGGGAACTAAAAGGCTGGAGTACAGTTAGATGAGGAAAAGTGCTGAAAAGTTAGGCTGCATGCTTGGCCAAGTTCCAACGACAGTGGAGAGCCATTAAAGAATTTCAAATAAGGAAAGAGAAAGTCAAATTTATGTTTCAGAAAGCTCATTTTGATTTCAATATGGATAATTCACAGGAGTGGGAACAACCTAAAGATGGAGATACTAGTTGTTAGGAAGAAGCAGTTGCTGGAATCTAAGAAATGGAGGAGGCTGGAAAAGTAGAGGCAAAGAGCACAAAGAGAATTGAGCAATATTGAGAAAGTAAATGGATAGGAGGAGTTAGGGTTGGTTGAATGTGTTGGGGCAGGGTGACAAGGGAGGGCAGTCAGCAGTGAGACAGGAGATAAGGATAAGTCCCAGTTACCTATCTCTGAAAACTGGATGAATAATCGCACCATTTGCCTAGGAAGCAAACAAAGCAAGAGTACAGAAGCAGGTTGGGGGACAATTAAATGGAGGTGAGCCAAACTGGAATATTTTAGTTCTGAATGTCCTCTGGGACTTCCAAGTGGAAAGGCCTGAAGATAGTTGGATATTCATGACTCTAGAGATCAAGAGAAAAATTTGAACTGGGTTCCTGATTTTCCCTAGCTGAAGAAAAAGATTGGTGACAGAATATAAGGACAAATAAATGACTGGTAATGGAAAACTGAGAGATGAATGCTACCTGCTGCAAAATTCAGGGACTAGAGAAAAGAAATCTAGCAAATATTTTCCTAAATATTCTCCTAGCTTTTCTAATTTGTTATTCCACAATATAGTATATAGAACATCCGTTTAGACTTCCAGTCAAATTGCGTTCATCTATGTTCCCAATGGAAATAATATTAAATGTCAATACTATACAAAAAGGTATAAATCCTAAAAACAAAGGAAAAATGAAAGGGGACAAGAGTTAGTGAAAAGTATCACCAAATGTTAAGATGTGGAAAGCAAATCGTGGAGTGGCAACTGAATTTGTAGGTAAATGGAAATTGAAACTTAGGCGCTTACAGTGGGAGACGATGCTGAAAAGTGGGCTTTTCCCATTGGATCACTGGAAAAATGTGGAACTTGAGACAACACCAGGCACATTGGTTGGCCATAGTGAGCTTTGGAGCTGGGAAATTGTTGAAAAATATACATAACCAGACCTCTTGCTTCCTGTCCCTCTCCTTGACCTGCACAGCCAGGTTAATACCCATTTCCAACTTCCCCAGAAAACCAGATGTCTAGTCTCTGAGAAATTAGTCCACAGAAATTCTGGACTAGAGACACCAAGAACAACAGTGTATAATCGTGATGAAAGAAAAAGAAGGATTAAATGCAAATACATCATTTCTGGATAGCATTTTATTATCAACTTTCCAGCATAATTTTAGTTTTTTAAGTAATGTAGAGGCGATTCCATAAAAATGTAAATTTGTCTAATAAAAGACTATCAAATCATCCTCATGTAATTCTCTCATTCTTTTTATTTTTTTAAGAAGGAAGAAATATGCAAAAACATCCATGTTCTGTGATGCTATTATAACTTAGGGCAATGCTCTTCACTTGGATAGTAATAAAAGTGAAGGAAAACAAGGCAGTAAGATTGGAATCTCTACAACCATGCTTCCTGACAACTCTTTCAGAACCATCAGTGGTAACACAAAGGCCAGCAAGGACTGAAATCCTGTTAATATGGGAGGGGGGCACGGAAGTGCTGGGTAGAGAAAGGCAGGGTCCCTGGCAAGGGCTCCACCCTTGGGCCTGTGCCCATGGACCTAAATGAGGACAGGTGTTTCTGTTTTCATGCCCAAAAGATTGCCTTTTGGCCTGCTACATCCCCCACCCTGTGCCCATAAAAACCCAGGAACCTAGCCAGCACAGACACAAGCAGCTGTTGAGAGGAACAGAACACATCTACAGACACCAGCAGACACTGGCAGGCCAGCAACAGTGGAACAACGTGGACACCAAGGGGAATTCAGCCAGGAGCAGTCAGATGTGAGTCTGGCCACTGAGCAGCCCAACTCCAGGGGAAGACCACCTTCCCACTCCATCTCCCTTCTGGCTCCCCGTCTCTCTCACTGACAGCTGCCTCCACCACTCAGTAAAACCTTGCACTCATCCTCCAAGCCCATGTGTGATCCAATTTTTCCAGTATACTAGGGCAAGAACCCAGGATAAAAAAAAGCCCTCTGTCATTGCTAAGGCAAAGGGTCTAATTGAGCTGATTAACACAAGCTGCCTGCAGACAGCAAGGCTGAAAGGACATACTGCAACACACATCCACTTGGGCTCCAGGAGTTGTAAACACTCACTCCTAGACGCTGCCATAGGGTCAGAGCCCAAAAACGCTCTCCACAACTTCTGCAGCTGCCCATCTGCATGCTCCCCTAGGGGTATGAGCAGCAGGGCACCAAAGAAGCCAGCTACACCCCTGTCACATGCCCTGTGAGGGGAAAAAGGGACCTCTCCCGTTTCACTATGCTGCCCAGAAAATTTGGATCTTCTTGAATTCCTTACCTGTCTAGTGGAGGTTTCTACCGATGAAAGGACCTCGGAAGTTCCTCAAATCCAAAGGTGCTGGCTGGGAAGATGAGTGCAGAACGGGAGCCCAGTCTTGCTCCTCCATAGGGCTGCAATTGCCCCCAACAGCTGTCAGGATTCCAGGTGCCTGACCTCCTCTGAACTCCCTTGCAGCAACTAGAGAGTATTGCTACATGGCCATGTGATTCTCAAGCCTGCCATACCCCCTGTTTTCCTAATACTACCTGAGGGACTCAAATTACAAACAATACTTCTTTGCCTTTACCCTGCTAGCCAGAACCTAGGTGACCTACAAAGGTTAGTAAACCTGTCCAAATCCAATTGCTGCACCTTTTTGCTTCTCCTTGCCTGACTCAAACCAGCAACCCCGGGACCAAGAAACTCCTCTCTGACATCATGGGATAAAGTTGAAGCTCTGCTGTTAGCTCTGTGGCCTTGATCAATTTACCCATCATTCTTTCTTGTACTTTCTTGAACTTTTCTGCTCTGCCTCACAGACTTGAGAGAGAAGCCCCAGTTTTCATAATAGAAAATTCCTCCTACCCGTGGATGAAGTTTTCATTTCTTTCTGCATAAATATACATTTTCTTGGTCACCTCTGAAATTATTTCTTCATCAGTCCTCTTAGATTTTTATTTTGTTCAACTGTTTTCCTTTACTTCAGCTGATCTTACAGATCTTACAGGCGACTCATTTCAGTTTCTTGCTTATTCCTAATCATATGCTTCTGAAATTATATGTTCATGAAAACACACACCACACACACACACACACACACACACACACAGGCACACAAGTGCTCATTCCTGGATGGCTGTTTTATTGTTACCATAGAGATATATCAGTTTCCCATACAGTGAAAAAGCTGGATCATGACTCATGAATATTTATTTCATCTTATATTTGATTATTCCATTTTTAACATCTATGGCAAAAATGGATATTTTGTTTTCAATGTCTTTTTAGTTCAACTTTTTTCTTTTTAAGATAACAGTTCATGCCCACTCAAAACAAAAAAAAAAATGCACTGAAACTATTAATGTAATTTGGACAATTATCCTAATACGTTAGTTTCTAAATAGGTATATAAAGAGTTAATATGTGTAAAATTTTGGTGAACCATTGAGTATCGTTCTACATTGTATATTTGTTAACCAGTATGTTCACCTGAAGAATTACACGTCATTATTAAGGACTCCTCTAGTTAATCACAAGATGTGTGTGCCTGTTATCTGCCTAACACAATTTCTGTGGTTCACATGGACAAAGAAATTTGGAAACTACCACTAAATGAGAATACTTCAGTAACATTCACCAAGTCTTGGGGGGGTGATTCAACTGTTCTTATATTTCTTTACATTTCTGGATGACTTTGCAGTTTTCAAAGCACTGTTATTTATGTGACAGGGTATGAGCATTCAACCTTCTTTATTATGAAAACAACACTTTTGCTCATATATCTATTCTGTGCTGCATTAGAAAGTTAGAATGTATACATATATATTTTCCCCACACTTCCTAAGAATGTTTGAAGCTTAAGCTTTTCTTAACTTCAAAGAAATAAAACCAGTTTTTAGCCTGATACTAGTTCTAACTCTGAGTTTAATGGCAAAACAAGGCCTTTTATAAAAGCAAATGAAAATAGACGGTTTTAGAGGTGGAGAAAATTCATGTGAAAAAATAGAGTTTGGTGAGGGAATTACTGAGGAGGAGCAAGTTTATTTGATGATCAGCTGGGGCTCTGGGAGTCTGGGGAGAAGGAAAGGCTCTGGCCTGAGAAAAAGCCTAAGTATTTTTCAGGTGTATGAAGTGATTTGTCTATTGACTGCCCACCAGGAGTGATGACTTTACACGGCAACTAGAACATTTCCAAGCCTAGTACCCCAGAACACTTACAAACCTAAAGAGGGATCCCCGGGACCGGCAGGGGAAAGGCAGTGAGGATCCCCTTACCAGTACTCGGTGGCTAAACTGAATAAGAATAAGCCCCAGACCCTTGTTCTGGGACAGGAATCCTGGATTTTGGACACTATGTTGACCATAAATTATCTCACTGAGCCCCCAAGAGCCCAGCTATGGGGGTTGCGCATGTCTTTGTTATCCCCATTTCCACAGATGAAGATGAAATCTTCACATGTGGTTAGGAGCATGGACTTGGGGGCCAAGAAGATTTGAACCTGATTCCATGTTATTCCTTAGAAGTTATTTGTTGAGCAAGTCATATTTGGTTTCTCTAAGCCACCCTTTCCCCATCTGTAAAAAAATAGGCAAAATATCATAGCACGTGCATTTATAGGAGTATTGCCATGAGCTCATGAAAGTCAGCTCATGCAAGTAACAAATGTAATAATCCAGAGGCTAGATCATAATAAGAATTCAATAAGTACAAGCTCTTGCTAGCATTAGGTAAAGCACAAAAAGATGAAGTGACTTGTTCAAGATAGTGTGGCTGGTTAGTAATAGCATCAGGGATCTCTCCACCAGCTCACATTACTTCTGAGACATCAACATGGTATCCCTCCTGGGAGGTGGCAGCATCACTGGAGAGCCTCCTTCAGGCTTTACCAACCTAATTGATTATACCTAGAAGGGATACTTGGTTCGTTTATGCTTTTTGTCACTCAGGCTCAATCAAACAAGCAGACTGTGTGCTTAGTCATTTCTCCTGCCTCCAATCTGTTCTTCACCCTACAGAAAGAGAAATAGAACTCCTTAACTGGAAGTTAAGGCCTGTTACCACTGGCCCATGAACTTGCTCATCAGAAATGTTGTTAACCATGACATCTTCTGGGACCCCTTGAAGCAGATGGACTCCACTTTCTCTGTGCCTTGAGGACTGGAGATTCAGTTCTGCCTCCATGCATTGCCTACATCATCTTCTCAGGGATGGGGCAACCAGTGTCTCTGTTTGCCTGTGACAGTCTCATTTTATGCCTCATGTCCAAGTATAATTACTAATAGCACCACTTTCACTCTTAAGAGTGGCCTGAAGCCTGAATTGAATCATACATTATATAATCACTTTATTATGGCCTCTCCAATCTGAAAGCTCCTCTTGACTGCTCTCCATTCAACCAATTCCTGCTAGTTCTTCTGAGTCAATTCAATTCTACCTCTGCGTCAACTTTTCCCAACTATTCTTTATATGATGATTTTCCTCTATCTGGATCATTTACTGGGTTGCACCGGATTCTGTCGTGCATGTTATACATAGTTTTCTTCCATTTATATTGAATCCTTAAATGTCATTTATAATAATGACATTTATATAATAATAGCTTGGGATACTACAGTTCTCTAAGAACCAGTTTTCTGCAATGTAGAATGTATATAATAATATATTTCTATAGAAATAAGGCCAGGTGTGGTAGCTCACACCTGTAATCTCAGCACTTTAGGAAGCCAAGGCGGGCAGATCACTTGAGGTCAGGACTTTGAGATCAGCCTGGCCAACATGGTGAAACCCTGTCTCTACTAAAAATACAAAAATTAGCCAGGCACGGTGACACGCATCTGCAATCCCAGCTACTCAGGAGGCTGAGGCAGGAGAATCGCTTGAACCCAGGAGGCGGAGGTTGCAGTGAGCCAATATTGCACCACTGCATTTCAGCCTGGGTGACAGAGCAAGAATCCATCTCAAAAATAATAATTACAATAAATTTATATAGAAATAAATAAATTGTCAGCTAAATATTGCTTCACCTATGAAGAAGAAAAATCTTAAGTTATCCCTCCCTTTTCTGTTTCTCTTAGTACTCAACAATTTCATGATTAGTTAAAAACGGGTATTTATCCCATCCCCCATTTAAACATTGCCAAGTATTTTTCAATTTCAATGCCTCCTTTTTGCTTTTTTCATCATCCAATTGCTCATTAAGTCCTGTGAATTTTGTCTCCAGAAATGTTTCACCTCTGCTTTTTTCTTCCTTCCTATTGTCAGGGCCTTCCTTTGAATCTTCATCTTCTGCTTTTTAGATGACTGAATTAACATCCTTACTAGTTTCTCTGTATGTAGCTATTTTACTGTCGTAGAACTTTTGCACTACTATTAATGTGGTTTTCTAAAGTTTAAATGTAATCTGGCTCCTTCCCTATGGGAAAATCTTTACATGCCATCCCATAAACCACAGGAAAAATTCCAAATTCTGAGGTATAGAATGATATAAGCTCATGTCATTCAGGACCATTTTAGTTATAAGTGAAAGAAAACCACAATCAAATTTACTTTTGGAAGGTATATATTGGCTTAGATAATTGAAAACATAGGGGCATAATTTCTTCAGTGACAGCTTGATCAAGAGGTCCTAAGGATATTGCCAGGAGTTGGTCTTTCTTTGCCCCTAGTTTTGCACTACTCTACATCGTTCTTGGACTGCACGTGGTTGCCAACTAATTCAAATTTGTAAAAATCAAATAGAATATATGTGTTTCTCAATAGTTTGAATAAAAGTCCTATGCCTTTTGGGTTTACCTGTTTGCGATTGAACCAGTCACTGTTAGAAAATACAATTTTGTTTTAATTTGCCAGGCTTGAAATATATACCCAGCTCTAGAGACTGGGAATGGAGCCAATACCTTCAGAAGCAGGTGGACTGAGAGTAAGGAAGAGTTTTAGTTACCTAGAATAAAACTGAGGTACTTATATCAAAAGATAAAGCCAGTGGGAAATTCTGGATTGCTGGCAGCAGTGGAAGCATTGTCATTTTTGGATCTGCCAAGATCCGCAGGGAGCTAGATAGCAAAACCAAAAACTACTGGACAATAATTACAAAAAAAAATCTAAAGGATGAGGTATCCATTGTCAAAATGAAAGTAAGTGGAGACAAACCTTCAATAGCCAGAAGTCCTGCATGATATTGGTCTTGCAGGAGAAAGCAGGAAACAAAAGGATGCCTGATGAATCCAAGAACAAGAGAACTCCCAAATAGTCAAAAGTCTGGAAAGCAACACAGGACTAATTGAGAACAACAGAAAATGAATAAAATAAATGAATTCAAGAAAAGTTTAAAGGAAATGAAATATTCTAGCACATGTGAACTTTCAAAATGGATTTTCTAGGGTTTTCTCCCAGAGAAAATCTCCATACTCCAGAGAAACTGCTAGGAGTAGGATCAGAATTAAGTAGGATAGGAGAGTCCAAGTTTTATAAACTTAATGTCGAATATGTCATCCCAACATTTCTCCTGTATTCTATTTGTTGGAAGCAAGTTACTAATCCAGCCTCAAGGAGAGGGGATTGTACAAGAGTGTGCATGCCAGAAGGTGGGTACCATTGAGAGCCATTTCATAAGCTGCCTACTGCAGAGTTCATTCTAAGAGGTAACAGGAAAGATTCAAAGAGGAGCCAACATCTATGGGTCTTGAAACATGTGTAGGTGTTCGTCAGGAAGACCAACATGTAAAGGACATTCTAGACAAAGAATGCAGAACACCCTTGGAAACACCTCTTCCCTTCTGGGAAAAGCAGGACTAGAAAGTGAAGGCCATGATTAGAACGCTCCTGAAAGACAAATCTGGAGATGTAGAGAAAAGTCCAATTATAGGCCTGTGCCTTAGTCAGTTTTGGCTCCTATATAAAAAATTCCATGGACTGTGGGGCTTATACAATAGAATTTTATTTTTCACAGTTCTAAAAACTGGGATTTACAAGATCAAGGCACTGTCAGATCCAGTGTCTGGTGAAGCCACTCTTCCTGGTTTGCATATGGTTCTCTTTTTATATCCTCACGTGGTGGAGAGAGAGAGGGGAAGCAAACCCTCTCATGTCTCTTCTTATAAGGGCACTAATTTCATCACAAGAGTTCCACCTGATGACATAGTTGCCTCCCAAAAGCACCATCTCCAAATACCATCACATTAGGAATTAAGGAGGATATAAACATTCAGTTCGTAACAACATAATATGATACCGTCTGATCCTTATGCTTGGATGCACTGAATTGACAGCATTTTTTACAAAACTGATTAGTATAGTTGAGTTTATTTTCAGATGGTCAATGTAAGACATTTTTCTAGCTTTTGTGGCTTCCTATTTTTATTTGGAGGAATATGGTCACACCAGAAGCACTGCAGCTTTTGACCACCATTCTCTCAAGTTTGACATATTCCATCTTAAACTAGCCTGTTGTAAACAAAGATCTATGTTCCCAATTATAATGATGGGGTCAAATATGTTCAATTTTCCTCAACAACAAAGTGTTTCAGACACAAATCATGGAATGGATAACTAGTATCCATTGCATCATTCCTATATTCCTTTCTCCTATCATTTGTTGAAAGTTAAATTATAGTTGTAAAATATAATTTAGTGAGAACACTTGGACACAGGAAGGGGAACATCACACACCGGGGCCTGTTGTGGGGTGGGGGGAGGGGGGAGAGATAGCACTAGGAGATATACCTAATGTAAATGACCAGTTAATGGGTGCGGCCTACCAACATGGCACATGTATACATATGTAAAAAACCTGCACGTTATGCACACGTACCCTAAAACTTAAAGTATAATAAATAAATATATATATATATATAATTTAGAATAAATAAGGATCTTTCCACCTCGACTTTCAAAGTAAGAGAAAAGAAATAGAAGGAAAAAGGACCACAGATTACCTGAGAACCACAGATTAAGAATCCATGATGTACTTGAACATGTGTAGCACAGTAGAAAAGGGAAGAAAATCTCAAAAGCATGTTAAAGAAGAATTTTGGGCCGGGCATGGTGGCTCATGCCTGTAATCCCAGCACTTCGGGAGGCTGCGGTAGGTGGATCATGAGGTCAGGAGTTCGAGACCAGCCTGGCCAACATGGTGAAACCCCGTCTCTACTAAAAACACAAAAAATTAGACGGGCGTGGTGGCAGGCACCTGTAATCCCAGCTACTCGGGAGGCTGAGGCAGGAGAATCGCTTGAATCCGGGAGGTGGAGGTTGGCTGAGACCATGCCACTGCGCTCCAGCCTGGGCAACAGAGTGAGACTTCGTCTCAAAAAGAAAGAAGAAGAAGAAGAATTTCATTTGCAATGTTTGCCTTGCGTCAAAAATATAAGCCTGTTTTAGTAGAGTCTTATTATCTGACATTATTTTCTTCCCCTGTACTCCCATAGCATTTTGCTTGTAACTGCTAAAACACTTATTACAGTCCACCCTATTAGAGTTGCAAATTAATATGCCTGCTTCTCCCACTAAATAATGAGCCTTGGAGTGAAGAGATCTTGTCTTATTTGACTTTACATCTCTGTCTAAGCATTATGCTTAACACAGAGAAGTTTCTCCATGAATGTTAAGGACCTGACAAGAATTCAAATAAAGACTTTAAAAGTATAGTTTACAAGAAGGCAATCCCAGAAGAATTGCTCTTGTAATAAATATGATATCACATAATGGAAGATCAGTTTTCAAACTTCTGTCACTCAAACCACCCAAGAGTACAGGTTTTAAAATATTCAGTGATTATATGTTTTAACTTTATGAAATTTATTTTCAGTAAATTCATTAATTATTCACTAACTTAAATGCATTTATAAACTTAAATGTCCCTTATGTGGCAGTGACTGTGCATCTATTCTTATATTAATTTCTGATTACCAATTATAGTACCTACTAAGTTACCACCTATTATTTTCTGAACACTATAATAAGTGATTGAAATGACTTCTGACACAGATTACCCAGAGTTAGGCCAAACTTCACAGGTTAAGAGAACAGTCCTACATGAGACTATCCCCACTTCAGACACCAGCACAAGTTCAAAGGTCCATATGCCACCCTCACTTCTGACCAGATGGCTATTAATTCAGGGGTTCTCACTACCCTTTCAGTTTCAACAATTTGCTGGCATAATTTATAGAATTTAGGAAAGTACTATTCTTACAATTACAGTTTTATTGTAGCAAAACTGAACCAGCCAAATCAGAACCAGCCAACACGAGAGACGGGCAAAGTTTGGGGTATCCTAAATGCAAAGTGTCCATTGTCTTTCCTTTTGGTGTCAGGACACATCCCAACACATCAATGTGTGGCAATCCACCAAAAGCACCGTACAATACAATACAGAGCACAGAAATCTCACCTGATGATATGGTTTGTCTGTGACCCCACCCAAATCTCATCTTGAATTGTAGCTCCCATAATTCCCACTTGTTGTAGGAAGGAGCTGGTGGGAGGTAATTGAATCAAGGGGCAGGTCTTTCCCATGCTGTTCTCATGGTAATGAGTAAGTCTCATGAGATCTGATGGTTTTATAAATGGGAGTTCCCCTACACAAGCTCTCTCTTGCCCACCGCCAGGTAAGACATCCCTTTGCTCTTTCTTTGTCTTCTGCCATGATTGTGAGGCCTCCCCGGTCATGAGTCCATTAAACCTCCTTCCTTTATAAATTACCCAGTCTCAGGTATGTCTTTATTAGCAGCGTGAGAACAGACTAATACACCTGAGCTTCAGATTCTAGAGATTGTATTGGGGCTTTATTATGTAGGTAGGATTGGCTGAATCATTGACCATGAGGTTGAATTCAGTCTCCAGTCTGAATTCTCCCTGGAGATTAGGCTAACATTATGTGACTCAAAATCCCAATTGTTTTTGTTTTTATTTTTTTCAACTTTTATTTTAGAATAAGGGGGTTAAGTACATGTGCAGGTTTATAACCAAAGTACCTTGTGTGATGCTGAAGTTGGTAGTGCAAATGAAACTGCCACCCATGTAGCCGGCATAGGTACCCAATAGGTAGTTTTTTTCAATTCTTATCCCCTTCCTTTCCAGTCCCCTCCTTATATTCTCCAGTGGCTATTATTCCCATTTTTATGCCCATGAGTACCCAATGTTTAACTTTCACTTATAAGTGAGAACATGGGGTATTCACTTTTCTGTTTCCGTGTTAGTTTACTTAGGATAATAGTTTCCAGCTGCATTTATGTTGCCACAAAGGACATGATTTTTTTCCCTTTTATGGCTACATAGTGTTCTACAGTGTATATGTACCATATTTTCTTTATCCACTACTACTGATGGGAAACTGGGTTAATTTCATGTCAACCCATGTAATATTCTATTGTGAATAATGCTGTGATGAAAATACGGGTGCACGTGTCTTTTTGGTAGAATAATTTATTTTCCATTGGCTATATACCCAGTAGTGAGATTGCTAGGTTGAAGAGTAGTTCAACTCTCAGTTCCTTGAGGAATCTCCTAACTGCTTTTCACAGTGACTGAACTAATTTACGTTCCCACCAACAGTGTAGCCTTGCTGACACAAAAACCCTTCTGTCTGGTGTGAAGTGGTTTCTCATTGTGGCTTTGATTTGCATTTCTCTGATGATTAGTGATGGTGAACATTTTCACGTATGTTTGTTGTCTCAAAGCCCCAATGCTTTAATCACATGGTTGGTATTTCTGTGTGATCGGCCCCTATCCTGAGTCATCTCATTAGCTTTAAATATCTAGGGGCCTACCGTAAGCCACCTTGTTAGTATAAACTATCAGAACCTACCAAGAATAACAAATATGCTCCTCTCACTTGAACAATCCCAAGGATTGAGAGGCCACCTCTCAGAAACAGTGGACAAAGATCAGCCAGACTCTCCATTACACTGCAGTGCTTTTCATGTATTATCTAATATAATTCCTATGATTCATATGTTCACCTGCAGAGTTGGGTGGTGTTACTCCAGAGCTTAGGAATACAAGTTCAGGGAACTTAAATAAATTTTCCAAGGTCATGCAGCTAATGAGTGGCAATGCCAGATTTGAAACCATGTCTTTCTTTTTATATTTCCTTTCTAAAATTTTCTAATATACAACCTAATTATGCCTCAAGTTCAATTTTATTAGAAAAATTAATAATAATTTTTCATCTCCCATAGTACAGTTACCTGGTCATGGTTTCAGCAGAAGAATGAATATTTATATGAAAGATATTTAGCATGCTCAGTAATTATCTTCAAAGTCAGGAGAGACAATGAAATGTTAAGGACAAAAATGGACTTGAGTTCTAATTCCTGCCAATTCCTAACTAGCCACTAAATCTGTCACTTTAGTTAAAGTATTTATGATCTCTGATAATCAGTTTCTATCTACAAATGCTCACCTATATTCCAGGATTTTCATAAAATTCAAAGAACAGTTGTGAAAGTAGTGGCCTATTCCCAAATTCCCTTATTTTCCTCTATTTATCCATAACACTTAGTAATATTTCAAATGATTTAAATATATAATTTCAATAGTTAAACAGATTGTAAAATTTCAATCACAAAGAATTAGTTTTTCAATGATATAACCCAAATTTCCAGATTAGGTTCTGGTAAGTAGTAGACATTCAAGTTTTGAAGCATATGGTACGTGGCATGAACTGTGAATAGAGCAAACTTTAACTTCCTCAAACCAATTATCCCACTGAGGAAACCAGGAAAAACTGTAGAAAATATTTTTAAAATATGTGTATGGTAATAGAGACGATAAGAAAATATTACAAAGTTACTGGACCAAGAACCAAAGAAGAAGGAGGTCTGGAAAAAAAAAGCAGAATTTCAGCTTCTTTATGTCAAGGGCATTTGCTGATTATAGAAGATTGTTCTTAACAGATTTGCTGTGCTAGTGAAACAAAAATTGGGGTCCAAGGATCCCCCATTAGAGAGCAGGTCAGGAAAGCTGGTGGATCTATCTAGGTTTGGACTGGATCCCCCAGGTGCTTTACCCTTAAAGTACAGATAAACTAAAAGTACACAGGTCCTTGTAGAAATCGGCAGTTTTGCTTGAATTGTGTCAATTCTGGAAATTGTTTAGGTTGATCCATGATTGCTAGTGTCTCCAAGGCACCTATAGGTACAAACACAAGTTCTCTCTGAATAAAGATAAAATCTATAAACAATTTTGAGTACAGTAGTATATAATAAAAAGTAACCAGGCACCAAAGGGAACAAAACTGCCTGAATGAAAACTAGTAGAAACAGGTAGTGAAAACAGGTCAAATTATACTACAGCTGTTGGAGTTATCAGGCATGAAGAAAAGAGAGAGGAAGATAAAGAATAGGAGTTGAGACAGAGAGAAAACAGTGATATGATCTAAAATACATGTAATTGGAGTCAGTGAGATAAAGAAGAAAAAAAAGGAGAACTGTTTAATATAAATGATTCCAAAACTGAAGACCTTAATCCAGAGATCAAAAAAGCCATATAAATCCCAAGCACACAATTGAAAAAAAAAAAAAAAAGCCTGTACCCAATAACATAATAGTATAAGTGCTGAAAACATAAGTAGAAATCTTAAGTAGCCAAAGCTAGGAGATAAGGTGGAAAGAATGTTTCCCTCAAAGGAATAACAGTGGACTTTTCAATAAAAACAATGGGGCCCAGAAGACAATTGAATGCTACGTTCAAATGAAAATGACAGAAAAGAAAATACCTTCCAACATAGAAATCTATATCCAGTGAAAATGTTTTTCAAAATGGAAGTATATTAATGATGTGTGAAGAAAAATAAGAACTCAGAAAATGTTTCTCTGATAAACTCATATTAATGAAAATAGTAAAATGTTACAAACTTCCTTTTTGAGGTCAGAAATAATACAAGGATATCTGATATGACAACCTCCACTCAAAGATTAGAACTGAAGAAGATATACTGATATTATCTGTCAATAATCCCAAAGATTATATTAAAAAACTATTACAATTAATAAACAAGAGTACTAAGATTTGTGAATACAAGGTCAATGTAGCATCGAATACATTTCTATTTATTAGTAACAAACAGTTAGAAAATGAACTGAAAAAAGAACACTTCCAATAACATCAAAAATATCAAATACCTAGGAATGAATAGCTCTAACAAAGGAGGCAAAAGACCTCTATCTAGAAAACTCTAAAAGAATAATGGCACATTTAGAAATTCTTTAATTTTAAAGAGGGCTTAAATAAATCAAAGAATATACCATGTTTGTGAACTTCAAAATTAATTATTATATAGATATCAGATGTCCCTAAATGTGCCTATAATTTTAGAGCAGTCTCTCAATTAAAATCTGTGTGTGCAGAGGTACTGGTGTATGGGTGTATACACTGAGAACAATCACAACAATCTTAAAAAAAGAAGAGCAAGAAGAGAGAATCTGCTTTGCCAAATATCAAAAATGATAGAGCTGCAATAAGATAATGTGATATGGGCATAAGAATACACAGACCAATGGGACAGAACGAACAGAAACTAACACACATATATAAGGATATTTGATTTACAATACAGGTAAAGGCAGAGCAGTGAAGGAAGTCTTTTCAATATCTAATGCTGCGACAATGGCTACCCACACAAGGAAAAAAGTAAAACGTAACACCCACCTTACACTGTTCACAAAAATAAACATTTTATAAAATCAATTCCAGGTGGATTATAGTTCTATATGTGAAAGACAGAGCAATAAAAATGTATAGAAGATAACATAGGAGCATATCTTCATAATTTGGGAATAAGAAAACTCTTCTTAAACAGAACATGAAAGTACTAATCATAAAGGGAAAGACTGATAATTTGGGCAACATCAAAAGATGCCATTAAGAGAGTAAAATGACAAGCTACAGAGTAGAAGGAAATAGTTTCAATATCTAGTAACCTAAAATTTTTCTACAAAATGTGAAGAATCCTACACATCAATAAGAAAACAGACCAAGCATGGTGGCTCCTGCCTACAAACTCAGCACTTTGGGAGGCTAAAGCACGAGGATACTCGAGGCCAGGAGTTCAAGACCAGCCTGCGCAAAATAGTGAGACCCCCGTCTCTACAAAAAATTAAAAAGTTAGTCAGGTGTGGTGGTGCACACCTGTACTCCTAGCCACTTGGGAGGCTGAGGCAGGAGGATCACTTAAGCCCAGGCATCTGAGGTTACAGTGAGCAATAATTGCATGACTGCACTCTACCCTGGGTAACAATGTGAGACCCTGTCTCAAAAAATAATAAAATAACATAACATAAATACAATAAAATAATAAGACTCAATCAGACACTTTACAAAAGAGGATGTCCAAATAGTCAATAAGCATATGAAAATGACTTTAAGATCATTAGTCCCAAAGAAATACAAATTAAAACCAGAGAGAGATAAAAAAAAAACACCCCCCAGAATGGCTGAAATTGAAAGAACTGAAATATCAAGAGTTGGTAAGGACATGGAACAATAAAATTACTTACACTGCTGGTGGAAATATAAATGTGCACAACCACTTTGTAGAACAATTCAGAAGGTTCTACTAAATTTCAGGATAGACATATCCTATAAATTAACAATTTCACTCCTAGGTGTATATCCAACAATAATGAGAGCACCTATGCAACCAAGAGTTATGTACAAGAATATGTATAGCTGTGTTCTTTGTAATAGTCAAAAAACTGAAAGAAATCCAAATGTCAATCAACATTAGAAAGGTTAGTGTTATTGCATACAAACAAATATTTACAGCAATGAAGATTAACAAACTGCAATGACATGTAATGTAACAACACAGACGAATTTCACAAATATGTTGAAGAAAATAAGCCAGACAAAATCTCTACAAACTATACAATTACATTTACATGAAACAGGAAAAGGTAACTTACTGGTGAGAATACTTTACAGAAGCTTGAAAGCAAGGATTATTAAAGTCAGGATAATGTACTTCTGGGTGAAAGGAGGGAATGATGTTCAGGAAGTATATGGTGGGTTCTTCTCTGTCTTGACATTCTTCTTTCTTTGCTTGAATGATGATTAAATGGCACTTTGGAATATGATTCATATATTTTTGGGTTTTGCCATTTCTCTATGTCTATATCTTACCACAAAGAAAGGTTTATAAAATTATGAAGGGATAGTTTATAAAAATATAAACTTCTCAATGGTAATTACCTCTTAAAAGGAAAGGGAATAGTGTAAGGGCATACAAAAAAGTTCAAGTATATCTGTAACATTTTATTTCTGAAAAGGAATCTGAAGAAGTAATGTCAAATATGAACAGGTTATGTCTCTTAAATCTGGTGAACATTAATTATATTATTAGTTTCTGTACATTCTATAGATTTGAAATATTTGAAAATTATTTTTAAAAGAAACTTACTATTTTCTGTCTCCCAAGGGACTCACTCAATGCATAGGGAGTTTAAAATAAATAATTGCACATTGGTTGAGGAATTGATTTGTGATTTATTTCAGTTAAGAAGAAAAAATAGGCCGGGCACGGTGGCTCACGCCTGTAATCCCAGGACTTTGGGAGGCCGAGGCGGGTGGATCACGAGGTCAGGAGATCGAGACCATCCCGGCTAAAACGGTGAAACCCCGTCTCTACTAAAAATATAAAAAATTAGCCGGGCGTAGTGGCGGGCGCCTGTAGTCCCAGCTACTTGGGAGGCTGAGGCAGGAGAATGGCGTGAACCCAGGAGGCGGAGCTTGCAGTGAGCTGAGATCCCGCCACTGCACTCCAGCCTGGGCGACAGAGCGAGACTCCGTCTCAAAAAAAAAAAAAAAAAAAAAAAGAAGAAAAAATATTCTTAATTTAACTCTGTGTCTTGCCAACACCACTGGCCTTATTCCTCCTACCAAACAGGATCCAGTCAAGCTGGCCTTGGAACGTGCTGTTTTCTCTTCGTAGGATGCTCCTCCTCAGCTTTTTGCATGACTGCTTGCTTTTCATTAATTAGGTCTCACTTTAAAAGTCCCTTCTTTACAGAAGAGAGCTTGCTTGATTGTAGTATACACCATTCCCCACCCAAATAGGCAAGTTCTGTTATATACCCTTTTTACTTTCTTCACCAATTACTGGTTTTTTTTTTTTATTATACTTTAAGTTTTAGGGTACATGCGCACAATGTGCAGGTTAGTTACATATGTATACATGTGCCATGCTGGTGCGCTGCACCCACTAACTCGTCATCTAGCATTAGGTATCTCTCCCAATGCTATCCCTCCCCTCTCCCCCCACCCCACAACAGTCCCCAGAGTGTGATGTTCCCCTTCCTGTGTCCATATGTTCTCATTGTTCAATTCCCAACTATGAGTGAGAATATGCGGTGTTTGGTTTTTTGTTCTTGCAATAGTTTACTGAGAATGATGATTTCCAGTTTCATCCATGTCCCTACAAAGGACATGAACTCATCATTTTTTATGGCTGCATAGTATTCCATGGTGTATATGTGCCACATTTTCTTAATCCAGTCTATCATTGTTGGACATTTGGGTTGGTTCCAAGTCTTTGCTATTGTGAATAGTGCCGCAATAAACATACGTGTGCATGTGTCTTTATAGCAGCATGATTTATAGTCCTTTGGGTATATACCCAGTAATGGGATGGCTGGGTCAAATGGTATTTCTAGTTCTAGATCCCTGAGGAATCGCCACACTGACTTCCACAGGGGTTGAACTAGTTTACAGTCCCACCAACAGTGTAAAAGTGTTCCTATTTCTCCACATCCTCTCCAGCACCTGTTGTTTCCTGACTTTTTAATGATCGCCATTCTAACTGGTGTGAGATGATATCTCATTGTGGTTTTGATTTGCATTTCTCTGATGGCCAGTGATGGTGAGCATTTCTTCATGTGTTTTTCGGCTGCATAAATGTCTTCCTTTGAGAAGTGTCTGTTCATGTCCTTCGCCCACTTTTTGATGGGGTTGTTTGTTTTTTTCTTGTAAATTTGTTTGAGTTCATTGTAGATTCTGGATATTAGTCCTTTGTCAGATGAGAAGGTTGCGAAAATTTTCTCCCATTTTGTAGGTTGCCTGTTCACTCTGATGGTAGTTTCTTTTGCTGTGCAGAAGCTCTTTAGTTTAATTAGATCCCCTTTGTCAATTTTGTCTTTTGTTGCCATTGCTTTTGGTGTTTTAGACCTGAAGTCCTTGCCCATGCCTATGTCCTGAATGGTAATGCCTAGGTTTTCTTCTAGGGTTTTTATGGCTTTAGGTCTAACATTTAAGTCTTTAATCCATCTTGAATTGATTTTTGTATAAGGTGTAAGGAAGGGATCCAGTTTCAGCTTTCTACATATGGCTAGCCAGTTTTCCCAGCACCATTTATTAAATAGGGAATCCTTTCCCCATTGCTTGTTTTTCTCAGGTTTGTCAAAGATCAGATAGTTGTAGATATGCGGCATTATTTCTGAGGGCTCCGTTCTGTTCCATTGATCTAGATCTCTGTTTTGGTACCAGTACCATGCTGTTTTGGTTACTGTTGCCTTGTAGTATAGTTTGAAGTCAGGTAGTGTGATGCCTCCAGCTTTGTTCTTTTGGCTTAGGATTAGCTTGGTGATGCGGGCTCTTTTTTGGTTCCATATGAACTTTAAAGTAGTTTTTTCCAATTCTGTGAAGAAAGTCATTGGTAGCTTGATGGGGATGGCATTGAATCTATAAATTACCTTGGGCAGTATGGCCATTTTCACGATATTCATTCTTCCTACCCATGAGCATGGAATGTTCTTCCATTTGTTTGTATCCTCTTTTAGTTCATTGAGCAGTGGTTTGTAGTTCTCCTTGAAGAGGTCCTTCACATCCCTTGTAAGGTGGATTCCTAGGTATTTTATTCTCTTTGAAGCAATTGTGAATGGGAGTTCACTCCCATTCTGTTTGTCTGTTATTGGTGTATAAGAATGCTTGTGATTTTTGTACACTGATTTTGTATCCTGAGATTTTGCTGAAGTTGCTTATCAGCTTAAGGAGATTTTGGGTTGAGACAATGGGGTTTTTTAGATATACAATCATGTCATCTGCAAACAGGGACAATTTGACTTCCTCTTTTCCTAATTGAATACCCTTTATTTCCTTCTCCTGCCTAATTGCCCTGGCCTGAGCTGATGGAGCTGAAAGCCAAGGCTCGAGAACTACATGAAGAATGCAGAAGCCTCAGGAGCTGATGCGATCAACTGGAAGAAAGGGTATCAGCGATGGAAGATGAAATGAATGAAATGAAGCGAGAAGGGAAGTTTAGAGAAAAAAGAATAAAAAGAAATGAGCAAAGCCTCCAAGAAATATGGGACTATGTGAAAAGACCAAATCTACGTCTGATTGGTGTACCTGAAAGTGACGGGGAGAATGGAACCAAGTTGGAAAACACTCTGCAGGATATAATCCAGGAGAACTTCCCCAATCTAGCAAGGCAGGCCAACATTCAGATTCAGGAAATACAGAGAATGCCACAAAGATACTCCTCAAGAAGAGCAACTCCAAGACACATAATTGTCAGATTCACCAAAGGTGAAATGAAGGAAAAAATGTTAAGGGCAGCCAGAGAGAAAGGTCGGGTTACCCTCAAAGGGAAGCCCATCAGACTAACAGAGGATCTCTTGGCAGAAACTCTACAAGCCAGAAGAGAGTTGGGGCCAACATTCAACATTCTTAAAGAAAAGAATTTTCATCCCAGAATTTCATATCCAGCCAAACTAAGCTTCATAAGTGAAGGAGAAATAAAATACTTTACAGACAAGCAAATGCTGAGAGATTTTGTCACCACCAGACCTGCTCTAAAAGAGCTCCTGAAGGAAGCACTCAACATGGAAAGGCACAAATTGTACGAGCCACTGCAAAATCATGCCAAAATGTAAAGACCATCGAGACTAGGAAGAAACTGCATCAACTAACGAGCAAAATAACCAGCTAACATCATAATGACAGGATCAAATTCACACATAACAATATTAACTTTAAATGTAAATGGACTAAATGCTCCAATTAAAACACACACACTGGCAAATTGGATAAAGAGTCAAGACCCATCAGTGTGCTGTATTCAGGAAACCCATCTCACATGCAGAGACACACATAGGCTCAAAATAAAAGGATGGAGGAAGATCTACCAAGCCAATGGAAAACAAAAAAAGGCAGGGGTTGCAATCCTAGTCTCTGATAAAACAGACTTTAAACCAACAAAGATCAAAAGAGACAAAGAAGGCCATTACATAATGGTAAAGGGATCAATTCAACAAGAAGAGCTAACTATCCTAAATATATATGCACCCAATACAGGAGCACCCAGATTCACAAAGCAAGTCCTGAGTGACCTACAAAGAGACTTAGACTCCCACACATTAATAATGGGAGACTTTAACACCCCACTGTCAACATTAGACAGATCAACGAGACACAAAGTTAACATGGATACCCAGGAATTGAACTCAGCTCTGCACCAAGCAGACCTAATAGACATCTACAGAACTCTCCACCCCAAATCAACAGAATATACATTTTTTTCAGCACCACACCACACCTATTCCAAAATTGACCACATACTTGGAAGTAAAGCTCTCCTCAGCAAATGTAAAAGAACAGAAATTATAACAAACTGTCTCTCAGACCACAGTGCAATCAAACTAGAACTCAGGATTAAGAAACTCACTCAAAACTGCTCAACTACATGGAAACTGAACAACCTGCTCCTGAATGACTACTGGATACATAACGAAATGAAGGCAGAAATAAAGATGTTCTTTGAAACCAACGAGAACAAAGACACAACATACCAGAATCTCTGGGACTCATTCAAAGCAGTGTGTAGAGGGAAATTTATAGCACTAAATGCCCACAAGAGAAAGCAGGAAAGATCCAAAACTGACACCCTAACATCACAATTAAAAGAACTAGAAAACCAAGAGCAAACACACTCAAAAGCTAGCAGAAGGCAAGAAATAACTAAAATCAGAGCAGAACTGAAGGAAATAGAGACACAAAAAACCCTTCAAAAAATTAATGAATCCAGGAGCTGATTTTTTGAAAGGATCAACAAAATTGATAGACCACTGGCAAGACGAATAAAGAAAAAAAGAGAGAAGAATCAAATAGACGCAATAAAAAATGATAAAGGGGATATCACCACCGGTCCCACAGAAATACAAACTACCATCAGAGATTACTACAAACATCTCTATGCAAATAAACTAGAAAATCTAGAAGAAATCGATAAATTCTTCACCAATTACTATTTGAAATTACATTTCCTTTTTTTCACCTATTTATTGTCTTACTCTCTTCACTAACAGCAAAGTCTCGAAGAGGGTAGAATATCTGTCTATATCTATATTGTTCACCACCATTTCATCAGCATGTAGAATGCCTGGCAAATAGTAAATGTTTAATAAGTATTTGTTGGACAAATGATTCAGTCGAGGCAATAAGAATTTTACTATGCATTTCATTTTATTGCCACAATATATATTTAATATATATTATTACAATTCTATACATATATAATTTAGGAATAAAAGCTGTTCTTAGGAAATTTCTCAGGAAAAATGAAATTTATTAACACAATTCAGACTGCAATCTATCAGTTATTACTACATGTTAACTACAAGCTGAAATAATTATGATTTATATTTCAAATAAATGTTATGAGAAACTTTTTAAATGTCTTTTTTAAGACCCAGAAGGAAAAGCAGTTAGAAATAGAGCCAAAGAGCTAATGCATCCTTTGTACCTCACAAGGAAATGCCATCTTTCAGAACCAGGCTCCAAAACATTACAGAGGAAAACAGAATTTTAAATGGTCAACAAAAGGAAAAAAGACATATTTCATATTTGAATATCATACTCACAAGGTACAAAAAATCAATATAGGTGGAAATTCTTAAAGAAAAGCATTTTAAGCTGTTTGACCATTTTGTAATACTTGTAAATTCTGCATGCTGAAATTGTGGTACTTAGAATAATTCAGTAAAACTAACTTTAATTTCTTAAAGTCAAGATTGTAAGAAATTACCTGAGTAATGAAGAGTTCATTTGCAAGAATCAGAAAGTTTTTAGGAAGGGAGGAAATGTCATTTCACATCTGGTTAAATTACAAAGACTATATTTCATTCTTAAGAGAACACAGAAATGATTGTTTTTAAATAAGGAAGATGCCCAGCATGTTACAGCATTGCACTGAGCAATAATAGTGATAAAAGTTTTTAAGTTAATTGCATGTTAATGACTAAGTTAAACTCAAAATGGCAATCAGCAGAAGCTAGGAAACATTTGTCTTGTTTAAATCACATAGTAACCTTTAAATATCATGAAGCAGTCACTACATAAAAAATGCAATCAAATTATAAAAGAGGCATATAATATTTTAGAATGTTTACATAAGATACAAAAAAATGGTTAAACGGAGAGAAAAACATAACAAGGAAGATGTATAACTAAGATAGTAAGTCACAAAGATAGCTGGAAAGAAGTAATTAACATTTTATAAAATGACTCTATGAAGAATAATTATCTTTTAAATATTGTTGATGGCTATTTTTAAGGAATCTCTTTCCAGACAAAGAGATATATGTTTTTCTTTTTTCTTATTCTTTAACTGTTTAATTTTTGTTCAGGTTTTTAAATTCCTACTCTCTGTCTCTCTCTCATTCTTTTTTTACCAGCCTACAGTTCCCATTGTTAGATTTTTTTTTTTTTTTTTTTTTTTTAGTTTACTTATTTTCACAGGTAAAAGAAGGAACTCTACCGGTATAATGAAAAGGTTCTCTCACATTCGAAGAAACTAATACCTTAAAAGAAGTATGCTTTATTTTAAACTAACAACTGTGATATCAGTTAATTTAATGTAATAATTACCAGTGTGTCTCACTTGTTTTCATTCACATTAGAGGCTCATTGGAAAAGTGATGAGCTGATCACTAATTGGAACTGGTTAGACTCAAGGATTATTTTTTAATAATATTTATTGACTGTATATAATGGGTATGAATTGGTGCTAAGCAATGAGAATAACAAAAAGCAAAGAAGACATCATCCCTCCTTTCAAGGGAATCAACATCTACTGGCAGAGTTTTACTTGTAAGTGTATTATTATCATACTACATGGAAACGTAAGTAGCAATCAAATTCTTAGATTAAAAAAAAAAAGTCCCTAGGTTATTCTACCCATAAGCATTTTAAACAGCTCGCTTCACATCTTTAAAACAAAACAAAATGAAACAAAAACACTCCTTGGATCCTACATAACCTTCCAACTACCTTTTATATATATTCCCCCCTTTCCTTATCCAAACTTCCTGAATGTTGTCTACACTTGCTGCCACCATTATCTCACCTCCCTCTCAGTCCTATACCCAAATTCTATCCATCCAGCTTCACTCAAGTGACCCATAAGTGGCAAATCCCATGGACCTCATTTCAGCACTCATCCTGCTACCCTTCAACAACATTTGACATTCCTGGACATGCTTGCAGACTTGAAGCACTATTTCCTCTCTTTCCTCTGGCTTTGCTCTGTAATGTATTTCATTCACTGTCTCTTTTGCGAATGACTTCTCCTCTACCAATCATTAAATGCAAGTGTTGTTCAGAACTGTGCCCTACACTCCACTTTCTTCATGGGTGCTCCATCCCCCATGGCATCAATTGCGTCAATACTCTAACCACTTTCAAATTTGCATCAATAGCCTGGACCTCAGTTCTTCTAATTGGATCTATTTATACAATTTATTTATAAACACTTTTAGTTTTATGCCAAAATTCCTTCAATATAACATATCCATGACTGCAGGCATACAATCTTTCCCTCAAGCAACCATTACTCCTTCCCGATTCTCTTTAGAAAATTGCACAATAATCTCCCAGTTGCTATGACAGAAACTTGAGACTCACCCTTCACAGCTCTTCCTAGCTTCAGCACCACTCATATCAAGTCCATTACTAACTTATCTATGAAATGAATTAATTTTCCTGTGTCTCCACTGCCATCACCTTAGTTCAAGCATCCATAGTCTCTTTCCTGGATTTCATTAATAACTCCCAGCCTGTCTCTGTACTTCCAACTTTTCAACAGATTCCTCTTGCTGCAAGCATAGTAATCATTCTTGAAACAATTCTACCTGTACCACTTTTGTGCTTAAAGCCTTTCAGTGACCTTCTGTGGCTATAAAGATACTAAGAGAAGCTGGGTTTAGTGGTATTTCTGAAGTACAATAAATAGGATTTGATATATGGAGTGCGAAAAAGAGGCAACTCTAAGACGTTTTTCAAATTAGCTTGAGATATTGAGATAATATCATTTTAAAAGACCACATTTGTGGGGCAAAGACAAAGAGAAAATGGGTTCAATATCACACCTGCTGAGATTAGAGTACATAAGAGATATTGCAGATCAGTAATCCTGGGAAAGATGGAAGCTAGAGGTAGATAGATGTCATAGACACGACTCAAATTCCCAGGAAATATTTGTAGAACAAAGAAATAAGGACCAAGAATGGAATCCTGAGGAATATTAACATTTAAGAAGTAGGGGTGACAGAAGATGAAAAGTAAAGGAGACTGAGAACAACAGAGAAAAGGGAAAACCAAAAACGATATTTGAACCCTGGAATAAGGTAAAAATGTGCATTGCTTTTTATTATACACTGAGCTCAGTTCTAAATATCTTTTCAAAAAAAATGAACAATGGCAATAAAATAAAAATAAAAATGCCTAGTAGAGTTGATCCTTGAACACCAAAGGTTTGAACTCTGTGGGTCCATTTATATGCAGATTTTATTCTGCCTCTGCTACCCCTGAGACAGCCAGACCAACCCTCCTCTGCTTCCTCCTCAGCCTACTCAACACGAAGACAATGACAATGAAGACCTTTATGATTATTCACTTCCACTAAATGAATAGTAAAATACGTTCTGTTCCTTGTAATTTTCTTAATAACATTTTCCTTTTTCTACCTTGTTTTACTGTATGAATACAGTACATAATACATATATCACACAAAATTGTGTGTTAACTCTTTATGGTACTGGTAAGGCTTCAAGTCAACAGTAGGCAATTGGTAGTTAAGTTTGGTGGGTGTCAATTTATACATGGATTTGCAACTGCTCGAGGTGTCAGTGCCCCTATTCTCCATGCTATTCAAAAGTCAATTATAATTTGGTGACCAATTTTTATAAAGTGAACTTTGTGTTTTTATATCTTAAGTAAATAGAGTTAAGTAAATCTTGCTTCTTATTTTATTATACATTACTATTGATCCATGTAAGGCCTTTTCTTATTTCCTTCTTAGCTATACCCACCATTTTAATAGGTGATCATTCTGTTGTGTTTAGTGAATCCTTTTTTATGTGTTCTTGTAAAATGTGCTCTGATTAGTGGAAAGCTATTATTAATTAAATAAGTAATACTGTGTGATATATTTCATTATGTTCCTTTCTTTTTCACAGGCATCTTTTTAATATCCATTCATTGTTGTGTTTCTAATTCATTGTTTCTAATTGCTACATGGTAAGTTACCATGATGTACAATCATCACACTTTATCCATTGTTTTAGTTAGTCCAGGTCACTATAATAAAGTACCATAGACTGGATGACTTGAACAAAAAACACTGATTTCTCCTAGGTCTGGAAGCTGGAAGTGAGAGATTAGGGTGGTAGCATGGTTAGGTTCTGGTGAAGTTCTCGTTCATGTTGCAGACCTCCAATTTCTCTTTGTGTTTTTATATGGTGGAAGGTGAGCCAGAAAGCTCTCTGAAGTCTGCTTAATGAAGTCACTAGTACCCTCCTGACCTAATTATCTCACAAAAGCCCCACCTTCTAATACCACCATATTGCTGGTTAAGATTTTAAGACATAAATTTTGGAGGGACACAAACATTCAGTCCATAGCACCTATCTACTCTCTCCATGATAGACACCCAGGTTGCTTCCAACTCTGACCAACAACAATAATATTGCAATAACATTTCCATTCACAGATGTCCCCTTATGATCTTATGTAAGAACTTCTTTGGCTTATACATTCGGTGGCAGAATCGATAGGTCAAAGTGTATGCATATACTTAATTTCAGTGAAGATTGCCACATTGCTCTCTGAATGGCTGGCTCAGTCTACACTCCCTCCACAAGACATATGGGTTCTTGTATCCTCAAATATCAATCAAGAGTTGACACATCTATCTTTTTAAATTATGGCTAGGCTAATCAGTGAAAAGTGATATTTTAACTTGCACTTCTGATTGATAATTATTTTGAGCATCTCCAGGTATTTGATTTAGTTTCATTTTATATAAATTGCCTGTTTTAAATCTTTTATCCATTTTTTTTGCTTATTTAGTTTTTTCTTATTGATTTGTTGTGTTTGTCAGTTTTAAACTTCAGATATATTCTCCCATTGCATATCTGTCAGATAGATCTGTCCATGGTATCTGTATTAGGTTCCTAGAGCTGTTATAACAAAGTACCACAAACTGGGTGGACTATAAAAAATAGAAATGTATTCTTTGTAGCTTTGAAGGTTACAAAAATCAAGTTCTGACAGGGTCATGCTCTCATCTAAGTCTTCAGGGGAAGATTATTCCTTGCCTCTTCAAGATTCTGGTGGCTTCTGATGTTCCTTGGCTTGAGGCAGTATAAGTCCAATCTCTGCCACCATCTTCACAAGCCTTCTTCCCTCTGTGTTTCTCTGTGTATCTGTGTGTTCACATGGCCTGCTTACAAGGGCACCACTCATTGGATTTGGAGCCACCCTAACCCAGAATGGCCTCATCTTAACTAATTACATCTGCCAAGACTCTATTTCCAAATAATGTTACATTCTCAGGTTCTGAGTGGACATAAATTTGGGGAGAAAAGGGAGGATGCTATTCAACCTCATAAAATGTCCTTCTTTAAATAATTGATTTTTTCATAAATTACATTGTTCTATTGAGGGAAGGACTCCAGCCTAAATATTCATTAAATAACACTGTTGAAACAAGATTTTATACCTATAAATGTGTGTGGTATATAACTATTGTTGTCTTTCTAGCATGTAGCTAGAATTCTTGTGGCTTAAGAGATGCTAACTGTACCTCTGGCTTAACCCTGATTGAGTTAATCTCCGTGGTTATAGAAATGTATTCAGGCCTTGACACATCACTCAACTGGGGGCAATGAGACATTTGCTGAGGATATCTGGAAAAGAAGCTTCTTCACTAGTCTAAAAGAACTCCCGGAAGAGAGTCTCCATTCTCATTGGAAGTGACCCAGACTTGTAGCCCCTTGAAGCTCCTGACAATTATTTTACTGTTGTGATAGAAGCCAGCCTGAGGACTAAACTAACACAAAGTTGGGAAAATCCATGAGCATTATAGATAAATTGATGCTGAGTACTAAGTTTTAGATTTTTAGTTAAGTTGATATAACTTTTTCTAGGTGAAATAAGCAAGTCAGAGTTCCATCACTCTCTAGCTATATGGCATTAAGGCAAGTTACTTAATCTCACTAAGCTTCCCTTTCCTCATCTGAATATTGGATTTCTACAGTGTCTAGTTCATAGAGTCTCATGAGGACTAAGTAAGAAAATGTGTACAAGGCACTCAGTCCAGGATTGATCAGTTTTAAGTGTGAGGTAGTTGTAAGATAATATTTATTGGTATTATTATTATTTGCATCAGTAATATAATTATTATTAGATTATAGCAAACCCAGGATGCACTCTCAAATCAAAAGTCTAGGCTTCTCAACTGTTCAGGACAAAAACCGACAGGGAGCATACCTTAAGAGTTTCAGCAAACGTCAAGACATGGTTCTGTTTTTTGGTTCAGCAACATTTTGGTTTTTTTGTTTGTTTGTTTGTTTGTTTGTTTTCAGTGCAACTGAAGACTAATTCACGATAACCAAAAGTCACAAAAGACTGATAAACTTGAGTAGAAAGTTATTTCTCAATACTTGTGATGATAACAGCCAAGTGGGCCAAATGATCCTTTTCATCTGATCAGAACCTTTCATCTCCTATCAGAAAATGTAAGTGGAATGACAATTACTTTAAGTAGGTCATTTGGTAGACCCTGAATCAGAGAAAATTGAGTTATCTGGGAATTTTCTATTGTATGGAGCTATTAAGCTCTGATAGCCTAATGTACCCATCTCTACCATGGGGTAAAATTGACAAGGAAGCCACTGGACTCACCATGCTGTCTTTTTAGGAACCATACCCCTGCATATGACAGGGACAAAGAGAAATATTTGTATACTTCAAGATTCAAATTTTCCTATGCTCCACGTAAGAACAATGCTCCATTTAACACAGCCTTATATAATCATATAGCACAAGTGATTTTGGTACTTCCCTCTTCATTGTGTCCCGGTCCTGAGAATAAATCCTAGATAGCATCAGACTATTCTAGTCTCCTAAGCAATACACTTAAAAATTATTCTTTTGTACAGAGATCATATCTTTGTCATTTTTCCATTTTTATTATCAGTCACTGATTTTTATCTCCAAATTTAGAGGGCCCCTATGATGGCCCTACATGCTATCTGCGATGTTCTTTATTCTAGGTCACTTTTTCTGTTTTAGTAGCCATCATCTTTGTAGATACTGAGGAAAACACTAGCTTTCAAAATCACACACCCACACAATGTCATTGACTATGTGGAAGTCAGCATGCCTTGGGAGTTAGGCAATGTCTCAGTCAGAGCTGAACTCAAAGAGGAAAACTTCCACAATTATAAGCCACAGTTCTGTAAGACTCTAATTTCTTCTATATCCCCCTTCAAGCTATGCCCACACCCACCACCATGGCATTCTCATGACAAGACGGCCCAAGTAAAAGGTTTCTTATATTATCTTATTCTGGAATATTTTTCCTCCATTTTCTAAGTTAAAAGCTCTAATGCATTCAGCATTGGCTGATGAAGACCCTGCTAGCTAAATTCTATATATCAGTGAGGAAAGGTCTCTATGAGAAAAGTTTTTAAAAATTCACCTAAAGCACTGGTTCTCAAACTCCAGTTCATAGACCATTGCATTAGAGTTTATAGCATACTTGTTAATACCACAGTTATTTATTTATTGGCAAACAGACAATTCCTATTTTGGGCAATAAGCCTGGCTTAACAGCAAGGACACAGCTGTGAAGATGGGAGGTTGAGAGGGCTGACTTGAGACACTGTTCATTGTTAATGAGTCAGTTATCCAAGAACTAGACTTTTTTGTTTGTTTGTTTGTTTGTTTGCCTAGAAGATCAAGTAAATCAGGATTTCCATGTTTGGAAACAACTGTTATAAGGCAATTAGTTGGAAACTATAAGAATAAAAGAAATAAGAGAAGAACAATTACAGAAATTCTAGTCATCCATAGCTATTGTGCCTTGAGAAATAATGAAAGATACCTGCTGGAGAAGGGGGTATTGGACAGGGACAAAAAAAAAACCTGCCGGAGAAGGGGGTATTGGACAGGGACAAAAAAAAAAAAAAAAAAAAAAAAAAAAAAACCTGCTCTTTCCATCTCAATTCACTCCAGTTTTATTTAAATAATATCTCTCTTTATGCTTATTATTAAGCCTCTGTTGCATGAGACATCTGAAACTTTAACTTACTAATATTCCTCAACATAAAGTGTTACATCTAAAATTGGAAATACCCCAAAATAAGCACACATTTGTTTCTTACCAAATTTGGTAAGTGAGGTATATTGTAACAGAATTCTAAAACACGTTGATTATTTTCATGACTTAAAAATAAAGACAACTGTTTACTTTGCATATAGGAATTTCCCCATGCAGGCAGTGTATTTTATCACAGAGGGTAAACATATGAGAGGTAAAATATTGAAAAAAAAAGTTGCTCCGAAATGTTTGGGGGAAAAAAGTAAGCTAGCAAAAGAGAAAACATTTTTTTTCTTTATGAGGAAATATCAAGGAGTGAAACAAGCAAGCAAACAAAAGAAGAAAAAGGGAAAATAAAACACAACTGCACACCCAGAGGGGCAAGAGACAGAAAATCTATGTAGCCATAAATAAACACCTTGTCAGAGAATCTATACCAATCCAAAGAGGCCAATTTGGGAAGTGGCAGCAAAGTAGGGAAGGCTCAATCAAACCAGATATTGAAAAGAAAAAAGCAACCTATAAAAAAGATAGGAGGTATGCACTGACTCTTCTGTGAGAATGATTACACGTTGAATCTACTGGTTTTCATGTTTCCAGGGAGTTTTGATTTTTAGGGCTTGAGATGAAGTGAAACAAGGAAGTGCCTTTCCCTGTCCTATTAGAGCTCTAATTCCCCTTCAGAGCAACCAGAAATCATCTCAGATTACCTCTTCCAGTTCACCCGCTGTCTTCATTTTCAGGCTAATCCCATATTTTTTATTTCCTGGCCTATTCTCCTCCATTCTCTCCTATTGGGAGCTAGGCTGGTCAGACTGGAAAGAAAAGGCAGAAGGAAGGAAGTACTGGGACGAGAAGCAGAGAGGACTCTCTTACCCTCCAGGGAGGCACCCGCTATCTCCCTGTCACAAATGGTCACCTTTTGTTCACTTGTCTCTGTGTTGGCTAATTTTATGTGTCAACTTCACTGGGCTAAGGGATGCTCACATAACTAGAAAAACATTATTTCTGGATGTGTCTGTGAGGATGTTTCCAGAAGAGATTATCATTTGAATAGGTAGACTGAGTAAAGAAGACCCATGCCCACCAATGTAAATGACCGTCTTCCAATCCATTGAGGGCCAGGTGAGAGCGAGAAGTCCAAGTAAGGGCAAATTCTCTGTCTCTCTTCTTGAGCTGGGACAGTCATCTTCTTCTGCCCATAAGCATTTGGTTTCTGACTGAGAGTTACACATTGGCTCCTTTAGTTCTCAGGCTTACTACAGACTTGAAATGAATCACACCACTGGCTTTCCTTGTTCTCAAGGAATGCTTGCAAACAGTGTATCATGGGATTTCTCAGCCTCCATATTCACATGAGCCAACTTTTTTTTTTTTTTTTGAGATGAAATCTCGCTCTGTCACCCAGACTGGAGGGCAGTGGGGTGATCTCGGCTCACTGCAGCGGGTTCCAGCAATTCTCCTGCCTCAGCCTCCCAAGTAGCTAGGATTACAGGCATGCACCCCCAAGCCCATCAAATTTCTGTGTTTTTAGTAAAGGCAGGGTTTCACCATGTTGGCAAGGCTGGTCTTGATCTCTTGCCCTCAGGTGATCTGCCTGCCTCAGCCTCCCAAAGTGCTAGGATTACAGGTATAAGCCACTGCACCCAGCCGAGGCAACTCTTGTAATAAATCTTCTTTTATATATCTATGTATTGTCTATTGGTTCTGTGTCTCTGAAGAACCTTAACTAATACAGTCCATATCACTTCTAAAAGCAGAGACCATTCTGTGTAGTTGTCCACTTTATCCTAAGTCTTGAATAGGTAAATTTCAAATAATTTTACATTAAGAATTTTAAGAAAAGGTACTTTTAAAATCCTACCCAATAGCCAAACACCCCAAAGGTTTTGTGTTATTTGACACTGTGGCAGAGCTCCCAGATCCAGTGGGAAGAGTACCAACTAGAGGAAAACCTTTCCCTACAATCTAACTATCCAGTTCCTCAGCGTCTCAGAGCTGGGTAAGCACTACATCAACAAGTGCTTGTCCAGACCCTACCATGATATATTAAAATCCTGGGTGGCATAAAATACCTGTCACATAGGATCAAAACCCTGAAAACTTTACAAAAAGTAGAAGAACAAGATGTGAACAAGAAACAATTAATGAACCATGCAGGATAATATATTCAATACATAATGGTGCAATTTAAGGGTTAAATTATGTGAAATAATTAGTGAATATACATGAATATGACAAGTACAATATACATAGAAAATACTTTCAAACCAAGTTAAAAAGAAAGGTAGAAGCTATTAGATATTATTTAAATTCAGAAGATAATTATGGTGTTAAGAAAGGTTTAAGATAAAAATTCTGAGTGTTGTTATTAATACCAGAAGATTAAATAAACAGCTAAAGACAATTTCTAATTAGGTAAATTTCATTCGTATTTCTTAGAGAATATTAACCTTCTTAAGGTATTTTTATAAATTATAAACCTGAATATATAAGAATATTTTAAATTAGTAAGAGATAAGGTATTAATCACAGTTTAGTCTTCTCTTTAAAATCTAACAAATTTTAGCTATTTTCAAAATACTCTAATTTTGCTCAAAAATTTATCTAAACTATTTATTCACTCCTGAATAAAAATGCAATACAAATTAAAATTTATTTTTGTTATCAGAATAGAAGGCAGATATAATGGAAAAAAATTGTAATTACCCATAATACTCAGACCCAGCCATTATTAACAATTTGGAATATATTCTCTAGTCTAGTTTCTATATGATACTCATTTTATTTAAAAGGAATCATACTATATATGTTATTTTTGCCTGTTTTCTGTATCAATTTATCATAAATATCCAAAAATATATACTTAAGACCCATAAATTTTTAAGATTTTATGTTAAAACTTATTCACATAAATTTTTCCTTCAAATGTAATGTATTACTTAAGTGGTTCTACTTTTTCCTCTTCATTTACACTCCATAGTGCATACTTTTTTAACAGTTATAAAATCAAAATCAGTCAGAATTATCACACACTGGAGTCAAGTGTGGTGCAGAGAAGCAATACCAACCTCAAGTACCAAATCAGAGAATGGCCTGAGATGAGAGGTCACTAAATCTGAGTTCAGCTCTGGCTCTGCCACTGTGCACTTATGTCCACTTAGGCAAGTCACTGTCCACTTCAAGATCTATGGATGAGACATTAAATGACCTCTGAAGTTCAATCCAGTCAGAGCTCAGATACTGATATTCTAGAAATTAGAATACAAGTTGAGTTTAAACATGCAGTGTTAGTGGCTGGTCTCCTCAAATTTCATTGGCCTTGGTTTGAAAACTGTTTCCATTCTACAGGTTGCTGGAAGGGTTGAGTCCATAATGAAATCTATGCAAAAAATGGCTAAACAAAATTTTGGCCAGTGTTGTAGAACCTGCTCTTTCAGGGTTAAAAAAAAAAAAAAATGGCTCTACTGGAGAATCTATTTTGGCTTTTAAAACAATGTCAATCAAAACCACTATATTCTCCCATTTTCATATGAATGACTTTTCCTTTCTAAATACTTATGTTTGTCGTATTTTAAATATGCTAGAAGTTATTTTTAAACATAAACAAACACTGATGATATCTGCCTATGTTTTCCATTTTTAATATATAAATACAGACTACTCAGAAATGACATATGAATAATCAAAAAAACTCCAGAAAACAATTACAAGGTTTTGCTTTCATCATCTGAGATCTAATTAAACAGATATTTGTACTTATACAACATGTTGTAATGTATTAGTAGATGCTAACAAACAAAAATTATGTTATTATGCATTTAATTATAAATTGATAGTCTCATATAATTGGCCATCAGCACTGACCAACAGAACTTAGGTGATGGTGGAAATATTTACTATCTGTGGTATTCAAACATAGCTACTATTGAGCACTTGAAATGTAGGTAATGCAAATGAAGGACTGGTTTTTAAAAGTTACTTAATTTTAATTAATTTATATTTAAATAGCCACATGTGGTTAGTGGCTATCATATTTGACAGCAAGATATAGACCAAGCTTGTCCAACCGCAGCCCTCAGGCTGCACACAGCCCAGAACAGCTTTGAATGCAGCCCAACACAAATTTGCAAACTTTCTTAAAACATTATGAGATGTGTGTGTGTGTGTGTGTGTGTGTGTGTGTGTGTGTTTTAGCTCATCAGCTATTGTTAGTGTTAGTGTATTTTGTATTTGGCCCAAGACAATTCTTCTTCCAATTGTGATCCAGGGAAGCCAAAAGATTGGACACCCTGAAATGGATCATATATGGAACAGAAAATTTAATTAAGTTCTATCTTTCCATAGAAAAATATTTATAAAACATCTGATGAACATGATATTTTTCCTTCCGTAAGAATATAAAATGATCGAGTTAACTTTACGATTTATCTGAAAAAAAAAATCATAGAAAAAGTTATTAAAGTATTAATTAGTTTTAGCTCCAGACAAAATAGTTCTCCATAAATTACAGTTTAAAAATATATGAACTTCTACTTTTGCTTTAAGGACTTTTTGTTAAAATAACAAAACCATGGCTTGCCCAAAAAAATCTTAGCAACTTAAAGTATACTCATTCTTTTCAGCCTCAGAGCATTTAAATTCAACTTATTTTTCTTTTTTCAAAGTATTTATATCTAAATATCAACATAAATAATGATAAGCGATCAGGCAAGGTACTGAGGGTTTAAACTTCTCTTATTCATAATATGTTTATAATTAAAACAAATAGAATTAAGTACACTACTTGGGTTAAAACAATAATTAAGAAAAAAGTAGGATTTAAACTTTTTTAAAAGTTAAAATTCCATGATTTTAAAGCTATTATAAACAGTAGCTTTCATAGATCTTTTAAAATTTTAGTTAATTAAAATATTTGTTGACTTTCACTTGACAAATTTTAAAACTACATAAAAATATGCCCATGCTAATACACTTAAGGATACATGCAATGTACCTCACAACACAGAACAAGCTGGAAAGCTGTCAAAATCTTCAAGAAAATAAACCACAAAAACTTACATGTTTTTAACAGTTAATTAATTGGAAGAAAACTGACAGTTTTTGCCCCAGAACCAAAAGCCAGCATTCCTTTTGGAATGAAAGGTGGTCCTAGTGGGTGAGAGATGGGAAATGAGGGTGAAATCACACTACAGAAGCTGGGAAGAGTGGGGTGTTTATTCTCGGGTACTAGGGCCAGATGAAGATCTTTCTAGGTTTTAAAAGATTTAAGTGTCCCTGCTCACCCATTCACGTAATTCAAAATAAAACAACATGGTAAAACACAAACTTTACAGGCCCATTGAAATTATAATTATTGATTATAAAATCCTGGAGAAGTTAACAAGGTTTCGATTTTTTTCACATTTTTGTGCTCTTGAAAACAGGCAGGTTGGGGTGGAGGGTTCCGATGACTAACACTTGATGACTTACCTAGTACCAGATAAAGATAGAGACTAGCTCCTATACAAGAATGATTGAAGTACACCCCTGATAAAGTGATCTAAGGAAGCCTGGTACCAATCATAAAATACTGTGGTGATGTTAAAGAAAAGTTCCTAGGTTCAAAATTTGGCACAGAGAGCAACCCATTCTCACAACCCTTGTGAGCAAGTTTAGACAGAAGGCCTATTAAATGTGAACTGAATGCCAAGCTCCAACCCCAGATATTTCCATCTGCTTAAGACCCAAGGAATCTTAATTTTATCTAGAGAGTAGACAAAATACAGTCTCATCTCCTGCTAAGACAAAGAAGAGGAGGGGAACTCAAAAGAGAATACCCTCGATTTAGGAACATAAAGGAAGATGATATTTCTTACATACAGAGTTTGGAGGATCCTGCTTCCTGCTTTGACATGAGGCTTGCCCAGTATGCTATAAGAATATCATCACATTAGTCACAGAGCAAGTCTTTCAAGAAAGATGTTGAGTACACTTGGGACAGGACTATAGATAAGTTGTATGGCTGTTGTACCTGCTTGGTAATAAATATATATGAAGCTGCAGTTGGTGTTAGATTTTCTTTCATTGTGACTGACCATCTAGAGTGAGGCTTCAGGGTGGAAATACTTATACACTACTGTGGTCTATAAACACCAGATGCTAGCATATTCACCAAAAAGTAGCCAGGCATGGTGGCACATACCTATAGTCCCAGTTGCTGAGGAGGCTGAGGTGGGGGGATTGCTTGAGGCCAGAAGTTGGAGGCTAGAGCTGTAGCCTCCAACAGTTGGAAGCTGTAGTTGGCTACAATCAACAACTGTGATTAGCCACTGCACTATGGCCTGAGCAACACAGCAAGACCCCACCTCTAAAACAACAACAAGATTCTGACATTCTCTGAATGAAGAAATTGACTTGAGTGACTCACATTTTTATTTATCTATAATTTTAATTTTTATTAGTACCATAGTTGCACTTACCCATATTTTAAACAGAAATAGAAAAGACCTTTTTTGGTAGGAGGAAGAGCACGGAAGACAATAAGGGAGCAGAGAGCTGTTAACTCGTCTCTCTCTAAATTTTTATTGTGTGAAGGAGAAAGAAAGCCATAAATCTATTTAAAAACACATCTATGGCTACTATTACAGAAAACATAAGATGGGAGCAATTAAAATCCAATGCAGTTGAAGCGAGACTGCTGTCCCTACTGAGACATTATCAGCTGAGCTTAACTATCTTAAGAGAAAGGACAGAAAAAAAGTGCTTTCATGTTTAGTACCTAAGTATTTGTCAAATACAGTAAGAGAAAAGAAGGGAAGATAATCATGCTAAATAAAAAAGTCCCAAAGATAAATAGTTGGAAAAACAGTAATTCTTCTTTTTGATCCCTCATCTGCCAACTCATTGCCAGGAGAGTTTAGCAAAGTTGATACCCTAAGAGAGAGCCACCTACTAAGAATAATATATAATGATAGATAGCAAATAGAAAGAAAATGCAGGAGAGGAAGAATTTACATCTTGTCCAAATTATAAAACATAAGGAGGAATATGTTCACAAGGGAAAAAAAAGTTAGATTTGCTTGACTAAACAGAATTTATACTATAGAAGCAGATACTGTTATATTAATAAAAAGATAAAATTAGAATGCTAAAAGCGATTTCTCATGATACAAGTCTTGAGTGGTATTTAAGGCATTTTAGAGATCTGGTTAAACGAGGGGAAGCCTCATAACTGTGTTGTGTACTTGCAGCCTGGCAAATAGTATGTCCATAGCTAACACATCCACTCTAATGACACAGAAATGAAATCATTCTGGAAACGAAAGACAGATTTAAGTGACTGGCTATGAGTTTAATCAATTGAATGAGTGCATCACGAGACACAAAACTCCATTAGAGTTACTATAGGTACCACTTACTAAAAGGACTTGGCTAATCAATACATTAGAGAATACAGATATAGAACAATAATCTCTAGACACCCTAAAATTGGTAGAAGAATGTTCATAGGTAACTAGCTTTACATTAGTCATTCTACAACTGGGTCCACTTTAGCAATTAGCAATAAGCTAACTAGAGAAGAGTTGTGGAGAATTACAAGCAAGTGAAAGGTCACAAAAGATAAAAATAATGGTGAGTAAAATGAAGCATTTTTAAGATGTTACTAGGAAACCTAATCTAAATTTCAACATTAAGCCACAAGGGGAAAACAAGTGGAGAGCAAGACTTGGAAATCGAGTTCCCCAAGGCAAAATAAATAAAACTAAAGATGGCATGAAATATTTCAATTTAAGAATGCTGTAGTCTCCTTAACACACAGAGTCGATAGAGTATTCTGAAATGCATATCCCAGATAAAATCTCTTATGACATACAGGAACTTGAGTAATCACGTAATCAAATGAGTTTAATACCTAAAGTATGTTCTTATCAAATAAATAACTTCAAAATTTTTAAATGGCCAAATTTCAGTTCTAGCCATGACAGAAGAATGGGCATTGGATTACCATCTCACTTTGAACAATTAGAAATATGTGAATCAATCATTATTAAAAATTGGACACCAGACAATCCAAGGTCTGTGATTTTTTTACAGAAAGGATACAGATGAAATGAGGTGCAAAGTGCAGCATAGAAAAGTATCCTGGAAAAAAAGCAATAGTCTTGCTGGGTAGGGAAAAAAAAATACCAGAGTTAATGGCTGCTGAGGCATCAGAAACTTTTGGGGTTTGAAACCAGAGAAGAGCAAGCTATACAGAGAAAGATCTCCAGAAATCTGCAGAGATGTCTGAGATTTTGGTACAATATTAACTTGCGTCTATACAGGGCAAGACTTCATGAGGCATGGTAGAGAAGAGTTACTGGGGACTTGTACTGAATGGAGGCCCCAGAGATTACACAGTGCTGACAGATATTAATGTTCTGATTATCCAGAATGAGTGGCTTCACTGAACTCCACAAGCATTCAGTTACAAGTCTAGAAAGGCCCCACATTAAAAGTAGTATTACTTTGGCCTCAACAGCATAAAACCTACCAGCCAGTAAATTAGACAGCTGCTAGAACAAAACTCAATACTCTTTAATAAAGACCATGAAATATGGCTCTCAACAATGTAACATCACAATATTCAGCATGTAATCAAAATTAGTGGACATGCAAAGAAGCAGAAAAATGTAATACATAGTGAAGAAAAATAAAGTATGTAAAAACACAACCAATGATGACAAAAGTGTTGTAATTAACAAGTAAGGTATAAGAAATGTATTCAAATACTTAAATATATAGACATAATAAATAAGTGAACAAATAGGAAACCTAAGCAGAAAAATAAAAATTTATAAAGAACAAAATTGAAATTCTATATCTAAAAATTTCTGAAATTAAAGAAAAAGACTAGATTTTTCTCAATAGCAGAATGGACACTATGAAAGAAAAGACAGAGTAATAGAGTCTATCTATACAGAAGTATAGAAAAGAAAAAAAGAAAACATTGAGAAGTAAAACAAAATTCCAGTGACATCTGGGACAATAACAAGAGGACTACCATACATGTAATTGGAGTGCCAGAAAGAGTGAGACAGAGGTGCAGAAAAAATATTTGGGAAATTAAGTATTGAAAAAATTCCAAATTTGATATAAGCTATAAATGCACAAATCTGAGAAGCTCAACAAACCCCAAGTAAGATAAACACAAAGAAAACAGCAACAAGACCTATTATAATCAAATTGCTGAAACCCAGTGATGAAAAAAATCTTAAAAGTAGCAAGGGGTGGGAGGTGGGGATCAGATTATATAGAAGGGAAAAATAAGAATATCTGTTTACATCGTATCTGAAACAATGTTCAACAAAAGACAGTGGAATGGCAAATTTGAAGAGCTAAAAGAAAATAAATGTCAACCTAGACGTCTTTATCCACTAAAAGTATTTTTCAAAAATGAAGGTAGGATAATGACATTTTTCGGACAAATAAAACAGTGAATTTGTGGCCAGTACATTTGTACTTAAAGAAATGGTAGTGGAAGTTCCTCAGGTAGAAGGAAAATAACATCAGATGAAAAATCAGATACACACAATAGAATGAAGAGTACTAGAAATTCTAAGTACGTGGGCATATATAGATGTCTTTTTCATTTTAAAATTTTCTTAAATAAAATTTGGCTAATCAATTACTAACTTAAAAAATGAATAACAATGTATCTTGAGAGTTGTAACAGATGTAGAAAATGTATAGTAACAATAGCACAATGAATAATTGAAGTGAAGTGGAAATTGTGGTAGGCCTAATTACAAAAATGGACCCGAAGATTTCCTGCCCTAATCCCCAAACAGGATTGTTAAAATGATAAGCTATCACAGCCATGATTATCTATGTTACCTGGCAAAAGATATTTTTTAGGTGTAGTTAAGTGTACTAAATTCATTGACCTTCAAATAGCGAGATTATCTGGATATGTTTAATATAATTACATTAGCCCCATAAAAGCAGAATTTTCTCAGACTTTCTCAGTAGAGGAATCCAAAGACATTTGAAGCATGAAAAACATAGATGCTTCTTGACTCACAACAGGGTAACCTCTCTCTAAACCCATCCTAAATTGAAAACACTGTAAGTTTAGAGTGCATTTTAGAGTTACAGTATTTTCTTTTTGTTATTATTATTATACTTTAAGTTTTAGGGTACATGTGCACAAGGTGCAGCTTTGTTACATATGTATACATGTGCCATGTTGGTGTGCTGCACCCATTAACTCATCATTTAGCATTAGGTATATCTCCTAATGCTATCCCCTCCCCCCTCCCCCCACCCCACAACAGTCCCCAGAGTGTGATGTTCCCCTTCCTGTGTCCATGTGTTCTCATTGTTCAATTCCCACCTATGAGTGAGAACATGTGGTGTTTGGTTTTTTGTCCTTGCGATAGTTTGCTGAGAATGATGATTTCCAGTTTCATCCATGTCCCTACAAAGGACATGAACTCATCATTTTTTATGGCTGCATAGTATTCCATGGTGTATATGTGCCACATTTTCTTAATCCAGTCTATCATTGTTGGACATTTGGGTTGGTTCCAAGTCTTTGCTAGTGTGAATAGAGCCGCAATAAACATACGTGTGCATGTGTCTTTATAGCATGATTTATAATCCTTTGGGTATATACCCAGTAATGGGATGGCTGGGTTAAATGGTATTTCTAGTTCTAGATCCCTGAGGAATCGCCACACTGACTTCCACAGGGGTTGAACTAGTTTACAGTCCCACCAACAGTGTAAAAGTGTTCCTATTTCTCCACATCCTCTCCAGCACCTGTTGTTTCCTGACTTTTTAATGATTGCCATTCTAACTGGTGTGAGATGGTAGTATTTTCAATTTAGTATGGGTTTATGTGGATGTAATCCCATGTAAATCGTGGAGTGCACTGAATGAATATCACTTTCACACCATTCTAGGGTTGCAAACTTTTAAGTCGAGCCATCATAATTCACGAACCATCTGCATTAGGTGAAGTATTGGGGCTATAAAATGGGGGTCGGGGTGACGAGTAATATAGGAGGCCACTCGACACTGAGCGCAACCCACCACCAGGGCTACCAGGACACAGAACTGAATTCTGCCAACAACCTGAATGAACTTGGAAGCAGATTCTTTGCCAAACCTTCTAGATAAAAGCTCAGCTGCCAACACCTTGATTTCAGCTATATGATAATCTGAGTATAGGACCCAGTTGCACGTCTTTCATGACTGTAAGCTAATGAATGGGTGTTCTTTAAAACCATTAAGTTCATTGTAATTTCTTAAGCAGAAATAGAAAACTAATATAGAAGTATACTTTGTAAAGTTCTTTCATTATCCACTAAATAAGATTATTTAAAGGTAACTTAATACTATTTGTGATTAAGTTAAGTGTGCATATTGGAAACCCTACAGCAATCACACCAGAAAAAGAGCTATACAGCCAGCAATCCAAGTTGACATAAAATGGAATATTACATACCCTCAACGAATCCCGAAAATGTCTGGAGTCATCTCAGAAGGGAGTAGGCGCTTTGCATGACCTGTTTTAGGACCAAAAAAAGTGCCTGGTATATAGCGGGCTGTCTCTAGACCTTTAGGAAATGGATGAGTGAATGAATGCATAAATGAAAAGTCAACTCCATATTCTAAGCAATATAAATCAATAAGTGGTTCTAGAACCAAAAATACCTAGATAAAGAAACATTTTAGACCATAAGCAGAATAATCAGAAGGGAAAAAACACTTAAACAGAGCAACCAGCCGATTTTGGGTTTTATTATTTATACCCAACCTGGTTCTAATACAGATTTAAGGCACCAGAGAACAGCTAAAACTCTGCTTTAATAAACTATGTGTGTAATAACTGTGAAAATAAAGAAGGAAAATGAAGTATATTATAAGCAAATGTAGAAGGACCCATTATAAATAAAAAGAAAGCACATACAAACTTCCTGCTTTTATAAGCAGAACATATGGGTTCTGTGCCTAGCACTACACAAACTATTTTTTGTCACCATGCTACACACAGTAAGAGAAATGCCTGTATATTTGCAAAAGTTGCAAATCTAATTCTAATATGCAAGGTCAAACAGCAGCCCGGAAATAGAAACTGAGGTTTGCAGAAAATGCTTATATCTCCAACTAATAATGCATAGTTCACGAGATAAGCCAACCTGATTTAGCTGAATCAGCTGGAGTTTTACAAACTCCACATTGCTCCTAGTTGATCACATTTAAGACAACCTTTCTGCCTATCATAATCTCTAATAAATGGTAGAGTGAAGGGTAAGGACAAAGGAACAAATGTATCTTAAATGTTTGTTTTGAATAGGAGAGGACATCACTGCAGACCTTACTGAAGTGCATGCAGCAGGTATATTTTGTTCCCTTCAGGAGAATTTCTGGCACAGGAGTATGTTCACAAGAATGTAGATTAATATGCTTGGAGTTTTGGCAGTGCTGTAGTTTATTCTGGATGTTACTGATTGAGATGTTTCAGTGATGCTGTATCCCAAATCCCAAACCTGCACATAATTGTGAAAACTGTTCATATATTCACATACTTCAGATAAGAATCAAAAATGTCTTGTTGACATTATTAAAATTTGGAGTCTTCCTTTTCTACTATTTCATATAACACTGCCTTTACATAGACCCATGGGAAAATGGAAGGTATATTTTACTCTCTGGATTTATAGAAGCTTGGTCTCCCTCTGACTCAGTGACTCTGGATCACTAATTAACAGCCAGGTGCTGGGTGTTTTACTAAAAAAACAAAGTGACTTCATTAAGTGCAAGCTTTTGAACAAAATACAATACACGTGCAGCCTCTTTTAAATTAGTTCTTCTGAAGCACCTCCTTCTCTAAGGATATCCCATTGGAAAAATGAGCACAATCCTTAACCAGATTGTACATAATTCACACTAATTAAACATGTCATTTATGGGCTTGAACCTATTACATCAAGTTATAAATTATGCAGTTTAAAAGCTGCATTAACTTTTTCTAGTGACTAGAAGCAAAGGAGAGGCTACTTAGCAGTTGTTTAATCAACAAACACAAGCTGAAATTTGTGGTCACGTTAAATATTTAGCTAGTGGCTTAGTTTTTAAGAGGCCACTTACCCAAAATAAAAAGGAAAAATGGCAAGATGGCCGAATAGGAACAGCTCCGGTCTACAGCTCCCAGCGTGAGCAACGCAGAAGACGGGTGATTTCTCCATTTCCATCAGAGGTACCGGGTTCATCTCACTAGGGAGTGCCAGACAGTGGGCACAGGTCAGTGGGTGCGCGCACCGTGCGCGAGCCGAAGCAGGGCGAGGCACTGCCTCACTTGGGAAGCGCCAGGGGTCAGGGAGTTCCCTTTCTGAGTCAAAGAAAGGGGTGACGGACGGCACCTGGAAAATCGGGTCACTCCCACCTGAATACTGCGCTTTTCCGACGGGCTTAAAAAACCGCGCACCACGAGATTATATCCCACACCTGGCTCGGAGGGTCCTACGCCCACGGAGTCTCACTGATTGCTAGCACAGCAGTCTGAGATCAAACTGCGAGGCGGCAGCCAGGCTGGGGGAGGGGCGCCCGCCATTACCCAGGCTTGATTAGGTAAACAAAGCAGCCTGGGAAGCTTGAACTGGGTGGAGCCCACCACAGCTCAAGGAGGCCTGCCTGCCTCTGTAGGCTCCACCTCTGGGGGCAGGGCACAGACAAACAAAAAGACAGCAGTAACCTCTGCAGACTTAAGTGTCCCTGTCTGACAGCTTTGAAGAGAGCAGTAGTTCTCCCAGCACGCAGCTGGAGATCTGAGAATGGGCAGACAGCCTCCTCAAGTGGGTCCCTGACCCCTGACCCCCGAGCAGCCTAACTGGGAGGCACCCCCCAGCAGGGGCACACTGACACCTCACACGGCAGGGTACTCCAACAGACCTGCAGCTGAGGGTCCTCTCTGTTAGAAGGAAAACTAACAAACAGAAAGGACATCCACACCAAAAACCCATCTGTACATCACCATCATCAAAGACCAAAAGTAGATAAAACCACAAAGATGGGGGAAAAAACAGAACAGAAAAACTAGAAACTCTAAAAAGCAGAGCGCCTCTCCTCCTCCAAAGGAACGCAGTTCCTCACCAGCAACGGAACAAAGGTGGATGGAGAATGACTTTGACGAGCTGAGAGAAGAAGGCTTCAGACGATGAAATTACTCTGAGCTACGGGAGGACATTCAAACCAAAGGCAAAGAAGTTGAAAACTTTGAAAAAAATTTAGAAGAATGTATAACTAGAATAACCAATACAGAGAAGTGCTTAAAGGAGCTGATGGAGCTGAAAACCAAGGCTAAAGAACTACGTGAAGAATGCAGAAGCCTCAGGAGCCGATGCGATCAACTGGAAGAAAGGGTATCAGCGATGGAAGATGAAATGAATGAAATGAAGCGAGAAGGGAAGTTTAGAGAAAAAAGAATAAAAAGAAATGAGCAAAGCCTCCAAGAAATATGGGACTATGTGAAAAGACTAAATCTACGTCTGATTGGTGTACCTGAAAGTGATGGGGAGAATGGAACCAAGTTGGAAAACACTCTGCTGGATATTATCCAGGAGAACTTCCCCAATCTAGCAAGGCAGGCCAACATTCAGATTCAGGAAATACAGAGAATGCCACAAAGATACTCCTCAAGAACAACAACTCCAAGACACATAATTGTCAGATTCACCAAAGTTGAAATGAAGGAAAAAATGTTAAGGGCAGCCAGAGAGAAAGGTCGGGTTACCCTCAAAGGGAAGCCCATCAGACTAACAGCCGATCTCTCGGCAGAAACCCTACAAGCCAGAAGAGAGTGGGGGCCAATATTCAACATTCTTAAAGAAAAGAATTTTCAACCCACAATTTCATATCCAGCCAAACTAAGCTTCATAAGTGAAGGAGAAATAAAATACTTTACAGACAAGCAAATGCTGAGAGATTTTGTCACCACTGGGCCTGCCTTACAAGAGCTCCTGAAGGAAGCACTAAACATGGAAAGGAACAACCGGTACCAGCCGCTGCAAAATCATGCCAAAATGTAAAGACCATCGAGACTAGGAAGAAACTGCATCAACTAACAAGCAAAATGACCAGCTAACATCATAATGACAGGATCAAATTCAAACATAACAATATTAACTTTAAATGTAAATGGACCAAATGCTCCAATTAAAAGACACAGACTGGCAAATTGGATAAAGAGTCAAGACCCATCAGTGTGCTGTATTCAGGAAACCCATCTCATGGGCAGAGACAAACATAGGCTCAAAATAAAAGGATGGAGGAAGATCTACCAAGCCAATGGAAAACAAAAAAAGGCAGGGGTTACAATCCTAGTCTCTGATAAAACAGACTTTAAACCAACAAAGATCAAAAGAGACAAAGAAGGCCATTACATAATGGTAAAGGGATCAATTCAACAAGAAGAGCTAACTATCCTAAATATATATGCACCCAATACAGGAGCACCCAGATTCATAAAGCAAGTCCTTAGAGACCTACAAAGGGACTTAGACTCCCACATATTAATAATGGGAGACTTTAACACCCCACTGTCAACATTAGACAGATCAACGAGACAGAAAGTCAACAAGGATACCCAGGAATTGAACTCAGCTCTGCACCAAGCAGACCTAATAGACATCTACAGAACTCTCCACCCCAAATCAACAGAATATACATTTTTTTCAGCACCACACCACACCTATTCCAAAATTGACCACATACTTGGAAGTAAAGCTCTCCTCAGCAAATGTAAAAGAACAGAAATTATAACAAACTATCTCTCAGACCACAGTGCAATCAAATTAGAACTCAGGATTAAGAATCTCACTCAAAACCGCTCAACTACATGGAAACTGAACAACCTGCTCCTGAATGACTACTGGATACATAACAAAATGAAGGCAGAAATAAAGGTGTTCTTTGAAACCAGCGAGAACAAAGACACAACATACCAGAATCTCTGGGACTCATTCAAAGCAGTGTGTAGAGGGAAATTTATAGCACTAAATGCCCACAAGAGAAAGCAGGAAAGATCCAAAATTGACACCCTAACATCACAATTAAAAGAACTAGAAAAGCAAGAGCAAACACATTCAAAAGCTAGCAGAAGGTAAGAAATAACTAAAATCAGAGCAGAACTGAAGGAAATACAGACACAAAAAACCTGGATTCAAAAAATTAATGAATCCAGGAGCTGGTTTTTTGAAAGGATCAACAAAATTGATAGACCGCTAGCAAGACTAATAAAGAAGAAAAGAGAGAAGAATCAAATAGACGCAATAAAAAATGATAAAGGGGATACCACCATCGATCCCACAGAAATACAAACTACCATCAGAGAATACTACAAACACCTCTATGCAAATAAACTAGAAAATCTAGAAGAAATGGATAAATTCCTGGACACATACACTCTCCCAAGACTAAACAAGGAAGAAGTTGAATCTCTGAATAGACCAATAACAGGAGCTGAAATTGTGGCAATGATCAATAGCCTACCAACCAAAAAGAGTCCAGGACCAGATGGATTCACAGCCGAATTCTACCAGAGGTACAAGAAGGAACTGGTACCATTCCTTCTGAAACTATTCCAATCAATAGAGAAAGAGGGAATCCTCCCTAACTCATTTTATGAGGCCAGCATCAGTCTGATACCAAAGCCAGGCAGGGATACAACAAAAAAAGAGAATTTTAGACCAATATCCTTGATGAACATTGATGCAAAAATCCTCAATAAAATACTGGCAAAACGAATCCAGCAGCATATCAAAAAGCTTATCCACCATGATCAAGTGGGCTTCATCCCTGGGATGCAAGGCTGGTTCAATATACGCAAATCAATAAATGTAATCCAGCATATAAACAGAGCCAAAGACAAAAACCACATGATTATCTCAATAGATGCAGAAAAAGCCTTTGACAAAATTCAACAACCCTTCATGCTAAAAACTCTCAATAAATTAGGTATTGATGGGACATATTTCAAAATAATAAGAGCTATCTATGACAAACCCACAGCCAGTATCATACTGAATGGGCAAAAACTGGAAGCATTCCCTTTGAAAACTGGCACAAGACAGGGATGCCTTCTCTCACCACTCCTATTCAACATAGTGTTGGAAGTTCTGGCCAGGGCAATGAGGCAGGAGAAGGAAATAAAGGGTATTCAATTAGGAAAAGAGGAAGTCAAATTGTCCCTGTTTGCAGACAACATGATTGTATATCTAGAAAACCCCATTGTCTCAGCCCAAAATCTCCTTAAGCTGATAAGCAACTTCAGCAAAGTCTCAGGATACAAAATCTATGTACAAAAATCACAAGCATTCTTATACACCAACAACAGACAGAGAGCCAAATCATGAGTGAACTCCCATTCACAATTGCTTCAAAGAGAATAAAATACCTAGGAATTCAACTTACAAGGGATGTGAAGGACCTCTTCAAGGAGAACTACAAACCACTGCTCCAGGAAATAAAAGAGGACACAAACAAATGGAAGAACATTCCATGCTCATGGGTAGGAAGAATCAATAGTGTGAAAATGGCCATAATGCCCAAGGTAATTTACAGATTCAATGCCATCCCCATCAAGCTACCAATGACTTTCTTCACAGAATTGGAAAAAACTACTTTAAAGTTCATATGGAACCAAAAAAGAGCCCGCATCGCCAAGTCAATCCTAAGCCAAAAGAACAAAGCTGGAGGCATCACACTACCTGACTTCAAACTATACTACAAGGCTACGGTAACCAAAACAGCATGGTACTGGTACCAAAACAGAGATATAGATAGATCAATGGAACAGAACAGAGCCCTCAGAAATAATGCCACATATCTACAACTATCTGATCTTTGACAAACCTGAGAAAAACAAGCAATGGGGAAAGGATTCCCTATTTAATAAATGGTGCTGGGAAAACTGGCTAGCCATATGTAGAAAGCTGAAACTGGATCCCTTCCTTACACCTTATACAAAAATCAATTCAAGATGGATTAAAGACTTAAACGTTAGACCTAAAACCATAAAAACCCTAGAAGAAAACCTAGGCATTACCATTCAGGACATAGGCATGGGCAAGGACTTCATGTCTAAAACACCAAAAGCAATGGCAACAAAAGACAAAATTGACAAATCGGATCTAATTAACCTAAAGAGCTTCTGCACAGCAAAAGAAACTGCCATCAGAGTGAACAGGCAACCTACAAAATGGGAGAAAATTTTCACAACCTACTCATCTGACAAAGGGCTAATATCCAGAATCTACAATGAACTCCAACAAATTTACAAGAAAAAAACAAACAACCCCATCAAAAAGTGGGTGAAGGACATGAACAGACACTTCTCAAAGGAAGACATTTATGCAGCCAAAAAGCACATGAAAAAATGCTCATCATCACTGGCCATCAGAGAAATGCAAATCAAAACCACAATGAGATACCATCTCACACCAGTTAGAATGGCAATCATTAAAAAGTCAGGAAACAACAGGTGCTGGAGAAGATGTGGAGAAATAGGAACACTTTTACACTGTTGGTAGGACTGTAAACTAGTTCAACCATTGTGGAAGTCAGTGTGGCGATTCCTCAGGGATCTAGAACTGGAAATACCATTTGACCCAGCAATCCCATTACTGGGTATATACCCAAAGGACTATAAATCATGCTGCTATAAAGACACATGCACACGTATATTTATTGTGGCACTATTCACAATAGCAAAGACTTGGAACCAACCCAAATGTCCAACAATGATAGACTGGATTAAGAAAATGTGGCACATATACACCATGGAATACTATGCGGCCATAAAAAAAAATGATGAGTTCATGTCCTTTGTAGGGACATGGATGAAATTGGAAATCATCATTCTCAGCAAACTATCGCAAGAACAAAAAACCAAACACCGCATATTCTCACTCATAGGTGGGAATTGAACAATGAGATCACATGGACACAGGAAGGGGAATATCACACTCTGGGGACTGTTGTGGGGTGGGGGGAGGGGGGAGGGATAGCATCGGGAGCTATACCTAATGCTAGATGACGAGTTAGTGGGTGCAGCGCACCAGCATGGCACATGTATACATATGTAACTAACCTGCACAATGTGCACATGTACCCTAAAACTTAAAGTATAATAAAAAAAAAAAAGGAAAAATGAATTTATAGATAATACCACCAAGCTTTGCTTGGCTTGAAACATAAGCATCATACAGTAACTAATATATGCAGTAATGTAATCCTCAACTATGTGCCTAGTATTGTGTAATATACTAGGGATATAAAGATGAAAAAGATATGATTCCTTCTCCCTATCACTTCCGGCCTAAAAAGGGAAAAGAACAACGTTATATATCAGTAAGCTCAGCAATTATGCTAGGTGCTCTGATGGAGGGCAGTGAGCAATGATCATAAGGAATATAACACATAAGGTAGGGCCTAAAATGTAATTATGCCTTTTGCAAGCACATGAAACTCAATGAACAAAGGCAGAATTGTGTGCAACAGGGAGGCCAGTCTGGAGAAGCATAGGACTGGGTGAGCAAGGAGAGAAAGATGAAAGAGGGACTGCTCTTTGATGAAGCAGAATCAGTAGATAGACAAGGATCAGAATGCAGAGGGCCTCAATAAGGATTTGTGACTTTCTCCTGTGGGAAAATGGGAAATATTGAAGAGTTTTAAACAGTTGAGCTTACATGACCAGAATTATGTATTAGAGAGTATCGTCACGACAATGTGGAGGCGGGACTGGGAAATGACAGACTATAGGTCAAGAAGAATTAAGTTAAATTAAAAGGCCAATTAAGAAACTTATTGTAATCATCAGGTGAGAGGGAGAAGGGCCTGAGCAAATGTAATAGCAGTGAGAATAAAAAACAAAGAGAAAAAGTTTTAAATTATGTTCAGTGAATAACTTCTAAGAATTGTTTTATTAAGAGTATTAGGTTCCTATAAATTCCTCAAGTGTAATATCGTTACATCATCATTAAAATTAGACTCTATTGACACAAATGGGCTTAATATTAACAATAATTATATTTATGCATAATTCTTCCAAATTAAGTTATTAAATATTTAAGATTCATGTGATGACCTTCTCATAAAATTTTACTTTTCTCTCATAAGCTAATTCCAACTCTAATCTTATATGCAAACCTCATTCAGACTAAAACTCATCTACCCATGTTTTAATTACCTGTTAGCTGCTTGTATACTAGACAGTAAAGAAAATAGCAAAATTCTACTGACTCTCCTACCTTTACAGTCATGCTCGTAGCCCACTTGCACTTGCTTTTACACTTACCAAGGCACTTCCCAAACATCGTCTAAATTAATCATCATTACCACCCCCAGAAGTAGACATTACAAACTTTAAAAAGTAGACACTCAGGCTGGGCGCAGTGACTCATGCCTGTAATCCCAGTGGGAGGCCGAGGCAGGTGGATCACCTGAGGTCAGGAGTTCAAGTCCAGCCTGACCAACATGGTGAAACCCATCTCTACTAAAAATACAGAATTAGCCGGGCATGATGGTACATGCCTGTAATCCCAGCTACTCAGAAAACTGGGGCAGGAGAATCGCTTGAATCTGGGAAGTGGAGGCTGCAGTGAGCCGAGATCATACCATTGCATTCCAGCCTGGGCAACAAGAGGGAAACTCTGTCTCAACAACAACAAAAATAACAGACACACAGAGATATTATGCAATTTGCTCAAAATCGCATGGCTAATAAATAAAAGGTCGTGCTGGAATTTAAACCCACACCACCTGATCACTAACATTCACTGAGCTCTCACGGGGTGTCATTGTTCAAAGTGCTTTACTCATATTATTTTAATCCTCACAAAACTCATATGAGGTATATGCTAGTGTACTTATTCCCATGCTCTGTAAAAACGAAAAGAGGAACAAAGAGCTTACATAAATTGCCCCAGGTCGCATAACCAGTAATAGGCAATACCAAGTTTCAGATACAGACCCCTGGACTAGAGAGGTCATATCCTTTACAATTAGTCCTGCTGTAAGCTGGCCTAACCACAACTACTTGCATTTGTTCCATCCTACATCAGAAGTAAACAGACTACTCGGCAAACCAAACATGGACATAATGTTGAATTATTCTCCCAGATCTGTAGCTAAACTATAGGTTCTTGTATTCCTTTCTCAGTACCCATAAGCTAAAACACTCCAAGCATTATCTGTACATTTCTGGCATAATACCATTACTTGACTCATTTCCAGTAAAAGAAAATTTGTCTCACAGTAATTTTATGAATTGATCCAAGTTTCTCTTAGTCCTACCTAATAAATAAAATAACTTATGGTCTATATTCAGTAGTTTCCACAATAATCATTTTACACAGTGTCACATAATTGTGATCTTATACAGATTACTTTCTGCAGAGGCTGAAATTACAAAATAGAAGAGTATCGGAACCAAAGATTTAAAACACATTTAAATAAAATATAATAAGATGTTGAAATACAAATATAAGTGGTTTTCACTACAGGAATTTTCAAAATTAGGGCATCAAAACAAGTAAAGAATACTGTCAATACCTAAAATTTTAGCAACTTCTTTCAATATTAAGTTTTTAAAGCCAATGTGCAAGAGAAACACAGAACATCTTTCTAATGCCCTGCTCTCCAGCATCCTTTCTTCCCTATTGCTAATAGCAGTAAGTAAGTTGTTTCTCATTTCATATATCTCTGTTGACACATTCATTTTACAAATTCCAGAGATCTGAGACAGACCTAGGGGCTGAATTTAATGGGCCCTGTGATGCAAGAGATTATAAGTACTGGCTGTTTACCGCCCTCCTTCAGCCTGGAGGATGGTCCTCCTGGTAGAGAGCCTCTCCCAGGTGGGTGCTGACTTCAGCTGGCGATTCTGTTTTTGCACATCCTTTGCCCTTCCTCCTCTTGTACCTTTTACCAAAAGCTTTGTGGACAGAGGGAGCGGTGGCCAGAACATCCTGAAATAAGATGAACAATTTGAGGAAGGAGAAGGAAGTGAGGAAGAATGCAGAAAGCAGTACCTAAAGAGAATCCAAAGGACTCTAAGTAGGGAATGCAGTCAGCATGTTTCAAGGCAGACTCCAAGTCTTTCAAGTTGGTTGTGTCTAAGCTTTGAAATCAGGGTATCTTGCTATTAAAAATATCAATTTGGTAAGATCACTGAAGGAATTCTTTAAATAGATTGTTTTCTTTTATAATTTCCTTTTATCATTAATTGCTTTCAACCTAAAATATGAACTTTGGGGGAAAAAAACACATGCTTTCTCACAGATAAAGCATCGAGTGATGGTAGAACTCTCTGCAGAGTGCACCCTCACTCCTTGGTCTGTGATCTCCAGTAAACTCCTTTCAAGTCCAAATCCTCAAGTACTTCACAAGCAAGAGAGGAACAATAGCAGCTACCTTATTGGGTATGAATATTAGATAATGAACATGAAGACCTTGATGCATAATAAATTCTCAATGCATGTCAGGAAAAGGAGGAGGAGGAAAAAGAAGATAGAAGTATTTTTCTTTTTTTCTTTTTTTTTCTGGAGATGGAGTCTTGCTCTGTCGCCCAGGCTGGAGTGCAGTGGTGTGATCTCGGCTCACTGCAAGCTCTGCCTCCTGGGTTCACACCATTCTCCTGCCTCAGCCTCCGAGTAGCTGGGACTACAGGCACCCACTACCACACCCGGCTAATTTTTTTGTATTTTTAGTAGAGATGGGGTTTCACCATGTTAGCCAGGATGGTCTCCATCTCCTGACCTCATGATCCGCCTGCCTTGGCCTCCCAAAGTAGAAGTATTTTTCTTATACATTCTTTTAGATTCTAGGTCAGAGTAGGATAAAAGGATTTGAAATATCCAATTCTGATTGAGAAGGTTATAAGGCAACATAATGTTTTTTATTTGAAAACTGAAGAATTAAAATGTGATCACTTTAAGATTTATACAAAAGTAATGGAGGGCTGGGCACAGTGGCTCATGCCTATAATCCCAGCACTTTGGGAGGCTGAGGCGGGCGGATCACGAGGTCAAGAGATCGAGACCATCCTGGCCAACATGGTGAAACACCGTCTCTACTAAAAATAGAAAAATTAGCTGGGCATGGTGGCACGCACCTGTAGTTAGTCCCAGCTACTCAGGAGGTTGAGGCAGGAGAATCGCTTGAACCCAGGAGGTGGAGGTTGCAGTGAGCCGAGATAGCGCCACTGCACTCCAGTCTGGCAACAGAGCAAGACTCCATCACACACACACACACACACACACACACACACACACACAAAGTAATGGAAGGACAACACATCAACATAAACATAGTTTATTTTGATTCATATAAATTAAGCTTTCAAATAATGATTAGTGTATACAGTTGACCCTTGAACAATATAGGGTTTAGGAGCACTGAACTCCTGTGCATCAAAAATTCTCACATAACTTTTGACTTCCCTAAAACTTAACTTAACATCCTACTGTTGATGAAACCCTTACAGAAAACATAAATGATTAACACATCTTTGTATTTTATATGTATTAATATTACACACTGTATTCTTAAATAAGATAAAGAAAAGAAAATTTTATTACAAAAATCACAAGGAAGATAATATATATTTATCATTTATTCAGTGAAAGTGGATCATCATAAATGTCTTCATCCTCATTTTCATGTTGAATAGGCTGAGGAGGAGGAGGAAGAGAGGAGGGTCTTGCTGTCTCAGGGGTAGCTGAGATGGAAGTGGTGCCACGCAGTTCAAACCTGTGTTATTCAAGAGTCAACTGTAATTTTCTGTTGCCAAGGCTGGAGTACAGTGGCGCGATCTCAGCTAACTCTAACCTCCGCCTCCTGGGCTCAAGCTATCCTCCCACCTCAGCCTTCCAAGTAGTTGGGACTACAGGCGTGCAACATCATGCCCGACTAATTTTTGTATTTTTAGTAGAGACGGGGTTTTGCCATGTTGGCTAGGCTGGTCTCGAACTCCTGACCTCAAGTGATCCACCTGCCTCAGCCTCCCAAAATGCTGGGATTACGTGCATTCAGCCACTGTGCCCCACCAAACTGTAATTTAAAAAGAAAAGAAATCAAGAGCATTGAGACAACATATTTTAAAATTTAAGCATACTAGAAAAAGGCAGATTTTTAAAGAAAGCCAAAATAATATATTAAAAATTGTATTTAAATCTGAATCGTCGAATGACAAAAAGAAAATATGTAGAAATGAAGATTTATCTGTTATAGAACAGAGTGCAAAACTCAGAAGTTATATAGAAAATATGACTGCAGTATGGAAGCAAATCTTTTACAAAGAGAGAGTAGGGAGCCTTTGGTGATTTAGTGAAATGGCCCCAAAATCCAAGGTTACAGGAAGGAAGGTAGACTAATCAAAATGGATTATTATGAAAAACAATGGCAAGCGTGTTAAATAATGACTTTTCAAAAGATGCTTCACCCTGGAATCTTACTACCCTTTTGAAATCTCCTTTTGGCTCACTGGTTGTAGTTTTTCATAAAGTCTAAAAGAAAGGGTAGATGAGTAATGCTATGAGTCAGAGGTTATTAAGAGTCATTTTTAACAAAAGCGACTTTTAAATCTTGGTGATCTTTAACATTTTATAATACCTGCTATTCAGAATTATTCTAAGAAAGTTACTAAGGTTTACAGAAAATTTGGTCACTTTATATCCAGTGTGCACTGTTAAAAAGCAAAAGTTGGCAAAAGGTTTAGTTGTCCTAGGAGCAGTGGCAAAGCATTAAAATTTTTAAAGCTACTCAGGTTTTATTTTGCTAAGTTTAGGTCATAGAATTAATTTTCTCAGTAAAAAAGTTGCTTCTTAAAAGTGCTGCAGATATTTGGCACATGCTGGCAACCAAAATAAACTGTAATGTCTTTCTCTAAGATTTAGGCCAGGTGCTTTGCTTTACATAAACTCAAAATTTTGCTTCACAATAGCTTTTGGCAATTGCAATAAACATAGGCAGGCAAATGGGGTACCTATCTATCTTAACAGCAAATCATTTTTTGCTAATAGTAGATACTGTTTATACAACTTGGGAGAGAGTTCAGTTATTAGGATTTTGTATCTTCAACATATTCCTGTCAAAAAATCATAGCAAACAATGGATGTTTAAAAGTCTGTAATAACAGTCTAACACAATGTGCTAACCCTGGGACTATCCATATAGGTTTTAGCTGGTTTCGATTATAAGTTTCTGCCTTATAGTGGAATCTGGTCAATAAAAGCCCATTTGTCTAGTACTAAATTGCTCTATGTTTGCTACATACTTAATGACAGTTCCTGAAAAAAATTGTAATCATTTCCAAACTTCATGCTTTGTTTTATATCAGGATAGAACCTTAAAGGGTGATTTGCAGTTGGCATTCTCATACACGTTCATACACAAAGGAGCCCACAAATACACCTATATGCAGAATAGAGCTATTTGTAAAAGAGCCTGTTGATTTGAAAAATGGCAGAGGGAAATTGCCCAAGATCAAAGAAAAACTGTGTCAGCCTTCCAATATCAATTCAAATCTTAAAATGATAAAGTTAATTCCAAAATGAAGTTTATTAAATTGCAAAAAAAAGCTAATAAAGCCATCTCGCCATATTTTTAATTCCATGAAAGCTTTCAGAAATAATTATTTGTTTTATTACACACCATCTGTTAACTCAATGAAAACAGAATTTTAGAAATTTTTGTGAGATTGTTTTATATTTGAATATTTATATTTATAATGAATTCAATATTTATAATGAATTCTAATTGCTTTAGAATTCGTTATTTTTGAAACAAATGTGGGAAAATTAATTTTATTACCTTTCCCATTCTGAATCTAGCTTTCTTATGCCCCCGCACAAATTCTAACTAACATTGTATACATTAGACCTATAAAAAAGAACTGATTTCTTGACATGAGCTTTTTCATTGTGTAGGTTTATATAGCAGATATGGGCTCTATCTGACTACATTATCTTTTATCTGTTTAATGCTCATACATCATGATAAGAGGAGAAAAATAATCTTTTCCGGAGTAAAGACCATCTGTACTACCCATCAAAAAGGAGTAAGGCTTTGTAAATTGAGAGGAAAGTCTACTTGTTTGACTTGGTAACTTTGTCAAGGTTACAATTGTGAGTAGATAAAAAAGTAGCAATTAACGTGACATACCTAGAGGAGGCACAAGGCTTTTCCCAAAATATAGAAGCCAGTGTCTGAGATTCATTCATCTTAATATAATTCCTTAAGATCAGGAAGGCTCTTCAGGTTTTCAAGAGAATCTATCACAATTAAAATGTGTTTTACAGGAAAAGGACTGATAGTTATTGCCAGTTTACCATGAGTACTACTGGATGTGCTTTACATAAGTTAGTTTAATTTTTATACATGTACATCTTTGCCTTAATTATTAGCTACCTTGTGCATGAGGATCGACAGAAAAGCTTTTAATGAACTAGTTCCCAGAGAGTATTCACAATTCGGCAGAAAAAACTTAAGAAGAACAAAAAGCACTCCTGAACCCCAGCACTTAGAACGCTTACAATTACCACCATAGACAGAGGAGAATGATGGTGCCTTTATGGCAGATATGCCATTTATTTATTTATCAGTTTACTACTCTATTTTATGACAAAATACTTTGCTATGTGCTGTGAAGGATACACTAGTGTGTCAAAGAACCAGTCAGTGTAATAGCATATGAATGAATATATTGAAAGGTACAAAACACGATAATGCCTTTCCATAAGCAGTAAGCCTTCACTTGGCAAGATTACTTTGGGAGGAACAGTGTACAAATGTTATTCTGACATAAGCAAATTAATGAATAACAAAAATGTATTTCTCTAAGCTTTCAAATATATAGTATCTTTAATTAGTCTAAGTATTTTCTAGTAAGTATTCTCTTCTAATAAGCCTTAGAAATTAATGTTCATCAATATATCAAGGCACCAGCTCAGATCATCTGGCAATTATTCCAGTTCTTTATAAAAAAGATGTTTCTCAAGTTCTAAAAACAGTACCTTCTCTCTCATTAGGTAGTTTTTTCTAAAGGCTATTCACTTTGTTGATTTGTTTGGCGATGCTTTCGTAAAAATGTTCAGATGAACTTTCATCCTGCAAAAATATAAGACCTCTGATCCCAAATCCAAATTAATACATAAAATAACCAATCCAGATATGAAATTTTGTTCTGCATTCTATATGATTTCTCATTTAGAAGATACTGTCCATTAAATTATTAAGTATACTACACATAAAGCCCCATATGATAAGTTTATTTTAGAATTTTCAATTAGGGAACTCTCCCCTAAAGAACAGGTATGTGTCTTCTTTTCCAGTGATGAGAGTAATCTGTCTTTTTGCTCTGATAGCCAGGAACATCAGAGTCAAACCTGAAGTACAACTACAAAAATATGATGCTAAGCTCATGGTTACAGTATTGGTAGCTTTCATTTTTCTACCAGCTTTATTTTCCATATTAATCTCATTTTGTATGGAGAGAATGAAGCATAAAAATATTTGGTAAATTAAAATATACGGAACAATACACTATACATCCACCAAAGTCATATATAATGAGCTACTACTTTTGAAATAAATTAATATATGTTTATTTGTAAAGCCACATCAAGTGGACATAAACACCTCATTTTCTTTATAGATAAGATCATTTAAGCAGAACTTGAAAATTTTAAAGTCAGTTTCACTTGGTCTTAATTTCACTGTTAATTCTTTACCAAATATTTTAGACTTTAGAAAATGTATTCTACTAATAGTGCAGAAAGCCAACATCATTGTTATAAATCACTTGACCAGCTGATCATGTATTAGGAAAAAAAACTTAGAGAAAAGAATAACTCCATGAATAAACAAAAAACTGCATCACTTATGCCAAAATGAGAAAGCTGACCAATCTATCTTTGGGAAGTAATTGGAAAAACTAGTCAGAAGCTCCTATTTCTTGAATAAAAAAGCCTAGTGATTATACCTAATAAAGGCTTGTTTAAGGAAAAAGTAATAAATGTGAAAGTAAACTGAATAGTGTCCTTATTAATGTACGAGATTTTTTTATTTTGTGGCTTTGTTTCATTCTTATTAATTACAACGATAAAATAATAGCATAAGTAATAAATTCAAACAGAATGAGTCAGCTATTTTAGTAATATTATACTTGCTTTTTAACGGAAAATGTCATGCAGGTTTGCAATTTTTGCTACTATTAACAAAATAGTGAAGAGTGTATAGATTAGTGGAAACTAAATGGTTGGCTGAAACTAAACACATAGCTTACATGTATAGTTTTTTTTTTTCCTTCTTCACAGTATGCCTTCTGGAAAGAAGACATGAGGGAAGGAATGGAGAATGTAATCTGAAGCAATAGAGCCTCCTTGTCTTCCCTGTCATTTCCACTTTGCTGTAATAATCATTTGAGGATTTGGGCTTTTTCCTTGGGGCTCCAAATTTAGGAATGCAGAGCTCTCTCTTATTGCTTGTCGTCTTAGGCAAAGCACTTCCATAAGCTCCGCCATTTACCTACTGTCCCTTTAAAAATGTTCAAGACAAGACCTCTAAGAAATCAAGGGGACAGGCTGGGTGGTGGCTTACCCCTGTAATCCCAGCACTGTGGGAGGCCGAGGCAGGTGGATCACGAGGTCAAGAGATCGAGACCATCCTGGCCAACATGGTGAAACCCCGTGTCTACTAAAAATACAAAAATTAGCTGGGCGTGGTAGTGTGCACCTGTAGTCCCAGCTACTTGGGAGGCTGAGGCAGGAGAATCACTTGAATCCGGGAGGTGAAGTTTTTCTTTTCCTTTTGTTTTTATGAAGAGTAATAACTATCCAGCCTGATCAACATGGTGAAACCCCGTCTCTACTGAAAATATAAAAATTAGCCAGGCATGCTGGCGCACGCCTGTAATCCCAGCCACTCAGGAGGCTGAAGCAGCAGAATCGCTTGAACCTGGGAGGCAGAGGTTGCAGTGAGCCAATATCGCACCATTGCACTCCAGCCTGGCGACAGAGCAAGACTCCGTCTCAAAAAAAAAAAAAAGAAATCAAGAGGCCCCTGAGCAGATGTTCTCCTTATCTTGCTTCATTCTCAAGTCCAGGCTGTCTTCTGAGCTTTCCTGCTTGTCCTTTTGTCTGGCCATTAGATTCTGACCTTCTAGGTGATAATAACGAGTCTACCACTTCTTTGCTTGGGTTTCTACTTCAGGGCTCCAGTCTGCCTCCTGGTGAGTGAGTGAGGGCTGCTTGTTACCCTGTATCACTTCTCATTAAGCATCAGTAGCAATAATGGCTAATATTTGTGGAGTATAAGTGCTCTACATGCATATTCATCCAACAAAATTTTTTGTTTACTACATACCAAGCTTACTATTATATTTGCTAAGAACAAAAAAATAAAAGAAAAAAGCTTCAATCCAGACAAAACTCTTTGTTCCCATTCAGCCTACCAGAAATAAGACATGAATATAAACAAAGTAAGAATAAATGAATACAAACACATACAGATGCTGTGAAAAAAGAAGCTGTTTTTTATTAAGAGAGTATATCAAAGGATTTCACCTCGCTAAAGGAGTAAGAGAAGGCTTACCAAAGAAAGTGATGTTCAAGCTGAGATATAATAGATAAAAAGAATTAATTAGGCACACTGGAAAAACATTCCAGATAGAGAAAACAGTCTATGCAGGGAGACTATCACATCAGAGAAGCAGGGAAGTGGTAAGGACAGGGTTGCACAGACCACCTGAAAAACTGTAGAAGTGAGCATGGCAGGAGTGCAGAAAGAGGCAACCACCAGCTGAGACAGGGCCTTGTAGGTCATGTTAAAGATTAGGTCTTTTTCCTTAGAGCAGCTGAAGTCATTAAAAGTTTTTTTTTAGGAAATTTTTTTAGTATTATACTTTAAGTTCTGGGGTACATGTGCAGAACATGCAGGTTTGTTACATAGGTATACACGTGCCATGGTGGTTTGCTGCATCCATCAACCCGTCATCTACATTATGTATTTCCCTTGATGCTTAAAAGTTTTTAAGAAAGATACAAGTATATGTGAACTTTGCAGAGATAACCCTCAAAAGGTTAGGACTGCAGACTAGGGCTGCAGTGGAAATGGACAGAATGGATGCCCAGAGACCAGTCAGAAAGATATTGTGATAGTCCAGGCAAGAGATAATGGTATCTTTTTTTATTTTATTTTATTTTATTTTATTTTATTTTATTTTATTTATTATACTTTAAGTTTTAGGGTACATGCGCACATTGTGCAGGTTAGTTACATATGTATACGTGTGCCATGCTGGTGCGCTGCACCCACTAACGCGTCATCTAGCATTAGGTATATCTCCCAATGCTATCCCTCCCCCCTCCCCCCACCCCACAACAGTCCCCAGAGTGTGATATTCCCCTTCCTGTGTCCATGTGATCTCATTGTTCAATTCCCACCTATGAGTGAGAATATACGGTGTTTGGTTTTTTGTTCTTGCGATAGTTTACTGAGAATGATGGTTTCCAATTTCATCCATGTCCCTACAAAGGACATGAACTCATCATTTTTTATGGCTGCATAGTATTCCATGGTGTATATGTGCCACATTCTCTAAATCCAGTCTATCATTGTTGGACATTTGGGTTGGTTCCAAGTCTTTGCTATTGTGAATAATGCCGCAATAAACATACGTGTGCATGTGTCTTTATAGCAGCATGATTTATAGTCCTTTGGGTATATACCCAGTAATGGGATTGCTGGGTCAAATGGTATTTCTAGTTCTAGATCCCTGAGGAATCGCCACACTGACTTCCACAATGGTTGAACTAGTTCACAGTCCCACCAACAGTGTAAAAGTGTTCCTATTTCTCCACATCCTCTCCAGCACCTGTTGTTTCCTGACTTTTTAATGATTGCCATTCTAACTGGTGTGAGATGATATCTCATAGTGGTTTTAATTTGCATTTCTCTGATGGCCAGTGATGATGAGCATTTTTTCATGTGTTTTTTGGCTGCATAAATGTCTTCCTTTGAGAAGTGTCTGTTCATGTCCTTCGCCCACTTTTTGATGGGGTTGTTTTTTTCTTGTAAATTTGTTGGAGTTCATTGTAGATTCTGGATATTAGCCCTTTGTCAGATGAGTAGGTTGCGAAAATTTTCTCCCATGCTGTAGGTTGCCTGTTCACTCTGATGGTAGTTTCTTTTGCTGTGCAGAAGCTCTTTAGTTTAATTAGATCCCATTTATCAATTTTGTCTTTTGTTGCCATTGCTTTTGGTGTTTTAGACATGAAGTCCTTGCCCATGCCTATGTCCTGAATGGTAATGCCTAGGTTTTCTTCTAGGGTTTTTATGGTTTTAGGTCTAACGTTTAAGTCTTTAATCCATCTTGAATTGATTTTTGTATAAGGTGTAAGGAAGGGATCCAGTTTCAGCTTTCTACATATGGCTAGCCAGTTTTCCCAGCACCATTTATTCAATAGGGAATCCTTTCCCCATTGCTTGTTTTTCTCAGGTTTGTCAAAGATCAGATAGTTGTAGATATGCGGTATTATTTCTGAGGGCTCTGTTCTGTTCCATTGATCTATATCTCTGTTTTGGTACCAGTACCATGCTGTTTTGGTTACTGTAGCCTTGTAGTATAGTTTGAAGTCAGGTAGTGTGATGCCTCCAGCTTTGTTCTTTTGGCTTAGGATTGACTTGGCGATGCGGGCTCTTTTTTGGTTCCATATGAACTTTAAAGTAGTTTTTTCCAATTCTGTGAAGAAAGTCATTGGTAGCTTGATGGGGATGGCATTGAATCTGTAAATTACCTTGGGCAGTATGGCCATTTTCACACTATTGATTCTTCCTACCCATGAGCATGGAATGTTCTTCCATTTGTTTGTGTCCTCTTTTATTTCCTTGAGCAGTGGTTTGTAGTTCTCCTTGAAGAGGTCCTTCACATCCCTTGTAAGTTGGATTCCTAGGTATTTTATTCTCTTTGAAGCAATTGTGAATGGGAGTTCACTCATGATTTGGCTCTCTGTTTGTCTGTTGTTGGTGTATAAGAATGCTTGTGATTTTTGTACATTGATTTTGTATCCTGAGACTTTGCTGAAGTTGCTTATCAGCTTAAGGAGATTTTGGGCTGAGACGATGGGGTTTTCTAGATAAACAATCATGTCGTCTGCAAACAGGGACAATTTGACTTCCTCTTTTCCTAATTGAATACCCTTTATTTCCTTCTCCTGCCTCATTGCCCTGGCCAGAACTTCCAACACTATGTTGAATAGGAGCGGTGAGAGAGGGCATCCCTGTCTTGTGCCAGATTTCAAAGGGAATGCTTCCAGTTTTTGCCCATTCAGTATGATACTGGCTGTGGGTTTGTCATAGATAGCTCTTATTATTTTGAAATATGTCCCATCAATACCTAATTTATTGAGAGTTTTTAGCATGAAGGGTTGTTGAATTTTGTCAAAGGCTTTTTCTGCATCGATTGAGATAATCATGTGGTTTTTGTCTTTGGCTCTGTTTATATGCTGGATTACATTTATTGATTTGCATATATTGAACCAGCCTTGCATCCCAGGGATGAAGCCCACTTGATCATAGTGGATAAGATTTTTGATGTGCTGCTGGATTCAGTTTGCCAGTATTTTATTGAGGATTTTTGCATCAATGTTCATCAAGGATATTGGTCTAAAATTCTCTTTTTTGGTTGTGTCTCTGCCCGGCTTTGGTATCAGAATGATGCTGGCCTCATAAAATGAGTTAGGGAGGATTCCCTCTTTTTCTGTTGATTGGAATAGTTTCAGAAGGAATGGTACCAGTTCCTTCTTGTACCTCTGGTAGAATTCGGCTGTGAATCCATCTGGTCCTGGACTCTTTTTGGTTGGTAAACTATTGATTACTGCCACAATTTCAGAGCCTGTTATTGGTCTATTCAGAGATTCAACTTCTTCCTGGTTTAGTCTTGGGAGAGTGTATGTGTTCAGGAATTTATCCATTTCTTCTAGATTTTCTAGTTTATTTGCGTAGAGGTGTTCGTAGTATTCTCTGATGGTAGTTTGTATTTCTGTGGGATCGGTGGTGATATCCCCTTTATCATTTTTTATTGTGGCTATTTGATTCTTCTCTCTTTTTTTCTTTATTAGTCTTGCTAGCAGTCTATCAATTTTGTTGATCCTTTCAAAAAACCAGCTCCTGGATTCACTGATTTTTTGAAGGGTTTTTCGTGTTTCCATTTCCTTCAGTTCTGCTCTGATTTTAGTTATTTCTTGCCTTCTGCTAGCTTTTGAATGTGTTTGCTCTTGCTTTTCTAGTTCTTTTAATTGTGATGTTAGGGTGTCAATTTTGGATCTTTCCTGCTTTCTCTTGTAGGCATTTAGTGCTATAAATTTCCCTCTACACACTGCTTTGAATGAGTCCCAGAGATTCTGGTATGTTGTATCTTTGTTCTCGTTGGTTTCAAAGAACATCTTTATTTCTGCCTTCATTTCGTTATGTACCCAGTAGTCATTCAGGAGCAGGTTGTTCAGTTTCCATGTAGTTGAGCGGCTTTGAGTGAGATTCTTAATCCTGAGTTCTAGTTTGATTTCACTGTGGTCTGAGAGATAGTTTGTTATAATTTCTGTTCTTTTACATTTGCTGAGGAGAGCTTTACTTCCAAGTATGTGGTCAATTTTGGAATAGGTGTGGTGTGGTGCTGAAAAAAATGTATATTCTGTTGATTTGGGGTGGAGAGTTCTGTAGATGTCTATTAGGTCTGCTTGGTGCAGAGCTGAGTTCAATTCCTGGGTATCCTTGTTGACTTTCTGTCTCGTTGATCTGTCTAAAGTTGACAGTGGGGTGTTAAAGTCTCCCATTATTAATGTGTGGGAGTCTAAGTCTCTTTGTAGGTCACTCAGGACTTGCTTTATGAATCTGGGTGCTCCTGTATTGGGTGCATAAATATTTAGGATAGTTAGCTCCTCTTGTTGAATTGATCCCTTTACCATTATGTAATGGCCTTCTTTGTCTCTTTTGATCTTTGTTGGTTTAAAGTCTGTTTTATCAGAGACTAGGATTGCAACCCCTGCCTTTTTTTGTTTTCCATTGGCTTGGTAGATCTTCCTCCATCCTTTTATTTTGAGCCTATGTGTGTCTCTGCACGTGAGATGGGTTTCCTGAATACAGCACACTGATGGGTCTTGACTCTTTATCCAACTTGCCAGTCTGTGTCTTTTAATTGCAGAATTTAGTCCATTTATATTTAAAGTTAATATTGTTATGTGTGAATTTGATCCTGTCATTATGATGTTAGCTGGTGATTTTGCTCGTTAGTTGATGCAGTTTCTTCCTAGTCTCAATGGTCTTTACATTTTGGCATGATTTTGCAGGGGCTGGTACCGGTTGTTCCTTTCCATGTTTAGTGCTTCCTTCAGGAGCTCTTTTAGGGCAGGCCTGGTGGTGACAAAATCTCTCAGCATTTGCTTGTCTATAAAGTATTTTATTTCTCCTTCACTTATGAAGCTTAGTTTGGCTGGATATGAAATTCTGGGTGGAAAATTCTTTTCTTTAAGAATGTTGAATATTGGCCCCCACTCTCTTCTGGCTTGTAGGGTTTCTGCTGAGAGATCCGCTTTTAGTCTGATGGGCTTTCCTTTGAGGGTAACCCAACCTTTCTCTCTGGCTGCCCTTTACATTTTTTCCTTCATTTCAACTTTGGTGAATCTGATAATTATGTTTCTTGGAGTTGGTCTTCTCGAGGAGTATCTTTGTGGCATTCTCTGTATTTCCTGAATCTGAACGTTGGCCTGCCTTGCTAGATTGGGGAAGTTCTCCTGGATAATATCCTGCAGAGTGTTTTCCAACTTGGTTCCATTCTCCACATCACTTTCAGGTACACCAATCAGACGTAGATTTGGTCTTTTCACATAGTCCCATATTTCTTGGAGGCTTTGCTCATTTCTTTTTATTCTTTTTTCTCTAAACTTCCCTTCTCGCTTCATTTCATTCATTTCATCTTCCATCGCTGATACCCTTTCTTCCAGTTGATCGCATCGGCTCCTGAGGCTTCTGCATTCTTCACGTAGTTCTCGAGCCTTGGTTTTCAGCTCCATCAGCTCCTTTAAGCACTTTTCTGTATTGGTTATTCTAGTTATACATTCTTCTAAATTTTTTTCAAAGTTTTCAACTTCTTTGCCTTTGGTTTGAATGTCCTCCCGTAGCTCAGAATAATTTCATCGTCTGAAGACTTCTCTCAGCTCGTCAAAATCATTCTCCATCCAGCTTTGTTCCGTTGCTGGTGAGGAACTGTGTTCCTTTGGAGGAGGAGAGGCGCTCTGCATTTTAGAGTTTCCAGTTTTTCTGTTCTGTTTTTTCCCCATCTTTGTGGTTTTATCTACTTTTGGTCTTTGATGATGGTGATGTACAGATGGGTTTTCGGTGTAGATGTCCTTTCTGGTTGTTAGTTTTCCTTCTAACAGACAGGACCCTCAGCTGCAGGTCTGTTGGAATACCCTGCCGTGTGAGGTGTCAGTGTGCCCCTGCTAGGGGGTGCCTCCCAGTTAGGCTGCTGGGGGGTCAGGTGTCAGGGACCCACTTGAGGAGGCAGTCTGCCAGTTCTCAGATCTCCAGCTGCATGCTGGGAGAACCACTGCTCTCTTCAAAGCTGTCAGACAGGGACACTTAAGTCTGCAGAGGTTACTGCTGTCTTTTTGTTTGTCTGTGCCCTGCCCCCAGAGGTGGAGCCTACAGAGGCAGGCAGGCCTCCTTGAGCTGTGGTGGGGTCCACCCAGTTCGAGCTTCCTGGCTGCTTTGTTTACCTAAGCAAGCCTGGGCAATGGCGGGCGCCCCTCCCACAGCCTCGTTGCCGCCTTGCAGTTTGATCTCAGACTGCTGTGCTAGCAATCAGCGAGATTCCGTGGGCGTAGGACCCTCTGAGCCAGGTGTGGGATATAGTCTCGTGGTGCACCGTTTTTTAAGCCGATCTGAAACAGTAGCTCATTTAGAATTCATCCACCAGATATACTATATCCCATGTAATACTTACAATAATACTATGTATTAGAGATTGTAAATATCTTTACAACGTGGAAAATGAACTTTGGAGCTGTTGAGTGACTTGACAAGGTCATAAAAATAACAAGCAATGGGAAAGAAATCCAAGCCAGGCAGTCTAGCTCATATCCCATGTTCTCTAACGCTGCCCAGAAAGTGATGGCAGCAGAGTTGAGAAGAAGTATACAGATTCAAAAGATAATCTGGAAGTTGAAATCCCAGGGTGTAATGATGAATTGGTTATCGAGAATGAGGAAGTAATATCAATTAGAGTGAGGAGACATCAAGGATAATGTCCAAGGGTCTGACATATCCAGGTGGATGGATGATGGTGTCTTTCACCAAAATAGGAAAGTGAAAAGAGACCAGCTTTTTTTTTTTTTTTTTTTTGAGAGGTAAAGGGAAGGTGGGTATGGTAAGGAGACTCTGAGTTCAATGCCACACATGTTGAATTTGAGTAACCTCTGAGACACCCAAATAGAAATATTAAGTAGGCAGATAGATATATGGGTCTAAAGACTGTAAAAAAGGTCTTGTTTGAAGATGTAAATCTGAAAGCCTAAAGCATATGAAAGATAATTAAAGTTATAGACATAGTTGTACTTACTAGGATGCATTATCTTTTCCTGTGAAACTCACACTTTGGGCCCATTCTTCCCCAACCTTGTGATAAAAACTCAGGCAGATCCCACAGCTTTTCTATCAGTCATGAGTAATAAAAAGTTGCTTATAAGCTTAAATAGTCAAATCCATTGTAATGACCAAAACTCCAAACTCCTCAACTCTGGCCTGCCAGGATAAAGAGGGATACAGTTGGTTTCTTTTCTCTTCCTCACCCCACTTCCTTCTCTATCCACTCACTGGCTGTTGTGGTTGATTCCTCCTGGTGAGAACCCAGAGGATTAGTAAAGAAAGAGCATACAGTTGAAGTAGCTGATAGAGTTGAAATGTGGGATCAATACCCTCTTGTAGAGACCCATATGTCTTGCTGATTACTTATGACCTCTACTCGGATGTCTAAAGACATTTCTTACTTAGTGTGACTTAGATCAAACATGATTTCCTCTCACCCACTAAAAATGCTCCTCCCACATAAGCAAATGGCAACTCCATTCTGTCGTTTGGGCCAAATACCTTAAAGTCCTCTTTCTCTCATAACCCATTTTCAAGCCATTAACATATCCTGTCACTGTCTTTAAAATTAAGTGATTCTCATTGTTAACAGTACTTATGTTCTATAAAGTCACTATAAATACTGAATTAGCTAATATGGAATCATTGCCCCTAGGGGAAATACAGGGTTATGTTCTGACACGTATTTGTTCACAAAATTTTCATCAACTGATCCACGTATACCTTGTTTAATGTGTGTTTCTGTTTAAAGACACAGTGATCTATTTTGTAGATTCATTAGCAAAGAACTCACGGCCAGCAGCAGCACTATAACTCACACCTGAACAAGGCTGATCTGGCTTTAGTATTTTCTCTGTAAGGAACATCACAGCCTTCTTGTTCTTAGGAACACTATATAATACTTCAGGACTACATTTGGGGCTATTTTAAATAGCAATTATTACCAACAAAAGGGACAAAAATGAAGAAAAATGGGCACTAAATATACCACGAAAAGGAAACTTGTTTACAACATGAGACCTGAAATGAGAAGGCAGAGCATCATCTTATTAGAACTCAGCAGGGAACATGCACAGCAGGCAGATTTTTCGCTACTTTGTGCATATGCTGGTCTGTGAATGACTGTAAGAGACATTGAGTATTGATTTTGGGGTTACAAATAAACTTTAGCAAGGAGGCTGGTTTGCAAATACAGAATCTGCTAATAAGGATGTACAGTATATCCAGAATCTGACCACTTCTCACCACCATCACCACTACTACCCCTGTCCAAACCATGATCACCTCTTCACTCACACTGGTCTCCTTACCAGCCTCCCAGCATCTAATGTTTCCTCCAAGGGTCTAAAATTCCCCTGTGTTTTTAAACTCAAACCAAGATCATGACACTGCTCTATTCAAAGCCCTCCAGTGCCTTTCAATCTCTTCTGAAATGAAAGCCAAAGTCCTGGCCATTGCTACACAAGGTCCCCTTTGATCTTAGTGGTTCCATTTCCTATCACTCTCTGCCCTCCCTCACTCCATTCTAGACAAACACGTCTTACCTGGCAGCCTTTGAACTTGTGTTTCTACTTGCAAGATTGTTCATATGGCTCTCACTATAGTGAATTCCTATAATTTGTCGACAAAAAGAGTCAAACTCTATGAAATATTTGGAGAGATTTATTCTGAGCCAAGTATGAGTGATCATGACCTGAGGCAGAGTCTCAAGAGGTTCTAAGAACATGTGCCCAAGGTGGTCAGGCTACAGCTTGGTTTTATACGTTTTAGGGAGACATAGGCATCAATTACTACACGTAAGGTGTATATCAATTTGGTCCGGAAAGGTGGAACAACTCTAAATGGGTGGAGGAGGAGCCTTGCCAGGTTATAAGTGGATGCAAAGATTTTCTGATTGGCAATTGGTTGAAAGTTATTATTTCAAGACCTGGAATCAACAGAAGGGAGTGTCTGGGTTAGAAGAAGGCATTATGGAGAACAAGCTTCTTATGCAGATGAAGCCTCCAGGTAGCAGGCTTCAGAGAGAATAGGCTGTAAATGTTTCTTATCAACTTAAAAAGGTGCCAGATTCTTAGTTAATTGTCTCCTGGATCAGGGAAAAGACCTGGAAAGGAAAGGGATGCTCTACAGAATGTACATTTTCCCCATAATAGACAGTTTTGCAAAGACATTTCAAAATATGTCAAAGAAATATATTTTGGGGTAAAATACTTTCTTTGACTTCTTTCAGGGCCTGCAATCTGTGGTGTTGGTATCTTATTGCTACAAATAACCTGTTGTAATGTTAATGCTGGTCAGTTGTGCCTAAATACTAAAGGGAGCAGGGTATAATGAGGCATGTCCAATCCCTTCTTCCCATCATGGCCTGAACTAGCTTTTCAGGTTAACTTTGAAATGCCCTGGGCTTAGAGTAGGGGTCCATTCAGTTGGGTAGGGACTAGAATTTTATTCTTGGTTTACAAATTTTATGTTGCTTTGATATGTATTTTGAATATAAGTTTCACTTTCTCATACCAGAAGCAGGACTCATTTGTCCTTGACACAGTTTCCAGTTACACCCCCCCCTCCCAGTTCCTCTATGTGGTCAGGCCAGATATCACCTTTTACCACTGCCTTTTGGTGACCAACTCTCCAACCTCCCTATGGCTCAGCTAGATACTCCTACTTGATTCGCCCCTCTTATTCCCCACACTCTACAGGCACTGCATAGAAGTGCTGCAATAATCACCTCTCAGTCACTGTGTGACCCCTTGGAATTCATGCCTGTTGCCTTTAAACCCACCAATTAGAAGGTCCCTATAGGAAGCCTGCTTGGGTAACACCCTGAACTCCAGTAAAGACTTTGGTCCCACAGATCCTCTCTTGCTCCCAACTCACTGGTTGAGCAGGCTTGTAGGGGACAACTTCCTCACTCCCTCACCTTCCCTCTGGCCCTGTGAAGCCTGCTGCTTTCTTCTCTTTGGGGGCTGTAAGTGATCAAAATGCTTCTGCCATTTCATGGGTTTTGTTGTGCTGCTTCCTCTGTGTCTCACCTGACTGATACACCCAAATCTAACTTCTTTTCTGTTCAGGGCTAGAATTTATAGCCACTCTCAAATGAGACCTTGAGACCAAATTGGAAGGAAATGATATCTACAAAACAGCCCCTCAGTTTCTTCAGATCTCCGTTCAAGTTTCTGCTTACAGACTTAGGCCTTCTATGACAACTTTCATATGTAACAGCACCCCTTACCCTCTACCCCCTTACCCTGCTTTAGTTTTCTTGAGGGCACTTGTCGTCACCCAACATCATGTGTATTTTCATTGTTGTTCTCCCCATTTTTTCACTGTTCTATTCCCAGCACCTAGAACATCTAACACAATGTGAGTCTTCCATAAGTATTTATCAGATAAGTGAAGAGTCCCTGGCTTTCTCACATGGAGCACTTTCATGGGTGATCTGTCCCAGGCCTGGGACTGAAACTCCATGATGCTGCTTATCCTTCATTCCCAAACCCACTTTTCTACTGGGTCTCTTCACCAGCATAGCCATCCCTCTAGCCCTTGAGGCATTTCTGTTAGACAGAGTCCAAGACTGACTCTCTTACAAATGGGCTTCACATGTGGTCCCCAGAAAACACATTTTAATTCAGCTAATACAGAAAATTTTAGTACCTGAATATGCCAAGCTCTTCTCTGGGCCTCCATATTAGCTGTTTCCTTTGCCTGAGAATCTCCCAGCCTCTACCCATTACCCCAATTTATCCCTCACTCCTCAGATTAAATACCACCTCCTTCAGCGGCCTCTGACTCATTGGCCTAGATTAGGGCCACCTAATGCATTGTTTCTCAAACTTTAATCACCTGGAGGCTTTGTTAGGCGTGTTCCCTGAGCTCCATTTCCAGACTCTGATTGAGTCCATCTGATGGAGTTAGTAAATTTGTGGTTCAAAAAGCTCACAGGTGAGTCTGATAATGATTGTCTAAGGCCTACGCATTGAGAAGCACTAGGTTCTCTGCCTGACACATCCAGCTCACCTTTCACAGCCCACTTTTATTTCACTGCTGTTGAAATCTTCCCTGATCATTCCCAACAATGAATCATCCTCCTCTGTATGGTTTGCCTTGAATTATGGTTAACTGTAACTGCAAAGTATGCATCACACTTTATTATAATTAAATATTTAAACACATTATTTCCAGCAAAAGAGTAAATCCTATAAGTACCTGTAAAGTACTCAACAACAAATAATTTTTTTAAAAACAAGTACCCACTTTGGGGTTGAGGAATATGGAGTTCAGACACGTAAAGTAATTTCCCCAAGGTCACAAAACCACTAAAGATAGAGGCAAGAAGGAAGAATATGGAAAGGAAAGAAACTACTCTAGTTCTAAAAACCCTGAAAGGCAGTGAAAATGCAGCCATTCTAGGACCAAAAATATTGTTACTGGGGGGCCTTGGCATTAACCTGTAGTTGAAAAATCCACAAATGAGTGGAATAGAACTGAATGTGACAGAGGTTGAATTCTGTCACCTCTTCCCTTTTCCCATCTTCCCTTTCTTCCTAGATCCTTCATCCCCATCACACACATGCACCTGCTTCTATGTCAACACTTACTGAGGTCTTGAATACAACCAAGTTGGAATTGCTGATTGAGAAAATGGCTTAAAGGGTACCTGGGAGGTTTCAATTGCCTTGCAAGATATTAGGAACCTCCTCTGTAGAGAAGCTTGTGAGGGCCCCTGAGACATACCTTTGACAGACCCCAAGGAAAAAAAATTAAATTAAAGGAAGTGAGTTGCTCAATGAACTAATACTCCCATTTCCATTTTCCAGAAGTTCATATTTGAAGACTGATGCAAAGGCTTAACAGTCACATCCTGTTTACCAAAGTCATACTACTGTTCTTTGCATTTCAGTGAATCAAAGCCACATTACAGATTTCTGTAAATGGAGGAAGAGATAAATGTATTTAAAATTAAGCTATGTAAATCTATGCTATATGACTATGCTTGGGAAATGCTTAACTCTCAACTCTCATGTGTCCATAATACAGTACAGGAATTTTTACCTCCAGGACGGAAAAATCTGGGAGGAGTTCTAAGCCTCTTTTTCTCTGGCTCCCTAGCTTACTTCTCCTCAGCGACTAATGAGTTTGAAAAGAAAGGGAGTGTATGTGGACTTTTTTTTCTTTTCTTTCTTTAGGACTGGCCTGTCCTCACCCTGTTTATCTCTGCAGTGAACTTACCTTAACATGTTCTGAACCTGCAAGGGGAAGGCCTGCAGTTTGGAGGTGGGGAAGTAAGGTCAATTCCAGGAAATCAATTCAGCCTTATCTATAATAAAGCTGAACATGTTGGTGTCTGAGAGATCCCTGCTCTACTTCTCAACTGACTCTGAAATTCAGGAGAGGGGATGAGGGGATCATTTATTGCACCCCCTAAACCCCAACAGGCCCTCGTGCTTCAAACTTTTGCTCCTCTCAATTTTTTCTCCATTTGCCATTCTCAGCCTGACACATTCAACTCACCTTTCACAGCTCACTTATTTAGTTTTTGTTGAAATCTTCCCTGATCACCCCCAAAATAAAATGAGCCATCCTCCTCTGTGTATAGTCTGCCTGAGTGATGGTAAACTGTGACTGCATCTGTCACCCATATGAGATTATAAACTCTTTGTATATAAGGACTATATTTTACTCCTGTTTGTGTGCATTGAACTACATGGTTCCTTCCCAATACAGTATTCAATGCAATGTCTTTTTCCATTCACTTATCAAATTTTTGCTGACAGTTGGCTATGTATCAGGCTGCTTGTTAGATGCTGGGACACAGACCGAGACAACATAGATACAGGCCCTGCCACCACTTTGTCAAATAAGTACGTTGACCATAATGAGCCCTCAAGAAAGTTCAATTGATTTGCTGCAATAGATGAAGGACGGCTTCCCCCGCCTCAATGTTCACTCAAATTCTGAGGGTTGAATGGGGAAAAATGAGAGATGAAATCTAAGATCAATATTATTTTCTGCAACATCTTTCAGGATATAACACACTACACCTTACAGGATAATTGTTCTGAACTCCTATCGTATGTAGTATTTATTGAGTACTTAACTACGCACCTAGTACTTTATATGAATTATTTACACTTACTCTTCATAACCATACTACCAAGAAACTGATGCACAGGTTGTGAAAAGTAAACAACCACCTAAAAGCAGATTTGAGGTTAATTCTAAAATGGATACTAGATATCACTTAAAATTATGTTATCTTCCATGTATATGTCTCATAGGTACAAGAAAAAGAAATTTTTAAGCATTTGTTTACCTCTAAGAATATTGCACAGATTGATTATTCATTTTAATCCTTCTAACACTGCTCTTCAAAGAAAGTCAGTGTCTATTTTCTAGAGAATCATTCTCTGTATAAGTCAGAGTATAGCCAGGAAAATAAAAGTCAACTCCAAGCCAGGCACAGTGGCAGGCACCTGTAATCCCAGCTTCTTGGGAAGCCAAGGTAGGAGGCTTACTCAAATTCAGTTCAAGTCCAGCCTGGGCAACATATCGAGACCCATCTCTAAAAAATAATAATTATTAAAATAAATTAATTTTTTTAAAGCCACTCCAGCTATTTTGTATAGGAAGAGGTTTAACACACAAAAAAAATTATTACAGAACCATCAGGAAGTGGGAGGGGCAAATGTTAGGAAGAACTCTTTGGGGAAATTCAAAAGAACAGAGGCCAAATGCAGGGAAAAGCTTCCACCAATGGTCTCAACTGCCTGCAATGCCAAAGTGAGAGATTCTCAGGAAGTGCCCACAGCTGCAAGCAAGAACAGTAGCAGCTCTTCTAAAGCAGGCTTCTGCTGCCTTCTAAACTGTGTGCTTGAGACTTCCATTGACAGAATCTAGCTGGCACTCTGCTGGCAAGGGAAAAAGCAGTTTCCAGGCTCAGTGCTGCTGTAGTATAGAGAAAGTTTAAAATGTCAGGGATGGAACTGTAACAATATCTGGTAATTTCTACTCTTTGGATATTCAGTGTCCATTCACAATCTTTGGCCCATCATTAACCTTCCAAACAATAATAATATCAAAAATGCACTTCCAAATAACATAATAAAACTATATCTTATACTAACAAAGACACATGCAAATTCTCTCCCAAAAAAGAAAGACAAAAATTCCCATAAATTGCTGTATCAATGTCTGAGTAATATTCATTTATTTTGTAGCTCAGGCATGACCCCTCTTTGATAGATAATTTATAATGTAAACAATAAATGATAATGTTAATTCCAACCAACACATATCATATAAAACAGTAGAGAAAGGGGGAGAAAGACAAACAGTTAATATATAGAAGTGTATATATATATAAAACAAAGTGAGGATTTAAAAAATATACATAGTTGCCCTTGATTCTGAAACTGTTCCCAAAGTCAGAATTGTTAAATTTTCTTCTACTACATTCCATTTTGCCTTTTGCCTTAACCAGTACTGAAATTTGTCATTGTCAGAAGGCAGTTCATGGATCTCTCACTTTGCTATACATCTTTTGAGAACGGACACTGAAAGTAGTTGTTCCAGGATTCTTTTAAAGGATAGTTGCATAGCGAATCACCTTTGAAGACAGAGATAGGGTATCCCTGCAGAGCAAAAGGTAGATTTATTTATTGTCCAGTATAATAAAGACAGTATCTCTCACTGACACATGGCCAGGCAGGCTTACAGCCCTTTATAAAGGACTGAGGTTTCCTAAGCTCAGAGTCCTTCTTCTGTAATGCAACTCAGTGTGTGTGTATACATTCTCTACCACCATGTGGGAATTGGTACTTGAGAACTAGCACAGATGCTGACACTCTGCCTATTACTATTGGTAAAAAGTAAAGTCTCTTTTTTTTTTTTTTTTGCCTATCCCAAGAATCTCATGCCATTTGGCAACATTCATTAAACTGTGACAGGCTAACTTGTTAACTTGCAGTAAAGTCTCAGCTTCTCCAACTCTTGACATTCAAGACTCTATACTAGTGACCTCAACTTTTATTCCTGAAGAGCCCTTTATTCCTGAAGCGATGTGCGGTCTTGTGTTTTTGGGTTGCTATAGCTAGTCTCCCATTAACTTTTATCACAAAATGTGGAACTATTAAAAGACAACCCAATAAATCTTTTGGATTCTCAACATACTCCTCTCTGTCTCCATTAAGAAGTAGCACCCTCGTTCCCCTTGATAGACAAGATCAGCCACATTAACAACTTTATTAACCCCTTTATTTGTTTCTTGGTTCAATGGTATAAGAAGCCCAAAGTGGCCAAGTGATAGTCTCAACCTCCAGTTTGATGGAGTCGCTATTGAGTCCCTTGGTAGAAATATTTTTCCCTTGGTAATTAAGACCACAAACTAGCAGAGCTCAAGATAGAAAGCAAAATTTTACAAGTGATCACTAAGGATTAGAGGAGCCACTTCCATTTCTATTCTTTAGTTCCAGAACCTGGTTCCATAAGGTGCTATGACCTATACAACACTGTAATTGAGGCTTTAATAGATCATTTCATCATCCCAGTCATCAGTAGGAAATTTCATCATTCTATCAGGCCAGTTGTTTCTGGGAATTGAGCATATGGAAACACAAGTGAATTCCATGGACATACACCTATACATCATTTCTTTTGCGGTTCTTTAGTCAGAGGAAATCTTGCGTGCAAAAGCAAGGTGGTGAATAAAACATTGGATGATGGTGAGGACGAAAGCAATGTGCACAAGAAAGACAAATCTGTATCCAAAATATATGTCTATTTCAGGAAAGACTAGGTGACTAGCAGATGCCACTAGGGAACAGTGTTGTATTGGAAGCCCAGTATTGTCCGTTGCTGTTAATAAGCTGATTAGTCACCAGTGGTGGCAGCAAGATCAGGCTTGATAAGGGAAAGTCTACATATTCCGTCTTTGCATAGCTTACATCCCTGACATAATGGTCAGTTTTAACACACAATTATTGAGTAAGCACTGGGGTGACTGGAGAGAGAAGCTAACTTATGCCCATAAACTGGATCTTCTGGTCTATATGATTACTGACAGACTTATATGCAGTAGATCCTTATGATCATGAGATACAAAAATAATCCATTCTGTGGCTATTCTGAGTGGTTCATCTTCACATACGTCTTCTTGAGATCTTCTAATCAACAATCTTTCAGTTTTATTCCTTCCAAGTCCCTAATCACTTAACCAAAATTTCAGCTACTACCTACCAATGACATAATATAGAGATATATATTACCTCAGACCATCTCTTCTTCTAGGCAAAGTGAAAATCCAGATTTGTGTTTACACTTCTGCCTTCTAGGAGGATTTTTCTTTACCCACTATCCTTCAGGGCTATCTCTGAGTCAGGACAGAATAATGTATCACTTTTGGTACATTATTTGCTCCCCATGATATCATAGGGTTGAAGAAAAAGCAGCAATGCCACAAAAGGAGGTGTCACATAGGTTTGAGCCACCTGCTCAAGCAGCTTAGCTTGTATCTTGGGATCTGCCAAAGCTCAGCATCATGGAGGACACAATGCAACTATTTAGGGCTGAATCTGAATTTATAGCTGGATAGGTTAGATCATTCTCAGTTCATGATTAAACTGTTCCAGTTGCTTCAAAACTCTGGAAGAAGCGGCGTAGGTAGCTTCCTCACACACACATGCTGATCAATATTCAGTGAACACTGGGGCGTAGGTAGCTTCCTCACACACACGTGCTGATTAATATTCAGTGAACATTGCATTTCTACCTACCATTATTTCAAGTGCCAGTAGATCTGTTGGGTCATGAGGCTAAGTGGTACACCATTGCATTGCCTGAACTGGTTGCAGAACTTCATTTTGTTCTGCGCACTAATCAAAGCTGAAAATCTTACCAGTTATTCAGGAAATGGATTAGAGCAGCACACACTCCAATGTACCTCAATGTGGTGTATGCTGATCTAGAATCCAAAGACTCTGTCAGTCATATCACAATCAAGATGGAAATGTGAGAGCTTAATTCTGAGAATTTTTTACCCTGATTTGCCAGCAATACTACATGCTGTCTACAGAGCAATCCAGATAAACCTTTGGCTGCAGGAAGCACTACTTCTTTACCTCCTTTGAGAGTACCAAAAGAGCTTGAAATCCCATATTTTCAGTCTTTTGAGAAATTATAGAATTTTCTAAAGTTCCAAGCAGAATATGCATAGAATAAATTGGTATTGTTTACTTCCTGACTCCCATTTTGAGGCATTCTAATATAAGAGGAAGTTTTATTGAAGCACTCTATAGCAAAAACAATTGTTGCCTGACCTTAAATTAGAAACGACAATAATATTAATAGAAGCCTTAGTACAGAAACTATTTTGAGATAACCATGTCTTGATTATAAGTACTGATGTTCTTATAGGCATGAAAGCTTTATCAGAAATTCCAGCAAATATTTCAATGCCTGAAATCTATTGTTCTGAATCTAATATGATTCTGGGATAACCAGTTTAAGATGACAGCATTAACAGCCCAATTAAATCACAGCATGGCACTACACTTTTCTCCCATTGTGCAAATTCACTGGAATTCTCCAAGGTAATGTCCTTATCTTAAAAATCTGGAGTTAATGTTTTCGCTCAAGGAAGCTGAAGACTATCAATACTCCATGGTTCTAGGTTGTCAAATAAATCTTAGAATTCCTTCCTTAGCACTTGCTTTTGGCTCGAAGAGTATAGATCACCTTGGTTTATCACTATGTAAAATCTTCAAAAACAAATCATTCTGTAATTACATGTGTGATGTGAAATGAGGTATTGGTGATGTCTGAGTGCTTTTCAGAAAAATGTCAACAATTAGAGGAAGCTTTCTGTGATGTGACACTAAAATATGACATATTCCTCTGTATATCAGAGAATTGATGTGTTTTTTTTTTCAGGATACCTGCTGGCAGGGGTTATTTTCATCCCAACCTATTACCTTGGTGATTACGTAGTAATGAATATGATCCTCTTAGTAAGGAGAGAAAGAATTTCCTAAATTAAATCACTCTGACTGGCTGAGTCATATTTTGGGTGGAACATCAATCACAATTTGACCTTCTCTAACAGTGCTGTTTATAGACTATCACCACCTTTCTAATAAGCATATAAAATAATTCATTTTTAAATTGTCTCATGTCAGTGAAGTGTGAGCAATGTGTTTCTGCAGAGGGTAAATTTTTAAAGAATTCATGATGGATTATTGAGTTATAGTATATCTTTTCAAATGAGAAAGATAACTTACAAATGGCTTAGCTACAAAGATAAATGCCATAATAGTTCATTTCATATAGATTGGTGAACCTAATATTCTATTGCATTCTTCATTCTTCGAAATTCATTTCCATTCAAAATTTTTCCATTTATGCACCAAGACATTAAAACAAACAACAGTCACTGTACATCAGAGGAAAGCAGCCTAATGAAGTAAATCTAAAAGAAAAACAAAAAGGCTCTGAAGCCACTCCTAATGCTTTTCCTTCCTATGTACGAAACTGTCCTGCTTAAATTAATAATCAAAGAGGTCAGTCATTTTCAAGCTGATGTTCAGGCCCCTGAAAAATTGAAAGCAATGAAATTAGTTTTTTTAAAACCTATTTTTCCCATGAATTTCCATAAGTTGACTTAAAATAGATTGAGTATTTTAAAACAGAAAGCTTCTTTTCTCAACTGTATTAGTAAAGACACAAGAAGGAAGAAATCCCTGGGTAGGTTCCTCAAACAACATTGTGCAATATAGTTAAAGGTTTTGACCATAGGTAATCATCATTTGCAATATGTTTTCAAATAGTGATTACTAAATAAACGTGAACTCAAAAGAAATGGTTTTCCAAACAGTGCACCTCAGTTCAAATTTCAATAAAGGTCTTATCACTCATCAGTATGCACCATTTTGTGTGAATTCAACGTCTAAGGAAGATAATTTTCCTCATTTTTAATGTCTAAGTTCTTAAGGTAAAACCATATATTTTGGAACAACATCTTAAGACCACGCTCAATTATTTATAATATGAGACCACCATATCTTAAGAAAATCTCATCAAAAGGTCCTTAAGAGTATTTAGTAACTCAATTCCTCCTGGAGAGTAGTCAAGATACAGCATCTTGATATGGAAACATATGTTGTATTCTACAGCAAAGAACATTCTAGCAAGGTCCCACATATGGTAGCAGAGGGTAAATTTTTAAAGAATTCGAGATAGGCTCCAAATTTGTGTTTACTCAGAAGTCATGTTATAGTAAAAGAAACAAATTAAGCATTACCTAAATGTAATGCCAAGGGATGTATGCTCCCCACAATGCCCACTTTCATAAGCAAGAAATAGTCAAACGTGGTTGAATATAAACATTCTTGATTAAACTGCTCCACTTTTAACTCTTATGCTTTTTTGTGTGTGAGATTATTTTATTGTGACAAACATAACCTGTAAATATTCAAGATGTCCACTGGCCTGAAAATATAAAAAGACTGTAGGGTATTAAACTATAAACCATTTCTAACTCCTCTCTTTCTTGGGTTAAGAAATCAGTTAATAGACTTCATTTCCTTCATTTCTTTGTCATTCTACTTAAGTTTGGTTTTTTTTTGTTTGTTTGTTTTTGTTTTTTGTTTTTGAGATGGAGTCTTGCTCTGTCGCCCAGGCTGGAGTGCAGTGGCTCCATCTCAGCTCATGCAACCTTTGCTTCCCAGGTTCACGCAATTCTCCCTGCCTCAGCCTCCCCAGTAGCTGGAATTACAGGCGCCCACCACCACGCCCGGCTAATTTTTGGTGGTGGTGGTGGTGGTGGTGGTTGTTTTGTTTGTTTGTTTGTTTGTTTAATTTTATTATTATTATACTTTAAGTTTTAGGGTACATGTGCACAATGTGCAGGTTTGTTACATATGAATACATGTGCCATGTTGGTGTGCTGCACCCATTAACTCATCATTTAGCATTTTTAAAATCTTTAATGCTTTTTAAAATCTTTCTTAAATGTACTGGTAAACTTAACTCAACAAGTAACCTCCACACCTCAATAGATTAATTTTCATAGCATTATGGATAACTAAGGCCCTTATAACCCCTAAAGAAGATGATTACATACATCAGTTCTTGTTGAAAAATAATTGTAGATGAAGACAAAGACAGAGCTAAAGACTGAATCAAATTTATACTCCAAGACAAATGCTGAATGTCTTTTAAAAATAGTTTCCCTGATCTGAACTTATTTTTTCTTCCACTTGCTTAACTCTAAAAATAAAATAGCTCTGCCCAAAAATACATTAAGCTGAGGGGCTTATGAAGGGATCCTAACTCCAATTAAACTCTATGATAGCCGCTGTACCTATGTGTTATGTTATTTCATTTAATCCTCACAAGAAAACTTAGTGATAGGAATAATCATTCCAACTTTACGAAAATGGAAATAGAGGTTCAGGAAGTGTAGTTAACTTGCCAAGGTCCACAGCCAACAACTGAAAGAAGCAGTTATGCCTTTTTCCAAAATGTATTATTCCCAGTACATCACGTTGCTTCATAATCTAGTTATCTGGATTCTAGATATTGGAAGGTGCTCAGAATTATGAAAATATTATTTGCAACTGACCTTTTATAATTTATTCCAATAATTTTATTTACTTATTATTTATTGAGTGGCTGAGTGGCTCCTACTAACTTCATATCAGATACCGTGGTAGGGACAGTAAATACAACAATGGGCAAGGTGTAGCATCCACTCTCAGGAAACTTATAGTTTAGATTTACATAAAAAAAGAAAAGTAGAAAGACAAAATAATCACAAGCCGTAATAAATGCTAGAAGCAAACAAACAAGAAGGTAAGATAGAGAATAACAATGGGAGACCTGAATTTTTCAGGTGATTTTAGGGTGATCAGGAATTAGCTATCCGGTCAGGGTCCTGCCAATGCTGGGACATCAGCAATACAGGCCAGTGAGAAAAGCAAAAAAAAACAAAACAAAACACAGAGCTGAAACTCAACAGAGCAAAGAAACCCACATGAAAGACAAACCTGTTAGAAGAGAAATCTAGAAGGCCAACTATACTTGGAATCAGAAGAACACAGAAAAATCTGTCTGGATGGAAAAGGAACGAGATTAAGATCTAAAACCCCTAAAAGAGATGTGACAGAGACTAAGCAAGGCTATAGGCATATTGTCAAGGAAACACCTCAGCCCTAAGCAGAAACTGAGGTTCAGTGAGGCAACTGTGCAAAAACTACGAAGGTTGGACCCAAAGCAGTGGGCCAAAGGAAGATGGGGTACATGGTGCTAAAGGCATAAGATTCCAGGACTGGTTGTCAATGAAGTAGCCTTCTGCTATGGTTTCAATGTTCCCTCCAAAACTCATGTTGAAATTTGATTGCCAATGTAACAGTATTGAGAGGTGGGGCCTTTAAGAGATGATTAGGTCATGAGGGCGCTGCACTCATGAATGGATTAATGCCATTATTGCAGGAGCCGGCTCCTGATTAAAGGATAAGTTTGGTCCCCATTTGCTCTCTGTTTCAGGCACTTGTTTGCCCTTCTGCCATGGGATAACATGGCTCGCAAGATGCCAGCACCTGGCTCTTGGACATCCCAGCCTCTATAACTGTGAGTGAAATAAAATGTTCTTTATAAATTATGTAGACTGTGGTATTTTGTTATAGCAGCAAAAAATGAACTCAGACACCTTGGAAGAGGGAGGGCACATCAGAATTATGTGACTAAGGCCAGGTTAGTGGATTTCTCTTTGAGAATATAAACTTCTCTACGATGAAGCTAAGGTCCCTGATATGACCAGGCCCCACCTTCTGAGATTTTGATTTGATTAGTCTAGAATGGGACCCCAGCAGTGGTATTTTTAAACGAACTTTTTTTATTTTGAGATAATAGAAGATTTCTATGTAGTTGTAAGAGATAAGATTCTATGTATATTTTGCCATTTCCTCCAATGATAATATCTTGCAAAACTACAGCACAATATCACAACCAAGATATTGGCAAGGATATAGTCAATATAGAGAGTGTTTTCCTCACCTAAAAAAAACACTAGTTTTCCATGACATTGCCTTTTATAGTCACATCTGTTTCCCTTTTACCCTCATCCCTTCCTTAATCTCTGACAACAACTTTAACCATTTACAATTTCTATAATTTTTTTATTTCAAAATGTTATATAAAAAGAATAATACAGTATGTCACTGTTTGGGGTTTGGCTTTATTCTGTCAGCATAATTCTGCAGTGATTTTTTTGAGTTGTCTGGACCAATGTTACTTTTTTGTTACTGAATAGTATTCCATGATATAGATATATCATAGTTTAGCCGTTCGTCCATTAAATAACATCTGGCCGGGTGCGGTGGCTCATGCCTGTAATCCCAGCACTTTGGGAGGCCGAGGCAGGTGGATCATGAGATCAGGGGATCGAGACCATCCTGGCTGACATGGTGAAACTCCATATCTACTAAAAATACAAAAAATTAGCCGGTCGTGATGGCGGATGCCTGTAGTCCAGCTACTCGGGAGGCTGAGGCAGGAGAATGGCGTGAACCTGGGAGGCAGAGCTTGCAGTGAGCCAAGATTGTGCCACTGCACTCCAGCCTGGGTGACAGAGCGAGACTCCATCTCAAAAAAAAAAAAAAAAAATCTGGGTCGTTTTTATATTTTGAGTATTATGAATTAAGCTATTATAAATATTTATGTACATGTTTTAATATAAAATTAAGTTTTCATTTATCTTGGATAAATGCTCAGCTGGGTCATATGGTTGTTGCATGTTCAGATTTTTACAAAACTGTCATGTTATTTTCCATAAGGGCTGTATCATTTTACAGTCTCACCAGGAATGCATAAGTGATCCACTTTCTCCACATCCTCTTGAGCAACTGGTTTTGTAAATATTTTTTATTACAGCCCCTTGGTTAGGCATATAATGATAAGTCACTGTGGTTTACATTTGCATTTCCCTAATGGCTAATAATGTTGAACATTTTTCCACGAGTTTATTTGCCATCTGTATATCCTCTTCAGTAGAATTTGTCTTTGTGTCTTTTGACCATTTTTGATTAAATCATTTCGTTGTGGGTTTGTGTATGTATGTATATATTGGGTTGGTGCAAAAGTAATTGCGGTTTTAAAGGTAATGGCAGAAACTGCATCTACTTTTGCACCAACCATATACACACACATTTATTTTGTTTATTTATTTACTTTTACTGTTGAATCTTGAGAGTTCTTTATTAGATTATGTGCCTTGCACATATTTTCACCCACTATGTAGTTTTTCATTTTATCCTCTTAATAGGAATTTTCATAGAGAAAAAGCTTTTAACTTTGATGAGGTGCAATTTATTCATTTTTTATTTATGAACAATGCTTTTTGTGTCAAGTCTCAGAACCTTTTGCCTACTTCTAGGTCCCCCAAAATTTTCTCCTGTCTTTTTTTCTAAAAGTCTTAACAGTATTTTACATTTTATAATTTAAGTCCATGATATATTTTGACTTTTTTTTTGTATAATGGGTGAGACATGTTAAGGTACATGTTTATGCCCATGAATGTTCGATTGTCCTAGCAACATTTGTTGAAAGGCTACCTTCTTTCTATTGAACTGCTATTGCGCCTTTGTCAAAAATTCAGTGAGCATACTTGTATGGGTCTATTCCTGGGGTTCTCTGTTCTATTCCATTAATCTAAGTGTCTATCCTCTGCCACTATGACCCAGAATTGACTACTGTGGCTATATTTCAGAACTTCAAATTGGATAAATGGATTTCTCCCATTTTATTTGTTTTTTTCAATACTATTTTATTCCTTTGCCTTTCCATATAAATTTTAGAATAATTGGGTCTATATCCACAAAAAGGTCTTGTCAAAATTTTGATAAAAATTATATTAAACCTCTGTATCAATTTGGAAATAATTGTTTTTTAAACTATGAGCATGGTATGTCTCTCAGTTTATGTAGATCTCATATAATTTTTTTCATCATCACACTTGTAATTTTCATCATACAAGTCCTGTACATATTGTGGTATATTTTTAACTAAAATCTTTTATTTTTAACAATTGCAAATAATATTATATTTTTAATTTTTTTGCTCAGGTGTCCACTGTAATTATATAAAAATATAATTAATTTTTGTTTGTTGATTTTGTATCCCATGGCCTTTCTGAACTCATGTATTAGTTTCAAAGTTTTTGTAGATTCCTTGAGATTTTCCACATAGATAATCATATAAAAATACAGAAAATTTTATTTCATTCTTTTATTGCCTTTATTGTAGTTCCTTTTATTTCTTTTTCTTGCCTTATTGCACTGGCTGCTAGACTTTCCAGTAATATGCTAAAAAGAGTAGTAAAAGCCAGTAGCCTTGTCTTGTCCCAGTCTTAGGGGTAAAGCATTCAGTTTTTCACCATTAAGAATAATGTTAGCTATAGGTGTTTCATATATGCACTTTATGAAGCGGAGGGAGCTCTACTCTTTGCTATTTTTCTGAGACTTTTTAACATGAACAAGTGTTAAATTTTGTCAAACACTCTTTCTGCATCAATTGATATGGTAATATGATTTTTTTAGCCTGTTAATATGGTTAATTGGTCTTTGAATACTGAAGCAGTGTTACATGTTTCAAATAAACCTCACTTGGTCATGACATATAATTCTTCTTATATATTGTCGCATTTTATTTGCAAATATTTTGTTGAAGAAATGTGTGCCTATGTTCATAAGAGATATTAATTTGTAGTTAAATTTTTGTACTGCATTTATCTAGTTTTAGTAACCAGATAATTCTACTTTCCTAAATTGAATTTATTAAGTGTTCTCCTCTATTTTCTGAAAGATACTATATAGAATTGATGTTAACTCTTCTTTATACATTGGTGGAATTCTCCAGTAAAACCATCTTGTCTAGGGCATTTCTTTTTTGGGTGTTTCTAAGTTACAAATTGAATTTTCTTTATAGTCATAGGGCTACTCAAATTACCTGTTTCATATTGGGTGAGTTATAGCTGTTTGTGTTTTTCAAGGAAGTGGTTCATTTTGTCTAAGCTGTCAATTTTATGTGTGTAAAACTGTTCATAGCATTCCCTTATTCTTTTGATGTCTGCAAGGTAGGTTGTGATATGTTCTGTTTCATTTCTGATATTAGTAATTTGTATCTTCTCTCTTTTTTTCCCTTGTCCATCTTGTTTGTCAATTTTATTGTTCTTTTCAAAGAAACAGGTATTTGATTTATTGATTTTCTTCTACTGGTTTTCTGTTTTAAATTTAATTATTTTCTAATTTCTGTTCTTACTTTATTTTCTTGTTTCTGCTTGCTTTGAGTTTCTGGTGGGAGATTCGATTATTATTTTGAAACTTTTACTCTTTTCTAATAGACAAAGAGATAAGTAAACAGATAAAGTAAAAACTAATGTGTAAAGTATAAATTTCCCTCTCTGCATTGCTTTAACCATGCCTTATGAATTGTTATATGTTGTATTTTTTATTTTCATTCAGTTAAATGTATTTTTATTTTTATCTTGAAACTTCATTTTTGATCCATGGATTATTTAGAAGTGTACTGTTAGTTTCCAAGTGTTTGGAGATTTTCCTATTATCTTCCTGTTATCCTTTCTGGATTAATTCTTTTAAGAATGGAGAGCACACTCTATATGATACCAATTCTAAATTTGCCGATGTTTGTTTTATGGCCTATCTAGGTGTATGTTCTGTGGGCATGTAAAAAGAATTTGTATCCTGCTGTATTGGGGTGGACCGCTGTATAAATATTAATTACATGCTGTTGGTGGACATGATTTTCAGTTCCTTTACATCCTTTATGGCATTTTGTCTAGTTGCCCTATAAATTGTTGAGAGAGTGATATTGAAGACTTTAACTAAAACTTTTGACTTGTCGATTTCTCCTTTCAGTTTTATCAGTTTTTGCTTTACATATTTTGCAATTCTGTTGATCACTGAATACATAGGTTGGTGCAAATATAAACCTGTATCAGTAAATACAGGTTTACTAAGTGTTAGTAAACCTAATATTTAGGATTACTATATCTTCTTAGTAGATAGAACCTTTTATCATTATATAATATCCCTCTCTGTCTCTAATCATTTTCTTTGCTCTAAAACTTATTTCGTATAATATAGCAGCTTCTGCTTTCTCCTAATGAATGTTTTATAATACGTATTTTTCCATTCTTTTACTTTCAATCTGCCTCTATTGTGCAATGAAGTGAGTTTCTTGTAGATAGCATATAGTTGGATGATTTTTTAATCCACCCTACCAGGCTTTGTTTTTTAATTGTGCATGACGACCATTTACATTTAAGGTAATTATTGATTTGTTAAGACTTAAGTCTGACATTTTATTTTCTGTTAGTTCTCTCTGTTTTACATTTTTCTGTTTTCTTTTTTCTGCCATCTTTTTAGCTACATTTTTAAATTTTTATATTTTGTAACATTATTTAAATTCAATTTTGATTTATCTACAGTGTTTCTAAGTGCACATCTTTGTACAGCTGTTTGACTGATTGCTTTAATTGTTACATTATATACATCTAACTTAACATCAGTCTTCTGGTGTCCCCATTTTCTTAGTTTGAGTGAAGTATAGAAACTTGTGCTTCCTTTATGTCTCCCTTTGCCCTAACCCATTTAAAATATAATTGCCTTAATGATTTCCTCTATCTGTATTTAGAATCATTTCAGATAGTGTTATAATTTTTGCTTCAACTGTAAAACTTAGAAAATTTAATAGAAAAAGAGATTCTATTCTATTTACTCATATTTCTACTTAATGTGTTCTTTAAGTATTAAGAACTACAAATAGGTGCTTCCAGATCAGGTTCTATTCTTTTAGTTCCACTATCATTGAAACTAATGAAGCAAATCTTTTGTGATGGTTTCAATGCCAAAAAAGTCTGCCATATGCCTTTTTAACTCAATCCTAAAATTTTATAATGGTATGCAGAAAAATTTAAGTTTACCAATGTTCTTTTATGGCTAATTTTGTTATAAGTCTTGTGGCAGTTTTGAAAGTGGGAAGTAGAGGCTGGCTGCAAACAACAAAGCTGATATAATGAGTTTATCACAGCTCCAACATGAACAAAAGCATCAAGGTTGGTTTGCTTCCATTATATCTGACACTTACTAATAGGCCATGCTATCTATAATCTGAATATGTATCCCACAAAATTTATACACTGAAATCCTAACCCCCTAGGTGATAGTGTTAATGGAGGTGGAACTTTTGGGAGGTGAAATGGTCATGAGAGTAGAGCTTTCATGAGTGAGATTAGTGCCCTTGTAAAAGAGGCCCTAGGGAGCTCATTAGCTCCTTCTGCCTTGTGAGGATGCGGTGAGAAGGCAGCTGTTTTGTGAACCAAGAGGGCTTTCACCAGAGGTCACATTTGCCAGCTCCTTGATATTGGACTTCCCAGCCTCCAAAATTGTGAGAAATAAATTTCTGTTGTATGTAAGCCACCCAGTTTATGCTTTATTATAGCAACTCAAAGGGACTAAAATAGGACAGACACATAGGTACACTTCAGGTAAGGTGTCATTAACACCAAAATCTATTCTCATTTATTTATTACCAATGAGATATAGATAGGTAGTCATGTTAATTAAACTGTTTTAGAATAATATAATAAAACTAGAATAATGAATAAGCCAAATATGGTTTTTAATTTACTATCCACATCTGTCATTCTTTAATTGTCCTACCATTTTATAGAAATGAATAGTTGAAAAAACTGTTAAGCCTGTAATTTTTTCCACCTTAGGAATTCTTAGGAAACATAAAGCAATAGACAAATCTCTTAAGTATATATGCTATATATCAGTGTCATGTCTGAAATTTGGCAAAACGATTTTGTGGTCATGAAGGGTAGAAACAAAAAAAAAGGTTGACATTTAAAAGTCACATGCAGTTTCTATCTCAGAAAGTAGAATACTGTTTTTTGCTTTGAAAAACTGTTTTCATCCTAAGAAAACCAGGTAATAGGCTCCTAAGTTATGCAAAGATAAACCAAAGTATCTGCCCATTTTTTCTGTGGAAAAAAAAAATAATAAAACTACCCATAATCTGAAAGCAGATATTTTAGACAAGGAAGCTAAATGTTTCTTTGGTATAGTAATATAACTTTTATTGGATCAAAGTTCTAAGCCTTAAACCTGCAGATTTTATTGCTTTTATGAGAAGAGTGAGAATGTTTCTGTAGGGATTTAGGTGACAGGAATAAATTCCTTTCTTGGACCTTGGAATTGTTGAGTATTCCTAGGGGTGAGGGAAGGAAGTGAGGGTGGGGTTGGTGGGGATTTCTGTATTGCTAATGGAGGGCTGAGAACGTGTTAGAAAGTACCTTACCTTGTAAGGAAATCTAACCCTACAGGGAAAGTTTCTAAAGTTAGCTGATGGTTTCTACTTTTTTTTTTTTTTTTTTTTTTTGTGACAGGGTCTTGTGCTGTCACTCAAGCTGGACTGCAGTGGCATGATCACAGCTCAAGCGGTCCTCCTGCCCCAGCCTCCCAAGTAGCTGAGAGCTCAGAGGACAGGTGTGCACCACCACGCCCAGCTAACTTTTTAAATTTTTGATAGAGACAGGGTCTCACTATGTTGCCCAGGCTAGTCTCAAACTCCTGGCCTCTAGTGATCCCCCTGCTTTAGCCTCAGATAGGAGGCCAAAGTGCCGGGATTACAGACATGAGCCACGACACCCAGCCAGTTTCCACTTCTTAATGGAGAATCAGAGTCAGGTTCTATTTTAAGATAGTTAAAAGTGGTAAGAACAAGAAACAGCGCTGCCTACATTGCAGCAACCATAAGCAGAGCCAGCAATGGTGGGGCATAGTAGCTTGATGAGGAAGCAAAGCAGATCATGAGGAAATTTGCCTCTCATCACATGGATGCAGAGTATGAGGAACCACTCAGAAATGACTAAGGGGCATGATAAAGCCAACCAAACTCTTGGGATCCAAGATTTCTCGGTGTCCATTCTGGGGTGGAATCAGTCTATCTGCACTTTTAACAAGCTCCTGGACTCTTCCAGTGCAGTCAACACTGGGGCCTCATTCTACTGGAGGTCACAAGGCAGTGGTTCTCATGATTCAGGATCCTTAAGGATCTCCTGAGTGCTTGCTAAAAAGACAGAGAGATCCCAGGCCTCCAGTCCAGAGAGCCTGATTTATGTCTCTCATTTTAGTAAGCACTCAGATAATACTGATGCAGACAGTCAAGAGAACTCTTTAAGAAAAATAGCCTAAAAACTTACAGCATTTTTATCAGGTATTAATGTGAGACCTATAGCAAAGAGACAAGCCATTTCTTACTTAAAATAAGACAATACATTTTAGCTCTTTACATCTCTGGCTAAAAGCTATTTTCTAATCAGTGATAACTCTGGAGCTTCATTTTGGAATAATTAGCTTAAATGTCAGCACTAGAAGTTATTATCTTAATGAAGTCTTTTTAAATATTAATATAATATGTTGCTGTTTTATATTTTTAAAATAAATAATAATTTTATTTTTTTCCTCCATCCATATTTTTTTTTTTTTTTGAGACAGAGTCTTGCTTGTTGCCCAGGCTGGAGTGCACTGGCACGATCCTGGCTCACTGCAACCTCTGCCGCCCAAGTTCAAGTGCTTCTCCTGCCTCAGCCTCCAAAGTAGTGATTACAGGTGTGCACCACCATGCCCAGCTAATTTTTGTATTTTTAGTAGAGACAGGGTTTCGCCATGTTGGCCAGGCTGGTCTTGAAAACTTGACCTCAGGTGATCTGCCCGCCTCAGTCTCCCAAAGTGCTGGGATTACAGCCGTGAGCCACCGCCCCCGGTCACAGTATTTTTTGAATGCCTACTATATGCAAGAAATAAAGCATGATAGAGAACACAATGTTAATTTAAACAAACTTGTTTCAGGTACTTTAAAACCAGTGGGTTTTTAGAATTAGTGAACTAACACTTATTGGCCTTCTGGCTAAGATCAAGTGTAGATTAGAATTAGTGAACTAAAGATATCTACTAGGTATTCTGTTCCATGGAAAATGTCTGATTATATAGGATTTAAAAATAAATATTTTCTTAAATAATGATTATGTACATAATTCCCTCCCTTGTGTACTGCAATTGGATTTTAAGTCCTTCATTTATACATTGCTGTAAATCTTTTCTTTTTTTTTTTTTTTTTTTTTTTGAGACGGAGTCTCGCTCTGTTGCCCAGGCTGGAGTGCAGTGGCGGGATCTCGGCTCACTGCAAGCTCCGCCTCCCGGGTTCACGCCATTCTCCTGCCTCAGCCTCCCAAGTAGCTGGGACTACAGGCGCCCACCACCACGCCCGGCTAATTTTTTGTATTTTTAGTAGAGACGGGGTTTCACCGTTTTAGCTGGAATGGTCTCGATCTCCTGACCTCGTGATCCGCCCGCCTCGGCCTCCCAAAGTGCTGGGACTACAGGCGTGAGCCACCGCGCCCGGCCTGTAAATCTTTTCTATTTGCTATTTTAATGATTTCCCTAATTGATTTTAGATAATTTGTAAATGTGTTTATTGAATTTTTTATTTAATAACACTGTATCATGCTCAAAACTATATAGTTTATTTTTATTTACTTAGCTAAGTCAAATTCTTTTTAAGGAAAAAAACAGGTAGGTACCATTGTTAGATGGGGATATTGCTATTGGAATATATGAATGCTCAGAGTGATAAAAGCTAGTTTTTAAAAATTCACTTCCAGAATGTCAACACAAGAGGAGTTATTTCAGATAGCTTGGAGTCCATTTCTTATTACAGCAGTAAAAGTATTTCCAGGAACAATTAGCTTCTCATCTTAGAGTTCACATTTACAAACAACATTATAAAAGCATCTTTGAAATATGCTTCTCTGTTTTAACTTCAAATAAGATATTCATTCATGAGCTTTTATAGGATTTGGTGAATTCTCAAATGTCAATACTGGAGCAATATTTAAAAGGAACATTTAACTAAACTTTTTAAATAAGTGGTTCACAAAATTGCTTGACATGTGCTGTGATAATTTTATTCATTTTAATTAACTGCACTATAAATTGCCAAATTCAGTCACTAGCAGGATAATGCATGCTGATCAGATCATAGGAGTCACACAAAACTGTGAGGGAAACGGAGTCAGATTAAAGCTATAATTAAGTATCTCTTCAGTCATAGAGGACAAATGGAAAGATAAGGTAAATCATTCAGTCAAATGCCAAAAAAAAAAATGGTGGCAATCAGACCTTAGAGCATGAGAATTAACCCATTGGCCAAATGATGAGTCATGTTCATACTAAGCTCCAAAAGGCTTTTCTAAGAACCATTTATCTATCCAAATATTTTCATCTTCAAACTATTCCATTACTAGAAGTATTATCAGAAACTCTTAGCCTTCCCTTTTGGAGTTATCTGAATTTCGTGTTTGACTTGGTTCAGTAGACTAAATGGAAGATATCGGAATATAAAAGAAAGGGTACATATTATTTATAAACAACATTTTGTTATTTTATCTGTCTTATAGTAAAAGGCTGACAGAGATACTGTATATTCAATGACTGAGGAATCATGATTTCTAAATGTCTGGCAGAAACCTCTTTCATGCAATTCTAATTTTCATTAACTGTGTTAGAGTGTTGGATTTACTGGCTCATGGCACTTGGCTTGAATGTTTTTGCTGAAGTTTAATTGGATTCAGGCAGTAGAAACTGTAAGTCAAAACACAGAAATAAAATCACATGATATATTATTGATAAAGTCCACACCACACATGAAAATATGAACTGTTCCAGTGAGGAAAATTTCATGTTCAAAAAATTTAGAAATTCTATTCCAAAGTGTTCAAGGTCATTCATGATTCAAGTAGGTATGCCAAGAACTATTATATCTCTATACTATTTCTTAAACACTACATATGCATCCTCAAAGGAGAAATTACTGAATGAATAAATAAAACACAAATTATTGTGTTTAATGCGTCTTTTGATCAGTCACACAGCTCCCATTTTTGCTTCCACTTAAGAATAATAGCCTCATCAGCTGATAATTCATGCTTTTAACCCATCTCTTTTTTAAGCCTTTCATAACACTTCCTCCCCACCTTTTCCTATTCCTGTCCTAACTCTTCTGGTCCCTCTACCATATTTCATTCCCTTCACCAAGTGGCAGACAGTGCTAGGGATTACTCACCATCCATTCTCACCTTCTTCTTTTTTAGCATTGATTTTGTATCAGATATACATGTGCTAGGTTAAAAATACTCATCTGTCGGTCTCCCAAGTAGCTAGAGGTGAGCATCTGACTCAACTCTAGCCAATGAACTAAAAGCTGAAGTTAATTAAATGGGTCTTACCAAAATAATTGCTTTAATCAAAGTGTTGGAAGCAACTTTTGACTTTCATTCTCTCCCTTTACTTCTTACCTGGAATTTGAATGCAGTGCCATCCTTTGCACATAAGGACTAAGGCCATATGCCAAAGACAGCAGAGTAAGAAGGAAATGGATCCTAGAAAGTTGATGATTTTTTTAAATGGCTTCTTGCTGCATCAGAAAAATTAAACTGCTATTTGCTTAAGTCACTGTAAACAGGTTTCTTTTTCCTTTTTCTTTCTTTTTTTTTTTTTCTGAGACAGAGTCTCACTCTGTCACCCAGGCTGGAGTGCAATGGCGCAATCTCGGCTCACTACAACCTCCACCTCCCAGGTTCAACAATTCTCCTGCCTTAGCCTCCCAAGTAACTGGGATTACAGGCACCTGCCACCATGCCTGGCTAACTTTGTATTTTTAGTAAAGACGGGGTTTCACCATGCTGACCAGGCTCATCTAGACCTCCTGACCTCAAATGATCCACCTGCCTCAGCCTCCCAAAGTGCCGGGATTACAGGCATGAGCCACCGCGCCTGGCCCCCTTTTATGTGTAATCAAATGTAGCATTAAAACAAAACAAACAGGAAATGAGTGATCTTTCTCTTTACATTAACATGTATATAAATGTTTAAACTAAAATCTTTATTTTTTCTTATACATCAATAAAGATTTTTTAAATAAGGGAAAACAAATATTCCGCCAAAAAAATTTAAATATACACAAAATTGTTAAATTTGCATTTTGCTAATTTTGTTTTTTGTCAGTTTTGTTGTAGTTATTTTTTTTGCCCTTGATTAAACAATTTTTTAATATTATATGCCATAAAAACTAAAACTTAGTTGTAGTGTTTTTTTTAAAAAAAAAAAATAGTGGCTAATTTTTTGATATCCCAGGGGACGTCTATGTCCTTCCCCTTTGAACCTGAGCAGATTCGTCGTGTCTTCCCTGTTACCAACAGAATTCAGCAAAAGGGACTGTGTGATTTCCAAACATGGGTCAGCAAGAGCAATGCAGCCTCAACTTTGTTTGCCTGAACACTTGCACTTAGAGCCCTGGGTTACCCAGTAAGAAATCCAACTACTCTATAGCCACCATTCTACAAGGATGCCACATGGAGAGGCGCTCCTATAAGGCGTCCTAATCCGAATTCTTCCAGCCCCAGAACCAGACAAAGGAGTGAACACGACTTAAGCCCTCAGCAACTGAGTCTCTCTCCTGGCCTTTGAGTTTTTTCACAAATGATCAGACGTCATGGAGCAGAGACATGCTGTCCCCATTGTGACTTGTCCAAATTCCTGGCCTACAGAATTTGTTAACAAAATATAAAATTGATTTAAGATTAGATTTCACGATGATTTGTTTTGTAAAAATAGCAGCCACAACACCGGGGAAAGCTACTTCCCCACATTTAAGAATATGGAAAAAAAGAGATAAGTTTCTCAAAATGAAACTGACACACGTTAATGACAGAAATGGTATCTGAGAGGAATGAAGCAATAATAAATACAAACAATATTTTACATTTACATTGTGTCTTTTGAGTCCACAGTACTCAGGACTCATTACAAACTTAACTAACTCCCTAACAAAATACATAGAAATCTCATTTTATGTGTAGGGGTACTGAAATTCACAAGAAAGATAGTTGAAATAATCAGAAATAAAAATCTAAAATCAAAAGATGACATTAAACTTTCTTTTTTTTAACTTTTATTTTAGGTTTCGGGGTACATATGGTTTGTTACACAGGTAAACACGTGTCACGGGGGTTTGTTGAACTTATTATTTCATCATCCAGGTATTAAGCCCAGTACCAAATAGTTAGCTTTTCTGTTCCCCTCTCTCCTCCCACCCTCCCCCTCAAGTAGACTCCAGTGTCTGTTGTTTCCTTCTTTGTGTTTATAAGTTCTTATCCTTTAGCTCCCACCTATAAGTGAGAACATGTGGTATTTGGTTTTCTGTTCCTGTGTTAGTTTGCTAAAATTTTTTTGTTTTTTTGTTTTGTCAGCTCCATCCATGTTCCGTCCACAGACATCTTGTTCTTTTTTATGGCTGCATAGTATTTCATGGTGTATAAGTGCCACATTTTCTTTATCCAATCTGTCATTGATAGGCATTTAGGTTAATTCCATGTCTTTGCAATTGTGAATAGTGTTGCAATGAACATTCACATGCATGTGTCTTTATGGTAGAAACACCGTAAGGTCAATTTATATTCCTCTGGGTATATATCCAGTAATAGAATTGTTGAGTCAACTGGTAGTTCTGCTTTTAGCTCTTTGAGGAATCACCATACTGCTTTTCACAATAGTTGGACAAATGTCTACTCCTACTAACAGTGTATAAGTGTTCCCTTTTCTCCACAACCTCACCAGCATCTGTTGTTTTTTGACTTTTTAATAATGGCCATTCAGACTGGTATGAGATGGTATCTCATTGTGGTTTTGATTTGCATTTCTCTTATGATGAGTGATATTGAGCTCTTTTTCAAATGCTTGTTGACCACATATATGTCTTGTTTTGAGAAGTGTCTGTTCATGTCCTTTGCCCACTTCTTAATAGGGTTGTTTGCTTTTCTCTTGTAAATTTGCTTAAGATCCTTATAGATGCTAGATATTAGACCTTTGTCTGTCAGATGCATAGTTTGCGAATACTTTCTCCCATTCTGTATGTTGTCTATTTACTCTGTTGATAGTGTCTTTTGCTGTGCAGTTCTTAAGTTTAATTAGATTCCACTTGTCAATTTTTGCTTTCGTTGCGATTGCTTTTGGTGTCTTTGTCATGAAATATTTGCCCATTCCTACATCCAGGATGGTATTGACTAGGTTGTTTTGCAAGGTTTTTATAGTTTTCGGATTTATATTTAAGTCTTTAATCTGTCTTGAGTTGATTTTTGTGTATGGTGTAAGGAAAGTGTCCAACTTCAATCTTCTGCATATGACTAGCCAGTTATCCCAGCACTATTTATTGAATAAAGAGTCATTTCCCCCATTGCTTGTTTTTGTCAGCTTTGTCAAAGACTAGATAGTTGGAGATGTGCGGCATTATTTCAGGGCTCTTTATTCCGTTCCATTGGTCTATGCACCTGTTTTTGTACCAGAAACATGGTGTTTTTGCTACTGTAGCCTTGCAGCATAAAGTCAAGTAGTGTGATGCCTCCAGCTTTTTCTTTTTGTTTAGGATTGCCTTGGCTATTAAGGCTCTTTTTTAGATCCATATGAATTTTAAAATAGTTTTTTCTAGTTCTTTGAAGAATATTGTTGGCAGTTTGATAGGAATAACAATGAATCTGTAAATTACTTTGGGCAGTATAGCCATTTTAATAATATTGTTTCTTCCTATCCATGAGCAAGAGATGTTTTTTTCATTTGTTTGTGTCTTCTCTGATTTCTTTCAGCAGTGTTTTGTAATGCTTATTGTAGAGATCTCAACAAATCCAGGAATTGGTTTTTTGAAAAAATTAATAAAATAGATATGCCACTAGCTAGGCTAATAAGACAAAAGAGAAGATCCAAATAAACACAATTAAAAATGATGAAAGGAATGGTACCACTGACCCAACAGATATAAAGACAACCATCAGAAACTACTAAAAACACCTCTATGCACACAAACTAGAAAATCTAGAAGAGACTGATAAATTCCTGGACACACACACCCTCCCAAGACTGAGCCAGGAAGAAATTGATTCCCTTAACAGACCAATGATGGGCTCCAAAATTGAATCAGTAATAAATAGCCTACCAACCAAAAAAAAAGCCCAGGACCTGATGGAGTCACAGCCAAATTCTACCAGATGTACAAAGAAGAGCTGGTTCCATTCCTACAGAAACTGTTCCAAGAAAGTGAGGAGGAGGGACTACTCTTCAACTCATTCTATGAGGTCAGCTTCATCTTGATACCAAAACCTGGTGGAGACACAAGAAACAAGAAAACTTCAGGCCAATATCCTTGATGAATATTGATGCAAAAATCTTCAGCAAATTACTTGCAAACTGAATACAGAAGTGCATCGAAAAGTTAATCCACTAGGATCAAGTAGGCTTCATCCCTGGGATGCAAGTTTGGTTCAACATATGCAAATCAATAAATGTGATACATCACATAAACAGAACTAAAGACAAAAACCACGTGATCATCTCAATAGATGCAGAGAAGGCTTTTGACAAAATTTAACATCTCTTCATGTTAAAATCTCTCAATGAACTATGTATTGAAGGAAAATACCTCAAAATAATAAGAGCCATTTATGACAAGCCCACAGCCAACATTATGCTAAATAGGCAAAAGCTGGAAGTGTTCTCCTTGAAAACCAGCACAAGAAAAGTATGCCCTCTCTCATCACTTTTATTAAACATAGTATTGGAAGTCCTAGCCAGAGCAATTGGGCAAAAGAAAGAAATAAAGGGCATCCAAATAGGAAGAGAGGAAGTCAAACTATCTCTGTTTGTAGGCAACATGATTCTATATCTAGGAAACCCAATAATCTTGGCCCAAAAGCTCCTCCAGCTGATATACAACTTCAGCAAAATTGCAGGATATAAAATCCATGTAGAAAAATCACTAGCATTTCTATATATCCACAACAGTCAAACCAAAGAACCAAATCAGAAAGGTAATTCCATTCAAAATTACCACCAAAAGAATAAAATACCTAGGAATACAACATTGAACTCTCAAAACACAATCAAACTTTTAATTCAGTAAATAGCATTCCTTTCGAGAACAACTGATACTTATCCTCCTCTTACCTCCTCCCATTATAAAAACAGCAGCATCATTATGATCGTGATCATCTTTATTTCAACTTTTAACCCAAATGCTGAAGATACAGTTAATGAAATGCCATAGATTTCTATATCATGTCATGCATTTCTTTTATTTCCTATACTTAAGGTTTGATTTCACCTATTCCCACTGGGGATCACAAACTTTGTAAAGGCAGAACCAATGTCATGAAAACTTGATCTATCACTTAGACTGCTACACTTAGCTAGACTATAATAACCCACATTGAAAATAAAATTTCATTACTTGAACCATTGTCATTCTTTCTATTAAAAAGTTGAAGCATACTGTCTAAATACTTTATTCTCTAAAAGATTTCCCTAAGCTTTTTATATTTATAACACAGAAGCATTTCTACAAGATGCTTTCAAATAATTCTGTATATTTCATTCCATTATTATCTTCCTTTTCTGCTTGGTTTGTCCAAACAGGCATGCAGATATAGACAGGGTATTGAAAACAAAGTGTCATGGAAACCAGACTCACTGACAGTCAGCCAAGTGCTTCTCTTTAAATCATTCCTTTGAAACAAAGTTGAAAATTATGAACTTTTTTAAGTCCTGACATTGTCCTCCTCAAAACAACCCACTTATGTCATTCCAAGGGTTTTGTCTACTGTCACGTACAGACAGCCTACATCCTCTCTGTGGCCTGATTGCTCAGATTGTCGTCAAAATTCACTCAATTCAGTATTTTTTAATATACCTGTCCTAAAATTGTGAAGCTACTCTCCACAAGTTTAGTATTGAAAAACTGAAATTAGGTTACCTGCTTTGTGCTGACCATAAAAGGTATAATTTTTTAAAATATGAGCATAGATTTTAATGGATTACATAATAGAAAAAAACTTAAAGACAATCTGGTAAATTTATTTATGTTAGCGATGACAGAAATATTACAGATTCAAGATTTTTTTTCAGTCATCACTGTAGCATTTTATTGGCTTGTGAAGGCATGTAGATTGTGCCAAGCTCAATGTGTTAGGTAATTGTTTGAAGGTTTAAGATTCCATATCAGTGGTTGAATTTTAGATTATATAGGCTTATTTCTTAATATATTTTAATCATTAGTTAGTCACTACCTATTTTGATTTCTCTTACATGCTTTGAATCTTTCAAATATCTTTAAAAGAATTTGCCTTCTCTATATATCAGAAATAACTTTTAAAATATTTCATTAAAGAAATTAATTTTTCACAAATATGATTTAGATGAAATTAGTTCTCTTTGAGTAAAATGGGATTTTATCCCATGGTTTGTATCTAAGTTGATTTCCAAAACAGTCAATGCCTTATGCTTTGTAATGTTATTGTTGGCTATTTATTAAGTTCATCTATTGGCATGACACTTCAATTTAGAAAACATAACAAAGTATATTGCCATATTTCATGAGTTAATACCTTCAGAAAGCAAAACACTAAGTAGTTAAGGGTGGACAAGCATTTGGAAGATTATTCAACTTTCTGACAGATTTGTTATAATGGTTATGATAGTTAGTACTCTTGAGATCAAGTGCTGTATAATGGAAACATGTGTTTATTAAGTTTCTGTTGAGTGTCTTCCCGTGCTTTATAAGGAAGGGTGTGCTGCTTTAATTGAGACAGTGCCTAAAACAATACAATAACATTTTCTTACAATAAATGCCCTGACTACCAAATATAATTAGAGAATCTCCAGGTTTCCGCCAAAAAAAAAATCAATTTGGAAACATAACACCAGCAAGTCCAGGTATAATAAGAAAATTAACATGGTGGTCACTGTTACTGAAACCTAGATTTGTGAACTTTCTCAGATATCCTTCTCAAGTCCTTAATTCACCTACCTCTACTTACCAGGCTCCTACATTTTTATTTATACAACCTGTTCCCATGTATATATTGTAAGACAGGTCACACTGAACTACAGTCCATGATATAAACAGTCTGTCTGTCTCAGCAAGATTTGAAGTTATCTAGGACAGGGACACATTTTTTTGTCATCCTTGTACTTATAGCAACTAACACTGTATCTGAAATAGAGAAGACACTAATATATGGAAATGGAATGGAATGTGGTGAAGTAGAGCAAGATTCTGACACAAAGAGGCATGATAAGATAGTCTGTATGGAAGTATGTTATTGTTAAGATTGCTGTATCCATAACACATGCCACAAAGTTTCTTAATGCTTTGGCTTCACCAAAACTTACAAAATTTAGTAGATTGAAAGGTAATAGAAAGTACAATTATTTCTAGTGCCACTTTTTATTGTTTGCATATTTAAATTTCATAAATGTAATCAGCAATATAAAAAAGACAACATCGATTACCTTTTAGAGTAGCACAACTTGCTTCCACACTGCTATACAGGGATTTCTTTAAAAGACATATTGTGGGTCATGTTGATAAGCATTAATAAAATTAATATATATGTGGAGTTAATCAGCTTAATCAATCTGTCTCTCTTAGTAAACTAAATTAAATATGTATATTGTCACAGTAAAGGCCTAGTCAGGGAGATTATATTACTACACATCACGGTTTGAAAGCATGACTTCAAATGTAAGTAACAGCCATGACATGAAGTCAGTGAGATCTTGCCAGAGAGTCAGCACAATTTAGAAAATATTTGTTTCAGGTGCACTCAGACCTACCTATCATTCTCAGAAAGGAACACGGGCATTCTGCATACATACTCAAGGATGTGGCTGAAATTTTACCCATTACTATGTTATTCAGGTCATTCCATTAAAATGAAATTTAAGAAATGTCACAACAGTTCATGTTACCTAATATACATTTTTTAAAAGAATAAAATTAATGTATGAGTATTTCCAGATTTTCTTTTTATTTAGCTAACTAAAAAGATTTCTGGAATGACCCATTTGATAGATGTATTTTGCTCCCCACCCCTTTTCTCCAGGGATCAACTCTTTCAGGCTTTGTAATATGAAACTGAGCAAAAAATGAGGAGAGGCAGAGGGAAACTAGGCTTATAAAGTTTGGGAGGGGTGGAATTTATCAGACAATTTGGGATATGAGGCATAGGACTTCTCATGTGTAAGGGAAACAGATAAGAGAGAATGGTTTTTCTTTTTAAGTGTTATTCTCATCTATTTATTCTTCCCCACCCAGTCCCTTCACAGTTTTTAGAAAATCAAATAAAGAACTCTAAGATTGGAGGACTGTGAAGCCCACCTTTTAAGGATTACAATGCATAACAATAAAGAACAGAGGGTTTATATAATCAAGATTCCTCAGGATAAGTACATTCCACAAGACTTCTGAAGAGGCAGCATTATATTACAGAAAGAAAATCCATGATAGGAAGTCAAATAAACTTCAGTTTCAAACCTGTTTCTCCTACCTACTCATTATATAACATTGAGCATGTTACTCTCCTCCTCCAGAGATAATACTGAGGTTATGCAATCAAAATACATGTAATCCAAATATATACAATTGAAATATTATATAGAAAGAGCATGATTCATACTCAGGTTGTCGTTAAAAGCCTGTTAATTCTAATCGTGAAGCATCAATTGTCAATAAAGATACCCTTATACTATTAGCTTGGAGCAAAATTAATTGCTGTTTTTGCCATATTTTCTCACTGAGCTTTTTGTCAATTGCTGAAAATAATGTGTATTTCAGGAATATAATTAACAGTAGCACTCTATAGCATTTGCAGCATAAAAAGCACTTTTTACAACTTTTTTATTTGAGTCTTACCACAACTCTGTTAGGTATGACTCAGTATAAATAGCCCTAATATATAGATAACCTGAGGCTCAAAGAAGTAAAGGAGTTTGTACAAAGCCAGCCAGCCAGTAAGTAAAAGAGTTGAGGCTTGCATCCAAATCATCTGAACCTAACTTCTATGATATTTCCACCAAATCACCACAGTTGCAATGAGGCTATATCATATGAAATGCAATAAAGATATAAAGATAGAACTTAGGTTCTATCAGAAGAAGCTGATCTACAGCATGCAATATCAAAGGAAAACTTCCACTACCAGAAATTGTTGATACAATCTCTGTGGGATTCTCTAAGCAGAAAAGCAGTGTCATTCCATCTGTACAGAGGAAATATACAGCTTCACAGGACAGGTGTGTTTGCATAAGGAAATAAATATCAATGACCTTGCTACTTCTGTGCCTAACCCCAGCCCCTCTACCTCTTTTCCTGGCTACATATTAAGTGTGTTTTAAAATTCAGTTTGAGCATCCTTTCATCTCAGAAGCTTTCTCTCATCCTTAACCCCACCCCAGACTAGGTTACAGGTCCATCTGTCTTCCTACAACATCGTGTGCATAAGTCCATACAGCCCTTGCATGCACTAGAACAGGAGCTCAGTGAGGGACTTCTGTCTTGTTCACTCTGTGTTCTTAGCATGTAGAACAGTGCCAGGCATTTTAAAATGGGTGCTTAATAAATATGTGTAGAATGAATTAATAGAACCTATCACTGCTTTTGAATTGCTCAATGTCTGGGTCATCAGTATACATATTCCATGAAAATACATGCTTTCCCATATCTGTGGATTCAGGCCCTGGGGTAGATTATGGCATATACAAACATTCCATAAGTATTTGTTAAATAATTCATACTCAGCACCAGGCACTAAGTCTATTATGGACATTAACTCACATATTCCTCATGATACTCTAGGAGGTAGTTACTATTGTCTTGCCCATTTTTCAGATGAGAAAACTCAGACACAGATGTGTGAAATAGCTTGCAAAAGTTCACACAGCTTGAAAGTGGTAGAGCCAATATTATCAAAAAGACCAAGAGATAACAAGTATTGGCAAGGGTGTGGAGAAAAGGGATTTCTTGAACACTGTTGGTGAATGTAGACTGTTGCAGCCATTATGGGAAACAGTATGGAGGTTCCTAAAGAAATTAAAAATAGAACTACCTTCTGACCCAGCAATCCCTCTTTTGAGTGTATACTTAAAGAAAATGAAATCACTCCTCATAAAGATAGCTACGCCCCCATGTTCATTGCAGTGTTATTCACAATAGCCAAGATATAAAAACAGCCTAAGTGTCTCTCAGTGGATAAATGGATAAAAAACTGTGATTAACATATATACATATGTGTGTGTGTGTGTGTGGGTGGATGTGTATAATGGAATATAATTTGCCCTTTAAAAAGAAGGAGATCTTGCCACTTGCCACAACATCAATGAAACTACAGGACATTATGCTAAGTGAAATAAGCCAGGAATAAAAGAAAAACATTATATGATCTCACTTACATGTGGAATTAAAAAAAAAATTTTTAGGTCAAGTATACAGAAACAGATAATAAAACAGTATTACCAGGTTGCCAGTATTGGAAAGAGGCAGAAATTGAAAGATGTAGATCAAAGGATACAAAGTAGCAGACATGTAGAATGAATAATATCGAGATCTAATGTTCAATAGGATGATTATTAATAATATTGTATTCAGGAATTTTTGCAAAATGAGTAGATCTCAACTACTCTTGCCACACACACAAAAAAAATGGGTAACTATGTGAGATGATGGAGATGCTAATTTGCTTCACTATAGTAACTATTTTACTATCTATATGTATCCAACTAGATTATGTTGTGTGCTATATATATATAATTTATTTTAAGGGGGAAGGAAAGAAGGAAGGTAGGGAGGGAGGAAGAGGGGAAGGAAGAGAGGGAGGAAAAGAGGAAGGAATGAGGGAGGAAGAGATGAAGGGAGGGAGGAAGGAAGGAAGGAAGGAAGGAAGGAAGGAAGAAGGAAGGAAGGAAGGAAGGTGGGAGGAAAGAAAGAAGGAATGAATCAGGACTAAGACTAAAATCCAGGCAGTCTAGCTCCAGAGTTCATACTCTTAACCACTCTGCTCTATTGAGTAAGTGCATTAATGAACAAACCAACAAAATAAAGATATTACAATGATAAATGCAGTAATAGAGGCCTGAAGTAGTGCTACAAACACAGATGGGGGAGTAATTAATTCTGCCTGAGGATGGTGGAAACCTTCATATAACAAGTAGCATTTTTGTTCAGCATTGAAAAGTGAAGTGCACTAGGCAACAAACATAAGTATTTATTGTGACTTCATATGTCATTTATTGCAAACAATATTATCTATTTGAAGTCTAAAGTTTTAACAGTGTTTTTATTTGTTAGCAATATTAACTCTAGTCATCATTTTAGTTCCTCAGTCACTTCTCCTATGACGCAGGCCTCAGATTTTTTTCTAATTTCTTTGATAAAGATAATATTTGAGGGAAATGCAGACTTTTATCTTTGTGAGGTAGATTGTTTTTGCTGATGATTATGAAATGAACTAGAACTGAGATGGAAAATATGAAGTAATTTTTTCTTCTCTGTGTCATAAGATTTGCTTTGGCTCTCAATTCAGAGCAGCTTGAAACTGTAAACTGATCACTCCAGAGACCACCCATCCATTTTACAAGGTTCATATCTGGTTTTGCCAAACTTCCATTTGAGACCATGCCCAGTCCTCAAAGGAGTCATGAGAAGGAAACTGAAGAAAAGGGGAGATAGGAAATGTGGCCTATTGTGTCCAGAGAGTGTGATAGGAAAATGGGAGTCACAGGGATGTCATGGACATGAACTAAACACCACCAGAGCAACATTAGGTGTCAAGTTCCCCAAAATGATTCCTACTGGAGGTTAGATTAGCTAGAGCTGATTCTACCTCTGCAGCCCTTTGGCATATTCAGGGAACAAGGCTTAGCTTGCAAGTGTACAGCTGCTGAGCTTGCAAAGGAATGAAGAAAAAAATGTGAAAAACATCTGCAAGCATGTCATTCAAAAAAGACCTTGAGATAAGTTAACCCTAACATGTGAAAATCAGGACTTGGCGGACAAGTAAATTTTGTGTTATTTTACCCAGTTTCTGAATTGTGGAAGGAGAAAATAACATACTCAACTTTATCCCTCTGAAATACTTGAGTTCCTTTCAACTCTAAAGGTCACTGTTGAATACTTCTGACAAATACTTTTTAAATTAATCTCCATAAAACAAAGCATTTACATTTCAGCTTGATACCAGAAAAACAATATCCTGAATGAGAAGTTTTGTACTACACAGCATCAGTTTATATTCTTTTACAATGGAGTAAGATCACACATTGATCCCCTAGCTACACGCAGAAGATAATAAATAAAACACAAACACAGGACAGGCTGACCCCCAATTCGGCAATCATAAGCAAGCATTACCAGCAGGGCTACTGCTGGCACCATGGGCTCTGCATGATGTCATAATACAGTTCACTGTTAAGGACAGGAAGTAGACCTGGAGGACTTAAGATATCCATGTAGTTAAAATGATGCAATGAATTGTGGAAACATTAAGTAAACTTCAACACTGTCATCTTGCTGTTGGATAGTGCTCTACTTGGCAAAATACAATAATGGTGAAACAAGACCATTTCACACAATGACAACTGCAATAAACACAGTAAAACAGGGTGATGTGTGAAAGCAACTGAAGTATGTAGTACTTACATAGGACAGGGGTGGTTATTGTCATGTAAGATCTCTTGGGAAAGGTAATACTTCAGCTGTGTCCTGAACAATGAAGAACCATAGATGTCAAGATCTGGGGTAATGAGATTATGGGGAGAAGGAACAACAAATTCACACAATTAGTGAACAGTAGTGCTGAAAACTTAAACTCAGTCTTCTACTCTTTCCATTATCGGAATCTCTCTCTTTTTACTTAGTAAATGACAAACTGTGACCAATAGGTAACACAGCACCCATGAAGTCAAATTAAGGCTATCATAACATTCTTTTTTTTTATTATTATACTTTAAGTTTTAGGGTACATGTGCACAATGTGCAGGTTAGTTACGTATGTATACATGTGCCATGCTACTGTGCTGCACCCATTAACTCGTCATTTAGCATTAGGTATATCTCCTAATGCTATCCCTCCCCTCTCCGCCCACCTCACAACAGTCCCCAGAGTGTGATGTTCCCCTTCCTGTGTCCATGTGATCTCATCGTTCAATTCCCACCTATGAGGCAGCATATACGGTGTTTGGTTTTGTGTTCTTGCGATAGTTTACTAAGAATAATGATTTCCAATTTCATCCATGTCCCTACAAAGGACATGAATTCATCATTTTTATGGCTGCATAGTATTCCAGGGTGTATATGTGCCACATTTTCTTAATCCAGTCTATCATTGTTGGACATTTGGGTTGGTTCCAAGTCTTTGCTATTGTGAATAGTGCCGCAATAAACATACATGGCATGTGTCTTTATAGCAGCATGATTTATAGTCCTTTGGGTATATACCCAGTAATGGGATGGATGGGTCAAATGGTATTTCCAGTTCTAGATCCCTGAAGAATCGCCATACTGACTTCCACAAGGGTTGAAATAGTTTACAGTCCCACCAACAGTGTAAAAGTGTTCCTATTTCTCCACATCCTCTCCAGCACCTGTTGTTTCCTGACATTTGAATGATTGCCATTCTAACTGGTGTGAGATGGTATCTCATTGTGGTTTTGATTTGCATTTTTCAGATGGCCAATGATGGTGGGCATTTTTTCATGTGCTTTTTGGCTGCATAAATGTCTTCTTTTGAGAAGTGTCTGTTCATGTCCTATGCCCACTTTTTGATGGGGTTGTTTGTTTTTTTCTTGTAAATTTGTTTGAGTTCATTGTAGATTCTGGATATTAGTCCTTTGTCAGATGAGTACGTTGCGAAATTTTCTCCCATTTTGTAGGTTGCCTGTTCACTCTGATGGTAGTTTCTTTTGCTGTGCAGAAGCTCTTTAGTTTAATTAGATCCCATTTGTCAATTTTGTCTTTTGTTGCCATTGCTTTTGGTGTTTTAGACATGAAGTCCTTGCCCATGCCTATGTCCTGAATGGTAATGCCTAGGTTTTCCTCTAGAGTTTTTATGGTTTTAGGTCTAACGTTTAAGTATTTATTCAATTCAACAAGAAGAGCTAACTATCCTAAATATATATGCACCCAATACAGGAGGACCCAGTTTCATAAAGCAAGTCCTGAGTGACCTACAAAGAGACTTAGACTCCCACACAATAATAATGGGAGACTTTAACACCCCACTGTCAACATTAGACAGATCAATGAGACACAAAGTTAACATGGATACCCAGGAATTGAACTGAGCTCTGCATCAAGTGGATCTAATAGACACCTACAGAACTCTCCACCCCAAATCAACAGAATATACATTTTTTTCAGCACCGCACCACACCTATTCCAAAATTGACCACATACTTGGAAGTAAAGCTCTCCTCAGCAAATGTAAAGGAACAGAAATTATAACAAACTATCTCTCAGACCACAGTGCAATCAAACTAGAACTCAGGATTAAGAAACTCACTCAAAGCCACTCAACTACATGGAAACGGAACAACCTGCTCCTGAATGACTACTGGGTACATAACGAAATGAAGGCAGAAATAAAGATGTTCTTTGAAACCAACGAGAACAAAGATACAACATACCAGAATCTCTGGGACTCATTCAAAGCAGTGTGTAGAGGGAAATTTATAGCACTAAATGCCCACAAGAGAAAGCAGGAAAGATCCAAAATTGACACCCTAACATCACAATTAAAAGAACTAGAAAAGCAAGAGCAAACACATTCAAAAGCTAGCAGAAGGCAAGAAATAACTAAAATCAGAGCAGAACTGAAGGAAATACAGACACAAGAAACCCTTCAAAAAATTAATGAATCCAGGAGCTGGTTTTTTGAAAGGATCAACAAAATTGATAGACCGCTAGCAAGACTAATAAAGAAGAAAAGAGAGAAGAATCAAATAGACACAATGAAAAATGATAAAGGGGATATCACCACCGATCCCACAGAAATACAAACTACCATCAGAGAATACTACAAACACCTCTACGCAAATAAACTAGAAAATCTAGAAGAAATGGACAAATTCCTCGACACATACACCCTCCCAAGACTAAACCAGGAAGAAGTTGAATCTCTGAATAGACCAATAACAGGATCTGAAATTGTGGCAATAATCAATAGCTTACCAACCAAAAAGAGTCCAGGACCAGATGGATTCACAGCCGAATTCTACCAGAGGTATAAGGAGGAATTGGTACCATTCCTTCTGAAACTATTCCAATCAATAGAAAAAGAGAGAATCCTCCCTAACTCATTTTATGAGGCCAGCATCATCCTGATACCAAAGCCAGGCAGAGACACAGCCAAAAAAGAGAATTTTAGACCAATATCCTTGATGAACATTGTTGCAAAAATCCTCAATAAAATACTGGCAAACCAAATCCAGCAGCACATCAAAAAGCTTATCCACCATGATCAAGTGGGCTTCATCCCTGGGATGCAAGGCTGGTTCAATATACGCAAATCAATAAATGTAATCCAGCTTATAAACAGAGCCAAAGACAAAAACCACATGATTATCTCAATAGATGCAGAAAAGGCCTTTGACAAAATTCAACAGCCCTTCATGCTAAAAACTCTCAAGAAATTAGGTATTGAGGGGACGTATCTCAAAATCATAAGAGCTATCTATGACAAACCCACAGCCAATATCATACTGAATGGGCAAAAACTGGAAGCATTCCCTTTGAAAACTGGCACAAGACAGGGATGCCCTCTCTCACCACTCCTATTCAACATAGGGTTGGAAGTTCTGGCCAGGGCAATCAGGCAGGACAAGGAAATAAAGGGTATTCAATTAGGAAAAGAGGAAGTCAAATTGTCCCTGTTTGCAGATGACATGATTGTATATCTGGAAAACCCCATTGTCTCAGCCCAAAATCTCCTTAAGCTGATAAGCAACTTCAGCAAAGTCTCAGGATACAAAATCAATGTACAAAAATCACAAGCATTCTTATACACCAATAACAGACAAACAGAGAGCCAAATCATGAGTGAACTCCCATTCACAATTGCTTCAAAGAGAATAAAATACCTAGGAATCCACCTTACAAGGGGCGTGAAGGACCTCTTCAAGGAGAACTACAAACCACTGCTCAATGAAATAAAAGAGGATACAAACAAATGGAAGAACATTCCATGCTCATGGGTAGGAAGAATGAATATCGTGAAAATGGCCATACTGCCCAAGGTAATTTATAGATTCAATGCCATCCCCATCAAGCTACCAATGACTTTCTTCACAGAATTGGAAAAAACTACTTTAAAGTTCATATGGAACCAAAAAAGAGCCCGCATCACGAAGTCAATCCTAAGCCAAAAGAACAAAGCTGGAGGCATCACACTACCTGACTTCAAACTATACTACAAGGCAATGGTAACCAAAACAGCATGGTACTGGTACCAAAACAGAGATATAGATCAATGGAACAGAATAGAGCCCTCAGAAACAACGCCGCATATCTACAACTATCTGATCTTTGACAAACCTGAGAAAAATAAGCAATGGGGAAAGGATTCCCTATTTAATAAATGGTGCTGGGAAAACTGGCTAGCCATATGTAGAAAGCTGAAACTGGATCCCTTCCTTACACCTTATACATAATATTCTTATCTACCATCTTTTTAAAAAATCAGTATTGAAATTGATCATATGTTCCAATTAAGAGCTAAAATTTTCAATTTTAATCAATATGAAATCATTTTAATAGAAAATAACATGTATCCAAATTAAGGCCCGTATTTGATATTTAATTGCAAGTTTTTGTCCCTCAAAGCATTTTTATGAAATTATTTGCCTTCCAGTGACACAAGAATAAATATACAAGTCTTGAGTAAAAAGATAACTTCTTTGCTGTAAACCTAAAACATCTCTTTGAAAAAGTCTATTAAAAAGTTTAATACCTTAAATGCTAAAACCTTAATGTGACATTTAAGATAGTCTAGAATGTGTATATATATATATATACACACACATATACATATACATATATATACATATACATATACATACATACATATACATATACATATACATATACATATACATATACATATACATACACATATACATATATAGTGCTTCATCCCCCAGTCTAAATCTTTTGGATGGGTATCAGAAATTGTCATCAAATGGAAAAAAAACCACACACACTATTATATACAAAATCAAAAATGTCGAAAACACGAATTCAGAACATCAAAATCAAAAGATCTAGGAGGGTACCACTTCCAAGGAGATGGTACTTTATAGTAGAAAGATCTAGACTGGGAGTAAGTAGATTTGGCTTCTCATTTGACTGTCGCTAGCCAGATATAAGACCTTGGAAAACTGGCCGGGCACGGTGGCTAACGCCTGTAATCCCAGCACTTTGGGAGGCCAAGGCAGGCGGATCACGAGATCAGGAGATCGAGACCATCCTGGCTAACACGGTGAAACCCCGTCTCTACTAAAAATACAAAAAATTAGCCGGGCGTGGTGGTGGGTGCCCGTAGTCCCAGCTACTCCAGAGGCTGAGGCAGGAGAATGGCCTGAACCTGGGAGGCGCGTCTTGCAGTGAGCCGAGATCGCGCCACTGCACTCCAGCCTGGGCGACAGAGCAAACTCCGTCTCAAAAAAAAAAAAAAAAAAAAAAAAAGACCTTCGAAAATTAATTAACCTCCTCAAATCTGCTTTTTACTCGTAAAATTGGTGTAAAAACATTCGTTCTTTCTACCTTGCAAGATTGTTGTGTGGATCAAGTGAAATGATAACTGGAAGTTTTCAAAATATAGTACCACCCAATTAAAATAAAATAACTTTCCCCCTCCCATACACACATCTCTCCCTAAAAACATTAGCTAAAATAATCAGTGCTGGCCCATCACCAGCTGAAAAAGAAAACATACTAAAATATTTTTTCAAGTTCACCTACAAAAATTAGCAGTTGTGCACTAAATTATAAAGTTTATGCATTTATATCTCATGACACATTTAAAAGTTCTCCACTACTTAGGGCAGAGTGATTAGAGAATTAAATTCATTTCCAATTCTAGACTGTTGGCTTTAAGAAAAAAAACCTTAAAAGATTTCCAGCTCTCAATACTCAACATTTTTAGTGGAAGATTTTTGCTTATTTACCATATGCAATTGTGACTAAAAGTGAACCTGCTTGTTTTATTATTTTATTCTCTTTCACATTCTCAGTGCTTATCAGTCACTCTCACACCTCATTACCTGGAAAGATGTGCCTCAGAATACACAATAAAGCATCTCTCAGAGGTGCCTGACTTCAACAAGCAGCAAGTCACTGTTTTCTCTGTTTCAAATGGAAATCAGTGTTGCCTTAAGAATGCTGGACAATACTGTCAGTTATCATCAGTCTTTTATGGACAACATTCAAGACTAAATTAGAATTTGTCCTTGTCTGGCTAATCTTTCTCTTATTTTAGAGAATCTGTTAAAAAAAATAACACTGAGGCTGGGGACTTGTTTTTCACAGATTTGTGTTTTTATTTTGAAATGTTAGGCAGTGGTAGGCTATGTTTTGCAGAAGTTGCTATTTAGTAGGCTAAGCATTGGTTTTAACTGCAGACTTTTATTCCTTGAATCCTTAGAATCCTTTAATACTAAAAATGATTTCAATAGACTATGAGGTTCTTAAAAAAGAAATAAAAACATATTTTATCTAGCTTTTATCCCCAACACCTAACCCCATGCTTGTCACATCAACTGGCACCCATTGGTAATTCTTATATAATCAGGGATTTCAGGGAGTCCTTGAAATTAATCACTAAGGTGACCTACTTCTAAACAATCTAAGCTTCTGGAATATTCTGCCCTCTCAGAGTTAAACCACAGTATTTCACGAACTGAATTCCCTACTGTCAAGCAACTCTCACTAAAACTAAACAGTTACCATATGCATGATTCCAATTTTTAAAAATGTTTTTCCTAATTAAGCTGAAATTTCCAGTTCATGTGTGTGCTGGAGGTGAATATCCACATTCATTATATTATATACACCATTTGTCTTTGAGAAATTTTGAGAAAGTGTGGTCCTGTGTTTAATAGTGTGAACTATCTAAAGAAGACAACCATATATATATATATAATTTTCAAGTACCAATCCTCTTCTCTATCACAATAATTCTGGGGAGTAGTTAGGAGAGCAGGCAATATTCCACAGGCAAGATATCTGGCAGGGGAAACCTTCTAGCCATATTTAGTTGATGATTTACTATGATTTAAGGCTTATGTCACTTACTTTTTTTTTCTCTTTACATACTTTAAAGGGTTTTCTGGTCTTCATCTTGATTTTTAAAGTGGATATTATTTTAACTTCAAAAGTGACTGTTTTATTTTTAGAAAATACTGCTCACATCCACAGTGGCACCTTGTTGACCTGAGTACCATGGGATAAAGAAGTCTGAGACCATGCTCAGTTTATGAGATGTGTGGCTATTTAACTCAGCATCACCATACCTCCTCTAAATATCTCCAAATCCCCTTCCCTACATAGTTCCAAGATAGTGTAATAGTGAAGAGTTAACTCCAATTTTGACATTTGACTACTGACAGTTTTTCAAACTCCATGACTCCCCTTCTGCCTTCTGTACCGCATCTGGGAAAGCTGAGAAAGCCTGGTAACAGCTTCCTTTGTGCCAGTGGAAAGTTTAAACTGTGCAAGCTCTGGCCTATGGATGTGCAAAAATCATGACAACTCTACCTCCTAACCACAATAAAAGCCAAACAGTCTCTATTCTCCTTCAAGCAATTTTTTGGATCTGCTTGGAAGCATGCCCTGCTCTCTCCACAAAGTCTCATTATGTAACAAACCTTTTTATACTCTCTTGATACCTGCATGGATATCATTAGTCTTGATATTCAAATCAAATTTGGGGTGGAGGATCATCTCATTTTTACAAGATGACCACAAGTGCCAAGGAAAGATCATAATTTCCCAGAGGCAGATGCAGCCATATGCATGAGCAGACATGAGATTCACTGCAGCTTTAAAGTGGCCCTTTGCAAACCTCTCACTTAAATGCTACATATCAGGACAGTTGCAGAAGAGATTTCTGGAGAAGCCTGAGATTTGCAGTGGCTTCCAAGTGAGCTTGAAGAACCACTGCTTCAGTGATGTACTAATGGTGACTTTCTTGCCTTTTTTTCTCCTGTCTGTCAATGATTCTATAAACCTCAAATTTCCTACTAGACCCTCCATTCTTGGAATATATAGGGGACTTCCATTTTCTAGACTGAAGCCTGACTGAAAGAATCAATCAATAGCAGGAACAACTGAGTCTCAGACTTAGTCTACAGATTGACACTCAATATAATATTTATCTTATGATGGCAGACTTCCCCTTTATCCATGAGAGTCTTAGTCAGCAAAATGAAGTAGCATGAAGAAATCGGTGCCAATTTAAGGGAGAAAGCTATCACAGTAATTCTGGGGAGTAGTTAGGTCAAGAATCTAAAGGAGAAGAGAAGGCAATATTCCACAGGTGGGATCAAACCTAGAGCCAGAGATGAAGCTGGAAGGGAATGAGATATCATATGGAGTTGGGTAAGGAGAGGATGCATTTTTCAAACACAGTGAATCTTTGGCAAATATGCTGAACAATTTGCTGTTGGTGAGACCGTGTTTTATTAGCCTACACTCAAATTTTGCTGTTCTCTCCTATGTATCTTCTAAGAATCGCATGGCTCCCAATTCACTGTGCCTCAACTATCATGCCCTGCATGATAAGACCTGACTGGAATGGAGTCCATGGACATATCTAGGAGAAAATCCAGCTATGGATGCCCAAGGAAGCAAGTAAAAGCAGCTCCAAGGCCTAAAGTTAAAATATGCTTTTGTTGAAGAGTTTCTAGGACTGATTTCCAGAAAACCAAGTTACAGACCAAAGAATGTATATGTTTCTGGAAGGCAATGCCCTTGCTCTTGTTTTTATAAATTCTCTGGGCACTGTGTTGCTGCCCATATTGGCTTTAATGTCCATGAACTTCTTGGGGGAAGTCTGTCTTTAAGACTCTTTAAAGCCACTGAATAATTTTTAACATTATTTTTAAGTTTTATACCATTTTTTCTTATATATCTGCAGAAATCAGCACCTTCCACCCTGACTGCAACTCCCTTATTATGTTATTCATGGAATCATTTGCCACTGCTGTGACCAGTTGTGCTTCAAAATACATCAGTATCACAAATTAATGACTGAAATTTTCATTGATGTCTTCATGTAAACACAGCCTGAATTTGTCTGTTTATTATTTTTCCTGATTCCTCTTTTAACCCTTAATGATAACTGCTACATCTTCCAATCCAATATCTGCGGCCCCTTTTCTCTCAGCTAGGATGATATGCAACTCACTCTGGTTTTCTTTTCATTTATCCCTAAGATAAAGAGAAAAGACTAGAAATTGCAAAGTGTTTTCATAAGTTTCAAATCTGCTGAAAGAGGCGATATGGGAGAACTATGCAGAGGGGAATTATTTTGCTTATTGAAGACTAAAATCAACTTGTAAGATAGTGGATACAAATATAAAATAGCAATGACCTCATAATTGTACATTTTTGCTGAAGAATTAGGTACATCTATAGCTTTGTCCATTGTGCTTGAGGATGAAGTTATCATTAATATTTTCTTCTGATTCCTGATTCCTGATCCTGAGTCTGAGGTTTTTGAAACAGCAATGACATAAGAGATAGCATTAAAGTTCCATCCTGGTGATGGTGAGTGACTAGGATGGAAGAAAACAAAGTAGGACACCAGTAATCAATATTGGTAATCAAATGTTTTAGAAACAATAATACAACAGAAATAGATTATACCTTCATCCAAATGCAAACATACTAATTTGCATGCTCTTTGACATAGACACATAAACGCAAAGTCATATTCAATCATACTCACACCATTTGACTAATGTACATTCATATATGATATATGATAGACCAAGAAAGATTCAGAAACATAGATCTCCCAGATGCAGCTCACGCAGATGTCTGAGACTGATAATCCCCTAGATAGAGCACAAACATACATGTATATTTAGGCCCACACTACCCCAGTGTACACTCACAAAAACATTCCACAACTGCACCACTGCTAGCATTCAGAAGCCCTTAGCCATGTAATAAGTCCACCCTCTGTTATATGCACTTATCTGTAATGTAATTGTAATGTAATGCGATCAATTTTATCCTTAAGTATTTTGTCTCTTTTCACTGATTAACAGCTAAGTTCCTAGAAACTTATTTTGACAATCTTATTGATGAAATATTCACAAGAAAAATCAAAATAAAAACTGAAGCACACTTCAAATCGCTGAGTGCAAAATATTGAATCATCTTTTACTACTACGAAATTTAGTCTGGTACTCAGCTGAAAGTTGAATTTTCTTGAGTACTTTTACAACAGAGCAGTCATTTAAATAGCATTTTCCCCTTTGCTTTGGATTATGGTCTGCATAGAAGTACTTTGAAAGCTAGGAAATATTTCTACTCTAATTAAAGCATATAAACACTTCAGACTAAGTGTAGGCATGTGAAGTTCCTATTCAATTTTAGGAATTGAGTACTTTGGGAAAAAAAATAAAACTCTGGTATTAAATAGTACATAATTGCAAGAGTTAAAGAATAAAAGATCTAACATAATAAAGTATATGTTGGGAATTCAGGAAAAGCCCACAAACTTGCAGAAACAAAGATCTTCATCTATAATAGCTAAGGCTATTGACATTGTTAGCTATGACATAACAGAGGGTTTATCCAAAGGTCCTTTGTAAGGTTCATTCTAGGTTTCGCTTTGTATTTAAAAATGGAATCTTATACATGTTAATTATACTATTCCCCTGCTGTTTTTAGTACTAATACAAATTCATAAGGCTTGATGTCCCCTCAAAGCAATTGGGATTTCAACCTTCAGTTCACCTACTGATGTCACTATGTCTCTTGAAGGAGGACAAAATCTAAGGCCTAAATATAAATTTTATATGCTGTTCAACACCTACATGAGAGTTGTTCTGATAATAAATTATATTTAGAAGACTCTTTTTTGCATGTTTTCAGATTAAAAACCGGATATAAATATGTCAAAGTTCATGGTTGGTAAAGCGCTGCCTTTCAGTACAGTCAGTGGACCATAAAACTGCTGTTAGACATAAACTGCTTACCACACTGATAAAAAGGAACAGCTGTGTCTAAAGCAAAGGTCCTACTCAGTTAGGAGTGTCCTACAGACACCAAGAGCAGCAAAAAGATTGAAAGATGAGTAACCATTGTAAAGTGTATCAGGTTTTCATTTTGTGGTGCCCTAAGTTAGAATATTCAGATGGCAATAATTATTACATTTTTAACTAATAATAATATTATCTTTTCTGGAATGGCTTACTCAACCTCCATTTTCTCCTCTTTCTAGTTGAGAAGCTGGAAATCTAAAATTTATATTTCCCAGATTCCCTTGCAACTAGGGTATTATGTGCAAATCAGGTTCTACCTTGTTAATATGCTCAGGTGATATGTGGAAGAGAAAATTGAGGCAAAGACCATCTTCCTATGACTCTTGGCTGTTGCTGCTGGCTAGCACAGTCATGGAAACATGGAACTTCCCTGCAGAAACTTTACATTATCCACTCTCCAGCTTCCTGGGCATCCAGAAGTAATAGTAGTAATAGCAGATTTTTGATTTAACTTCCCTGGAGAACAATTTTAATTGTCCATTCTCCAGATTTCTCAGACAGTTGGAGAAGCATTGGATGTAGTTCTTGCTCTGACATAGGTCTAATGGTGGCCCAAAGGTATCACCTCTGCATATTTCTGAGAATCATCTAGGAGGCTCATCCTAGAATTTGCTCCTTTGGCCCTTCCAATACATTTGCAAGCTTCAAAATCCCTGAATTAAATCCCTATCTGCTTAAAGTACCTAGAGTGGTTTCTGTTTCATGCAATGAACCCTGACTGGCCTCTTATCTTTTGTTGCTTTATCTAGTTTACAAAGTAGGCTGTGTGATACAGTGAAAGAGATGTTTTACAATTGAATTCAAACCCTGGTATGTGAGGTCACATAATTTTTCCTAGCCTCAGTTTCCTTATTTCTAGAGTAAAGGAGGATCATAGTTACTTCCAAAGATAAATACATCTTTATTAATGTATACCTTATAAATAAAGTTCCTCTCTCAGCATAAAGCATAGAATTGGTTCTTTAAAAGTCCTCTATTCTTTCACATACATACATCAGGCCATTTATATCAAGTCTCATTCAATGAATGTAAGATACTCAGCAAAAATTATCTTTTTCCTTTTTCCTGCTCACATATGTAATCTTGTCTATATTATATTCTTAATGTAAAACAAATATTAGTTTTTTCATGAAATCTATGGATCTGAATACCCACTAGGCACATATTAGATTATCAAAAAAAATGAATTTGATTAATCTATATCAAAACTTATCACAACAAGATTATCAGTTTATAAATATTGACTCATGAACTCTCTCATATGCTATTAGAGAATGTCAAAAGAAAACTACTCAAAAAGCCAAGGTTTACAAATGAGACACCAATTAACTGCCTAACCATTGAGCTCTTGTTTATTGTAAAGAACTAAAAAATGGTGATTTTTTTCCTACATTGATAACACTTTAAACCTCATAATCTTTGAGGTAGGTATTATTAAGCAATTAAGAGTACTGATGGAGTCGAGCCCCTTCTAACCATGTGACCCTAGACAAGTTTTCTAGCTTCTTTGAACCCCAGTCCCAACAGTTATGCATGAGTATAATAAAAGTTCCTATCTGCCTGGGCTAGTAATAGAATGAAATAAGCCACTAGGCACAGTGGCTCACACCTACAATCTCAACACTTTGGGAGGCCAAGGTGGGAGGATCACTTGAGTCCAGGAGTTCAAGACCATTCTGGGCAACAACAGTGAGACCCCATCTCTACACAAAATGTAAAAATTAGCCAGCATGCTGGTGCATGCCTGTGGTCCCAGCTACTTGGGAGGCTGAGGTAGGTAGGAGCATCACTTGAGCCCAGAAGGTCAAGGCTACAGTAAGCTGTTATCATACCACTGTACTCCATCCATCATGGGCAACACAGCAAGACCCTGTCTCAACAACAACAACAAAAGCCATTTGGTGTTGTTATGCTCCTTTACATTCTATACTCTGGAATCTCTTGTACCTAGTCCTAAGAGATGATATTTCCATACACTAACCAGCTTCCCTAAACTCCTTTTTCCTTGAACTTCACTGCAATCAAATTCTTTCTATTTGTGCTGTGAACCTGGAAAAATGCAACTGCTTTCTTTAACTTTCTCCTGTCTCTCCTCTGTTCCCTTAAGATTTGGAATTCAATCTTGTGATTGCTTCCATCCAAGATACTCATCTGTCTTTAGATACCCCACTGTTGACCAGATACAAAACACAAAGGGCATCTGTCCTCCTTGATTTTTATTGTTTTGTGCACTAGGGGATGCCCCAGGGGATGCAGCTCAGAACCCTGTTTGATGATCTGCAGCCTGATGTGTTGTCCTTTGGCAGCCAACTGGGTCAAGTTTCCCAATAGCAATCTTCAAGGCTTTAGCCCATCAAGACAAGATCAGAGGAGCATTCATCTTGGTAAGCTGAGCTTTTTCATTCTCTCCTCTTCATAGACAACCCCATTATTATTCATTCATACCTTCAACAAAAGTTTAATTTTAAAAAATAACATGAGTGTTATAATAATTTTCTACAAGTATAGTAATTAATTCTGGTCTTTAAAATTCTGCTTTGAAATAAGAGTTTTGTGCCATATTTTTAGTTCTAATGTCTGGGGGACAGAAGAATAAATCCTGATACTCTGGAGCATGCTACATAGAATTATCCACATGAGAAGCAAGTTAACTGCACATCACTGCCTACTGTTTGGAAAGTCTGCTTTCATTATTTCTATTTGGGCACATATTTTTGGAACCCTTGCTGTTTTCTAGTGTCCACTGTGTCTTAATTCAAATTGTAGTCACATAGATTTGCCATAATATCTAATGTCTGCTGCTGTATAAAATGTCTGGCCAGGTGCAGTGGCTCACACTTATAATCCCAGAACTTTGGGAGGTCAAGGAAAGAGGATCACTTGAGGCCAAGAGTTCTAGACCAGCCTGGTCAACATGGTGACTCTGTCTCTACAAAAGATTTTGGTTTTAAATTAGCCAGGTATGGTGGCACATGCTTGAAGTGCCAGCTATTCAGGAAGCTGCAGCAGGAGGATCCCTTGAGCCTAGGAATTTGAGGCTGCAGTGAGCTATGATTGCATCACTGCACTCCAGCCTGGGCAACAAAGTGAGACCCTATCTCTTAAATAATAAAAATAAAAAAAAGTCTGCGTGTATTTTTGTGGTGCCCCTGGCTCCATTCATACATCAAATTATTTATGCTGTGACATAGGTTGTGTATTAAATTAAATCATCCCAAATGTATCTTTATCCCAATTTGGTAAAAAATGAATTTGGCTTTTTTGTGTGTCATGCAGTAATAAAGGAAATGGTCAATAATCAGAAGCTAAACTTTATAAACTCTTGTATCTATTTTTTAATAGATTGATGATGCATTTTATCTTCATTATTTCCACTCTGTAGTTTTCCTTAGAATTACTTAGTTGTTCACTTTGCACCTGACAGGGATGGTAAAGTGAACATCTTTCTAGGTAAAAAAGGGTGAATAAGATACTCTCCCTATTCTCAAGGCCACAATCTAATATGGTTAGTCTTTCTTACACAAAGCCATAAATTGATGCCCCTTCTCATTAGAAGCAACATATCTTTGTTTCTGTTTTGTTGGCTTTATAAATGTCTAAGCACAAGTGATCTATATGGCCAAACCACACTCCTTTTTATTCCGCTTTAGGTGTCCTGACCAGGACTTTTCTAGAACAATACTTGCCCTGTAGCTGCTATTCTGTAAAAACCTAGAAACTGCTTACTCCTGTTTTTTTCTCATGTTAATTGCATTTGTTTACATAAAATTTACAACAGCTATCAGGAACTGTATTTTGTTATCCTAAATTAGTGTTTCACAAACTTATTCTGGTACCTCAGCCTCCCTCAGATCCGTATAGACTCCACTTACTTTGGAACTCGATTGCTTTGTTTTTATTAGGGCAATCTTACTAAAGGAAAAGGATGCTAGGTCAACATGAAATGATACGGTAGTTAGCAAGATGATTCAAACATGTACAAAAGCTTGTTTTCCATCCAAATGTTATAGTATCTGACATTTCACTACTAGAGATTCATTCCTTTGTATTGTGTTCCTTACCATCTGCTGTAAGTGCTGGTAACATCACACTAATTTACACTGAAAGGACAAAGGGTTATGTTCTAGCAAGGACTTCCTGCTATGGATGCTTTAGTGAAGATTTTTCTTCATTATTTTTAGTAATACTATCAACCATTTATTGATTGCCTAATGCGTAATGAAGTACTACACATTTCACAGTTCTATTATTTAATATGTACAACAACTCTGTAAGAGGTGTTATTATCATCCATATTTTACAGATGAGAGGAAGTTTAGGAGAGTAGTTAGCACTGGCTCTGAGAAGAGATTGAAACAGTTAAAATTTCACATTCATTACTTACTAGCACTGTGTCCTTGGAAAACGTACAGTTTCATCACCTGTAAAACAAGGGCAATGGTATTTTCCTCCTGAGCTTGCTACAAAGGTAAACAAATGCCTGACACAGAGTGAGTCTGAAATACAGGGGCCATATAAGAATAAGCAAACAATGATCAGAGGTCAAGCAACTTGCCCAAGACACCAACAAATAAGAGCCCCATAGCCTGGACTACCTCCATGACAGTGTGATGATTTTTGCAAAAAGTAGGCATGTCTCTATACCTCTGAGTCTTTCCAAAACAATTTAGGTAAATAAATATAAAACAGGAAGACAATAGTCACTATGATAATAACAGACACTGCAAAATTGACTTATCTCCCCCAGAATGGGCCGTCTTTCCTAGCCAGCATCATTAAGGCCAGCTATGGATTCAGCAACAGCAGCTTCATTTCTCTTCCTGGCTTCATGTGGATTGGTTTTCCAGTCGATCTGTGACACTAATTCTCCTCTATTAGGAGCTCCGTGAGTCAGTGGCAATACCGAGGCTGAGTCATGTTGGGTAAGCAATGATGCAGTCCTGAGACATGAGAGATAGCAATTAAAAATGACCTTTGTTGTCTCCACACGACTGGCTCCATACTTTCACATTAGTATCAGCAAAGAAGGTATTTCCTGGCTCGTGAGTAGGAAATGTAACTGTTAACAAAGACATGATTATACAACTGAGAAGAAGAAACCGAGAGAATAAGGCTCCTACTCATGCTGTGATTGGGACTGAACATAAGTCTTCCATTTTGCTTTTTAGTTTATTCAACTTGGCACTGCAGACAACTAATGATTTCCAATTCAAACATTTTAAGTCTCTTTTTCTCTTACTGACATATTTTTTTCTCATCTAGCAATTTTTATTGCCCCCAGACCTAGTCTTTTGTGTCCGGTATTTTGCAAGAACTATCAGAATAATCAAACATAAACTTTAAGAAAAAAGTTGCTTTCTTCTACTCTCTCCTAATACCTCCTGCAGGGATATAAGAGATTGTCTACTTCTTCATTATTTTAACAAGGCTTCTTTTCCTTATAACACTAAGGTTGTATAACGATCTTCCCTAATTTTATTCCTTGGGGCTGAACAAGTCTGATAACTCCATTTCCAAAGTAAGAAAAGGAAGCCAAAATCATCAACCAGCTTTCTTTTTACCGAATGTTCTGTTTTTTTAAAGAAGAAAACCTTTCCTTTGGTAGAAAATGCCACTTGATTATGACAAACACTCGTGAAACTTCTGTCTTCTTGAAAATAGCGAATATCTTAAAATTCACAAAATTTTTCACAGATTAGAAGAAATTAGTTGGAATAGGTGTGCTCTTAAAGGCCAAACTACCTGAGCTCCGGCTCTGCTTTTCCCGCTGTCTCTCCAGCAGCATCATGTGGCGGTCCTGCCAAAAACTCACATTCAGCTGGTTCAAAGCTTAAAGCTCTACCCTATCCTCCAACTTTCCTCTCATAGAAAAGGGCGCCCCCAGCTTGCCTTGCAGATGTCTTCAGGTTCTCCCTCCCCTCACCACAGATACCCAGTTCATCACCAAGTGCTGTCAGCTCTCCATGTCAGCAGCTCTTGTTTCTGTCTTCTCTTTCTCATTGTCACTACTTGGCCCTCTCAAATGACCTATTGCAGGAACCTCATCAATGGTCTTCTTGCCTCCTCTAATATCCTTCACAGAGTCACCAACATTATCTTTCCAAAACAAAGATCAGTTTCCAGCTGCCTACAGAATGTTATCAAGACATAACCTGATAGCCACCTTCCTTCCTGATTCCCTCTCATTACATCCTCCCCACATTTTGGATGCTCTAGCCACACTGGAAAACTCACTGTTGCCCAAACATGCCCATCTCATTGCTCAGAGCACTTCTTCCTTCTCAATGCTTCCCCAACTTTACTTTTTCAAAGACGGAGTCTTGCTATATTGCCCAACTGGTGTGCACTAGCTATTCACAAGCACACTCATAGTGCACTACAGCCTCAAATTCCTGAGCTCAAGCAGTCCTCCTGCCTCAACCTGGACTACAGGTGCACACCACTGCGCCTGGCTCCGTCCCCTAACTTTTTCAAAGTAATGTTACTCTTTCTCTTCTTTGTGCATGATGTACACATTACATTTCATCATAGCGACCAGTGTGATCTTTTTTACAAAACCATCAAATAATATATTTTCTCTGCTTAAATTTTGTGAGCTTCCTCTAAATTCAGAATGATAGATTAGGTACTTCTAAGTGTATTATACAAGGCTCTGCATTTTTCTGGCTCCTGCCTTCATCTCTAGATCTCACTTGTACCACTCTTCTTCTCGCTCTCTATGTTCCTGTCATACAATCTCATTTTTATTCTGTAAAACTCCAATGTCATCCTCACCCTATGGTCTTTGCCCTACCTGCTCTGCCCTACTCCCTCTGCCTGGATTATTCTTCCCTCACAAACTAACATGACTGACTTGTTCAGGCCCTCAGAAGAGCACTCCACTGAAAATAGCCAACACCAACTCACTGCCAAAAAACTTCCTAAATTTTTTTCTAGCACCCGTCACTATCAACATCTCAAATTATTTTATGTGTATATTTCCTTTATGTTCTCATCTGTCTCCTTCCAACAACAGGTAAGCCCCTTGAGGACAGGTTGCTTATGGCTTTGTCCATCACTGAATCCTCAGCACCTAATACAGACCATGACACATTTGATGAGTGTATATTAAAATAATTAAATGGAAAATACAGCACTTGTCATGTATTATCTCGTTTTCAGTAAGTTGTGTACATGTCTTTCTCCCTAGACTGTAATCGTCTTGAAACCAGGGACTATGTACTAATTATATGTATATTCCCCCACAGCAATATCCCAAATTGTCATAGTAGGTATTCAGTAAGTTTTCTGGCTGGAATTGAGTTGAGTAACTCTGTCCTTCACTGAGCTATGCTTATCTCTCCAAATTTAAAGAGCATTTGATCTAGTAAGTTTGACCCCAGCCTCAGCTCTGTCAAATAAGAGCTGTGTGACCATAGTCAAGTAGCTAAACTTCTCTGACTCTCTCTGATTGCATATATGAAAAACAGAAATAATAAAATTTTCTCTGCCTAATTCCAGGGTAGTTGTGAGGATTAAATTAAATCACATAAGCCCTTTCTTCTCATTAAACTGCAAACAGTTCAAGGTCTGAGATACCAGTTGTTTCTTTTTTGCCTAATGTATAGAGAATAGCCTCATGCTGTGTGCACATAGGTCAATCAATAATAGCCATCATTTATCGTGTAGCTACTATGTGACAGACACTGTAATAAGCACCTTTTATAGGACACATCTTATTTAATGTAATCCTTAAAACCATCATGTAAGAATATATATTGGTATCCCCATTTATAGATGAGAAAAATGGCACCTACAGAAGGTAAGAAATGTTCACAAAGCCATACACTTAGTCACTGGCAATGCTGGGATTTGATAGCACATCTGTGTGAACAAGTAAGTGTAACTGCTGATACTTATCATTTGTTCAAACTACGCAATATCCAGACATTTCTTCAGAGTTCCTCAACTGCTTTGGTGTTTACTTGAAGCTAAGAAAATCCTTTCAGACTTTTTCTTTCAAGTCCTCCCACCCACGATACTAGCACAACTAAGGAACAAACTCCTGGCCTGAATTTGGCCATGTTCTCTCAGAACATTAAGTCTTGATAAGGATGACAATGGAAAGAGGAAAGAAAGAGAGTTCATTCTTACCAGCAATGGTTCTTGTGCAACATTACCCTGTAGTTTTCTCCAATCAAAAACTTCTGGCACTGCCTTTTCTCTTCTAAACCTGGTTCTCCAATCCTGTCTTCCTTACAGTCAGTTCCCAACATCCTTTCAATAAATTGTTTTTGTTATTAAATTGGCAAGTTTCTGTTGCTAGTCTAAACAGAACCTCAACTGATACAATATGCAAAAAGAAAAATAATATGAACCCATAATGAATTCTCAAAACATATTTAATGAAGAAATAATCAATATGCTAATGAATGAATAATCCCTACTCATATGTAAGGGTGTAAAATGTTTAATAGGCTAAGTACTACCTGAAAATACATTACAAAAAAAAGTCACAAGATAGTATATGATTAATCGCCAAATTAATAGCCCAGGCTGTACATGCTGAAGATCAGAGGAGAAAAACACAGCAAGCTTGAATGATCCAGGAAGCCTACATAACTTAATAAATACTTGTTGAATGAAGTCCTGATATCATTCCCTAAGGCAAACCTAAGGAAGCTAATGAATGTAACTTTCCTTCTCTCAGAGACATAAAGCCTGGGGTGTTCGAATGATTCAATACACAGTCATTTGAACTACTCTTCTTCAGAACTGCGCAATTCAGCAAAGGCATGTTACAGAAAGACAGGTTTCTGCCACAGTCGTCTTAAGTACTTTCAGTCAACAAGCCTAGATCAAGTGACCACAGGGTCCCAGGCATCAGTCGAGGTGCTAGGAACACATAGAGAAGTAAAATTCAGACAGCAGGAGTGCACCATCTAAGTGGAAACAGAGACACAGGCAGCATATTATGAAAATAGTGCATAATTGCAGATAGAGAACTGCCCAGAGATTGAGGAAGCTCTCAGAAGGGACACTTTATCCAACTTGAGGAGGGGAAAGCCTTTTGAAGGAGAGTTGACTAGCTAGGTCTTAAAAGATGGACAGACTTGACAAAGGAAGAGGCAGGAGAAGGGTATCCCAGGAAAAGAGGCCAAGATAAGCAAGATAAATAAGCAAATAACATAAGCAAAACCACCATGGTATGTACAGGTGTGATGTGAGACAGTCAGTGATAGGAGATCAGGTCCAAAGAGAAGCAGCAGATGGACCATGGAGGGTCTGGTTTGTGATAACTGGGATATAAAACCCTAATTGACTAGATCTGAGTCTCATGGACGCCTGTGGAGGCTGGAGAGGAATCAGTGTCACTCAAACCACAAGACCTGAAAGTGAGTGGGTTGATGCCTGGAGGATTATCTGGGAGCTATTAACAGAAGAGTGAATAGATGCCAAATGAAAAAGAGCTGATAATACCTACTAATATTTTTCCTAAATGGAAGACTAAAATGGCTTCCTAGAAATTGACTAGGCCTGAGATCTCAATAATAATAATTTATGTCTTTTACTCTTGAATAGTAATTTAAACTTCATGATGTGTAGGAACCTCTATAAATGTGCTGGACTATGAGCACCATAAGGGCAAGGACATTATCCGTATTACAACCACCATGCCTGGTACACAGCAGGTACTCAACTAAATTTGTTTAATAAATAAGTGAATTAATGCATATAATACCTCATTTCATGTTCACCATCAATTTTATAAGGTACAGGTTTCTAATTCCATTTCCTAAATAGATAAATTATGTAGGTAATTAATAAAATTTTGGTGAGGAAATATGTATTTCAATTATTTACTTTTATGGATATTGAATAAGAATAAATGACTCAAAATCGAGAAGAAAGAATTATAATTGTATTTACAAAAGAACTTCTTAATTCTAAGGTTTATAAAAATTAGAACTACTTTCCCAGAAAGGCCATAAATCTCCTACTCCAAAGATGTTTTAGGCCAAGTAAGATGTTGGTTTTAATGAAGCTTGCCTTCTTCAAAGCAGGGAGATGGACATGCTGAGCTTCAACAAATAGTCTATAATTTCTCTTATAACGCTGCAATGTTTCCTAGAAAAAGGAAAAGAAAAAAAAAGAACATCATTCTTAATGTCCGTTTTCTTTTGCTATAGCGACACCTACTGTTATTGCTGGTACTTTGTTTTTAAGAAAAATATGTGGAAAAATAACAATACATTTAAGCTCTAACAAAAGGCTGTGAATATGAATTTTTATTTTAGTGGTTAGGGATCTTTTCTAGCATCTCAGAAATGAAATATTAAAAGTAAAGATTCAAGGGAACTTGACTGTATGAAAATACAGACTTTATAGCTATCAGCATTCATCCATCTGAAGAAATACTCTTGATATATATAGATAGATGATGATCTAGATACAGAGATAGATATAGATAGATAGAAATATAAAATAATGTATGATAAGATCTACATAGATATCGATATCTATATATGAGTTTAGCTTTCCTACATGGTCTTCCATATTATCATAAAACTACAATAATAAGAATAAAATCACTCAATATGCATATTTTGAAGAGAACATTAGACTATGGCACTATGAAGGACACAAAGAAATAAAAGGATAGAGAGAAATATATAATAAGCAAGTTGGCAGATATTCTACACATATGCAAAAACAATATTAGAATATGAGTTTCATATATTAAATTCTACAATGATTTGAAAGGAATCACAACTTGCAACTTTGGTCATCACACAGGACTCAAAAATAGCTAAGAAATATGAACCATATTTTTGGTTATATTTATAGAGACAAAGAAGAACAGGGAGAAAATTCTGGGCGATGAGAGGAGTCAAGTTTCAAAACAAAAGTGTGAAGTCAAGACTATTCAGTATGCATTAGAGACCATGCTTGGATTAATTTGCTTAGAGCTGAGATCCTAGAGAACTTCTAGAGTGAGCATTGAAAACAGTGGATTCATAACTTATCATGAAGTGTGCTGAATGCCAGGCTAAAGACTTGGTCTTTCATTCTATTTAGTGATAAGATTTTGAAAGATTTTGATCACGAGGATGATACTATGAAAGTAGCATTTGGGGGATAACTTGGGTGAAAACATAAAGGATCATGAAAGATAGAGAGAAATATGAACAGCTGAAGGTTGCTGTACAGGGATGAGATTGTAAGAATCTGAAATAGGCTGGTTTTGTTGAAGGCAGTAAGGAAAAAGCATAAATGTGAGAAATGTTGCCACGATTAAGTTCAAAGGATTTGATAAATAGCAAGAATACAGGTGTTTGGCTTTAGTGTAGATGTAGGGTACAAAAAGCAAGTAAGCAAATAGAATAATGACTCAGATAGATCAGCTGTCCTGCAGTCTCAACCTTTCAGGATGGCACCCAATGGGGAGGAAGGGTAAGTACCTCTAGAAGAGGAAAAAAAAAATCACACCAAAATTGTTAAGAAGAGAAGAGCTGAAAATTACATAGAATATGCTATGATTGGTCGATTTGTTACATTAAATGAAAGGATACTCTCTCTAAATAGTTAGTAATGACTGTAAGAGCCAAGCCAATTTGTGCAAAATCCAAGCCGTCTGGACCAAGTAGCAGAAAAAAACAGAGAGAGAGAGAAGAAAAAGGAAAAATAAGCAAATGGCAAACAGCCAAGATGACAAGCAACAGAAGTGGCAGGGGAGAATAGAAGCATTGGAAGTGACAACAGCTGTCACTTTGACAAAAGAGAACAGAGTTAGCAATGGAGAGAGAGATGCTAGCACAACTCTCAACTCTAGCACGACTACAAAATTAAATGGGTATCATTTAATCATCATTATGATGACTGTTTACGTGAACAAAAATTAAGAACCCATGTAGTCATAAGTTCAGATTTAGTTCTGAATGCAACAGACAGAATGCTAGAGATATAGACATCTAGGAATGGGGAAATGAAAAAAATTTAGTGGAAAGAAAATCCAAGCCATGTAAGTCATCTCCCAAGGCCCTTGCCATCTGTCCTATGGAAATGTATTCCTCTAGACTTCCCCATGGTTAGTCCCTGCACAAATATCACCTTCTTGACTTCACCAGCTAAATTGACCACTTCCCCACACAGGTTCTTTAGAGAACTTGCCACTACCTGAAAATATATTTTTGCCCTTATTTTTCAGTATTTTATTTTCTGCCTTGACCTGGAATGTAAGCTCCATATAAGCAGGCACATTTCTGTCTTTTTTTTTTTATCATTGCATTCTATAGCATTGAAAAATGTCTAAATATTTGTTGAATGAATGGATGACCATATTTTCACATTGATGTTCTAAGATCACACGGAACTGGCTGAAACTCTGACTTGGCTGTCTATAGGTTTATAGTAGACACTCTTTCTTCCCAGAATATTTTGGAAAATGTCCCATCCCCAGTCTCAGTCCAAGTGGCTCAGGAGTCTGACCCCAACTTCCAGCACCAAGGGTGACATCTATTACAGGATGTGTTGCTCAGAGAACACAATCACCCTGGTAACAGTGGATTGTTCATGGATTATCTTTGAACCCAAATCCAGTCAATTCAAACTCATCCCCAGGATTTTTTCCAGAGCTATCCAATCAGTCTGTATTCTGGGGTCTCTAGAAGTAGAATGTAAGTGTAAAGCAACCAGCATTGATTTTTGCTACTGCATAGGAAGATGCTGCCAGAAAAAGAATTCAACTAGGAGGGAAAGCTGAGAAATGTTAAATAAAAGACAGAGAGAGAAAAAAAATTTCTGATGACATGGTTTGAATCCCTAGATCCAAAGATGCCAAAATTTTAACCTTTTCTACTTTCCATGAATATGAGACAATCAAAATTCTTATTTAAGCTAGTTTGAGTTGGATTTATCTCACTTGCAATAGAGTCTGGTTAGTGAAAATTGTGAGAGATCAAGAAAATCTCATTTCAGTTACAGTACTGAAATATGGCTGATTGATGGACAATTAGGGAGATATAATACTGCAACCATGTCTTAGTCCAATGAGGTTGTTATTACAAAATACCATAAACTAGGTGGCTTATCAACAACAGAAATTTCTTTCTCACAGTTGTGGAGGCTGGGAAGTCCAAAATCAAGGCAAATTCAGTTTCTAGAAAGGGTCTGCTTTCCGGCTTATGGAGAGTACCTTCTTAGTGTGTCCTCACATGGTAGAAAGGGTGAGTGAACTAAGGATACTAATCCCATTTTTAAGGGCTCTACCATTGTAACTTAATCACCTCCTAAAATCCCCTAACACCTCCTAATACTATCATCTTGGGGTTAGGATTCCAAGACATGAATTTGGAGAGGAAGGATATAAATATTCAAGCCACAGCAAAGTGTATACACTGATGCTGTCATGGAGAGAGCCACGAAGACCCTAGCCTGATTCACTGGGCCAATGGCATATCTTTGAAACATCAGGAACATTGTCTATTTATACCCTGAACTAATCTACCCAATTAATAAATCACAATTAGGTACAGACAACCTCTTGAAGTGTGAATTCCTTCTTTCATAAGCTAAGAGCAAAGAATAAAGCTTTAAAAAGTTATATTCTCTCTGAAAGAGAAAATGACTGTACATAACTTGAAAAGAGCCAGACCTGGAAATGGCTAATGGATCAGCATGGTGTTCAATCTTCCACATTATTTGACATCAAAAGGGCAGCTGGTCACAGTATTTGTCATTTTTTAATCAACTACATATCATTGAACATGACTGTACCAAGCAATTAGGTGAGCAGTTCTCAGTGAAAAGATGAATGTATTTCCTTACCATGTGTTCAAAGCTACCTGAAAATAAATATGTGTATATTGAGCAAATGCAATTCATTCATTGACAAGCATTTTCTGATGATTAATTTGATATTTCAAAATAGAACACATCAGAGAAGACAAACAGCAACTTGAAAGAAAATCTGAAAACTTTGAAGGCAAAGAACTATAGAGTTTTTCCAATAGATCCAGATTGAGGCCAAAACCTCACTCATCCCCTAAAATCCAGGTCAAATGTCATTTCCTCCAAGATGCCTTCTTGGTACCTTCCCCTAGGAGGGGTGATCTTCCTTTCAATCATGTTTTGTCCCTAAATCTATTATAGCACCCTCCACAGTACAGTAATTCTTATGTTTCCCCATTTACTTCCATTGCCCCAACAGCCAAATTGTGACCTTCTTAAAAGCACATCCCTGTAAACCTAGAACCTAATACAAACCCTAGAACTAGGCAGATGAACAGTGTGAAAACGACAGCCAAATGAAGGTGTCCAGTCTTTTTGAAGGGTTCTACCTTGCTGTTCATAAGAGTCTACTTTGGCAAAACCTGCCATTATCTAGACAGTGAATCAAGTTCACCTAGGTTTTAAGGGAATAAAAGGGAATTGATTGTTCTAGTATTTGCAAATCTTAAATTTCTTATAACTTAGAAAATACCATCATTTTAAAGCTTCCAAAGATATTTTCTCCTTGTTACATACAGAATTTGAGCTAATTCATGGATGAATGAAAAACACTTTCTGTATTTTTATCATCATTTCATACATTTAGTGAAGGTTAATTTCTGAACTATATGCTTAGCTGAAGACAGCAAAGCTATTCTACTGCTATAATATTGAAGAACTCACCCTGAGGAAGCAGGGTTACTAGCTGTTAATATTTTTAGCATTTTCCTCTCTCCATTGTTACCTCATTGATTCAACTAATGAACCAGAATGTTTTTCAAAATATGAAATGTTATTAAGCAGAGTTCTGAGGGAAGCTGATTCACCTGAAGAAATATCAGAAGAGCTCTAAACTCATTACAATATTAAAGATGCAATTTCTGTGATACTGCTTATACCTAGGATTCTATTCAGAGTCAAGTGTTTTAGAAAACTTAGAGGAAAGTATGACCTGAGGTCACATTTGCAGAATTGTCAGTATAGAATAATGAGTGGTTACGAGCACAGGCTTTGAAGTTGGCATACCTGTGCTTGAATCTACCACCTGTAGGTATGTAACTTGAACTTTATCTCTCTAAAACAGCAATCAAATAATAATACTGACCTCCTAATTAAATTAGGTAATACATGTGAAATAGAGCATTCAATATGTATTCAGCTAATACTATTAATGCTATTATGAATATTAATACTATTGTTATTAATTTCTGATTATGAAGAATTTTTAGGCTTTCCTCAACTGATGCTTGAGTTCTCCTAAAGAATGCATTCTGGCATATACATTAAAATGATAAGGATTATTCCTCCTTCACACCCATCAATAAACTACAGACTAATGAAATAAATTATAATTTCTGAATTAGTTAATAATAAGTAATATAGAGTTGGATAACGTTAAGAGATGAAAAGATGCGGGCATCTATACTGAAGAGGAAAAAAAAGGGTTTTCTAGAAGATGAGGTAACCACTTGGTAGAAGGTTCTTCAGCTCAGAAATGCAGAACAGAGCTGAGTGAGTGCTAACTCCAGCATTGCCCTAGAACTTGCTTTCCTGAAAGATTAACTAATGCGAGCCTGTGTGCATGTGTGTATATATGCACGCACACACACATGCATGCACGTTGAATAACTCCATCATTTTTTCATAAAAGAAATGTGGATTATACAAATACAGGACTCCCAGGTAGGGTTGCCGAATTTAGCAATTAAAAACACAGGATGCCCAATAGGATTTGAATTTCAGATAAATAATAGATCATTTTTTAGTACAAATATACTTTATGCATACCCTCTACACCGGGTTGGCATCCTGAAAGGTGGGGTTATTCAACATCAAATTAATATGATTAGTCCTGCCACAGAACCACTGGTAGAAGAGAATAAAAGATTATGAAAGCACCCAATTAAATGAGACTTCCCAAGAAGAAGTCATAAAGAGTTAGGGACATAACCACCATAGCACCCTCAGCTAAAAAAGGTTGCATAGTGTATTAGTCCATTCTCACACTGCTGTAAAGAAATACCTGAGATGGGGCAATTTATAAGAAAAGGGGCTTATTTGGCTCACAGTTCTGCAGTCTGTACAGGAAGCATGGTGGCATATGCTTCTGGGGAGGTCTCAGGAAGCTTCCAATCATGACAGAAGGCAAAGCAGGAGCAGGCACATTGCACGGTGAAAGCACGGGCAAGAGCGGGGTGGGAGGTGCCACACACTTTTAAACGACCAGATCTTGAGAGAACTCACTATCATGAGGACAGTACTAAGGGGATGGTACTAAATCATTCATGAGAAATCTGCCCCATGACCCAGTCACCTCGCACCAGGTCCCACCTCCAACATTAGGGATTACAATCCAACATGCAATTTCGGTGGGGACACAGATCCAAACCATATCACATAGATATTCTAGAACATTACCTCTACATTGTGAGAGCACAGATACCATGGAACTTTATGATTTAACTTTCTGGTGCATAGTGGTTCTTAGTAAATGTATTTTATTCAATAATTAGAAACAAAAGCAACATCAGATTTCCAGATTAGTTCATTTCCCAAAGTAAATGGCAGTATACTCTTGTGTTCAATTGGTACTGAAAAGTTGGAAGTTGTTAAAGGAAAGACCCTTAAATTCACTCCCTGCTTTCATATCTTTGTATGAAGCTTTTAAAAATAATTCTCTTATCTATATCTAAGCCTCTTTGTACCTAGCTATTGTATGATTAAAATCTTTCAAAACCATTTCCCCCAGCCCTTTAATATTCTAAGTGTCTCTGCAGAAGTCGAGCATATGCATTTAGAATTGAGATTAAATTCCCTGAATGCTTTTGGCATTGTGCAGCTCTGTCATTCTCATCAGTATTCAGCACCAATGTCAATGGATAAAGTAGTTTAAAAAAAAGTGAAAATATTGCAGCAACTGAATGATATGTGGGATGTGCGGCTGTAATAGTGACAGAGCTTGAAGCAGTCTTACTCGATATGACAGAGCATGTAATGCACCTGAAATTGGGCCCTGTGTAGTGACTAAGAGTTTCAATTTTCTGAGTCTTATAGAATTCTGTATTATGTTTGGCAGCTCTGTTTCACACCAATGGCTGGTTCCATAATGCTAACAAGTACAAAGAAGAGAAAATGTCACTTAAAAAAAAGGAAGAATACAAAAGTGTATGAAAGCTTCAAGCCCATAAAACCTAATTTCCTATGGGAAATTACCATTTTTCATATTGTTATGACATTTTCAGGATACTGCCACTGCAAAATTTGTTTCTTCCCTACGCATATATGGAAAAGGTCATTCAAGGGTGTAGACTGAGGGTGAAAAAAGAGTGAGGCAAGGTGTGGCCAGACCTGTCTGTGATCCCCCAGTGGCCTTTCTCTCTGTTGCCCTAACCTGCACCCCCTACATCTGTTGTTAAAAACCCAGGAATGTCACATTCACAGAAGAGAGTTTTTTTTCCCAATCAAAGATGAGTTTCTAGCAAGACTGAAACAGATGACCTGTCTCATTGGGCATTCCCTCCATCACTCCCTGGCAATATCCATACAGAGTGAGGAATTAAGTTGTACCATTCTGCATATAAAAATGAAAATTCAGCTCACTTTTTGATGGCTTTTCTCTGTCCAGTGTGGTTCTCGTTTCCTCCTTCCCTCCTCCCAAACCCCTGTTAAATTATTCCTGGTGGGGTTCCCCTGCCATCCCCCATGCCTGTAATGCAAAGGGTCCAGCCCCCTGGGCAGTGCATTGTCCTCCCAGCAGGAAGTTCCCAAAGACATGTGAAAAAGTAACAGGAATCAGAATCTTGTAGCCTATTTCATGCTGCCTCTGCCTTCTCTTCCTTTTCCAAATTTCTTCCTGCTTTGGCCAAATCTACACTGGCATTGTAGGTTCCCTTGTTTTCTTGCCTCCCAATTCAGCTGGTCTCCTTTTGTGCGTGCAGCCATTCGTCAAACTGATTAATTACTGGTAGCTACTCCTCTGACTCAGCCTTAGGGTCCTGTCTTCTAATTTGTTCTCAGAGGCAGCCCTAGGGAGAGTTTTCTGTCATTTCTTGAGTTTTATTCTCCTGGTCTCACCTTTCTGGTCCCAAGGACTAGGGTGAACACCTGTTCTCCAGTCCCGTGAATAATGACTCATAATTAGACAGCACTTCTTTATGAGGAGGTGGATCATGAGGTACCGAGCCCAGGCTTTGAAGTCAAGCAAGGGTTCAAAATCTTGACTTAGGCCCTAATTAGATGAATGACCTTGGCAAATTTACTTAACCTTCCTGATTGCCAGTTTCTACATCTGAAAAATGGGGATACTGCAGCTGTATCTATAAGGAGAGTGGTTAAATGAAGATTCAGATAGTACGTATTGGAACTATGCCCCTAAAGCTAGGTTTTCTCATTACAAAATTTTCTCATTATAAAATTTTATTTTATACCTTACTAGCTTTCACCTTCTTTCCTGCAAGAATGTGGGATTAGAAAGTTTCTATTGTCCATATGCCAAATATGCTGCTATTGTATACCCAGATAAACATATTTGGCAAGATTGTTGGCATACTCAGGGCAATTTAATGGGAAGAATTTATTATATTACAAACCATTGCCCCAAAGATGATAGTTGTGCTTATAAAATTCATTGGTCTCCTAGGCTTTCTGTGTTTATATTATTATTAAATGTAACTAAAATCTACCAACAAATAAAAGGTTATTTATTTTTTAAAAGGCAAAGATATTTTATTTAAAATGTAGACTGGTTGCTGCCTATGTGTTTGTTTATGTGATGTTCCATGGTCACTAAAGGCAGATGCACGATGGTAACTCGCTCTCTCATACTGCTATTTGCATCCCCATCTGTGCTACACAAATGGGCACAGTGGTAAAGTCATTTGGTAAGTCATGTTTCCACAGAAATTTGGGCCAAAACGTACATCAACCATACCATGTAATAATGATATGGTAATTGTTTCCACTCTTCAGCCACCAAAAAATTACCTTCCTTTAGTCCTTTCAAATGCTTAAGGGAATCCCATGTGTCTGGGTCCTAGGCACTTCTTACCAATGACAGATAACACCCTAAGAAAAGGAGTTATGGCCAAAAACCATGCACCATATTCCTTGCTGAAAAATCACTCCCAGAAACTTATTAGAAAGTAGGTTTTTCAAAATGGAAGTAATCTAAAATATATTGCCATCTTTACTTATTGAGGTTAATAACTATAACAAGCATAGACATTACACTATAAATGTTTATTTTTTATAAGGTTACTTCTATTAGTATTGATATCAACCATGGGTATTTGAAGACTTACTTGGTAAGGCTATAGAAGACAACAATAATATCTTCAATTATTGAACATGTAGTATTACATACCAGATATCTTTTAATGTGATCCTTACAACAACCCCAGTGTTAGAGATTATTATTTTTTTCCATTTTACAAATAAGGAAACTGAGACTTACAGAAGATACGTAGCTCGTCTTCACAGCTAGTGGTGAAATCCAATTGAATTTCAATTTTTAAAGTTAAGGTACAACTACTAATCAAAACATGAGTATCATTTTGTCATTTAGACAGCCAGTTCATCCTCAATGCTCAAGCAAAGATCAAATCTGAAAGGCCGTCAGGGGTCACTCAAATATATAAATGAATGTCTGCTGTTAAAAGAATAGAAAATGGTAGGGTTTGTGGCAGAACTAGAGTATGAGTCTTCTCTAAAGACATTCAAATTCAACATTTTTTACACTAGCAATCAAACTAAACACATCTAATGACTACATTCAATCCAGAGACAATGTGCTTAACATTTCAATCTCTAGACTAATTTAAAGGAAACATCAGCCTTGGAATATTTTCAGAACAAGCTATCTTGTTGAGAATTACTCACTCCCTGGGTGTCTCCCATGTATATGAGAAATATACATGTTAATGAACTTCTGTTTGTTTTTATTTTTTTAATCAGTCTTTCATTACAGGGATCCATTTCAACTAAGTCTAAGAATGTTGGAGAAAAAAATTATTATTCTTCCCCTATATAAATGTTCTACAGAAAGTAAAGCCTTCCTTCCTCCATTTTCCCGAAGAGAAATAATATATTTTATTTTAAATTAGACAAATTGAAAGATATCAAACAAATCTAGTCTGGAATCCCAGCACTACCATTTACAAGCTATATTAACCTAGACTTTAAACCCTCTGAGTCCCTGGAATGAACTTGGCAAGAATGTAAAGAAAGCACAACGAACAAGGAGGCAGCAAAAGGCAATAGGACTGCTGAGGTAGGTCCTGGACAGGTTATAAAGGTCCATCCTAAAGGGTTTGGATGATAGTCGAGGAATGATGTGAAGACCAATACATGCTGTAAGCAGAGGAGCGAGGTTGTGTGGGTAGGAACATTCCCTGAATTACAGTTTTATCAACCATTAACCCTAACTCTCCTGTGCATGGTTCTGAAATCTGTGCAGGGTACCCAAAGTTTGGAAGTGGCAACCATTTATTAACATCATTGCTCTCTATATCAGGCATTTGTAAGTGTGTTCTACTTAAATATACGGTCTGTGCTAGGTGATTCATTAAACCCGGCATTCATAAACTTATGATGCTGCGTATACTGTATGTAAATAATACTCAACATAAAGTGGAAACAGGAAAAAACACCTAAAGAAAACAAATTTTTGAAAATGTAAATAAGTAATCATGGTCTTTCATCCACTCTTTCTACATGCTGAGACTCCATTAAATGACTGATGTGAAAGAATTCTAATGAAATCTGCAACAATACTAACAAACACATGTACAATAGACTCCTTCAGTTTTTTTTAATGTGTGTTTGTCACTTCAAAAATATATCTTTACTACCTGAGGAGAAGTAAAATGAAAGAAGTTTGTCATGCTGCATGATTTTGAATTCTCAAATGTTTAGAATAAATTTATAATCTTGATACACTTTATTTAACTAAAGAAAGAAAACCATAGGCCTTAATAACAGGCATCAATGAATAGGAAACCAACTGCAAATTACCTAATTTGTTGGATTTGAAAGTATGGAAATAAGGGTAGTTTTAAAATCAAAGCTATTACATTAACAACACATCACCATACAAGAAAAATGTTGAGAGGTTGATCCCATTCCCACTCCAGCACGTACCTGAAACAGCTGTCCAAAGCAACACACAGTTTCAAGCGTTTCTAGAATGTGCCTCCATCTAGAATGTGCCTCCATCATTGCCCATTAGCAGGAGTTCTTAGGTGTCTGATTGGAAATGACCACCCCTGATGGAAGCCAACAACCTCTACAGAAAATGGAATACAGGCAAGGGGGATAAAGGCTAAGAATCTGATAGTGTTAGTTCTGTAGCTACACACCCACAAGCAGAGTCAAGTTCCTAGGACTCTTGAACAAAGCCACTTTGTAGCCAGGATTGAGAATCACAGGCCCAGAGGCAAATGACAGTACTGTGATCACAACTGGAACGTGCACTTTGCCGAACATGGATCACAGTCTTGAGAAAGAAAGCAGCTGGGGACTTTTGCATATCACAAAATATGCACCATTGATTAAATAATTTCTAATTACTTCCCGACCTATTGGGAGGGTTCTCATTATATTTGTTTGTTTTTAAACTTTTTATTATGGAAGCCTGCAAATCATATATGACAAGAGAATAGTATCCTGAACTCCCAATTCATGATCAATCCTGTTTTATCTGTTACCTTCTCCCCAACTGTAGCATTTTAAAGAAAATCTGGAATCCCAGCTCTACCATTTACAAGCTATATGAATCTAGACTTTAAACCTCTGAGTCCCTGGAATGAATTTGGCAAGAATGTAAAGAAAGCACAGTGAACAAGGAGAGAGCAAAAGGCAATAGGACTGTTGAGGTAGGTCCTGGACAGGAATGAATTTGGCAAGAAAGTAAAGAAAGCATTCTATCTGTTATCTTGCTCATGTTTATAAAACACAATAACTCCTTTTTTAAACATAAAGCTGGCTGGGCACGGTGGCTCACACCTGTAATCCCAATACTTTTGGAGGCCAAGGTGGGCAGATCACCTGAGGTCAGGAGTTCGAGACCAGCCTGGCCAACATGGTGAAACCCCATCTCTACTAAAAATACAAAAATTAGCCAGGCGTGGTGGCAGGTACCTGTAATCCAAGCTACTTGGGAGGCTGAGGCAGGAGAATCACTTGAGCCAGGGAGGCGAAGGATACAGTGAGCCAAAATCACGCCACTGCACTCCAGCCTGGGTGACAGAGAGAGATTCTATTAAAAAAAAAAAACAAAACCATAAAGCCATTATCAGTGTAATTAGCACATCATTGGGAAAATGTAAACTACATTACATACAGACCACAGTGGAGTACTCTTGCCCATGTGGATCTGGGTAATACCTTTAAGGCTTTATATGACCCCACTCTCCAAACTACCAAACAGGTTCTAAATTAATTTAACTTGTCCTAGAATGTATCTAGCCATAGTGCTTTTGAGAAACTATATTTTTGAAAGCTGATGGAAGACTACATATAACTGTATTTCAATCATTTTGGAAAATTAAAATGAAGACCCTTTCAGATGAGGAACTGAAGATCTGGTGTAGCATTCTAAGGTTTATAGGGAGATCAAATATCTCCATGGTTATTAAGTAGCGTTAAATAAAATTTATAGGAGGCCACTGGTTTGGACTGAGCTCCTGCACTAGATGAAACAGACCAAACCAAATCTAGTTACTCATCCTGAAGTTCCACACAACCACACCAAAAATAAGTTGTTTATCTGACCTTCCAAGAACCTGGGAGAGAGAATCCAAAACCCTAAGAACAGGTGGGTTTTAGCCAGCATGGTAAGGAAGTCCCCTCTAGTTTGAACTTTACAAAGAAAGTAACTTTGAAATGACCAATCCACTTTTTCTTCTCTGTTCCTGCTTTCCTCAGCCCTTTTCTGCCTGTAAAGCCAACCTCCTCTGCCCAGCTCATCAAAATACTCATTCTACTTTATAGAATGAGGTGTGCCTGATTTTAGAATTATAAACAAAAGCCAATAAGATCTTTACACTAAATTTGTGGTAATTTTACCTTTTCACAATAGTAAGCCTGAAGCTAGTGGTTATGCAATGATAAGAACATAATAATGGCTAATGTTTATTGAACAATCAATTTGTCCCATGCACTGTAGCCTTTACATATACTATCACATTTAATTACCAAAATGCCTTTCTGGTATATCATTGCACAAAAATACACGGTGGGGTGAATGTATATTACTGAAAATGCTTCAACCAGACATTGTATACAATTCCTAGGAAAATCCCAAAAACTATTAGCAAACATCTCAACACTCCTTGGAATTAAATATGATGCTGACTTAATACCATCTATAAGGTATATAGTTGTTATATATTTATTATTTAATCATCTCAAGTTGGAATTTAGTTTCTTTAAAAATCACATTTATATCATTAGGAATAATGACTTCATGTATGGTCCAATATGCACTTACACACATGGTGATTAGCCCATTGCTCTGAGCAGAAAAGGACAAAAAGACGGACTCAAATCATATTTGTTCATTCATTCACTCATTGATTCAGCAAGTCTTGCTAGATTTGCTGAATTTTCTCATTCTTTCAGCAAATATTACTAGAACTGTACTACTAAAAAGCAAGAGGAACATATCTGACTTCACTGTTATTATAAGCTTAGTGGAGGAACATAATTACCCACTGATGAAACATAACACTTTGAATTACTTTAAAAGTGCCTGAGGGAAAAGTAATTCCTCTATTAGACACTCAGGCAGTATCATACATTGCAAAACATAACAGTTGTTGGTTAGTTTGTGTTTGGCAAAAATAGCATTTTTCCTTGGCCATCTCTGAGTGTAAAATATACAAAGGAAAAATTAATGTGGTTCTTTCGCACTTTGTACCTAAACATGTGCGATACACACTGAGACATTTAGGAACATTTTTTCAAAGGTGTCTTTTAACTCATTTAAAGATAGGAACTCTAAGAATTAATGATATTATGTGAGACCATAATGAGACTAAAAATATTCATTTAGTACCATATCCTGGCACTAGCAATATGAGCAAGAGATATTTTATGGGTGAGCATGGTAAGTTGCCCTACATATCAGCCTCAAAAGGCTCACTTATTGTCTCAGCCTGAATGATTCGTATAACTATCTATTGTGTAAAGCAGCACTTGCTATTATTTGTCCTAAAGTGACCTCTTTCAAGCTTTAAGATTTGCAAACATCAGTATTCTAAAATTTGGTGTGCTCATTTGTATGTAAATTACATGTATTTGGTGTGCCAGTTTGTATCCAATTTGGAGTGTATTCAGCAAGTATATAGACTGCAATCATATTTCCTCCAAGTCATCACTATTTTATCAGTCCACTTGTGGAAATCACTCTAACCTTGATTGATTTGGTTCTTCTCTAAGCATTTCTTGTACTAGTATGTCTTTTTAAAGTGGAAGCTACCCTACACAAGTCCTTCCAAATGCACATAGTTCCAGTTTTTATTTAAGCTAGAGTAACGTTCAAAGAACTTTAGAAAGGATACGAAGACAGGGACCTAAATAAATAATTAAGATTGTTTACTACCACTGTAGTAAGTATTCACATTCTGTTATTCTAAAATATTCAAAACACAAACAGATCTTCTCTGTTAGAAGTTATCTCCCTGCTATACCGTAAACTCCTGAATAAAAGAAGCCATGTATATTTTTAACCTCCAGTTCATAGTTTAGTCTCAATATATTTTTATCAAGTTAAAGTTGAATTATATTATTTTGAAACAAGCACAGCTTGTTCTATGCTTATCTGAAAGGTTCATTTTAACCTAAAATGTCAATTATAGCAAAGTTAACTATTTAAAATTCTACTTGATCCCTAAGACCTCATCCTTTTCCAAAAAAAATCAGGAGATGAAGAAAATGTCCAATAATTAAGGAACAAGAAATATAAGAAGTCAGGGGACTGTTTGGTTTACAGACTGCATAGTCATCACCCCTCCCACCCCTACCCATCCTTAGTGGGCTATGAAATTGTCTACTTATGGCCCACAAAAATAGCAATGTAACCAAAACTACATCAATGGGGCTGACCTTTTATAAAGGAAAGACTCCTTACAAAATGGAAAACATTCATTTGATGAAATAGGCAAACCTAATGGAATTTTGTATTTAAATCAAAGTCATAGGACTACGAAAGTAACATTGGATTAATGAAAACTACTGTGACCTTCTCTCAAAATAAGTCCACACTTCAGAGAAGCAATTAAAAGAGCTTACAAAATGTAGACTACATAGCCAATGCCACAGAATGCAAGTCTGAAGAATTTACAGGGTAATAATAAAAATGTCTAAGTTGCTGCACTTGAAAAGGCAAAAAGACAATCAATGGGTTAATCACTAGACTGCAAAGTATAAAATATTTGCTGAAATGAAAACTAATTGAATCCGTAAAGCTTTGGTAAAGGCAATCCTCATAGGAACTAACAAAGTACAGGACCTCATGTAGAATCTAAATTCTGTCAGGCTCACTTCTCTTCCTTTGTACAGGAAGCTACTCACCACAAAGGATGCCAGGGTGGTAAGGAGAACAAGAATGTTCTCCAAAAAGATTTGGCAACTCTGCTTTCAGCGACTCTCTCTATGTGAGCCTGATATGCATGCACCCTTGTTTCTTTTTTAACAGTGTGATGTGAGAAGCAGAAAATCACATGTTGGTTTATTCTCTAGGTGATGAGAAAAGCCATCCTCCACCCCACAAGCTTTACTGATGCAGATAAGAATTAGGAAAATGCATCATTGCTTGCTACTCAGCAATCCAATCTTTATCAAATGAAAGAATTTGGCATAGGAGCTCAATTTTTGGATTGACTACTGTGCCAGATAAATCTGCAGAAAAGAACTTTCTCCCAAGTTTTGCTGTGAGGAAGAAAGGATGTTTGTCCTCAGTTGTAGATTCAAGTGAAAAGTATCTTCATGTGGCTCCTGGCATTTTTCATCTCCTTCGAGGGCTGTGGTCAAAATGGAATAAAGTTAGGGCAAAAGTACTGGGCTTGGAGGCTCCAATGCCTATCAGGAATCCTCCTTAGAGTGTGGCAAGGCCCTTACATATACTTCCCAATATTCTGCTAAAAATAAAAAGAAGTAGAGAGCTCTGCTTGAGTTGATACCCAACAGCTACAAACAAAAGCATGGGCAGAGAAGGCTACTCCATATTTTCAGGAATTCAAATTTCTTAGTGTCAAACAAAGTTTGTGGAGAGATAATAATTTAGCTAAAACCTAAAAATAAAAGTGAAACAAAGCTAATGTGCTAAGCAAAGCATTCTTTTGAAAAATGTAGTATTATTTCATTATCTAGGTAATATGCATTCACTATAGAAAAAAATTAGAAAACACAGCTTAGCAAAAGAAAAAATCTAAAATATAGTCTCATGTACTCATTGTCCAGAGACAATCACTAGTAACATGTTGATATATATTCCACTCTTTTTTATACATCTTACAACTTTTTTAATAAAATGGGATCAGACCATGCATATTGTTTTATATGTTTTTCTTCATAATGAACACCTTTTCCTACAAAAAAATAATATACAGGTAACATTTTTAAAGTCTGTGTAATATTCCCATTTATGTATATATCCTATTTTGCTTATTTCAACATTCCCCAAAGTATCTTATGTAAAACACTAGTTCCACAGGCTATAGTTTAAGTGTATTAAGAGGACTATAGCATGCTGCATCTCCTAAACATGGCTTCATGGAGCTCTTTTTCAAGGATCTCTCAAAAGTAATGTTCCTCAGAACACTTTCTGGGGAACATTTTCTAGGGTGAATTCAAGCACTGCTCTAAGTCAATACCAAGAATATTGGACTGTTATTAGGGAAGGGAGTTGTCAATGGAAGGAATGATGAGGTTCACAAGTTCTTGCCTCAGTGTGGAGTAGTAGAGACCATGACCTACCTTTACCCTGGCAAAAGAACTCCCTGCAGCTCAAGTTTGTCCAGGGGAGATAATACGTAAGAATTTCAGACCAAAGATTTTTCTTTTTTAGAGATGGACTCTCACTCTGCCACCCAGGCTGGAGTGCAGTGGCACAATCTCGGCTCACTGCAATCTCTACCTTCCGGGTTCTAGCAATTCTCCTGCCTCAACCTCCCGAGTAGCTGGGACTACAGGTGCACGCTGCCATGCTCAGCTAATTTTTTGTATTTCAGTAGAGATGAGGTTTCACTGTGTTGCCCAAGCTGGTCTCAAACTCCTGAGCTCAGGCAATCCACCCGCCTCAACCTCCCAAAGTGCCAGGGTTACAAGCGTGAGCCACTGCGTCTGGCCAGATTTTTTAAGTAAGAAAAGGTAATTTTGCCTAATCTTGTCTATATTCAAATAATCCTCAGAAACTTGATGGGGATATCTTCAGCCCTGGAACACTGATAAGTCAGGCAAATAAAGCCCTAGCTACCTCTCTCTGGAGAAATAGATAACTAACCCCTTCCTTTGATTCCAGTGCTGCATAAGGTAGCAGGAGAGAACGTGTGAGGAACTCAACTGTTCTCTCTCTTTGGAGCCGACTAACATCCAGTGTAGATCAACAGAACATAGGAAGAATGTGTGCAGGGAAAATGGCAGCCTCACAGTGTGATTCTCAAACAGAAATTGCCCTTCTTGTGAGCAAAATCCCACGTGCAGGGCAAATCTCCTGAATTAGAGAGGATCTCGAGCTCTACCTATAGTAGTCATTTACAATTAAAAATAAGAGAGATTCATTGTGAAATTCAGAGAAAGTTCACTTGGGATCCTAATGCTAAGAGTTAAGACTTGAATCTTATGATGGCAGCATCTCAAATGGAGCAGGCAAAAAATGGTCCTTGTAATAATTCACTTCTGGGGCCCAGACAGGCTGGCCTCAGAGTAGAAAGAGTTTGTATACAAAGGTTTCTGGTTTTAGTTCATTTCAGGTATTTTCCAGATGTAGAGGTTTTTTACCCTATCCTCTTCCCTCCCTTTTTGTTCTCTGTTCCAGTCAAGGCTGAAAGACTTGCATATGAATTTTAGAGAAAATAGAATCTTAGGCAAAGTCACTGGAAAAAAATACTAATACCAGAGTAGAATAGATTACACAAGACCAATGGAAAGCAAAAGCTTTCAAAGGGTAAGATTTCCAAGGAGTATCTACGACATAAAGGATTTCTGTGAACCCCTTACCAACATCCACAGCAAAGCAGTAAATAAGCTCTGAGATCTTGAAAGAACTTTTAAAAATACAGACAAAATTCAAGGCCAGTTTTAATCATGAAGTGCTGTGCTCAGCAAAACTAAAGCCATTATCTTTAGTAGCAGTAGCTTAAAATCCTCATTCAGTTCAGAATCAGGGTACCAGGAACTTGGAGTCAAAGGATGAATGGAAAGCCAAGGCAAGAGACTCTACATACATAATATAAGCAGAAGAAAAAAACAAATAGTAACGCTAACATGTATTGAGTACTTACTATGTGCCCGGCACTATTCTAATTGCTTTGTAGGTAGGAGTTATTAGCATGCCCATTTGCAGGTGAGGAAACTGATGCATGGAGAGGTAAAGTAAATTGTCCTCCATTATACTGCCACCAAGCCACAGAGCAGAGATTCCCAGCCAGGCTTCCCAGCTCCACACCCTGAAGAAGAGAGTTTTAGAAAAGACCTGGGAACTGGGGGTACCACCTCTTCATGTCTCTATTTTGCAAGAAAATGGAGGTGTTTCGACAACCTTTATGACAGAGAAGATAGTCAGGACAGATAGTACACAATATCCTGCCCCACTCACCCCATTCCCAGGTAGAGTGAGCTCTGCAAAGGCTATTCTGTGAGCCACAGTGCTACGAAGTGGCCATCTCTCAGAGCAAAGTAAAAACGTCAGAGGCTCTTTGATGGAGGATCCGCCCCTCTTGTTGGGATCATTTCCTTGTGGTGGCTACTCTTAGGATGACCAATCTGTTCTGGTTTGTCTGAGACTTTCCCAGTTTTAGCATTAAAATTCCTGGGCAGTCCAAGATAGTCACTCTAAATCTTATAAAATCATTATGGCATAAGACACCTACCTAATTCTGCCTTCCCCTTAGAAATCAGGATGGAGCTCAGGGAGAAGTAAATCTGGGAAAAGAATTCCTTTTCTTCACAGGGTAAAATGTCAGACCCATCCTGCCCAAGTGTGGTCACACAGGAGCTATCCAGTGGCAGTATATACTGACTGGGGATATGGATTTTCATGTATTTCATGAGTTCAAGTGTCTAAGAATAAGACAGGATGGTGAAGATCTTACCACAGTCCAGAAGGGTCGTGCTGAATGAATGTCTTTCAGAAAATGCAACAGGCCTGACAGTTACACACATAGACCTATCATTTCAATGTTTACTTGTGAAGGGTATTTGTCCATGACACAATGAACAGAGAGTCCAAGGACAATTCACTTACCCTGTGTATTGGTAACAACATGTGTAAATAAATCCCTCACTATTTCAAGAAAGAGTAATCAGAACACACAGCTAAACAGTTTGGTAAAAATGCTGCAAAACATGGAAAAAGTAACACTGAGGACTGAGAAATCTTAGGATGCCACACCTCTGAGAATATATATATAGTCAGCGAACTGTACACTTTAAATGGGTAAATTGTAGAGTATTAAATTATACCTCAATAAATTTTTTTAAAAAATAAATCTTAAGTGGAAAAGAGAACTGGCCTCTAAAACCTGAAAAAAACTTTAAAGCTTCTTTAAATGCAATAATAGAAGGATAAGAAAAATGTGCCAAAGAAAAAGGAGAAAAAGAATTAATAAACTGGGAGTTTCCCTCATGAAGTTACAAAATGAACAACTAAGTAATTCTAAGGAAAATTACAGAATGGAAATAATAAAGATAAAAGCCATCATCAATCTATTAGAAAATAGATACAAGAGTCTATAAATAAAGTTTAGTTTCTGATTATTGACCATTTCCTCTATTACTGCATAACACACAAAAAAAGCTAAATTCATTTTTCACCAAATTGGGATAAAGGTACATTTGGGATGATCTAATTTAATATACAACCTATGTAAGAGCATAAATAATTTGGTGTATGAATGGGGTCTGGGGCACCACAAAAACACATGCAGACATTTTTTATTATTATTTTTTAAGAGATAGGGTCTTGCTCTGTTGCCCAGGCTGGAGTGCAGTGGTGCAATCACAGCTCACTGCAGTCTCAAATTGCTAGGCTCAAGGGATCCTCCTGCTGCAGCTTCCTATCTGGCACAATAGGCATGTGCCACCATACTTGGCTAATTTTAAAATATATATATATATATATATATATATATTTTTTTTTTTATAGAGGCAGGGTCTCACCATGTTGCCTAGGCTGGTCTAGAACTCTTGGCTTCAAGAGATTCTCTTGCCTCGACCTCCTAAAGGGCTGGGATTATAAGTGTGAGCCACTGCACCTGGCCAGACATTTTAAGTAGCAGCAGAAATTAGATATTATGGCAAGTCTATGTGACTACAATTTGAATTAAGACATAGTGGACACTAGAAAACAACAAGGGTTCCAAAAATATGTGCCCAAATAGAAGTAATGAAAGCAGACACTCCAAACAGTAGGCAGACATGTGCAATTAAATTGATTCTCATGTGGATAATTCTATGTAGTATGCTCCAGAGTGTAAGGATTTATTCATCTGTGACCTAGACATTAGAACTAAAAATATAGCATATAAACACTTTTATTTCAAAGCCAGAAATCTTAAAGACCAGAATTAATTACTATACTTACGGAAAATTATTATCACACTCACGTTATTTTTTTAAATTACAAAATAATTTCACTTCATATTGATATTAATGATTCTCTCTGTAGCATCAGGTAATAAAGCCAACTGATAAATAAATCCAAGAGCTGATTATTTGAAGAGTCAAGAAAAAGATTAAACACTTACCAAGCTAGTCATTTAAAAGACCAAAAAATAAGGTTTAGAAAGAGGATACAATTAGAAATGTGGAAGAGATTTACATTAATTTTAAAGCCTAGGTAAAAATGTTACACTTGATCTAATAAATTTGAAGATCTAGAACTTTAACATGTACCACAATCACCTACAGAGCCTGTTAAAACAAGAGTGTCTGACTCAGTAGACCTGGAATGGTACATGCACGCAAAATAAATCTCATTTCTAACAAGTTCCCAGGTGATGCTGATGTTGCTGGTCTGGAAAATACACTTTGAAAATCAGAATTAGGTAAAGTGGAGCTATTTCTGTGAAAATATGAACAACTAAATGACTCAAGAAGTTAAAAAAAAACTGAAAAACATAAAAAAGTTATTGAGGAATTACTTTATTTTTTTTTTTAGACGAGTCTCACTCTGTCGCCCAGGCTGGAGTGCAGTGGCAAGATCTTGGCTCACTGCAAGCTCCACCTCCCGGGTTCACGCCATTCTCCTACATCAGCCTCCCGAGTAGCTGGGACTACAGGTGCCCGCCACCATGCCCGGCTAATTTTTTGTATTTTTAGTAGAGACGGTGTTTCACCGTGTTAGCCAAGATGGTCTCGATCTCCTGACCTCGTGATCCGCCCGCCTCGGCTTCCCAAAGTGCTGGAATTACAGGCGTGAGCTACCGCACCCAGCCGAGGAATTACTTTTTAAAGTGCTTTTTAAGGTAGAGAATTTGCCTGTTGAATTTTTATAAAATTATTAAGAAACATACTCTCCATGTCAGGACAACTTTGCCTGAGCATTAAAAAATATGAAAAAGGGCTTGGCGCGCTGGCTCACGCCTGTAATCCCAGCACTTTGGGAGGCCAAGTGGGGTGGATCATGAGGTCAGGAGATCGAGACCATCCTGGCTAACACAGTGAAAACCGTCTCTACTAAAAATACAAAAAAAAAAAAATATATATATATATATATATATATATATTAGCAGGGCGTGGTGGCAGACGCCTGCAGTTCCAGCTCCTCAGCAGGCTGAGGCAGGAGAATGGCGTGAACCCGGGAGGCGGAGCTTGCGGTGAGCCAGATCGCGCCACTGCACTCCAGCCTGGGCAACAGAGCAAGACTCCGTCTCAAAAAAAAAAAAAAAAAATGATAAAGTATCCGGCCCACTTAGAAGCTAGTATAACCCTAAATGCAAAACCTGAAAAAGGAAACAAACAAACAAAAACTCTAAGCCTATGGTTGTTCAAGTTTTATATAGTCATATAACCTTGTTGTTCATGTAATCTTATGTGGAAGGCCAATTCTTAAAGCAGATAAAAGCAGACGTTCTCAGCAAAGTGACTTCTCAGCCCTAGATAATGGCTTAAAAATGGTTAGTCACTCCTTTAATCCAAACTTACATGGGAATATGGGTGGTATATGGACCACAGCATGAAAGCATATAAAAAGGTCAACAGTATAATAGCAAAAGTCTGTTTAAATTCCAAAAGGGAATTATTTACTGCACTCTGATTTTGCTAATGAAGAAGGTTAAAATTAATGTTAAGGCATTTATTTTCCATGACAGTAATTTGAAAAGGGAATAGACTATCAAGAGGAGTGATTGAAGTAAGCAATATGTATAAATTTTAAAAAGAGTACACAAGTGTGCTGAATACCCTGAGTAGACATGCAGAATCATTAGCATTTTCTGCCAAGTGTCATGAGGATGGACAAAGCGTAAGAGGAGTAATTTTCATCTTATGTATCTATGCATTAGGGAAAAATGTAGGAATATTATTTTCCCAACAGAGGTAAAAAGTGAATATGGACCAATACATACTAAAAGTCAATCTTCATCATTACTTAGGAAAGAATTCTTAATAGAAAGATAGTTTTTCAGGGCTTCCAGATGCTTAAGGGAGTTCTACATCTGGCAGCAAAAGGACAATAACTACTATCATGAGAAACACAAAAGTATAAAACTCACTGAAAGAGTAGAAACACAAATGAGAAAGAGAGAGAAATCAAACCTGATCACTATAGAAAACCACCATATCATAAAGATAAACAATAAGAGAAAAACAAAGAAACAAGATATACAAAACAACTGGAAAACAATTTTTAAAATGGCAAGAGAAAGTCCTCACCTGTCAATAAAAACTTTGAATGTAAATGGATTAAATTCCCCAGCTAAAAGATACAGACTAAAAGGATCTTTAAAAAATGACCAAATCATATACTGACTACAAGAAACTCACTTCACCTATAAAGACAGAAATAATACCGAAAGTAAGAGGCAAAAAAGATACTCCACACAATCAGAACCCAAAAGCGAGCAGAAACAGCTGTAGTTACATTAGATAAAATAGACTTTTAAGTCAAAAATATAAATGCTATGAAAATTATTATATAATGACAAAGGGATTGATTCAGCAAGCGAATGTAACAATTGTAAATATCTATATACCCAACACCAGAGCACCAAGATATACAAAGCAAATATTATTAGATCTAAAGGGAGAGTTAAACCCCAATACGATCACAGCTGAAGTCCTCACTTTGCTCTCAGCACTGGACAGATCACCTAGACAGAAAGTCAACAAAGAAACATTGGATTTAAACTGTGCTGTACACCAAATGGACCTAACAGACATTTATAGAATATTTTATTCAACAGCTGCAGAATGCACAGTCTTCTCATTCTCCAGGATTGACCATATGTTAGGCTACAAAACAAGTCTCAACAATTTTGTTTAAATTGAAAACATATCAGGTATAATTTCTGACCACCATGGAATAAAACTACAAATCAAAACAAGGGAACTTTTGAAACAAATTAAAAACACAGAAATTATGCAACATGCTCCTGAATGACCAATGGGCCAATGAGAAATTTAATAAGAAAATATTTAAAATTTCTTGAAATAAATGAAAATATAAACATAATATGTCAAAACCTATACACAAACCAATAGCAGTACTAAGAGGGGAATTTATAAGCACCTACATCAAAAACATAGAAATATTTCAAATAAACAACTTAACAATGCACATCGAGGAATGGGAAGAACAAAAATAAACCAAACCCAAAATTAGTAGAAGGAAAAAAATAATAAAAATCAGAGCATAAATAAATGAAATGGACACTAAAAAAAATTACAAAGGATCAACAAAACAAACAGTCAGTTTTCAGAAAAGATAAACAAAATTGACAAACCATTAGGTACACTAATAAAGACAAAAAGAGAGAAGACCTATATAAATAAAATCAAAAATATGAAAGGAAGCATTACAACTGATAGTGCAGAAATACAAAGAATCCTTAGAGATTATTATGAACAACTATTCACTAACAAATTGAAAAACTAGAGGAAATGGATAAATTTCTAGACACACGCAACCTACCAAGATTGAATTAGGAAGATTAGAAAACATAAACAGAAAAATAATGAGTAATGAGACTTAAAAAGTAATAAAAAGTCTCCTAACAAAAGGCCATGATTGGATGGCTTCAATGCTGAATTCTCCCAAACTTTTAAAGAAGAACTAACACTAATTTTTCTTAAACTATTCCAAAGTGTTGAAAGAAGGGAAATTCTTCCAAACTCATTCTACAAGGTTAGCATTACCCTGTTACCCAAAACCCAGGCAAGGGACACAACAACAAACTACAAGCTAATTTCCCCCAATGGAACACCAGGTGCCAAAATCTTCAAGAAAATACTAGCAAACAAAATCCAACAGCACATTAAGATCAAATGAGCTTTACCTCAGGGAAGTATGAATGATTCAACATATGCAAATTAATAAACATGATACATCCCATAAACAGAATAAAGAACAGAAATCATATCATCATATCAATAGAAACAGAAAAGGCACTTCATAAAATTCAGCATCGTTTTATGGTTAAAAACTGTCAATAAATTAGGTATGGAAGGAATGTATCTTAATACGATAAAGACCACATGTGACAAACTCACAGCTAACAGCATACTGAACAAGGAAAAGTTGAAAGCCTTTCCTCCACGAACTTGAATAAGTCAAGCTTGCCCAATTTCAGCGCTGTTATTCAACATAGTACTGGAAGTCCTACACAGAGAAAGTAGTTCAGAGAAAGAAATAAAAAGCATCACAGTTGGAAAGAAAGAAGTCAAACTGTCCCGGTTTGCAGATGACATAATCTAACATATAGAAAAACCTCCACCAAAAACCTCTTAGAACTGATAAACCAATTCTACAAAGTTGCAAGATACAAAATTAAAGTATTAAAATCAGTAGCATTTCTATACACCAATAATAATGTAGCTGAAAAAGAAATCAAGAAAGCAATCTCATTTACAATAGTTATTTAAAAAAACAAAGTACCTAGAAATAAATTTAACCAAGGAAGTCAAAGATCTCTACAATAAAAACTATAAAACACTGATGAAAGAAATTGAAAAGGATACAAATAGAAAAACATCCCATGCTCATGGATCAGAGGAATTATATTGTTAAAATGACTATGAAACCCAAACCAATTTAAGATTCAATGTAATCTCTATCAAACTATCAGTGTCATTCTTCACGTAAATAGAAAAACAATCCTAAAATGTATATGGTACCACGAAAGACTCTGAATAGTCAAAGCAATACGGAGCAAAATGAACAAAGCTGGAGGCATTACACTACCTGACTTCGAAATATGCTGCAAACTACAGTAACCAAAACAGCATAGCACTGGTATAAAAATGGATGCACAGACCAGTGAAACAGAACAGAAACCCAGAAATACATGCATGTATTTATAGCCAATTGATTTTTTACAAAACTGCCAAGAACATACATTGGGGAAAGGAGAGTCTCTTCAATAAATAGTGCTGGGAAATTGGATATCCATATGAAGAAGAATGAAACTAGACCCGTATTAAAAAAAAAAAAAAGTCAACTCAAAATGGATCCAAATGTAAGATCCAAAGCTCTAAAACTACTAGAGGAAAATGTAGGGGAAATGCTTCAGGACTTTAGCCTCAGCAATGATTTTATGGAGAAGACTTCAAAATCACAAGCAATAAAAGCAAAAATAGACAAATGGGATTTTATCAAACTTAAAAACTTCTGCACAGAAAAAGAAACAATCAATAATAGAGTGAAAAGACAACCTATAGAATGGGAAAAATATTTGCAAACTATTTCTCCAACAAGGGAATAATATCCAGAATATACAAGGAATTTAAACAACTCAACAGCAAAAAATAATAATAATAACCCAATTAAAACATGAGCAAATCCCAAAAATATATACAACTATAATACTTCAATTTTAAAAAGCATTTCAGGAAAACAATGGGCAAAATTATGTGAGTAGATATTTACCAAAAGAAGACATACAAATAGCAAAAAAGTATATTTTCAAAGGGCTCTATACCACTAATCATCAGGGAAATAAAAATCAAAACCACAGGGAGATATCATTTTCACCCGTTAGAATGGCTATTATTAAAAAGACAAAAAACAACAAAATGCCAGCAAACCACATCCAACAGCACATCAAAAAGATTGGACACCATGATCAAGTGAGGAGAAAGAGGAACTCTTATCCACTGTTTGTGGAAATACAAACTCATGCAACTGTTATAAAAAAAGTGTAGAGTTTCCTCAAAAAACTAAAAAACAGAACTACCATAGGATCTAGCAAACCCACTATTGGATATATATTCGAAGTGAAGGAAATCAGTATGTTGAGGGGATAGCTGCACTCCTATGTTTATACCAGCACTTTCACAACACTCAAGATATGGAATCAACCCAAATATCCATCAACAGATGAATAAAAAAAGAAAACGTGATAGATATATGCAATGAAACACTATTCAGCCACAAGAAAGAAGGAAATTCTAATATTGGCAGCAACATGGATATGTCTGGAGGACACGGTGTTAAATTAAATAAGCCAGGCACAAAAAAATAATTATCACATGTTCTAAGTCATATGTGGAAGCTAATAAAGTTGATCTCATAGAAGTAGAGAGTAAAATAGTATTACCAGAGGCTGGACAAGGTAAAGGAAAGAGGGGATAAAGAAAGGCCGATTAAAAGTTACAAAACCGGCCGGCCACGGTGGCTCACTCCTGTAATCCCAGCACTTTGGGAGGCCAAGGTGGGCGGATCACGTGGTCAGGAAATCGAGACAATTGTGGCCAACATGGTGAAACCCCGTCTCTATTAAAAATACAAAAATTAGCTGGGTGTCATGGCACATGCCTGTAATCCCAGCTATTAGGAAGGCTGAGGCAGGAAAATCGTTTGAACCAGGGAGTGGGAGGTTGCAGTGAGCCGACATCACGCCACCACACCCCAGCCTGGTGACAGAGTGAGACTCCATCTCAAAGAAAAAAAAAAGATACAAAACTACAGCTAGATAGGAGAAATAATTTCCAGCATTCTATAGCACTGAAGCTTGACTATAGTTAACAATAATTTATTGTATATTTTCAAATATCTAAAAGAGAGGATTTTGAGTGTTCCCAACACAAAGAAATGATAAATATTCGAAGTGATGAATATGCTAAATACCATGATTTGATCATTACACATTGTATACATGTATTAGAATATCACACTGTACTCCATAGGTATATACAATTATTATATATCAATTAAAAATCAATACTTTAAAAAAACACTGGGTGAATCCATGCACACAGACAACTTATTAAAAATTGTCTTCTTGGCCAAATGCAATTCTTAACTACAGCTGCATTCCAGTTTGCTATTATTTTAAATAAAATTTTAAATGTAGATAAAATATGTCATAGCAAAAGCTATAAAGCTGCAATAAATCATTCTGAAAGCACAATTCATAAGAATTTGCTTACATAAGCACTATGTTAGTAATTTAGCTGTGGATCTTCTTGACAGGTAGACACTATTGAGTGCATGATTCTAAAAAGAAAAATAAAGGCTTACTGTGATACTAACCAAGTCTGCTCAGCATTAAACACAAGAGCGAGATGCACTAGCAGTACAATTATCACAAGGGAACCAACCACAGTTGACCCTTAAACAACAGGTATTTGAACTGCATAGGTCCAGTTATATGCAGATTTTTTTCAGTAAGTACAGTTGGCCCTCCACACCAAACTCAAACCAAACCCAGATTGAAAATACGGTATTCGCAGGAGGCAAAAACCTGTATAAGGAGAGCTGACTTTTCCTATCCTCAGATGCTTCAGAGTCAACTCTGGGATTTGAGTATGCCTGGGTTTTAGTATGCACAGGTGAACCTGGAACCAATACCCTGCAAATAAGGAGAGACAATGGTACATTGATGACTATTAATATAAATTGTCTTAATCATGAGCCATGAGGAAAAAAAATGGAACAGACTCTATTATGTCCTAGGGAAAATTAGTAACAAAAAAAATGCTGGGTATGCAGGGTATACCATATGTATGCCCTACAATCTTGAAACAAAAGTTTTAAAAACTTTAAATTCAAGACCTAGTTCTTCCATTTACTATTGTATGTACATTGGGAGAGTCCCTTCATCACTCTGGGCTTCCATTTCCTCCTCTGTTATCTTGCAGCATTTAATTACAATTGCAATTATTCAATTTATTGTGGTTTTGTCCATATCCCTTAATAGAATATAAACTGCATAATGATAAGGATGTTGCCTGTATCAGTCACTACAGTATCCCTATCACCTAGCACAGGGCCTGGCTTATTGTAGAGGCTCATTAATGATATTGAAAAAATGACTTAAATCTTACAAATAAACTCTAACTCATAAGATTATCTTAACTAAACAAGATCATTTAGTGCCAGCTCTTTTGTAAGCCATAAACTATTGTAAAAAAAAAAAAAAGTTCATTATTTTTTTTTTTTTTTTTTTGAGACGGAGTCTCGCTCTGTCGCCCAGGCTGGAGTGCAGTGGCGCAATCTCGGCTCACTGCAAGCTCCGCCTCCCGGGTTCACGCCATTCTCCTGCCTCAGCCTCCCAAGTAGCTGGGACTACAGGCGCCCGCCACTACGCCCGGCTAATTTTTTGTATTTTTAGTAGAGACGGGGTTTCACCGTTTTAGCAAAAAAGTTCATTATTAACCAAACATTTCAACCAAGTCTTCCTGAATTTACAAAAAGCAAAATGAAGACTTGCTAGCTCTGCACTGTAACTGGTAACACTGCCAATGAGTCACTTGACTTTTGTAGACTACAGCTGTACATCTTAAAATGGAGCCAGCCTACCTAATCCTGATAGAAGAATAAAATAATGTATGTATGGTAAGCTGCATAATGATCCCGATCCCAATGTCCTAATCCCTGGAACATGTGTGAATTTTTCCTTAAATGGCAAAAAGGACTTTTCAGATTTGACTAAGTTAAAGATCTCGAAACAGGTAACTTACCCTGGATTATCCATGTGGGCTCAGTCTAATCACAAGGTTCCTTTTTTTTTTTTTTTTTTTGAGACGGAGTCTCGCTCTGTCGCCCAGGTTGGAGTGCAGCGGCGAGATCTTGGCTCACTGCAAGCTCTGCCTCCCGGGTTCACGCCATTCTCCTGCCTCAGCCTCCCAAGTAGCTGGGACTACAGGTGCCCGCCACCACGCCCAGCTAATTTTCTGTATATTTACTAGAGACGGGGTTTCACTGCCTTAGCCAGGATGGTCTTAATCTCCTGACCTCGTGATCCACCTGCCTCGGCCTCCCAAAGTGCTGGGATTACAGGCGTGAGCCACCGTGCCCGGCCACAAGGTTCCTTTTAAGAAGAGGGATCTGAGCCAGAAAAGGCAATCTGATGATGGAAGCAGAAATTAGAGTGATGCACGTTGAAGAGGTAGGAAGCCAAGGAATACAGGCAGCCAGTAGTAGCTGAAAAGGGCTGGGAAATGGAGTCGCCCTTCAGAGCCTCCAAAAGGAACCAGCCTTTTGACACCTTGTCTTTAGCCCGGTGACACTGACTTTAGACTTCCAACCTCCAGAACTGTCAAAGGATAAATTTGTGTTAAGTTGTTAAGTTTATGGTAGTAATTGCAATAAGACTGTAATACAGTGAGTCAAGTTGGTTTAGCCGTGAAGCAGTATACTGGAATCATGTGTAGCGTTTCTTGTCTGAGGGAAAAGTATAAAGGGATCTCTATGTTCAAAGGAGCAAGCCATCAACTATTGAACTATATAATATTATCCTAAAAAGATTAATTGCTTAGGACCTTGATATTGTTAGAAGATTGCTGCAGGGAAAAATATTAATCCCCACCTCTCTGACAAGGACATTTTAGAATTATAATTAAGGCCTCCATGTGTTGTAGTACATGTTTTTTGTACATTGACTCATTCAATTCTTGCAACATCCCCATGAGGTTAGTATCAATGTTCCCATTTTTTTATATAGGAAGGCTGTAGTTCAGAAGAATCAAGTAACTTGCCTAAGGTGAAACACATGTCTAAGTGAAGGAGCCGAGGTTTTTTGTTTTTTGTTTTGGTGACAATTTGGCTATGGAATCATGAAGTTTCCTTACAGATCAAGCTGAGAGTAATAAGGAAAAAGTGCTTTGTTCTGCCTCCTGCTATCTCACCGGTTGCCTGGGGACTGACTTCTCATGTGCTCTATCTCTACAGTACCTATGTAGAACAAAATGAAATTGGACTTCTGCCTAGAGTTGCACAGTTTCACTTCAAAGTATCCAAGATTGCAGATTTCTCTATCCACATTAACTTGCCAGACGTTTAATTACATGGAGAGCTCCTTACTCTGTTCCATAGTTAAACTTTAAAACAGGAATAAAAACTTACCAGAAAATAAATTCATTATTTTAGGGCTTTGCTGGGGACTGGCTGGATTGAACAAACTTTGGTGTGTTTTATCCTTTTTTGGTCTTTCCTCCTAAAAAATAGATACATTTGTAAAAATAGTGTTCACTTGCAGCTTGTCTTGCAACTCTATGCTTATCTCTATAGGCTCCTGGAACCGTGGATCCTCCCATGGCCAAGATAGGGATGAAATATACTAGGTTATTAATAATGCTCTTTAAAGTCTGAGAGACCCCTAAGAATACTAGCTTGTCTACACTGTTTACTGAAAATATATGGACTAATATCGTAGACTTGATTCACTGGGTTACACAGCCTCATTTTGGCTACATAACCAGTGAGACATAAAACACCCCTCAGTAAACTTTTGCTTGGTTTCACATATCTTAGTGGATTGTAATCCAGAGACTAGATGTGCCCTTTGCAACTGAGAGGCGATCCTGGAAAGCTGCACATGAATGTCTCAAATCTTCCTGATATTTGTCTGTGCTCTTTCTCTTTCTGCTGTTTTGTGCCCTTTGTCTTTACTAAAACCTTTTGAAAGCTTTGTGGAGTCCTGTGAGTTCTTCCAATTATACAACCCTATGTAATTGCTGCAATATGTATTCTGGTCCACTGTAATAAAGCCCAGAAGAGCAACGGATTTTGTCACTTTCAAGAAAGTGATAGTGAAGAAGGTGTTTGAAGCATGCTCAGGACTTGAAACTTGCTCCCCAGTTCTAGAACTTCAAAGTCATTTTTCCTTATTTATTGGTTCATTATTAAATATTTAATGAGCACCTACTGTGTGCAAATGCATGCCAACAATCCAAAGGTGTATTTTCCTTCCCTTTTTCTCTGCGACGTTCTCCTCTACCTTAAAAAAACACGCACAATATTTGAGTTCCAGTGTCATTTGATTAATCTCACATTTGAACCCTTCCCTAGAAACAAATGATAGACTATATTTAAGCCAGCGAATTTTGATTTATTCAAAGAAGTAGATGTATTAAATTTTGGTATTTCAAGCTCCTCCACTTTGTGTTCTGTGTCTAAAAGAGAAGAAGATGCAAGTGACTGAGAAATGAGAGTCAAGCCTCCATTATCTCCTAAGAATTATATTCTCTGAAAATGTGTAGCTTTTCAATTGCTTCAAGCAGTATTAGACTATTCACTAACATCCTAAAATGATGACTACATCTTGCTCACATCTATACAGTAACTCTATATCCTACTGTTCTTTAAAATGTGAATAATAGAAGAGTGATGTCAGCAAGATTAGAGATGCCTGGCACTTGTGCCCTCTTCCCCAATAAAGGACCAAGGCAATTAATAATTAGCTAAGACTTGACTGGAGTGTCAAAGGGAGAGCACTGGAGTGCAGCTGAGGAGTGAAGATGCACCTTTGATGATTGAAAGTCCAGGAAAGCAGCATGAAGATACCTGGTCACTGCAGCTATGTCTCCCTGCCCTGATCAGACCTGCCCAGAATAAGGGAGGGCTTCCCACTGTGGGGAAAAGATAAGCAGAAGATCCCCACCAGCCCCCATTGCCACCACAAACGCCTACAACTTACACCTACAGTCCTTACAACTGGAGAATCCCATACCTTGCAAGCCCTAAGCTCAGTTTAGAGAGCTACCAGGAATTCATGCAGCTGTACTACACCCAGGTAAGGAGCACAAGGTGTGCACTCCTCACCCCCACCCACTCCTTCTGAGCCAAGTTGCTAAAGCATGGCATCATCTTGAGACCAGGGCCACATCTGAAGGGTGCCCTGCTTGGTGGGTCAGTATCCAATGCATTTCTCCAGAACTGGGTTCCATCTTCATTTCACCAAGCCCACATAAGTGGCTGAACATCACAACCCCAGCCATACTGAGCCTGGGCCCACGATCCAGGATCAGCTATGACTCTCTTCTTGCACTGCAGGGAAACCAACTCTCACCACCATACTTCCCAGCGAGAGGAACAGTCTGGTAGTTCCACCCAGGGTGAGCCTCCCTGGAGCTGACCAAACTGCTATATGCTCTTTTCCAAATGGGAGATGTCTCCAAGCCTTCAAGCAGCTGACATGTCCCCAGGCCAGCAGAGTGACTATGCACCCTTGCTCAGGACCTGAGAAATAGCCCTGAAGGGCCCTTCCCCCTGTAGACATGCCCTAGTCTGCCCAAGGCCCCTGTGCCTGAAATCAGGGCCTAAGAAACAGTCCAGCAGGCCACCCCTGGTTAATACTCCCCCAGACTGACCAAGCAGCCAAGAGCCCACATTCCAGAACTGAGAAACAGCCCCATGAGCCACCTTAGCAGACATATCCAAGACCAGCTGAGCAGCCATGCTCCCACATATCAGGCCTAAGAACAACCCCATGGGCCACTTCCCATGGGCCCATGGGCCAGCCAAGCAGCCTTGCACCTGCATCCTAGGCCTATAAAACAATCCTATAGGCCACTCCCATAGAAACACCCCCTGGCCAGTGAAGCAGATGTATGGCCACAAACTGGGCCTGAGAAACATCCCTGTGGGTGTTTCTGGGTGCAGCAAACATGCACCCAGGACAGGTGAAAAGCCATATGACTGCATCCCAGGCTGAGAAACAACCATAACCCCTCCCCCAGGCAGATACTCCCCCAGGCCAGCTGAGCAGCCATATGCTGTCATCCTGGGCCTGAGAAGTAGCCTCCTGGGCTGCTCCTAGCAGATACGTCCCCAGGCCTGCCAAGCATACGCCGCAATCTGATAAAAAGCCCAGAAATCGCCCTCCTGGAAAAGCCGCAACTATCACCATAAACTCTCTCAGCCTACACCACTGATAAATTCACAAATGCCACTAGTGTGAATTATAGCTGAAGAAACTACACAGAGACTACACTGCTGTGTCCACCTCAAAGCAAGGTCAGAGTAACAACCTTGCGGATCACTCTCAGAAAATGTACTCTCAGGGCAACTGAGCAGTCATGCAGCTGTGCTCCAGGCTTGAGAAACAGTCCTGATCCTGGCAGGTGCACTCACAGGCAGACTGAGAAAGCATGTGCCCATGTTCTTGGCCAGAGTAACAGCCTCATGGCCCCAATCCTAGCAAACCAGAACCCAAGTTGGCTGACCCACCACATGCACAGATGTGTCTGCCACCTGACAAATAGGTTGAGCCCACCCCTGGCAAAGCCACACCACGCTCACCATAAACTCTCAGGCTAGGCCACTGAGAAATTCACAAATGCCACTAGTGTGGACTACAGCTAATGAAACTACATGGGTACTACACTACTGTGTCAACCTTGAAGCAAGGCCAACATCCCAAGACCCACTCATATGAAAAACACTTTCCCTACAAGACCTACTCCATAAAATTGGAAGAGGCAACTTTCTCATGAGATGCATAGAAATCAAGATAGGGACACATGAAACATTAAAAAGCAAAGAAATATAACACCTACAAAGGAAAACAAAAATTATCCAGTAACAGACCTTGGTCATAATGAAATATATGAAATGTCAGAAAAAGAATTTGAAATAATAATCTTAAAACATATGGAGATAAAAGTGAATACAGACAGTCTATTCAATGAATCAGAAAAGCAATTCATTATTTTGATGAGAAAGTCAAAAAAGAGATAGATTTCATAAAATAAAACAAAGCAGAAGTCCTAGAGCTGAAGATTTCAATGAATGAAATAGCACAATTGAAGGCCTCAAGAAGAGATTAGAACAAGCAGAAAAAAGAATTTCTGATCTTGAAGACAAGTCTTTTGAAATAACACAAATAGACCAAAAAAAGAATAAATTGGATACTTTTAAGTGAATAAATGCTTGTATTATGGACATTCCAGAAGGAGAGAAAAAGGGGAAGGGTGAGGAAAATGTATTTGGTGAAATCAAAGCAGAAAAATTCCCAAGTATTGTAGAGAGATAAACATCCAGGTCCAGGAATCTCAAAATGCCAAACAGATTCAACCCAAACATGTTCTATCCAAGGGAAATTGTAGTCAAATTGTCAAAAGACAAAGAATTTTAAAGGCAGCAAGAGAAAAGCATCAAGTCACATATAAGGGAATCTCCATTAGACTAACATCAGATTTCTCAGTGGAAACCTTATAGGCCAGGAGATTTTGGGATAAAATATTCAAAATCCTGAAGGAAAAAAAAAAACCTGCCAGTCAAGGATATTATGCCCAGCAAAATTATCCTTCATACGCAAAAGAGAAATAATCTTTCCCAGACAAGCAACAGCTGAGAGAATTTATTACTACCAAACTGGCCCTACCAGAAGTGCTTGAGGGAAACCTAAACCTCGACACAAAAGGACAACATTACCATGATGAAAACACACAAAAGTATAGAAATCACTAGTAAAGCAAAAACACAAATGAGGAAGAGGAAGGAATCAAACTTTATCACTACAGAAAATCACCAAACCACAAGGACAAACACTAAGAGAAAAGGAACAAAGACTATACAAAACAACCAGAAAACAGTTAACAATGTGACAAGAACACAACTTCACATAGCAATAATAATCTTAGATGAAAATAGCTTGGATTCCCATGAGAGAATTATTATATTTATATATTATATTAATATAATTATAATATATATGGAATTATATATTAGTATTATATATACTATTAGTATTATATATACTAATATATTTTATTAATTTATTAATAAAATATATAGACTGAATGGATACAAAAAAATTTGAGACCCAACTATATGCTGCCTACAAGAAACTTGCCTCACTAATAAAGACAATCTGAAAGGGAATGGTAGAAAAAGGTATTTCATGCAAATGAAAACCAGAAAAGAGCAGGAGTAGCTGTATTTAGACAAAACAGACTTTGAGTTAAAAACTATTTTAAAAAGACAAAGAAGGACATTATATAATAATAAAGAGATCAATTCAGCAAGAAAATGTAACAACTGTAAATACATATGCACCAAACACCAGTATAACCAGATATATGGAGCCAATATTATTAAAACTAAAGGGAGAAATCCGAACACGATCATAGTTGGGGACTTCAACACCCCACTCTCAGCATTGGACTGATTATCTAGATAGAAAATCAACAAAGAAATACCAGATTTAAATTGCAGCACAGACCAAATGGACATAACAGACATTTACAGAACATTTCACCCAATAGCTGCAGAACACACATACTTTTCATCAGCACATAGAATTTTCTCCAAGAATGATCATGTGTTAAAACACAAAAGAAATCTCAAAATATTTTTAAAAATCAAAATTCTATCAAGTATCTTGTCTGCCCATAATGAAATAAAATTAGACATCAAAACAAGAGGGACATTCAAAACTATACAAATACATGAGAATTACACAATGCACTTCTGAATGACCAATAGGTGAAGGAGAAAATTAAGAAAATAAAATTTAAATTCCTCAAAACAAGTGAAAATACGAACACAAAATAACAAAACCTATGGGATATAGCAAACAAAGTATTAAGAAGCAAGTTTATTACAATAAATGCTTACATCAAAAAAGTAGGACGATTTCTAATAAACAACCTAACATTATACTTCAAAGAACTGGAAAAGCAAGAACAAACCAAACACAAAATTAGTATAAGGAAATAAGATCCAAGCAGAAATAAGCAAAACTGAGGCTAAAAACAAAATATAAAAGATCAATAAAGCTAAATGTTTGCTTTTTGAAAAGATAAACAAAACCAGCAAATCATTAGCTTTACTAAGAAAAAAGAAAGAATTCAAATAAATAAAATCAGAAATGAAAAAGGAGACATAACAATGGATATTACAGAAATACAAAAGATCATTAGAGAATACTATGAACAACTATATGCCAATAAATTTGAAAAACTAAAGGAAATGGATAAATTTCTAGACAAAACCTACCAAGATTGAACCAAGAAGAAACAGACAACTTAAACAGACTGATAATAAGTAACGAGATGGAAACGTTATAATCTCTCACCAAAGAAAAGTCCAGGACTGCAAAATTACTGTGATAACAAAACCAAAGACATTACAAGAAATAATAATAATAATAGTAAACTACATGTGCAATGAACTGAATGTTTATGTTCCCCCAAAATTCAAATGCTGAAATACTACCCCTTAATGTGATGGTATTAGAAGGTTGGACCTTTGGAAGGAAATTAGTTCATGGGGGTGGAGCTCTCATGAATGTGGTGAGTTCCTTATAAAAGGAACCCCAGAGCTCTTTCTTAGCCTCTTTCTACCACGGGAAGATACCACAAGAAGTCAGTAGTCTACAACCCAGAAGAAGGCACTCATCAGTACTGGACCACATTGGTGTCCCCTTCAGAATTGCAGCCTCCAGAACTGTGAGAAATTAATTCCTGTTGTTGATAAGCTCCCAGTTTATGGTACTTTCTTATAACAGCCTTATAAACTGACTAAGACAACAGGCCAATATCCCTCATGAATTTAGATGCAAAACCTTTGGCAAATTAAATCCAACAATGTATAAAAATGGTAATACATCATGACTAAGTAAGATTTCATGTTTACCTTAACATTTGCAATCAAATCACCATATCAACAAGCACAAAAAGAAGCACATACGATCATCTAATTACACGTGGAAAAAGCATTTGACTATTCCAAAATCAATCCCAATAAAAATTCTCAGCAAACTAGGCATAGAAGGGAACTTCTTGATTTGATAAACAACATTTACAAAAACCTAAAGCTAACATCATGTTTTGTGGTTAAAGACTGAATAGGATAGTTTCCTCCTAAGATCTGAAAAAATAATGTTCACTCTCATCACTTCTAAGATTTTACAGAAAGATTCAGCCATTGCTATAATGTAAGAAAATGAAATAAAAGTTGTCTAAATTGGGAAAAAGTAAAACTGTCTTTCTTACAGATGACATTATCATTTATTTAGAAAATTGGATGGAATCTACCCTTTTAAAAAGGCATTAAAACCAGTAAGTGTGTTTGGCAACATTGCTAGGTACAAGATCAATATACAGGCCAAGTGCGTTGGCTCACACCTGTAAACTCATTGATTTGGGAGGCAGAGACAAGAGATCACCTGAGACCAAGAGTTTGAGACCAGCCTGGGCAAAATGGCAAGATTTCATCTCTACTACAAATTTAAAAATTAGGCATGATGATGTATACCGTTAGTCCCAGCTACTCAGGAGGCTGAGATGGGAGGATTACTTGAACCCAGGAGGCCAAGGCCACAGTGAGCTATGATTGCACCACGGCACTCCAGACTGGGCAACAGAGTGAGACCCTGTCTCTAAAAATAAATTAACATAAAATAAAATATTAAAAAAAAACAAAGACAATCCAGGACTGAATAGTTCACTACTGAATTCTACCAAATCTTTAAAAAAGAATTAATACCAATTATTCCCAAATTATTTCATAAAATTGAAGCACAGGGAATTCTTTCTAACTCATGATACCAGGCAAGCATAACCCAAATAATAAAGGCAAAAAGCAACACAACAACAACAAAAAAAGAAAATTAAAAGAAAAAAATGCCAATATATCTGATGAATATAAACACAAAATCCTCAATAAAATACTAGCAAACAAAATCCAACAGCACATCAAAAAGATAGTACACCATGATCAGGTGGAATTTATGCCAGAAATACAAGGATGCTTTAACATATGCAAAACAATAAACATCATATATCACATCAATAGAATGAAGAATAAAAAACCATGTAATTTTCTCAATAGATGCCCAAAAAAGCATTTGATAAAATTCAGCCTCCCTTCATAATAAGAACTCTCAACAAATTAGGTATAGAAGGAAAAAAGTACCTCAATATAATAAAGGCCATATATGACAAACCCACAGCTAACACCTTCCTAAACAGGGAAAGACTGAGAGCTTTTCCTCTAATAACTGTAAAAAGACAAGGATGCCTACTTTTAGCGTGTGTATTCAACATAGTACCGGACATACTACTCAGAGCAAGTAGACAAAAGAAAGAAATAAAGTGCATCCAACGCATCCAAATTGGAAAAAAAGAAGTCAATTTTGCTTGGTTTACAGATGACATGCTCCTACATATAGAAAAACTAAAGACCACCGAAAACCTCTTAGAACTGATAAAATAATTCAGTAAAGTTGGAGGATAAAAAATCAATATAAAAGATCAGCAACATTTCTTTACATGAATAATAAACTACCTGAAAAAGAAATCTAGAAGGCAATCACATTTATAATAGCTGCAATAAAATCTAAAAATAAATTTAACAAAGAAGGTAAAGATCTTTGCAATAAAAATTACAAAACATTGATGAAAGAAATTGAAGGGGATACAAACAAATGTAAAAACATCCCATGCTCATGGATTAGAATAATTAATATTGTTAAAATGCCATACTACCAAAAGTAATCTACAAATTCAGTGTAATCTGGATCAAAATACCAATGGTGTTCTTCACAGAAATAGAAACAGCAGTCCTAAAATTTGTATAGAACCAAAAAAGACCCCAAGTAGACAAAGATATCCTGAGCAAAATGAACAAACCTAGATGAATCACAGTAGCAGACTTCAAAATATATTCAAAGCTATAGTAAGCAAAACAGCATGGTGCTGGACTAAAAATAGATACATGGACCAAGGGAACAGAATAGATAACCCAGAAATTAATCCATGCATCCAAAGACAACTGACTTTTTTAAATTATACTTTAAGTTCTAGGGTACATGTGCACAACGTGCAGGTTTGTTACATATGTATACACGTGCCATGTTGGTGTGCTGCACCCGTTAACTCATCATTTACATTAGGTATATCTCCTAATGCTATCCCTCCCCCCTCCCCCTACCCCACAACAGGCCCCGGTGTGTGATGTTCCCCACCCTGTGTCCAAGTGTTCTCATTGTTCAATTCCCACCTATGAGTGAGAACATGCAGTGTTTGGTTTTCTGTCCTTGAGATAGTTTGCTCAGAATGATGGCTTCCAGCTTCATCCATGTCCCTGCAAAGGACATGAACGCATCATTTTTTATGGCTGCATAGTATTCCATGGTGTATATGTGCCACATTTTCTTAATCCAGTCTATCATTGATGGACATTTGGGTTGGTTCCAACTCTTTGCTATTGTGAATAGTGCCGCAATAAACATATTTGTGCACGAGACAACTGATTTTTAATAAAGATACCAAGAAAACTCTTTGGGGAAAGGCTACTCTTCAAAAAATGGTGCTGGGAAAACTGGATATTCATATGCAGGGGAATGAAACTAGACCCCTATCTCCCACCACATACAAAACTTTAACTGGATCAAAGACATAAATATAAGACCGCAAAATATAAAACTATTAGAAGAAAGCAGAGAAAATGTTTCAGTACATTAGCCTGAAAGAAAAAATTAAAATAAGACCTCAAAAGCATAGGCAACAAAAGCAAAAATAAACAAATGAAATTATATCAAACTGAAAAGCTTCCTTACAGCAAACGAAGCCATCAACAGAGTGAAAAGACAACCTACAGAATGTGAGAAAACATTTGCAAAGTATTCCTTCAACAGGTGATTAATATCCAGAATATATAAGGAGCTCAAAGATCTCAGCAGCAAAATATATAATTTTTTTAATTTTTAAAAAATTCGATTTAAAAATGGGCAAATGATCAGAAGACCCATTTCCCAAAAGAAATGTATTAATGGCCAATAAATATATTAAAAATCTACTCAGTGTCACTAATCATCAGGGAATTGCAAATCAAAACTACAATGCACTATCATTTCACCACAGTTAGTATGGCAATTATCAAAAAGACAAAAAATAACAAATGCTGGTGAGACTGTGGAGAGAAGGGAACTCCTATACACTGCTAGTGGGAATGCAAAGTAGTAGAGCCACTATGGAGAACAGTATGATGCTTTCTCCAAAAATTACAAATAGAACTACCATATGAGTCAGCAGTCCCACTACTGGGCATTTATTGAAAGGGAAGGAAATCAGTATATCGAAGAGACATCTGCACCCCCATGTTTACTGAAGTACTATTCACAATAGGTAAGATATGAAATCAACCTCAATGTCCAATAACAGATGAATGGATAAAGAAAACATGTTATATATACACACTGGAATAATATTCCACCACAAAAAATGAAATTCTGTTATTCATGGCAAAATGGATAGAACTGGAGGACACTATGTTAAGTAAAGTAAGCCAGGAAGAGTTAGCCTGCTCATGTTCTCATTCATATGTGGACGCTAAAAAATGTTGATCTTACAGAAGTAAAAAGTAGAACAGAAAATACTAGAGGCTGAGAAGGGTAGGAGGGGGGGAACAACAGAGGGGGATTTGCTAAAGAATAAAAAATTAGGGCGATAAGAGAGGTAGGTAATTGAGTACAATCATACAGTTAGATAAAATGTATAAATTCTCTCATTGGAAAGTAGAGTATACAGTGATTATAGTTAAAAACTATGTATTGTATATTTCACAGTAGCTAAAAGAGATGATGATTTGTTCCCAACACATAGAAATGAGAAATACTCAAAGTGATATTGATCATTATACATTTTATGCATGTAGCAAAATATCACCTGTACCCATTAATGTGTAAAATATCATGTATCAATGTGAATTTTTTAAATTTTAAATGAATACAAAATTACATCTAGATAGGAGCAATAAATTCTAGTGTTCTATATCAATGTCAGATGACTATAGTTAACAATAAATATACTTACAAAAAGCTAGAAGGATGATACTGAACGGTCACAACAGAGAAATAATAAATGTTTGAGAAGATGGATATGCTGATTTTCCTAATCTGATCACTATATATTATATGTATTAAAACATCACTACGTAACCGATGAATATGAATATATAATTATTATTCATCAAGTTAAAAATTAAATAAATAGTTATTTTTAAAATGTGAATGCTAACGATATTGGGGACACCAGGTATAGCACATCCTGTCACTAATGGATGACTTCACATGACTTCCTGACTTGGTAGACTGATGAAGCAAAATACTAGGTAGTGAATTATGTAGGCTGCTCCCTGGATATTAGATATTCTGTTCATCATGGGCTCAGCATGCATTAGTTATTTTCTCTCCTTTAAGTCATGTGCTTTTATGACTCCCAGTAGTATCAGGAAACTGTATTTTCAATCCTTCACATCATGTTCTCTCTTTTCTTTCCAGGTCATTGCACATGTTTATCCCACTGTCTAGAATACTTGTCCCTCCCTTTTATTCTTGTTTTCCTTCCAAATTACTTGGCCACATCAACTTACATGTCGGGTCTCAGCTTAAGTACATTTCCTCCACAAGGCCTTTCTGAATTCTCGGACAAAATTAAAGGCCTCTTCCCCATATGTTCCAATAGTTCTCTCTACTTCCCCTTTCATAATATTACCTCTCCTGTAATTAACTGTTTAATCCTCTGACTTTATCGTTTACATTGTAAATCCCATCAAATTCACTGTTGACATTTAGCAGCTGGAATATTTCTGGACATGTGGTTTTAAAGAATTGACACATAAACTCTCTTTGTTCTGTTTTGTTCACTGGAGATAATACACACCACTCAGTGTAAGATTATTTTAGTAATAGTGCTATGAGAAACAAGAAGCTGCATACAATAGTATACACATATATTTATATGCATAGGTGCTACAAGAAAGGCAACCTGAATAGTTCCTTTTTTGATAGGTGATATGGGGTCACACCTGACAAAACTGTAAGGTCTAAACAACCCATTCCCACTCTCCAGCCCCTCCTTTTATCATTCTTTATCCCCAAACCACTGGCGACTCATATCCTTATCTTACTCTTCAACTAAGCATTTCCCTTTTGTTCAACATCTATCCCTCAAAAAAATCTGAGAGCTCTAGTACCACCATTTCCATACTTTAAAAAAATAAAGTGTTTATGTAGTACTAGCTCATTTGGTCACCTATATTTGAACCAATATAACCAGATTTTCAACATATGGATTTAAAAAATAATTTCTTAAGAAAATTAACTATCATAAAACTACATAAGATCGAAATCTGGATCGTGATGATAAAACTTTGTGATGACAACTACTTTAAACTGTATAAGTACTAGCTGACTTTGATTGCTTGTTATAAGCCAGATTCTCTTAAACACTATACATGGATTATCTCATTTAATCCCCTACATCAACTCTATGAGGTCTGTACTCTTGCTCTCCTCATTTTATTTTTTTATTTTAAATAAAATTATGAAACAATTTTAAACTTCTGATTCAATGTTTAATAAAGTAAACATTATATTAAGGACTCACAAAATCAATAGCTCTTTGGGGTCCTTAAAACATTTTTATTATTATATTATTATACTTTAAGTTTTAGGATACATGTACACAACGTGCAGGTTTGTTACATATGTATACATGTGCCATATTGGTGTGCTGCACCCATTAACTCGTCATTTAGCATTAGTTATATCTCCTAATGCCATCCCTCCCCCCTCCCCCCACCCCACAACATTCCCCGGTGTGTGATGTTCCCCTTCCTGTGTCCATGTGTTCTCATTGTTCAATTCCTACCTATGAGTGAGAACACACAGTGTTTGGTTTTTTATCCTTGCGATAGTTTGCTGAGAATGATGGTTTCCAGCTTCATCCATGTCCCTACAAAGAACATGAACTCATCATTTGTTATGGCTGCATAGTATGCCATGGTGTATATGTGCCACATTTTCTTAATCCAGTCTATCATTGTTGGACATTTGGGTTGGTTCCAAGTCTTTGCTATTGTGAATAGTGCCGCAATAAACATACGTGTGCATGTGTCTTTATAGCAGCATGATTTATAATCCTTCAGGTATGTACCCAGTAGTGGGATAGCTGGGTCAAATGGTATTTCTAGTTCTAGATCACTGAGGAATCACCACACCGAATTCCACAATGGTTGAACTAGTTTACAGTCCCACCAACAGTGTAAAAGTGTTCCTATTTTTCCACATCCTCTCCAGCACCTGTTGTTTCTTGACTTTTTAATGACCGCCATTCTAACTGGTGTGAGATGGCATCTCATTGTGGTTTTGATTTGCATTTCTCTGATGGCCAGTGATGATGAGCATTTTTTCATCCGTTTTTTGGCTGCATAAATGTCTTCTTTTGAGAAGTGTCTGTTCATATCCTTTGCCCACTACACCGCATGTTCTCACTCATAGGTGGGAATTGAACACATGAGAACACATGGACACAGGAAGGGGAACATCACACACCGGGGAATGTTGTGGGGTGGGGGGAGGGGGAAGGGATGGCATTAGGAGATATAACTAATGCTAAATGATGAGTTAATGGGTGCAGCACACCAACATGGCACATGTATACATATGTAACAAACCCGCACGTTGTGTACACATACCCTAAAACTTAAAGTATAATAATAATAAAAAATTGTATTAAGGACCCCAAAGAGCTATTGATTTTGTGAGTCCTTAATATAATGTTTACTTTATTAAACATTGAATCAGAAGTTTTAAAATTGTTTCATAATTTTATTTTAAAGATTAGAAAACTGAATTCAAGAATGAGTAAGGAACTTGGCTAAGATCACCCTGGCTAAGATCACCCTATTAGTAGAATGCAGATCTGGGACTCAAACCAAGGAGGTCTGACCCCACAGCTCATCTGATTACCTAGTGCTTCTCAATAATAAGAAAAGTCAAACTTTTACAACTACCACCTAACCAAATAAGTTTTATCAATTTTGCAATGAATTCACCTGCTGGTAATTGGATGTCTTATAAAAATACAAATTTTTTATTTTCAACAAATATTTTTCTATAAGAAAATGTTTCAACCACAAACATTTAATGACATGAGTTGGTGGCACTTTGTCTAGAGCTGCAACTTTCTCTTCTGTTTGAATTTATTAATATAAACATGATACTGCAAGTACTAAAATTGAATCATCACTTGGTTCCTTATTTGTTTTTTTTCAAAAGTTTTACAGATGGTTTTTATTTAAGAGAGTACACTTCAATAGAGTACTGCAGCAACATTCACTGTACTGTGAACATCTGAAAATGTTTTGTGAGTAATTTTAACCAACTCAAGATTTTCCACTTTTTTAACAGATGTAGTGAATAGTAAATTTAACCTGCGCATCATGCCAAATATTTTTTGCATTATGGAATAGAATTAACAGCTTTGAATACTAATGGTAAATTATGAGTCACATGAATAATGCATTAATATTAATTATTCAGGCACAATTCATGTCTGATGACCATTTTGCTTGCCTTACACAGTGCCATGAAAGCCCTCAGCAGTCAGGTGAGATTACCCCCAGGAAGAGGGGTTCTATGTAGAGAAGAAGTCCAGTAGGAATCTTCAGAAACCTCCAACCACATGCCTTCTTAGAAAATCAGCATGCAGAAGCCTGCCACACAGAAGCCCTCCATGGCCAACAGGTGTTTCTTAGCAAAGCAAACCCTTACCTACAGGAAATCAAACACAGGGAGGGACAAAGATTATAAGCAATTAGGAAAAAAGGGGCATTTGTCCTTCTTCCCTTCTTATCCTTGACACCAGACAATTTAGGTCTTAAAAAGAGAAGAGGAAGAAGTACCCCAGAATCAGACTCTTCACCCACTACAACACACACACACATGCACATATACACCCTTTTCACCTGGTGTCTTAGTCCATTTTCACACTGCTATGAAGAAATACCTGAGATTGGGTAATTTATAAAGAGAAAATATTTAATTGACTTACAGTCCCGCCAGGCTGGGGAGGCCTCAGGAAACTTACAATCATGGCAGAAGGCACCTCTTCACAGGGCGACAGGAGAGAGAAGTGCCGAAGAAAGGGGGAAAAGCCCCTTATAAAACCATCAGATCTCATGAGAACTCACTATCATGAGAACGGCATAGAGGTTGGCCCCATTATTCAATTATTTCCCACCAGGTCCCTCCCACAACATGTGGGGATTATGGGAACTACAATTCAAGATGAGATTTGGGTGGGGACACAGCTAAACCCTATCATTCCACCTCTGGCCCCTCCCACATCTCATGTCCTCACATTTCAAAACACAATCGTGCCTTTCCAACAGTTCCCCCAAAGTCTTAGCTCATTCCAGCATTAACCCAAAAGTCCAAGTCCAAAGTCTAATCTGAGACAAGGCAAGTCCCTTCTGCCTATGAGCCTATAAAATGGAAAGACCATTAGTTACTTCCTAGATACAATGGGGGTAGAGGCATTTAGTAAATGCACCCATTCCAAATGGGAGAAATTGGCCAAAACAAAGGGGCTACAGGCCCCATACAAGCACAAAATCAAATAGGGCAGTCATTATGCCTTAGAGTTCCAAAGTGATTTCCTTTGACTCCATGTCTCACATACAGGTCATGCTGATGCAAGAAGTGGGCTCCCACTGCCTTGGGAATCTTCACCCCTGTGGCTTTGCAGGATACAGTCCCCCTTCTGGCTGCTTTCACGGGCTGGCACTGAGTGTCTGTGGCTTTTCCATGTGCACTGTGTAAGCTGTCAGTGGATCTACCATTCTGGAGTCCGGAGGACAGTGGCCCTCTTCTCACAGCTCCACTAGGCAGTACCTTAGTGGGGACTCTGTGTGAGGGTTCTGACCCCACATTTCCCATCCACACTGCCCTAGCAGAGGTTTTCCATGAGAGCTCCACCCCTACAGCAAACTTCTGCCTGGACATCCAGGCATTTCCATACATCCTCTGAAATCTAGGGGGAGGTTCCCAAACCTCGATTGTTGATTTCTGAGTACCCACCGGCTCAACGCTCTGTGGAAACCACCAAGGTTTGGGACTTGCACCCTCTGAAGCAATGGCCCAAGCTGTACCTTGGCCCCTTTTAACCATGGCTGGAGCTGAAGCAGCTGGGACACAGGGAACCATGTCCTGAGGCTGCACAGAGCAGGGGGACCCTGGGCCCAGCCAGGAAAACCATTTTTTCCTCCTAGGCCTCCAGGCCTGTGATGGGAGAGGCTGCCATGAAGGTCTCTGACATGCCCTGAAGACATTTTCTCTATTGTCTTGGTGATTAACATTCAGCTCCTTGTTACTTATGAAAATTTTTGCAGCCAGCTTGAATTTCTCCCCAGAAAAGGGGCTTTTCTTTTCTATCACATCATTAGGATGCAAATTTTCCAAACTCTTTTGCTCTGCTTCTTCTTGAAAGCCTTGCCACTTAGATATTTCTTCCACCAGATACCCTAAATCATCTCTCTCAAGTTCAAAGTTCCACAGATCTCTAGGGCAGGGGCAAAATGTCCCCAGTCTCTCCACTAAAGCATAGCAAGAGTCATCTTTGCTCCAGTTCCCAATAAATTTCTTATCTCCATCTGAGACCATCTCATCCTGGACTTCATTGTCCATATCACTATCAGCATTTTGGTCAAAGCCATTCAACAAGTCTCTAGGAAGTTCCAAACTTTCCCACATGTTCCTATCTTCTTCTGAGCCCTCCAAACTGTTCCAACCTCTGCCTGTTACCCAATTCCAAAGTTGCTTTCACATTTTTGGGTATCCTTATAGCAGCACCCCACTCCTAATACCACTTTTTTGTATTATTCTGTTCTCACACTGCTATGAGAAAATACCCGAGACTGGGTAATTTATAAAGAAAAGAGGTTTAACTGACTCACAGTTCCACACGGCTGGGGAAGCCTCAGGAAACTTACAATCATGGCAGAAGGCGCCTCTTCACAGGGCGGCAGGAGAGAGAAGCCCCAAGCAAAGAGAAGAAAGCCCCTTATAAAACCACCAGATCTCATGAGAACTCACTCACTATTATGAGAACAGCATGGAGGTAACCAGCCCCGTGATTCAATTACCTCTCACCAGGTCCCTCCCATGACAGGTGCACATTATGGAAACTACAATTCAAGATGAGATTTGGGCAAGGACACAGCCAATGCATATCACATGGATATCATCTGATCATCTTTCATGACTCATCTCAGCTCTCTCATTATTCTCTAGGAAACTACCTTTTCCAAGTTCCAATTCCACTCCCCACCTGCCTCCTACCCCCCTAACAACTCCGTTCCTAAACTCTCTTTTAGATGTCCTTTTACAGTTTTTACCCATCCTACCTCTATTATACCACTCAGCAGCCCCTGCCACACTAAATTCTGTCCATTTATCTTACCTGTCTTTCCTTTAAACTATAATCTTTTTTTGAAAACAGAGGCTGTATTTTTTTTCTCATCTTTGTATCTCTAGTGCCTAATGCAGTGTCTGGAATTTAGAAGGTGCCTAAATATTTGTTGAATGAATGAATAATGACTGTTAAGTCAAGGGTAGTTTAAGACACTTTTTATACTGATATTTATCATACTCTACATAACCATCACGGTGACTTCCCAGAATTTCCTCCCAGAGTCTCTTCTGTTTTCATTCACTCTGTAAGTAACCTAATCCACCATTCCCCTGGCTTCAGTAGTCACATGTATGACTCTGACTGTGGATAACTTCCAAATGTATATCACTTTCTTTCATCCAAACTCCAGATGCACATTTCCAACTGCTACTGAACATTGTCATTTGGATTCTTATTCTAAAACCACTCATTTCCTTCCCCCTCATGTTTTCTCTTTCTCCAGCTCTAGTTGACAAAATCATCATCTGTGCTTTCATGTTAGAGACCTTGGAATCTTTCTTGATGCCTTCCACTCCAGCACCACCCTTAACCAGACACCTAATCCTGTCAGTTTTTCCTTTTATATCTTTCTAATTTTCTTCATCTCAGCCACTGTGGTCTGAATGTTTGTGTCTTCCAAAATTCATATGTTGAAATCCTAACCCCCAAGGTGCTGGTATTAGGAGGTGGGGCCTTTGAGAGGCAATTAATTCATGATGTAAGAGCCCTATGAATGGGATTGGTGCCTTTATAAAAGAGGCCTAGGGGAGCTTGTTTGCCTCTTCCACCATGTGAGAACACAGCTAGAAGGTGCCATCTATGAGGAACAGACCTTTACTAGACATCAAATCTTCCAGTGCCTTGATCTTAGACTTTCCAGCCTCCTGAGCTATAAGAAATAAATTTATCTTGTTTATAAGCTACGTAGACAATGATATTTTGTTATAGCAGCCCAAACAGACTAAGAAAACATTAATCTTTCATTTCTGATGCTTGATCTCTTGCATGGGCTATTCTGAAAGCTTCTTAGATATTTTCCTTAATGCTAATCAAACAACTTTATAGTCTCTTTTCATCATAGTGATACCTTCTTATTTGAGTGTCATGCTGGCATTGTGGATATAATAGTGAGTTAGACAGACTCCTTGCTTCCATGTAGCTAAAATAAGGGCTAAGCTCTTTAGAGTCATGCACAGGGCCCCATATGGTCATATGCTAATCATTCTTCTAAAACTATCTCTCTTCATTATTCAGCTCACATTTTCTGCTAACATATTTCTGCTCACACACTCACTGAAGTATTTTATTTCTTTATAAAACTGTGTGTCTCAAAATCCCTCTGCCTGGGATTCTCACTTATATCCATACATTTTTACCACCTGATCAATGTCTACATATTCTTCATGACACAATGTAAATGTCATCTCCCAATGAAGCTTCTTTTGAAGTTAATCTTTCTTTTTCCATGTTTTCATAGAATTCTGGACCTGCTTCTAAGTACTGGTTACACTATGCTGCAATTGTGAATATATGCAAGTCTGTTTTAGCCCTTTTGACACTGAGCTCTTCCAGGGGAGACTCAATTATCCTTATATCTGTGCAGAATCTAGCACACTCTTTGTTACACAGTAGATAGTCAATACTTATAAATAGTGATGAATGAATAAACAGAAGAGCAAAAGCAAATATTCATTCTGTCTTTCTTATTCCTGATTCAGAAGTAAAAAGCAGAAGGTTTAAACAATGGGTCTTTCATTCTTTAGCTTGTAATTTGTGTCTTTTTTTTTAAGATAAAGTTAATGGCACAACTAAATTTTAAGGATGTGTTCAATGTTTTAATAAAGTCTTATTTTATCCATTGCAATAATAAATGTGTCCATTTCTTTGCGTAATATACCATAAAACAATAAATTGCAGATGGAAGACTAAAAGTGTCTTTCAAAATGATAAATGCCCCTAGTGAAATGAAATATGTGCTGGCTTTTCTTAATCCTACTCAGCCCAAGCAAGCTGCAAGCACTGGACATGACATTTTTCCTCTCTGAGACTCAGATATATCATCTGTAAACTGAGCAGGATGGACTCTGGCTCCTTCCACTCTAATAATCAATAACACTAAAATACTTCAAAGAATCACCAGAAATGCCACCAATGCATAAAAATGAATACAAAGCTACAGACAGGAAAAACCCACTACAGGGCATCCTTGACTAAAGCAAACATGACTACACATAGCAAGAAGACTGCAGTAAGTTAATTTGAATTATGCCAAGGGATTCTGGCTGAAATTCCAACAAATAAATGCAACTGTTCTAAGTGTGCGTGCACAGGAGAAAGACACAGAATGAGATTGCTGAAGCTTTAAAACGTCTGAAGGAATGTGAATCTCACAGGACTCAATCAAATGACACAGAGAGGCAAAGTATTTAAAGACTTAGAGACAAGGATTTAAAAGCACCTGACTATATCATAACCTTTTTCTATCCCCTTCTGAATTGAGAAAGTGGATACTTATAAAATATTCTGATTGCATATAGTTTCAAAGACTTGCTTTGCAAAGTAATAGCCCTGGTTTTTTGTTTTCTTTTAGCCAAAGCCTGTTTTGTTTTTCTTCATTAATATATATGAAGGTGAATGGGAAAAAGAAGAATATCAGAAGGAGGGTTCATCCTATTAAGCTACATAGATTTGCCAATCTCAAGAATTAGTTACACATCTAAATATTTCTGGGTCAAATGTTCTAACCTGCAGACTTGCATCAGTTTGTTCACTTGAGTTTCCCCCCTTCGTCTCCCACATGTCATGCTCTGTTCCCCTAACAGCTGCTCTGTTTTGCCACTCTGTTGGTTTCTAAGCTGCTCTGCCTGTGACTGGCTGTGATCTGAGAAGATGAAGAATAGATGGAAGATGAAGGGAGCACCAGGGCAAAGCAAACCAGCTGCCAGAGGAAGATGTGTCACTGCACAGTGTGTAAAAACAGACACTAGAGACAGAAAACTTTTGAATGTCTGCTGGAACAAAGATTGTAGAAGGTGGAAAACAGGAATTAGCACCAAATCTCTAAAACCACTGTCACAAATTCTATGTTCTGATCAACCTTTGAAAAAGGCAATTCCATTCCAATTTAATCAGAGGGAAATGATTACTTAAAAGCATCAAGTGTGACAATGATGCTTTTCCAGAAAGATTTTCTGTCTTTTAACAGAAAATGTTAATGTCTTCAAGAAAATAAATAAAATTAAATCAATAAATTACATTAAATTAAATCAGAAACAAAAACAGTTTGTAAATAATATGCATTATAATTGGTTAAAAGAGCTTTAAAAAGTATTTGGCCACCTCTGATTCTATGGAATTGATATGCAAGAGAAATTCCTATCTTTGAAAGTCATAATAATATACAGTAAAATGAAAATAGCTGATTGAGATTATAAGGAAGTTATTCATATCAAATATTTTCAGAGCAGGTGAGAAAATAATCTTTGATACTACAAGTAAAGTTGAAAACAAACAGGATGGGTTTTTAAAACAAATCTTAGTAACACAGACTCCAAAAGTGAATTCCAGATATTTTTGAGATATGCAACATGATTCTTTTTAAGGTCTTCAGAGACCACCTTTCCCAAAACAAATGTCAACTTTCTGAATGCAACTGAAAAATGTTTCAAGCAACAGAAGATAATATGCATATTTTCAATTCATCTTCCCCTGGTCTTTTCTAACTTCACATGGTAAGGAAACCTTATTTTCTACGCACACCTACTATAAAGTATGCATAAATGAGCCAGGGTGTCCTCAGGGTCCCTAAAAGACAATCCTGCTTTTCTTCTTTCCTTCAAACTTCAGCCTAATTTTTGGCTCAGTTCATAGAAAGCCTCATTCTATTATTTCTCTACTGGCATACCCTAGTATTCAACTAAAGATTAGAATCTTACCTGGAGCTCTCTCCCGCTTCCCTACAGTCCTGAGGGCGGGATCCTGCTCCCATTGCCATGAAGGAATAACGAACGGTCCTGCCAGACTTCACACAAGTACGAGGCTCCAAAACCTTACCCTGCCAAACCACACCACTCAAGGCCTCCTACCCAGTGAGCTCCCTGATTGCACTGGCAGTTTGAGCCACACTGGCCTCTAACTTATTCGTTTATACATTTATAGTCAAGTCAGTTTCTGAGACTTATCCAGTCCTAGGTCAGTTCCCACCCCCTTGGCCCTGAAATGCTTCCTCCTATCCAACAATAACTTCAATATGAGAAACATGCATTTTAATTAAAAATTAAATTTATGCTCTCAATGGCCCATCTGCTAATTATCTTTCTTCTGTTCCATTATCTCAACTCTCTTCCCCGAACAAGAACCTCAAAAAACGCATAAACACATTTTCAGGTTATGATTCTGTAGAAGGGGGAAGCATTCTAAATCTTGATCCAAATTTTCTTGAGATAATTGCGACAGTGAGTTAACTGACTACTTGAGGAGCCACTCCAGGATACCCCACCTGTGTGGTCCATAGATGTAACAGCTGGGCCAGGTCAGCCTACTGACAATCCACTATTGCAGCTGGCCTTAGGCTGCAGTGAGCCTCTCTCTCAAAACTGCTGGTTGTTTCCAACCATTTCCTGGAGTGAGTCCCAATGCCATGTCCAAGCATAAACTAACATGACACCCAGAAACTCTGGCTTTCCCCACCACTTCCAGGTTCCAATGAAGCAACTCCCCATGAGGTATGCAATCTGACTTCAACAGCTGCTCAGAGGAGTTTGGTCTGGTTAAGGCCCTGGAGGAAAAATATTAGCTAAGGAGGAACAGGAGATTACAAGAAGTTGTCAGATAAATTATTTTGCCTGCCTCCCCTCTAATCCAAAGGGTTAGACAATGATTTCAGGTGACCACTCCAGAAATGTCCTATGTGACCAAGCAATCAGCTGTGTCACCTATAAGAATGTAACCAGCTGAGTAGCACACTACCTGGTATTTGCTCTTCTTCCTCCACGGCCAAATTTACTTTATTCTTGCTGCCCCAGGATTGAAGTCCTCAATAAAACAATAGCATGTAAACTTTGCCTCAGAATCCTTTCTTTTTTTTGTAGGAAACTTGGGCTAAGACATAGATTAATGAATAATATGACTCCTGCCTCTCCTCCAGGGAAGAGGAGACATACACAGGCTGGAGAGATCCTATTCTTTTTAGCTTGAAATCAGAAATGTATCTGGTAAGAATGTCAATTCATTATTATCACTGACCACTCTGCTGCCCTTCCCTCATCTGCTTCTCTCATCTCCCCTCTTGCTTCCCTCCCTTTTTTCCTCTCTCCCTCTCCCCTGTCTGCTCTTCTCTTCCTGCCTCTCTCTCAGCAACCCAAGAAAAGATTTCCTACAGTCAGATAAGAGGTGGTAAGAGAAAACTTTTTTTTAATTTAGCCAATGCATGTGAATGATTAGAGAGAAGAGCTAAATAGATAATAAAATGCAATAAAAACAATTTCACAGACACCTAAAGACACCTAATATTTCACAGAGTAATAATATATTCCAAAATAAATAAATGTTCTAATAAAGAAAATTAAAATGTTACATTCCAGGTGATTTTCAATGCAATTCATGTTAATATGCCCATTAGTCTCAAAAGTGTGAAGAGCACAACTTTGAGAAAATTGTTCTCAAATTTTTCTAATTATGCATGACATCTACCCTAATTTTGACACTTAGTTTTAAAGCACAATGTGTTCTTGTGAAGAAGATAAGGAAATAGACCATGACCTTCCTAAGAAATGTACATTTATACTTTTAATTCTAGTTGATTCTTTACCCAGAGATTCCAACTTGCCTTTATCTCCCAATTCAATACTCACCATGGGCTTAGAAATCCCATTGATTAATACAAAGAGTAAACCTGGCTTCACTTTGGTAAGTTTACAGCTTGGTAAATTTAGCCTCTTGGCTTTAAAATAACCACCAAGTAGAAAATTGTAGCAGCACTATCAGTGCAACAGAAGTAAGCTGATAAATTACAAATGGAAGAGGAGAAGAATTAATCGGCATTGGACATGAAAGGGGATTTTTAGTTCCTAAACATTTGTGCTGTAATCTCCTCTAAACTTTAATTAAACTCTCTAAAAGTTTATAATCATAAGATACATTTATTTTAAATTTACCACATGCCAGAAAGATTTACTCAAGCTGTCAGTTTTTTTCACTTAAGCATTTAATTCTGAAGTGACTGATTACAATCATCGTGCCTCTGATGAGGTAAAGTGTTTTAAAGCTGACTCTTGGTAAATTTCTCCTATAAAAAGAAACAGACTTTTCTACTGCAGGTGTAAGTGTCAACTGATGCAACCGTTTGTATAGTACTTAGGCATTCTTGGGAAAGTTAAACATGCACATCACCTATAATTCAGTAATTCCCCTCTTAAGTGGCAAAGAGAAACTCTTGAGCATCTATGACTGAAGACATCAACAAGAAATCTCACAGCATCATTGCTCATGGTAAAAAAAAAATAGAAAAAAATGATACAGTAGATATGTAAATTGCAATATATTCAAATGGTGTATAATACAATAGTATATGGTGAAATGTCAACAGCCATACATCAATATGTAAGAATAAGAACAATAAAGATAAATTAAGATCATAATTTTGAGTCAAAGAGAAGAACCACACTATGTATAAAATTCAAAAAGAGGCAAAATAAACACTATTTAGTTTAGGGATAGAAATATACCTGTTAAAACAGTAAAGAACCACAAAGGAATGATTAACAGAAAATTCAGGAAGGTAATAAGCACTGAGAGAGGACAAAAAGGAAAATTATCAAAGAGCACTTTGATTATAAATTTTAAAAGAGGAGCACTCAGGGGATTTCTAAGCCACTACCCAAGTAATTTCTCAACCTGGTGTTGGATATGTTAATATTTACTTTATTATTAACCTGTTTGTTCACATATCTTTGCGTGTATATTCCAGAATAAATTTTAATAAAAACAATCAATGACTTAACCTTAAAGAGAACAATACTTCATTTTTAAAGTTAATTTTGTATAGTAATAATAGTTAATTAAATTTTATTTAATAATAATTTTAAAAAATAATTTGTTATTGATCCAGGATGCCTGTAACCAAACAGTCTATAACTTGAGAATGCTGTCATTTTAGTTTGATGATAATATACTGGCCAGTGTCACTCCATGTTAACAGGAGTGAGAATGTCAAAGTCAGATGAACAATCAGTCTGAGATGGACATATCATATGATGGTGTATTATCTTTATTGCTATAAAGAAATATCTGAGACTGTGTAATTTATGGAGAAAAGAGGTTTAATTGGCTTGTAGTTCCACAGGCTGTACAAGAAGCATGATGCTGGCATCTGCTTGGCTTCTGGGGAAGTCTCTGGAAACAAAATCATGGTGGAAGGCAAAGGGGAAGCCAGCACATCACATGGCCAGAGGAGGAGGAAGTGGAGTGGTGTTACACACTTTTAAACAACCAGATCTCATGGGAACTCTATCATAGGACAAGACTACGGGGATGGTGCTAAGCCATTGGAAACCGCCCCCATGATTCAATCGCCTTCCACCAGGCCCCGCCTCCAACACCGGGGATTACAATTCAACATGAGATTTGGGCAGGGACAGAGATCTAAACCATATCAGGTGGCCATTATGGTCCCACCTCCTGGTATTCATTCTCTTGTGTAGTACCCCTATCTTAAATGTGGACAGAACCTGTGACTTTCTCTGGGCCAATAAAGCAGGCAAATGGGATGTACATGATTGTATTTCATAAGATATTGACGTCTGTCTTGCAAGGAGATTTTCTCTTGCAAAGAAGCGACTTTCCATTATGAGCTGCCTATGGAGATGCCTATGTGGCAAGGAGCTGAGAGTAGCCTCCAGATAACAACCAGCAAGAAACTGAGGCACTCAGTCCAACATCCCATAAGGAACAGAGTTCTTCTAACAACCACATGAGCAAGAAAGTGGATCATTCCCCATTTAAGTCTCAGGTGAGACCACATCCCCAGCTGGCACCTTTACTATAGCCTTGCAAAGGACCTACCTAAACCATGCCTACACTCTGACTTGGATGGGCTAAGAATGTTAGACTCATTTTACAAAAGGCAGTAAACTGGAAAAATGAGGGTTGGCAATAAGGATGGAATATCTACATTAAGACACTGGTGATTTTTTTTAAATGTTACTGACAAAGAGTGGGAAAATTAACAAACAGAAAGGACATCCACACCAAAACCCCATCTGTGAGTCACCATCATCAAAGACCAAAGGTAGATAAAAACCACAAAGATGGGGAAAAAACAGAGCAGAAAAGCTGAAAATTCTAAAAATCAGAAGCCCTCTCCGCCTCCAAAGGAATGCAGCTCCGCACCAGCAATGGAACAAAGCTGGATGGAGAATGACTTTGATGAGTTGAGAGAAGAAGGCTTCAGACGATCAAACATCTCCAAGCTAAAGGAGGAAGTTCAAACCTATTGCAAAGAAGGTAAAAACCTTGAAAAAAGATTAGACAAATGGCTAATTAGAATAACCAATGTAGAGAAGTCCTTAAATGACCTGATGGAGCTGAAAAACATGGCATGAGAACTACATGATGAATGCACAAGCTTCAGTAGCCAATTCGATCAACTGGAAGAAAGGGTATCAGTGATTGAAGATCAAATGAATGAAATGAAGCAAGAAGAGAAGTTTAGAGAAAAAACAGCAAAAAGAAATGAACAAAGACACCAAGAAATATGGGACTATGTGAATAGACCAAATCTTCAACTCATTGGTATACCTGAAAGTGACGGGGAGAATGGAACCAAGTTGGAAAACACTCTACAGGATATTATCCAGGAGAATTCCCCCAACCTAGCAAGGCAGGCCAACATTCAAATTCAGGAAATACAGAGAACGCCACAAAGATACTCCTCGAGAAGAGCAACTCCAAGACACATAATTGTCAGATTCACCAAAGTTGAAATGAAGGAAAAAATGTTAAGGGCAGCCAGAAAGAAAGGTCGGGTTACCAACAAAGGGAAGCCCATCAGACTAACAGTGGATCGCTCGGCAGAAACTCTACCAGCTAGAAGAGAGTGGGGCCAATATTCAACATTATGAAAGAAAAGAATTTTCAACCCAGAATTTCATATACAGCCAAACTAAGCTTCATAAGTGAAGGAGAAATAAAATACTTTAAAGACAAGCAAATGCTGAGAGATTTTGTCACCTCCAGGTCTGCCTTCCAAGAGCTCCTGAAGGAAGCACTAAACATGGAAAGGAACAACTGGTACCAGCCACTGCAAGAACATGCCAAATGGTAAAGACTATTGAAGCTAGGAAGAAACTGCATCAACTAACGAGCAAAACAACCAGCTAACATCATAATGACAGGATCAAATTCACACATAACAATATTAACATTAAATGTAAATGGGCTAAATGCTTCAATTAAAACACACAGACTGGCAAATTGGATAGAGTCAAGACCCATCAGTGTGCTGCATTCAGGAGACCAATCTCACATGCAGAGACACACATAGGATCAGAACAAAGGGATGGAAGAAGATCTACCAAGCAAATGAAAAACAAAACAAGGCAGGGATAGCAATCCTAGTCTCTGATAAAACAGACATTAAACCAACAAAGGTCAAAAGAGACAAAGAAGGCCATTATATAATGGTAAAGGGATCAATTCAACAAGAAGAGTTAAATATCTTAAACTATATGCGCCCAATACAGGAGCATCCAGATTCATAAAGCAAGTCCTTAGAGACCTAAAAAGAGACTTAGACTCCCACACAATAATAATGGGAGATTTTAACACCCCACTGTCAACATTAGACAGATCAACGAGACACAAAGTTAACAAGGATATCCAAGAATTGAACTCAGCTCTGCACCAAGTGGACCTAATAGACATCTACAGAACTCTCCACCCCAAATCAACAAAATATACATTCTTCTCAGCACCACATCACACTATTCCAAAATTGACCACATAATTGGAAGTAAAGCACTCCTCAGCAAATATAAAAGAACAGAAATTACAACAAACTGTCTCTCAGACCACAGTGCAATCAAACCAGAACTCAGGATTAAGAAACTCACTCAAAACCACTCAACTACATGGAAACTGAACAACCTGCTACTGAATGACTACTGGGCACATAAGGAAATAAAGGCAGAAATAAAGATGTTCTTTGAAACCAACGAGAACAAAGACAACATACCAGAATCTCTGGGACACATTCAAAGCAGTGTGTAGAGGGAAATTTAAAGCACTAAATGCCCACAAGAGAAAGCAGGAAACATCTAAAATTGACACCCTAACATCACAATTAAAAGAACTAGAGAAGCAAGAGGAAACACATTCAAAAGCTAGCAGAAGGCAAGAAATAACTAAGATCAGAGCAGAACTGAAGGAGATAGAGACACAAAAAACCCTTCAAAAAATCAATGAATCCAGGAGCTGGTTTTTTGAAAAGATCAACAAAATTCATAGACCGCTTGCAAGACTAATAAAGAAGAAAACAGAGAAGAATCAAATAAATGCAATAAAAAATGATAAATGGGATATCACCAACAATCTCACAGAAATACAAGCTACCATCAGAGAATACTATAAGCACCTCTATGCAAATAAACTAGAAAATCTAGAAGAAATGGATAAATTCCTGGACACATACACCCTCCCAAGACTAAACCAGGAAGAAGTTGAACCCGTGAATAGACCAATAACAGGCTCTGAAATTGAGGCAATCACTAATAGCCTACCAACAAATAAAAGTCCAGGATCAGATGGATTCACAGTCGAATTCTACCAGAGGCACAAGGAGGAGCTGGTACCATTCCTTCTGAAACTATTCCAATCAATAGAAAAAGAGGGAATCCTCCCTAACTCATTTTATGAGGCCAACATCATCCTGATACCAAAGCCTTGCAGAGACACAACAAAAAAAGAGAATTTTAGACCAATATCCCTGATGAACATCGATGCACAAATCCTCAATAAAATACTGGCAAACGGAATCCAGCAGCACATCTAAGGCTTATCCACCATGATCAAGTTGGCTTCATCCCTGGGATGCAAGGCTGGTTCAACATATGCAAATCAATAAACATAATCCAGCATATAAACAGAACCAAAGACAAAAACCACATGATTATCTCAATAGATGCAGAAAAGGCCTTTGACAAAATTCAACAACCCTTCATGCTAAAAACTCTCAATAAATTAGGTATTGATGGGATGTATCTCAAAATAATAAGAGCTATTTATGACAAACCCACAGCCAGTATCATACTGAATGGGCAAAAACTGGAAGCATTCCCTTTGAAAACTGGCACAAGACAGGGATGCCCTCTCTCACCACTCCTATTCAACATAGGGTTGGAAGTTCTGGCCACGGCAATCAGGCAGGAGAAAGAAATAAAGGGTATTCAATTAGGAAAAGAGGAAGTCAAATTGTCCCTGTTTGCAGATGACATGATTGTATATTTAGAAAACCCCATCATCTCAGCCCAAAACTCCTTAAGCAGATAAGCAAATTCAGCAAAGTCTCAGGATACAAAATCAATGTGCAAAAATCACAAGCATTCTTATATACCAATAACAGACAAACAGAGAGCCAAATCATGAGTGAATTCCCATTCACAATTGTTTCAAAGAGAATAAAATACCTAGGAATCCACCTTACAAGGGATGTGAAGGACCTCTTCAAGGAGAACTACAAACCACTGCTCTATTAAATAAAAGAGGATACAAACAAATGGAAGAACATTCCATGCTCATGGGTAGGAAGAATCAATATCGTGAAAATGGCCATACTGCCCAAGGTCATTTATAGATTCAATGCCATCCCCATCAAGCTACCAATGACTTTCTTCACAGAATTGGAAAAAACTACTTTAAAGTTCATATGGAATCAAAAAAGAGCCCACACAGCCAAGACAATCCTAAGCCAAAAGAACAAAGCCGGACGCATCACTCTATCTGACTTCAAACTATACTACAAGGCTACAGTAACCAAAACAGCATGGTACTGGTACCAAAACACAGATATAGACCAATGGAACAGAACAGAGCCCTCAGAAATAATACCACACATCTACAACCATCTGATCTTTGACAAACCTGATAAAAACAAGCAATGGGGAAAGGATTCCCTATTTAACAAATGGTGCTGGGAAAACTGGCTAGCCATACGTAGAAAGCTGAAACTGGATCCCTTCCTTACACCTTATACAAAAATTAATTCAAGATGGATTAAAGACTTAAATATTAGACCTAAAACCATAAAAACCCTTGAAGAAAACCTAGGCAATACCATTCAGGACATAGGCATGGGCAAGGACTTCATGTCTAAAACACAAAAAGCAATGGCAACAAAAGCCAAATTCGACAAATGGGATTTAATTAAACTAAAGAGCTTCTGCACAGCAAAAGAAACTACCATCAGAGTTAACAGGCAACCTACAGAATGGGAGAAAATTTATGCAATCTACTCATCTGACAAAGGGCTAATATCCAGAATCTACAAAGAACCCAAACAAATTTACAAGAAAAAAAAACCCCATCAAAAAGTGGGTGAAGGATATGAACAGATACTTCTCAAAAGAAGACATTTTTGCAGCCAACAGACATATGAAAAAATGCTCATCATCACTGGCCATCAGAGAAATGCAAATCAAAACCACAATGAGATACCATCTCACACCAGTTAGAATGGCAATCATTAAAAAGTCAGGAAACAACAGGTGCTGGAGAGGATGTGGAGAAATAGGAATGGTTTTACACTGTTGGTGGGACTGCAAACTAGTTCAACCATTGTGGAGGACAGTGTGGCGATTCCTCAAGGATCTAGAACTAGCAATACCATTTGACCCAGCCATCCCTTACTGGGTATACACCCAAAGGACTATAAATCATGCTGCTATAAAGATACATGCACACATATGTTTATTGTGGCACTATTCACACTAGAAAAGACTTGGAACCAACCCAAATGTCCATCAACGATAGACTGGATTAAGAAAATGTGGCACATAAACATCATGGAATACTATGCAGCCATAAAAAATGATGAGTTCATGTCCTTTGTAGGGACATGGATGAAGCTGAAAACCATCATTCTCAGGAAACTATGGCAAAGACAAAAAACCAAACACTTCATGTTCTCACTCATAGGTGGGAATTGAACAATCAGAACACTTGGACACAGGAAGGGGAACATCACACACCAGGGCCTGTCATGGGGTGGGGGGATGGGGGAGGGATAGCATTAGGAGATATACCTAATGTAAATGATGAGTTAATGGGTGCAGCACACCAACATGGCATGTGTATACATACGTAACAAACCTGCATGTTGTGCACACGTACCCTAGAACTTAAAGTATGATTTAAAAAAAAGAAAGAAAAAAAAAAAGCAGCACAGTCTGCAGCACTCACCGAGAGGTATGAAAAGGGGCAAGTGAATTCAACACCTTCGACTGAAATATCCACGTTCTCACACTGGGACGAACCAGGCAAATAAGGTGACTCATGGAGAACAAAGAAAAGCTTGCGATTGGGGAAAGTGGGCCCAACTGGGAGCAGCACAAAGCCAAAGGAGCACCCACCCCAGCCCCAAGGAAATCAGTGAGTGATAGTGCAACCCTGCATGGGAAACCATACTTCTCCCATGGATCTTTGCAACCCACAGATCAGTAGATCCCCTCATGAGCCCATGCCACGGTGGCCCTGGGTCTGATATGCAGAGCTGTGTGGAGGCTTGGCAGAGCGGCTGCTCAGGAACATACAGAGATCCAGGAGCTTTACATACTCTGGCCCAGGGATCCCCGGAAGATGGGAAATTTGTCCATACATATCCCTAGAAAGGGGGCTGAATCCAAGGAGCCAAACAGTGTTGTTCCATGGATCACACTTCCATGGTACTTCACAATTTAAAACCCACTGGCTTGGAATCCCAGCCAGCCAACAACAGTGGGTTGGAGTCCATCTGAGACAGGTTTGAGTGCCCAGGCAGAGGCATGGTCACTATCTCTGCAGTTCAGTTGATTCAGCTGCTCCAGTTTGCCGGCTTTGGAGAATACAGGCAGTTCAGATGGGGAAGGATCCCCTCAATGCAGCACACCTGCTCTACCAAAAAGCAGCCAGCCTACTTCTTTGGGTGGGTCCCTGATTCCATTATTCTTTACTGGGTGAGACCTCCCAGTGGGGGTTCCAGCCACATCCTAGTGCAGACCAGCAATAGGCCAGTACCCTCCTGGGATAGAGCTTGCAGAGGAAGAAGCTGGCTGCCATCTTTGTTCTTTTGCAGGATTCACTGGTGATATCTCCAGGTACAAGAGAAATCAGTGGAACTAGGGTCTGGAGCAGACCCCCAGCAAACCACAGTAGCCCTAGGGTAGAGTGGCCTGACTATTAAAAGAAAAACAACCAAACGGAAACAACAACAACAACAACAACAAAAAACAGAAAAACCTCATCGAAGGTCAGCAACCCTAAAGACTGAAGGTAGATAAGCCCACAAAGATGAGAAAGCATCAATGCAAAAACATTGAAAACTCAAAAAGCTAGATTGCCTTTTCTCCTCCAAATCACCACAACACCTCTCCAGCAAGGGCACAAAACTGGGCTGAGGTTGAGATAGCTGAATTGATGGAAGTCAGCTCCAGAAGGTGGGTAATACCAAACTTCACTGAGCTAAAGGAGCATGTTGTAACCTAATGCAAAGAAGCTAAGAATCATGATAAAACAATACAGGAGCTAACAGCCAGAATAGCCAGTTTAGACAGGAACATAACCATCATGATGGGGCTGAAAAACACAACATGAGAACTTCACAATGCAATCACAAGTATTAACAGCAGAATAGATCAAGGGAAGGAAAAAATCTCAGAGCTTCAAGACTATCTTTCTGAAATAAGACAGGCAGACAAGAATAGAGAAAAAAAGAATGAAAAGGAACAAACAAAACCTCCAAGAAATATGGGATTATGTAAAGAGACCAAACCTATGACTGACTGTGGTACCTAAAAGAGACAGGAAGAATGGAACCAAGTTGGAAAACATACTTCAGGATATCACCCAGAAGAATTTCCCCAACCTAGAAAGACAGGCCAACATTCAATTTCAGAAAATCCAGAGAACCTCAGTAAAATATACCACAAGAAAATCAGTCCCAAGACACATAATCATCAGATTCTTCAAGGTCAAAATGAAAGAAAAGACATTAAGAGCAGCCAGAGAGAAGGGCCAGGTCATCTACAAAGGGAAACTCATCAGACTAACAGTGGACCTCTCAGAAGAAACCCTAGAAGCCAAAAGAGATTGGGAGCCAATACTCAACATTCTTGAAAATAATTTCCAACCCACAATTTCGTATCTGGCCAAACTAAGCTTTATAAGCAAAAAAGAAATAAGACTCTTTTCAGACAAGCAAATCCTGAAGGAATTCATCACCACCAGGCCTGCCTTGCAAGAGAACCTGAAGGAAGTACTAAATTTTGAAAGGAAAAACCATTACCAGCCGCTACAAAAGCACACTGAAATACACAGACCAGTGACACTATGAAGCAGTCACATAAACAAGTCTGCAAAATAACCAGCTAGCATCATGATCACAGGATCAAATTCACACACAAAAATATTAACCTTAAATGTAAATGGCCTAAATTCCTTAATTAAAAGACACAGAATAAGCTGGATAAAGAGCCAATACCCATCAGTATGTTGTCTTCAAGAGACCCATCTCATATGCAAAGACGCACATAGGTTTAAAATAAAGAGATGGAGGAAAATTTACCAAACAAATGGAAAACAGAAAAAAGTGGATTAGTTTCAATAGAAATGGTGCCAGCTCTTCTTTGTACCTCTGGTAGGGGTTGCAATCCTAGTTTCTACTAAAGTAGGCCTTAAACCAATAACGGTCAAAAAAGACAAAGAAAGGCATTACATAATGGTAAAGGGTGATAAGAAGAGCCAACAAGAAGAGCTAACTATCTTAAATATATAGGCACCCAATACACGAGCACCCAGATTCGTAAGTTCTTTCTTTAAAGAACTTGCTTTATGAATTTATAAAGAAAGACACCTACAAAGAGACTTAGACTCCCAAAGAATAACAGTGGGAGACTTTAACACCCCACTGACATATTAGAGAAATCATTAAGACAAAAAATTTACAAAGATATTGAGGACCTGAACTCAGCTCTGGATAAAATGGATCTGATAGATATATACAGGACTCTCAACCCAGATTCAACAGAATGTACATTCTTCTCATTCCTACATGACACTTACTCTGAAATTGATCACATAATCAGAAGTAAAACACTACTCAGCAAATGCAAAAGAACTGAAGTCATAACAGTCTCTCAGACTACAGCACAATCAAATTAGAACTCAAGACTAAGAAATCAACTCAAAACCACACAACTATATGGAAATTAAACAACCTGCTCCTGAATGACTCTTGGGTATGCAACTAAAGCAGTGATAAGAGGGAAATTTATAGCATTAAATACCCACATCAAAAAGCTAGAAAGATCTCAAGTTAACAACCTAACATCTAAAAGAACTAGAGAACCAAGAACAAGCAAACCCCAAAGCTAGTAGAAGACAAGAAATAACCAAGATCAGAGAGGAACTGAAGAAGATACAAACAAAAAAACCTTCAAAAACTCACAAATTCCAGGATATGGTTTTTTGAAAAAATTAATAACATAGATAAACCATTAGCTAGACTAATAATGAAGAAAAGAGAGAAGAATTAAATAAACACACTCAGAAATGATAAGGGAGATAATCACCACTGAACCTACAGAAATACAACCAACCATCAGAGAATACTATAAACACTTCTCTGCACATAAACTAGAAAATCTAGAAGAAATGCATAAATTCCTGGACATATACACCCCCCCGAAGACTGAACCAGGAAAAAATTGAATCCCTGAATAAACCAATAATGAGTTCTGAAATTCAGGCAGTATTAAATAGCCTACCAACCAAAAAAACAAAACCCCAGGACCAGACAGATTCACAGCTGAGTTCTACCAGAGGTACAAAGAAGAGCTGGCACCATTTCTACTGAAACTAATATAAAAAATGCAAAAGGAGGCACTCCTTCCTAACTTGTTCTATGAGACCATCAACGTCCTGATGCCAAAACTTGGCAGAGATATAACAAAAAGAAGAAAACTTTGGGCCAATATCCCTGATGAACAATGATGCAAAAATCCTCAATAAAATACTGGCAAACTGAATCCAGCAGAAAATCAAAAAGCTTTTCCACCATGATCAAGGTGGCTTCATCCCCAGGATTCGAGGTTGGTTCAACATATGCAAATCAATAAATGTGATTTATGATATAAACAGAACTAAAGACAGGAACCACATGATTATCTCAATGATGCAGAAAAGGCTTCAATAGAATTCAACATCCCTTCATGTTAAAAACTCTCAATAAACTAGGTACTGAGGGAACATACCTAGAAATAATAAGAGCCATATATGACAAACCCACAGCCAATATCATTCTGAATGGGCAAAAGCTGGAAGCATTCCCCTTGAAAACTGGCACAAGACAAGGATGCCCATTCTCACCACTCCTATTCAACATAGTATTGGAAGTTCTGGCCGGACAATCAGGCAAGAGCAAAAAAATAAGCCTATTCAAATAAGAAGAGAAGAAGTCAAATTATCTTTGTTTGTAGATGACATGATCCTATATCTAGAAAACCCCATTGTATTAGCCCAAAAGCTCCTTAAGCTATTAAGCAACTTCAGCGAAGACTCAGGATATAAACTCAATGTGCAAAAATTGCTAACGTTCCTGTACACCAACAATAGGCAAGCAGAAAGCCAAATCATGAATAAACTTCCATTCACAATGGCTACAAAAAGAATAAAATGCCTAGGAATACATCTAGAAGGGAAGTGAAGAACCTCTTCAAGGAGAACTACAAACCACTTCTCAAAGAAATCAGAGGACACAAACAAATGGAGAAACATTCCATGCTCATGGACAGGAAGAATCAATATTGTGAAAATGGCCATGCAGCCCAAAGTAATTTAAAGATTCAATGCTATTCCCATTAAACTACCACTGACATTCTTATCGAATAAGAAAAAAACATATTAAAATTCATATGAAACCAAAAATGAGCCCAAGTAGCCAAGACAATCCTAAGCAAAAAGAACAAAGCTGGAGGGATCACACTAACCAACTTCAAACTAAATTACAAGACTATAACAACCAAAGCCTCATGGTACTGGCACAAGGACAGACACATTGATCAATGGAATGGAAAAGAGAACTCAGAAGACCCCACACCTACAACCAACTGATCTTCAACAAACTTGACAAAAGCAAGGAATGGGGAAAGGACTCCCTATTTAATAAATGATGCTGGGAGTGCTGGCTATCCATATGCAGAAAATTGAAACTGAACCCCTTCTTTATACTTTATACAAAAATTAACTCAAGCTAGATTAAAGATTTAAATGTAAAACCCAAAACTATAAAAACCCTAGAAGAAAATCTAGGCAATACCATTCAGAACATAGACACAGGCAAAGGTTTCATGATGAAATCACCAAAAGCAATTGCAACAAAAGGAAAAATTGACAAATGGGATCTAATTAAACTAAAGAGCTTCTGCACAGCAAAAAGGGCTATTATCAGAGTAAAGAGACAACCCACAGAATGGGAGAAAAATTTCACAATCTATCATCTGACAAAAGTCTAATATCCAGAGTCCACAAGGAACTTAAACAGATGTACAAGACAAAAACAAACAACCCCATTAAAAAATGAGCAAAGGACATGAACAGACACTTCTCAAAAGAAGACATACATGCAGCCAACAAACATATGAATAAAAGCACAACATCACTGATCACTACAGAAATGCAAATCAAAACTTCAATCAGATACCATCTCATGCCAGTCAGAATGGTGATTATCAAAAAGCCAAGAAACAATAGATGCTGGTGGGGTTGCAGAGAAACGGGAAAGCTTTTACACTGTTGGTGGGAATGTAAATTAGTTCAATCATTATGGAAGATGGTGTGGAAATTCCTCAAAAATCTAGAACCAGAAATACTATTTAATTCAGCAATCCCATTACTGGGTATATAATAAATCATTCTATTATAAAGATATATGCACACATATGTTCATTGCAGCACTATTCATAATAGCAAAGGCATAGAATCAATCTAAATGTCCACCAATGATAGACTGGACAAAGAAAATGTGGTATATATACACCATGAAATACTATGCAGTCATAAAAAGGAATGAGTTCATGTCATTTGCAGGGACATGGATGGAGCTAGACGCCATTATCCTCAGCAAACTAACGCAGGAACAAAAAAAAAAAAAAAACACTCCATGTCCTCACTTATAAGTGGGAGCTGAATGATGAAAACACATGGACACATGGTGGGGTACAACACACACTTGGGCCTGTTGGGGGATTGGGGGAGGAGAGCATCAGGAAGAATAGCTAATGGATGTTGTGCTTAATATGTAGGTGATGGGATGATGGGCACATATGTGCATGGCACAGATTTACTTATGTAACAAACCTTCACATCCTACACATACACCCCTGAACTTAAAATAAAAGTTGAAGAAAAAAATAAATGGATAAATCATGTAACATTTATGCTACTGAAACATAGTCATAAAAAGAATGACAAAATTTTCTGTTAGTATTTCTCTATGATCCAGTGATCATCTGCACCAAAATCACTGGGTTTTTTTAAATAAATAAATTTTATTGTGTATATTTAAGGTATATAACGTAGTGTTACAAACTACACATATAGTGTAAACCAAAAGGCATCTGAGACAGGTCCCAACCATTTTAGAATGTTTATTTTGCCAAGGTTAAGGACAAACTCAAAGTCATCCCTCTGATCACGTGAGACAAATGCAAATCTGATTGCTTCCTTTGCCCTAATGTGTCACTAAGCCAGACTAAGGCATAAGTGACTATTCCCGTAAATTGTGCATTCAGCAAAGAGATAATCAGAAACTACTCAAAAGAATGCAACCATTTGTCTCTTATCTACCTATGACCTGGAAGCCCCCTCCCTGCTTCAAGTTGTCCTGCCTTTCCAGACTGAACCAGCATACATGTTACCTATATTAATTGATGTCTCATGACTCGCTAAAATGTATAAAACCAAGCTGTCCCCCAACCACCTTGGACATATGTCATCAGGACCTCCTGAGACTGTGTCACGGGCACATCCTTAACCTTGGCAAAATAAACTTTCCAAATTGATTCAGACCTGTCTCAGATGTCTTTTGTTTACAATAGTAAAATGGTTTCTACAGTGGAACAAACGTTAACATCCATTGTCTCACATAGTTACTCATCCCCTCCTCAAAAGAGCATCTGTAAACTACTCATTTAGCAAAAATCCTGAATACAGTACATTTTAATTAACTATAGTCCTCATGTTGTGTATTGTTTATCCTGCATATTTGCTACTTTATATCCTTTGACCTACATTTCCCCATTTGCTCTCCCTACTCCACCCCAACCCTGGTAACTACTGTTTTATTCTCCCCTATGTATATGATCTTTTATTTTTACATTCCACATATAAGTGAGATCATGGTATATTTGTCTGTGTCTGGTTTACTTAACTTAGCATAATGCCCTCCAGGTCCATCCATGTTTTGGCACATTGCAGATGCTCCTTTTCACATTGCAGACGCTCCTTTTTTAAGGCTGACTGGCATTTTGTTAAACAAGCAGATACCCTGAGCCTCATCCCATACCTACTGAATTCATTGGACATAAATGTTTCATTAAAGCCTCAGCTGATTCTTACCCATAAAAGTTTGAAAATCACTATTATGTGTTCCAACAGGGAAAGCTCTCCTAAATAAAATTGTTAGAAGGAAAAGAAAGATTCAGAATAATATGTATAGAACAAGCCTGTGTTTATAAAAGCAAAATTGTGTAAATGTGTGTATGTTTGTGTGTATATGTGCGTATAAGCATTTATGTTTGTGTATAAAAATATACACAAAATTTTTGTGTAAGCAAATGTATACATATAACAATAGTATAATATTGTTAATATTGAATATAAACGAATAGTATGAAAAAGTCCAGAAGGCAGTACAATAAATGTTAACGGTGACAAAGGTTAGATCATCCAGGGCCCTTGGGGCCATGTTAAGGAGGTAAGATTTTATACAGGGACTAAGGAGGGGAAATAAGAGTGAGAGAGGCTAAGCAGAATATGATACAATTTAGGGTCTTAAAAAAACCACCCTGGCAGCCATGTGGAGACTGGCTTAGAGGAGCACACACCAATAAGAGAATGGGGTGGACTACCAATTGTGAGAACAAAGGTAAACATGGAAGGGACCAAACCAGAGCAGAATCTAACCCATCAGGAAATTGTGTAGTGGGGAGACACACACTCCTCAGAGCCCTTTAAATAACACACATGTGGGACATCCCAAGAAAGTCAGCATGTGGATACTGTAGGTCAGAAGAATCAACAGCTGGTAGTTACGATGCCAGAGAGAAGCAACCATCCAAGAGAGGACCACGACAACAGCCAGCGAAGTAGAGAGACATTTCCCTTTCGCTCTCCTTCCTCTCCACTCTAACACAACTGAGTGCTAGAGCACTAGAGCCTAGAAAAGGCAGGACAGAATGTATGCAGCAGTGTTTCTGTTTTTGTTGTTTTGTTTTTGTTTTGTTTATCTTTTTAATTTTTATTTTTAAGTTCCAGGGTACATGTGCAGAATGTGCAGGTTGTAAAGGTAAACGTGTACCATGGTGGTTTGCTGCACCTATCAACCTATCACCTAGATATTAAGCCCAGCATGCATTAGCTTTTTTTCCTAATGCTGTCCTTCCCCCCACCACAACCCTGAGAGGCCCCAGTGTGTGTTATTGCCCTCCCTGTGTTCTCACCGTTCAGCTCCCACTTGTAAGTGAGAACATGCGGTGTTTGGTTTTCTGTTCCTGCATTAGTTTGCTGAGCACAATGGCTTCCAGCTCCATCCATGTCCCTGCAAAGGACATGATCATGTTCCTTTTTATGGCTGCATAGCATTCCATGATGTATATGTACACATTTTCTCTATCCAGTCTATCATTGATGGGCATTTGGGTTAATTCTATATCTTTGCTATTGTGAATAGTGCTGCGATGAACATACATGTGCAGGTATCTTTATAATAGAATGATTTATATTCCTTTGGTTATATACCCAGTAAGATGATTGCTGGGTCAAATGGTATTTCTGGTTCTAGATCTTTGAGGAATCGCCACACCGTCTTCCACAATGGTTGAACTAATTTACATTCCCATCAACAATGTAAAAGCATTCCTATTTCTCTGCAACCTCGCCAGCATTGGTTTCTTGACTTTTTGATAATCATAATTCTGACTGGAGTGAGATAGTATCTGATCGTGGTTTTGATTTGCATTGCTCTAACGATCAGTGATGTTGACCTTTTTTTCATATGTTTGTTGGCTGCATGCATGTCTTCTTTTGAGTCGTGTCTGTTCATGTCCTTTGCCCACTTTTTAATGGAGTTGTTTGTTTTTTCTTGTAAATTTTTTTAAGTTCCTTGTAGATTATGGATAATAGACCTTTGTCAGGTGGATAGATTGCAAAGATTTTCTCCCATTCTGTAGGTTGCCCGTTCACTCTGATAATAGTTTCTTTTGCCGTGCAGAAGCTCTTTAGTTTAATTAGATCCCATTTGTCAATTTTTCCTTTTGTTGCAATTGTTTTTGATGATCTCGTCAAGAAACCTTTGCCCGTGCCTATGTTCTGAATGGTATTGCCTAGATTTTCTTCTAGGATTTTTATAGTTTTGGGTTTTACATTTAAGTCTTTAATCTATCTTAAGTTTTGTATAAAGTGTAAGGAAGGGGTCCACTTTCAGTTTTCTCCATATAGCTAGCCAGTTGCCAGTTCTCCCAGCACCATTTATTAAACAGGGAATCCTTCCCGTTGTTTATTTTTGTCAGATTTGTCAAAGATCAGATGGTTGTAGTTGTGCAGTCTTATTTCTGAGTTCTCTATTTTGTCCAATTTGTCTATGTTTCTGTTTTTGTACCAGTACCATGCTGTTTTGGTTACTGTAGCCTTGCAGTATCATTTGAAGTCGGGTAGCATGATGCCTCCAGCTTCGTTATTTTTGCTTAGGATTGTCTTGGCTATACGAGCTCTTTTTTGGTTGCAGCAGTGCTTCTTAAATGTTGGTTCCCAGAAAGCAGCAACACCATCACCTAGGAACTTATTAGAAACATATTCTCAGGTGTTTCCACAGACCTGAATAAAAAACTCTGGGGCTAGCACCCAATAATTTGTACTTTTAAAAAGCACCCCAACCTCAGGTGATTTTGATACATACTAAAGTTTGAGAACCACCAATGTGGAATTTTGGAAATTTTAAACCATACCGGAATGAATTCTAATAACTACAAGTGAATTGATTGTTATGAGATTTGCCTGAGATGTTATTTAAGGATAAGAAGAGAAATTGGACAGAATACATTTAAAAGCAGTGGCTTGGGAAAAAGAAAACTTTTCATATTTCATCCTAATGATTGAAGAACAGGTGCATTAACAACAATTCATTAATGATTCTATATTTGTAAATATCCATTATTTTTAACAAGAATGGGATGATATTTTAGTTTTATATTCAATATTAAATCTGATCAACACCAGCATTTTGTTGATAAGCCATGTTAATACCTGCTCCTAAAAAATAAGCAGACCCTTAATGGTTTATTGCTGCCCAGTCTCTAGATTGCAGATGGCTGAAAAAAGATAAATGACTGTTCTTGCTCCCAAGGGACCCTACCACTCTTTAGACCAACTTACTGTGAGAGTAAATTCTGAAAAATCCAGGACTTACAAAATACACAAACATGGGGGAATGGTGGGGTGGGCAATTCCTGAGTGATCTTTAGCTGTTTTAGCGATGCCATAAACGCACGGAGACAGGAAAGCATGGCAAAATATACCTTTTTTTAGGTCTTAAAAATAGATATGAGCCAGGTGCAGTGGCATGGGCCTATAGTCCAGCTACTCAGGAAGCTAAAGCAGAAGAATTGCTTAAGTCCAGGAGTTCAAGTCTAGCAACATAGTGAGACCCCAAGTAAAAAAAAAAAATTTCAATAGATATAATAGAAACCAAAAAAACAGTATTTAGGTTTTGTAACCTAAATTCTTAGGAAGATAGATGAGTAAAAATATACTAATAATTACCTAAATAAGAACCCCCAAAACACACCTGCCCGATTTTAAATTACTTGAGCTATAGAAGAGGAACTTTAATTGGATTGCATTAAGAAGTCAGTTTTATTTGAATTTACTTTTTGCACAGATGTGTTGTTGAAGCTGTCATATTCAACATCTATTCAGCTCCTCTCTCTGACACAATGTATTTGCTTCCATCTGTGTGTTGCAACGGTGACATCTAGTGACTATTTTACTGAAGTGCATTCTTGGAGAAAAAAATGCACATCATAAAAATATTACTATTTCGGTCCCTATTATTTCCAGAAGTCACCTCTGGTATGAACCTTCCTAACAGTATGAAAAGAGTTAAGAAAAGATCTGTGCTATTCAAATCATTCAAATTGCATTTTATTTATGATTAGTACTTATATGAAGCTAGAGAATTTCAAAACATAAATTCAACCTGGAAACAAAGCCATATCTGGTAGGCAGTTACTAAAGTCACCATTTAAGTTGAAATTAGACTTCCTAATAACTCACTTTTATACTACTGTTTATCCACTGAAGCCAAGGAAAATGACCAATTATTTCTTTTCTGTTTTATCTTTCAGCCTACAGTTTCTACTATATGTATATGTGGTTCTGAACTTTAGATTCCACACAGTAGCATTCTACTTTTCTTTAAGATGAAGAAACAAGAACATTTAGTGGGGCACTTTAGGCAATGAAGAATTAACGCAGTTTTCTGGGAGTTATCTATAGATAATCCCAAAACACAGCTGACACGCTGCTCCATTGTTTCATTCACTGTGCAGATTTTAAGCAGGCAGGTGTAAACATTCACTTCAGGAACAAATTTCACTGCACAGTGTTGCTTACAATGTGAAGAACTAAAGTTCCAGCCTCCAGGAAGCAAGCTTATATGTTGGCCCAACTGCAAAATGGGAGGAGGAGGGCGATGTTGTAGAAGGCTGTACCACTGTCCTATCTCATTTCTAAAGCATTCGTGTAAAAGTGGCACTAAATCAGATAAGTGTGGTCCCAGGCAGGAGTGTCTCATTTCAGTCATATGCACATGTAACATAATCATCACTAGTGGCATCTTACCAACATTAATTAAATCAAGATCTTACAGATCTTATGATACTACGCCATTTGGTGGGGGAGAAAGGGGAGTAAAGAGGGAAGACTACAGAAAAAATCATGGATGTCTGGGGTTAATATATATAACCCAAGGTCAGCTGTCTCTATGTTCTCTAATGTTGTGAAATCACCTTTTTTTTGTTTGTTTAAAAATTGGCCCAAGCACCTATGCCATACAGGTGAGGAAATGTGCTATCGGGGCCCTTTCCCCTACCTCTACCTCCAGATGACCCTTGTAGGATTTAAATTTATCTTATTCATCTCTTGCTATCATATCCTGCCTCTGCTGAGTTCTCTCTTGGTCTCTGTATCTACAGCTGTTCTTCACTCTCATTCCAGCTAAACTAAAAAGAGGCTGCTTGCCGGGCGCGGTGGCTCATGCCTGTAATCCCAGCACTTTGGGCGGCCGAGGTGGGTGGATCACGAGGTCAGGAGATCGAGACCATCCTGGCTAACACAGTGAAACCCCGTCTCTACTAAAAAATACACAAAATTAGCCGGGCGTTGTGGCAGGCGCCTGTAGTCCCAGCTACTCGGGAGGCTGAGGCAGGAGAACAGCGTGAACCTGGGAGGCGGAGATTGCAGTGAGCCGAGACAGCGCCACTGCACTCCAGCCTGGGCGACAAAGCGAGACTCCGTCTCAAAAAAAAAAGGTGGCGGGGGTGCTGCTTAAAAGCAGGAGCCCCTTCTAAGCTCCCCACTTCATATCCAGTGCCTACAACAGCAGTTGCTGGATAGTAGTCACATCGTCTCATTTTCTCATTCAAAGCAATTCTGTCATTCTTTTATCTATTCTCCCTTCCAGACCAAGTCCTGAGCTCCATCTTTTCACACCAAGTAGCTCCTTAAAGTGATTTATTGAAATAAAGGATGACTCTTCCTATAAGAAATTCTGTCCCCAGAATACTCTCACTTCTTATATATTTAAGAAACACCTAGAGTATATTTCAAAACATTTTGTATACAGTAAATATATATACTTTTTATTTGTCAAATAAAAAAAACAAACCTAGATATAGTAAGCTAGCCCACCAGAAATGAAATTTTACCTCTTCAACAACAGAACCTGAGACATGGTCTGTACAGTAAGAAAAAGAGTTACCCTGGAGCAGATCTTGAAAATTCAATTTTAGAAAACAACCCATCTCACCAATCTCTGCATGGTAATCAGAGATCTCAGCATTGTCCAAGCAGAAAGCATGTGGGAGAGAAACAGCACCAGTATAAATGACACTTCACTCATTCGTCAATGATGTGAGCAACTCTTTTGCTAAATAACAGAATATTTTCTGACACTAAGAGAATATTTTCTCAATTTTGTGTGCTATCCTTACTGCAAAGATTATACATACAATGCACTTTTCAGTTTATTCTGAATTATTAACATTTCCTCCATGACTTTTTTAAGCCTAGACCAGGTCTCAGCGAATGATACCAGCAGGTGAAATCCACCCTGCCACCTATTTTTATAAGTTTTACTGGAACACAGCCATGCTGCTTGTTTAAGCATTGTCGATGGCTGCTCGAGTGCCACAACAGAGTCAGGCAGTTTGACAGACACAGCATGGTCCTAGAAGCCCAAAATTGTTACTGCCTGGCTTGCTACTGTCTAGCTTGCCAACACATTCTTTACTCTCTCTTTCTGGTACTCTATCTCCCTCACCTCAGAGATCAACATGCCCTTCTGGTGAGTCAAAGCCCCTGCTGCTTTCCCACCTATCATAACTCCCTCCATTACTTCCCTGACCTCCTTTTCTTCCATAAAATATTCATTTATGTGTATTTTAATTAAAAGGTGACAAAGGGGATTATATAATTATTTTATGGTAAGTTTTGACTATTAGATTCAATCCTCCTACTTTTAAAAGAGGAGCTTATAACTTATTAAAGAAAAACAAATCTTGCTAGAATGACATCTGCAGAACATTAGTATGTTTGCAGCTTTACCAGCCATGTTCCTATCTTCTTGGCTTCTATCACAGACTTTCTAGGGAAGAATAATGGAATGGACAGAGAGCCAGAGCCATCCACACCTCTGGGGCTCCATTTAGAAAGTGAGTGACTTTCTATCAATTCTCTATGAGAAGGATAAGAGATTGGTTCTGACTTTAACCACCATTAATTAAATTTTGCTTATTTATCTTCATTCCTACTTTTCTGAGGTTTTAGCCTAGCTCCAGGTTTATTCCTATCATTTCTGGGTAAAAATAATATAGGAATATTCAGATATTGTACTTTTTATATTTAATACTTTTTGCAAAGTGAAGTTAGCAAACCTTTGATGAATGTGGTTTTCTCTCAAGGTTCCATAACGTAATAGTTCCATTTAAAGGTTTAAGTTATTTGTGTGCTTTTATTTACCCATAATTGTTGACTTTTTTTAAATAACCTTGTTTATTGTAGAAAATGTTTAAAAATACAGATAACAAAATGTAAACTCCCCCCCAACATAATCACCACGAAAATATGGGTATACCTATAATATTTTCTCCGCACAGACACATGCACAAAATTGTGTATATGAGTATATACATATAAAGGCATAATGTGTTTCATTTTACTTTACTTTATTACACTTCGCAGATATTGTGCTTTTCTAAAATTCAAGGTTTGTAGCAACTCTGCATCAAGCAAGTCTCTTGGTGCCATTTTCCAACAGCATATGCTCACTTTGTGTCACATTTTAGTAATTCAATATTTCAAACATTCTCATTATTATCATATCTGTCATGGTGATCTGTCATAAGTAACCTTTGATACTACTATTGTAATTGTTTTGGGGCATCATGAACCATTCCCACATAAGACAGCAAACTTAATAAATGTTGTGTGTGTTCTTATCCCATGGACCAACCAGTCATTCCCCCATCTCTTCCCCTATCCTTGGGCCTCCCTATTCTCTGAAACACAACAATATCGAAATTAGGCCAATTAATAACCGTACAATGGCGTATCCATGTTCAACTGAAAGGAAGAATTACATTTCTCTCACTTTAAATCAAAAGCTAGAAATGGCTAAGTTTTGTGAAGAAGGCATGTCAAAAACCAAGACAGGCTGAAAGCTGTACTACTCCAGTGAACACATGAATGATAAAAAAGCAAAACAACCTTATTGCTGATATGCAGAAAGTTTGAGAAGTCTAGATAGAAGATTAAATTAGCCACATTCCCTTAAGCCAAAGCCTGATCCAGATCAACGTCCTCCCTTTCTTTCTCTATGAAAGCTGAGAGAGGTGAGGAAGTTGCAGAAGAAAAGTTGGAAGCTAGCAGAGGTTAGTTCATGAGGCTTAAGGAAAGAAGCCATCTCGTAACATAAAAGTATAAGGAGAAGCAGCAACTGCTGATGTAGAAGCTGCAGCAAATTATTTAGAAGATCTAGCTGAGATCACTGATGAAGGTAGCTACATTAAACAACACATTTTCAGTGTAGATGAAATAGCCTTATTTTGGAAGAAGATGTTGTTTGGGACTTTCATAGCTGGAGAGAAGTCAATGTCTGACTTCAAACCTTCAAAGTATAGGCTGGCTACCTTGATAGGAACTAATGCATCTGGTGACTTTAAGTTGGAATCAATGCTCACTGACCATTCCAAAAATTCTAAGGACCCTTAAGCATTATGCTAAATCTACTGTCTGTGTGCTAGAAATGTCAAAACAAAGCCTAGATGACAGCACATTTGTTGACAGCATGGTTTACTGAATATTTTAAGCCCACTGTTGAGATCTCCTGCTCAGAAAAAAAAATGAAAGATTTGTTTTAAAATATTACTGCTCTCTGGCAATGTACCTGGTCACAAGAGCTCTAACGGAGCTGTACAATACATTAATGTTGTTTTCATGCCTGCTAACACAATATCCATTCTGCAATCCATGGATCAAGGAGTTATTTTTACTTTCAAATCTTATTATTTAAAAAATACATGTTGTAAGACTATAGCTGTCATAAATAATGATTATTCTGATGGATCTGGACATAGTAAATTGAAAGTAATCTTCTGGAAGGGATTCGCCACTCTAGATGCCATTAAGAACATTTGTGATTCATGGGAGGAGGTCAAAATATTAACACCAAAATTAAAAGGAGTTTGGAAGGAGTTGATTCCAACCCTTATGGATGACTTTGAGGGGTTCAAAACTTCAGTGGAGGAAGTAACTTCAGTAGTGGTAGAAATAGCCAGAGAACTAGAATTAGAAGTGGGGTCTGAAGATGTGGCTGAATTGCTGCAATCTCATGATAAAACTTGAACGGATGAGTTGCTTTTTACAGATGAGCAAAGAAAATGATTTTTTGAATAGAATATACTCCTGGTGAAGATGCCATGAGCATTGTGAAAATGACAAGAAAGGATTTAGAATAGTACATAAACTCATTGATAAAGCAGTAGCAGGGTTTAAGAGGATTGACTCCAATTTTAAAAGAAGTTCTACTGTGAGTAAAATGCTATCACACAGCATTGTGTGCTACACAGAAATCTTTTGTGAAAGGAAGAGTCAATCAATACAGCAAACTTTATTGTTATTTTATTTTAAGAGATGCCAAAGCCACCCCACCTTTCAGCAGCCACCAACTTGATCAATCAGCAGCTATCCGCACTGAGGTAAGACTCTTCATCAGCAAAAAGACTGTAACTCATTCAAGGCTCTAATAATCATTAGCATCTTTTAGCAATAAAATATTTTAATTCAGATTTGTATATTTTATTTTTAGACATAATGCTATTGCACATTTAATAGACAATAGTATAGTATAAGCATAATTTTTATATGCACTGGAAAACTAAAATATTTATGTAACTTGTTTTATTGCAATATTGGCTTTGTCACAGTGGTCTGGAATCAAACTCGCAATATCTAGAAGGTATGCCTGTTTGTGTGTATGTGTGTGTGAGTGTGTGTGTGTGTGACTGTGTGTGTAGTTATAATGTGTTTATTATTTTAGACACAACTACTTTCACTTAATCATATATAGTGAAGGTCTTTCAATGTCATTAAATGTTCTTCCACAATATCATTCTTATTTGCTATTTAGTGTTTGCTTATATAGCTAGACCACAATGAATTTAACAAATAGCTTTATATATGATATTTCAGGTTTAAAACTATTTATTATTCACAACACTGCAATAAGTACCCTAGGCACCTTCTATGGTCTGAATGTTTGTGTCCCTCCCAAATCTACATGTTGAAATCCTAACCCCAAGGCAATGGTATGAGGAGGTGAGGTCTTTGGGAAAGTGATTAGTTAACAACCACAGAGCCCTCAAGAATAGGATAGGGCCCTTATAAAAGAGACCCCAGAGAGATCCTCGCCTGTTCAACCATGTGAGGCGACAGAAAGAGGATGGCTGACTATGAACCAGAAAGTAGGCCCTCACCAGACACAGAGTCTGTTGGCACGCTGACCTTGCACCTTCCAAACCTTCAAAATTGTGAGAAATAAATTTCTATTGTTTATAGCCACCCAGTTTACGGTCTTTTGTTTATAAGCCACCAAGTTTATGGTATTTATGGAACCAGCTGGATCAACACCCATCCAGTTACTATTTTTTTTTTTTAGGTAAGTACTTTCTGAATCAACAACTAGGTATGCCTTTCACAGCTGTGAACTCTGAAGTGGGATTATGGGTGACTTAAATTTCCTTTTTATTATTTATCAATTTTTCCAATTTTTCTACAACGAGTCAAATAGAGGTACTCAGAATATTTCAAAGCCATTCTCTCTTCTCTCTCTCTCTCTCGATTAACAGTTAAATAGACGCATAATACCAAATTATGTATTTATGGATCTACACCATTTTGTTCGTTATAAAACTATAGAACTTAATTTTGAGCTGTAAAGTACCCTTTCATGATATTTAGCCATTTAAAACAAACAGCCTATGCTTAATGTATGCTTTAAATTATTAGAATAATATAACAGAATCTGTTGTTTTTAACAGGTACGGTAGCATCTTTCCCTAAAACACAAATAAGGCAATTTTCCCTTCTACTGATAAATACAATTTTATGAACAGACTCTCAAGTGTTTCATGTCTTATTTCATTACCAGCAGTAACAACCTACTTCTGCCATCTTCCTAATGACAATTTTCATTATAGAGATAAGAAAAGGCATTACATTTAGAAACTCGGCATCTCAGGTGTAACTCCTTGGTGAATATTTCCATCAGTTCCTCTCGTTTTCCTGTTCAACATTAATCAACTCTCTCCCTATAAATATGCTACGTTTCATTTAGAGATAATGTTTTAAGTTAATCAACTACCTACATCATGTTTAGCTTTCAGGAACCACTTTGGTATATATTAGGGAGCACAAATATTAAAGCTGTAAATGTATTTCTTAATGAATTCACAGTTACATTTCATTAAATTTAGAGCCCTTTGATACAAAATAAGGGCAGCAATAGAAAAGTCCCTACATTCTATTCATCCTGTGAAAGTAATTGCACTCAGAAAGAGGTTTCCTGGCACAATTTAAACAGGATGGTAAGGAAGACTTAATTGGTCTTGGAGTATATCGCTACAGTTCCACAAGCTATACAAGATGGTTCCAATTTGATAGTTTTCAGTAAATATCCAGCTCTGTCCTTCCATAGACAATTCAAAGCAGCATGGTTGATTTTCCTACTTAGTGGTATTTTCTGGTCTCAGAGGGACGCATCTCACCACTTTTATTTTTCAGATCAGTGTGGTATAGATGTCACGCAATGGACATTAGAATGATTCTTCAAGGAGTTCCTATGGTAGTGAACTGAAATTCATAAGAATGGGATGGTGAAGGATCAGTGTGCTCTATGCATTGTTTATTCAAAAAATATTTACCAATCATCACTTTCAGGCACCAAGCTATATGCTAAGAAATGTACTCCCTGATACTTCCAGATTGTAACTCCTATATTACTTCATTTGCTCCAATATTACTATTGTCTTTTAAATATCCACTTGGATCATCTTTTGAATAATCTGACTTATCAATACTTCAATTTTATTTCCCAAAGTGAATCCCAAGATAAGTACTTGAATGCAGTCAGTTTAAGAGACAATTCCAAGAAGTAACAGTGAGGGAGTAAGAAGAGTGAGATTGAGGTGTATGCTATGGCATTAGTTACCAGAATACACTGTAGCAGCTCAATCCTTCTGAGTACCTTCTGGAGAATCATGTTGAACTGAACTACCCTTCCAAAGAAGAGCAACTGAGGCATTTATCCAACTCCGTTTCCCAGTTGGTATGGATTTGTCGCCAGAAATATAAACCCCGACATACTTCAAAATTGCCTTCCCTGGACTGAGGGAGACCTTAAGGCTTCAGAGAAAGATCTGAGGCAGAAAAGCAAGAAGATAGCATGTACTGAAAGTGGGACAGTGTCATCAATTTTCTGAATTTGCATGTCGACCTCTCTAGTGAAGCTGGGGAAATTTTTGTGGACAATATCCTCAAATATATTTTTCAAGTTGCTAGCTCTCTCTCTCCCTCTCTTTCAGGTATGCCAATGAGTCATAGGTTGGGACTCTTTACATAATTCCTGTTTCTCAGAGGTTTTGTTCATTCTCTTTTACTCTTTTTTCTTTATTTTTGTCTGCCTGAGTTGATTCAAGCTCAGATTCTTTCCTCAGTTTGGTCTATTTTGCTGTTATTACTTCTGATTGTATTATGAAATTCTTTCAATGAGTTTTTCAGCTTTATCAGATCAGTTTGGTTCTTTCTAAAAATGACTATTTCATATTTCATCTCTTGCATCATTTTACTGGATTCCTTAGATTCCTTGAATTGGGCTTCAGTTTTTTCCTGAATCCTTATTATCTTTGTTGCCTTCAAGATTCTAAATTCTGCTCTCCCTCTCCCTCTCCCTCTCCCTCTCCCTCTCCCTCTCCCTCCCTCTCCCTCTCCCTCTCCCTCTCCCTCCCTCTCCCTCTCCCTCTCCCCACGGTCTCCCTCTCCCTCTCTCCACGGTCTCCCTCTGATGCTGAGCTGAAGCTGGACAGTACTGCTGCCTGATTCTCCTGCCTCAGCCTGCCGACTGCCTGCGATTGCAGGCGCGCGCCGCCACGCCTGACTGGTTTTCGTATTTTTTTGGTGGAGACGGGGTTTCGCTGTGTTGGCTGGGCTGGTCTCCAGGTCCTAACCGCGAGTGATCCGCCAGCCTCGGCATCCTGAGGTGCCGGGATTGCAGACGGAGTCTCGTTCACTCCGTGCTCAATGGTGCCCAGGCTGGAGTGCAGTGGCGTGATCTCGGCTCGCTACAACCTTCACCTCCCAGCAGCCTGCCTTGGCCTCCCAAAGTGCCGAGATTGCAGCCTCTGCCCGGCCGCCACCCCGTCTGAGAAGTGAGGAGCGTCTCTGCCTGGCCGCCATCCCATCTAGGAAGTGAGGAGCGCCTCTTCCCGGCCGCTATCCCATCTGGGAAGTGAGGAGCGTCTCTGCCCAGCCGCCCATCATCTGAGATGTGGGGAGCACCTCTGCCCTGCCGCCCCGTCCGGGATGTGAGGAGCGTCTCTGCCCGGCCGCCCCGTCTGAGAAGTGAGGAGACCCTCCGCCCGGCAACTGCCCCGTCTGAGAAGTGAGGAGCCCATCCGCCCAGCAGCCGCCCCGTCTGGGAAGTGAGGAGCGTCTCCGCCCGGCAGCCACCTCGTCCGGCAGGGAGGTGGGGGGGTCAGCCCCCCGCCCGGCCAGCCTCCCCGTCCGGGAGGGAGGTGGGGGGGTCAGCCCCCCGCCCGGCCAGCCGCCCCGTCCGGGAGGTGAGGGGCGCCTCTGCCCGGCCGCCCCTACTGGGAAGTGAGGAGCACCTCTGCCCGGCCAGCCGCCCCGTCAGGGAGGGAGGTGGGGGGTCAGCCCCCCGCCCGGCCAGCCGCCCCGTCCGGGAGGTGAGGGGTGCCTCTGCCCTGCTGCCCCTACTGGGAAGTGAGGAGCCCCTCTGCCCGGCCAGCCGCCCCGTCCGGGAGGGAGGTGGGGGGTCAGCCCCCCGCCCGGCCAGCCGCCCCGTCCGGGAGGGAGGTGGGGGGGTCAGCCCCTCGCCCGGCCAGCCACCCCATCTGGGAAGTGAGGGGCGCCTCTGCCCGGCCGCCCCTACTGCGAAGTGAGGAGTTCCTCTGCCCGGCCAGCCGCCCCGTCCGGGAGGGAGGTGGGGGGGTCAGCCCCCCGCCCGGCCAGCCGCCCCGTCCGGGAGGTGAGGGGCGCCTCTGCCCAGCCGCCCCTACTGGGAAGTGAGGAGCCCCTCTGCCCGGCCAGCCGCCCCGTCCGGGAGGGAGGTGGGGGGGGTCAGCCCCCCGCCCGGCCAGCTGCCCCGTCCGGGAGGTGAGGGGCGCCTCTGCCCGGCCGCCCCTACTGGGAAGTGAGGAGCCCCTCTGCCCGGCCACCACCCCATCTGGGAGGCGTACCCAACAGCTCATTGAGAACAGGCCATGATGACAATGGCGGTTTTGTGGAATAGAAAGGGGGGGAAGGGTGGGGAAAAAGATTGAGAAATCGGATGGTTGCTGTGTCTGTGTAGAAAGAAGTACACGTGGGAGACTTTTCATTTTGTTCTGTACTAAGAAAAATTCTTCTGCCTTGGGATCCTGTTGATCTGTGACCTTACCCCCAACCCTGTGCTATCTGAAACATGTGCTGTATCCACTCAGGGTTGAATGGATTAAGGGCGGTGCAAGATGTGCTTTGTTAAACAGATGCTTGAAGGCAGCATGCTCCTTAAGAGTCATCACCACTCCCTAATCTCAAGTACCCAGGGACACAAACACTGCGGAAGGCCGCAGGGTCCTCTGCCTAGGAAAACCAGAGACCTTTGTTCACTTGTTTATCTGCTGACCTTCCCTCCACTATTGTCCTGTGACCCTGCCAAATCCCCCTCTGCGAGAAACACCCAAGAATGATCAATTAAAAAAAAAAAAAAAAAAAAAAAAAGATTCTAAATTCTAAGTCTGTCATTTAAGCCATTTCAGTCTGGTTAAGAACCATTGCTGGGGAGCCAGTGCAATCATTTAGAGGTCAGAAGACACTCTGGCTTTTTGAGTTGCCAGAGTTCTTGTGCTGGTTCTCATCTGTGTGAGCTGATGTTCCTTTAATGCTGGAAGTTGCTATGCTTTGGATGCAGCTTTTTGCTTTTATATTCTTTCATGCCCTTGAGGGTTTGACTGTGGAATAAGTTGAGTTCCGTCAACTGGCTTCCTTTCTAGATACTTTTGGGGTGCCTGAGTTCAGCTCAGCACACTTGGGCTGTATGCTGTAACCCCAGGAGGCTGACACCAGACCCATATCTTTGATCTCCGGCCCCTTGAAAACACCTGCTGCACTGGCAGAGCTGAGATGTTCCCAATCTACTAGCAACAACACTTGAATGGGGATGCCAGCAGAAGCACTTCCATGGGGGCACATCTGCTGAAGCTCTTCAACGGTTAGGCATGGCCTTCTGGTAAAAGGAGTTATGATGGCAGCCACCAGGAGGAACCCCAGTTGGGTATCCAAGGCTATGCTGCAAGTGGATATAGCCAGGGAGGGACCTTGAAACGTAGGTCAGCAGATAGGGCTGCTCTGATCTGACTGACCCTGTCCCATGGGCAAGACAGTTCTTTTCTGTCCATGTCCTGCAGTCAACAAAGGCCAAAGTCACCTAGAGGAGCATGGTGAACTTTAGGGGATGGGCTTCCTTGGCCACGCTCCACTGCAACCATTCCCATGCCACACCCTCTGGGTTCAGCACAGGCTGGAGTCCTGTCTCTGCCACCTCTCCAAGTAGCTCTCCCTGCCATTTCAGATGTCCATGGGGGTCATGGGGTCTCCTGCAGCTAGGATTCCAGAGGTCTGGTAAGAGTGGGCCACTCCTTGCCTATTTAACTCACTCCCTCCCCAGCAGCCACTGGTGACAGTGGGGGGTAGAAACAAGTCCGGTTCTTGTCAGCCCCAGGCAAAATTCCCAGGTTCCTCTTCCTTCGCCCCAAGGTTTGCATACTCCCTCCATCCACTCTCAATTCCTACCTTCCAAAGATTTGCTCAGAATATGCCGGTCTTCTTGATGGTCTGGTCTCTCAGTGGGAGATGCTCTTCCTGGCTGGGTCTAGTCAGCCATCTTAGCCCTGATTTTAACCATTCTTAAACCTTATCAGATCCTACCATCCATTTATCCTACCACCTTTCCACTGTCCATCATTTTCTTCATATACTCACTTCCTTTCACAGCTTAAATCTACAGTTCAACTTCATAATTATTTTCTTGCACATATTCTCAACTCCCTTGCCTCTCTCAGCTTCTCACTCTCTCCTGGTGAAACCCTAATACTGGGGAAGCCATCACTCCATCTATTCTGTCCTTGTATCCTTGCAGTTGAAAGAATCTGCAGAAAAACATACTACCATGCTGACTGGTCTCACTTTTAATGCCTGGCCAGTCTGCACAAGTGGGCTCTTAATGCTGCCCAACAATCAAACCATATTTCCCTAGTCATTCGCACTCCCACCCTGTATAATTGTTTCATATCTTCTAGTCTCACCTCAAACCTCCATCAACTACTTGTTCATCCTAATTTTCAGCTGACAATCATGCTTCCTGTATCTCTGAGAAAATAAAAGTGGAAGAGAATCCCCATAAGCTTCCATCACCATCACATCTACTCATCTCATATATGTACCTCCTTACACTCTTTTTTACCGTTAATACAGATTAGTTGTCCACACTTCTATGCAAGCTTAATGCTTCATCTTGTCTACTCCTGCTCAAGAACATCACACTTACAAATATTCCCAATTCCCTCTTCTTTTCCATATCACAAATGTTTCTCCCCCTGCTGAAATCTTTCCCATATGCATAAAAGCATGCTAACATTGCTACCATCTTAAATAACAACGATAATGATAAATTCTCTCATTGTCTTACTACCCTTCCAGGTTAAACTCCATTACACTCCTTCCCTTTAAACAAAACTCCTAATTCAGAGTTGTCTATATTCAATGTATCTAATTTACCTGCACTCATTCTCTTTTGAATCAACTCCAGGCAGCCCCAGCCAAACTGCTCTCATGAAGAGAAAATATGAATCCCTTTCATATTTGATTGTTAAATTCTACAAGAAATACTCAGTCCTCTTATTTTTATTTTTTAATATATTTTTATTTCAATACCTTTTTGGGTACAAGTAGTTTTTTGTTAAATGGATAAATTATATAGTCATGAATTCTGAGATTCTAGTGCATCTGTCACATAAGTAGTGTACATTGTACCCAATATGCAGTTTTTTTAATCACACATACCCCTTCCAACCTCCCCCTTATGAGTCTCCAAAGTCAATTATATCACTCTGTATGCCTTTGCGTACTCATATCTTAGCTTTCATTTAACAAGTGAGAACACATGGTATTTGGTTTTCCATTCCTTAGTTACTTCGTTTAGAATAATGGCCTCCAATTCCATGCAGAAATCCTCTAGTGAGGGTTTCTATTTCTTCCTGATTTAATCTAGGAGAGTTTTATGTTTCTAGGAACTTATCCATTTTCTCTAGGTTTTTTATGTGTGCATAGAGGTGTTGATGGTAGTCTCAAATGATCATTTGTATCTTTTGTATTTCTGTGATGTTGGTTGTAATTTCTCCAGTTTTATTTCTAACTGAGCTTATTTGAATCTTCTTTCTTTTGTTGGTTAATCTAGCTAATGGTCTATCAATTTTGTTTATAATTTCAAATAACTAATTTTGTTTCATTGATCTTTTGTATTGTGTTTTGTTTCAATTTTATTAAGTTCTGCTCTGATCTTCGTTATTTCTTTTCTTCTGCTAGCTTTGGGTTTAGTTTGGGTAGACAGTTTCTCCTGATTATTCTTGAACTTATTTTTTATTTGTATTTTGTTAAATTTATTTTCCCCCTTTAAGGATGTGACTTTTAATGTTTATAGTTTATAGCTTAATTTGGCTCTTGGTGCTTTCAGGGCTGAAGACTGTGTATGAGTTCCTTGGTTATAGAGAGTCTTTGTATGATGGCTTCCTCAGATGCTGGTTGCAGTACCAACGTGCTCGGTGAGTGAGCAAGTTCACTGTCTCCTATAGGGTTGGAATGACAGAGGTATCTTGAAGTGTATTTGATTCCCCCTTGGTGTGTACTTCTTTATTTATTCCCCAGTATTTTATTTACTGGATTGAATGCTTCAGGATTGGGGCCAATAGGAAAGGTGTCCACAGATTAAAACCAGCTGTAGCTAAAGCAGGTGGGTAAATGCAACATTCAATGGTGGGCAGAAGTCCCAGCCTTGACAGAAGTGGCTGGGGGCACCCTCAGTGAAACACACTGAGGTCTTATCAGAGGGAATGGCCATAACCATCTCAGCTCCCCTGCCAGGCCAACAGGAAAGCTATCCACCTCCCAGACACACTCCTGACCAAGTGTTCCAGCTGTTCAGATCAGACAAGTGCCTCTTTTCATCGGCAGAAATGCTGATGTACCAAGTAGAGAGGAAATGTGACCCTACCTCTCATGCAAGCCTGCACCTGGAAGGTGCTCCTCCTGTGGAGATGCAGTCACCCTGAAGTGTTACAGAAAGCCTGTGTATAGGTGCACTCATGCTAAGCTCCTGTGGGGAGAACACCAGCTGTGTCTGCAGTGGTGGACAAGGAGGAGAAGAACCCCCCCTTCTCCGAGATCCTTCATGGGCACCAGGGCCTCCTGATTGTTGGGGCAAAACTGCAGACTTTCCCGGTTGAACCCAGCATTGCAACTGTGCATCTGCTGAAAGAAACTTCCCACCAGCAGAAAGATCTGGGACTCAAGCCTGCCATCCAGGTTCCTTTGTCCTACAGGGTGTTTCCTTGATGAGCTGCACTCTCCCTTCCCCTAGGAGTAGGAGCCCCTGAGGGCCAGACTACTGTGAATGCTGTTGCCCCTGAGTCAAGTTGCCCAGTGGGGCTGGTAAACTCCAGGCTGGTTCTGGGGAATGTCTTCAAGGGATCCAGAGATGTGACCTGTCTTTAAGTTTCCCAGGAGTGTGTACTAGCACCAGCTCTGATGGGGGTGGCAAGGGAGTGATGTAGATCCTGTGAAATTCCTTGGTTATAGATAGCCTTAGTGTGTTGGCTTTCTCAAATGCTGGTTGTAGTAGTAATGAACTGGTCACATGTACAGACTTAGGACCTCCTGGTTAGCCAGGGTTGTGTAGGCAATGGTGACAGCTGAGGTCACACACAAGTTTTCTCCTTCCTGGGTGTGGTATTATTCAACTTGGAGATGCTGTAATGGACTGCGTCAGCTAGCCTCCAGCCAAAATGTGGCACTTGCAAAAGAGCACCAGCTATGGTAGTAGCAGTGGGATTTGTGCTTGCTTTATGTTACCCAAGAGAGGTACTCCGGTTTCTCAGGTGGTGGGCATAAAGCTCCCAAAAGTTTCTGTCCTTTGTGTTAAGATACCAGGCAGGTAGAGGGGCAAAGCCAGGTGGGGGCTGAGTTAGGCAGGTCTTTGGTCTGACTCTCCATGTGCAGAGCAAGCAGCAGCCCCTGTGGGAGTCAGGAGACAGTTCTCTGGACCCTGGGGTAATGTTCCAAAGAGGAGCATAGCTGCCTCTGTTGAACAGAAAAGTACTGCAGGAAATGTGGAGTAGCAGGCAGTGGTAAGTCCCACCCAGCTCCCACACACTTGGCAAGGCAGATCTCACACCCACAGCTTTCTACTAGCAGCAACGACCCTAAGTTCCAGGCCATCTGAGCACAGAACTCAAAACTCCCCCAGGCCATATACCTTCTCTGCAGGGATAACAACCACAGCTTTCAAGCCATGCATGAAAAGCGCACCTGCACGACAGGGGTGCCCAGCTCCTATGCTCATGATTGCAGCACACTTCCCACTTACCCCCCAGTTCTGGCTAAAGGAGTTCTTCCCTACTCAAGGTTGTATCACAAAGTTCAGTTGGGAGCTTCTTCCAACATAAGACCACTGCCTGAGTCAGTTGCCAGACTTCTGCAAGGTCCCATATGAGTCAGAATAGGTAATGGCTTCCCTTGGTCCACACTGGAGACTGGGAATGTACACAAAGCTCTTCCTGCTGCCACTCCTACTTTTATATTGCTCACCCTCCTAAATTAGTTCTAGTACTGTATAGGATTAATGCCTTCCCCTGTGGCCTGGATTTCCAGGTTCCCTAGTGGGGGTGTATACCCTAGAAGCAGTCTCACCCCATCACACACTCTGGGGACTCACAGTTTCTTGCCTGACTCATGGTGTAGGCTGCAGCCTGCCACTTCTTTCAAATAATCTGTAGATTTCAGTTTTCCTGTTAAGTTCCTGCATTGCTTCTTGGAAAAAAGCTCACAGTGTGAATATGTACACACTATTTTGTCTCCAGGTGGGAGAAGCATGCAAACACTGCCTCCAATCTGACATCTTGGGGGAAAAATATCCTCATATTTTTAATGCATCAACAGTATTTGACACATTCACTCCTTCTTGAAATACTTTTATCAGTTGGCCTCCAGGACACCACACATAATTGGTTTTCTTCACTGGCTACTCATTGAGTCACACTTGCTACTTCCTTTTCATTTCCCTGTTTTCTAAACATTGGGATATGTTAGGACTTAATCTTTTGACTATACGTATACATATATATACATATACACACACACACACACACGCACACACTATTTTTCTCAGTGACATCATCCAGTTTCATAGCTTTAAATTTCATATGCTCATGAGTCTCAAATTTTTGTCTCTATCCCAGACCCCTCCCCTGAATTGTTGTAATTAGTTCCACTATATAATTTACATTCAACAAAATTCATCAATTTGCAGTATACACTTTGATGAGTTTTGGCAAACGAATATAGTCGTGTAACCACTACCAAAATCAAGATATAAAACATTTCCATCATTCCAATCCTTTGCCATCAATCCCTTCTCTCCACCCTTTGTCCCTGGTAACCAACAATCTTCCTCCTATCATTAGAGTTCTGTCTTTTGTAGAACCTCAGATAAAAGGTATCACACATTTTGTGGTATTTTGAGAATAGCTTCTTTCACTTAGGACAATGCTTTTGAGACTCATCTACATTATTGCATCTCTCAATAGTTCTTTCCTTTTTATTGCTGAGTAGAATTTTACATATGAATGTACAATTTATGTATTCATTCATTTGCATTCCCTTAATAACTAATAATGTTGACCATCTTTTCATATGCTGTTTACCATTCACATAATTCATTTGGTAGAGTGCCTACAAATCTTTCACCTATTTTTGTTATCAGATGTTTTATCTTCTTATTATTGAGTTGTAAGAATTCTTTTTATATTATAGCTACAAGCCTTTCATCAGATGTATGCTTTGCCAATATTTTCTATCTGTAGTTTGCCTTTTCCTCTTCTTAACAGTGTTTTAAGAAACAAACATTTTTAATTTCAATTAATTCTTTTTTTACCATTTATTTTTCCTATGGTTCATACATTTTGTGTCCTATCTAAGAAGCATCTGCCTAATCAAGGTTACAAAGATATTTGCCTGTGCTTTCTTCTATAATTTTATAGTGTACAGTCCATTTAAAGCTAATTTTTATAGTATGTATGGTAAGGGTTAAGGCCCAGATGGCTATCAAATTGTTCCAGTACCTTTTGCACCTACTGCAAAGACCATCCTTTCCTCTAATTAATTATCTTAAAAACTTTGTCAAAAATAAATTGACTACATGTGTATCTATCTATTCTGGGACTTATATTTGTTTCTATTTTTCTATTTGTCTCTCTCTATGCCAATGTCATGCTATTTAATAACTACAGCTTTACAAAAGAGTAGAGATCAGCCAGGCACAGTGGCTCACACCTGTAATCCCAGCACTTTGCAAGGCTGAGGCAGGTGGATCACGAGGTAAAGATATCGAGACCATCCTGGCTAACACAGTGAAACCCCGTCTCTACTAAAAATACAAAAAATTAGCCAGGCATGGTGGTGGGCACCTGTAGTCCCAGCTACTCAGGAGGCTGAGGCAGGAGAATGGCGTGAACTGGGAAGCAGAGCTTGCAGTGAGCTGAGATCGCGCCACCACACTCCAGCTGGGGTGACAGAGCGAGACTCCATCTTAAAAAAAAAAAAAAAAAAAAAAAAAAACTAGAGATCAGATATTATATATGTTCTCAAATTTTGTTCTTTTCTAACACTTGTTGCAAAGCTTATGAACTTTTGGACTGACATATAAATTCTTGAGTTGATTTGTCAATTTTTACCAAAGAGCTACCGGGATTTCAATAAACATGGAATCAGTTTGGGGACATTTGATATTTTAACAATTAATCTCCCAAGCTGTGAACAAGGTTTATATCTCCATTTATTAAAGTTTTATCTAATTTCTTTCAGTATATTTTGTGCTTTTGAGTATACACATTGTATACATATTTTATGACATTTATCCCTATAATTTTTAAATTTTATTGCCATCAAGATAAGTGCCATAAAAATGGCATTATTAAGTTAATGTAAAATCCCAATTGTCGATTGTAACTATATAGAAATATAATGAATTTCTGAATATTGACCTTGCATCCTGCAGCCTTGTGAAACTTACTTATTAGTTCCAGTAGCGTAATTCTTCAGTTTTTTTAAAAAGTGGATTATCATGTTATCTGCAAATAAAAACACTTTCTTTTCTCTATGTATTTTGTTTCTTTTTCTTGCCAAACTTCACTAGCTAGGAATCACAATAAAACACAGAAAGAAAGTAGTATATGTGGACAGGAGGTGAAATAGAAGTATATTGTTGAAGGTTTCATTCACTGTGTGGGAAATGATTTGTCATCTGGTGGTAGACTGTTGTGTTAGTTACCTATTGCTGAATAACAAAATACCCCAAACTTAGCAGCTTAAAACAGCAATAAACATTTATGATCTCCCACAGTTTCTGTGCATCTGGATGGGTTTAGCTGGGTGGTTCTGGCTAAGGGTCTCTCATGAAGTTGCAGTCAAGATGTGGAAAGGGGGTGGAGCCAAGATGGCTGAACAGGAACAGCTCCAGTCTACAGCTCCCAGCATGAGTGATGCAGAAGATGGGTGATTTCCGCATTTCCAACTGAGGTACTGGGTTCATCTCACTGGGGAGTGTCGGAAAGTGGGTACAGGACAGTGGGTGCAGCACACCAAGCGTGAGCCGAAGTAGGGGGAGGCATTGCCTCACCCGGGAAGTTCAAGGGGTCGGGGAATTCCCTTTCCTAGTCAAAGAAAGGGGTGACAGACGGCACCTGGAAAATCGGGTCACTCCCACCCTAATACTGCGCATTTCCAACAGTCTTAGCAAAGGGCACACCAGGAGATTATAGCCCACGCCTGGCTCGGAGGGTCCTATGCCCACGGAGCCTCGCTCATTGCTAGCCCAGCAGTCTGAGATCAAACTGCAAGATGGCAGCGAGGCTGGCGGAGGGGCGCCCACCATTGCCAAGGCTTGAGTAGGTAAACAAAGTGGCCAGGAAGCTTGAACTGGGTGGAGCCCACTGCAGCTCAAGGAGGCCTGCCTGCCTCTGTAGATGCCACCTCTGGGGGCAGGGCATTGCCAAACAAAAGGCAGCAGAAACCTCTGCAGACTTAAATGTCCCTGTCTGACAGCTTTGAAGAGAGTAATGGTTCTCCCAGCATGCAGCTGGAGATCTGAGAACGGATAGACTGCCTCCTCAAGTGGGTCCCTGACCCCTGAGTACCCTAACTGGGAGGCACCCCCCAGTAGGGGCAGATTGACACCTCACACAGCCGGGTACTACCCTGAGACAAAACTTCCAGAGGAAAGATCTGGCAGCAACATTTGCTGTTCACCAATACCCGCTGTTATGCAGCCTCCGCTGCTGATACCCAGGCAAACAGGGTCTGGAGTGGACCTCCAGCAAACTCCAACAGACCTGCACCTGAGGGTCCTGACTGTTAGAAGGAAAGCTAACAAACAGAAAGGACATCCACACCAAAACCCCATCTGTATGTCACCATTATCAAAGACCAAAGGTAGATAAAACCACTAAGATGGGGAAAAAACCGAGCAGAAAAACTGGAAACTCTAAAAATCAGAGTGCCTCTCCTCGTTCAAAGGAATGCAGCTCCTCACCAGCAACGGAACAAAGCTGGATGGAGAATGACTTTGACGAGTTGAGAGAAGAAGGCTTCAGACGATCAAACTACTCCGAGCTAAAGGAGGAAGTTCGAAACCATCACAAAGAAGCCAAAAACCTTGAAAAAAAATTAGATGAATGGCTAACTAGAATAACCAATGCAGAGAAGTCCTTAAAGGACCTGATGGAGCTGAAAACCAAGGCACGAGAACTACGTGATGAATGCACAAGCCTCACTAGCTGATTTGATCAACTGGAAGAAAGGGTATCAGTGATGGAAGATCAAATGAATTAATGAAATGAAGCGAGAAGAGAAGTTTAGAGAAAAAAGAATAAAAAGAAATGAACAAAGCCTCCAAGAAATATGGGACTATGTGAAAAGACCAAATCTACATCTGACTGGTGTACCTGAAAGTGACAGGGTGAATGGAACCAAGTTGGAAAACACTCTGCAGGATATTATCCAGGAGAACTTCCCCAATCTAGCAAGGCAGGCCAACATTCAAATTCAGGAAATATAGAGAACACCACAAAGATACTCCTCGAGAAGAGCAACTCCAAGACACATAATTGTCAGATTCACCAAAGTTGAAATGAAGGAAAAAATGTTAAGGGCAGCCAGAGAGAAAGGTCGGGTTACCCACAAAGGGAAGCCCATCAGACTAACAGCAGATCTCTCGGCAGAAACTCTACAAGCCAGAAGAGAGTGGGGGCCAATATTCAACATTCTTAAAGAAAAGAATTTTCAACCCAGAATTTCATATCCAGCCAAACTAAGCTTGATAACTGAAGGAGAAATAAAATACTTTACAGACAAGCAAATGCTGAGAGATTTTGTCACCACCAGGCCTGCCCTAAAAGAGCTCCTGAAGGAAGCACTAAACATGGAAAGGAAAAACCGGTAACAGCCACTGCAAAAACATGCCAAATTGTAAAGACCATCGAGGCTAGGAAGAAACTGCATCAACTAACGAGCAAAATAACCAGCTAACATCATAATGACAGGATCAAATTCACACATAACAATACTAACCTTTCATGTAAATGGGCTAAATGCTCCACTTAAAACACACACATTGGCAAATTGGATAAAGAGTCAAGGCCCATCAGTGTGCTGCATTCAGGAAACCCATCTCACATGCAGACACACACATAGGCTCAAAAGAAAAGGATGGAGGAAGATCTACCAAGCAAATGGAAAACAAAAAAAGGCAGGGGTTGCAATCCTAGTCTCTGAAAAAACAGACTTTAAGCCAACAAAGATCAGAAGAGACAAAGAAGGCCATTACATAATGGTAAAGGGATCAATTCAACAAGAGGAGCTAACTATCCTAAATATATATGCACCCAATACAGGAGCACCCAGATTCATACAGCAAGTCCTTAGAGACCTAGAAAGAGACTAAGACTCCCACACAATAATAATGGGAGACTTCAACACCCCACTGTCAACATTAGACAGATCAACGAGACAGAAAGTTAACAAGGATATCCAGGAATTGAACTCAGCTCTGCACCAAGCGGACCTAATAGACATCTACAGAACTCTCCATCCCAAATCAACAGAATATACATTCTTCTCAGCACCACACCACACTTATTCCAAAATTGACCACACACTTGGAAGTAAAGCACTCCTCAGCAAATGTAAAAGAACAGAAATTATAACAAACTGTCCCTCAGACCACAGTGCAATCAAACTAGAACTCAGGATTAAGAATCTCACTCACAACTGCTCAACTACATGGGAACTGAACAGCCTGCTCCTAAATGACTACTGGGTACATAACGAAATGAAGGCAGAAATACAGATGTTCTTTGAAACCAACGAGAACAAAGATACAAGATACAAGAATCTCTGGGAGACATTCAAAGCAGTGTGTAGAGGGAAATTTATAGCACTAAATGCCCACAAGAGAAAGCAGGAAAGATCCAAAATTGACACCCTAACATCACAATTAAAAGAACTAGAGAAGCAAGAGCAAACACATTCAAAAGCTAGCAGAAGGCAAGAAATAACTAAGATCAGAGCAAAACTGAAGGAAATAGAGACACAAAAAACCCTTCAAAAGATCAATGAATCCAGGAGCTGGTTTTTTTAAGAGATCAACAAAATTCATAGACCGCTGGAAAGACCAATAAAGAAGAAAAGAGAGAAGAATTAAATATATGCAATAAAAAATGATAGATAAAGGGGATATCATCACCGATCCCTCAGAAATACAAACTACCATCAGAGAATACTATAACTACCTCTACACAAATAAACTAGAAAACCTAGAAGAAATGGATAAATTCCTCGACACATACACCCTCCCAAGACTAAACCAGGAAGAAGTTGAATCCCTGAATAGACCAACAACAGGCTCTGAAATTGAGGCAATAATGAATAGTTTACCAACAAAAAAAGTCCAGGACCAGATGGATTCACAGCCGAATTCTACCAGAGGTACAAGGAGGAGCTGGTACCATTCCTGCTGAAACGATTCCAATCAATAGAAAAAGAGGGAATACTCCCTAACTTATTTTATGAGGCCAGCATCATCCTGATACCAAAGCCTTCCAGAGACACAACAAAAAAAGAGAATTTTAGACCAATATCCCTGATGAACATCCATGCAAAAATCCTCAATAAAATACTGCCAAACCAAATCCAGCAGCACATCAAAAAGCTTATCCACCATGATCAAGTGGGCTTCATCCCTGGGATGCAAGGCTGGTTCAACATATGCAAATCAATAAACATAATCCAGCATATAAACAGAACCAACGACAAAAACCATATGATTATCTCAATAGATGCAGAAAAGGCCTTCAACAAAATTCAACAGCCCTTCATGCTAAAAACTCTCAATAAATTAGGTATTGATGGGACGTATCTCAAAATAATAAGAGCTATCTAGGACAAACCCACAGCCAATATCATACTGAATGGGCAAAAACTGGAAGCATTCCCTTTGAAAACTGGCACAAGACAGGGATGCCCTCTCTCACCACTCCTATTCAACATAGTGTTGGAAGTTCTGGCCAGGGCAATCAGGCAGGAGAAGGAAATAAAGGGTATTCAATTAGGCAAAGAGGAAGTCAAATTGTCCCTGTTTGCAGATGACATGATTGTATATTTAGAAAACCCCATCGTCTCAGCCCGAAATCTCCTTAAGCTGATAGGCAACTTCAGCAAAGTCTCAGGATACAAAATCAATGTGCAAAAATCACAAGCATTCTTATATACCAATAACAGACAAACAGAGAGCCAAATCATGAGTGAACTCCCATTCACAATTGCTTCAAAGAGAATAAAATACCTAGGAATCCAACTTAAAAGGGACGTGAAGGACCTCTTCAAGGAGAACTACAAACCACTGCTCAAGGAAATAAAAGAGGATACAAACAAATGGAAGAGCATTCCATGCTCATGGGTAGGAAGAATCAATATCATGAAAATGGCCATACTGCCCAAAGTAATTTATAGATTCAATGCCATCCCCAACAAGCTACCAATGCCTTTCTTCACAGAATTGGAAAAAACTACTTTAAAGTTCATATGGAACCAAAAAAGAGCCCACATTGCCAAGTCAATCCTAAGCCAAAAGAACAAAGCTGGAGGCATCACACTACCTGACTTCAAACTATACTACAAGGCTACAGTAACCAAAACAGCATGGTACTGGTACCAAAACAGAGATATAGACCAATGGAACAGAACAGAGCCCTCAGAAATAATGCCACATATCTACAACCATCTGATCTTTGACAAACCTGACAAAAACAAGAAATGGGGAAAGGATTCCCTCTTTAATAAATGGTGCTGGGAAAACTGGCAGCCATATGTAGAAAGCTGAAACTGGATCCCTTCCTTACACCTTATACAAAAATTAATTCAAGATGGATTAAAGACTTAAATGTTAGACCTAAAACCATAAAAACCCTTGAATAAAACCTAGGCAATACCATTCAGGACACAGGCATGGGCAAGGACTTCATGTCTAAAACACCAAAAGCAATGGCAACAGAAGCCAAAATTGACAAATGGGATCTAATTAAACTAAAGAGCTTCTGCACAGCAAAAGAGACTACCATCAGAGTGAACAGGCAACCTACAGAATGGGAGAAAATTTTTGCAATCTACTCATCTGACAAAGGGCTAATATCCAGAATCTACAATGAACTCAAACAAATTTACAAGAAAAAAACAAACAACCCCATCAAAAAGTGGGCGTAGGATATGAACAGACACTTCTCAAAAGAAGATATTTATGCAGCCAACAGACACATGAAAAAATGGTCATCATCACTGGCCATCAGAGAAATGCAAATCAAAACCACAATGAGATACCATCTCACACCAGTTAGAATAGCAATCATTAAAATGTCAGGAAACAACAGGTGCTGGAGAGGATGTGGAGAAATAGGAACACTTTTACACTGTTGGTGGGACTGTAAGCTAGTTCAACCATTGTGGAAGTCAGTGTGGCAATTCCTCAGGGATCTAGAACTAGAAATACCATTTGACCCAGCCATCCCATTACTGGGTATATACCCAAAGGATTATAAATCATGCTGCTATAAAGACACAGGCACAGGTAAGTTTATTGCGGCACTATTCACAATAGCAAAGACTTGGAACCAACCCAAATGTCCATCGATGATAGACTGGATTAAGAAAATGTGGCACATATACACCATGGAATACTATGCAGCCATAAAAAATGATGAGTTCATATCCTTTGTAGGGACATGGATGAAGCTGGAAACCATCATTCTCAGCAAACTATCACAAGCACAAAAAAACCAAACACTGCATGTTCTCACTCACAGGTGGGAATTGAACAATGAGAACACATGGACACAGGAAGGGGAACATCACACACCAGAGCCTGTTGTGGGGTGGGGTGGGGAGGAAGGATAGCATGAGGAGATATACCTAATGTTAAATGACGAGTTACTGGGTGCAGCACAACAACATGGCACATCTATACATATGTAACTAACCTGCACATTGTGCGCAAGTACCCTAAAACTGAAAGTATAATAATAATAAATAAATAAAAGATGTCGAAAGGGGTTGCAGTTATCTAAACACTTTACTGGTGCTGCAAAATTTGCTTCCAAGATGGCTCACTCACGTAACTGGGAAGTTGATGCTGGGTCTTGGCTGGAGACTTCAGTTTCTCTCCATGTAAACTCTCTGTAGATGTGAGCATCCTCAGGACATGGCAGTTGGGTTTTCCTCAGAGGAGCAATGCAAAAAGGAGCAAGTTGGAAGCTCCAATATCTTTTTGACCTAGGCTTAAAATCCATACATTGTCAGTTCTCCATATTCTATTCTTTACAGAGTTTGGCCCTATGCCATGCAGGATGAGACTATATTAGAGTTGAACAGTAGAATGCAGAGACTGTTGGGGAGCATCTTAGAAGCTGCTTAACACAACTATGGTAAGTTACAGTGTCCTTATCATATACCTTACTTCTATATATGTTATAAAGCCAACAGTACATTATTTCTATTTTGCTTTAAGCAGTCAATTATCTGTTAAAGAGACTTAAAAACTAAGAAAATTAAGTATTTTTCATGTATCCATATATTTATGATTTCTGGCATTTTTTATTCCTATGTGAATACACAAGTTTCCATCTGGCATCATTTTCCTTCTGCCTGAATAACTTCCCTTAATATTTCTTATATTTAGTTTGCTGACAATGAATTTTACCTCTTTTGTTTGTCTGGAGAATTGTTTATTCACCTTTATTTTTAAAAAATCAAAAACCTGGACATAGAATTCTAGATTGACAGGTTTTTTTTCTTTCAACACTTGGAGGACTGTCATCCAGTTTGTGTAGTTTCTGATGAGAAGTTTCTGTTGAGACAGTGCCTTTTTTTTTTCCTCTGGCTGCTATTATGATTTTTCTCTTTATCAAAACTGGTTTTCTAAAATTCAATTACAATGTGTATTGGTGTGATTTTCTTAGGATGCTTTTCCGTCTTAGGATTCTTTGAGTTTCTAGGATCTATGAGTTTATACTTTTCATGACAGTTGGACAAACATTTGGCCATTATGTCTTCTCTTTTTACACTCCTCCACCTTGCTTCAGTGGTTCCAATTATATTAGATCTCCTGACTTTGTTCCTGAGGTCACTGATGCTCTGTTCATTTTTCTATTAGTCATTTTTCTCCCTGAGCTTCATTTTTGATAGATTCTATTGCTCCTTCAATTTCACTCATCTTTTCTTCTGCAGTATCTAATCAGCTGTTGATCCCGTTCAATCTATTCATTTCAGAGATGAAATGAAGAATCTATTGTATTTTTCATCTCTATAACTTTGATTTGTCTTCTTCTATTATCTATATCTCTCTTCATCATGCTCATGCTTCCCTATACCTTACTCATGATGTGAAGCATATTTACAATAGACAATTTTAGTCATTACATCACCTCTGTCATTTCTGGTGCTGTTTCTATTTATTGACATTTTTCTTCTGATTATGGGTTAGGTTTCTTATTCTTTCTACTGTCTGGTAAATGTTTTATTGCTTTGCGACATTGAAACCTCACTTAATAGGGTGGTAGATTTTGTTGTAACCCTTCTAGTAGTCTTAGGCTTTGTTCTAGCACGCAGTTATGTTACTTAGTAGCAGTCTACCTCTTTTGAGGCTTGTTAGGGAAATCCAGAGTATATTTTAGTCCAGGGCTAATTTAGCCTCACTACTAACTTCACTACTGAGGTATTCTTCTGAGGATTCTATTCAATGCCCCTATATAATACAGTGTAATAAGGTCTTTCCACTCTAACTGATGGGAACACAAACTCTTCCCAGCCTTAAGTGAGCTTCAGGAATTATTTGGCTTATTGCCTCCCAGCAGTTCTTACCCCTGCCAGGGGTATCTTTCTCTCTCACATGCACATACCAAGGCTCAAGGGACCCCTTTGTGATCTCTGGGTATATTCTCTCTTATCTCTCTCTCTCTCTCTTCACCAACCCCCCCCCCCCACCCAAAATCTCTATCCACTTTAGTCTCCATGAACTCTAATTTCTAATCCCTCCACTAAGGTAGACTGCCAGGATCTGTTCGAGGTTTCCCTCTGATATGGTTTGGCTCTGTGTCCCCACCTAAATCTTATCTCAAATTGTAATCCCCCATGTGTCAAGAAAGGGACTTGGTGGGAGGTGACTGGATCATGTGGGCAGTTTTCCCTATGCTGTTCTTGTGATAGTGAGGGAGTTCTCATGAGATCTGACGGTTTAAAAGCGGCAGTTTCCCCTGCACTTTTGCTCTCTCTGTCTCTCTCTCTCTCTCTCTGTCTCTCTCTCTCTCCTGCCACCTCTTAAAGACATGCCTTGCTTCCCCTTCACCTTCCACCATGATTGTAAGTTTCCTGAGGCCTCCCCAGCCATGAGGAACTGTGAGTCAATTAAACCTCTTTCCTTTTTAAATTACCCAGTTTCAGGTCATTCTTTATAGCAGCGTGAAAACAGACTAATAAACCCTCCATCTATTAAAGCTCGAAAACTGCCTCTAGGTGGCAAGCCAAGCTGAGGTAATAATAAGGTTCAATTTGTTTATTATGCCTGAAAACATTGTTTTGTCCAATTTTCTATTTGTTTGAGGTACACAGTAAATGTAGTCTCTGTCATCCCATTATAGCCAGAGCAGAAATGATCTCCAGAAATCTTTTTTAAATGTCAAATTACTTGCTGGATACCTCTTTTTACAAATATAGGAAGATACCTCTACTTCCAAATATAAGACGCATATGAAACTTAACATATATAAAGTTTAACTCTGCTCTCCTCTGCATGCCCTGAATCAAGTAAACCTGCCCCTTCTTTCATGTTCCCCGTGTCAGTAAATGGCAACTCAATCATTCCCATTGTTTGGACCAAAATTTCAAAATTTCTCTTTCACACTTAATAGCTAAACCATCAGCAAATTCTTTCAAATCTTGTCCTCAAATGTATATACAGACTCTAATCCGATCGCAACCATCCTAGTTTACTTCAGCTCATCATCCCCTCTTTCCCTGGATTATTGCAGTAGCTCCTGTATCAATCAGGTTCACTGCAGTAATCCTGCATAAAAATTATTCCTCCAATCTCAGTAGCTTTCAATGCAATTTATTTCATGCTCATTGGTCTACAAGTCTGCTGTGGCTTTGCTATCGTTGGCTGGGCTTTGCAGGGTCATCCTGGCTTGATTGTAGGCTGCTGTTCAGGTTCAGGTTTGCTCCATATCTCTCGTTCTGAGGCCCAGGCTTAAGGGCACTGATTGCTCACAGTATTCTTTTGGCAGAAGCACAAAAGGGCTGGAAGAAATTTGCTGGGTCTTTTAAGGCTTTGCCTCCCCACTGGTACAGAGTCACTTTTCACTCACATTCCATTGACTACAGCAAGTCAAATAGCCAAATCCAGTGATGGTGGCCTGGGGAAATCTTATGGGGAGGACAGTAGGGTGAATATTTGCTGAATAATAATCTACCACAGCCTCCTAATTGCTCTTCCTGTTCTTTCTCTTGTGCTTTTCAGTCTGTTTTCAACATAGAATACAGAATGTTCCTTTTAAAACACACCAAGATCCTTCTGTGCGAAAAACCCATCAATGACTGCTCATTTCCCTCAGAGTCTATACAGCAGTCTACAAAGCCTTAGTCACTCCTGCATCTGGTCACTTTTCTGGCTTCATGTTCTACTATTGCCTCCTTCCTCTCTGAGTATCATTAACACAGGCCTCTTTCTTTGCTAAGCTGGAACAGGCCAGGCAAATTCCTGTCTCAGGCCTTTGCAGTTGCAATGTACATATCTGAAACATTATTCTGCCCCCCCCCACCCCCAGTTGTCTCTCATGCTGTTCAGATCTCTGCTCAAATGTGACCTTAGTGAGGTCTTCCAAGAGTACCTTATTTGTAATTTCAAACTTTTTGATACTTTCTGGCCCTCTTCTTTGCATTACTTTTCTCCAGAGCACTTACTATACTTTGTTTTATTTATTGTCTGTCTCCTCCCACTAAAATGTGATATCCAGGTTCTAAGGGTTCTAAGGATGCTGTTGGAGAAACAGACTTGGGAAAGTACTGCTCCAAGCTCAAGCTGCTCTCACTAATGATCCTGTTTCTCGTCTTCATGTTAGGTGTTTTCTTAATAATGGCCACAAGGTGGCATGCATAATACCTAATTCCAAAAACATAGCCAAACATACTCTTAGGAGTTAAAGTTATATCATCCAGTATATGTAACTTTAGTTCACAATGGAAACAGCAGAAATTTTCCCAAATAAAATTTGGAAAAAATAAACAAGGAAAAAAGCAGCCCAAACCACAACTACTATCACCACACTGACCACTGACACCACAAGATACACAGTTTATCTTTCTCATTATGAAAATTTAGCATGTGAAAGCACAGGTTGAGGATTATTCTGGAATTTTCTTCAGGTCTTTGTTGTTTGCTTGGTTGCTTGTTTGCTTGCTTTTTAAATCTCTGTAGCTACTAAGCTTTCCTTTTGAGTGTGACAGTGGTAAGGGTCTCTCTTATGTCTTCGGGCATTTTATTTCAAAAGTTCACATGATGTAATCTTTATTATGCTTCTCCCCTCATAACAGGTAAGTCCTTGAGTTCACGACCATGAAGAAGTGATTAGTCAATTATCTGAGAACCACTTCCTCCTAAGTGAGAAGAAGAAACAAGCCAAAGATAGAAGAGGCAGCAGTGTGGGAAAAATTAAATGAAGAGACCTTCCCAAATTGTTCTCTTTTCCTGGTTCTCCTGTAAGGTGAGAATGGGCTGTATACACTCGGAAATGCATGCAACATCTATGGAGTGGTTATCTGTTACTCATTATATTGTAGTTCTCTGTTGTCATCGCTGAATCTCTGGTAAATGCTTGTTAGAGGCTACAGTGTGATCTCAACTGTACTGCAGGAAATTCAGGAAGGGTTGTATGCCCTAAATAGGCCTGGGTGGGAAAGGTGGAAACATCCACATTTTCCTTGGTGCCAGGGTGGGAGTGGGAACAGTGACTAATGAGTTCTTTGAGGAGCAGAGGGCAGAAGTCCTGAGTGCAAGATCCAGCTGTCCCTTCCTCCACAGATCCTCATTCCACTGCCAACTTTCAAAGTACTAATGAATAAGGAATCTCATTGGTTTCCTTTTAAGGGGCATCAAAATTCTGGTTCCATGTAAAATTTCTTATAGGTTTATACAATGTCTCTGCATTTTTAGCACCCTCTGTGTTTTCCATTGAATCTCATTTTTGAACAATTTCCCTTTCAAAAAAAGCAAAGCATTTTCCTAGTCATTCAAAACCATAACCAAGTTACTTGAAACATACTTGGAAGTACTCAAAAACACAGCCTGAATTTCATAAACCACGGCCTGAATTCCATCCTTTATATATTCACTAGTAGGTACGTGGCTAGAGAATAGTAGGCAATCACATTCTGCTTCCTAATTAGAAAGCAGCATATCTAAAGAACTACATTTGATATGTCATGAATAGAGGGCTCAAAATCTAAGCCAAAAGTAAAAAAATACATTATAACTAGTGATAAGAACATGTTGTACCAGAAAAGTAAATCCTCATAAGAAATGACAATCTACAATTTAATGAGCTCAGAATTACTCTAATCTTTTAATCTCCAAATATTCCTCAATATTAAAAGCCATTATATGAAGGTACATACATGAATCAGATGAAATAATTCACAAAGGCACTCAGAGAATCTTGGACTCTTATTAGCTTCCTTAAGTCTATAATATTATTCAGAAAAGGAACTAGGTGGAAGTCTACATATTATTTTCTGAACTTGATTGTTAAGACTAAACTGGTTATACATGTCTAGCTTCTCTAACTGGCCTGACATTCAAATAAAGACTACATAAATACACTATTTATTTATGCACACTTGTACACGGTTGTAACAATTTTTATATAAATATAATAAATATTTTTAGAATAATATAGAAATATACATGATCACGCTGTAAAACAATCCCAGTTACCAAGTTCTATTCTCTCTTATGTCTAAGTCACTGTCTTAGACTATAGTTTATGCTATGTGAAGTCAACTCTTTGCAGCCACAAGACAGCCTTTAGTTCTGTGCTCTACTATACTAAATTCATGGTATTTAGTTATGAAATTCTGGACTTTTGACAATCCTCTAGCAGAAAAGCCATGGGTTTCCATATGCCCTCGAATATAGCACTTCTGAAACTTTACTGTGTATATGAATCACCTAAAAACCTTCTGAGAAATATTCTTAGTTCACATTTCAAAGGGCTCCGTGCAAACAAAGCAGCAATGGCTGGAAATTATTCGGCCTTTGTTGTTTCCCTGTTTCTACCTCTGCTCAGTGACAAAAAACTAAAGAACATACATATTGTCCTTAATGTATGACTGCAACTATTAACACTAGGTAAATTATAATCCATAGTCCAGTCTAGTGTTTGTAAAGAAATCCCCATTCTAACTGGCTAGTCTCCCTGCTATGATGTAATCTTTTCTTGTGTGTCATTCCAGTCCCTTACAGTAATTTCCTAATTTCAGGGGAAAATTGAGTTTGCCTCTCAAAACAAAGCTGATACATGGTATTGCAAAGAAAAGAACAAGATTTCAATGCATCTTATTTTAATAGTCTATTATGAAGCAAGTCACTACAACCAGCCTTTACAAAACAGCTTATGTTAAAAGTTGGGATATTCTGAAAGGTAGTTAAAGAGTAATTTTTATTTGTTCTGCACAAAATAACCTTTCCTCTAATTTAAACAATGCAAGTGTAAACTAACAGCATAATCCCAATATATAACTCTTTCCAAATCCAGAGAAAGAAATGAAGTGATGTCTTTTAACCATCTTTCTGTCTCTAAGAATAAGAGATTATAGAAGATGAAATGTAGGAGACACAGTATGAGATCTTCTCAGAGAGCTTTAGGGCCCCTGCTACTTGTAGATAAGAATGAGCTAATTAGTGGGTTTGAGCAACAGGGATTTGATGATGCCACACCAGGAAGACCCTCAATCAGTGCCCATTGCAGGAAAGAGTGCCAAGGTGTTCTCATCAGCCCAGCTGAAAGCACTTTTCCTGGAAACAGACAATATAAACATGAACTTCAAAAGGACACGAGCAAGTATTATTCTTTCCATTTTGGGGACTTTACACAGTGTTCAGTGAATAGTGGGTACTTCATTAATAACTCAAGACTTTTCAAAGCCTAGAATCAGAGCATTTGACAAATGCTGATTAGCACCGGAGCTGGCATTTGTCAAGCTCTGACTTTTAACTCCTTTCCCCTCAGAATATCTGTGGTCCAATAAAATATCCCTGCCCCAGAAGGCAGGTGTGAGAGAGTACTGTGTTTGGCAAAAAGGAACACCGAGCTCTCTCTAAAAGGCAAATATACTTCTGCTTTTTATTTGTTCTAACAAAGACAATGGCCATCCGTCATGTTTCAGAGGAGCAGAGGACATCCACATGCATACTTGGAGGCCACTTCCCCAATCTTTGCTGCAATCCCCTTGTATCTGCCCACTGGAGACCAAGAAGATACACAGTTCAGCTCCTCTAATCTTTTCACAAATATAACAACGCTTAGGTGGGTTTGTAGAATCTTGGGGTAATCTCATGCCTAGCAGTTAATTACCAGTTCCTTGGTGCGCCTTACAAAACTACACTCACTAAGTAATCACACATGACATGCTCATTCATTTAGGCCACCACCTACCTCAAACATTGTTCAAGACTTGAGAGAGGTGCATCTCCATGAAGAATTATTGGCACTATTTTCTCTTCTACTTAGAGTCACAGGACAGCAGAGCCATATGCCACAAACAAAAATCAAACCAAAATAACATAAAATATTACCACTGTTAAGACGAGAAAAAGAATATGTTAAGATGGGGCAGGAATGCTGAACACACCTCTTTCCTTTCCCTGACTTTTTAAAACACTGCTACGTCCTTGTCAAATTCTGTTTGAGAAGTTAGACTCACACGCTTCCCAAATCTTAAAGCCTAGGAATACATTTTCCAGTAATACAGTAACTAGCGACAAAATTACTCTTCAGTCAAGCAAGTTGAAAGAAGTATGGAATTCATTTTAAATGGGTTATTAGCTGAATACTAAAATCAATCGTTCAATGTCCCAGGATTTTATCAATTAGATTTAACTGTAATTTAAGACAGTCATTAGCTTCCTAAATTCTTAAACTTTCAGAGCTTATAAAAGCAACACAGCCTGGCTGTGTATTTCAATCACCAAGTAGAGTCAAAACGTGTTTCAAGAGATCACTAAAATGCCTGCTGGAACTGAGGAAGGGAAAAAACAAGATAAAAACAAACACTAGCAAAACCGATACCCTAGTCACCTAATAAGCTTTTAGACAACAGATCTCCCTCCAGATTCTTGCAAGATTTCTTCTTTGACCTGACTCCCTTTAGATATAATAATTTATATGGTGCCCCTACTATCAGGGTTTAAGTGAGTCATCGCTTTGTTCTCTATATGTCAAAAGCACTCAGTACCTTCCACATATTCCTCTCTTGAAATTCAGAGTGGAACAAGTCACAAAACTTGTTTTCCCTCAGAGATAAGGTTATGCCAAATCAGCCAAGTCCCTGAGAAAAAGGCATCCCCAGTATTTTCATGTACTGGTACCATTTATTATAAAGGGAGACTTTTTAATTTTGTTGATTTGTTTGTTTTGAGGGGCCACATAAATTACTGTAAAATTGCTTTAGATTTCACACTCAGGCAGCGACACACAGTAGCTAAGAGACTAGACTTTGTCAGACAGAATGGGAATCTGGTAGGTTTTACCACTTACTAACCCACATAACATTGGGAAAGTAACATTAGCTAATTGTTAATTACTAAGGCACTGTTCAAAGTGCTTAACTTGAATGAATTCATTTACTCCTCAAAAGTCCCTATGAGATAGGATCCTATAAATGAGGTAACTGAGGTAAAAACAGTAAGTAATATACTCAAGATCACAGAGCTGGTAAAATAAAGAACTGAGAATAAACTCAGGTAGCCCTGTTGCTAAAGCCTATATTCTTAACCACTTCATTGGTGGTTTTTAAAAAATTTAAATACAACCCACTCCAAGAAGTAATTTTTTAAGGGCTGGGTGTGGTGGCTCACACATGTAATCCCAGCACTTTGGGAGGCTGGGGTGGGCAGATCACCTGAGGTCAGGAGTTCGAGACCAGCCTGACCAACATGGAGAAATCCCGTCTCTACAAAAAAAAAAAAAAAAAAAATTATCTAGGCGTGGTGGCACATGTCTGTAATTCCAGCTACTCAGGAGGCTGAGGCAGGAGAATCGCTTGAACCTGGGAGGTGGAGGCTGCAGTGAGCCGAGATCGCACAATGCACTCCAGCCTGGGCAACAAGAGCAAAACTCCGTCTCAAAAAAAAAAAAAAGTAATTTTTACTAGGACTCATTGTAAGAAATATGTTCTGTAACACAACCCAGTACATACACATATGTGTTTATTTTATAGACATGATAAGATATATATATAATTGAAACCAAAATTTGATGAAGCTATGCCTACTCTTACTTCCTGAAATGCAATGATATTTCATATTCTATTTTATTGTTTAATAACTACTGATCACTCCCTACAAAATTGATTTCAAAATCCACTGAGAGTCATGACCTGAAGTTTGAAAACAAGAAACATTTATTTTTACCACCATGGAAAATTTTGGAGGATTAAGTAAGATAACATACGCAGAGCATTTAGCATAACTCCTGGCACATACCATGTGCTAAATTCATGGTAGCTATTTTTATGTATCTTTTTGAAAACTAGCTGCAATTGTGGAAGGCAGGGACAATGAGGGGAAAACCCTGACTGGGCTATAGATGAATTTATTGTCAGTTAGGTCTGTCCTTGGTAGTGAGATGGGGAATTTCTCCAGTATCTTTAACTTGTGCTGCAATGGAAATGTGTATGCAGAAAGAGAGCTGACTCATGGTTATCTCTTCTCCACTACAAAAAATTGCAAATTACAAGTTATTGTGCCTCACCACTGGAAACCTCAGTAAATTCCAAATTATTGATCCATATTTACATCCAGTACTTACACTGGATACGATGATGTATACAGAACTGGTCTTCAAAAGGAGTCCTGCTGGGAAGAAGTGTTCATTTTTTGTTGATGCTTTATCAAATTACCACAAACTTAGTGGCTTAAAACAATGCAAATTTATTATCTTATAGTTCTAGAGGTCAGAAATCTGGACAGAGTCTCACTGAGCTAAAATCATGGTGTCAGTAGGGCTGGGTTGCTTTCCAGCAGTTCTAGGTGAGAACCCATTTCCTTACCTTTTCCAACTTCTTGAAAGAAGCCACCTGTATTGCTTGGCTCATGGCCCCTTCTTTCATCCTCAAAGCCAGAAACAGCAGGTTGAATCCTTCTCACATCACGTCACTCCAACTCTGACACTGACTCCATTGTCACATATCCTTTTCTGGCTCTTCTGCCTCTCTTCCATCTTTGAAAAACCTTTGTGATTACACTGGGTCCAGCTGAATAATTCAGGATAATCTCCCCATTCAAGATCCTTGACTCAATCACATCTTCAAAGCCCTCTTGCCATGTGAGGTAATATCAGAGGTGCTGGAACATTTGGTGGGGTTGGGGCAGTAGGCAACTATTCTGCCTAACACAGGACATAAACCACAAAAAAGAGCAAATAAGATGCAACAACAATAATGATAACACTGAACATTTACTATATGGCAGGCATTGTGCTGAGTAAATTATTTGCCTTGACTCACTTTCTAGGTGAGAAACCAAGACTCCCAAAGATAATGCAAAGTACAGAGTTATACAGATAGAAAGTGGCAAACCCAGGTCTGCCTGACTTCAAAGATCATACTCTCAACCACTTTACTACACATAACAAAATACCAAATCTATACACAATTAGTGGTTTGCAACTTTTCTCTATCAGGAATTCCTTTTGCTATTTTCCCTCCAGGGACCTGATCTTGAAAAATTTTGTAAATTAAACAGCAAAACATTTTATTAACCTAAGCCAAACTTCTGATTCCAACATCTGATAGCTTTGAGCTAAACTCTTTGTCTCTTTTGGGACTTACATAGTTCTAACCCCCTCAAAAAAAATGCAATTAACATTTCATTTTACATATCTTGGCATCATTTTGGAATCCTAAAAACAGGAACTCAAATAACCACCTTTATAGATACCTGATGAGTTGTTTCAGGTTGAAGTAATGATCCAAGAGTTCAGAGAAGGAGATTGATGGTGGTGGTGTAGTCAGAAGAAGTGGAATATAACCTCAGTCTCAAAGAAGCAGAAATTTCCAATGAACTAGAGAAGAAGGAAGAATACAAATAGCGTCTAGGAAGTGAGAACAAGTAAATCTAGGGAAGCTTGTTAGGAAAAACTGGAAAAGAAAATTAAGTAGAGAATAAATAAAGCATTCAGGCTTTGAAACACAGGTAAATACAGTTACATTTAACCAGATAGGAAAATACAGAATCTGGAAAGTTTCTGGGCCACAAAGTGCCACACAGTAAAATCAGGCATCTGCTCCTGGCATGCTTAAGAGCTCAGAATAAAGGACTTCCCCATTCTGCCCCTTCCCCCACTGTAAAGCTCACTGGCTTAAAAAACTGCTCCTTCTGCTACTATCTACCTCATTCTAAGCATCAACTCTAGGTGGGGCTGGTGCCTAGGCATTTTATAATTACTTTTCTATGTCTGCCTAACTTGGCTGAGAACCTACTTCAGAACTGACTCAAAAATCTCACAGATGCTGTCATTCACCCTCAGGATCTGTGTTTAATAATAGAGTCACAAGGCCTATGCAATCCAACTCAGCCCAGGGTCTGGCTTAGCCAATGTCTGCCAGCTGGTCTCATCCCCACACCCCAGGCCCCCACTTCATCACCAGTACATTGGCATCAATATTTATCTTTTCAAATTGGCATGCAATTTAAAAGAATGTTTTTATCTCACAGATCAGCAGGTATCCTATTATTATCTAGTTTTATGCTGATTTTTTAGGAGCTAACTAATGAAAAGACTCAATCATTGTTTTTGTGGGAAGATGTTGAAACTTTACCCTTTCTGGGCAATCTGTGCTTCACTATTGTTTCACTATATTTGTAATATTCAAAACCTCAATAGTCAAAACAAGCATCCCATAATGCCAAAGCAGCCAACCCATTGCATTAGTGCTATGAGTGGTAACTGAGGCAAAAGAAGACCCTTAGAATTCTCTAAATGTTTTGAGGTTTAGGGAAAGAGTTGTATTAGAAAACAATCCTTAATCAGGTTGAGATTTAACTGCATTCAAAGTCAGTGTTAAATTCTTGCTAAGAGATTTGATGTTATACATGAGATTATATAAACAGGTACAAGTCACAGCAAATACAGGAGAGATAATAAACCAAAACTGACTGTCACAACTAGATCCTGAAAGCCAGTTTGGTAACTCTGGCACATTTTGCCAATTTCCATGTATAAGATCACATGCTACACTGTATGAATGAAAGTATTACATCCAATTAACTGATCTGCCTGTCATATGTTAGTCAGTAGAGAAATATTTATTGAACACCCCACAGATGAGTAATTTTAGAAACTATGTTAATAGCAAAACATCTAAAGGTAGAATAATTGCTACTTTTTCTGCATATGCCTAGCACAGTGTTCACCCTCAAAACAACACTAAGCTGGAAAAGAGAAAACCTTAGAGCAGAGCCAGGATCCAAAACTAAAATTAATTAATGTACCACAGTTCATGAAGCAGTTCCACATGCATTATCGTATTCACTCCTCCTATAACTCTTATAAATGAGAAAAGTGAGTTTCAGCAAGGATGAGCAATGTGAATACTAAAATAGAAACTGAACTTAAAACCAAGCACAATCCTGTTAACATGTTTTTATATGTGTGATTTAGGTTAGGCATACATTATGCAGATTTTTAGAGCCTTTGCACATCTGCCTACAAGTTATGAATACAAAATTACTAATTCATATTATGGTACTCACCTATTAAAACATTTTATTGCCCCAGAGTATAAGAGGATGCACACATGATTAACCATGACCATACATTAAAAATGTACCATCCAGACTCTGGAAAAACTTTTTGTTGTCTGTGGTAGCAAAAATAGTCATCTCGTTTAAACTGCACCTTCAGATCTTCTCTTTCCATAAATTTTCCTCGATAATTTATTCCCTACAAAATACTACTGATTTGATTCTTCATTCACTACCTCCCTAGTCTTCTTCTCATTTTAGCATGAATATTACTGAATCTCTTTACAGTGTTTCTGTTAAATATTTGTGTAGATATACATATGTATACTCTGCTGTCTTCCATGTAAGCTGCTTAATAACTAAGCTATCTTAGACATTTAATTTAGATGTGTGTACCATTTGATTACTCACTAAATAGAAATTTACATAATCCCTTTATTCTAACAAGTTTACCACCTTATCACAAAGCAAATCTAAAGAAAACTGCAAACCTGGCAAGGTGGCTCATACCTGTAAAACCCAGCAATTTAGGAGGCCGAGGTGGGCGGATTGCCTGAGCTCAGGAGTTTAAGACCAGCCTGGGTGATATGGTGAAAACTTGTCTCTATAAAAAATACAAAAATTGGCCAGATGTGGTGGTGCATGCCTGTAGTCCCAGCTATTTGGGGTGCTGCGGTGGGAGGATTACCTGAGCCTTGAGCGGTCCAGGCTGCAGTGGGCCATGTCTGAGCCACTGCACTCCAACCTGAGTGACAGAGTGAGACACCGTCTCTAAAACATATTAAAATAAATAAAACTGGAAATTTATGTTATTTGGTTCTGATGTTTACATGTCCAGCTATGGGCTCTGAAACAGCACCAATGCCATAGACAAAATCCTTAGAGAAGTCAGAGGAGCCACCTCTCTGACTGAGATAGAGAGAGGGCTCCTGGCTGAGTAATAACTACTGTATGAATTTGTCAATGTCCTCTAGTCAAAGACCACCAGCAACACATCTGCAGTTCTATAAAACTGGGTTTATTAATTCATTGCAAGGGGGAGAAACAAATACCATGGGAGACCCTTGAGCATATCAGTAAGAAGGTGTTAGAAAAAACTTACAGGATTTGAGTTTGTGGTAGGTGATTCGGGGGAGCTTTCAAGAAAATGGGGATCTTCCCTGGACTGGATGTTGTACAGAAACAGGGGGAATTCCCTGATTAGGTATCTTAATTATTCTTATCTAAACATTGAAAGGAATGAAGTAAGCTAATGCTATAATTGGAAAGAATCAGCAGTTATTCATTATTAGCCAGGAAAGGGGAATGTTCACTCATTTTCATGGATTGGACAGTGTTCTTATTTTTCTCTGTTCTGAAATGATCATGAAGTAGTCTAATTTCCATCTTGCTCCATTATAGTCACAAAGAGATCATGTGTGAAGTTTGTGTTCTGTGAAAATGTATATATTCAGAAAGAGAACTCCACAGCTTCACTGTGAGTGCTAAGCCAAGTCTTAGCCAGTAGTGCAAACTAGATAAGAAAGCTTTGCTCAAAGGGCAGAATTGGCCAGAAAACAACACTTATTATTGTCATTATTTACGAATATTGACAGGCTTATAAAGTCCTTATATATTCATTGTGTAACTTGAGCCTCTCAGAACAATCTTGGAAGATAAATAGACCATAGTACCTCCACATTGCACAACTTCAGGGGCCCCAATGATCATGTATTCCATGTGAATGATACCTCCCCACTGTGAACAACATCCCCACTGGAGTTGTACAAAAATGGCTGCCCTGGAAGGGCAGACATTTCTATTCTGTTTGACAACTATTAAAATTGAGCCAAAGAAGGTTCCTGAGTGCTCTTTATGTCCCAATAAACTCCACAGTTTTGTCATGTTCAGCTGCTGACGTTGGATCCCTGATGCAGTCATAGTTCCCCCTTCCAGAGAATTGCACCAGCCCGCCCTGTGATGACCTAGATTACACAGGCTACTACAATAAGAACAGCTCCGCCTTCTTCTACAACTGTATCTGCCCAAAACAGGATGTTAAAAAGGTTACTGAACTTATAACCTCCTTTCACAGTCACTTCTTAAGAAGTGTGTGTGTGTGTGTGTGTGTGTGTGTGTGTGTTGCCTTTTTTTTTTTTTTTTTTTGAGACGGAGTCTCGCTCTGTCGCCCAGGCTGGAGTGCTGTGGCGCGCTGGAGTGCAGTGGCGCGATCTCGGCTCACTGCAAGCTCCGCCTCCCGGGTTCACGCCATTCTCCTGCCTCAGCCTCCGGAGCAACTGGGACTACAGGCGCCCGCCACCACGCCCGGCTGATTTTTTTGTATTTTTAGTAGAGACGGGGTCTCACCGTGTTAGCCAGGATGGTCTCGATCTCCTGACCTTGTGATCTGCCCGCCTCAGCCTCCCAAAGTGCTGGGATTACAGGCGTGAGCCACCGCGCCCAGCTAAAAAGTTAATATACCTTAGTATATTTTGTTTATGACCCAGGAGTGACAGGTGAAAAATACAATTTTGAATTCTGAAAAAAAATTAAAAAGCAAAATATCCCGCTGAATTCAAAGGCGAAAATGTTTAAATGCAAGCGAAATACTAGTTACATGTTCTTCCACATTCTTGGAAACCTGCCAAGTAAAATATAAAAGGAAAATGGAATTTCCTAAGTAGTGTCTATTAATAATAAATATTTTTCCAATTATGTCTTTTTGTAGCTGGGAAATTCCCTCTTGTCACTAAGTTTCTCTCCTCAGACATTACAGAAAGTAAAACCGAAACTGAAGCACTCTACTGATAAATCAAGTAGTTCCCAGAAATAATATGAACTTTGATTCAAACAGATGTGTTCAGAAATCCTATCTCCATAATTTACAAAACTGTGACTTCTGGCAATTTACCTAACCTCTACAGACCTCACTTTCATTAAATTAACATACATACTTCTCTCGCCTATTATTATGAGTGTAACCTGGAATTCCCTATCAGAACCTGGACTTCCCTATTCTAAAATTAATGACGCTGTAACTGCATATTGTGGTGTCTATCTTCTTTAGAACACTAAAAACATTTCAGGGCAGAGACCACATGCATTTTGTTATTCTTGTATTTCCATCACCTAGCCCAATGGTACATAAAATATCTGTTGTTTTTTGTTTGTTTGTTTCATTAGGAGAGACGGACTAGAGATCTGCAGTATCAGGAAGGTCCATTTTTCATCCACATGCCTTTTTATAATGTTTGGATGTCTTACCATGCCTATTTGATACATGTATTTCTTTTTAATTAGAAATCATAACAGAGGGCCAGGCACAGTGGCTCATGCCTATAATCCCAGAAATTCGGGAGGCCAAGGCAGGTGGATCACTTGAGGTCAGGAGTTCAAGACCAGCCTGGCCAAAATGGTGAGACCCCATTACTACTAAAAATATGAAAATCAGCTGGGTATGGTGGCACATGCCTGTAATCCCAGCTACTCAGGAGGCTGAGGTGAGAGAACTGCTTGAGCCTGGGGGACGGAAGTTGCAGTGAGCTGACATAGCGCCACTGCACTCCAGCCTGGGTGATAGAGAGAGCCACTGTCTCAAAAACAAAAAAAAGAAAGAAATCATAACAGAGAGTCAAGGGAAATTAAGATCAAGATTTATCTTGTTCCCAAATAAAGGAACAAGGTAAATCTACATAAACCAATCTGAATGAATTGGAGATATGTAGTTTATCTGACAGGGAATTCAAACTAATGGTATTACAGATCCTCAATGAAGTCAGGAGAGCAACACAAAAACAAAATGAGAGCATTGATAAAAAAAGATAGAAAGTAATAAAAAGTACCGAACAAAAGTTATAGACTGAAGAATACTATAACTGAACCCTAACTAAAAAATTCAGCAGAGGGGTTGAGTAGCAGACTAATCAAGCAGAAGGAAAGATCAATGAACTTGAAGACAGATCACCAGAAATCATTCACTCTCAGGAACAAAAAGAAAAAATAATGAAAAAGAGTAAAGATAGGTTACATAAGGTCAGGCGCAGTGGCTTATGCCTGTAATCCCAGCACTTTGGGAAGTCGAAGTGGGCAGATCACCTGAGGTCAGGAGTTTGAGACCAGCTACAACATGATGCAACCCCATCTCTACTAAAATACAAAATTATCCAGGCACTGTGGTAGGCGCCTGTAATCCCAGCTACTCGGGAGGCTGAGACAGGAGAATTGCTTGAATCCGGGAGACGGAGCGAGATCACACCATTGCATTCCAGCCTGGGCTACAGAGCAGGACTCTGTCCCAAAAAAAAAAAAAAAAAAAAAAAAAAGATAGGTTACATATTATCAGTGTACAAGAAGGAGACTAGAGAAGGAAAGAAACCGAAAACATATTCAAAGAAATCGTAGCAGAAAAATTCCCAAGACTGGAGAAGAAAAGAGAAAGCCAGATCCAGGAAGCACAAAATACACCAAATAAGATGAATCAAAAGAGACCCACACCAAGCTATATCGTAATCAAATTGTTGAAAGCTAAAAGCAAATGCAGTGTTAAAAGCAGCAAGGGAAAAGTGAACATCATTTATAAGGGAACCACCATGCAACTATCAATGGATTTCTCAGCAGAAACCTTGCAGGCCAGAAGAGTATAGAATGATAGATGCAAAATCCAGAAAGAAAAAACACTGCCAGTCAAGTATATTATACCAAGCAATCCTATTTTTCAAAATGAAGAGGTGATAAATACTTTCTCAGACAAAAAAAGATGAGAGAGTTTATCACCACTAGACTTGTGTTAAAATGTCAAGGGAGTTCTTCAAGCTGAAGAGGACACTAGTTAGTAATACGAAAACATATGAAAGTATAAAACCCGGTAATAAAAACAACTACACTGTCAAAACCAAAACACTGCCACTGTTATGGCAGTGGGTAAATCCATTATATCTCTAGTATAAAGGTTAAAAGACAAAGCTATTAAAAACAACTAAAGCTGCAGTAATTTGTTGAGGAATACAAATTATAAAAAGATGAAAGTGAGACATCAAAAACATAAAATGTGAGAGGAAGGGGAGTAAAAGTTTAAAGTTTTATATGTGATCAAAATTTAGTTGTTTCCAAGATAAATACCACATTATAAGATGATTTATGTAAGCCTCAGGATAATCACAAAGCAAAAGCCTATATTTGATATACAAAAGATAAAAAGAAAAGATCCAAAGCATACTACAGCAGAAAGCCATCAGGCCACAAAGGAAGAAAGCAACAGAGAAAAGCAGAAACAAAGGATTTACAAAACAACCAGAAAATGATTAACAAAATGGCACTAGTAAGTCTTCACCTACCGATAATTACTTTGAATGTAAATGGACTAAATTTTTCAATCAAAATGCACAGAGCAAATGTCTGCACTAAAAAAATAAGACCCAACTGTATGCCGTCTACAATTCACATCATCTTAAAGGATACTCATAGAATGAAAATGAAGAGAGGGAAAAATATATTTCATTCAAATAGAAAACAAAAGACAGCAGGGGTAGGTATACTTATTTCAGAAAAAAATAGACTTTAAGTCAAAACTGTAAAAAGAGACAAGGTCATTATACTGTGGTAAAGGGTTTAATTCATTAAAAGGAGCAAACAATTGTAAATATATATATGTAAATATATACATAAATGTGTGTGTGTGTGTGCACCCAATAGCAGAGCATCTAAATATATAAGGCAGGCCGGGCATGGTGGCTCATGACTATAATCCCAGCACTTTTGGAGGCCAAGGCAGGAGGATTACTTGAGCCCAGGAGTTCAAGACCAGGATGGGCAACATAGGGAGAGCCCAACTCTACAAAAAATTTAAAAATTAGCCAGGTATGGTAGTGTACACCTGTGGTCCCAGCTGTTTGCTTGGGCCTGGGAGGTCAGGGCTGCAGTGAGCTGTGATTGTGCCACTGCATTCCAGTCTGGGCAACAGGGCAAAATCCTGCCAAAAAATAAAAAAAGATGGAGAAATAAAGCAAACATTAAGAGATCTGAAAGGAAACACACTGCAACACAATAATAGGATATTTCAATACCCCACTTACAACAAAAGACAGATCACCCAGAAATAAAATCAATAAGGAAACACTGGATTTGAACTATACTTTAGACCAAATGGGCATAATAGACATGTACTTGACATGCCACCCAACAGCAATGGAATACACATTCTTCTCAAGTGGATGCAGAATATTCTCCCAGATATATCATGTGTTAAGCCACAAAGAAAACTTAACAAATTTAAAAGTATCAAAATCATATCAAGTATTTTTTCCAACCAAAATGGCATAAAACTAGAAGTAAATAACAGGAGAAATCAGGAAAATTGCCAGCTGTATGGAAAGTAAACAATATGCTCCTGAACAACTATTTGGTCAAAGAAATTAAAAGGGAAATTTTAAAATGGAAACACTAAGTCAAAAATGGAAACACAACATGCCAAAATTTATGGTGGTAGCAAAAGCAGTTCTAAGAGCGAATTTCATAGCAGTAAATCCCTACCTCAAAAAAATGGAAAACTGCAAATAAACAAACTAATATTCCACCCCAAGAACTAGTAAAAGAATAACAAACTAAGCCCAAAGTTAGAAGAAGAAAAAAATAAGAAAGATCAGGGCAAAAGTAAATAAAATCGAGACTAGAAAAGTTATACAAAAGATGAATGAAACTAAGAGGTTTTTTTCTGAAAAGGTAAACAAAATTGACAAACCATTAGCTAGACTAAGAAAAAAAGGGAGAAGACTCAACCAAAACTCATTTCAAAAATGAAAGAGGAGACATTGCAACTTATTACACAAAAACAGAAAGCATCATAAGAGACTAATATAAACAATCATATACAAACAAATTCGACAACATACAAAAAATTAATAAATTCCTTGAAACAAATAGCCTACTGTATTAGTCCGTTTTCACGCTGCTGATAAAAGACATACCCGAGACTGGGCAATTTACAAAAGAAAGAGAAGTTTAATGGACTTACAGTTCCACGTGGCTGAGGAGGCCTCACAATCATGGCAGAAGGCAAGGAGCAAGTCCCGTCTTACATGGATGGCAGCAGGCAAAGAGAGAGAGAGCTTGTGCAGGGGAACTCCCCTTTTAAAAACCATTAGATCTCATGAGACTTATTCACTATCATGAGAACAGTGCAGAAAAGACCTGCCCCCATAATTCAATCTCCTCCCACCAGGTTCCTCCCACAACATATGCGAATTGTGGGAGTTACAATTCAAGATGAGATTTGGGTGGGGACACAACCAAACCATATCACCTAGCAAGACAGAATCATAAAGAAATCAGAAATCTGAACAGACCAATAATGAGCAAAGAGATTGAATTAGTAGTCAAAAATGTCCCATCAAGGAAAAGCCCAGACCCAAATGGCTTCATGGTTGAATGCTACCAAACATTTAAAGAACTAATATCAATCCTTCTCAAACTCTAACAAAAAATTGAAGAAAAGAGAATACTTCCAAACTCATTTTACAAGGCCAGCATTACCCTGATACCAAAGCCAAAGTCACTATCAGAAAAGTACAGGCCAACATCACTGATGAACATAGATGCAAAAATTATCACCAAAATACTATCAAACTCTATTCAACTGTACATTAAAGGATCATTCACCATGATCAAATGGGACTTATCTCTGGGATGTGAAGATGATCAACATTCACAAATCAATAAATGTGATTCACTATATTGGCAGAATGAAGGACAAAAAACATATGATCATCTCAATAGGTGCACAAAAGCATTTGACAAAATTAAACCTCCTCTCACAACAAAAACTCTCAACAAATTAGGTATAGAAGGAATGTTCCTCAACACAACAAAGTCCATATATGAGAAGCACACACCTAACATATTCAACGGTGAAAACATGATGACTTCAACATATTCAATGGTGAAAACATGATGACTTTTCCTCTAGGATAAGGAATAATACAAGGATGCACACTCTTACCACCTCTGTGCAACATAATATTGGAAGTCCTACCAGAGCAATTAGGCAAGAAAAATAAATAAAAGGCATTCAATTAGGAAAGGAAAAAGTGAAACTGTCTCTGCTTGCTGACAACATGATCCTATATATAAAAAAAAAACTATAAAGACTCCACCAAAGAACTGTTAGAAGTGATAAATAAATTCAGTAAAGTTGCAAGATAAAAAATCAATTTACAAAAATCAGAAGTATGTCTGTACATTAACAATGTGCTGTTTGAAAAAGAAATTAAGAAAGCAGTCCCACTTACAATCATATCCAAAAAGTACAGAGGAGTAAATTTTATCAGGGGTCAAAGGTCTGTACACTGAAGGATCATCATGGTGGACAGGAAGCAGGACTAGATTGCAGCTCTGGACAGAGCAGCATGTAGGCTCACATTGTGAATTTAAGCTCCAGATCAACTGCAAGAACAAACTACCAATCCCGAGAGGACCCACAGAACCTCTGAAGGAAGCAGACTGCTCCTGCAGAACCTGGGAGGCACACCAAATACTGTGAGTGCCCCAACTGCAGAAGTGGGAAAGGGAGACCCTCCTCTCCCAAACACACACCTGCACTGGAGAAACAGCAGGTCTGTTTGCGGGAGAAGTTTCCAATCTTATCTGGAGCTTAGTCAATTTAGAGAGCTGAGCAAATACAGGGGTAGAGGACGCAGCAGAAAGGCTCTGGGAGCACACTGGGTCCCCAAGCAGCCCATTCCTACCTGGCACCACAAGGATCCATCAGGAGGACAGCCAGAGGAGCAGGGGGTAAAACTACACAGGGAGAAGGACATCTCTTGTTGAAATTTGTAACAATTTGAATGGGGCGAGAAGCCTCCTGGCCAGACCTCAAGGGAGGGTGCAAATCCAGTGTGCAGACTCCACAGGCTGATAAGAACCAAGCTCTTTTCTTTCTCAGCTGGGAGGCAGGTAGCCTGGGGCAAGTTTTCAAGCCCATCTTGCCCACAGCCTGGAAACATACTCAGAGCTGTTTTGTAATGCCCAACCTTGTTTTTTCCTTATTCACCTGGCCTTGTTTCTCCCTTAGCTAAGAGAACCAGACAAACTCCATCTTGGCACTTTCACTGGCAGTGCCTTCCTCAAGGACTTAACTTGTGCAAGCTGACTCCCAGAACATCCAAGAATGCAATTAACTGATAAGATACTGTGGCAAGCTATATCCGCAGTGACCAAGAATTCATCTGACTGATAACGGCCAAAGCCCCCCATCTATCACCTTGTAATAGTCTTAAAGCCCCTGCACCTGGAATTGTTTACTTTCCTGTAACCATTTGTCCTTTTAACTTTTTTGAGTACTTAACTTCTGTAAAATTGTTTTAACTAGACCCCCCCCTCCCCTTCTTAAACCAAGATATAAAAGTTAAGCCCCTTCCTCGGGGCCGAGAGAATTTTGAGCGTTAGCCATCTCTCGGTCGCCGGCTAATAAAGGACTCTTAATTCATCTCAAAGTGTGGCATTTTTCTAACTCGCTCGGGCACAACAGTTTTGGGGGCCATGGTGGAAGTAAGACTGGCCCTTCAGTTTGCATGGCAGCTGGGTGAGGCCTGTGACTGCCAGCTTTCCCCCACTTCCCTGACAACATGCGTGACTCAGCAGAGGTAGCCATAATCTTCCTAGGCACACAACTCTAGTGACCTGGGAATCCCACCCCCATCCCCTACAGCAGCCACAGCAAGACCTGCCCATAGAGAGTCTGAACTCAGACACACCTAGCCCTGCCCCAACCTGATGGTCCTCCTCTACCCACCCTGGTAGCTAAAGACAAAGGTCATATAATCTTGGGAGTTCTATGGCCCTGCCCACTGCCAGTTCCTCTCCATACTACCACAGCTGATGCCCTCTGGAAAGTGCCACCTCCCAGCAGGAGGCCAACCAGCACAAAAATAGAGCATTAAACCACCAAAGCTGAGAACCCTCACAGAGTCCACTGCATCTTCCTACCACCACCTCCACCAGAACAGGAGCTGAGAGACCCATAGTCGGTTCACATCACAGGACTCTCTGCAGACAACACCCAGTACCAGCCCAGAGCTGAGTAGACTCACTGGGTGGCTAGACCTGGAAGAGAGACAACAATCACAGCAGTTCAGCTCACAGGAAGCCACATTCATAGGAAAAGGGGGAGAGTACTACATCAAAGGAACACCCTGTGGAACAAAAGAATCTGAATAACAGCATTCAGCCCTAGACCTTCCCTCTGACAGCCTACCTAAATAAGAAGGAACCAGAAAACCAACCCTGGTAATATGACAAAACAAGGCTCTTTATCACCCCCAAAAAATCACACTAGTTCACCAGCAATGGATTCAAACCAAGAAGAAATCCCTGACTTACCTGAAAAAGAATTCAGGATATTAGTTATTAAGCTAATCAGGGAGGCACCAGAGAAAGGTGACGCTCAATGCAGGGAAATCAAAAAATGATACCAGAGGTGAAGGGAGAAATATTCAACAAAATAGATAGCTTAAAGAAAAAACAATCAAAAATTCAGGAAACTTTGGAAACACTTTTAGAAATGCAAAATACTCTGGAAAGTCTCAGCAATAGAATTGAACAAGTAGAAGAAAGAAATTCAGAGCTCAAAGACAAGGTCTTGAAATTAACCCAATCCAACAAATACTAAGGAAAAAAAAAAAGAAAATATGAGCAAAGCCTCCATGGAGTCTGGAATTACGTAAAACAACCAAACCTAAGACTAATCAGTGTTCCTGAGGAAGAAGAGAATTCTAAAAGCTTGGAAAAGATATTTGGGGGAATAATCAAGGAGAACTTCCCCAGCCTTGTTAGACACCTAGACATCCAAATACAAGAAGCATAAAGAACACCTGGGAAATTCATTGCAAAAAGATCATTGCCTAGGCACATTGTCATCAGGTTATCAAAAGTTAAGACAAAGGAAAAAATCTCAAGAGCTGTGAGATGGAGCACTAGGTAACCAATAAAGAAAAACCTATCAGATTAACAGCATATAACCCAGCAGAAACTCTACAAGCTAGAAGGGTTTCTTCAGCCTCCTCAGACAAAGCAATTATCAGCCAAGAAGTTTTTGTCCAGTGAAACTAAGCATCATATATGAACAAAAGATACAGTCATTTTCAGACAAACAAATGCTGAGAGAACTTGCCATTACCAAGCTACCCACAACAAGAACTACTAAAAGAAGCTCTAAATCTTGAAACAAATCCTGGAAACACATTGATACAGAACCTCTTTAAAGCATAAATCACACAGGACTTATAAAACAAAAATATAAGTTAAGAAGCAAAAACAATAAACAAAAAAACCTAATTACACAAGCAACAAAGAGCACAATGAATGCAATGGTACCTCACACTTCAATAGTAACATTGAACATGAATGGCCTAAATATTCCACTTAAAAGATACAGAACCACAGAACAGATGGACTCACCAACCAAATATCTGCTCCCTTCAGGACACTCACCTAACACATAAGAACTCACATAAACTTAAAGTAAAGGGGTGGAAAAAGGTATTTCATGAAAATGGATACCAAAAGTGAGCAGGCGTAACTACTGTTATATCAGACAAAACAAACTTTAAAACAACAGCAGTTGAAAGAGACAAAGAAGGACATTATATAATGGTAAAAGGCTTTGTCCAACAGGAAAATATCACAATCCTAAACATATATGCACCTAACACTGGAGATTCCAAATTTATGAAACAATTACTAACAGACCTAAGAAATGAGATAGACAGCAACACAATAATAGTGGGCAACTTCACTATTCCACTGACAGCACTAGACAGGACATCAAGACAGAAAGTCAACAAAGAAACAATGGATTTAAACTATACCTTGGACCAAATGAACGTTGACAGATATATACAGACCATTTCATCCAACAACCACAGAATATACGTTCTATTCAACAGCACATGGAACTTTCTCCAAGAGAGACCATGTGATAGACCATAAAACGAGCCTCGATAAATTCAAGAAAATTGAAATTATATGAAGCACTTTCCCAGACCACAGTGGAATAAAACTGGAAATCAACTCCAAAAGGAACCTTCAAAACCCATGCAAATACATGGAAATTAAATAACTTGCTCCTGAATGAGCATTAGGTTAAAAACAAAATCAAGATGGAAATTTAAAAATTCTTCGAACTGAATGACAATAATGACGCAACCTACCAAAACCTCTGGAATACAGCAAAGGCAATGCTAGGAGGAAATTTCATAGCCCTAAACACCTACATCAAAAAGGCAGAAAGAACACAAACTGACATTCTAAGGTCACACCACAAGGAACTAGAGAAACAAGAACAAACCAAACCCGAACCCCACAGAAGAAAGGAAATAACCAAGATCAGAGCAGAACTAAAGGAAATTGAAACAAACAAACAAAAATACAAAAAATAAATGAAACAAAAAGCTGGTTCTTTGAAAAGATAAATAAAATGGATAGACTATTAGCAAGAGTAACCAAGAAGAGAGAAAATCCAAATAACTTCACTAAGAAATGAAACAGGAGATATTACAACTGACATCACTGAAATACAGAAGATCATTCAAGGCTACTGTGAACACCTTTATGCACATAAACTAGAAAGCCTAGAAGAGATGGATAAATTCCTGGAAAAAAATACAACCTTCCTAGCTTAAATCAGGAAGACTTAGATACCCTGAACAGACCAATAACAAGCAGTGAGATTGAAATGGTAATTTAAAACTTACCAACAAAAAAAAAGTCCAGGACCAGACGGATTCACATCAGAATTCTACCAGACATTCAAAGAATTGGTACCAATCCTTTTGACACTATTCCACAAGATAGAGAAAGAAGGAACCCTCCCTAATTCATTCTATGAAGCCAGCATCACCCTAATACCAAAACCAGGGAAGCAGATAACTAAAAAAGAAAACTACAGACCAATAACCTTGATGAACATAGATGCTAAAATCCTTAACAAAATACTCTCTAACTGAATCCAACAACATATCAAAAAGATAATCCACCATGACCAAGTGGGTTTCATAACAGGGACGCAGGGATGTACACAAGTCAATAAATGTGATACACCACATAAACAGAATTAAAAACAAAAAGCACATGATCATCTCAATAGATGTAGAAAAAGCATTCAACAAAATCCATTATGCTTTATGATTAAAACTCTCAGTAAAATCGGCATAAAAGGGACATACCTTAATGTAATAAAAGCCATCTATGACAAACTGACAGGCAACATAATACTGAATGGGGAAAAGTTGAAAGCATTCCCTCTGAGAACTGGAAGAAGGCAAGGATGCCCACACTCACCACTCCTCTTCAACACAGTACTGGGAGTCCTACCCAGAACAATCAGGAAAGATAAAGAAATGAAGGGCATCCAAATTGGTAAAGACAAAGTCAGACTGTCACCATTTGCTGACAGTATGATCCTTTACCTTGAAAACCCTAAGGACTCCTCCAGAAAGCTCCTAGAACTGATAATTCAGCAAAGTTTCCAGATACAAGATTAATGTACACAAATCAGTAGCTCTTCTGTACACCAACAGCGACCAAGCAGAGAACCAAATCAAGAATTCAACCACTTTTACAATAGCAGCAAAAAAAAAAATAAAATACTTAGGAATATACCTAACAAAGGAGTTGAACAACCTCTACAAGGAAAACTATAAAATGCTGCTGAAAGAAATCATAGACAACAGAAACAAATGGAAACACATCCCATGCTCATGGATGGGTAGAATCAATATTGTGAAAATGACCATACTGCCAAAAGCACTCTACAAATTCAAGGAACTCTCCATCAAAATATCACCATCATTCTTCACAGAAGAAAAGAAAACAATTCTAAAATTCATATGGAACCAAAAAAGAGCCCACACAGTCAAAGCGAGGCTAAGCAAAAAGAACAAATCTGGAGGCATCACATTATCTGATTTCAACCTATACTATAAGTCCATAGTCATCAAAACAGCATGGTACTGGTATAAAAATAGGCACATAGAACAATGGAACAGAATAGAGAACACAGAAATAAACCCAACTACTTACAGCCAACTGATATTCAACAAAGCAAACAAAAACATAAAGTGGGGAAAGGGGCCAGTCACAGTGCTTCATGCCTGTAATCCTAGCACTTTGGGTGGTCGAGGTGGGTGGATCACCTGAGGTCAGGAGTTTGAGACCAGCCTGGCCAACATGGTGAAACCCCATCTCTACTAAAAATGCAAAAATTAGCCGGGCATGGTAGCAGGCACCTATAATCTCAGCTACTCAGGAGGCTGAGGCAGGGGAATTGCTGGAACACAGGAGGCAGAGGTTGCAGTGAGCCGAGATCACGCCATTGCACTCCAGCCCAGGCGACAACAGCGAGACTCCGTCTTCAAAAAAAAAAAAACAAAAAACAAAAAACAAATGGGGAAAGGATACCCTTTTCAACAATTGGTGCTAGGATAATTGGCTAACCACATGTAGGAGAATGAAATTGGATCCTCATCTCACACCTTATACAAAAATCAACTCAAGACAGATTAAGGACTTAAACCTAAAACCTGAAATTATAAAAATTCTAGAAGATAACATTGGAAAAATCCTTCTAAACATTGTCTTAGGCAAGGATTTCATGACCAAGAACCCCCAAAAAATGCAATAAAAACAAAGATAAATAGCTGGGACCTAACTAAACTAAAGAGCTTTTGCATAGCAAAAGGAACAGTCAGCAGAGTAAACAGGCAACCCACAGAGTGGGAGAAAATCTTCACAATCTATACATCTGACAAAGGACTATATCCTGAATCTACAACGAACTCAAACAAATCAGTAAGAAAACAAGTAAGAAAAAAACAAACAATCCCATCAAAAAGTGGGCTAAGAACACGAATAGATAATTCTCAAAAGAAGATATACAAATGGCCAACAAACGTAAGAAACAATGCTCAACATCACTAATGATCAGGGAAATGCAAAGCAAAACCACAATGCGATACCACCTTACTCCTGCAAGAATGGCCATAATCAAAAAATCAAAAAACAGTAGATGTTGGCATGGATGCAGTGATCTGGGAACACTTCTATGCTCCTGGTAGGAATGTAAACTAACACAGCCACTATGGAAAACAGTGTGGAGACTCCTTAAAGAACTAAAAATAGAACTACCATTTGATCTAGCAATCCCACTACTGGGTATCTACCCAGAGGAAAAGAAGTCATTATTACAAAAAGATACTTGCACATGCACGTTTATAGCAGCACGATTTACAATTGAAAAATTGTGGAACCAATCCAAATGCCCATCAATCGACGAGTGGATAAAGAAATTGTGAAATATATATACATGAATACTACTCAGCCATAAGAAAAGGGATGAGTTAACAGCATTTGCAGTGACCTGGATGAGATCGGAAACTGTTATTCTAAGTGAAGTAACTCAGAAATGAAAAACCAAACATCGTATGTTCTCACTGATATGTGGGAACTAAGCTATGAGGACGCAAAGGCATAAGAATGATACAATGGACTTTGGGGACTTGGGGGCAATTGTGGGAGGGGGTGAGGGATAAAAGACTGCAAGTATGGTGCAGTGTATACTGTTCTGCTTATGGGTACACCAAAATCTCACAAATCACCACTAAAGAATGTACTCATGTAACTAAATACCACTTGTATCCCAATAACTAATGGGAAAAAAAAGTTTTAAAAAATCTGTACACTGAAAACTATAAAACATTGGTAAGAGAAATTGAAGAGGACAAAAATAAATGGAACAGTGTCCTGTGTTCATGGATTGGAAAAATTAATATTGTCAAAATATCCATACTACATAAAGCAATTTACAGACTCAATGCAACCCCTATCAAAATTCCAATACTATTTTTCACAGAGATAGAAAAAACAACCATAAAAGTCATGTGGAACCACAAGACCCTGAATAGACAAAGCAATCTTGAGGAAAAGGAGCAAAGCTGGAGGCATTACATTACTGAATTTTAAAATATATTACAAACTATAATAATTAAAACAGCATGTTACTCATAACAGATACATCAAACAACAGAATAAGATAGACAGCCCAAAAGTACACCCAAATATCGATGTTCAATTAACTTCCAAAAAAGATGCACGATGTAGAAAGGACAGTCTTCTTTAAATGGTATCAGGAGAACTGGATATCAATATACAGAAAAATAAAAATGGACTCTTTTTCACCAGTTATAGAAGAATCAACTCAAAATTAATTAAATTCTTAAATTTAGGACTTGAAACTATAAAACAACTAGTAAAAACAGGGGAAAAGCTCCATGACGTTGGAATGGGCAGAGATTTCTTGCATATGACCCCAAAAGCACAGGCAATGAAAGCAAAAATAGACAAATGAGATCACATCAAATTAAAAAGCTTCTGCACAGCAGAGGAAACAACTAACAGTAAAGAGACAACCCATACATTGACAGATATTTGCAAATCATATGTTAGATAAGGGGCCAATATCCAAAACATACAAGGAACTCAACTACTCGGTAACAAGAAAACAAATAATCCCAAACTTCTACCTGGACATCCAGGCATTTCTATATATCTTCTGAAATCTAGGCAGAGGTTCCCAAACCTCAATTCTTGACTCCTATGCACCCACAAGTTCAACACCATGTGGAAGTTGCCAAGGCTTGGGGATTCCACCCTCTGAAGCCATGGCCAGAGCTGTACCTTGGCCCCCTTTAGCCATGGCTGGAACAGCTGGGATCCAGGGCACCAAGTCTCGAGACTGCACACAGAAGTGGGGTGCTGGACCCGGCCCAGGAAACCATTTTCCCTCCTAGGCCTCTGAGCCTGTGATGAGAGGGGCTGCCACAGAAGTCTCGGACATGCCCTCGAGACGTTTTCCCCATTTGTTGGTGATTAGCATTGGGCTCCTCATTACTTATGCCAACTTCTGCTACCAGCTTGAATTTCTCCTCAGAAAATCAGTTTTTGTTTTCTACTACATCTTCAGGCTGCAAGTTTTTCAAACTTTTATGCTCTGCTTCCTCTTGAACACTTTGCTGCTTAGAAATTTCTTCCACCAGATATCCTAAATCATCTCTCTCAAGTTCAAAGTTCCACAGATCTCTAGGGCAGGGGCAAAATGCCACCAGTCTCTTTGCATAGCAAGGGTGACCTTTACTCCAGTTCCCAACAAGTTCCTCATCTCCATCTGAGACCATCTCAGCTTGGACTTTATTGTCCATATCACTATCAGCATTTTGGTCAAAGCCATCCAACAGGTCTCTAGGAAGTACCAAACTTTCCCATCTTCTTCTGAGCCCTCCAAACTGTTCCAACCTCTGTCTATTACCTAGTTCCAATGTCACATCTACATTTTTACAGCAGCACCTCACTCTGTCAGTACCAATTGACTGTATTAGTCCATTCTTGCACTGCTATAAGGACATATCTGAGACTGGTTAATTGATGAAGGAAAGAGGTTTAATTGACTCACAGTTCCACAGGGCTTGGGAGGCCTCAGGAAACTCACAATCATTCGCAAAAGGGGACGCAAACACATGCTTCTTCACATGGCAGCAGCAAAATGTGCAGAGCAAAGGTGGGAAAGCCCCTTATAAAACCATCAAATCTTGTGAGAACTCACTCACTATCGGGAAAACAGCATAAAGATAACTGCCCCCATGATTAAATTAACTCCCACTGGGTCCCTCCCGTGACTGGTGGGAATTATGGGAAGTACAATTCAAGATGAGATTTGGGTGGGGGACACAGCCAAACTGTATCAGGCAATATGGTCATTTTAATTATAGTAACTTTCTGATCTATAGGCATGAGATGTTTTTACATTTGTTTGTGTCATCAAAAATTTATTTCATCAGCCTGTTGTAGTTTTCCTTGTAGAGATCTTTCACTTCTTTGGTCAAATATATTCCTAGGTATTTTGTATTTTTCATAGTTATTGTAACTGAAATTGCCTTTTTTATTTGGTTCTCACCTTGATCATATAAGGGTATAGAAGTCATACTGATTTTTGTACATTTCTTTTCTATCCTGAAATTTTACTGAATTCATTTATCAAATCTAAGCGTTTTTTATCGAATCTTGAGGGTTTTCTAGATATGAGGTCATATTATCAACAGAGATATATTGACTTTCTCTTTTCCAATTTGGATGCCTTTTATTTCTTTACTTTGCTTAATTGCACTGGCTAAGACTTACAGTATTATGCTGAATATGAGTGGCGAAAAGTGGGAATCCCTGTCTTGTTTCTAGTTCTTAAAGGGAATGCTTTCACATTTTCCTCATTCAGTATGATATTGGCTATTGGTTTGGCACACATGGCTTTTATTATTTTGAGGTATGTTCCTTCTATGCCTAATTGGTTGAGGCTTTTTATCATGAAGTGTGGATGAATTTTTTCAAATGCCTTTTCTGCATCTATTGAGGTGATCATATGTTTTTTCCTTAATTATGTTTATGTGATGAAGCCCATTAATTGGTTCACATATGGTAAACCATCCTTGTATATGTGGTATAAAACCCACTTGATGATGCTGTACTATCTTTTTGATGTGCTGTTTGATCTGGCTTGCTAGTACACTGCCTAGGATTTTTGCATGTATGTTAATCAGGGATGTTTATCTGTAGTTTTCTCTTTTTCTTGTGTCCTTATATGTTTTTGGTATCAGCATGATACTGGCTTCATAGAATGAGTTAGGAAGAATTCTCACCTCCTCAATTATTGTAAACTGCTACCACTGCAGATGGGTCTTACCTGCAAGTGTCACCTACTTACTGGCCTAGAGGGTGGAGTGCACAGTCCATTACAGCATTTGCTTACACAACTATAGAGCACTTGGGAACAAGATAAGCTTCTTACAATCATTGCCTATACCACCCTGGCTACTCAGGAGGTTGCTGCTACTAAAACTGGCATTTGAGAAAGCCACCGCACTAAGACTATTTATGTCCAAGGAAACAATACTGTCTTTAGCACTGAACACACCTAGAAGAAAAGCCAAAAGACGCTACCCAACATATACTACAGTTACATTCTAAAAAAAAGAAAAGGCCTGCCCCAATAAAAGTAAATGTAAAAATACGAAGTGGCAACTATATCTCCAGATGCACAGAAATCAGCAAAATAGTACAGGAAGCATTAAAAGGCAAGGAATTATGACACCCCCAAATGAGTACAGTAATTTTCTGTTAATGAATCCAAACCAAAAATAAATCAGAGTGCCAGGTAAAGCATTTAGAATATTGGTTTTAAAGAAGCTCAATGAGATCCAAGAGAGTTCTGAAAACTAACACAATGAAATCAGAAAATCAATTCAGGATATAAACAAGAAATTTACTGAGAAGATAAACATCTTAAAAAATAACAGAACTTCCGGAAATGAAAAATTCATTGAAGAAAATACAGAATAAATTTGAAGGCATTAAAAGTAGACTGGACTAAGCAGAAGAATGAATCTCAGAACTTGAACACAAGTCTTTTGCATTAAGCCAGACAAAAACAAAAAGGACAAAAAAGAATGCACAAGCCCTTTGAGATATATGAGACCACATAAATCAATCACACTTGTATTCCTGAGGAAGAAGAAAAAGTAAAAAGTTGAGAAAACCTATATAAGGGAATAATTGACAAAACTTCCCTAGTCTAGCAAGAGATTTAGACGTTCAGATATCAAAAGCCCCAGTGATTGTCAAGAAAATCAATTGCAGAACAGACTTCATGCCATATAATCAGACTGTGAAAAGGCACCATGAAAGAAATAATTATAAAATCAGAAAGAGAAAAGCATCTAGTCACCTATAAAGGAATCCCCATCAGACTAATAGACTTATCAGCAGAAACCTTAAAACCCAAAAGAGAATGAGATGCTATTTTCAAAGAGCTAAAAGAAAATGTCAGCCAAGAATTTTATATCCTGTCAGAATAAACTTTATAAATGGAGAAGAAATAAAGCCTTTTACAGGCAAGCAAACACTGAGGGAATTTGTCACCACTAGCCAGCCAAACAAGAATTGCTCAAAGGAGTCCTAAACATGGAAATGAAAGTATAAAACTCACAGACTTTATAAAACAATCACACAAGGGAGCAGGAGAAAGGAATCAAATAGCAACACAACAGAACTCCACCAAACCAGAAAGACAAACAGAGAAAAAGATAGAAACAAAGAATTTATAAAAGAACTAGATAACAGTTAACAATATGACAGAAACAAAACCTCACATATCAATATTAACCTTGAGTGTAAATGGAATAAATACTCCATTTAAAAGATTTAGATTGGCAGGATGGATTAAAAACATGATTTAATTATATGCTGCTTACAAGAAACTCACCTTACCCATAAAGACAAATATAGACTGAAAGTAAAGGGATGGAAAAAGATATTCCATACCAAAAGAAACCAAAAGTAAGCAGGAATAAGTATATTTAAATCAGACAAAATAGACATCAGATCAAAAACAGTAAAAAAAACAAGTCAAAGAAGGCCAGTATATAGTGATAAAGTGATCAGTTCAGGAAGAGAATGTAACAATCATGTAGATAGATAGATATAAATCATATATATACATATATAAATATATATCTCAATCCTTGAGCAACCAAATTCATAAAATAATTACTGTTAGGTCTAAGGAAAGATATGGACAGCAATACAATAATAGTGGGAGATTTCAACACCCCACTCACAGCACTAGACAGATCATCTGGACAGAAAATCAACAAAGAAACATTAGACTTAAACTATACTCTAGAACAACCGGACTCACCAAACATACAGAACATTCTACTGAACAACTGCAGAATATACATACTTCTCATCAGCACATCGAACATTCTCCAAGATAGACCATATGTTAGGCCACAGTACAAGTCTCAATAAATTTTAAAAAATTGGAATCATATCAAGTATCTTCTCAAATCACAGCAGAATAAAACTACAAATCGGCCGGGCGCAGTGGCTCACGCCTGTAATCCCAGCACTTTGGGAGGCCGAGGCGGGTGGATCATGAGGTCAGGAGATCGAGACCATCCTGGCTAACAAGGTGAAACCCCGTCTCTACTAAAAATACAAAAAATTAGGCGGGCGCCTGTAGTCCCAGCTACTCGGGAGGCTGAGGCAGGAGAATGGCGTGAACCCGGGAAGCGGAGCTTGCAGTGAGCCGAGATTGCGCCACTGCAGTCCGCAGTCCGGCCTGGGCAACAGAGCGAGACTCCGTCTCAAAAAGAAAAAAAAAAAAAAAAAAACTACAAATCAATACCAGGTGGAACTTTGTAAACTATACAAATACATGGAAATTAAACAACGTGCTCCTGATGAATCTTTGGGTCAATGATGAAATGAAGATGGAAATTATAAGTGAATGAAAATGGAAGCAAAACACATGAAAACTCTGGGATATAGCAAAGGCAGTGCTAAGAGTAAAGTTTACAGTGTTAAATGCCTGTATAATAAAAAAAGAAAGATCACAAATTAATAGCCTAACATCACATCTCAAGGTGTTGATTATATATAAAACAACAAACCAAGCCCAAAGTTAGCAGAAGAAAAAAAGAAAGATTATAGCAGAACTAAAAGAAACAGAGACACAAACAGAAACAATAGGAAGGGTCAATGAAACAAAAGGGCTTTTCTTTTTTGTTTTGTTTTGTTTTGTTTTGTTTTTGGAGACCAGGTCTCATTCTGTCACCCAGGCTTGTGTGCAGTGGTGCAGTTATGGCTTACTATGTCCTTGAACTCCTAGACTCAAGCAATCTTCCCACTTCAGCCTCCTGAGTACCTGGGACTATAGGCACAAACCACCATGCTCAACAAATTTGTAAAAAATTAAAAAAAAATGTTTTTCAGAGATTGGACCTTACTATATTACCCAGACTGGTCCTGAACTCCTCTGGTCTTGACCTCCCAAAGTGATAGGTTTACAGGTGTGCGTGATTGCACCCAGCCAAAATACTGCTTTTGAAAAGATAAACTGTTTACAATAATTGAGGAGGTGAGAATTCTTCCTAACTCATTCTATGAAGCCAGTATCATGCTGATACCAAAAACATATAAGGACACAAGAAAAAGAGAAAACTACAGATAAACATCCCTGATTAACATACATACAAAAATCCTAGGCACTGTACTAGCAAGCCAGATCAAACAGCACATCAAAAAGATAGTACAGCATCATCAAGTGGGTTTTATACCACATATACAAGGATCATTTACCATATGTGAACCAATTAATGGGCTTCATCACATAAACATAATTAAGGAAAAAAACATGATCACCTCAATAGATGCAGAAAAGGCATTTGAAAAAATTCATCCACACTTCATGATAAAAAGCCTCAACCAATTAGGCATAGAAGGAATATACCTCAAAATAATAAAAGCCATGTATGCCAAACCAACAGCCAGTATCATACTGAATGAGGAAAATATGAAAGCATTCTCTTTAAGAACTAGAAACAAGACAGGGATTCCCACTTTCGCCACTCATATTCAGCATAATACTGTAAGTCTTAGCCAGTGCAATTAAGCAAGGTAAAGAAAATAAAAGGCATCCAAATTGGAAAAGAGAAAGTCAATATATCTCTGTTGATGATATGACCTCATATCTAGAAAACCCTCAAGATTCGATAAAAAAAAAGCTTAGATTTGATAAATGAATTCAGTAAAATTTCAGGATAGAAAAGAAATGTACAAAAATCAGTATCACTTCTATACCCTTATAATGATCAAGGTGAGAACCAAATAAAAAAAGGCAATTTCAGTTACAATAACTATGAAAAAATACATTCCCTCTCACTTGGCTGTGGCATGGCACTGGGACCACCCCTCCATCCCTGTGCTGGGACCTTGGGGCAGCAGCATTGCACCACTCCTCACCTGGGCATTTCTCCAGGGACCTGGGGACTGCCCTCTGATCCCCATTGGGGCTGGAAGCCACCATTGAAGGAACTGAGTGCAAGCTTTACTGGTCCAGCTCTGCCCAGCTGTGCATCCCTCTCCCTCAGACAGTATGGTATCCAGACCACTGAGCATTTCATGGACCAATCAATCATCTGGGACACCTAAGCACTTCTCTGGGATAATGAAGGTTGAGCATAAACTGTACTCAACAGGTGAATGGTTAAAACACTGTGATACACTATACAATGGATACTATTTAGCAATAAAAAAAGAACCAAATACTAATTCTAAGCAACAATTTGGATGAATCTCAAGGTCATTATGCTGAGTGAACAAAGCCAATCTCAAAATATCACATACTTTATGATTCCATTAATGTAATAGAGTAGAAATAGATTAGTGATTAATAGGGATTAAGGATGGTGGGAGAGTTAGGGGGTGAGTGTGAAAGTAAAGAGTATAAATGAAATCTTTTTTGTGGTGGGATAGTTCTGGATCTTGACTGGGGTGGTGATAAAGGAATCTACACATGTGATAAAATGACACAGAACAATATATATATATTGGATGAATGCTATATTACTGGTTTTTATATTGTATTACAATTCTGTAAGATATAACCACTGGCGGGAACTGAATGAAGGATACATGAGACCTCTCTGTATTATCCTCGCAACATCCTATAAATTTATAATTATCCTAAAAAGTATTTTTAAATTGTAGCTGAGTATATTAGATTCCTGGGGCTGCCATAACAAAACTACACAGAATGGTTTAAACAACAGAAATCTATTGTCTGGAAGCTAGAAGTCCAAAATCAAAGCACCAGCAGAGTTGGTTCCTTCTGATGACTATGAGGGAGAATCCATTCCATTCTTCTCATTTAGCTTCTGGTAGTCTAGTCTGTTCAATAGCTTGCAGATAGTGTTCTCCCTATGTCTTCACAGTATCTTCCCTCTATGCATGCTTGTCATGATGTACAAATTTCCCCTCATTATAAAGACACTGTCAGGATTAGGTCCCATCCTAATAACCTTATCCTAATTTGATCAGCTGTAAAGATTCTATTTCAAAATATGGTTGGTCACGGTCATCGGTATTGAGGGTTAGGACTTCAACATCTTTTTGGGAAACATGGTTCAAACAATAACACTGGGTCTAAAAGAATCAATTGTACAAGAGGGAAAACCTGTTTTAAAGGCACTTCATTAAGAGAAAAGGATGAAGAAAGAAGAGGAAGGGGGTGAGAGGGAGGGGGAGGAGGAGAAGAAGGAAAAAAAGGAGGAGAAGGAAACGGAGAAAAGAAAGAAAGAAAGAAAAAAGAAAAGAAAGAGAAAAAGAGAGAGAAAGAGAGAGAGAAGGAAAGACAAGAAAGAAAGAAAAAAAAAGAAAGAAAGAAAGAAAAGAAAAGAAAAGAGAAAAGAAAAGAAAAGAAAAGAATTTAGGCCCAACCTAAATGAATAGTTTAGCAGGGCCGTCTTCCATTGCGTGAATAGATTCAGATCAAAGACAGGTATAGCCACAATCCCTCTCATCTGTCAGATTTCACACAAAATTTTCTAATCTATTTGGAGGCGGGGATATTGATGAATATAGGACAACCACAGAGACTAAAAACCAAGTTGAAGTAAAAGAAGACTAAAGATGACATATCTATCTTCCAAGTATTTATCTTTTAAATCCCTCATACCGCCTTAAAAGGGGTAGACCCTTTGTTTCAATTGTCTAGGTAGGAGAGTTAGACTTAATACAACAAAAGCCAGTAATATTGAGACCAGAAGAACCTCCTAAAATTTAGAATGTTAGAGAATTTTAACAAAAGAAATCTGTAACCAATGGAAAGGGCTTGCTCAAAATGTAGTGATTTCCCTTTTGCCAGGGAATGTTCAAAAGAACTGGTCAACTCTTCATTAGATATTCTTGAATTAGGTGGGAGATTGTACTAGCTCAGTGTCTCCAACTGTTTTGTTTTGTTTTTACTTTTCAGCACTTTCAAAGAAATATATATTAACTTCACCTTCTTAGAATTTTTTTTAAAAATTTCACCTTTTTTCCAAATGGTAAGATTCAAATGTAACTTTAAATTGACAAATATTTGAGAAAAGTGTTATTAGTAAATATCATATTAAAAGGTTGATTTCCATGTAATGTTTGCTAATAATTCAAAAGAAAAAAACATCATTTCGCCAATCAATTTAAATATGACATGTTCAATTTTAGGATTGAATACAGATGGCTAAATGAGAAACATGATTTTACTAGTTAGCTGCAAAAAGTATATTTTTCTATCTCCTCATAATAATAGACTCTATCATCAGATACATCATGTATTAAAAGTTTTGGGGGTGAAGGTATCAAATGTACCCTAAACATTAGTTTTCCCATGCAGTACAGTTATTATTATGCAATTATAGACACTTCCCCAGGATTTGTGTCTTTAAAACTTATTAGGTGCTTTTAGACCAAAAATTAGAAAAGTTTACAATATGAAATGTTTGAAATTCTTAAATTTGTAGTTTTTTAGGTAGTTTATTTTCCATTTCTTGTCTCGTGTCTAATTGAAGAGATATGCAATTTCAAGGTTCAATTTCCTAAAATAATACATACAGGTATAAATAACCCTTATCTCACGGAAAAACAAATATTGATGTAATTTTATAGAATTTTGAACAGATGAAATCAACATATAGATGTGATTCTTGTTTTTTAAGCCTACTTTGCGTAAATATTCTAATATTTTCTTTCTTGTTTAGTTGATGTATTTCAGCATCGATATCCCTTAAACTTTCTATCTTTAGCCAATTAATTGTGGGAATTGAACTATATGTATATGAAGAAATATATAATTTAATTAATTCCCATATATGACTAATAATATATGTTTTTAAAACTGTATACTGGTAAAACCTATCATGAAAGCTAAAGGTTTAAGGTGGTGATTAAAAAATATTTAGAAGGCTTGTGATAAAAAGAATCTTAGCATTTACATGAATTTAGAAGCACCGAACACTTCAGGAATCAGCAGACCAACAACGTACTATCCATCTTTAAAAGGAAGGAAAGTAAGTGTGTGGAGAAATAGCTATTTTCATCATCTACAGGAAAAGAAAATTAGTATAACTTCAATGAAGAACAATTCAATGACATCAACCAAAGTTACAAACCAACATACTCTGATCCTGCAATTTGGCTTCTGGAATACGTAGATATATATGTATGAAATAACATAAGCAAAAATTAACTATTGCAGCATTATCTGTAATAGCATATGTGTGAAAACAAAGTAAATGCCTATCAATGGGGGATAAATTATGGTATATCCATCAGCGTCTAGAAAATAAAAAAGATAAGAGAGCTTTTTATGCATTCATATGGAAAGATATCCAAGATACATTAAGTGAAAAGTAAGCAAAGTAGACGAGTATATAGTGTTATAATAATTACATAAAAGGGACAGATATTTTATATATATATTTTATATATAATTTATATATAATTAAATGTAAACATGCACACATAGTATATATATATATTAATATATAAATATATATTTATATATACATATTTATATATATTTAAAATATATATTTATATATTTAAAATATATATATTTATATATTTAAAATATATATTTAAAATAAATATATATATTTAAAATATATATTTAAAATAAATATATATATTTTAAATATATTTATATATTTTAAATATATAAATATAAACAGAAGTAATATAATATATAAATCTATATTTATATATGCATATACAATATATGCCTATATATATGTGCATGTTTATTTTATATTTAAACCAATTAACTTTTTATTGAAGTACTATATTCAGAAAAGTGAATGTGAGTGTAATCTCCAAGAATTTTCATAAACTGAACACACCCATGCAACTGGCACCTACAGCCTAGGTCCTGAATCAAAAAATAGAACATTACCATCATCCTAAATACCTCATGATTCCCTTCTAATCAATGCCTCTCCCCTACTAGAGAGAAGATTTCTATAAGCATAAGTTAGTTTTATTTATTTTTGTACTTTATACAAATGGACTCATGCAATATGTACTCTTCTGTATCTGGCTTTTTTCATCCAACATTATATTTGTACACTGTTTAATTTCATTCCCATTTAGTATTATATTGCATAAATGTGCCAAAATGTATTTATCTATTCTACTATTTATGGATATCTGGGTAATTTCCAGTTTGAGGCTATTATAAACACCACTGCTATGAACATTCTAGTAGATGCATACACATGTCCACATACCGAAGCAAGGAATTACTGGGTCATAGGATCTGCATATCTACAATTTTAATAGATACTGACATACAATTTACAAAATTGATTGAACCAATCAACACTCCCATGAGCAGTGTACAAGAGCTCCTGTTGCTCCAAATCCTCACTCACACTTGGTATATTCTGTCTTTTTAATTTTATTCATTCTACTGTTTGGATAGTAGTGTTGCAATGTGAATAAAATTTGTGATTCCCTGATAATTAATGATGTTGAGAACCTTTTCACCTCTTTTTCAAGGTATCTAAGTCCTCTTCTCAATTTTTCTATTGCATTATGAGTCCTTATTGTTTTAAATTTTAAACCATGTGATATGGTTTTAAAAAGTAAATTTAAAAGTAATGTAATTAACAATACAAATAAATTCCATGAAGTTCTATGCTTCATGCTCTCTCCTTCTTAGAGATGCATATTAGCATTTCAAAAGTTCTGAAAAGTTCTACATTTTTCACCACCACAAAACAGTTTAGAGAAATGTTGTCTCCCTTCTGATGTAATTTTCATGGAATTAACAATTGTCTCCTTTTTTTACTTGTATTTTTTTTTACAATTCATTCTCCAATTTTATCCCATAGTTCATTAGATCTATCAAACATCTATCAATATAATTTCTCAAATACTCAAAATTAGATAATCTATCATTTCAATTACTGTAACTACTGTTTTCTCTTGAAGTCTGCCATCTCCCTGTTCAGTGAAAATGGGTTGCTCTCCAATTCTGCCATATTTCTCTCATCCTGGAGTTTCCCTTCTTAATTTCCTGGTCCGGTTTTCTGGATCTCATGTCTTTCTTTTTCTTGGGCTACTCCCATGTTTTGCTGAACACATTCTCTAGGAGCTTTCTTTAAAAAAAAAAAATGACATGGAAAGAAAGTATTTCATTCTTGTATATGTGAAAATGTTTTTATTCTGCCCTTACATTTGACGGAAAGTTTGACTATAGAATTCTAAGTTGGAAGTTACTGTCCTTCAGAATATTGGAAAAATTTCACTTCATTATATTTCAGGATAACAATGACTTAGTAACATTGTTAAGAAATTCAATGCCATTCTAATTCCCATCTCTTTAATTTTTGTTTCCGCCCTCTGAAAACGTTTAGAATCTTCCCTTTAGTGTTAGTGTTCTCACCCTTTTAATGATGTATGTGCCTTAATGTAGGTCTTTTTACTTGGTGGGCCCTTTAAATATGAAGACTCCTGCCCTAGCAAAAATTTTTAAATTATTATTTTGATCATTTCTTCCCTGTTTATTTTTTGTTCTCTTTTTCTAGGACTCAGGTTTTTAATTAATTGACTGGATAAACATGTCAGGCCTCTGAGCCCAAGCTAAGCCATCATATACCCTGTGACCTGCACGTATACATCCAGATGGCCTGAAGCCACTGAAGAACCACAAAAGTGAAAATAGCCAGTTCCTACCTTAACTGATGACATTCCACGATTGCGATTTGTTCCTGCCCTTCCCTAACTGATCAATGGACCTTGTGACACTCCTTCTCCTGGACAATGAGTCTCAGGAGCTCCCCACTGAGCACCTTGTGACCCCCACCCCTGCCCGCAAGAGAAAAACCCCCTTTAACTGTAATTTTCCACTACCTACCCAAATCCTATAAAGACTGCCTCACCCCTATCTCCCTTTGCTGACTCCTTTTTCGAACTAAGTCGGCCTACACCCACATGATTAAAAGCTTTATTGCTCACCCAAAGCCTGTTTGGTGGTCTCTTCACACTGACGCGCGTTAACAGAATGAATGGATAGAAAAGTCTTCTGAGTACTTTTTAAGAAAAAAGCTTATTGGCCGGGCGCGGTGGCTCACGCCTGTAATCCCAGCACTTTGGGAGGACAAGGTGGGCGGATCACGAGGTCAGGAGTTCGAGACCAGCTTGGCCAACACGGTGAAACCCCGTCTCTACTAAAAATACAAAAATTAGCTGGGTGTGGTGGCGGGCGCCTGTAATCCAAGCTACTTGGGAGGCTGAGGCAGAAGAATTGCTTGAACCAGGGAGGCAGAGGTTGCAATGAGCAGAGCAGAGATCGCGCCACTACACTCCAGCCTGGGTGACAGAGCACGACTCCCTCTCGAAAAGAAAAAAAAAAGCTTATTAAGCAATAAAGCACAGAGTATCAGACCATATGTTTAGTGCTGAACATTTTATTATAAATGATCAAAAATGTTTAACATACTATTGTTTACAACCTCCCACTACTGTAAAATCTAACATTGCTACTTTCATTTCAGGTAATGCAAAAATACAAGAAGCATTAGCTGTCTGTAGGCAGAAATCTGTTCGAGTCATTCCTTATTACTGAATCCCTAGAATTAATTAAACATCTAGTATGGAGTTGGTATTGTATATAACATTTGCACTCACGTCTTACAAAATAGTCATCTAAGTAGAAAGGTATTCAAGGCAGAAGGATGGAAAAACGTTTGCAGTCTTTTTTGGTTGGCATGAAACACTGACTGCATTCCTCCCAGATTTATAAGAAAGAAATATTTGCAGTCTTACCTGGAGTTAGATGGATGGACTCTCTCAAGGTTATTTTTCAATCTCTGCACATACATACTTATGGAAGTAAGAAAGAAGAGGGAGAAAAGGCAGATCCCCCATAACAGCGGTTAAACACCTGAACTTGCTCCACTATGACAGGGTTTATCATCCACCTCTCAGTCCTCAAGTGGCTGGAAATATGGAAATTGGAGTCCAGGTAGACAGGTGAGTGTACAACCTCTTAAGTGTGGAGCCCTCGGAATTCACAACACTCCCCAAATCGCTTCCTGCGCAGGCGCGGAGTCGGAAGGGAGTCGGAAAGCAGACCCCGGTGCCCCCTAATAAAGCCCCCAGCCGGACGCTGCCGCTACCGGGGTTTGGCAACTTCCGGAAGACCTGTGGCCCAAAGGAGAATCCTGTTGGGGGAGGCGGGGGCCGGTGGTCGCTAACCAATCCGACACCCGCCAGCAGGCTGAAGAGAGGGGCTTTCCCAAAAGGAAAACTTTCCCAAACCTGGGGGATGGGAAGAGAAGACAAAAGGAGCTCCCTTTCCCACTTCCCAGCCGCCCGTCCCAGCCCTCGGCCTCCGCTGCGCGACCCGGGCGGAGGATCCCGGCCGCAGGCCGAGGCGAGAGCCAGGCGGGAGGGCCGCGAGCGGGCTGCCCCTCTCCCCGCCTTGCCGTCCGCCGCTGACGTAACCTGCGAAGTTTGGGGAGGGAGGAGCTCGGGCGGCCGGAGCTGGTCGCTGCGCGCGCCGGGGGGAGGGCCGGGGCTGCGAGAGAGGAAGCTCTTTCGCGGCGCTACGGCGTTGGCACCAGTCTCTAGAAAAGAAGTCAGCTCTGGTTCGGAGAAGCAGCGGCTGGCGTGGGCCATCCGGGGAATGGGCGCCCTCGTGACCTAGTGTTGCGGGGCAAAAAGGGTCTTGCCGGCCTCGCTCGTGCAGGGGCGTATCTGGGCGCCTGAGCGCGGCGTGGGAGCCTTGGGAGCCGCCGCAGCAGGGGGCACACCCGGAACCGGCCTGAGCGCCCGGGACCATGAACGGGGAGGCCATCTGCAGCGCCCTGCCCACCATTCCCTACCACAAACTCGCCGACCTGCGCTACCTGAGCCGCGGCGCCTCTGGCACTGTGTCGTCCGCCCGCCACGCAGACTGGCGCGTCCAGGTGGCCGTGAAGCACCTGCACATCCACACTCCGCTGCTCGACAGGTAGGCAGTCACTGGGGTTCCCTGGAAGAGCCCTCAACTCCTGCATCCCCTCAAGCCCCCTGACAAGCGGGCTCTAGAGCCCAAATGGCAGTGACCGCTTGGGGCCGGCCTCACCTCGTCACCTCTAGGGAGCCCTTCAAGCTTGGGAGATAGGGAGCACCCACCCTTCAAGCTCTGGCACCGTAGGGAGCACAGGCTTCTCTGGAGATGCAGCAGTTGCATTCCTCCACACATCTCTCCATTACCCTTTCTCTCCTTCCCTCTTACTCCTAGGCGTTCTGGCTCCGTACTCCAAAAATCAGCAATCACTGCCTAACTCTAAACGCTGGGTTTACTGAAATTGATGTGTGTTTATATATAGTGGGTGTGGGTTTTGTTTGCTTTGTTTTTTCCTTATTTTTGAAATTGGGCTGTAGGGCTGCACTGTCCAGTAGGTAGCTCTTAGCCACAGGTGGCTATTGAGCACTTGAAATGTGCCCGTCCGAATTGAAGTGTGACCTAAGTGTAAAATACCAGAGTTCGAATGCTTAGTATTTATTAAAAAAAGAACTTATAATATTTTATTATTTGTTTATTGATTATATGCTGAAATAACATTTTTGATATCTTGGGTTAAATATAAGATTAAAATTCATTTTATGTGTTTCTTTTTACTTTATGTGGCCACGAGAAAATTTTAAATTGTATGTGGTGGTGTTCACATTATATGTTTATTGGACCGCACTGCTTTAGAATCAAGGATGTTTTGCTTCTTATTGTTTTTATTTTGGTTTTGGTTTATTATGTGTTGTCAGGAACGTTTTATATCAAACTCAATACTAGCAGTTCAGTTTCTCCCAGTCTCAGTTTCTCTCACAGGGAAGATTAAGTAGAGGAAATGTGTGCTATTTTTGCCACAATAAATTGAACCAAAAGACTGTTAAATGGCCAGAAATTGTAAATGGCTTTCACTTATTGGTTTGTACAGGTTTTAAGGGAAGGTTAGCATTAGTTTCTGTTTTCAGAAGAACATTACAACCGCGTGCCATAGACCTGTGACTGTGTATTAGTCAATGGGTCACTAGTCTTGTGTATTTTACTTCCTACAGGGATTTAACTAGGCCCAGCATTCAGTTCTTAGTGAGTTAACATCCATGATTACAACATTCTCTTCTCCTCCTCCTATATCTAATGTGAAAATACGTCATCCCCGATGCCTGATTGGCCAGAAGCTGTGAGTATCCAGCATCAGATAAATTCCTCAGCTTCCGCCCTGCCAAAGTTACTGGATTTTCACCTGCCTGTGGCTTTTCTTCATTGTCTCTCACTGTCAGGCTTCGATGGCCTAAATGGCACAGGAGATTTGGGACACTTCTAGAGCTTGTTTCCACTTCTTGTCTATCATAATCCAGATTCAGTGATATACAAGGTGTGGTGTCTGTTTACTCCAGGCCTTATATTCTGTGGAGCAAGTGCTGGACAAGTGTGTATATGTGTCTGTAGTCAACTTTTAAGGGTGGTGGTTGGTTAGAGAGGGTGGATATATGTTAGAACCAGTTATGCAAACACTATATGGAAATGTAGCACTGATGGACCCATTAGGTATTGAAAAGCCAATTGATCCTCCCACTTTGGGTGCTGCTTCTCAGGATTTTGATTTATCTAAGCTTTGTGCAGTTTGGGGACCAAGAAGTGAAGAGGGAGTTTCCTTCCCATACTCATGAACAATTTTCATAGTCTAAAATTCTTCACTGAATTGGGTAGGAAATTAATTCTGTCTTCGAGGAAGCCATAAGACCAGCGAAACACTCTGGCATTTACTGCATCACATTCTTTTCTCCAATTTGTTACTTAAGATCTTATCATTGCAGTATTTATGTAGTCTGAGCATTAGATGAGGCTATGCAGTTGACTCACTGGTGTCTCTTTCCTCACTTATAAAATACGAATAATAAATACATGTGTTTCTCGGACTATGGAGAACAATGTTTGCATTGTTCTTTGGGATGACCTGAAAAAAAATAAGTTTATGCAATGTTACATGCTCTTATTTTAATGACTGGTGAATCAGTCTCCATAACCTGACTTCTATCCGATGAGTGGACCTTCCCCAACAATCTTCCCACCCCTTATGAGTAATGAGTCCAATTGGTTGTTCAAATACCCTGTAGATGACATAACTTTTCTGATTAAATTTTTGAGTTAATTTTGGTGATGTGACTATGGAAGCTGTACTTTACACCTTTATTTTCAAAATGTAAAAATCAATTTTTAAAATCTTTTGGCTTTAAAAAAAATTTCCCACTCACTCAATCTTGCCAAAAATCTACCTTCAAGAACTTTCCTACTATATTCTTTGATCAAGCAATAGGGTAGAAAGAATGCAGGCTTTAATGTCCCATGATTGCAATTCAAATCTGACGCCAACCCTGCCACTTATTAGTGTGACCATTAGAAAAGTATTAATTTTTCTGAGCCTTAGTGCCCTCATTTATAAAGTGGAGCTAATGAAACTATGTTTAGAGGGTGATCTTAAGATGCTAGTGCATATAAAGTGACTGACATGTAATAGGGTCACAGTGGAAAGAAGAATGCCTCTTAATGGGAGGAGGAAAGAGTGTGTGAAGTGTCACTGAGACTTCTGCAGCATGCACTCTCTATTGTTCTTAGTATCCAGGAATCTTCAGGGTCATCCTCTATTGTTGGCCTAAATCTCTTGGGGCAGATATGGAACTATTTCCATCTAGGGAATAAACATTTAATTAAAATGGGTCTCACAAACTGATACTGGTTTCCTAGCAGTTGGAGTATTAAGTGATTGAAGGACAGAGAATGAGAGAAGCTTTTCACTTTATGCCTTCTTGTTACTCTTGAATTTTAAGACATATAAATATATGACCTATTCAAAAAATAAATGACGAAGATTCTTTTGCTTTGTTTTTTTGTTTGTTTTTAAAAGTAGTCCTCTTAGTCTGGTCTAGAATGTCTGTTGCTATTCATATTTCAACAGCCATTCATTCAGAGCTTGGGAGGTGTAAGAACTAACTTATCATCATTACTTACCTAATAGGCTTCTCCTGGAAACATTTCTATTTCTGTCATTGCTGCAGCCAACATCCAGTCACTCAGGGTAAAAAAATAATGACATCTCCAATTCCTTTTCATTTTTTTTTTAACCCCCTACAGTCAGTCACTACAACGCGGGCATTCTATTCACTTAGTGTTTTTCTTTCCATTTCCACTGCTACCTTTGTAGTTTTAGGTTCATGTATTAACTGGTATTAAAATCTCCTAACACCTGACTTTCAAACTCTACCACTTTCTACTAATCCTACATCTTGTTGCCAAATTGATCATCTTAAAATTGTATTCTACTGTCATTCCCCAACTCAAAAACTTTCAGTCACACCAGGTACATTGGCACACCCCTGTAGTCCCAGCTACTCAAGAGGCAGAGTAGGGAGGGCCAGTCTGGGCGACATAGCAAGATCTGGTCTGTTAAAAAAAAAAAAAGTTTCCAGTGTGTATTCTGTATGTTAAAAAAAGCAAACAAACCGTCAATCACTTAGTGACTGCTAAGTGAAGTTTCACCACCCTAACCAGGCTTTAAGACTGAGATATGTCCCTAACCTGTCTTATTCACCTTCACTCCTTTTATATTACATAAAAGGAGTGCATTAAACAATTCACAATTTCCCAACTTTAGCCTTCCCTTTAATTTCCTTGAAATCATTTGATACCTACCTATTGGACGTCTGATACAATTGAGCCCAGGAGTTTGAGGCCACCCTGAATAACATAGTGAGACCTTGTCTCTACAAAAAAAAAATAGGCACGGTTGCATGCCTGTGGAGCTAGCTGGCTGCTGGGGAGGCTAAGGTGGGAGGATGGCTTGAATCCAGGAGTTTGAGGCTATAGTGAGCTGTGATCACACCACTGCACTCTAGCCAGGGTGACAAAGAAAAATAGAAAAAAAAATAGTTAAATATATATTTGTTTTACATATGAATAAACAAATGAACCTGGGAGCCAGTTACCCCAGCAGTCTATTAATATTATTGAGCATTTACCTGTTCTCAGTGATCTTTTCCTGAGTTCTGGTATATAATTTATAAATATTACTGACTTTTATGCAGCTATTGAATCTATAACATTTAAAGGTTTTAATATTCAGGATATTTGGAAAATGTTTATATGGTATGCAACCATAAAATTTAATATAATATTCTAATAAAACATGCTCATTTGAATACAATGTAAACTTAATCATGTAATTAGTTCAAGCACCAATTGTTCTAACATAGATAGACTTTATAAATTTAATACTATGTTCTTTCCCATTCCTGGGATAAGTACAATAATAATAAACCTGTGTTTAGCACTTTTACCTGTCAATGGCTTATAGAAGTTAGTTTGGTCTCTAAACAGACCTGTGGAATATATAGGGTAGGTATTATTTCTATTTTAAATATGATGAAACTAAGGTGCAGAGAAGTTGCATAATTTACATGAGGTCACATAGCTAATTAATGAAAAAAAATCCAGGCTTAGTCTTATAGGCATGATAATTGTATATTTTTTTATTACTTGAATAATTATGCATTTTTTTTTCTTAGTGAAAGAAAGGATGTCTTAAGAGAAGCTGAAATTTTACACAAAGCTAGATTTAGTTACATTCTTCCAATTTTGGGAATTTGCAATGAGCCTGAATTTTTGGGAATAGTTACTGAATACATGCCAAATGGATCATTAAATGAACTCCTACATAGGGTAAGTATTACACAGTTTTAGTGGCCATAATTGCCATTTTTACTATTCAAACTATATTTTACTTTGATTTTATATTTGGTCAGATTATTTAGGGGTATATAGATGAATCAAAGAATAATGAAAAACTATCACAGGGATAAAATTTTACCTTTTGTGACATTTTTGTGTTGATTAAAACACTGTGGATTCAGGCCCTGTACTCTAGATTATTTTGCCTGGGTTACCATTCCTAACATTTATACCAAATTATAGTATTTACATGCATATTACATGGGTAGAAATGGAAGAGATAAACTCTGCATACTGTAAAATCCACTGTTAAGTGATATTTTATTTTATATTAATAGCAATTTCAAATTCAAATTTAATGTTATTAATACCAGTTCATAAAGTTCTGAATTAGCAGGCCAAATATTAATAAATTATCTCTGAATACCAGATACATTAGCTTTTCTAATAATAGACAGTGGTATCAGCCATTTACCCTTTTTCCCAAGGTACCAGTCACTCTCTCTTTGATTATGAATCCCTTGAGTAAACAAATTCAGGGGTCCTCATTCTCAAAATACATGTATTCATTATTAATATTATCATGAGTCTGTAGTTTCAGTAGATCTTTTTAAACTACTTGGTCCATTTTTTGAGGGTTGGCTTAATTAAAACTGTATTAATCTACAAAATCCAATCAATAGATACTCATAAATGATAGTGTAACACAATGCCCTGTAAGTGGCCAAGGGAAAGTGGGTGCCACTGTCAGTCAGTCATAGAGTAACTTCCTCTCAGTTTCAGAATACATCACATTCTATTCATGACTTGTGACCATTTGAAACAAGGATGGAATAAGTAACTGGTGTCAGTCTGTAAGATTTGTATAACTACCACAGAGCCAAGATACAAATATTAATAAATCACAATTTCTCTTTTATTTTTGTTGAGAAATGAGTATAAGTAGAAATCTAACATTTTCTTCCCACACCCCAGCAGATACTCTGGCACCCAAATTTGCAGCTCGCTGGAAATTCTACAGCCTCCTCAAGGGGGATTGCTAACTCCTGGAAAAAAAATCATAAAATATACAGTGAGCACTTCTCTCCCTTGTCTCCATGATCACAAGCCCCCATATTATATTATGCTGCAGAGAGGCCTGGTAACTGCTTTAAACTGCATAATTTTCAGAAAAAGTTACCTTTTTTACAGATTAAAAGATTAAGTTTCTCTAGGGGACAGGCCTCTGTGTATGCCAGAGAAAGTAATGTTCCACGTCAGCTTTTTGTGTTTCTTTTGGTTTCCTGTATTGCATTATTTAGGGTGGGATTTATCTTGAAGTGCCCTCCCCCAACCTCACAAAATTCATTGAGAAAACTCAAGATGTATCATAAACAGTCTAAAATATTTTGAACCACTCCCCCTGCCAGATTGATCACTGAACTATAAGCTGACGCATTTGCAGAAAAACTTCTCAAGAACAGTTTTGTACTTTCAGTAGAAGCAGTCTTTTTCATAGCATTTAGAAAAATGTGGTATGGTGCCTGGTGATTCATCGTGGATCTTCCCAAATTGCCTGATCTTCCAAAGTATGTTCATTCTCCTGGGAAGCCACATTAACTTTTATGTTCAGAAAACATTTATTTTAAGAAAACTCAGATGGATATTATTTGAGTACTATGAAAAATAAAATGTTATGTTTTAAATGTGTCTGTTCTATACAGTTTTAGAAACAAAAATGAGTGTCCCTTCCACAAAAACAAAACAAAAGGCTAATTTTATAAGCTGGAATGCAGATAAATTAATTATATGATTAAATGTATGATAAATTAATGCTTAGTCAATAAATACAATATGATCATAATTTGTAACTGATGCAGTGATTATAATGTATGATTTTATAGTAATAGAAAAATTAAAATACAAATTTTGAATGAATGCCTTGGTATTTACTAGAAAAAAACTGTCTGTAATTTTGTGTGTATTTGTGTGTACTCAAATTACCTGATTAAGACATAGAATGAGGAGGTGGATGTGGGTGTAAGTATATGACTCTGGCTATATACAGATACAAAGTAATTGAGATTTGTGTCAGCTGAAGAAAGACCCAAAACCATGTAGTTGCATGACCAATATAAACTAAAAGGAAGTATTGGTGCCATAAAGTTATCATAATTTTCTCTATAAAGTGAGGAAAGTAAGACACAAAAATGTTAAACCCTATCAAATTGGTGCTATTTTATAAAAATGAGCATATGTTTTAACCTTAGTTTATACTGTATTTCCTCATGGAATATTTAACTTTCTAAGTGTGAAACATAGTGAAATTTGGACTAATTTCATTTTCTTTCTTTTCACATATATATGAAGAAAACTGAATATCCTGATGTTGCTTGGCCATTGAGATTTCGCATCCTGCATGAAATTGCCCTTGGTGTAAATTACCTGCACAATATGACTCCTCCTTTACTTCATCATGACTTGAAGACTCAGAATATCTTATTGGACAATGAATTTCATGTTAAGGTAATTACTTTTTTAAAAAGTTTATGTTTCCTTGTCCTTATAGTTTTAAAAATACTTTTTAGTTATTTCTTCGACCTAGCCAATTTCATGTCTCTCCTTAGAGATAGAGACTAATGAATAGTAATTTCCATAGCCCCTAATTTCTATCTTCTATTCTCCTTCTTCCTACTGCAGTTAGGAAGTTATTCCTAGACAGAGATAGAATTATGGTACAAAATACAAAGCCATTATGTTTCTTAATTGAATTGTCAAGATCACCTTTTTTTTTTACTTTTTATTTTAAAATTATTATATATTTATAGGAAGTTGCAAAGGTAATAAAGAGGTTTCATGTATCCTTCACCTGGTTTCCCACATTGTTATATCACACATAATTATAGTATAATTTCAAGACCAGGAATTTGACATTAGTACAATGTGTGTTCATAGTAACCGCAACAATCAAGGTACAGCACTACTCATAACATCACCACAAAGATAACACTCATCCTACCTCACCCACTTCCTCCCTACCACAATCTGTACCCCTAACAACCACTAATCTGCTTTCCATCTCTTTAATTTTGTCATTTTGAAAATGCTATATAAGTGGAATCATATAGTATGTGATATTTTGAGATTGGCTTTGTTCACGTCACATAATGCTCTTGTGATCCGTCTAAGTTGTGCTTGTAACAATAGTTGTTTTTTATTGATAAGTAGTATTCCACAGTATAAATGTACCAAAGTTAACCATTCAGGAACATTTTGGTTCTTTCCATTTTGGGGTAATTATTTACAAAGCTGCTGTGAACAAAGCTGTACAGGTTTATGAGTGAACATAAGTCTTCATTACTCTGTGATAAATGCCCAAGAATGCAAATGCTGGGTCATATGGTAAGGGTGTGTTTAGTTTTTAAAGAAAGTATCCAACTATTTTCCAGAGTGGCTGTACCATTTTACATTCCACCAGCAATGTGTGAGAGATCCAGCTATTCCGCATCATTTTCTAAAGGGATTCTTTGGTTTTCTTACTGTTGAGTTTTGAGAATTCTGTATATGTTACAGTAGTAGTTCTTCATCAGATATGTAGTTTGCAAATATTTCCTCCCAGTTATAGTTTATCTTTTCATCCTTTTAACAGGGACTTTCACAAAGCAAAATGATAATACCAAATGCCCACCAGCATTTGGTATTATCACTGTTTTCTGTTTAGCTGTTCTAATAGATGTGTAGTGATATCTCATCTTGGTATTAATTTGCATTTTCCTAACTGCTAATGATATCGAACACCTTTTTATATGCTAATTTGCCACCCATACGTGGTTTTCAGTGAAATGTCTCTCATGTCTTAAGCTCATTTTCTAAAGGGATTCTTTGGTTTTCTTACTGTTGAGTTTTGAGAGTTCTGTATTTGTTACAGTAGTAGTTCTTCATCAGATATGTAGTTTGCAAATATTTCCTCCCAGTTATAGTTTGTCTTTTCATCCTTTTAACAGGGACTTTCACAAAGCAAAAATTTTAATTTTGATGAAGTCCATATTTTTTCTTCTATGGATCATGCTTTTGCTGTCATCTCTAAGCACTTTTCACCAAGTTCTACTTACTGAAGATTTCCTTTTTTGTTATCTTCTGTAAGTTTTATAGTTTTATGTTACATATGTAATCTGTGATCCACCTTGAATTCATTTTTTAATAAGATGCAGGACTTAAGTGCTGAAGACACTGGCTATTGTGATTTCACAGCTATACTATATCTAACTGAGTGTAAATAAAAAGTAGTTTTTGAGTAATTAATACTAAATGTAACTCACCATATTTTTATGTATCATTTTGCTATACTTCTTTTAATAACATGTAATCAGAAAATTATTATAAATATAAAAAATGTTCAAAGAAATCAGTAATAGAGAAGTTGAAACAACAGGGAAATTAAAACAAGAAATGTGAGAGAAAATAAGTGGGAAAAATTTTTATTGAAGACACTCCTCTCCTTAGAATAAAGTGGTAGGGGAAAGGAGAGAGAAGCAAGCTGCTGCCTCAGTATTGCTAAGAAAAAAAGAGACTAATCTATTCCATCAATTATAGAACCATCAAGTAGAAATACCTTAATGGTCAACTAGTTCTCTGATACTTCACTGCAACAATCCCTGTCTCCCAAAGCAGTTATCCTGTAACAGGGAGTCTTAACATCCTTAATTGAATAATTGTGACATTTTCTTAAATGATCAACCAAAATTCCTTCCTGGTTGCTTCCACACATTGATCCTAGTTCAACTTTTTGTGATAAACAGAATAAATCCAATTTAGTTACTTCAGCAAGACAGCCCTTTCAATATTTGAAGATAGCTATGAGCTGTCTCCCAAACCCTCACGTACAAGTGCATTTTATCCATCTCCCTGATAAATACCCTTTAGTTCCTTCAACTCGTTTTCTTATTACATGGATTTTAATCCTTGGTGCTATGTAGATGCATCATTTTGTTTAAATCTCACTTAAATGTTGATCGTCAGAACTGAACACAATACTATTTTTGGTGCGGTTTGATGAATGCAGACTTTAGTGAAAGTGTCATTTCCTTGGCCCTAAATACTTAATAGTTCCTTAATAATTCATCAGCTTTCCAGGGGTAGTCATATCACATAGTTCAAATTGGGCTTAGTGTCAACAAAAAACCCTTGGAGGTTCTTTTTGCCACGTATCGTTGCTTAAGCCACCTCTTCTTAAGCAACAAAGTACACAAAATAATGTACTTTGCAGAATACTTTCTAGATATGATCAAATTTTATCTTGTTAGATTGGAGCAATTGCTTCAGTCTCTTAAGACCTTTTTGAATGTTATTTCTATAATCCAAAGGTTTTAAGTTTCTCTCCAAGTTTTGTGTGATGCTGAAATTTAATTAGCTAATTTTTTGTATCTTTAAGTCATGATTAAATATGAACCAGTACAGAGCTTGAATCAGAGCTGTATCACATGGCCATAAGAACCTTCATCTGGGTCAATATCAGTCCTTTTGTTAATCCGCGCTTTTGGAGAACACTCATTCAGTTTGTCTGGAATACTCCTAAAAGTGCTATTATACAGCCCATATTTCTTCATTCTGTCCTTAAAAATTTTTCTGAAAGTCTTTGCTTAACTGCTTTTCTCAGCTGTTCTCATGACTTAGTCATCTTGGTCCTTTTCTGTGAATTCAATTTTAAAATTCTTGATTATTTTTATTTTTTTTCTTAAATTGACTCTTTTATTGTAGCAAATGAATGAAAAATTCATTTATTCTACCCCTCCTTTTTGGGAATGGAGGCCATAATTTTTTTTATCTCAAATTCATCTAAATGCTAATAAAAATTATGTATTTTGTTAAAATTGGTAAAAAATATAGGAGGTAAACAATGGAAACAAATGATGTGCTGCATGGAGCTCATTTCACTCTGCTGAATTCTAAAGTATGCAGTAAAATATTTTAAGTAATTTCAGTGTCTTTTAGGATTTCCCATACTCCCTTGTCAATTAAATATTATTTCTGTTCTTACATTTTGTCTTACATTTTTAAAAAATAAAGTAAAAAATAAGGAAGCTTTTAAATATTTAGTTATAAGATACTGTATAATATGTGCATAAGATTTACAACTGAAGCAAAACTGTACAGGACATATCAAAGGCACAGAATATTGTCACTGATAATTCTTTAGGCACCCATTGTATTGGACATAAATATGTTTTCTTTGCAATTATACTGTTTCCATGAAATACTTCTTTTAGTGATCAGCATAAAATTGTATAATAATTACCTTTACAATTTTGAGATTTAGTGTATTTCTTAATTTAAGGATGCTACCTTTAGGGCATTATTAATACAACTGTATAAACCAGAATTGTAAACAATGACCAGTGACAATTGCATGAGATGTGAGTAGACTTGGCAGCTCTGTGAGATGTAGGAAGCACATGGTATCAAGCTATATGTCATGAAAAGTAAGGTGTGCAAGGTACACACTCATTGAGAATATCAGACAAAAAATGCCTCTGCTCAATTTTCAAAAATTAGTCTCTCTTTTGAAATTTGTAATGTTATATTAAACTTTAACTCAGTATGTATTGCTCCTAGAGTTATTTGGCTCAGCAGTGTGGAATTTAATTTTGTAAGAAGTTGGGGGAATATACAGAAATAAAATATTAAAATATATTACATTTTCTCTGGTTTGATATCTAAATACAGTGAATATACAAAAAGATAGTTGACTTTTGGACTTTTTAAAGAGGAAATTTCTTAATTATTTGCTCTTGTCCCTTACAGATTGCAGATTTTGGTTTATCAAAGTGGCGCATGATGTCCCTCTCACAGTCACGAAGTAGCAAATCTGCACCAGAAGGAGGGACAATTATCTATATGCCACCTGAAAACTATGAACCTGGACAAAAATCAAGGGCCAGTATCAAGCACGATATATATAGGTAGAGTAAAGTTGCTTCTGCTCAGATTTAACCTTGTCTCAGACACAAAATTAGTCAACCAGAATTTTGAAGCTACATTTTAAACTGTGATTTTTATTCTTCTCTCATAATTGTGGTGAAAATAAACTTGAGGCCCCACGGTGATTAATATTTTTCAAATTAAGGAAATTTAATGATTTGCTTTAAGAAACTTTTACATCCTTTAAGAAATTTTAAAGCATCTCTTCTTATCCTATCAATTTATAATATAATAGTTAAGGATTTTTATCATATGTGACTTGGAAATGCAGAGGGAAACAGTGGTTCCTAACATTTTAGCTTTAGGTTTCTCAACCTGTTCAACCTTTTAGCTTTTGATATCTATATATCTTTTTAGATAAATAGACAAACTCTTAATCACACTGGGGATATTTCTATTTAAAGAATCCCTAATATTTGTATATGTGTGAATTTTTTATACAACAAATCAATGGGTTTGATAAGATCATATTTTCATATTTCAGATGCATATTACTTATAATCTCATAATGCAGTAATAAGCATAACACATTGTTATTGACACTGGTTATTTAACCAGAATAAAAGGAAGATGATTATTTACACAGGTTTAGGAGATGGGGACATTCACCTCATGTATAAGTTACTCTTATCTCTTTTAATATACTAATGAATGCAAAAGCAGACTCTCTAAGTTTGCTCTGAACACATTTTATAGTCCTTTAAATGGCTTTTTGCCATCTTTAATAAATAATTTGTTAATGAATCATTTTAGGAATGAATGCTATATCTCTACCAGAAAACTATATATTTAATTAAATTGCATATTCCTTTTCTTCAAAAGCATTTTAATTTTTGTTATTTCTCATTAAAACCAAAGCCAGCCAATCCATTTTAGTGGCTGCACTAAAACAATTCATACAGTGTCTTTTACATTCACATTGTATGAATATAAGAAACTGTCCTTTTATATTTTGTTTTCTGATATTTTTAATTCATTCTGAATGATGTACTGAGGGGAGGAGAAATGTATTTATAGCTTCCTAAGGTAGAGATCATGTTCTACCCAACAATTCTTAAAGCTGGTTTGATTCTATAAAAATGGGCCAATAAATCTGCCAGTCATTCATTTTGTGAATTTTCCCTTTATGTTCAATTTCAATATTCTCTGTCAGGGAAAAATGAGGAAATATTATTCCTTCATTTGGGTAGGAATTCCCTCTGTACTCCTCGCTCTCCCTGTAACACAAGGTGTTAGTAGTAATAAATTCTATGTGTCCATTTTGAATGCATGGTTAATGTTGGGGTGTGGCAAAATTCTTATATCCTATTTAACCATTTATTCTAATTATAAACTCTATGCAGCTTAACCCTGTAATTGACATCTGAAGTTAAACTGTAGGCAAGATATTTCTACTACCAAAGAAGATAGTGCTGAGAGCAGAAAAAAGGCAGTAGAATAGAGCTCCATGAGACAATTTTTTTCTTGTTCTTTGTTCTTTGTGAAAAATAATATCATTTAATTAAAGGGCATAGCTTATCTGGGTGTCCAAGAATTAAATCATCCACAAAAAGTTAATCTTGCATGTAACGTTAAGCTTGTATTACAGTAATTTCCTAATTTTTTAACTTAAAGTTGATTTTGTTTCCAAACTACATGAGCATTTATCATCTTCATTGTATACAGTAATTCTTTGCTGCCTTATCACTTTGAAAAATGGTATCTTCAGTCAGCTTTTAAAAATAGTGCTATTTTAGTTTATTATGCAGAGTTCATTTAAAATATGTAACATGTATGTTCTTATGTTAAACAGCTATGCAGTTATCACATGGGAAGTGTTATCCAGAAAACAGCCTTTTGAAGGTAAGTATGGTTTGACTTTTTTATGCTCAATAACATCATGTTAGTAGGTCACTCTCAGAACTATCTAAAAATCATGTTATTTTAAATCTGCTTATTCATTTTGTGGAAAACACACTAAAACAACCATTTATCAGTTGTGAATGCATCACATACTGCAAAATATACCGGGTTAAGGATCCAGTTGTGAGTCTACTATATACTGGAAAATGTACTGGATTAAGGATCAGAAAAACCCAGATTTTAATTCTTGTTCTGACAGTAATTAGCTCTGTGATCAAGTCACAAATCTCTTGCGTCCTCATTTTTGTCGCCTGCATAATAAGAATTTTAAATTACTATTTCCAAGTTCTAGTCTAGCTGTAAAATTATTTATATGATAATTTAATTACTACCCCCTCTATAAAGACTAGCAAATATCGAAGACTAATCTGTCCTTTTTATTCCCTGAAAATATTGTTTATTTCTTTATTTTGAGGTTTGTGTAGGTCAGCTTGTTGTGTAACAAAAAACAACCTCGGAATCTCCGTAGCTTATGAAATAAACATTTATTTCTCATTCACATTAAATATTGGTTGCTGTAGCCCTTCTTAGTTCTGCAAGGTTTCGCTCAGCTCTGCTTTACAAATACTCTGTTGACCAAATCCAATCACATGGTCAAGCCCAAAATTAATGAGGTGAGGATATAAACTCATTCCATAGGAATCAGACAAGTCTGGCAATGGTTTGGGGTATATATATTCCTTTTACAGAAAGGGGGGTAAGGCATCATTCCTAAAATTTCAATATTCACTTATTTTCTTTTAGTTAGTTTTAGATGTAAGTAATATGCTTAATCATAATATATTACTAATGAATGCAATCTATTTGTTTTGACAGATGTCACCAATCCTTTGCAGATAATGTATAGTGTGTCACAAGGACATCGACCTGTTATTAATGAAGAAAGTTTGCCATATGATATACCTCACCGAGCACGTATGATCTCTCTAATAGAAAGTGGATGGGCACAAAATCCAGATGAAAGACCATCTTTCTTAAGTGAGTATATAGTTTTAACCTAGACTCTTTGAATTACAGAATTAGTTAATATACTGTGAATAAAATATTCCTTGAAAAATTGTGCAAATTAGATGACTAGCTAGAAGTTGTTTAAATTATTTTCTGTCTTATCATAGCATTTATATATGAGTAACTCCTTCTAGAGCAGAATTGAGAATTCCTAACAAAAAAGAGAAATCGTGTGATAGGAGTAACAATTTCTTTCATATATTTAACAAATATGTCTTAAACCCCTACCATGTGCTATGTATATACTGGAGTGAGCCCTGGGAACAGAGTAGTAAACAAGACAAACTTTCTGTAGCTAGTTCACATTCTAGTTGAGAAGGCAGAGTGAAAACAAATAAATAAGCAAGATACACAAATTGTGACAGTCTTATAAGGAAATAAGCAAGGTAATAGACTAATTAAGGGAGGGAAACAAAGGCCTTTTTTTAGGGGCAAACATTTGAGCTGACATTTGAAGCTTGAAAAAGAGCCAGTCATTCAAATGCTGAAGAAAGAGTATTCAGCCAAACAAAACAGCAAGCATAAAGGCTCTGAGCCTAGAAGAGGAAAAAGTTTTATATTCTCAAGAAACAGTGAGAAGGCCTGTGTGGCTGGAATACAGTGAGCAAGGAAAGGAATTAGATGATATTGGAGAGTTAAGAGAGAGGCTATTGGCCATCATAAAAAGGTTAGATTTTTATTCCAAGTGCAATGGAAAGCCATTAAAGTATCTTTTGCAGGGAAGTGACATGATCTGATAGAAGTTTAGGTGAAATTCTTACTGCTGTGTGGAAAGTTGATTGGAGAAAGACAAAAGTGGAAGCAAAGAGGCTAGAAAAGACACTTTCAGGAATATTCTAATTAAGGTGGAAATTCTGAAGACAGAAGAGTTACAGAATTAAGATAGTATTTCAGAGGTAGAATGGATCAGACATCCAAATGTAAATGTAGGAGAAAATCTTCATGACCTAGGGTTAGGCAGAATCTTTAAATATGACATCAAAAATAAATAGGATTCATTAAAAAATTTATAATCAGACTTTGCAAACATTGGAAACTTTTCCACTTCGAAAGGTACTATTGAGAAAAGAGAAAGCCAGGCATTTAGTGTCCACGACTTTAGTCCCAGGTACTTAGGAGGCTGAGGCAGGAGGATCACTTGAGCCCAGGAGTTTGAGGATGTGTAATAGTGCACTGTGATCGTGCCTATGAATAGCTACTGCACTCCAACCTGGGCAACATAGCAAGACCTCATTTCCAAGAAGGAAAAAAAAAAGCAGAGCCACAGACTGGGAGAAAATATTTGCATAACATGTATCTGCTAAAGGGCTTGATTCTAGAATATATAAAAAACCCTGACAAGTCAATAATAGGACATATAGCCCTATTTTTAAATGAGTAAAAGATTTGAATTTCACCAAGGGAGATATACAAATAGCTAAAAAGCACATAAAATGATGCTTAATATTATTAGTCATTTGGAAATGCAAATTAAAACTGCAATGAGTTACCACTTCATACCCACAAAATAGCTATAATTAAAGACAGAAAATAACAAGTGTTGACAGTGATGTGGCAGAACCAAAATCCGTATACATTGTTGGTGGGAATATAAAATGATGCTGCCACTTTGGAAAACGGTTTGGCAGTTTCTTAAAAATGAAAGATAAATTTACCATACAACCAAGCAATCCACTAACAGGTAAACCAAGAGAAATGAAAACATATGTTCACACAGTTGTATGTGATTAGTGATAGCAGCATTGTTTATAATAGCCAGCAAGTAGAAACGGTCATAATTACTGCTGCTACTACTACAACAATACATGAATCTGTTGTTCCAGGAAGAGTCCAGGATCCTAATATAAAATTGAACATCACTAACATATTGATAGTCTGGACTGGTTCATCTAAGAAGGGAATATACATAGCAAAGAGAGGACCCATAGTAAAGCTCTGAGGCATTCCAGCACTTAGAAATTGAGAAGAGGAAGAAGAAAAAGGATTAAGGAAGAGAAGACAGTAGAGAGTGTAGTCCTTGTGTCTTGGAAGTCAAGGAGGGGTATAGTCGGACATGTTTAATCTGCCAGGAGGCCAAATGAGATAAGCAGGATTTTCCAACATTGTCATCACCGGTAATCCAAACAAATGGAGTTTTAATAGAGAGATGTAAACAGAAGACTGATGTACATTTAAAAAAAATAGAAAGAAGTGAAGGCAAATATGGAAAATTCCAGCAAGATGCTTGGCTCTGAACAGAAGCAGAAAAAAATGAGGTGATAGCTAAAGGATGATATGGGGTCAAAATTTTTTCCTATGGCCAGGCACAGTGGCCCATGCCTGTAATCCCAGCACTTTGGGAGACCAAGGCAGAGGGATTACTTGAGTTCTGGAGTTCCAGACCAGCCTAGGCAACACAGCAACACCTTGTCTCAACAAAAATAAAAATAAAAAAAAAATAAAAAATTAGCCAGACATGGTTCGTTGCCTGTAATCCCAGCTACTTGGGAGGCTGAGGCAGGAGGATTGCTTGAGCCCAAAATGTTGAGGCTGCAGTGAGCCTTGATTGTGCCACTGCACTTGCACTCCAGCCTAGCTGACAAAGCAAAATGCTGTTTCTTAAATAAAAAAAAAAAATCCTGGAGAAAGATAGATTACTTTATCTGGAAAAAATACTCTACTGGAAAAAATGATCCAGTAGAGAGTCAGAGATTGTCAGTGCAAGAACTGAGAGAGAGTATCAGAAACAGAATGCTGGAGAGGTGGAGGAAATGGTATTCAGAATGCAAGTGATACTGTTTACATTTGTATGAGTATATGGACACTTTTTTCTACTGTAAGAGAAATGAGGTTGGAGAGATGGATACAAGTACAAGAAGTTTGTAGATCTGGTTATAGAACCCTGAAGGAATTCCCTCTCATGGCTTCTATTTTCTCAGTGTAGTATGAGAGCAGATGATCAGCTAGCTCAAAGGAAACATGGAGGATGGGATGTAAGAGGCTGAAAAAGGGAAGATAAAGTACAATGCCTATTACCCCTGCCTTCCCTTTCTAAGTTCAGAATATATTAAGAAAAAGCCGAGGAAGAAAGATAGATGTTGATCAGAATATCAGTTTCATTACTGATAAAGCTAATTGGAGAATGTACCTTTAGATCTGCAGCCAAATGGGCTTAGTAGCATTTTACCCCTACAGTTGATAGCTTTACCAGCCCACCACAGGCCTCACCCTGCTTCTACATAGGGAAGCAGAAAATGTATGCATTCTTTAGGCAAGCTGACTTTTAAAAGAAGGAGAAAACTGCAAAGGTACCAAATAAGCATGCTTAGTTTTTCTCCAAGTTTAATAAATGAGGTAAGTCTGAGGGGCAGAAAGGAGCTGGAAGAATTCCTCCTATACTTCTCTTTCCTGAGGATTGAACTGGAAATGTCATCTTCCTGTTGGAAACATGAAGAAAAGGACTTAAGTGTCTCCTCCAACAGTACGAGATAATTATGTAAGACAGCAATTCTCAAACTTAGATCTCAAGACTCTTCAAAATTATTGAGGACTTCAAAGAGCTTTTGTATGTGTGGGTAATATCTATTAGCATTTACTGTATTAGAAATTAAAACCAAGGAATTTTAAAATGTAGGAATATACAAGAACACATTCCATTATCTGTTGAAGCAGTGATCTTATCACACCTTATTTATGGGCCTCTGGATAAATCCACTATATACTTGTTTGGGGATGACAGTGAACAGGGAAAATAATGTCTTAGTACTTGTTATTTTGAATATAGTTTTGACTTCATGAACCCTCAGGAACCACCCCCGCCAGGGGTCCCTGGACCACACTTTAAGAACCACTTATCTATGAGAACAGAATAGTAGATGTATTTAGGAAGCAAAATAGGATTGCTGAGAAGTGGTATTTAGTGTCTAGTTTGGGCCGTTAATTTAGAGAAACCAGCGACCCCACTTCTGGCCAAGATGGAGTAACTGGGGCCAATTTACCCTCCTGCCTGAAACAACCAAAAAACCTAGACAAAATATGTGAAACTGGTTTTTAAGACACTAAATATCAGGAAACAAAGAGCAGCAATCTCTGATGGATGGGAAACAAATGAAGTGAGCCTTCCGATTGCCCAGCTTCCTGCCTTGAGAGTTTCTAGATGCAGCATGGGGAGAGGAAACAGGTGGAACCCAGTGGACACTCAGGGTCAAGGAAACAGGGATGACAGTGTGGGTAGACCAAGGCAGACAGACTTCATAGGACATTGCACCAGAAGGGAAAAGGTACACAGAGTGAGAACCCCAGAGATTTCAGAGGGTTCCTCTCAAGTATTCAGTGGAGCACTGATCAGTACAGGGTGAAGTCAGTAAGCCAAAAGCCAAAATCTTGAGCATAGGAGAAAGGAGAAGTTTGCAGAGAAGTAAGTATTGCCTAATGGCATGAACTTTAGAGGATCTAGAATTTTCACAGAAAGAAGAAATTACGATTTGGAAATGGCAAAGAGAGGACAACAGAGATATATACCCTTCCTCATGGCTCTGGAAAGAAAGAAACAAAATGTGAACCCATTACCTTAGCAACTTTTGATTTGTAAATATAATGCTGATGAACAATGGATATAAGTATTGAATGAAAAATACAATGCATTATTTTTCTAGTAATAAGAACTTAGAGTTTATTTTTAAACTGTCTTAACTGAAATGGCCTATAAACATATCCAGCTTTGTATCTAATAGTACAGTGTGAGTGTGTGTGTGTGTGTGTTTAATTTATCACATTTCTTACAAAGTACTGTTGTCTGCCTTAGACATGTTTCATTTATAGCCATTGGGATGCTACTGGTTTTGTTGTTATTGTTAGGTTTTGAACTTTGTTTTTAAATGGAAGTACAACTTTTTTTTCCTAGGATGACTGTTTCCTATTTTCAGTGGGAAGGTACCATCATTGATTTATAAACACACTACTGCCTATACAGCCTGTCAGTTTTATTTTAAGGCTCTGGTGTATATTGGAATGTTGAAAAGCAGATTCTGGGAACCTGAAAGGGAAAGGAAGAAAAAAAAATCAATAATAAGGAAAGTTTAAGTGTATTCAGTAAAGAAATTCTGTCAATAGGACCAAATGGAAGAACATGAAATTACAAAGGGATCTCTAGATACCAGAGTAAGCACAAGATGCCTACTTTTGGACAAACCTACTGAAAAGAAATGAAAAGTTCACAATGAAAGAAATTTTAATAAAAAAATAAAGGAAGCTTGAAAAACTAAAAGCAAGCAATATTTTTCCTTTTTTTAAAAAAAATATAGGTTAACTGAATTAAGGAAAAGAGGAAGATCAGTAAACCTTTGTTGAAAAAGTAACTAGAGAGTATATATTCTGAAAATGGATTTAACTGTTCAATTAATATACATATTAAATGGCAAAGTAACACAGTAGCAGAGAGGAATCATATAATAAAGATTATTTTTTTCAAAAGCCTATCAAAGTATAATTTACTTACCATAAAATTTATCTATACATTCATTGACTTTTTAGTATTAATAATTTTACAGTTTGCAACCATTACTATAATCCAATTTTCAAGTATTTCCATCACCCCCTACAAAATCCCTCCTAACTATTTGCAGTCACTGCCTGTTCTCACCACTAACCCTAGGTAACCAGTAATCTATTCTCTGTCTTTCTAGATTTGCCTTTTCTGGATATTTCATATAAATGGAATGATAACAATGTGTGGTCCTTTTGCATCTGGCTCTTTTCACACTTAGCGTAATGTTTCTCAGGTTCATCCAGGTTTCGGCATGAATCATAGTTCAGTAATTTATTGTTGAATAATACATCATCATATGGATGTATCCCATTTTGTTGATCCATTGGCCAGTTGATGAACATTTTGATTGTTTCTACTTGTTGCCTCTGTGAATAATGCTGCTATGACTGTTCACATACAAGTCTGTGAACATATGTTTTCATTTCTCTTGGTTAATTATCTGTGAATAGAATTGCTGGGTTATATGATAAATTTATCTTTAATTTTTAAGAAACTGCAAGCTGTTTTCCAAAGTAGCTGCATTATCTTATTCCCACCAGCAATGTATGAGGTTTTCATTTTCTCCACGTCACTGTCAACACTTCTTATTTTCCTTTTAATTATATTTTAGTGAGTATGGAGTGATATCTCATTGCAGTTTTAAAGTGCCTTTTCTTATGATGTTAAGCATCTTTTCATGTGCTTCTTGAAGACATTTGTATATCTCCTTTAGTGAAATTCAAATCTTTTACTTGTTTTTTAATTTTGCTATTTTTCCTGTTATTGTCATGGGTCTGTATATATTGTAGATACAAACCCTTTAGCAGATACATGATGTGGAAATATAGTGTGCAAGGCTGCAGCTTATCTTATTTTTTCTTAATACTGTCTTGAAGTGCAAAAGTGTTCAAATTTTTTGAAGTCCAATTTTTAGGCGGTTTTTGGGTTTTTTTTTTTTTTTTTTTTTTGAGATGGAGTCTTGCTCTGTTGCCCAGGCTGGAGTGCAGTGGCACAATCTTGGCTCACTGCAAGCTTCACCTCCTGGGTTCACACCATTCTTCTGCCTCAGCCTCCCGAGTAGCTGGGACTGCAGGTGCCCGCCACCACGCCCAGCTAATTTTCTTTTTTTGTATTTTTAGTAGAGACGGGGTTTCACTGTGTTAGCCAGGATGGTCTCAATCTCCTGACCTGGTGATCTGTCCGCCTCGGCCTCCCAAAGTGCTGGGATTACAGGTGTGAGCCACCATGCCTGGCCCAATTTTCAAGTTTTTTAATGGATTTCATTTTTGATGTCATATCTAAGAACTCTGCCTAACCCAAGATCATGAGGATTTTCTCCTATGTTTACATTTAGGTGTGTGGTTCATTTCAAGTTAGTTTTTATGTGTAGTGTGATATAAGTATCTAAATTTATCTGTTTCCAGGTGTATATCCAACTGTTTTAGCATCATTTATTGAAAAGGCTATGCTATCATTTCCCCATTGAATTGGCTTAGCACATTTGTCCAAAAACAGGTGTTTTTAGATTCTCAACACTATTCCATTGTTGCTTATGTCTATCTTTATGTCAGTAATAAAAGCTCGTAAAACAGCTGAATGTCATCACTTTGGGGAAAAACTGACTTGAGGCCTTGTACATTAAATGTTAGCATTTCACTTTAATACTTAGAAGCAATCTGAACTCAACCTGTATTTTTTTCTCTTATGTAGAATGTTTAATAGAACTTGAACCAGTTTTGAGAACATTTGAAGAGATAACTTTTCTTGAAGCTGTTATTCAGCTAAAGAAAACAAAGGTAAGTTGCTAAATGAAATGCTGGAAATTAGAAATTTAAACAACTATATAATATTCATGGAGATTTTTAGTTAAGTGTAGTTTTTAATATATATACTTTACACAGATATAAGCTACAGTTTTGGAGTGAGAAAATTTACCAGAGACTATGAATACTACTTTTCCTTTGTCACCAAAAGCTTTTCTATTTCATTCAAATGGCCACCTTCAGATTTTAAAGACATTTCCAGGACCAGGCGTGGTGACTCACACCTGTAATCCCAGCACTTTGAAGGCCAAGGCGAGTGAATCACTTGAGCCCAGGAGTTCGAGACCAGCTGGGCCACATAGCAAGACCCCACCTTTATTTAAAACGTAAAAAAAAAAAAAAAGACATTTCCAGAACCCTTATATATCAGACATAAATTTAAAAATGTATAATCACAGCCAGTTGTGTACAATGAATGCACTGAGCCATTAGAGGTGTTTGTTTTTTAATGTACATTTATTTTCCCAAAGTTGTAATGCCTAGAGAATAATAGATGTCTGGGTTCTCGCACTTCTCTTTTTATTTAATGTACATTTTTTTCTGAGATTCCTCGCCAAGTTTAGCTGTAGAATTTTTATTAAATTTGAGACCAAAGTGTGTTTGTGGTTTGTTTTTTCATTTTTCCTCTCAAACACTTCATGTTTTATAGACCAAGGTAGCAGTAACAGTTTATATGAATTACCTAGGAGAGTTGTATTAAATACTCAGTCTGATTCTTGTGGGTCGGAACAATTTAAGGGACCTATTACTGCAGGGGTTTTTTTTTTTTTAATATTACTCAAAATTGTTTAAAAAGCAACCACAGTTCATTAGGGCAAGTGCTAAACTATGCTTACTTTGCCCTAATGAACTGTGGTTTGTTAGGGGATATAGGTTTCATTAAATTGTACTTAATATATGATATAAAAACCAGCAGTTAGCCAAACTCTTGGGGTGTGAACAAGCAACATCTACAATTTTTATCACAAAATGACATTGCTTGCCTGCCCCTTGTGGGTTGCTGGATCTAGTGACATAACCCTTGGTTTCAAAGGGAAATGCATAAAGGAAGGAACTAAAGAGGAACTGTGTTTTCATTCTTTTAATAACTTTTCACTGGCTCCACCACTTCTGAGTAGGTAGTGTTTTCCAGAAAATACCAATTTCTCTCTTCCTTAATAGATTGAATTTTTTTTTTTTTTTTTTTTTTAGTTTTTAAAGACAGGGTCTCCCTCTGTCGCCCAGGCTGGAGTGCCATGACAGGATCATAGCTCACTGCAACCTCGAAGTGCTGGGCTCAAGCAGTCCTCCCACCTCAGCATCTCCAATTGCTTGAAACTACAGGCGTGGGCTACCACACTCAGCTACTTTTTAAGTTGCCATATTTTTTCCACTCAGGATTGTTCTTTTTTTTAAAAAAAATCTTGTATCAATTCTGTGATACTTATAGGGCAAGAATATCATCTGATTTTTGTAGATAAGATAACTAAGGTACAGTAGTCTTCCCTTATGCATGGGAGATACATTCCAAGACCCTGGTCAATGCCTGAAACCATGGGTAGCACTGAACCCTATGTATACTGTACATACATACCTATCATACATACATACTTACTTTTCCCATGCATATATACCTATGATAAGGTTTAATTTATAAGATAGGCACAGTAATATATTAACAATAACCGATAATAAAGTAGAACAATTCTAACAATATTCTGGCATCACTATTCTTGCACTTTGGGCCATTAGTAGTAAGAGTTGACTTAATTAGTAATAAGAGTTATTTGAACAGCCTAGGCAATGTGGCAAAAAAACATAACAAAACAAAACAAAAAATATAGCTGGGTGTGGTGGCACATGCCTGTAGTCGTAGCTACTGAGGGCTGAGATAGGAGGATCACTTGAACCCAGGAGGTAGAGGCTATAGTGAGCTGGCACTCCAGCCAGGGTGACAGAGTGAGACCCTGTCTCAAAAAAAAAAGTTACTTGAGTACAAGCACTGTGATCCTGACAGTTGTTCTGGTACTAACAGGGTGGTAGCTTATACAGCATGGATATGCTGGACAAAGGGATGATTCACATCCTGGGTGGAATGGAGCTGTAGGTTCATCATACTACTTAGAACTGCATGTGACTTAAAACTTATGAATTGTTTATTTCTAGAATTTTACATTTAATATTTTCAAACCACAGTTGAGCAAGGGTAATGGAAACTGCGGAAAGTGAAACCAAGATAAGAGGGGGACTACCGTATAGGGAAGTTAGTCACTTATGTACATCTCACACAGTAAGCTAATGTCAGGGACAACAGTAGAACACGAATTAAATAAGATTCTTCATAAAGAAATTTCTGAGCTAGGTGTGATGGTACATGCCTATAGTCCCAGTTACTCTGAAAGCTGAAGCAGGAGGATCTCTTGAGCCCAGGAGTTCCAGTCCAACCTGGGCAACATACCAAGACCCTGTCTCTTAAGAAAAAAAAAAAAAAAATTCTGAAAGCCAAAATTAGTAGGGAAATTTGTTTTGAGTTTCCTACATTTTTTCAACTCTTGGAATCAGCTCCCGTAATTTATGTTTTCCTAGGTAATTGGCTTCTAAATCTTGAATAATAAACACTGAATAAACATAGTTTTTCTTCAGTTGTTCATTTCTTCTTAGGGACAGATTCACTAATTCACAAGTAATTTGAATTATCATAACTGATCAGTTATGAAAAACTGTTACTAATTCAAGGATATTGCATTATCAGAAATGTTTTGGCAAATTTTATAAGCAGAGGAAAACCTCACATAACAGAGATAAAACCAAAAACTCATTTTAAAGGGTCATATAACAATATGTTTATAGATGTTTATTGAACTGCTGTGTATAACGCCCTGTGCTAGGTACATTATATACACAGATGAATAAGAGTAATTTCCTTCTGAAGTTCCTTAGCCATGTAAATGGAGTATGCAGTCATAAATGTGCATAATGGATGGCTGGGTGTGAATTCACCATTTTCCAAATTCTGAAGAGTAGTTGACATTATGATGGTCTGGGGAAGAAAATGATTGATAGGTTTGTATTTAAATCACTGAGTAGTGATGGAAACTAATCCAAGCCTAGCTTATATAGACAGGAATAAACCACTTAATTTTAACACAAAAGAATAGTATTTAAGTAAATCATCTACTCAGCAGCTACCATTTATTGAATGCTTACAAGTAATGTTTGGGCCTTTTTGCATATATTACTTTTCATTTTCCTCACAGTAATCCTTCAAAATAGGAATTTTTATCTCCAGTGTACAGATAAGTAAACTGAGATTAAATCTAATGTCTCACGTCAAACAGATGTGGGTCTCTAAATCACATCTGATTGGCTCCATGGCCCTGCCATTCCATTATTGACACTCTACCTCCTTTACTTAGTCCAAGCCTCAATCTCTTAACTATAAAATGAAAATAATAATAGTACTTACAGGCACAGTGCCTAAAATGTGGTAAATACTTAACTATAGATAGACATACAATCACACTCCCAAAAATTCCCAAAAATTTATTAAGTACCTAGTTTATACCAGATATTTCATATTTATAAGCTCAATCTCTAGAACCATCCTGCATGTAGGTAATTGTTAGATTTCGAGGATGAAGCTCTGAGACACTGAGAGAAGGTAACCAATTAATATGAGCCAGGATTCAAAGTCTGTGTTTCTAAAGTTATTTCCCGTTCTACACTGTCTTTTCCTTCAGTTATATGTTATATTCTCAACTCTTTATATTTTCTTTCCATGTATTTTGTACAAACATATAAAATGTGTTAGATTGTATTTTACTTCTATAATTTCCTAATCATCTCCAGTTAAAGTGTATATATATTTATGTATTCATTACAGTTACAGAGTGTTTCAAGTGCCATTCACCTATGTGACAAGAAGAAAATGGAATTATCTCTGAACATACCTGTAAATCATGGTCCACAAGAGGTAAAAAAAAAAAAAAAAAAAAAAAGGTTATATTAAACTCAAAATGTGAGAAGAATTTGAAAAAATCATTTGGTCTAAGCCCTTCTTTTATAGAAGGAAAACTAAAGCCCAGGGAGCTTTTAGGATTTGTTTGGTAGCTCATGTCAATCTCCAACTTGAAACCCAGCTGTACTGATTCTCAGTTCATTGTTCATCCCATCAAATCACAATTATTGCTTCTTTGTTTGACATTGAGTTCTGTCCCTGTCATTGTTTTATACAATAAATGATATCCCAGGGTATTATGTAGGCAAATCATTGATTACAGTTTTAACACTGTATTTATGCTACCTTGTTCTTACCTCTTATAATAATTAATGAGAGGAAAACATTGCTGCCTAGGAAGAAAGATCTCTTTAGTAGCATTCAATCAGACTTATATTAGTCTGAATTAGTAATTTCTTTTAAGAATGTATATGTATGTTCATTTTACAGAATTAGAAAAGTAACATAGATTGAGCATCCCTAATCCAAAAATCCAAAGCCCTCCACAGTCCAAAACTTTGAACACCAACATGATGCCACAAGTGGAAAATTCCACACCTGTGTTAGTCTGTTTATCGTTGCTATAATGAAATACCTAAGAGTAGGTAATTTATAAAGAAAAGAGGTTTATTTGGCTCACAATTCTGGTAGCCAGAAAGTCCAGGATTGGGCAGCTGCATCTGATGAGGACCTTAGGCCGCTTGCACTCATGTTGGAAAGTAGAAGGGGAGCGAGCTATGCAGAGAAATCACATGGTGAGACAGGATGCAGGAGAGTGAAAATGAGGAAGTCAGGTTCTTTAACAGCTTGCTCTCTCAGGAATCCACTCACCACTTCTAGAATGGCACCAAGCTATTCATGAGGGATCTTCCCCCATGACCCAAACACCTCCCATTAAGCCCCACCTCCCAACACCACCACATTGGGGATCAAATTTCAATGTGAGATTTAGTGGGGACAAACAAACCATATCAAACCATAGCAACATCTGACCTCATATGATAGGTCGCAGTCAAAACATTGTTTCATGGGTGGACACGATGGCTCAAGTCTGTGATCCCAGAACTTTGGGAGGCCAAGGTGGGTGGATCACTTGAGGTCAGGAGTTCGAGACCAGCCTGGCCAACATGACAAAACCCCATCTCTACTAAACATATAAAAATTAGCTGGGCATGGTGGCGCATGCCTGTAATCCCAGCTACTCGGGGGGTTGAGGCAGGAGAATTGCTTGAACAAGCCAAGATCGCACCACTGCAGTCCACCCTGGGCGACTCCACCTCAAAAAAAAAAACTTTGTTTCAGGTATAAAATTATTTTAAAATATTGAATTAAGTTACCTTCAGGCTGTGTGTATAAGGTGTATATGAAACATAAATGAATTTTATATTTAGACTTGGGTCCCAACCCCAAGATATCTCGTTATATATATACAAATATTCCAAAATCTGAAAAAAATCCAAAATTCCAAACACTTCTGGTTCCAAGCATTTCAGATAAGGGATATTAAACCTGTAGTATCTTTAAAACGAACCTTAAAGCATAGTATATCACATTTTTAATCACTTGATGTACAGTATTTCATTTGATCTTTGAGGCCATTCATGCATATTTTTAGATAGACAGTGCGGATAATAGAGCCAAAAACCTGAGAGCCAGAGAGGTTAAATACCTTATTGAAAGTTAGCTAGTGATTCCATGACAGAGCTAGGAGTAAAATTCTCCATTACTTTTTCCATGTTTTCCTGTGCCTCCATGTGGAAGGAACCTGAGGTGCTGAGAACAGGCATTTCTAAATCTGTAGGAGACCAGACTTGCAGATACCAAATTTCTCATTCACTATTCTAGCTACTGGCTGCAGCATCTGAGATCGTGTAGAAAATACTGAAAAAATAATTATTTCTAATGTTTCATTATTCCCCTATTTCGCCCATTTGTGTTAATTAAGAAAATAAGTTTATCTTTGTTGGTTATTTTATAGATGTATGTGTTTCTTTAATTTTGTAAAGTATAATTTTTAGTAGTTTTGTAGGTTGGGCACAATGGCTCACACCTGTAATTCCAGCACTTTGTGTGGCCAAGGCTGGTGGATCACTTGATCGCAGGAGTTTGAGACCAGCCTGGGCAACGTAGCGAAACCCCATTTCTACGAAAGATACAAAATTTAGCATGGTATGGTGGTGTGCACCTATAATCCCAGCTATTAAGGAGGCTGAGATGGGAGGTTCACCTGAGTTCAGGAGGGTGGGGCTGCAGTGAGCCTAGGTTGTGCCACTGCACTCCAGACTGGGCAACAGAGTGAGACCCTGTCTGAAAAAAAAAAATTAGTAGTTTTTATCTTCATTTGTGATAAGCCACAAACAAGAACTATTTAGAAATTAAAGCTCGATAATTTTTATTAACCTAAACCCTTTATTTTTTATTTACTTTAGGAATCATGTGGATCCTCTCAGCTCCATGAAAATAGTGGTTCTCCTGAAACTTCAAGGTCCCTGCCAGCTCCTCAAGACAATGATTTTTTATCTAGTATGTAGATTTTCCAATCATTATTTACTTGCAAGTTTTCCATTTTCTTTCAAGATCAAATTTTTGCAAGCAGTCATGATTTCTATGGAACTTTAATTTGCATATATAACTCATTTTGTAAAGCGACAGAGTCTAAAGATAGGAAAATAGTAGTGTGATATTCAACAAATACATTTAAGTTTTAAGGCATTATGTTTGGCCAGGCGCAGTGGTTCACACCTATAATCCCAGCATGTTGGGTGGCCAAGGTGGGCAGATCACCTGAGGTCAGGAGTTCGAGACCAGCCTGGCCAACATGGTGAAACCCCATCTCTACTAAAAATACAAAAATTAGCCAGGCATGGTGGTGGGCACCTGTAGTCTCAGCTACTTCGGAGGCTGAGGCGGAAAGATCGCTTGAACCTGGGAGGGAGGTTGCAGTGAGCCGAGATTGCACCACCACACTCCATCCTGGGCGACAGAGTGAGACTCTGTGTCAAAAAATAAATTTTAAAAAACAGGCATTATGTTAGACACTGCCAGAAAATGTCCGCAAAAAAATCTCTTACAAGAAAAAGGAGAAATGTTTCTAAATAACTATTATATGAGATAGTGATATAAGAGAGACGTGGATCTAGAGCTATGGTAGTACAGTGGAAGAGTAACACTGTACAAAGGACTTTCACAACAACCTTGTGAGAGAAATGTCCTCATTTTACACATTTAAGGACTCTGGATCACATAGCTAGTAGCTGGCACATCTAAGACTTTTGATAAATATTATCATGTCACTCTACTCTACCATGTTGTCATCATGAAATTATTTCTGGCTGAAGGCTGGATCTGTAATTACAAAGGATAGGCATTCCAGGCAAAAGGAACAACATACAGGTACAGAAGCAAGAAAATACAGAGAACAGTGAGTAATTTGGTTTAGCTAGTAAAGAAGGTGAATGAAAGAAGTAAGAGCTAAGTAGATTGGAGTCATATCATCAAGAATTCTAACTTTCAGCTGAACTATTTGGACTTTTTTACTTGAGTAGGAAGCAACTATTGCAATTTTTTGAGCAAGGGAGTGACATAAAATTTTTTACTTTGGGGAGATTCATTCTGGCTGGAATGTGTAGGATATTTTGAAAGGAAAAGGAAACTTGAGATGGGGAGATCAGTTAGGAGACTATTACTGTAGTACCCGTGAGAGATTATTAAGAACCGATACAGAATGAAAGAAAGGAGGGGTGGTATGTGAGATGTTATAGACAACTAGATGATAGGACTTTGTAACTTTTCACTTAGAGGAGCGATGAGAGAAAAAAGAGGTAAAGCCAAATAAATTGTTAAGCCTGGGGACTGGGAGAACATTGGTGCCATTAAAAGAAATAGAAGTTAAAACAGGCTGCATGCGGTGGCTCACACCTGTAATCCCAGCATTTTGCAAGGCCAAGGTGGGCAAATCACTTGAGGCCAGGAGTTCAAGACCAGCCTGGCCAACATGCCAAAACCCCATCTCTACTAAAAATACAAAAAAATTAGCGGGTATGGTGGTGCACACCTGTAATCCCAGCTCCTCAGGAGGCTGAGGCACAAGAATCACTTGAACCTGGGAGGCAGGGGTTGCAGTGAGCTGAGATTGCGCCACTGCACTCCATCCTGAGTGACAGAGCAAGATTCTATCTCAATTAAAAAAAAAAAAAGTTAAAACAAGTTTTAGAGTTAAGACGGATAATTATACTTTTAATGTTTTTGTTTTTGTTTTTAATTTGAGGTACTAGGAGCACACAAAGGGTTGATGGCCAGAGGGCTTTTGAAAATATAACACTAAGGTTCATGGCTGAGTGTAGTGGCTCACACCTGTAATCCTAGAACTTTGGGAGGCTGAGACAGGTGGATCACCTGAGGTCACGAGTTCAAGACCAGCCTGGCCAACATGGTGAAATTCCATCTCTACTAAAAATACAGAAATTAGCCAGTTGTGGTAGCATGCAACTGTAATCCCAGCTACTTAAGAGGCTGAGGCAGGAGAATCGCTTGAACCTGAGAGGTGGAGGTTGCAGTGAGCTGAGATCGCAACCATTGCACTCCAGCCTGGGTGGCAAAAGCAAAACTCCATCTAAGAAAGAGAGAGAGACAGAGAGAGAGAGAGAGGGAGGGAGGGAGGCAGGGAGGGAGGAAGGAAGGAAGGAAAGAAGGAAGGAAGGAAATATAAGACGAAAGTTCAATGAAGACAGAAAATGTAATTGCGTGGATTTGGGAATAGAGGGGATGATTAAGTCCCTGAGGCTCAGTGGGATTGCCAGAAGAGAAACTAGAAAGACAGACATCATATATAGATTTAGAGAACATACTTAAACTTCAGAAGGAGTAAGAAGACACACAGGAAAAATATGGGACTATGTAAAGAAGTAAAATTCTATGATTTATAATTTACACAGAACAGACAATTTCTGACAGAAATTGTAGTGAAAGCATTCCATATAAACCCTTTTTTGTTTTAAGAAATATCTACTTGCAGAATTAGGTTTCTGAACCAGCCTTAATATTAGTGGAAACTAAAGACATTGGAGCCTACCTTCTGTCTGCTCAGATGTTGACATGTTAGCCAATAGGAATTTCTAAGGAGTATTCTACTTCTAATGAAGATGTTGTATTTTGTAGGAAAAGCTCAAGACTGTTATTTTATGAAGCTGCATCACTGTCCTGGAAATCACAGTTGGGATAGCACCATTTCTGGATCTCAAAGGGCTGCATTCTGTGATCACAAGACCACTCCATGCTCTTCAGCAATAATAAATCCACTCTCAACTGCAGGAAACTCAGGTAAATATTTACTGTGAAACACCTTGTAAGTGATGCCATTGACCTTACATATCTGTGTTCAGTGGATTTACCATACAATGAGGTTTGTCTTTATTTCCTCAATATGATAAATACATACCTTCTTAAGTAGGAAAACAAATCCCAGGAGATGGGAATGATGACATGGCCCAAATGGTATTCTATGAACATCTAAATAGGGAGGCAGTGCTAAGAGGAGGTATTAACATATTACTAATGGTAAAGTTATTTTTGTTTATTTAAAAAATTTGCAGGTATCTTTTATATTTGAAATAAAATGGACATCAAACAAAACTGAACAAATCCCAGAAGATGGAAATGATGACATAAAGTGGTTTTTGCCCCGTGATTTATACCATAGGAAAAGGCAATGCCTTTTCTGGGGAGTGAGGGGGAGATAACCCAAATCTCTGAATGTTTCCTGAAAAATGACACCATTCCCCAAAGTGTTGGTGTTCCATATTGGCACAATCATAGGAAAATTATGTTTTATGCTTTATTTATTTTTCATGGAATTTTACTTATTGCTATGTATCTGTCCTCACCTTTTAAATTATTCATTCCTTGTTCTTTTTCAGAACGTCTGCAGCCTGGTATAGCCCAGCAGTGGATCCAGAGCAAAAGGGAAGACATTGTGAACCAAATGACAGAAGCCTGCCTTAACCAGTCGCTAGATGCCCTTCTGTCCAGGGACTTGATCATGAAAGAGGACTATGAACTTGTTAGTACCAAGCCTACAAGGACCTCAAAAGTCAGACAATTACTAGACACTACTGACATCCAAGGAGAAGAATTTGCCAAAGTTATAGTACAAAAATTGAAAGATAACAAACAAATGGGTCTTCAGCCTTACCCGGAAATACTTGTGGTTTCTAGATCACCATCTTTAAATTTACTTCAAAATAAAAGCATGTAAGTGACTGTTTTTCAAGAAGAAATGTGTTTCATAAAAGGATATTTATATCTCTGTTGCTTTGACTTTTTTTATATAAAATCCGTGAGTATTAAAGCTTTATTGAAGGTTCTTTGGGTAAATATTAGTCTCCCTCCATGACACTGCAGTATTTTTTTTAATTAATACAAGTAAAAAGTTTGAATTTTGCTACATAGTTCAATTTTTATGTCTCTTTTGTTAACAGAAACCACTTTTAAAGGATAGTAATTATTCTTGTTTATAACAGTGCCTTAAGGTATGATGTATTTCTGATGGAAGCCATTTTCACATTCATGTTCTTCATGGATTATTTGTTACTTGTCTAAGATGCAATTTGATTTTATGAAGTATATACCCTTTACCCACCAGAGACAGTACAGAATCCCTGCCCTAAAATCCCAGGCTTAATTGCCCTACAAAGGGTTATTAATTTAAAACTCCATTATTAGGATTACATTTTAAAGTTTTATTTATGAATTCCCTTTAAAAATGATATTTCAAAGGTAAAACAATACAATATAAAGAAAAAAATAAATATATTAATACCGGCTTCCTGTCCCCATTTTTAACCTCAGCCTTCCCTACTGTCACCAACAACCAAGCTAAATAAAGTCAACAGCCTGATGTGTATCTTTCTGTCCCTTTCTTCCTGCTTATATTTAGAACATATGCTCATTTGAGAAAGGATCTTTCTGCATATTATTATTATAATTATACATCATACTGCAACCTGCTTTTTGCATTTAATAGTACAGCCTTCCAGATCAGATATGGCTCTAACTTACTCTTTTTACTTGCTGCCTAATACCCACAGTTTTTATTTTCTTAACTTGTCCATATCAAATTTAGCCCAAACAATAAAAGTACGGTGTGAGCACTTTTTTGGTTAATAGGTTATATTACTATAGGAGAACTTACAAGGAATAATAGCCCTTTTCTGAAACTGCGTAGCGAAGTCAGCAGAAAGTGAGATACAGAATAAATTTGAAAAGATGAACTTTCAAGAAGCAACAGACCCACAACCTGAAAAGTTTGAATAAAAGAAATTAGATGCCATTGAGGTAATTAAATATTAATTAGAAATATAAGCATTTTAATCTCCATTTTAGAGCTTGACATTAACTTGTACCTCTTACTGTGCCTTTCAGAAATATGGAAATTAATAGGGAAAAGTGAAAACTAAACACATGAGTTATCTATTAAATTTTAAAAAGCATTAAGATGCAAATTTTATTTGTGAAGTAATAAATAGAGAAAATTATTTTGGAAGCTTTCCCTTTTCTCTATACATACTCTAAAAAGAAATTATTTTGACTATTGATGGCCTCAAATTGATGTTTATACTGATTTCATGAGGTATATCTGGATTGATAAAATGAACTTTGCCTTGTTTTTTATTCTCTGCAAAGATCTAAAAACTCATAGTTTGTGTGCTTTATGGCTATGTGCTTACAGTCACTTTCTCCCACAATTTTCTGTATGGAAGACACGTGTAGTCATCCGTCATCACAGCTCTGCAAACTTTTTCTGCGTAAATAATAACATGTTGATAAGTAAGAAGATGTTGTCAGGGATTAAGATGAATCTGCAGTGAGCTCTCATCATCTCTTCATGGGATTGTTACAATCTCAGCAGTTGGTTTTTATTATAACCCCTATTTAGTAACTGCTACTTAGAGGAAGATGAGACAGATTATGCTGAGTATGACTAGTTAGTGTAGAACAGGGTCTGGCATAGAGTAGGCACTTTTTGAATAACTCTTTAATGAATAGTGCAATGGAATGAAAACATAGAGAAGGGGAGATGTTTCCTTTAAATCTTATTTCCAAAAATGTAGTGCAAGCACAGCTAGTAGTAAGTGGGATTATTTTAGGTCATATGTAGGCTCACCACTAAATGGCATTTGAGTCACTTAGTAAAGGACATTCTTTTCCGTTCTTTTTTGAGCCTTATAATTAAATAAAGGAGAATATCTCAATTTTTTTGCTAACATCTTTTTATCCCCCTCGTTAACAAAATGAGAATAGGCTTTAGGCTCAGAACTTCAGAGACTATTTACCAAGAATTTTATGGTTTTTTTTGTTGCATTCTATTTGAAATTTATACTTCTACATATGACAAGTAATAGTTTTCTGTTTATACTAAAGTTTTATTACATAATATTTAAATAAAGACAATTTAAGTACTATTAAGTAAATTATAATATAGATAGGACATGAATGGGCCAGCAATCATAGAAGTAGTAAGAAAATGACAGATTAAAATTCAGTCACTCCAGGAAGGGACCTAGTAATTTATTTTTTAACTAGCTAGTACTAGATAATGCTAGAGATGTCATTCCTTGCAGTGCATTTTAAGACAGTGCTACCCAGAAGTACAGTGCACAGACTGGCTACATTTAGCATCACCTATAGCATGTTAGAAATGAAACTTCATGGCTCCTATCTCAGACCGACTGATTCAGTCTCTGGGGGTGAGGTCTAGGAATCTGTTTTAACAAACTCTCCAAGCGATTTTTACTCACGGTAAAGTTCAAGACCCTTTATTTTAAGAAACACTATAGATTTGTGCATAAAATAATTTCTCTCTAGGTTCACAGATGTGTTTTCATGAACTCTGATTGCCACGTGCCTTCAGAATGTTCACTCTCTGAACTGACGTTTGATTACAAAATTTTACTTTTGTTTTGCATCCAATTTGAATTCTCAAAACAATTTTAATCATGCTTTGAATTTTGGAAAGATAGCTTCACTTAAACATGAAAATCAGATCACTATAGTAGAATCTACAACTCAGTTCTTTAGGGAAGAACTTCAGAAGGGGCAAACACTTGAGTTATGACAGCAGTAGAGCTGAGCCGATATGAGGATCAATACAAGAAGCAAGACTAAATTGTGCTGAAAGTTATACTAAAGAAATTTGCATGACTGTGAAAGATTTGGGTGTTGGCAGCAGTTGTGTCAAGCAGTGGGGGCTGTTTTTTATTTCTCTCTACCATTAATCTGCCTACCCTCAGCCCCTTCAAATACTTAATTTATGAAGAAAAAAACATGGCCAACGGGGAGAGAAGGAAAATCAATAAACGTTCATGTTTAGCCATTCTCACAAACATAAGTTTCAGCCTGGTGCGGCGGCTCACGCCTGTAATCCGAGCACTTTAGGAGGCCGAGGCGGGTGGATCACCTGAGGTCAGGAGTTTGAGACCAGCCTAGCCAACATGGCGAAACCCCTTCTCTACTAAAAATACAGAAATTAGCTGGGCATGGTGGCAGGCGCCTGTAATCTCAGCTACTTGGGAGGCTGAGGCAGGACAATCACTTGAACCTGGGAGGCAGAGGTTGCAGTGAGCCGTGATCGCACCACTGCATTCTAGCCTGCGAGACAAGAGCGAAATTCCATCTCAACAACAACAACAAAAGAAAGTTAGTAATGTGTTTCTTCAAAATTATACCTCCTATCTCCCACACAGCCTAGTTCCCAAACTACCTGTTGCTTTTTCTCTCTCTCCACTGGATCATTTCTTTTCAAACACCTTTAAAAACAAAATTTCTTTACTTAACCTATCTATCCTTTTTCATCCTTTTCAAGGAGTTTATTCTACACGACCTCTATTTTGTTACCTATTTCTTTGTTTAAAATTTGATGTCATGTAATTAATGAATGGGTTGAAAGGAACAAGTGTGCATCTGATGCTTCAAAATCCTCTACTGGAAAGATGTTAATAGACGTTTATCTCATGAGTAAACACTTCCACAGATAAAGGGGGAGCTTATTACCTTGTCAGGCAATTTATTTCATCTCCAGACAGTACTATCCATACTTTCATACACTGATTTAAAAATTGATTTCCGGCCACGCGCGGTGGCTCAAGCCTGTAATCCCAGCACTTTGGGAGGCTGAGGCAGGCAGATCATGAGGTCAGGAGATCGAGACCATCCTGGCCAACATGGTGAAACCCCGTCTCTACTAAAAATACAAAAATTAGCCGGGTATGGTGGCGTGCGTCTGTAGTCCCAGCTACTCAGGAGGCTGAGGCAGGAGAATCGCTTGAACCCGGGAGGCAGAGGTTGCAGTGAGCCGAGATCACACCACTGCAATCCAGCCTGGGCGACAGAGCAAGACTCTGTCTAAAAAAAAAAATAAAACAATAAAAAATAAAAATAAAAATTGATTTCCTTGTAGTATATATCAACTCATCCTGATTACAAACCTTGGAATATTTTATGGGGTAAATCTAATCCCTCTTCTATGACAGCATCTTATATATTTCCAAGGAGCTCTTTTATTTCTGGTGATTTTTTTTTTCTCTGCCTCAGAATAATTCCTACTTACTTCAGTGGTTATTTAAGTGGCATGGTCTATATTCCTCTCAAAGTATGGTAGCCACAACTAAACATGGTGCTCCTACTCAGGTCTTGCCATCACAGTTGGGATATCTGCTCCCTTATCCTTAAATAAAATGCTAAAGCACCGTTTTATAGTAGTCACATGTCATTGTCAAATTAATATTTAACTACCAGCTAACAAATTCTTCATCTGTACACCTGTGTTGTTTTGCCTTATTTCTCCACTTTTCAAATAGGTAAATTGGATTGTTAGGCCCATATATAACAATTTGCCTTTATCTCTCTTTTTTTTTTTTTTTTTTTTTTTGAGACGGAGTCTCGCTGTCGCCAGGCTGGAGTGCAGTGGCACGATCTCGGCTCACTGCAACTTCGGCCTCCTGGGTTCAAGCGATTCTCCTGCCTCAGCCTCCCGAGTAGCTGGGATTACAGACACGTGCCAACACACCCAGCTAATTTTTGTATTTTTAGTAGAGATGGGGTTTCACCATGTTGGCCAGGATGGTCTCAATCTCTTGACCTCATGATCCTCCCTCCTCGGCCTCCCAAAGTGCAAAGTGCTGGGATTAGAGGCATAAGCCACTGCACTGGCCTATCTCTATTTTTTTTTTAATTCATCCCTAGTTCCAGTTATTCAATACATTTTTTATCCCTAAATCTGGAATCTTCCAGCTTGTCATCCACAAATTTGACAAACCTACTTTTTATAGTTTCATCCAAGTTACTAATTAAAATGTCGATTGTGCTGAGCCATTCAAGCATGAAGTTTGCAAATTACCACAAGCCTTCTTTCCTTCAATTTGACAAAGCTCATCACTATTTAACTACAATCATTCATCTAATCACTAATGAATATAATTGGAATATTTTAAAGAGTTTCCTTTTTTAACATAAAAAATATGGAATCTACAAATTTAGCCTACATGGTCTCTATATCTGGGCAGTTTTTTAAAGAATTGGCTTGTGTTTTCATCGAAAATGTGTGTTTCAATATAAATCCACTTTTTTTGCTACAAGTACATTCAGTTATTAAAATGGGGCATGCCTCTTCTCTTAAAATATTAAATGGATATTGCTCAGGCTCTGCTTATAAAATCTGGTGCAAGACACTCTCTGTCCACCAAAATCCCATGATTTAAGGATGCCAACCAAATAAAGAAACTCCAAATTCCACATCTGAAAAAAAAATACTAAGAAAATTAAAGAATAGACAGAAGATAATTTTAAAATACTTACATAATACCCTTAGAGAGACTTGTTATCTTCAAAACTAGGAGAAATTGTTAAAAAATAGAAGCAACTAATGATCTAGAAACATTTAAACTATGATTCTCATAATAATAACCCAGAACCCATCCATTCTTGAAAACTGTCCTTTTTCTCACTAGGACTCCTAACTTGGGAGTTTGTTAGGGTAGATAACCAGTCCAAGCCTCTAGCTTCCATATCTTTGGTTGATTCCTTTTTGGATGTATTTAGCAACCCTGAGCAAACAGGGAAGCTACCAACAAAATAACTGCAAGTACTTTTCATTGCTAGTTTGAAGTCTCCTGCCCTCACTAAACACATGTTGCTGAGCTTTTGCCTTCTCACTGTGACTGATGCACTCCTCATCATACTAAGAGATGCTTAGGACTGGCAGGATGCCCATCACCTTTGTTTCCACCAGTGCCCCTTAGTGGAATGGTACAAAGTCTAAAGGGGCAAGAAAAAAATTTTTTGAAAAATTAACTCTTTAGTGTTTTGGGCACAGCCTGATCACAAACACATGAGATATATTTTGCATAGGCCTCCCGACAAAGTTAAAAGGACTCAAAATTCCGAATTAATTTCGACTCCAGAAGAGAGTTAATAGTTTTAGAATTTTAAGCTCATTAATCTAACTGAATTCATTCTAAGGAATATGGAAGCTAGTACTGGGAGCCTGGTCCCAAGACAATGTTTTAATTTTAATTGTTTTTAAATTAGAAGAAAAAAATGAATATATAACAATGAACAGTTTAGATTACATATATCTTTATAATAATGCAATTGTAAAAAATAATTTTAATATCTTTTATAGAGGACAGAGCCACAAAAGCATAAGTGCCTATGTCAGAGGTGTTTGAACCAGAGCAACTCCATTTTGAATAGGGGCTGAGTAAAATAAGGCTGAAAACTACTGGGCTACATTCCCAGGAGGTTAGGCATTCTTAGTCAGGATGAGACAGAAGGTTGGCACAAGATACAGGTCATAAAAACCCTACTGATAAAACAGGATGTGGTAAAGAAGTCAGCCAAAACCAAGATGGTGACAAAAGTGACCTCTGTTCATCTTCACTGCTCATTATATGCTAATTATAATATAATTATAATGCATTAGATTGCTAAGAGATACTCCCACCAGGGCCATGACAGTTTACAAATGCCATGGCAACCTAGGGAAGTTAGCTTATATGGTCTAAAAGGGAGAGGAATCCTCAGTTCTGGGAATTGCCCACCCCTTTCCTGGAAAACTCATGAATAATCCACTTCTTATTTAGCATATAACCAAGAAATAACTATAAGTATACTCAGTTGAGCAGCCCATGCCACTGCTCTGTCTATACAGTAGCCATTTTTTTATTCCTTTACCTTCTTAATAAACTTGCTTTCACTTTATGGACTCACCCTGAATTTTTTTCTTGCACAAAGTTCAAGAACCTCTCTTGGGGTCTGGATAAGGACACCTTTCCAGTAACACCTAGGGCCCACGAATGTCCTATTGCAGCTCTGATTGTGAAATGACTTACCTGACGGTAGTCTGAAAAGTTTGCTTGAGACTGTAGCCACAGCAAAAGTTGACCTTACAAACTGGGTCATTCTTGTCACACCCAACTAAAACAGCGCAATCAGACCACGTACCATTGCTCCAAGAATGTAATTCTCTGCAAGCTTGGCTGCTGAGACTGCCTGCTATAACCTGAAACCAGTTTTATCTAAAGGCTACTGAAACAATCTACTGCACCTCTAAGACTAGTTTTACCCACCACCATCACTCACCAAAAAGCTTGCTAGCTCCCCAAAACCTTACTTGAGCCAATGAACTTTCTAGAGTAGTGGTATGTAATGTTTCTCCTTTTTATAAAAGCTCTAACCTTCTCTTTGTTCTTTAGATATACCAAAGACAACCCGGTCTGTGTGTATGCCCCTAGTTGCAATTCTTTCTTGCCAAATAAAATATTTTAATTTCAGAGATTCATCTTTATATTTTATTTGACTTTGACAGCACTAATCAGACACAGTACTCCAGAGGTGCTAGGATAGGGGGCAAAGGGCAAGGAAACTGAATAGTGGCAGATTGGGCTTGTCCATGTCAGGAAGGACCAGTGGCCCACAACACTAGCATGTAGAGGAAAAAGCAAGTAGAAACACAATGAATACTGCAGGTTAAAGGCGTGGCCCTCAGAGCTTGAGCATTCTCACCTTTCCACTTGCCAAGACCCTGAAAAAAGGCGGAGATTCAGACTTCCCACCAACCCTTTCAGGTTAGAGCCTGGGCCACATTCAATTTAACTTAGAAACATAAATAAATCTGTCTTGTTCCTCAGTGTTATAGGCAAAATCATGCCTGATATATTGACTGGTATGGTCTTGTTTATTACTATTATTGCTTTAGGTTGTGTATTGACTGGTTGCCCCCAAAATGATCTGCTGAAGTCCTAATCCCCAGAACCTGTGAGTGTGACCTATTTGGAAAGTGGGTTTTTACAAATGTCATTAAATTAAAGATCTCAAGATGAGACCATCCTGGATTAACTGGGTGTGCCGTAAATCCAGTGACAAGTGTCCTTATAAGAAGAGGGCTGGGCATGGTGGCTCACGCCTGTAATCCCAGCACTTTGGGAGGCCAATGCAGGCAGGTCACTTGAGGCCAGGAGTTTGAGACCAGCCTGGCCAACACGGAGAAATCCCATCTCTACTAAAAATACAAAAATTAGCCAGGCGTGGCAGCGGGCACCTGTAGTCTCAGCTACCCAGGAGGCTGAGGCAGAAGAATTTCTTGAACCCAAGAGGCAGAGGCTGCAGTGAGTTGAGATCACACCACTGCACTCCAGTCTGGGCAACAGAGTGAGACACTGTCTCAAAAAAAAGGAAAAGAAAAAAAGGAGAGAAGACACAGACAAAAGAAAAGGCCATGGAAGGCAGAGGCAGAGATAGGAATGGCACAGCCACATGCCAAAGAATGCCTGGAATCACCAAAAGCTGGAAAAGGAAAAGGCAAAGGACTTTTACCCCTCTAGCCTTCAGAGGGCGTGTGGCCCTGCCAACACCTTGATTTTGGACTACAGACCTCCTGAACTGTGAGAGAATAAATTTCTATTATTTTAGGCCACCAAGTTTACGGTAATATGTTAATGATAGTCCTAGGACACTAAGATACTTCATTTTTAAAAATATACTTAATTTTTTAGAATAGTTCATGATTTCTTGAAAGATTGAAAAGCTAGTGTAGAAAGTTCCCATATACTCTGCACCCAGTTCCCCCTACTATTGACATCTTCCATGAGTATAGTGTATTTGTTAAAATTAATGAACTACTATTGATAATATAAAATAAAAAATCTCAGAACCCTCTAAATTTATCATGCCAAGGGGGAAATTAAGCTCTGGAGACTGAGTCATGAAGCATGTTTGCAATTAGATTATAGATTAACTCTCTTGCTCATTGTTCTTGTTCTGTAAATGACTAGAAGAGACTAGAGACCAGACCTTTCTCCACTTGCAATTACTGATCTTTGTTATAGATTAACTGCCTCCTTTATTGTTCAATACCTAACTCAGACCAGATGGTGCAAAAGACCCCATAACTATTAGATTCTCAGTGTGAAATGTTAAATATACCTCTGAAAATAGGTAATTGGAAATCCAAGCTGTTGGAACTCTAAATTACTTTGAACCTTAAAGAAATGTGAGGTTATGGGGACTGAGTCATGTGACAGGCAGCTGTAACCTTTCTTGCTCTGATTATAGATTAGCCTTCCTCACCTACATTGTTTTCTAAAATGTTATATATTACTAAAGGGCACCAGGGAAGACCCCTTCCCTCTTCCCTGTTGATCTTTATTATAGATTAACTTCCTCTTATCTTTCTCACAAAAAGGCTTTATGGTTATCACATTGTCTTCAGATGGAATATTAAAAATACTCTTTTAAATTGGAAAGGACATGAAAACAAGCTGTATGGAAAACAAAATGAACTATAACTAATTAAATGTTTATAACTCAAAAACAAGCTTTGTATAGAAAATGTTATATATAATCCTACTCTATTTTCTGTCTATATAAGAACCTTTAACTTCAGAGCCCTGACCCCATTTCTCTGGAGTCTGTGTCTTTTAAATAGCCATTCCCAGCTTTTCACTTTAATAAACTCTTTATAACTTGATTCTGATCCGTTTGACTGTTTCAGCTTGACGTGCCTTTCCTGAAAGAAAAATACCACCTCAACAAATCAGATCATTGTAACTATACATTAAGCCTAACATAGGAAGGTGTTGATATTCTGCTAAACTTCCCTAAACTTTGTGAATATGAGTGAAAACTTCTATACTTTGGAACACTGACTTCCATTCTTTAGAATCTGTGCTTCCCAAGAAGCCCGGCTTCAAACTTTGCACTTGAATCAACTCTGTTTAAACTAGATTCTGAGTCAGGCATGGTGGCTCACGCCTGTAGTCCCAACACTTTGGGAGGCTGTGGTAGGCTAATCACTTGAGACCAGGAGTTTGAGACCAGCCTGGCCAACATGGTAAACCCCATCTCTACTAAAAATACAAAAAAAAAAAAAAAAGTTAATCAGGCAATCCCAGCTACTTGGGTGGCTGAGGCAAGAGAATTGTTTGAACTCAGGAGGCAGAGATTGTAGTGAGCTGAGATCACACCATTGCACTCCAGCCTGGGCAACAGAGCGAGACTCGCCTAATGTCTTTTTTCTGCTCCAAGATCCCATCCAGGATGCTGATGAGGTGTGGAAAATGATTCCCCAGCCTGTGGGGCTTGGGCATGCTGAGTGCTTTTGAAAATTGAAAGGCCCCAGAAACAAGGTCCTGTCTAACCTTGTGTTGTTTCCCCAGCCCACTTCACCTCCCAGGACAGGAAGGGACTCTCTCTGGAGTTTCCTCATCTGTTCAAAAAAGTCTCTTACAAAAAAAAAAAAATTGCCTTCTATCTGCTTCCTAAAATGGCATTATCTATTGCAGAAAAAAGACAAGAATGCAACCACACCTGGACAGACTTGTTTTTAAGAAGATAATTCCTGCCACTGGAGCTCAGAGAAAATTCCAGAGAAAATCCTTTACAAGTTAATTACTGTTCCCTGGTCCGTCCATTCTCCCTAATAGTCATTTACTGCCCCTCAAAGAATTGTCTATATCCCCCAGCGCTTCCCTCCCCTATGAAAAAGGGTATATAAGCTGTACCCATTGGAAGATTGGGGGAATCCCTTTGTGATTCCACCACATTAATACATTTGTATGCCTTTTCTGCCTTTCATCAATTGATTTCAGCAAACCTTCAGAGGGCAAAGGGGAAGTTTTCCCCTGGCCTCTATAATACCACATTACATTTGGTTGCCCTGTCTCCTCAAACCTTTGCACTTTTTGACCCATCAATGAAAACACCTTTGCAAATATTATGACAGTGAGAGAACGCTAGCATGACTCATGCCCTCTTGCTTCTAGTCTCACAGGCTGGCTGTCTTCACTCATTCCTGGGCATAGACCAAGCTAATCATGGGAAAATCTTAGTATATAGTTTAATTTTGAAACAAGGATCATAATAGTCCTTCCCTAAAACTGATCCCTGCCTTGCTCAGAGACCAAAGCTGCCTTTGTAAAACTAATGAACGTTTATGACATAGGATTGTGGGAGGGATCTGAATTCTGCTAAAATGTAGGCATAGTTTCTATGTTCCCTTACTGCTCAGGAGTGGAGTCATGTGGCCAGAGGTCACAAGATTTGTGACTTCCCCACTTGCTCCTAAAGATAGTGTCACTGCTGTAGAACCTGAGGTTGGTCTTTTGAGATGTTTTTCAGATTTTTGCATTCTGGCAACTGACTGATCCCACCCAAACCCATGACTCATGACTCAACCGGTTCTACTGCTCTCACTCAGAGGCAGATACAGCACACAAGCACCATTTTCCACACCCCTATGATTTCATTCTCACCCAATCAGCAGCACCCATTCCCTATCCCCCTGCCCACCAAATTATCCATAAAAACCCTAGCCTCTGAGTTCTTCGTGAGACTGATATGAGTAATAACTCCAGCCCTTCCATTTGGCTAGCTCCACGTTAATTAAACTCTTTCTCTACTGCAATACTGCAGTCTCAGTGAAATGGTTTTGTCTGTGCAACTGGCAGGAAGAACCCATCAGGGGATTACACGAATTCAATATCCAAGAATTTATTCTAAGGAAATAATCATAGGTGTGTGTAAAGATTAAGCCATGATGATGGTCACTGAGGCATTGCTTAAAAACTATTGAGAAACCAAAAGAGATTTTGCTTTTGGGGGTTATATCAATCCTTATTTGCCACTAGAAATTAAAACTGAGAAGTCAAGAATATATTAATTCATTTAAAACATCCAAAGTGAAAAACAGTTGATGAGAAGAACCATGTTATTTTACATTTTTGCATATCTCTTTGAATGTTTAAAAAAGTAAGTAAATAGAAGAGAACTGGGTTTTCATATCTGCATTCAATCTGTTGCAAAATCACATGTCATGTAGCCTCTGGAAAACTCCACTGTTCACCTGTGAGAGTATGGGAGTAATAAATGCAATAACATCTCAGAATTATTATGGAAATAGGTTTGACCTAGCAGATTCCCTGAAAGGTCACAGCGTCTCTGGGTGATACTTTGAGAAATGCTGGCTTAATACAACAAAAAGTTTAAAACAACATAAAAATTTCAAATAATCTAAGATATTATAAATGACCCTCAATACTATTAAATAAAGAATAAACACAATTCTTATTAACTAAATCATATTTGTATTTTTGTCTTTTTATTCTCATATTATGCTGGCAGAATTACCCCTTCTCCTACTAAGAATAATCCTTTGTTTCTGCATTTCTCCTCTAGCTTGTTAGATGACTCTCCCTCTCACTTCACTCCAACCATTCCCTTAGAAAGTTTCCTTCTAGAAACACTTAAGCCTGCCGAGAGTTTCTCATAAAATAAATAAATAAATAAAATAAAGTCAGCCCTTTCTGTCTACTTCTGTCTTTCTCTTTCCTCTTTTCATAACAGAGAGGATTTTTTCTCCTTTTTACCTCACTGCTTTCTAAATTCACAGTCTAGTGATTAGGTTTCCAGATTTTGTTTTTCTGTAAACTAATTACACATTCTGTTTTGGAATTTGCTTCTTACATATTTATATGTCATTACATGTAAATTATATTATTTTTTAAACTATTATGTGGTGCTTCATTATATTGATGTACCAATATTTAATCTATTTCCTCTTGATGAACGTTTTAATTTTCCTGACTTTCTGCTATTAGAAAAAATATGAATAGGTATGGTGTATATGTTATTCATTTATATGTAAATGAATTTATATAAAATATAAATTTAAATTAATTTATATAATTTTTTTAAAAATTTTACTTTAAGTTCTGGGATACACGTGCAGAATGTGCAGGTTTGTTACATAGGTATACATGTGCCATGGTGGTTTTCTGCACCTATCAAACCATCATCTAGATTTTAAGCCCCACAGGCATTAGGTATTTGTTCTAATGCTTTCCCTCCCCTTGCCTTCCACCCCCGGACAGACCCTGGTGTGTGATGTTCCCCTCCCTGTGTCTGACTTCAAACTATACTACAAGGCTACAGTAACCAAAACAGCATGGTACTGGTGCCAAAACAGATATGTAGACCAATGGAACAGAACAGAGCCCTCAGAAATAACACCACACATCTACAACCACCCGATCTTTGACAAACCTGACAAAAACAAGAAATGGGGAAAGTATTCCCTATTTAATAAATGGTGCTGGAAAAACTGGCTAGCCATATGGAGAAAACAGAAACTGGACCCCTTCCTTACACCTTATACAAAGATTAACTCGAGATGGATTAAAGACTTAAATGTAACACCCCAAACCATAAAAACCCTAGAAGAAAACCTAGGCAATACCATCCAGAACATAGTGTAAATTTGACATATATGTGCATACTTATTATTATTATTATTATTTTTGAGACAGGGTTTTGCTCTTGTTGCCCAGGCTGTCATGCAGTGGCACGATCTTGGCTCACTGCAACCTTCTCCTCCCAGGTTCAAGCAATTCTCCTGTTTCAGCCTCCTGAGTAGCTGGGATTACAGGCACGTGCCACGACACCCAGCTAATTTTTTGTATTTTTCATAGAGACGGGGTTTCACTGTGTTGGCCAAGCTGGTCTCAAACTCCTGATCTCAGGTGATCCACCCACCTCGGCCTTCCAAAGTACTGGGATTACAGGCATGAGCCACCATGCCCAGCCCATACTTTTTAAGTATTATGGCACAGGTCTAGAAATTGAACTACTGGGATCAAAGATTATGAACATTTTAAATGTTAGTGAATATTGGCAAATTCTCCCCTAAGAGTTGGTATCAATTTACATTCCCACCAATAACTTAATTATGGCCAGACTTCTTGAGAGAGCTGTCTATAGCAATTCTCACTTTTACACTTCCTCAGTCACTTGATTCACTCCTCAGTCCATTTAATCTGGCTTCTGTCTGAACCACTCCATTGAAATTGCTCTTCCCAAAAGTGATTAACACACCCTTCTGGTTTCTAAATCCAGGGGAAGCTTTTCAGTCCTCTTCCTATGTGATGTGGCTGAGTGCCCTCTCCTTTTCTAATGGTTCTCTTCCCTTTTGTGACACCAGACATTCCTGCTTTTCCTCCTATGTCTTGGTCTTCTGGTTAGGGGCTTTAGGTGTTTATTCTTCTTACTCAGGTTCAGTCTGGGCCTCACATTCTTACTCCAAACCCTTTCCCGGATCCACCTCATTCCCCTGCGTGGTCTTATTGTCATCTAGACATCAGTACTCCTAAAGTCAGCCCTTACCTGAGATTCACTTCATACCAGACCTGCCAACTGGCATGCTCCACAGCAATCTCCACATTCCAAAGCTGACCTTTTCATTCCTCACTGCAACATACATCCCAAACTTGATTTCCTTCTTATGTTTCCTTTCTCAGCAAATAATAACACCATCTGTCCAGACGAACTTCAATCTTTTGTCCCTCACTTCCTTCTCTCTCTATGCTCAAATCCCCCACTATCCATATCCAGTTAATCACAAGTCCTATTGATTCTACCTCCAAAATATTTTTGTTTTCAGTGTAGCAATGTCAGGGGCATGTGAACCAGAGCAACCGTATCTTGAATAGGAGCTGGGTAAAATGAGGCTGAGACCTACTGGGCCGCATTCCCAGATGGTTAAGGCATTCTAAGTCACAAGATGAGATAGGAGGTTGGCACAAAATACGGGTCATAAAGACCGTGCTGATAAAACAATTTGCAGTAAAGAAGCCGGCTAAAAACCACAAACCAAGGCGATGATGAGAGTGACCTCTGGTTGCCCTCACAGCCACACTCCCACCAGCGCCATGACAGTTTACAGATGCCATAGCAACGTCAGGAAGTTGCCCTATATGGTCTAAAAGGGGAGGCATAAATAATCCACCCCTTGTTTAGCATATAATCAAAAATGGACAACCAGCAGCCCTCAGGGTGGCTCTGTCTAGGAGTATCCATTCTCTTATTTCTTTACTTTCTTAATAAACTTGCTTTCACTTTACTCTATGGATTCTCCCTGAATTCTTTTTTGCATGAAATACAAGAACCCTCTCTTGGGGTCTGGATCCAGACACCTTTCCTGTAACAACTTTTTCCATCCCCACTGCACTACCTTACTTCTGATCAACAGCATCGCTTTATCAGATAACTGCATCCACTTAAACATTCATCTAGTATTAATAGCAAATCCATCCAAGTCACCCTCTGGCTTACTATACTTCCGTGACTTCTCATTATACTTAGAAGAAAAGCCTGTAGGAATCTGCTGATCTCTCTAATCTCATGTCACTTCACCCTCCTCTCTGGCTCCTCTGGGGCTCACTGGCATCCTTGCTCTGCCTTTCACAAATGGGATTTCTTGACAGGGATCTTCTCCTGACTTCTTCAAATCCCAGTTCAAACCTCATTTTTTCAGCCATGACCTTCCCTAGGACCATATCTAAAGTAGGTGCCCAGTCACCTTCTCTAACATCACCAAAGTATTCCTTTTTTTTTTTTAACCATATCTCGAAGTGTAAATATTTGGTTTAAACATTTATTGTCTGTTTGCTTTATCTCCTTATAGAAAAAGTTCTATAAGGGTAAGTGGGAACCATGTATGACTTATTCTAAATACTTTTAGGACCTAGCATTTTCTAGTAGTTTGAAAAAATATTTATTGAATTTGAATGAATGAATGACCACTTTTTTTTTCCAATACACTTTCCACTCTAGAACCAAGGATATCTCTCTACAGCACAAGCTGGGTCTGTCCATCCTGCTTTTAAAACCCTTTGATAATTTTCTATTGCCCCCAGGACACAAAGCCCTTCAAATTCTGACTTCTGCTTTCCCCCTTTTTTTTTTTTTTTTTTTTTTTGAGACAGAGTTTCACTCTGTCACCCACGCTGGAGTTCAGTGGCATGATCTCAGCTCACTGCAACCTCCGCCCCCCACAACTCCCCTGACAAATTCAAGCGATTCTCCTGCCCCAGCCTCCTGAATAGCTGGGATTACAGGTGCCCGCTACCATGCCCAGCTAATTTTTGTGTTTTTAGTGGAGACGGGGTTTCACCATGTTGGCTGGGCTGGTGTCGAACTCCTGGTCTCAAGTAATCCACCCACCTTGGCCTCCCAAAGTGTTGGGATTACAGGCGTGAGCCACGGCACCCAGCCTCTGCTTTTCTTTTCTTTCTCTCCTTTCCCTAAATCCTTCTTATCGAATTTGACTCACTCAACCTATCAGCAGTTCCCATAAACTCCAGCTGTCCTCTGGACCTCAGCTTTTTCTGGCTCCTACAACTTTAATAAGACCTTTCTTCCCTTTCCCTTTCCAACTAATCAAGACTTTTTCTGAAAGGTCACCTCTGACGTCTACCATTGCACCCCGCCTTCCTGACCCTGGGGTGTGGGTTTCTTTCCATGGGCCCCCACTAGCTCTCTACCCCCCACTAAGTAATAGCTGTCAAGGGTATCGAAATCCTAAACCTTGAAACCTGTGAATTTTACTTTATATGACAAAAGGGATTTTGCTTTTTGGCAAAATCTTGAAATAGGGAGATGATCCTGGCTTTTTCAAGTGCATCCTAAATGTAATGACAAGTGTTCTTAAAGAGTGAGGGAGAGGGACATTTTATTACAGTTGAAAGAAAGCATACAATCAAGGAAACAAAGAAAAATTTAAAGATGCTATGCTGCTGTCTTTAAGATGGAGAAAGGGTCCAGAAGCCAAAAATAATGCCAGGAATGCAGCTCTAGACCCTGAAAAGTCAAGGAAACTGATTATCACCTCAGAACCTCCAAAAGGAACAACCAGCCCTGCCGACCTTGACTTTCGCCCAGTGAAACTGATTTTGGACTTTTGGTCTCCAGAACTGGAAGAGAAGAAATTTGTATTGTTTTAAGACACTAAGTGTGTGGTAATTTGTTGTAGCAGCAACAGAAAACTAAAACACCCACTCCCTATCATAGTTTTAACCCCCTATCTTGCAACTGCCTGCTATTTGTCCCTATCCCCCACGAGCTTGTAAGCTCTTTTTAGAGACAGGTTCTCACTATGCCGCCCAGACTGGAATGAAGTGGTGCAATCATAGCTTATTGCAGCCTCAACCTCCTGGACTCCAGTGATGTCTTTTCACTCCCAAACCCGGCCTCAGCCACCTAAAGTGCTAAGATTAAAATGTAAGCCACCATACCCAAACTTTCTATAAGCCTAGCAGAATACCTATCACAAATGTGCTCAATTGATATGTCTTGAATATTGTTAAATACATTATGGCATACCTACTGATATGGTTTGACTGTCCCCACCGAAATCTCATCTTGAATTGTAGTTCCCATAATCCCCATGTGTCATGGGAGGGAACCACTGGGAAATAATCGAATCGTGGGGCAGTTACTCCCGTGCTATTCTTGTGATAGTGAGTAAGCTCTCACCTGATCTGATGGTTTTATAAGGGGCTTCCACGGCACTCGGCACCGATTCTCTCTCCTGCCACCCTGTGAAGAGGTGTCTTATGATGCCATGATTGTAAGTTTCCTGAGGCCTCCCCAGCCATTCTTAATTGTCAATTAAACCTTTTTCTTTTGTAAATGACCCAGTCTCTGGTATGTCTTTATTAGCAGCATGAAAACAGACTAATACGGTAAATTTGTACCAGGAGCAGGGCACTGCTATAAAGATACCTGCAAATGTGGAAACAACTTCGGAACTGGGTAACAGGCGAGGCTGAAACAGTTTTGAGGGCTCAGAAGAAGACAGGAGAATGTGAGAAACTTTAGAACTTCCCAGAGACTTGGAGGGCTCAGAAGACAAGATTTGGGAAAGTTTGGAACTTCCTAGAGATTTGTTGAACAGCTTTGACCAAAATGCTGATAGTGATATGGACAATAAAGTCCAGGCTGAGGTGGTCTCAGATGGAGATGAGGAACTTTTTAGGAACTGGAGCAAAGGTGACTCTTTTTATGCTTTAGCAAAAAGACTGACAGCATTTTGCCAGTGCCCTAGAGATTTGTGGAACTTTAAACTTGAGAGAGATGTTTTAGAGTATATGGTAGAAGAAATTCCTAAGCAGCAAATCATTCAAGAGGTGACAGAGCATAAAAGTTTGGAAAATTTGCAGCCTGACGATGCAGCAGAAAAGAAAACCCATTTTCTGGGGAGAAATTCAAGCTGGCTGCAGAAATTTGCATAAGTAATAAGAAGCCAAATGTTAATCAACAGGACAACATGGAAAATATCTCCAGGGCATGTCAGAGACCTTCATGGCAGCCCCTCCCATCACAGGCCCAGATGCCTAGGCAGGAAAAATGATTTCCTGAGCTGGGTTCAGGGCCCCCGTGCTGTGTGCAGCCTTGGGACTTGATGCTCTGAGTTCCAGCTTCTCTAGCCATGTCTAAGAGGGGCCAAGGCACAGCTCAAGCTGTGGCTTCAGAGGGTGCAAGCCCCAAGTCTTGGCAGCCTTCATGTGGTGTTGGGCCTGCAGGTGTGCAAAAGTCAGTAATTGAGGTTTGGGAACATCTGCCTAGATTTCATAGGATGTATGGAAAGGCCTGGATGTCCAGGCAGAAGTTTGCTGCAGTTGGGGAGCTCTCATGGAGAAGCTCTGCCAGGGCAGTGAGGAAGGGAAATGTGGGGTCGGCACCCCCACACAGAGTCCCCACTGGGGCACTGCCTAGAGGAAATGTGAGAAGAGGGCCACTGTCCTCCAGACCCTAGAATGGTAGACCCACTGACAGCTTGCACCGTGCACCTGGAAAAGCCAAAGACACTCAATGCCAGCCCACAAAAGCAGCCAGGAGTGGGCTGTACCTTGCAAAGCCACAGGTGCAGAGCCACCCAAGGCCATGGGAGCCCATCTCTTACATCAGCATGACCTGGATGTGAGACATAGAGTCAAAGGAGATTATTTTGGAGCTTTAAGATTTAATTACTGCCTCTTTGGATTTCAGACTTGCATGGGACCTGTAACTCCTTTGTTTTGGCCAATTTCTCCCATTTGGAATGGGTGCATTTACCCAATACCTGTACCTCCATTGTGTCTAGGAAGTAACTAACTGGTTTGTGATTTTACAGGCTCATAGGCGGAAGGGACTTGCCTTGTCTCAGATGAGACTTTGAACTTGGACTTTTGAGTTAATGCTAGAAAAAGTTAAGACTCTGAGGGACTGTTGGAAGGGCATAATTGTGCTTTGGAATGTGAGGACATGAGATCTGGGAGGGGCCAGGAGCAAAATGATGTGGTTTGGTTGTGTCTCCACCCAAATCTCATATCAAATTGTAGTTCCCATATGCCCCATGTGTCGTGGGAGGGACCTGGTGGGAGATAATTCAATCATGGGGGCAGTTACCCCCATGCTATTGTAGTGATAGTAAGTTCTCACGAGATCTAAGGGTTTTATAAGGGCCTTCCCCCTTCGCTTGATACTCTTTCTTCTCCTTCTTGCCACCATGTGAAGGACTTGTTTGCTTCTCCTTCCATCATGATTGTAAGTTTCCTGAAGCCTCCCCAGCCATGCTGAATGGTGAGTCAATTAAACCTCTTTCCTTTATAAATTACCCAGTCTCAGATATGTCTTTATTAGCAGCATGAGAATGGACTAATACACCTACATAATAACTATCTATACATCCTTAACATGGAATTATAGAAAAATATCTAATGTCATTAAAAAGTGAGCAGAATATATTTAGTGAAAAGTGGGAGTTTCCAAAAAACATATTCACTATGATTCAAAATTTATAAATTATATATGTACTATGTGTAGCATATACAAAAAATTTAGTAACAGTCTCTAGATGTTGAGACCATGATCATTTCATTTTAACCTTTTAAACTATCTGTACTTAAATTTGTTTCTGCAATGAATAGATATTTGTTTTGTAATAGAAAAATATGATGCTTTGAAAAGAATGCTCTTCAACAATATTTAAGCTGGCCATGCGTCAATAACATAATACTGCTCTTAAAATGGTAAACTCTTGCACAGGGATGAAATTAGTAGCTTCTTCATGGAGAGATATAATCAAACCTATTATTTCTAACGTTTTCAGATGAATTATTTAATAATTAATATTCCTTTACCAGAAGGCAAAAAATAAAAGGCTTCAACTGAAGTGATTTAAAGAGCCTCCCTTTCTTTGCTGATATCTCTTGTGCATGTGTAAAATAATCATTAGAGAATAGCACTAATGCACTTCAGAGTCCTCAAGTAACAGTCCGATTTGGCAGCCATTAAAGGAGTTAGGCTTCTAGAAGTCCACCAGTAGGACTAAGACTGAGCTGAAGCTCCAGAAAACAAGAAGGCCAGTGCATCATCCGCCAGGTAAGAGAAGAAGGCTTCAGATTCCTAAGGAAAGAATTTCACAGTTGCTGTTCTTCACACTGGTAAAACCCTTCACTAACCGTAACTATTTCCCATATGGAAAAATCAGATCCCCTTTTCTTTCTTTTTTCTTCCTGTCCCAAACCACAACCCCTCTCTCTCACTCCTTCACCCTAAGAATAGATGCAAGATTCCATGTACCCTGTTTTATTAAAAAAAAAAATGAGCAATTAGATACAATGTTCTGGGCTTTCCAATCATATCATGGGCAGAACCTGTGCTTTTCTCAGGTCAGCCCTCCAAAGAAAACTCCACTTCACTAATCAAAGAACTCTCTTGTGGACACAAGACTGCAATCTGACTCAGCTAATGCCCAACTCAAGCTAGATGGAGCAGAGGCAGCATGACTGGATTTTCCCCCAGAAGAAGGAAATTTGACTATTTCTATCAATTACCAATCATAGTAGCATAACTTTTTGATTGCTTGAACAGAGAGAAAAGTACAAATGGTACTTTTCTTTGGGGAATTTCTAATAGCTGTTCTTAAAAAACCAAGTGGCATATGTAATGTATTTACTCTGTGAAGCTTTCAGTTATCTTTCAAAAAATGCATAGTTCTGATTTATGATGTGATTAGAGAGTAAACATGTGGCTTAAATGATCAGGTGTTCTGATTGTACAGAAAGAATATAAATAGATTGATGTATCATGGATTCATTTTCCTGCACTTTACTAATCAGAAATAACGTTCCATCCTGTTGATGTTGTATTTTTGCATGACTGATTGATTGATTGATTGATTTTGAGACAGAGTGTCACTCTGCCACCCAGGCTGGAGTGCAGTGGCACAATCTGGGCTCACTGCAACCTCTGCCTCCTGGGTTCAACTGATTCTCATGCCTCAGTACCCCAAGTAACTGGGACCACAGGTACATGCCACCACACCTGGCTAATTCTTGTATCTTTAGTAGAGACAGGGTTTTGCCAAGTTGGCCAGGCTGGTCTCGAACGTTCCATCCTGTTGACGTTGTATTTTGCATGACTGATTGATTGACTGATTGATTTTGAGACAGAGTGCCGCTCTGCCACCCAGGCTGGAGTGCGAACTTCAAAGGTCCCAAATATTCATAGGATAGAGGCCAATATTCTTATTGCAAAACTCCTTAAAATTGGCAGTTATATATAAATAAATATATAATATATTTATAATATATAATATATAAATAAACATATATATTATATATATTATATATTATATAATGATTAATATATTATATATTTATATATTATATATAATATTATATATTATATAATGATTAATATATTATATATTTATTTATATATAACTGCTAACTTTAAGGAGTTCTGCAATAAGAATATTGGCCTCTATCTTATGAATATTTGGGAATTTTGAAGTTTAAACTGATGTGACATGAGAAGCTTTATCCTAGAAAGATGGAGGAAGCCTAGCATTGAATAGCTGGGCATTTATTACTAAGTAATTTAAGAAACTTCCCAAATCTTATTAGTTCTGCTTTTGAAATCTGACCATTCCTTCCCCTGATGGAGGAGGCATCATTTATGGAATAGTCTCTTAAATGGCTCTCCCTGCTCTTGTCCCTCACTGTTCATCCTCTACACAGCAACCTTAGTAATCTTCAAACACAGAAATCAGACAACACTATATCGTTTTTCTTGACCAATGGCTTCCATTACACATAACATGAAATCCAAACTCTTCGCCAAAGGCCCTATTCTATTTTGGCCTCTGCACACTATTCTGCTTCAGTTCATAGCTCCCTTGCCCTCATTCACTACCTTCCAATCACACTGGCCTCCTTTTGGTCCCTTAAACATGGGAAGTTAATCCCCCATTAGAACATTGGCTGTTGTTTTACCTTAAGAGCTCCCCCTCCAAATCTTTACTTGGCATGTTCCTTCTCTTTGTCAGGAGAATCTCTCCGGGCTTGCTTTTAAATAAAGTATTCTAACAATTTTTTTAACCTAAAATAGGTCCTTCTTCCCCTAATCCATCTGAAACTTATTATTCTAAGTTGGTTTCTTCATAACATGAATCACGATCTAACAGAATCTCTTACTCACTTAGATACATTCTCATACATTCCAACCTTTCTGACAAAAGACAATGTTTGTGTATGGTCGATCTCTCCCCCTAGAATATAAACACCTTGAAGATAGGAATTTTATGTTTTCATTGCATTTCTACTCTCTAGAGCAGTGCCTGACATATGCTCAATGTTCACTGTCAATTCTGGAATGAGTAAATAGTAAATATCATCATTACATTTCTTGTTGGGGAGGGGGTACATCAGCAAGAAGTCACGAAACTTAACAATGTTGATAATGCTGTGTAAGGCAATTGTGTGTGTGTGTGTGTGTGTGTGTGTGTGTGTGTGTGTGTGTGTCTCTCTTAGCAGAGTGTGCCGAGGATTTCAGCTAAGCCACTACTTTTACATCCTAATTTCTCTGCTACCCCATTGGGAATTTCCTCAATGTTTTCAAGTGAAAAATTTACAGTCTCAAAGGATAGGTTGGCTTTTCTTGAAGGAAAATTTGCCTGTAAGAGGTACTAAATTCACTACAGTTCACTCACTGGTACTGTATTTTTCTATATTAACATACCAAATGCTTTATTTTTTTAAATTCAAAAATATTTAAGGATGCATTTTTGTATATTGTCATTGAATTGAAATATAATTATGCCAAAATTTGAGTTTACCTGGATGCAAACATACAAAAGGTTTTCTCCGAGTCCCTGAGGACAGTCTGTATGAAGCCTCAAAAATGCTTTCATCCAGACTAGACATGACATATGAATCACTGCAAACTCATTGAATGAAAAGTTAATGGGGAGGAAATTGCAGCCATAAAAAGAACTTTCAAAACATTTATAGCTATGATATAGAAATGGTATAGAAAGTGGTATGGTTCTTACTCTATTTCAGTAAGACAAAAATTAAGGTTTGACAGCCTATGCAAAGAATAAGTTCTCTCTTTGAAAATCCAGAGGATACGGTTACTCAGATTTATCTTAATAAATCTGGCCAGGCGTGGTGGCTCACGCCTGTAATCCCAGCACTTTGGGAGGCCAAGGTGGATCACCTGAGGTCAGGAGTTCGAGACCAGCCTGGCCAACATGGCAAAACCCTGTCTCTACTAAAGATACAAGAATTAGCCAGGTGTGGTGGCATGTACCTGTGGTCCCAGTTACTTGGGGTACTGAGGCATGAGAATCAGTTGAACCCAGGAGGCAGAGGTTGCAGTGAGCCCAAATTGTGCCACTGCACTCCCGCCTGGGTGGCAGAGCGACACTCTGTCTCAAAATCAAGCAATCAATCAATCAGTCATGCAAAAATACAACGTCAACAGGATGGAAAGTTATTTCTGATATATATATATCAGAACATTATATCAGATATATATACATATCAGAATGTTATTTCTGATATATATTTTTATATATATAATATATATCATATATTATATAATGATTAATTATTATATATTATATATACACACATTAATAATATATATTATAAAGGCCAGGCATGGTGGCTTACACATGTGATCCCAGCCCTTTGGGAGGCCGAGGCAAGCAGATCACTTGGGGTCAGGAGTTTGAGACCAATCTGGCTAACATGATGAAACCCCGTCTCTACTAAAAATGCAAAAATTAGCCAGGCATGTTAGTGCACGCCTGTAATCCCACCTACACAGGAGACTGAGGCACAAGAATCACTTGAACCTGGGAGGCAGAGGTAGCAGTGAGCCACAATTGCACCACTGAACTCCAGCCTGGGCAACAGAGCAAGACTCCATCTCAAAATAATAATAACATAAATTATATTAATATATAATATGTATATACACATTAATTAATAAATATATAATATATATACACACACATTTTCAGTTTCCACTCCTAATACCACCCTCTCTGTGTCCTGAACTTCAGCTGCACCAGATTACTAGGTCTTTCTTATGTCATTGTCTTGCACATGCTGTAAACTTTACCTGCAATGCCACTTTTTCCTCCTCTTTCATGTACCTGAGGAACTCTGAGTCATCATTCCAAACCCAAAAGACACTCCCATAATCCCAGAGACAAGTTAGTTGCTGCTTCCTCCAGGAGCTCATTGCAGCCCAACTAATCTTTTACATTGCATTCTAATTTTTCTCAATAGGCTAAGATCCCTGGGGCAAGGATTATGTTTTATTTGCATTCCTAGAACCTATGTCTCTTGAGTCCTTTAACTGCTTGTTGAAATGGATAAATGAATGAGTAAATCATGCTAAAAATAGTCAGTCATTGTATTCATTTGGTGACAGCATATTAGAACCTTCTAGAGAATTATTTAACTACTCTTCACATTGACTGCTGGTTTGAGAGTTGCCAAGAAATGTTTTCGCCACTTCTTGTGTGGTCTTATTAATAGCATTTCCTTTCTTCTCACAACCCACAGGTGTGATTTCAACACAAGACGGCTGGTCCTTTTTCTATAATGCCGTGGTGAATGTGCTAAATCCAGTGATGGAGAACAACCAGAAGGCAAGCAAGATGAGGACCAAGAAGAAAAAGTCCAAATGAAGCAGAACACCACTTTACTGAATGGTATCTGTCTCATATGGGGCATACAGTTGGCTCAGGTGTATTTGTGTCTGCCAAGGGAGTTCTGATGCATAGCGCTTCTTATGGGCTTTGGGCTTTCCCTGATTATTTGGGCCATTGCTGGATTTTTTTTCACTGTTTGGGGATTTATGTTATGCAGAGCCAGGAACCTCAGTCCAAAGTCAGGAGCAAGCTGTACATACAACATGCATGGAAGCTTTCAGTGAATTAATTCTCTTCATCCAGTCTTGGTCATCTTTACTCCTCACTGAGCCAACAGGATATGCCATAAACACAATCAATCAAATTTATAAAATATGTCATCGCACCACTTTGACCAGACTGTGAGTCCCCATACGAGGCGGTGAATTGGATCTTGGCCACCTGCCTATGTGAATGTAGTATTTTTCCCTTCAGACTCTAATCAAGGAGATTTCATAGGCTTTTTTTTTTTTTTTTTTTTTTTTTAGACAGAGTCTCACTCTGTCACCCAGGCTGGAGTGCAGTGGTGCAATCTCAGCTCACTACAATCTCTGCCTCCTGATTTCAAGCAATTCTCATGCCCCAGCTTCCCACGTACCCAACCAAGTAGCTGGGACTACAGGCATGCATCACCACACCAGGCTATTTTTTTGTAGGGACAGGGTTTTGCCATGTTGGTCAGGCTGGTCTTGAACTCCTGACCTCAAGCGATCTACCTGTCTTGGCCTCCCAAAATGCTAGGACTAAAAGCATAAGCCACTGCACCCAGACCATAGGCTATTTTTAAGGCCCTATCAACCTTATATTTTAAATTGAGCTGTGAGCCAATCTAATTGTGGGAAGTAGCTGTTTCTACTTCTAGTAATATTCAATTTTTAAACTTAGGGCCTTTTATCACCCTGAAAGTTGTATTCATTTATTGCAGATTATTTTAATTACAAATTTTATTTGTAATTTTATTTTTATTTTAATTAAATTTTATGAAAAATAGTTGGTCACTTCAGGTTCATTCGTAACTAATGGTTTATAGTTAGTGGGTGATGAACCTAGAATGAGAATCTAAATCTTGATAGTTTATTTCTGTTCCATTGCATTTCATTATGAATCATCTATATGTTAAAAACTGTGGGAACATAAAAACAAAGTCTTGTTCAATGAGCTAAGACACATAGCTTAAGCAAAAATAACATTCCATCAGAAATGTATGAACAAGTACTGTAATATTTCAAAGGTGAGAGAGAGAATATATGAATTACTTTTAAGAAACAGTTTCTTAGAGAAGGTGACTTAAAGATTGGATTTTGATGAACAAGAAATATGAGGATATATACAAGAGAGCATTTCATGAGCAGAATGAGCAATCTAACGGTGGGAAGTAGTCAGGAGGGAAGCCATGGCAACAAGGAAATAAGAGCTGTCTTCTATGTGAATGGCGTGCCTGGAGCTGTAAAAAAATACAAGGAAGCCTTAGTTTTCTCCACATAAGTAGAAGAGAAGCCTGCTGGGGTTCAGCTCAGGCCTTTGGACCTAACTCTGAGATCTCCTTTATGAAAATTTTCAGAGCTCATGAAGCCACTCTAATCATAGGGTAGGGAAAGGTAGGAAAGATAAACTAAGTAGGTAAGTTTAAGAACTACTGCGCAAAATCTATTTCTTTAGCATATAGAATGTAGTTTCATTTTCTTAAATGTAGATTTAAGAGTTTTATTTTTTAAACAATAGACTTTTGTCCTATTGAAAGTTTTCCATGAACACTGATTCTTGGAATGATGTGTTCCTGTGATGTAATTAGCATAATGTTACTTTTCACTTACTATATTCATTTTCTCTATTTATTAACTGCCTAAGTTTAAAGTGGGAGACCAAAGTGCAATATATTTTCACGCATGCCAAGGTCTCTACCCTCATCTTAACTATATCTGTGGGTGGCTATTTCAATATTAAAGGTAAGACCAAAAGCTAAGTATATGTAAGTAAATAAGCAAAAATTACCCATGGAGTAGTTAAATAAATATTAATTATATAAATATTAATTATATATCAGTGAATATCAACTACTATATTACATGAATATTAACCTATGATATAGTTTTTAGAGACTAGACTGATTAGTAAACTCTGAGTTAGCTAATATTACAGTTTAAAGAAATGTAAACACATACGCAAATTTGTGAAGCATTTCATATTTTTGAGGATCAAAAAACTACCTATCAAGTTCTATGCTAATTACCTTAGTGATGAAATAATCCATACACCAAACTCCTGTGACGTGCAATTTACCTAACAAACATAGGTCTTCCATGTTGCTCTATTTGTTGCTTGTCTCTATTTTTAAAAACATTTTTTAAAAAAAGTATCAGAGCTTACCTTAAAAAAAAAAAAGAAAATGTTATGACATCTCAGATGTAGCCACTATTAAATGTTCTAACTATGAAAAAAGTAAATCTATTTAGCTTTTCAATTTTCAGTGGCTTTTTGGCACAATTATCTCTTTCAATCATCAAAACCCATCTGTAGAATAAGCAAAGCAAGTATTATTCCCACTTTATAGATCAGGAAAGTGAGAATTAAGATGAAGTTTTTCCCAAAGTTACCCAGGAAAGCCACTCACTAAACCTTTTGCTTGAAAAATGGTAGCTCTGGGCCTGGCACAATGCTAAATACTGGCTATACAAAGACAAACAAGACATACTCCTGTCCTTCAGGAACCACATCACCATCTTGAACATGTCTTCAAAATCTTAGATATTATAAAACAAACTGCTTTAGTAACAGACTCCAGAAAAGCACTGTAACACCAAGTCAGGAAACAGATTCTAATTCAACTCTAGTGGTTTAGATCAGTTTGAAAAAATTACTGAAACCATGCTAAATTTGTTTTCTCAGCAATTAAATAAAAGTGACCCTGAGGTGAAATTCTTAGGACCTTCCAGTGTCAAAAATGTAATGAACTGGAGAACATTAAGAATTGATACCTGAGGCTGGGCATAGTGGCTCACATGAGCCTGTAATCCCAGCACTTTGGGAGACTGAGGCAGGTGAATCACCTAAGGCCAAGAGTTCAAGACAAGCCTGACGAACATGGTGAAACCCTGTCTCTACTAAAAATACAAAAATGGCTGGGTGTGGTGGCTCGTGCCTATAATCCCAACACTTTGGGAAGCCAAGGTGGGCCGATACTTGAGGTCAGGAGTTCGAGACCAGCCTGGCCAACATGATGAAACCCCATCTCTACTAAAAATACAAAAATTAGCCAGGTATGGTGGCATGCCCCTGTAATCCCAGCTACTAGGGAGGCTGAGGCAGGAGAATCGCTTGAAACCGGGAGGCGGAGGTTGCAGTGAGCTGAGATCATGCCATTGCACTCTAGCCTGACAGACCAAGACGCCATCTCAAAAAAAAAAAAAAAAAAAAAAAGAATTGATACTTGGAAGTCCAAAGTCAAATTTATATCACTGTGGCCAGGTGTGGTGGCTCAAGCCTAGGATCCCAGCATGTAAGGAGGCCAAGGTGGGAGGATCACTTGAGCTTAGCAGTTGGAAGGAAGTTACAGGGAGTTATGACTGTGTCACTGCATTCCCGCCTAGGCAACAGAGTGAGACCCTGTCTCTAAAAATTAAAACTAAAAAATAATTTATATCATTGCGTGATGAATATACCATGTCTTATTAGCTTGCTGCTTTGGTAAGGTAGATACTTTCTTAAAACCATTCTGATAATAGCGGTTGTTTTATTTGTTACTAAAGGGTTTAGGCCATGCAAATTAGCACCATCCGAAACTCAGATAACTCAAATTAAATAAAAAGTTTTGAAACACTTTATTTATTTATTTTTTATTATGTTATTTTATATTTTTATCATTATACTTTAAGTTCTAGGGTACATGTGCACAATGTGCAAGTTTGTTACATATGTATACATGTGCCATGTTGGTGTGCTGCACCCATCAACTCGTGATTTACATTAGGTATCTCTCCTAACGCTATCCCTCCCTCCTCCCCCCACCCCACATCAGGCCCTGGTGTGTGATATTCCTCTTCCTGTGTCCAAGTGTTCTCATTGTTCAATTCCCACCTATGAGTGAGAACATGCGGTGTTTGGTTTTCTGTCCTTGTGATAGTTTGCTCAGAATGATGATTTCCAGCTTCATCCATGTCCCTACAAATGACATGAACTCATCCTTTTTTATGATTGCATAGTATTCCATGGTGTATATGTGCCACATTTTCTTAATCCAGTCTATCATTGATGGACATTTGGGTTGGTTACAAGTCTTTGCTAGTGTGAATAGCACCACAATAAACATACATGTGCCTGTGTCTTTATAGCAGCATGATTTATAGTCCTTTGGGTATATACCCAGTAATGGGATGGCTGGGTCAAATGGTATTTCTAGTTCTAGATCCTTGAGGAATCGCCACATTGTCTTCCACAATGGTTGAACTAGTTTACAGTCCCACCAACAGTGTAAAAGTGTTCCTATTACTCCACATGCTCTCCAGCACCTGTTGTTTCCTGACATTTTAATGATCGCCATTCTAACTGGTGAGAGATGGTATCTCACTGTGGTTTTGATTTGCATTTCTCTGATGGCCAGTGATGATGAGCATCTTTTCATTTGTTGGCTGCATAAATGTCTTCTTTTGAGAAATGTCTGTTCATATCCTTCATACACTTGTTGATGGGGTTGTTTTTTTCTTGTAAATTCGTTTGAGTTCTTTGTAGATTCTGGATATTAGCCCTTTGTCAGATGAGTAGATTGCATAAATCTTCTCCCATTCTGTAGGTTGCCTGTTCACTCTGATGGTAGTTTCTTTTGCTGTGCAGAAGCTGTTTAGTTTAATTAGATCCCATTTGTCTATTTTGGCTTTTGTTGCCATTGCTTTTGGTGTTTTAGACATGAAGTCCTTGCCCATGCCTATGTCCTGAATGGTATTGCCTAGGTTGTCTTCAAGGGTTTTTATGGTTTTAGGTCTAACATTTAAGTCTTTAATCCATCTTGAATTAATTTTTGTATGAGGTGTAAGGAAGGGATCCAGTTTCAGCTTTCTACATATGGCTAGCCAGTTTTCCCAGCACCATTTATTAAATAGGGAATCCTTTCCCCATTTCTTCTCTTTGTCAGGTTTGTCAAAGATAAGATGGTTGTAGATGTGTGGCATTATTTCTGAGGGCTCTGTTCTGTTCCATTGGTCTATATCTCTGTTTTGGTACCAGTACCGTGCTGTTTTGGTTACTGTAGCCTTGTAGTATAGTTTGAAGTCAGGTAGCATGATGCCTCCAGCTTTGTTCTTTCGGCTTAGTATTGCCTTGGCAATGTGGGCTCTTTTTTGGTTCCATATGAACTTTAAAGTAGTTTTTTCCAATTCTGTGAAGAAAGTCATTGGTAGCTTGATGGTGATGGCATTGAATCTATAAATTACCTTGGGCAGTATGACTATTTTCATGATATTCATTCTTCCTATCCATGAGCATGGAATTTTCTTCCATTTGTTTGTGTCCTCTTTTATTTTGTTGAGCAGTGGTTTGTAGTTCTCTTTGAAGAGGTCCTTCACATCCCTTGTAAGTTGGATTCCTAGGTATTTTATTCTCTTTGAAGCAATTATGAATGGGCGTTCACTCATGATTTGGCTGTTTGTCTGTTATTGGTGTACAAGAATGCTTGTGATTTTTGCACATTGATTTTGTATCCTGAGACTTTGCTGAAGTTGCTTATCAGCTTAAGGAGATTTTGGGCTGAGACAATGGGGTTTTCTAAGTATACAATCATGTCATCTGCAAACAGGGACAATTTGACTTCCTCTTTTCCTAATTGGATACCCTTTATTTCTTTCTCCTGCCTGACTGCCCTAGCCAGAGCTTCCAACATTATGTTGAATAGGAGTGGTGAGAGAGGGCATCCCTGTCTTGTGCCAGTTTTCAAAGGGAATGCTTCCAGTTTTTGCCCATTCAGTATGATATTGGCTGTGGGTTTGTCATAAAGATCTCTTATTATTTGGAGATACGTCCCATCAATACCTAATTTATTGAGAGTTTTTAGCATGAAGCGTTGTTGAATTTTGTCAAAGGCCTTTTCTGCATCTATTGAGATAATCATGTGGTTTTTGTCTTTGGTTCTGTTTATATGCTGGATTACGTTTATTGATTTTCATATGTCGAACCAGCCTTGCATTCCAGGGTTGAAGCCCACTTGAACATGGTGGATAAGCTTTTTGATGTGCTGCTGGATTTGGTTTGCCAGTATTTTATTGAGGATTTTTGCATTGATGTTCATCAGGGATATTGGTCTAAAATTCTCTTTTTTTGTTGTGTCTCTGTCAGGCTTTGGTATCAGGATGATGTTGGCCTCATAAAATGAGTTAGGGAGGATTCCCTCTTTTTCTATTGATTGGAATCGTTTCAGAAGGAATGGTACCAGCTCCTCCTTGTACCTCTGGTAGAATTCGACTGTGAATCTGTCTGGTCCTGGACTTTTTTTGGTTGGTAGTCTATTAATGATTGCCTCAATTTCGGAGCCTGTTATTGGTCTATTCAGGGATTCAACTTCTTCCTGGTTTAGTCTTGGGAAGGGGGTATGTGTCCAGGAACTTATCCATTTCTTCTAGATTGAAACACTATTTTTTCACCAAACGTGTATTGAACTCTTGGAGGAGAAAAAAATAGAGAAGAAGTATTCTTGCCCTCAAGGAGATCAGATTAGGGATAAAAGAAGAAAACAAAAACAAAAACAACCAAATATAATGTACCTGTCTACTAGGAACAATCAGGCCTTAGGAGCTGGAAAATCTTCACCAAATCCAATATGGAAATTAGAAAGAAAGTGGCATTCTGACCCTCAGTTCTGTAAACTCAAACACAGATTTTGGCACTAGGCTGATAATAAACTTTTTTAATAAAATCAGAATGCAATGCCATTTTTAAGGGCAAGTAATAGAACTGCTGCTGGGCCTCCATAATTTCTTGGGGAATACCTTCTCTTCTAGTAGTCAGATTTGTGCTCAAGCCTAAATTGTAAATAAAGGAACATAGATAGGGGGCGTCTAGTCATCTTCCCAACAGAAATACTGTAAATGGGGCTTTAGACTTGAGTATTTGCCCAAGAAATGCATGAATGGATACTACAAGGATAACTTCTCTGACCTTCTGCCACCAATTTTAATTAGCTCATTCTTTAGGTATGTTAATACTTCCTAGAAAACTAGCTGTTTTTCAAATTATAAACTATTTCATATGTACAGAATATAACAAGGATTTCATGTACCACACACATAAGGTGTTAATATTTTACCATATTTGTTTCCAGAGTTTTTTTTTTTTTTTTTGAGACAGGGTCTCGCTTTGGCACCAAGGCTGGAGTGCCATGGCATGATCATAGCACACTGCAGCCTTGAACTTCTGGCCTCAAGCAATCCCCCTGCCTCAGCCTCCCTAAGTGCTGGGATTACAGATGTGCACCACTATGCCAGCCTCTTTCAGATTTTAAGAAATAAAACACTATAAATAGAAGGAAAGCTTCATCTCCTTATCTTTCTCTCATCATCACCACCTTTTTTCTCCTCAGTTTAAACAACTATCCTAAGGTAAATATGAATCATTTCCAAGTACTTTTTACAAATCTGACTACATATGAATATATCCATACATAATTATGTCATTTCATAAATGGTACTACACTGTTCATATCCATTTGCAACTTGAGGTTTTCTCTCAACTTACTGGATGCGTTGAGGCACATCCATATCTCTATGTCTTGCTGCATTTGCCATAGTGCACACAGCAGAAAAGTGGACGAAGCTGAACTCTACCTCAGGAGGGGAGTAGACTATTTCTTTAAGACAACTGCAAATCTCTCCTCTAATCCTTCATGTCATGACTTTTTCCCCACTCTTCCAGTAAGCTTTTATTATCACTTAAGTCATGATTCAGGGTCCCACGATGAGCTCCATGTACCCAAGTCCCCCTTTATCACCCTGGGAGAAGGACTTAGGACCGAGGAAAAGTGGGGCAGAACTCATTCTCATCTTTCCAGGAATTGTGGCTTCTGCCCCGTGGTCACCCCAGGTTAAGACCCAGAATATGATGCTGGGGGATTTGTACACATTCCCACTACCATTTGCACCCAGAGACATCACTCTCTTCAGACATCATTACCTTTCCACAGTGGTAGAAATCTGGGTAGTTCTGCCAGCAGTTCCTGAACTGGCTCTGGTTGGGGAAGCAGCTGTCAAAAGCGGCAGTTCTGTAGTTCTTGACATGGGTCTCGATATATTCTGCTATGTTGCTAACTCCTAAAGATGCCCCTGAGATACCTCTCAGCTCAGTGTGACCCTCAGCAAAGACTATCATGATTTTTTAATTTACTGGGCAGAGAGAAATCTTATTATCAAACTCTTGAAAGAAATAGCATTTTTGTCAATGGTACTATTCACACAAGTAACACTTGCAAAAGGTCAGGGAAAATGAGTTGTGTACATTAATAGCCAGGAAAAGATTAAAATTGAAAAGATGGCCCTACATGTCTTGGGAAAATTTTCTTCAAACTACTGATGTGTGAAACATTTTTAGAATGTTGTTGTGTTTGAAAAAGCTCATTGAAAATACCTGGAGAAATTTTTGAAAGGCAAAGAGTTAGAAAATGAACTAACGTGATATAAAGTTAAAAAGCTTTTGCTGAGCAAAGGATACAGTCAACAAAGTGAAGAGACAACCCACAGAATAGGAGAAAATATTTGCAAACTACCCCTATGATATCCAAGTTGTAAGACAAACTCCTCTTTACTCTTCCCTCTCCTCTCCCCAAGCAAAAGAAAGAACTCTCTTCTGGGGCTGTGAGCTGTGCTGCCTTGGTATGCGGGGAGGGGTGACACACACACTCCCTTGGCCACCTGGGCTGGTGTCTCACTAGGTCATATGCCTGCCAAATCTACTGACTCTGCGCCCAGCACAGCACCAGGACTTGCCCAGGAATCACAGTTCTTGCGGCTTAGACTACCTTTCAACTTTATTTAGGACCCAGAGCGCTTTAGTCCACAGTGCCGAGGCTTGCCAGAACACAGGTTCTGACTACTGGGATAGGCTACCCGCTCTGGATAGGGCTGGTCTAAATGCTCCCTCCATGGGTGGTGGCTGAGTTCTGTCCCGTGTTGCTTTTCACTGTGACAAGGTAGCACCGAGTTCCAATGCAAAGTCCACAGATGCTGCATTCTCCCACCCCCAAGGGCACAGGCTGTCTTTGTACCATGTGGCCGCTGCTGAGGAATGCTGGAAGAGCATTGTCAGCAATTTAAGGCTGTCTTTCTTATCCTATTCAGTGCCTCTTTGGGTAATGTGAGGTTAAAACCAGGTACTATGATCATGCACCTGCTTGTTTGTCATGAAGGTGCTTTTTGTGTAGATAGTTGTTAAAGTTGGTGTTCCTGCAGGGAAGACTATTGGTGGAGGCTTCTATTCAGCCATCTTGCTCAGCCTCCACAAATGCTTTCTGTGAATTTTTTTAAAGCAGTCAGACATAGAGAGAATAAAACAGTGATTACCAGGGTTGGAGTGTGGGATAGGAATTGGGAAGATATTAGGCCAAAGGATACAAATTAGCAAATATATACGATGAACAAATGGAAAGATCTAATATACAATGTGAGGACTATAGTCAATAATAGAATGTTATATTCAGGATTTTTTCTAAATGAGTAGATTATAGCTACTCTTGCCATAGGGGGATAAAGGAGTAACTGTGTGAGACGATGGATATGTTCCTTTGTTCCACTATAGTGACCTTTTTACTGTATATGTGCATCTTATAACATCATGTTCCATATCTTAAATACACATAATGATTTTTTTTAAAGAGTCAGCCTTTTCCAGGATGTGGGAAAGGATTTGCTTGCAGCAGCTAAGTAACATGACATACTGTACGTAGTTGTTGGCCAGGATAATTACACAGCAAATCACTTATGTGGAAAAATACTCAGTAGACGAATACAAAGAGACAGGAGCCACTTGATGAGCATAGCAAAACAAGCTGTGAAAAATAAATACACATACACACGCTCTGCTCTAATGTTCTTAAAATCCCCCCCGTCACACACTGCAGTTCCCTGTTTGGCCATCTCAGCTGCCCTAAAGCTGGCTAGAAAAATGATGGGCAATTAGAACGCTGCTCAGCAAACCAATTACAAAAAGAAATAAGATTAGAGTATGGACATGTTTGGAAGAAGATTTAGGGGAAATCTTTCTAGTTTGAAATGGTGAATATTAAAGATGGAGCAGTTCCCACAATCATTTGAGTCTATTTTTTATTGAAATTATAATAACAAATTAGCTTTGCTAATCTTATTTCATTTACTACAACAAACCCTATGAAATTTTTGCTGCTCATGGTATAATTGTCCTTATCTTTGAGATGGGTAAACCAGATCATTCAGAGTGATGTAAGAGGGATTTATCCAAGACTACATGCCAGTGAGTGGGAGAGCTCAAGGCTCAATCTCAGACCTTTTTTTTTTTTTTTTGGTGCAGTGATGTGATCATAGATGACTACAGCCTAGAACTCCTGGCCTCAACCACCCACAGTGCTGGGATTCCAAGTGTGAGCTACCATGGCCAGCCAATCTCACGTCTTCTGACTCCAGCTACTATGGCATTTCCGCGACACTATGCCTTTTCTTGCCAGTGATGAGTGAGGTCAGCTGCTATCCAGTAAACGAAATGGCTCCAGTTTTTCATTTCCTCTTGATTGTCTTGTCTAGTGGTTGCATTAAATCTGGAAGTACTTGGTCCTGTCTGCCTCCAGCCTACTGTTCCCCTGACTCCTGATAAGTGACTAAACAAAATGACAAGTACAAGGGGATTTCCAGTGCTACTGGCTTGTTTCTGTGTGGTCTTTGATTTTTCAAGAGTAATGAGCAAAAAAAAAACAGAAAAGAAAAAAGAAAAAAATGTCTCTTATATATGCCATCTAAATTTCTCTCCCTTTCTTTCCATGTGTACTTACATAGAAATACCAGTTGCTGTGTTTGCACAGCACCCAGCTGATAATAGCGAAAGCCTCTCATTCTTCACACCCATTTCCCAGGCTCTTTAATGTGGGCTCAAGGGAAGGGCACCTCCCCTGCAGTTTAAGCGTGATCCAAGTGGAATGATTCACACCAGGCCCTGCTCTTCTTTTCAATGTAAGTAAATCTGATGTGTATCTTACAGAAACTGTTATTGGCAAGAATTCCTCCCCTGTCCCACTCATGTTCTATATTCATATTTCTGAGGATATTCACAGATCTCTACCCATATTTAAGTTAAGGGAAGTGCATCTTAAAGCTTCTTAAATCTATGAGAGACCTAAGATCCTGGGCCAGAGACTGACCAGAAACAAGCAGGACATAGGGTCTGAAGAAGCACATTCCTCCCTCAGGTCCTCCGCACACCTTCCTTCCCCTTTGATGGGACAATCAGGAGGCAGTGTCACATCTGTCCTTACTGAGTTCTTGCTAGTTTTTTTTAAATCTATTTATTTATTTATTTATTGACTGGATTATGAGACCAGCTAATTTTTGTATTTTTGGTAGAGAGGGGATTTTTACCATGTTGACAAGTCTGGTCTTGAACTCCTGGGCTCAAGCTATTCTCCTGCCTCAGCCTCCTGAGTAGGCGGGGCTACAGGTGCATGCCACCATGCCCGGCTAATTTAGAGATGGGGTTTCACTATGTTGGCCAGGCTGGTCTTCAACTCCTGACCTCAAGTGATCCACCAGCCTCGATCTCCCAAAGTGCTGGGATTACAAGCGTGAGCCACCGCACCCAGCTCCATTAGTTTTTGAGTTTGTAATCTTAATTACAGTATAGTCATATAAACATTAGTTTTTCTTCATGAAATAACTGTGATTGAAAGTCGTTTCTTCCCCTGACTATACACTATGCTTTCAGGTTATACTTGTGTTTTGCTGTTGTTGTTCTTGCTGCTGATGCTTTATGGATTTCAAAATGACGGAAAAGGAAAACAGCATAGGGAAGCTGATCCTCTTCCACACCCAGAGGGCCATTCTGCTGCCTCTCTTCCAGACACAAAAGGAGACAGAGCAGACATTCATGTGGCTGAATTCCTAATTTTCCATTATAGCTGCCAGCATGTGTGAAAACAAGCATAAAAACCAAAGACTTACCTTAATCTTCATTTCAGTCTATTTGGCATTTCTTGCACTTCCAAGTCTGAGGGATGAGTTATCTACCACAGCTAGGAAAATTTATCTCTATGCATTTACATTTGAACATTTTTACCAACTAAATAAAAGATAGATTGCTCTTAACTACTGCAAAAAGATGATTACTTTTTTCTAATATATGACTAAAATTTCTGCCCTATCTAGTTTTTTACATAGAAAGGTTAATTTCTATGAATCATTGCAAAGATAAAAATAAATTTTGATTAAAAATATTTATTCAATGGAAATACTATAAAGGGAGGATTTTAATATTGTTTCTACTGATGTAACTTGTCTTAATGGAAAACATCAGTGGATCATGGCTTTGGGAATCTCAGACTCATAATAATTACCACCTGTTTTGTGTTTGCAACGTGCCAGACACGGTAGTAGAGACCAGGATTTCAGAAATAAGTTAGATGTAATTCTGTCCCCAAATAATTTATGCCTAATAATAAAAACAGGTTTATGTCCACTTTGGATGAAATGAGTTGCTCTCATTCTGTTGCTCAGGCTGAAGTGCAGTGGCACAATCTCATCTCACTGCAATCTCATTGTTCCAGGTTCAAGTGATTCTTGTGCCTCACCCTCCCGAATAGTTGGGATTATAGATGTGCACCAACACACCCACTAATTTTTGTATTTTTAGTAGAGACAAGGTCTTGCCATGTTGGCCAGGCTGGTCTCAAACTCCTGGCCTCACGTGATCCACCCACCTCAGCCTCCCAAAGTGCTGGGATTACAGTCATGAGCCACTGTGCCCAGCTGGAAGCCAAGATTTTAATGCAAAATAAGAATTATCTAGGGTGAAGCTACAATATTGTGAAGGGAGTACAGAGCTGGCTTGAGATTAGAAAGGTTTTCTAGAGAGGTCACCCTCTCTAGAGTCAGTTTCAAAGTTGGGTAATACCAAGTGATTAACAAATACATCAACAGTTAAGGGCAGTTTAGGTGAACAGACTATGTGCAGATCATCTAACATAGTCACTGAAGATTAAGTAAGAATAAGAAATAGGCCTTGCTAAGCACTATAGGGAGGGAAGACAACCTAACCGATAATTATGTTAAGTATTATAACAGAAGCGAGCACAATGTCCAAAAACTGCATAGAGGCGGGTATTTCACTCAGCTCTGCAGATCAGAAAGGCTTCCCAGAACAGTAATGCTTTAGCTGAATCTTAATGAATAAGGATTTTTCCTGTGGTCAGAGAAGTGGGAAGGAAAGGACAGTTAAGGAGAGATTATACAGAAGATATTGGAAATGGAATGGATAATTTGTGCTCAGTCATTCGGCACTCACTATGTGCTAGACACTGGATGTTATCACAAGATGGGGTGGAGATTGATCTTGGACAAGACATACAGCAGCCAGATCATCTTTTTAAAAAGTAAATCACATCATTTTACTCTCCTATTCAACAACCTCCAAAGTGTGCTCCCCTTGCAAGCATAATAACTATTGTGGGTTCTTAGCATGACCCACACTGTCCAATATGATCAGTTCCCAAAAAATTTCGACAAGCTCACCTCCTGCCACATGCACTTACTCCCTCTGGCATTTTTTCTGTTTTGTAGGACAAACCTTTGGCTTCCCCAGGGGATTTTCTCCCTCCACCTGGAATGCTCATTCCTCATCATTTAGGTCTTAGCTCAGATGCTTTCAGAAGCCTTTCATTATCACCATATGAGAGTAACCCTCTTCCCCCAACGCCCTGCCTTAGACAATCTCAGTCTCATCTCCCTGTTTTTCGTTGTTGTTTTTTTTTCCTTTTTTTTTTTTTTTTTTGAGATGGAGTTTCACTCTTGCCACCCAGGCTGGAGTGCAATGGCACCATCTTGGCTCACTTCAACCTCCACCTCCTAGGTTCAAGTGATTCTCGTACCTCAGCCTCCCAAGTAACTAGGATTGCAGGCACTCACCACCACGCCCAGCTAATTTTTTGTAATTTTAGTAGAGATGGGTTTCACCATGTTAACCAGGATAGTCTCAATCTCTTGACCTCGTGATCCACCCACCTCGGCCTCCCAAAGTGCTGGGATTACAGGTGTGAGCCACTCTTAGGCCCCATCTCCATTTTACTCTCATAGTATTTATTACAATCTTAAAATGCCCATTTCTTTGTGTTATCTGCCTCCTCCAACAATACTCCACAGAAACAGAGATCTTATTTGTCTCTTAGACACTGCTCTAGCTTCAGCATCTAGAAGACTTGGCAATTATCTATTGGCTAAATGAATAAATAATGACCTTGAGAGTGAGTAAGCTGAGGGATGTTCATGATCACGAGAAGTGAGATTAGTTTAAAGAGCTTTCCTGGGTAAGAGTAAGCTCAGAGTAGGAAACTGAAAGGCGGATTGATGAAGATATAAATAATAATCCATGAGGAACTACATTATAAAAGTTTCTTTAAAAAGATTCTTAACATAGTAAGCATGACTGTATACATTGTGAGTATACAAACCTGGAAATTTATACCAGTGAATTTAAAATTGCATCTCTATAACACCATAAATCAATTTATTGTTTTGGCAAAGTATGGTAGCTATGCTGTCTCTTCTGTTGGAAGACATCTTTCAACTCATTATCTATTATTCTTTTAGCTACTGATTCTATGCCAGGCTCTCAATTATAGGATTCATGTGCTTAAGGAAAATATAGCCTGAAAGACCAAATCCAATCAAAGTAGGTAAAATATATACTGTCTGAAATTGCCTCACCATATGGCTTGAGAATTTCTCAACTAGCATTTATTTATGCATTATTTGTATGGTTTTTTATTTTTAAAATTTCCTTTTTTTCTTTGTTCATACCGAGTCCTGCACGTCTTATTAATTTTTTAAATAAAAGAAATACCTATGAGAAAGAGGCCAGGCATGGTGGCTCACGCCTGTAATCCCAGCACTTTGGGAGGCTGAGGCAGGTGAGTCACCTGGTTTCAGAAGTTTGAGACCAGACTGGCCAACATGGGGAAACACCGTCTCTGCTAAAAAAAACACAAATATTAGCTGGGCATTGTGCTGCCACCTGTAATCCCAGCTACTCGAGAGGCTGAGGCAGGAGAATCACTTGAACCTGGGAGGCAGAGGTTGCAGTGAGCTGAGATCGCGTCACTGCATTCCAGCCTGGGTGACAGAGTGGGACTCCATCTCAAAAAGAAAAAAAAAATACCTATGAAAAACAAAGACAACTTTTTAAAAACCTACTCTTTATCAAACATACATACCTAGGAATTTATCGTAAGGATAAAATTTAACAGAATTGAAAAGATAAGTGTGGCAATGTTAACTTGTTAACTATACTCTTATTTGTAAGAATAAAAACAAACAATAACAAAAGAAACTATGCATCAACTTGGAGGAGAATTCCGTGGCTTATAAAAATGATATCCCAAAAAACATAGAAAAATATTTATGATTACATATCAAATGAAAATAGCAGAGCCTGACATGGTAGCCTGCGCCTAGGATCCCAGCTGTTTGTGAGGCTGAGGCAGAAGAAGCGATTGAGGCCAGGTGCAGTGGCTTACGCCTGTAATCCCAGCACTTTGGGAGGCCAAGGCGGGCAGATCACCTGAGGTCAGGAGTTCGAGACCAGCCTGGCCAACATGGTGAAACCCTGTCTCTACTAAAGATGTGAAATTATCTAGGCATAGTGGAGGATGCCTGTAATCCCAGCTACTTGGGAGGCTGAAGCAGGAGAATGGTGTGAACCTGGGAGGCGGAGCTTGCAGTGAGCCAAGATAGATCGCGCCACTGCACTCCAGCCTGGGTGAGAGAGAGAGACTCCGTCTCAAAAAAAAAAAAAAATTGATTGAGCCCAGGAGTTTTTGAGTCTGCGGTGAGAGCTATAATCATTCAACTGCGCTCCAGCCCAAGTGACAGAGCAACACCTCGTCTCTTAAAAAGAAGAAAGAGAAAATAAGAGAATACAAAATAACATTAGTAGTATAGCATGTTGGGTCAAAAACAGATTTTTGGAATATGACAATCCTGATCCAAATCACATTTAGTTACTTAGGAACTATGTGACTTTGGGCATGTTCCTTATCCTTACTAAGGCTCTGTTTTCTCATTTGTAAACTAAGAATACCAATAGCACTAATTCTATCACATAGGAACAATGCTTTTGTTAACTGGAATTCACATTTAAAAATTTTATCGGAATGCCCCCATTAAAAATATTCATTTGAAAGTCATTTACACTCAAAAATTTCACCTTCTTTGCAACATACTTTATATCTTAGATTTAAATTTCCATGTTCATCATGAAATAACTGACAGAATCTACTGCTGTGTTGTCAAATGTTTTGCAGAACTCGATAACTCTACACTCTTCACAGTGAATAAGCCTTAAAAATTAAAACTAAGCAACTGAAAATAGAGTGCTAGTTATTTAAGGAAGTTATGGCTCTCATTGTTTTTTTCTTCCATTGCATTCATGGCTCAACATCAAAGCCATTTATCTTATGAAAGGACTTCAATAAAGTTTCATTAGAAAACTTAATTAAGAGAAGTTGAAATATTAACAGAGTAGAAAAGAAGGAAATAATGATCAATCACATAAAATAGGAAAAGAAAGCAAAATTAGTGAAAAAGTACTTGTACAGAGAACAGATGAAATGGGTTAATGAAATGGAATAATAAATCTGTGTATAACTTTCACAGATGGCTATGATTCCAGATATGATATCTACATGCAGCATTTAGTATACTTGATAGTTTCTTTTTAACTCACTCAGCAATTGTAAATCTATAAAATTTAGAAATGCTGAGATAATATGACTTGCTGTTTCTGGCTCATGGATTTGTCACTCAAGGCTGTGATACAAAACACATTATCAAGCTCACCAGGCTGCCTCTTTCATTCAGTGGAAGAGGGCTGTAAAGGATACCATATTTGCCTACAAATGTTAACTAGCTCATTTGCTCCTGCATCATTGGCAGCACTTCATGAATGTCATAAATACCAACAGGCATTTCTATTGCCTCTTTTATAATAAGTTTATTGAGATATTTATACTTTTCTACCTAGAGATGTTTTTGATTATCATCAGTGCTACAAATTGGGATAACTGCAGTAGTAGATCCCAAGAGATTTCTATCCTGATAATTGGGGGTGGGAGTAGATGTGTTTCTTAGTTGGAAGGCACAGTTAAAAGTAATTTTAGTGGGCACAGTGCATCCACCTATAGTCTCAGTCACTCAGCAGGCTGAGCTGGGAGGATCGCTTTAGCCCAGGAGTTTGAGCCCAGCCTGGGTAACACAATGAGACCCCATCTCAAAAAATGATAATAAATAAATAATAATTTTAGTTTCCCATTCACTTGATGCTTTTCATGATCAAGCGAAGGTTGGGCTAAAGATTCCAGTATTAGGAGGTTCCCAAAGACAGTTGAGAGTTGTATTTTCACGGGATCAATTTTCCTGGGGCTTAGGGCGATCTTAAAAGTCACAATCAGCTCTGAATTTGTTGCTACACAAGCAAAACTAAACTTATAAATCTGGACCCATTGCTATATATCACCTACATAACAAGATGGGGCCATGCAGTGGAGTAGAATAAGGTGACCATAACGGAAGAAGCTGTAAACATCTTACACTGGAAAAATAGTGGAATAAAGAGCAGTGTCAGAGAAAATAGGCCATGTGGTAGCTCCAACATTTATGTAATCATTTATTTTGCTTCCTTGTATCCCTAGCTAAGCCTCTTCTTCCTCTGTGTGTGTGTGTGTGTGTGTGTGTGTGTGTGTGTGTGTGTGTGTTTGGTTGTGTATCCTCTTCCTGATAAGATTCCCTCTTTACACCGGTACAATCAACTCCTTAATTGGAATTAGAATTTCTCTGTCTGGAATTTATACATATATCTTAGGATTGTATTTACCAGTAAAAAAAGCCCTTCAAGTTTACAAAGACTATATGGTAAGAAATCTAAGCTTAATTTTCCTTTCATTGCACTACTTGACTTACAACAGTAACCATGCAAATGGATTTATGCTTCAATGTGTAAAATGAAAGGACTTTCCTCCTTCACTTCGCACATGTACACATACACATCTGAAGGCATTTAGCAATGTGTCCAGCACAAAACAGACACTTAATTAATGTTACTTTCTGTTTCCTTTTGAAGAACAGTGTGTTAGCCACCTACACAACACATTAAGGAATTAATGGGCAAAGCAAAAGGCCAAGAGAGAATAGCTCAGTAGTTAGAAATATGAGCTTCGGTATCAGACCGGATTTTGAATTCTGGCCTTACCATTTAGCAGCTCTCTGTCCTTAGAAAGATCACTTAAACTCTGATTCTCAGTTTCCTCTGGTACAAAGTGAGGATAATACTACTTAGGCCATAGAATGTTTGTTAAAAGTAACAAGCTATTGCATGCATGCAACACACAAAGCACAGTTCCTAGAATATAATATGTACTCAATTATGAAAAGAATTTTAATTTCTTTTTAAAACGGCATACCCACTAATCATTAGAGTAAAACACAAATCAAAACCACAATGAGATGTCACCTCATACCCATTAGGATGGCCACTATCAACAAACCAGAAAATAACAAGTATTGGTGAGGATGAGGAGACATTTGAGTCTTTGTGTACCGCTGGTAGAAATGTAAAATGGTGTAGCTGCTCTTGAAAACAGCATGATTCCTCAAAAAACTAAAGACAGAATTACCATGTGAGGTAGCATCCCACTTCTGGGTATAAATACAAAAGAATATAAAGCAAGAGCGCAAAGAGGTATTTGTACACCTATATTCAATGCATCATTATTCACAAGAGCCAAGATGTGGAAGTAGCCTGAAATTCCGTTTATAAATGAATGGATAAAGGAAACGTGTCATATACATATTTAGCCTTTTAAAAAAGAAGAAAATTTTGTTATATGCTACAACATCGATGAACCTTGAAGACATTATGCTTAGTAAAATAAGCCAGTCACAGAGGAACAAATACTGTATAATTCCACTTATGTAGAGCTATGTAGAGTAGGGGAAACCACGGAAACAGAAAGTAGAATGGTGGTTTCCAGGAGCTAAGGGGAGGGTGAAATGGGAGTTGTTATTTGATGGGCAAAGGATTTCGGTTTTGCAAGATGAAAAAGTTCTAGAGATCTGTTACCCAATAATGTGGATACAGTTAACACTATTGTAATAGTGCACTTAAAAATGGTTAAGAGTATAAATTTATATTATGAGTTTTTCACCACAATTTTATCAAAAAAAATAGGGCATACTGAAAAAAAAAAAGTGCATCTTTAAGGATGTTCTCTCTAGCTCTTCTCCAACGCCAGAATACAGAATGAGGAGGAGAAAGGAGACATGAAAATAAAGAAAGTCAAAAACCATTTTTACCGTTCTTAAATTATGTTTATGGGATTCCTTCAGGTTAATGAGGAAAGAAAAATCTGTGTAACTGACAGCAAAAGCTAATTCGAAGCATCCTTTCTCCCTCAGCTTTGGGAATACTCAAAAGAGGGGACTAGAAATCACCCATTATAGATAAGAAAAGTCTGCGAATGTATTTATACAAATGCTTTGCCTTTGAATTGGAAGTAAGAATAGTTAAAAGAGAGGAAACAAAACTTTGAAAGGGAGGGAAGGAAGAAGGCACTGTAGAAAAATCTTACAGTTTGGAGTCAAGATGAGGAGTTTGAATCCTCTTTCTACTTGGTTATCCTCTCTGTGGATGACTTTGTCAGTAAAAATGGTGATGTTCATACTTTCTAACAGAGGTGTTGTGAGAACTAACTCAAGATATTATGTTTGAAATGTTCTTTTCATCTCATGAAACATAATCCACATTTTACTTGTGATTTTACAGACGGCAAACAGTAGCTAATTACCACCCCAAGGAAAAACAGTAAGTAATTTCTACCTTCCTGCTCACGGGGCTGTAATCATTTATATTTTGACACTTGTTGCTAGTCTTGTTAATGAATGTCAATATTAATTCAGTATGGGAAAGTGTGGGAAATTTCTATCTTCAAAGTGAAAATGTGACAACATACCCCCTGGGCATTAAAGGAAATAAAGCATTCTTACTAAAACAAGGAAGAAATTTAATGTTTCTTAAGGGCAAATAAGTATCTCAAATCATAGCTCAAGAATGTGACTCTATTCATGGTTCTCCCTTTTTCTACAGATAATCTAAAATATTTACAAAAGGTAATAACCAAATTCACTTCCAAAGACAAAGGAGGGAATTTCACCATGAAAGAGAGGAAATGAAAGAATTTTTGAACAATGAGGCTGATAGAACTATGGATTTTTTCCAAAAAGGAAATAATTAAATTTTTTTCCTTGGGGTTTTTAATTAAAGGTCCTCCACATCCTAAAGTATGATGGGGGTAATGTCCGTCGGAATACCTCTTGGAGTTAGTTCACAATACTGAGAATTAATGTTTCCTAAAATTGTGTTTCAGTAATGCTGCTTTCTATGTTTTCTTTTTTCTTGTATGTTGTAGCTTCAACAACAAAATACACTTAGTGGCTTTACTACTCTTGACTAACAGATTTGGGTGTTGAACAAGAAAAAACAGAAGAAAAATCTAAGTAGAACTCACTGGATATTAACAACCATGTGCCATTTTCTAAAATAGCTCAGACTTGTCTATAGCCTTGTTTCTTTTGTTTTGTTTTGTTCTCGCTCTGTCGCCCAGGCTGGGGTGCAATGGCACCATCTCAGCTCACAGCAGCCTTGGCCTCCTGGGTTCAGGCTCAGGTGATCCGCCCACCTCAGCCTCCTGAAGGGCTGGGATTACAAGCATGAGCCACCATGCCCAGCTATAGTCTTGTTTCTTGATCAGTTTTGTTTGTTGGTTTGTTTTATTGGCAAAGAGAACTCATCAGATAGGGTGTGTGTGTGTGTGTGTGTGTGTGTGTGTGTGTGTGTGTGTGTGTGATAACCCTTTCTCTGCTGGAGTTGGTTTACTTTACTACTGAAATTTTTAAAATATTTGATTAAATATTTTATATTAATATTTATTTTTGCTTTATTTTAACATGAAAATTCAACCAGTATAATTTGGGTGGGGGGGAGGTGCATACTTAATATTAAAAGCACTCGCTTATGATCTTAATGAGTTCATTAAAGGAAAGTTATTAAGTAATATTACCATAGTAAAAGTAAAGTAAGTAAATGAAAGTTCAGCTCTATCTTCCAGTGGTTATTGCTTTTATTAGCTCACAATGAACCAACATTAGCTTCTTTTGCTAGTGTCTCTGAATACTAACAGTAAAGCAGTTCTGCTGGTTTCCACTTCACTGATCTACTCTTGATTTACATCAACGGTGAACCTTTCACTTAGTTACCTCTTTAGACTTGCTTTCCACACATCCTGTTTATGTGCAGTCAGCAGGAAGAAAACAAGAATGTGGATATGAGCAGGAAGAGAAAGATGAAGAAATAAAATGCTTTCAGAAAAGTAGAAATTTCTATGAAAGTCCCCAGCATATTTTTTTTAAACACTGGAAACGGTCTTTGTGAATCATCCAATCTGACTGTTTGTTAGCTGTCATCCAGCAAATCCTTGAAGATGAGGAACTTGAACGTTTAAATAGAAGTCGATGACACATTCTTTGTCATGTTTTCCTATTTCTCTAACTAAAACAAGAGTTTGCCATGGAGATGTTCTTGAATTAGGCTTCACATCTGTGGCATTATGGTTTACAGAAATAAACCAGACTCCCTAGAATTGGAGTCTGGATTCTAGCTAGACATGACTGTCCAGTGATGTGACCTTGGGCAATTTTCCTTAATTCACAAGGCCTTACGTACCCTCTGGAGTTACCTAAAATCTCTACCTTTAGAGATTAAGGGATATTGAATTTCACAAGAATTCATAAACCCATAAACAAGAATTCCAGAGATGAAGGCATCAGATTGATTGCCCTATTGGATCAGGAAGAGGCAGAAAGCTCCACCATGAGGTGTGGGAATAAAGAGCAGATACAGTTGATTGAGGTTGAGCGTGTCAATGAAAGCAGAAATGTGGTGGGGTATCCTGGCATCTGTATACTGCTCTTCTTTACCCCAAGGACATTCACGGTTGGCTGAGATGCCTGGGAGTGACATGGCTTGAGAGCAGGTTTTTGAAGGATGAAAAGAGGATATTTGCCTAAAAGTGTCACCAGGAAGCAAAGAGAAAGCCATTGTCCTTGTACTTGGCAATAAAGTTCAAGAGTAAGACTATATCTGAGATTGCAAAGAAAGAATAGCAGGTTAAATATGGAGGCATGGACAACATTATAAAAAGTGTATCTTTGTTCAAGTAACACATACTCATTGTTGAAAAGTTAAAAGGTACAGATAATCACAAAATAAACTCACTACAGATAAGTGCAGAAAAAATAAGCACTGTGAACATTTTGCTGCACATCATTGCAGGCTTTTCATAGATAAACCTTCTGCAGGTGTAAAAAGTATCAGATTCAAATATCTGTGGGTTGTGCTTGCTAGACAACTCTTAAGCTGTGTATTGTTAAAATAAACCTTATATAATGTATTGTAGCTTATTGTGAAAGGGTCAAGAAATCAAGATAGCTGTTTCTCTTATTTCCATTAAAAATCTATTCATTTCATGTTAGGAGGACAGTTAACTTGTTACCAAGCAGAACTGTATTTAAAACAAATTCGAAAACTATTCATAACCTATATGTATTTAGTCCTGGTTAGACATAAAGCTTCACAGTGCTGTTTTATGCATCACATTAACCAGCTATAAAACACACAGGACTTTATCTATAGCAGACAGAGAATTTCAGGATTTATATACAGATACCCTACAAAGTCATGTGATTTTAAAATCAGTGTTTTATTATTTATTTATTTATTTATTTATTTTGAGATGGAGTTTCGCTCTTGTTGCTCAGGCTGGAGTGCAATGGTGCGATCTCGGCTCACCGTAACTTCCGCCTTCCAGGTTCAAGTGATTCTCCTGCCTCAGCCTCCTGAGTAGCTGGGATTACAGGCATGCGCCACCACACCCGGCTAATTTTGTATTTTTAGTAGAGACAGGGGTTCTCCATGTTGGTCAGGCTGGTCTTGAACTCCTGACCTCAGGTGATCCGCCTGCCTTGGCCTCCCAGTTCTGGGATTACAGGCATGAGCCACCGCACCCAGCCTTCAGTGTTTTATTATTAAGAACTATCAAGTTACTTGTAAAACTATTCTAATTAAAAGTGGGTCTAAATATTTTCCAAAAAATAGGTTTATGCTCTATATACTGTTTTTTAATTGAGGTGGAATTCACATAACATAAAATTAATTTACACTTTGAAGTGAACAATTCAGTGGCTATTAGCATATTCACAGTGTTGTGCAACCAGCACATCCATCTAGTTTCGGAAGCATTTCATCACCCCAGCTGGAAACCTGGTACCATTAAACAGTTGGTCTCCATTCCTCCCTCCCCCTAGTGTCTGGCAACCACTATTCTATGTTCTAGCTCTAAGGATTTACCTACTCTGGATATTTCATATAAATAGAATCATACAATGTCTGACCTTTTGTGTCTAGCTTCTCTCACTTAACATAATGTTTCTGAGATTCATACATGCTGTACTATCAATACTTTTGTAAAAAGTTTTAATACTTATTATGATTGAATAATATTCCACTGCATATATATATAATATATATATTATAGAAAGCATATGAAATTTTAATTAGAGGAATTTGTTCTAATTCTTTTTAAAGTATTGGTGTAGGGTTCCCTAGTTATTTAGACTATTTCTCCTCTTCCTAATGAAAAAAAAAACATATTTTCCAAAAGTTGGGAAACAGGCTATAGCTACAACCACAACCGGTCCAACCTCCCTCTTACCCCCACCCTCACTCCCACCCATGTCTCTGCTCTCATCTCCCACCCCAACACTCACTCTAAAAAGTTAACAATGGCCAGGTGCAGTGGGCAGTGGCTCACGCCTGTAATCCCAGCACTTTGGGGGACCGAGGTGGGCAGATCACCTGAGGTCAGGAGTTCAAGATCAGCCTAGCTAACATGGTGAAACCCAATCTCTACTGAAAATATAAAAATTAGCCAGGCATGATGGCAGGCACCTGTAGTCCCAGCTACTCAGGAGGCTGAGGCAGGAGAATCACTTGAACGTGGGAGGCCGAGATTGCAGTGAGCTGAGATTGCGCCACTGCACTCCAGCCTGGGCAACAGAGTGAGACTCTGTCTCCCTTAATCATACTAGCTAAGCTGCCCATGGAAGGTAAAAAATAAAATTCATTTTAAGTAAAATTTTCAAAATGTTTAAAATATACACAGGTATTAGGCCCGCTAGATCCAACACCTTTATGTCAATAGTAAGATGCACATACAAGACTTGGTGAGGATATAATTGTTTGCTACAGACAGTCCCCTACTTAAGATGGTTCAACTTGCATTTTTTCACTTCACAATAGCTCAAAAGTGGTTCACTTTCTGTACATTCCTCAACTTAAAATGGGCTTGCTATGGTATTTTCAACTCAGGATGGGTTTATCAGGATGTGACTCCATTGGTAGTCAGGAGCATCTGTATTTGCACATATCTAGGTGATGCTTAGCATTTCCAACTAGGCTTCCTAAATTTATTTTAAATGGTTGGTATTATTTTGAATTGTGTTCACTAATACAATGTAACAAAAATGTTTTAAAATACAATGATAAATAAGTTTAAGCAGATTTTAAATGAGTTAGTGAAAGCACCGGAGTATTTCTGCCATTTTCTTTAAGGAAACTATGCTTATTTTGGAATTGTGATAGACATTTCCTCTTTGAGTAAAGACAGGGTCATGCTGTGTCACCCAAGCTGGAGTGCGGCTGCACAATCATAGCTTGCTGTAACCATGAACTCCTGGGCACAAGGGATTCTCCTGCCTCAGCTTCCCAAGTAGCTGGGATTACAGGCATGTGACATCATGCCTGGCTAATTTTTTTGTTTAAGTTTAGTTTTTGTAGAGACAGAATCTTGCTGTATTGTCCAGACTGGTCTCAAACTCCTGGCTTTGAGTGATCCTCCTGCCTCGGCCTCCCAAAGTGCTGGGATTACAGGCATGAGCCACCACACCCGACCATCAACACATTTTTATTACACTAAGCATTTGGTTACATTTCTTTCCAGTTTCAGCTTTTGTTTTGAATAACCTAAAAGTGCTTCTCACAAGGCAAAAATAACATCCCATGTTAAGTTCCATAGAGAATATCACTTTGGATGCTGCAAGCTTTTGCCTTTTTAAAAACATTAGAAGTTGTAATGGATGAAAAGAAGCCAGAAAAGGAGACTGAGAAGAGCCAGAAATGTAAGAGGGAAATCAAGAGCATGTAGTATGGATGAAGCCAGGAAGGAGTTTCAAAGAAGAGAAAGAGTGATTATAGAAGAACCAGGGAGATAGGTGCTTGCTACACATTCCCACCTGATGACTTCACTTCCCCTCCTCTCCTGAACCCTTTCTCTATGCCTGAAAGCACAGTCAGTTCTCCCCTGGCTACCAGTAACCTCCTTCGTTCAGAACGGCCGGGCGGGGTGGCTCACGCCTGTAATCCCAGTGCTTTGGGAGGCCAAGGCGGGTGGATCACGAGGTCAGGAGTTCAAGACCAGCCTGGTCAACATGGTGAAACCCCGTCTCTACTAAAAACTACAAAAATTAGCTGGGCGTGGTGGTGGGCGCCTGTGGTCCCGGCTACTCAGGAGGCTGAGGCAGAAGAACCGCTTGAACCTGGGAGGCGGGGGTTGCAGTGAGCTGCGATTGCGTCACTGCACTCCAGCCTGGGCAACAGGGCGAGACACCATCTCAAAAAAAAAAAAAAAATTGTTATGAACATGGGAGGCTAAGAACACCATTCCTATTGGGGGAAAAAAAAAGAAAATGGGAAGGAAATGTAAGTGTAATAGCATATCTGAAAGAGCTTTGGAATCTATAGGACACTGTGTACATGATGGAAGTCAGAGGAAATGTCTGCTGGTCTAGATTACACAGATGTACCTTTCAGTGGAAAAGAGTTATAACAACATGGGTCAGACGTGACAGTGAATCCACCATCTTAGCAGGAGGAACTATTACATGTGAAACAGTTCACCAGCAAATTCTTCATAATTTGCTATTCATACTGCCTGTATTTCATCACCAATGATTCACTCCTTATTCTCTGACCTTTAGTTTCCCCTTCTGCCTTAATGCCCTTGTGCTGTGAATGTTGTGCAGAGTTCTTTCAAAAGCTCAGATTTTAAATGGACAGGTACAAAAATTTGTAGCAGAGATATAAAATAAAAAACAAATTGAGAGTCATGTCTGGACCTCTATGAATAATGCTAGGATGCCAAATCTTTAAATGAGTTCATGAAGCCAGGAGTTCAAGGTAAGCCTGGGAAACTTAATGAGATCCTCACTTCTATAAAATAATAAAAAATAAAAAAAATTAGTGAGGCATGGTGCCGCGCACCTGAAGTCTCAGCTACTCAGAAGGCTGAGGCAGGAGGATTCCTTGAGTCCAGGAGTTTGAGACTGCAGTGAGCCATGACTGCATCAGTGCACTCCAGCCTGAGTGACACAGCAAGACCCCATCCCTAAAAATAAATAAATAAATGAGTTTAGACTTGAGAAAGCAATTAATGTTGAGAAATAATGAAGACAAGAAGGATTTCTTATCATTAGTGATGGTGGCGCAATGTTTAACAGGTGAAAATAAACACTTGGAACTACACAACTTCTGTCTGATCCTCTTCTTTTCTATCAAGAAAAATAATTTCAATGAAAACTTTCAGCACTTGGAAAAGATAAAACAAGCACATTTAAGAAAGACCCAAAGTTCATTTGATAGATGAGGAATATTAATTCCATTTAGTTATTTTCATTGTTCAAGAGAAATACTTTTCAGAGCACTAAAAGGAGTTGTCCATGTCAGCACACGTCTGTTCTCAGTAATCTTTTAAAAATTTCAGAGAGGGATCTAAGCATGATCTAATGTAAGAACAGAAAAAAAATTCTGTCTTCTAAAATGCACACACTGGACAAGGTTGCTGTGATTCCCAGTGCAGCTTTCTAGTAATTGGTTACCATGGAAAGGAGTAAGTGGCTTCCTGATACAGCTGGCTGACTGGATGCATGCATTTACCTTTCTTCCCAAATCCCATAGAAATGTCAGGAGAGTAAAATTAAGTAAAAATAAATCTCCATAAATTTTAGAAAATTCAGAAGGGGTTATTGGAGTATATTGAAGAATTTCTGGAATATATTGATGCTGAAATATAACAGAGCTAAGCAACCCATGAATCCAGACCCATGAACAAGAACTTTAAAAATAAAAGATTGCCCAGCAGAATTCTGCAAAAGTCTCACAATCAAAATAAACAGGCTGGATGGAAAAAGTAAGCCCTGGGCAGGGGCCAGGCAAAAAGTAAAAGCAGAGCTGGTCCTCATGCCACCTAAGGTCCGCTGCTGATGTGTGCTCCAGGCTGTACATAGTGAGAGCTTCTGTGTAAAAGATTCTCAAGATGGACACTCAGTCCAGAGAGTTAGGGCCTCACCACCAGCTAATGATAGCTGCATATTCTGTAAACAAACCATACTAACATCTTAAAGAAAAGCCCACCTTCTCTCTGCCACACGTAGCTGCTTGAGTCAGAGCTGGTTTAATCCAAACTTAAGCTTCTAGCCATGCAAACAAGAATTCTTTATTTTATTTACTTATTTTTAACTTGTATTTTAGGTTCAGTGGTACACGTGCAGGTTTGTTACACAGGTAAACTCGTGTCATGGGGGTTTGTTGTACAGATTGTTTCATCACCAGGTACTAAGCCAAGTACCCAGTAGTCTCTTTTTCTGATCTTCTCCCTCCTCCCACCCTCCAACCTCAAAGTAGACCCCAGTGTCTGTTGTTCACTTCTTTGTGTTCATGTGTTCTCATCATTTAGCTCCCACTTATAAGTGAGAACATGGGCATTTGGTTTTCTTGTGTTAGTTTGCTAAGGCTAATGGCCTCCAGCTCTATCCATGTTCCCACAAAAGACACGGTCTCATTCTTTTTTATGGCTGCATAGTATTCCACAGTGTATATATACCACATTGTCTTTATCCAGTCTACCACTGATGGGCATTTAGGTTGATTCCGTGTCTTTGTTATTGTGAATCGTGTTGCAATGAACATTTGCATGCATGTCTCTTTATGGTAAAATAATTTATATTCCTTTGGTTACATATCCAGTAATGGGATTGCTGCGACGAGTGGTAGTTCTGGCAATCAAGAATTTTTACACTCTCCAGAAACCAATAATCTTTGAATTAGTATCCTGTCTATTAAAATGACCAAACAACCAAAAATATGTACAGAGAGGCTGGGCGCCGTGGCTCACGCCTGTAATCCCAGCACTTTGGGAGGCCAAGTTGGTCGGATTACCTGAGGTTGGGAGTTTGAGACCAGCCTGACCAACATGGAAAAACCCCGTCTCTACTAAAAATACAAAAATAAGCCGGGTGTGGTAGTGAGCACCTGTAATCCCAGCTACTCAGGAGGCTGAGGCAGGAGAATTGCTTGAACCTGGGAGGTGGAGGTTGCAGTGAGCCAAGATCGTGCCACTGCCCCAGCCTGGGTGACAAGAGCAAGACTCTATCTCAAAAAAAAAAAAAAAAAAAAAAAAAAAAAACAAGAAGAAGATGTACAGAGAAGCAACAAACTCAATAATCAGAAACTACAACCTGGGAAAATGCAATATAGGGCACAGAATAAGGTGCTGAAATAAGTATGTTTCATGTCTTCAGGGAGATTCTAGGGAGTTCCAAACCCATAAAAATTAAAATAAAAATGGCCACTAAACACTAATAAAGATTTTTAAGATTATTAAGATATTTACAATAAGTAAAAGAGTTGGAAAAAAGGGAAGCAGTGATCATTCCAAGTCCATATGAACTGATGAAGCACAAGTCATGCCTCAATCATTTCATTTCCTGTTTTTAGAGGTCATCAGACTAGTAGATCGGGGAATGCCAGTGGCATCATATGTCTTGTGTCTAGAAAGCCATTAAATTATTGTTTCATGCTACTGTACTCTAAAAACTAATTATATCTTACCAGTGATTGATGGTTAGAAAAGTAAGCTAATATAAATTTCCATCACCTCGTATAGAAATTTCTAATTATCCCTCTAGATTGTAAACTTCTTGAAAGAATAAAACATTTTCTGTGTCATATTCAGCCTATCCCCATTGCCTAGAACAATACTCAGCAAATGACAGAGACTCATTAGAAATTTACTGAATGATAATTATATTTAATTGTAATTAATGCAAAGTCTGTGTTTAAAAGCATGTATGAGATGAAAGGGAAGTAGCCGGCTTCTCAGTTCATTTGGGAACAATTTAGGGATTTTAGTTGATTGTCTACTTAATGTTGTCAATATTGTGACATGGTGGTTAAGACAGATATAGATAAAAGGCTATGGTCATTGACAAATAGTGCAGAACACAGGCAGAAGAGCTGTGACAGAGTGTATTTTTCCAAACAGTATCTCTCATCCCACACGCTTTCTTACAATGTGACTTTGACTTTTGACACTCCTCCCACTGACAGGTGGCGGTCTATGTTTCTACCCCTTGAATCTGTGTGGGTTTGTAACTATGCAGAAGTATGACCATTTGACTTGCTAGGCCAGATCATAAAAGGCCATACAACTTCTTCCAAGTTCTCTTGGGATACTCACTCTTGAAATCCATGATGTTACATCAACAGCTCCAATTGAGGTCTCAACTGACAGCCAGCATGAACCAGATATGTAGGCAAACAAGCTTTCAGATGATTTCAGCATTACCCATTAAGCCTTAAAATGTCCCCAGCTGAGGTCCCAGAGAGAATAGGCAAGCCATTCTTCTGTGGTCCTTTCAAATTCCCGACCCACAGGATCTATTTGCAGAAAAAAATAGTTTTTGTTTTATGCCACTAAAATTTGGGGCAATTTGTTACGGCAGCCATTGATAACTGGAACAATAAGGAAATAGATATGTAAATTGTGCTGTATTTACTCAATGAAATATTATGCTGCCACAATTAGAAGAGTTCATATTGAATAGAATGTTTATTATTATTATTATTCATTTATTCATTAAAGAAACATTTTTGAGCCTACTATGTGCTAGGGGATGTCTGAGGATACAACACTGACCCAAACAAAGTCCCTACTCAAAGTCCTCTCCCTGGCCTGTACATTTTGATGTCTCTCATTATTAAGTCCTCAGTTTTTGTGGTTTTAACCACTGACGATGTTCAAAATTCTATCTTCAGCTCTGACCTCTATCTTGAGCTTCACATCTGCATATTAAATGCTTACCTGCTGTCACAAGTCGGCTATCCCACAGGCACCCTAAACTTTAGTCAGCGTCACTAACACCTACACATGGTCCTGCACCAGCAACCTGGGAGTTATTGAAGATTTCTCTCTTTCCTCTCATCTCCCACCGCGTGACAACCTTGGCTCTACAGCCACAGAAGCCACTGAGCTTACGTCCACATTATCTGAACCCACATTATCTGAACCCATCCCCTTTTTCCATCCCACTGCCACTGCCTGGGTCTATGTCATCATTTCTTTCTTGGGTCCCCAAAGCAGTCTCCTAATTAGTCTTTCCACCACCAGGAGCCTCAAATTCCTACCATACAATGCTGTTATAATATTTTTTCATAACATACAAATATAATTGTTACTATCATGTTTAAAATTTTTCACTTATCCTTCTTCAGAATAAAGTCCAAGATTCTTATCACTAACATATAAATAGAAGGAAGTTACAGAACAGCATGCAGAGTATGATCCCACTTTCTAAACATATATAAACATACTCCCACATATATGGGTATATGTATGTTTATATATGTATAAAGTTACTGGATGTTCAATAAAATGTCAACAGGTGTAATCTCAGAGTGAAAGATTTCAGATGATTATTTTTTTTCTTTGTGCTTGTATGTACTATTTTAATACATACAATATCAAAACCCTTATCAAAAAATGAACGTTTCATTTTTACAGAAACAAGAAAACATTAAAAATATTAAAGAAAGAGACTCTTTGATATCCAGTGTTGGCCTGTGCAGCTTTGCAGTTTCCCTTTCTTCTCCCAGTCCCTGACATCATGTTGATCACTTTCATTATCTCAGCAAATTTGCTCTCCAAGAGCCTCCAGTCCCTCAGACATCCAGCTTCTGATCCCTACACACTTACCAGAGTTCAAGTCAGTTATCACTTACAAGAAGCTTTTTCTACCCAGTCTCTTCTCTAAGCTCCTATGTTGACTTCTACCACCACCTATTACACTGCTCCATAACCATCTATTGGCCTCCATCATTATAGTCAGTCCTACACACCAAGGTATCCACAGAACCCACCACAAGGCTAGCATACTGACAGCATTCAATAAAATGTTTCTTAAGGAACTCAGTGAAATACTATTTGGGGGAAACAAGAGAGGTCAGTGGCAAAGGTTTTGGCATTCTACTGCTTGGGTTCAAACTTCTAGTTCTGTCACTTTCCAGCTGTGTAACCTTAGAAAAGTTACTTAACCTCTTTGTACCTTAGTTGTGACATCTATAATATGAAAATAGTAACTATGTCATAGGGTTGTTGTGAAGATTAAGTGATATAAAGTGTAAACAAGTTCCACTGATGGCTTCACTACTGAATTCTATCAAACATTTAAAGAAGAACTAATACCAGTACCACTCTAACTTTTCCAAAAAATTGAAGAGAAGGGAAACTTCCAAATTTGTTTTATAAGGCCAGCGTCTTCCTGATACCAAAGACCAGTAAAGAAAATTACAGACCAATATTCCTGATGAACATGGATGCAAAAATCCTCAACAAAATATTTGCAAACAAAATTGAACAGCACATTAAAAGGAGCATTCACCTTGATCAAGTAAGATTTATCCCTGGGATGCAAGGATGGTTCACCATATGCAAATCAAAAACTGTGATATATCACATCAGAATAAAGGACAATAACCATATGATAATCTCAACAGATGCAGAAAAGTTATTCAACAAAATTCAACATCCTTTAAGGATTAGGAAAAAAAACTCTCAAAAAATTAGGTTTAGAAGGAATGTACCTCAACACAATAAAGGCCCAATAGGACAATCTCATAGCTAAAGTCACATACTCAATGACCTATAATCTTCTATGAATTATAAGGAAAATTTCCACACAATGGAAATCCTATCATCATGTCATTTGTGAAAACATGGATGAACTTGGAAGACATTATGTTTAGCGAAATAAACCAGACACAGAAAGACAAATACCTCACTTATGATCTCACTTATATATGGAGTATAAAAAAGACAAACACATAGAAACAGAGAGTAAAATGAAGGTTACCAGAGGCTGGGGTGGAGTGGCGAGACTGAGGAGATGGCAGTCAAGAACGCAAACTAATAGAGCTTGAATATTGTCTTTTTCACACTCTGCTGTACTCACACGAAATATTTTCAGTTATTGTAATTTCTATTTTTAGTGATCCTTTAGAATTATAGTTTTACTAAATGTTTCCTTAGCAAAATTTCTGACTTGATAAATACCTGTTATATAAAATGAAAGGGAAATGAAAGCAACTGAATTTAACAGAATTAAACAAAATTGAATTTAATTGCAAAATATGCAAAGGTATTAAAGTACTTAAATGTACCTATATTACTGTCACTAGGGGGAGCTCAGCACTTAATTTGTATTCTAAAAGCGTCCACCCTGCTGGCAAACAAAACAGCAGTTTGTATCCCATTGTGCTGTGTGAGGGGCTTCTAAATAAACTAACAGCATTATTTTCCTAGAAAATGAAAGCAACTGAATGCATTAGCTCTCATGCTTTTCACGGTATTTGAAGCAAGTATAAATGGTTCGTCTCTGTGGCGCCACTGTCAAAATAACACATACACTTCTTTGAATGTAGCTCCAAAATGGCTCATGCTTTTTGCAATGGTCCAAGATGGAACAGAGGAATAAAGATTAGAACACGATGCATGAAATGTGCTTCAGCACATAGTTCTCAGTGGGAGAGTCTATGCACGTCAGACAGCAGAGTAACCACAGGAACAAGATCTGAACCTCAGGAGATTCTCCACCTTTAAATCTGTATCATTATTACATGTGAACTTCTTATAAGTATACTTCTTACAATAGATGCCTTTTTTATAAGCAAGGGAGACCTCTATTTTGTCGCCGCTCCTTATGGCCAAAAGCCATGAACTTTGGACTCAAGCTGTTCTTTAAAAAGATTAGATGAGATGTTTAAAAGACAGTAAACCTTTGCCATGTCCTGGGGCTGACAGATTTTGAACAAAAATAAAAGACGGAACTGGTTTTCATGGGAATAATTGAATCAAATGAGCCTGTAAATAAAATTAAAATAATAACATCACATATTTTTTCACAAGCCTGATTTCTAGTGAAGAAGTTAAAACATAATAAAAATAAGAGATCCAGGCATTCCTTTCTACTTTCCCAGACAAGAGCCAGTAAATACGAGCCTCAAGACACCCCAAACATGGCTATGGGCAAGGCCTGAGAGGTGTTGAAATTCATGAAATCACAGACGTAAAATCTGGAAGGAACTCCAGAGTAACTATCTAATGCTCACCTACACAGAAGTCCCTCATGCCACCTCTGATCCCTGTGCCTTCTTGGGCAGTTGTGCTGTTCACATAGCGGGAAGGGGATCCCACCCTGTGTTCAGGCAGCCTCATCCCATTGGATGTCTCTACTTCTGCCAGAGAAACTCTTCTGTCTTCAGAACTGGAATTTCCTGCTGTACAACATCATACTTTTATTCTGATTCTGCCTTTTAGCAGAAGGTTAAAAAGTCTCTTTTGTTCTCGGGGAAGGTGTTGAATATAAACATGGACACAAGTCCTCCCCAGCTACTACTTTCTTTTCCCCAGTCCCATGCCCCCTCTCACCAAGACTTTTTATATCCAGCCAAAATATTACAGGCTTAATGACTTTTTAAAATTAAAATGTACTTTTATCATTTTTCCCTTGGTACAAAACTTTGGAGAAAAATTAGAAAATTCAGACGTGCCAAATGAAGAAAATGACCTTACTGCTCAGAAGTAATCTTAGTTATCTGATTTCCTATGTCAACATATATCTCTTTATTAAATTTTTTTCATAAAATAGGATATTATTGTTTTCAGCTCTTTTTCATATAATCAATTAATAAATTACCTACAACCACATTTTTAAAGCTGAATAGTTCTCTACTGGGTTTTGTACCATATTTATTTAAATAATTCACTACTGTGGGATATTTAGGTAGTTTTGAATTTGGGTTATTAGAACAATCACTAAAAAATTATTGTAGATGCATTTTTTGCAAGACACTTGTATTATTTTCTTCCATATTCATTTGCTAAACTAAAATTTCTAGTTTTTAGCGGTTAAACCTTTTAATTCAAAAGTAAAAATATGTTCTTTATTTCCACAACAACTTCTTATGAAACGTAGTCCAACTCCATCACTGTCCTCATCGACTTCAAAATTGTAAAAAGTGTACCTCTCTTTGGACACTTTTTCTGAAAAGCTGCCTCTCTCCCTCAATATCATTTTGTCAAAGAGGTTACCTGAGCTCCTGGATTAGGTCTCTGTTATAAAGCCTCATCACACCTTTTGCTTGTCCTTCATGGTATTTTTCATTATTGTAACTAAGTAGGTGATACTATGATGATTTATTTAATTCCTGGCCTGTTAGGTTCACAAAAGTAGAAACTATGTCTGCTATTTCAGTGACTAGCAAAAAAATATGTACTAAATAAAACACTTATTGAATAAATGGAAATATTTCTATATTTTAGAGCAGAGTGTATGTAGACCAATGAAGTCTACCACCTCTGGTGAATAAGAAATATGATTTAATGTTCTATATTCACAGTCCTTATTCTGCAGGGCTGGCAGAAAGTTATATTGAGGGTTTCTACATCTTGTCACCTCACCTCCTGATGAGTCATAGTTTAGGGATTTTTCCACACAGGGCATTGAAGAAGTCCTTCTGGTCGTTGACCATCTGTCCACAGACATCACCTGGCCACTTTTCCTCTCTACATGGCCTCTTTAGGTCTGTGGCTTTTCACAGCTTCTGTGATATGTCTGGGACATGCTGGTGGGGATGCAGGTATTTTATTTAAGGTAAATAAAAGCTGGCTGAAAATTTTTTGTTATCACTCCCTAGCTGTTCTAGCCCAGGTGCTTAATATGTGAGTGAAAGGTCTTCAGATGACTCTTCCCTCAGCAACCATCCAAATGCAGGTATACAGGAAACGTTAAGCAGAAACCACCCAGCTGAACCCATCAACCCCCAGAACAGTGAGAGATAATAATACGTCACTAAGTATGCAGTAGTATGATATATAGCAAGAGACAACCAGAATACACCACTTGGGAATATAATTTGACAATATTAAAATTTTTAATTAATATATACTTTAACTCCAGAATTTCATATATTTACTCTATAGATATACTGAAACACATACAAAGTAACATGTCACAAGATATACATTGTAGCTTTGTTTACATTAGCAAAAGACCAGAAATAATCTATATGTCTCCACAGAGGACAGGTGAAATACGGTCTGGTAAAGAGAAACAATGGAATATGCTATTTAAAAGAATGATGAATCACAGTATACACTAATATGAAATCATATGGAATAATCCCCAAGTTATTTGTCATTTTCACAGCAAAGTGCAGGACCATATGTTTAAGGTGCAATCATTTGTACAATAAAAATAATATGCATATGTATACCTATGTAAATGCATGGAAAATCTCTAGAAGAATACATAAGAAAACGAGTAACTATTGTCTCTGGGAAGGGGACTTGGACATCTGAAGGACAAGGAGTGAGAGAACAACTTTTCATGTAAACTTTTTCAACTCTGTGCTATCAGCACATATATATTACCTGTTCAAATAACTTTCACAGAAATGACCTAGTTACACCAGTACACTATCTTCTTCTTTTTCTTTTTTTTTTTTTTTTTTTTTTTGAGACAGAGTCTTGCTCTGTCACCCAGGCTGGAGTGCAGTGGCTTCTGTCTCAGCTCACTGCAACCTCCGCCTCCCAGGTTCAAGAGATTCTCCTGCCTCAGCCTCCCAAGTAGCTGGGATTACAGGCATCCGCCACCACGCCCAGATAATTTTGTATTTTTAGTAGAGATGGGGATTCACCACGTTGGCCAGGCTGGTCTCAAACTTCTGACCTCGGTGATCTGCCTGCCTCGGCCTCCCAAAGTGCTGGGATTACAGGCATCAGCCACCGTGCCCAGCCACTATCCTCATTTTAAAGATGAGAAAACTATGCTTTGAGAGCTGAGGTGATTTGTTCCGCGTGTGAGAGCTAGCCAGTAACAGAGCAAGGTCTGGAAATGACTCCTCAAGTGGAGCTCTTTTGCTTGGCTAGAATCCCTTAAGTTTATGGCTTTTTAGTAAGTCATTTCTTTTAGCATTTCCAAAAAGTACATTTTTCAGCCTGTTCTACTTCCAGACTAAAGTCCCTTAGAACTAAATATACTTGTGTTGTATTAGTTTCCTATTGCTGCTGTCACAAATGACCACAAACCTAGTGGCTTGAAACAACTCAAATTAATTTTCTTACAGTTCTGGAGGCCTTAAGTCCAAAATGAGTCTTACTAGGATAAAACCACAACATTGCTAGAGCTGCATTCCTTCTGGAGGCTCCAGGGAAGAACCTATTTCCTTGTTTTGCCCAGCTTCTAGAGATGGCGTGCATTCCTTGGTTCACGGCCCTGTTACTCCACATTCAAAGCGCATCACTCTGACTTCCACTGGCCCATTTCCTTCTTTGATCATCTTTGATCTTCCTGCCTCCCTGTTTTAAGAATGCTTGTGATTATATTGGGCTTACGTGGATAGTACATACAGGATAATCTTTCCATGTCAAGATCCTTAATTTAATCACACCTGCAAAGTCCCTTTTAAGATGTAAGGTAACATTCATAGGTTCTGAGGATTAGGATATGAAAATGTTTGAGAAACCATTATTCAGCCTACCACATTAGACCTAAGTTTAGGGAAGTCTCATAAATGCTGTCTCAGTTTCTCCATCTATAAAGAAAGAATAAGAATGCTACCTATTTTGTATGGTTATTTTGCAGATTACATAAGTTAATATATTTAAAGAGCATGGAACACTGCCTGACACATTGGAAGCACTGGATATATGTTATCTGTAATAGTAGTTATTGTTTACTGACCCTCTAGTTGATAGCATGTTAGAGCCTTTCATCAAGAGGATTAATAATCTCTTATTTCTTCCTTTAGATCTAACATATGTTAAGAATATAAAAAAGAGGCTTTTACTTAATTTTAGCAAAACACAGTGTAACAAAGTCAGTTTTGAGGGAAATAACACACTCAACAGATGAATAGAATTAATTTAGAATAATAGCTAACATTTTAGATCGTATCTTCCATCTGTGCATTTTCAAGTCTATAACATACACAGGGAGCCCTTGTAATCAATCTGAAGTGTTTGCTGAGATTTACTACTTTCAAGGCTCTGTGCAACAGGGATACAAAAGACAGAGACATTTCAGGTTATCCTGGATTTTAACAGCTGAGATAGGTGAATCTCAAGGAGACCAACTTGCAGAGTGTCACACAGCCAGAACTGGAGCTGAGAATGTGACTCAGAAGATGAACTATAAACAGAAAAAAAAATGGGAAAGACACTGCACTATATATTATATGTGCTAAATGACTATAAGTGTGAAGAGATTTCAGATTAGGAAGAATCCATTAAGATGGATGGATCAGAAAAAGCATCATTAAAGAAATGCGTAACTTTTGGATACAGAGAGTAAAGAGAGAGAAGGGAAAAGATAAATTTTGAGTGTGAGCCAAGACACAGAAGAAAATATCACAGAAATGTGCTGGAGAAAGTGTGCATTGAGTATTTATTTGTAACGAAGAGCAGAGATGGAAAGCAAATGACTTCTCCATAACTTACACTGTGGGGCGAGGATGGAAGAGAACTACATGTGGGAAGGGAGGCTTTTGGCCAACTCTTCAACAGTGCAGGGTAAGGTCCGCAGGATGTCCCATCTCCCAAGCCATTCCTGATGCAGCAGGAAGCCAAGCAACAAGTGGCCAAAATAGTTCATTTTAGAAGACGGTAGAGACAAAGTTGTCTTTCTTGAAGCTTGAGACATTATGTAAGCTCTGCTTCTTGATATTACAAATACATGTACCTGGTCAGGCGCAGTGGCTCACGCCTGTAATCCCAGCACTTTGAGAAGCTGAGGCAGGCGGATCACAGGAGGCCAGGAGTTCAAGACCAGTCTGGCCCACATGGCGAAACCCTGTCTCTACTAAAAATACAAAAATAATTAGCCAGGTTTGGTGGTGCATGTCCGGAATCCCAGTTACTCAGGAGGCTGAGGCACGAGAATCACTGGAACTCACCAAGTAGAGGTTGCAGTGAGCTGAGATCACGCCACTGCACCCCAGCCTGGGCGACAGAGCAAAACTCTGTCAAAAAAAAAAAAAAAAGAAACAAAAACAAAAAACAAACAAACAAAAAAATCACCCCCCAAAACAAAAACAAATACACTTACTTACAAGGTAGAGTTCAACATGAAAGCTAAGGCCCAGGAAAGTTTGATAACTAATCTTCAAAAGACATGTAATTACTATGATTATTGGACATTTAAAAAACGCTGAGAACTGTGCTATCACTTGCTTTACATATATTAAGCCCTTTTAAAACCCCCCTGAGGTAGGCATTATTATCTCCATTTCACAAAATGAGAAGCCAGAAAGACAGCCAAGAAGTTAGCGTTCATCCTCTACACAACTGCACTGAGCGCCTCACATTTCCCACCCATGGCAGCCTCTCTCCATTCAGTGGTGGATTCTGGACAAATGAAATAAATTCTTCCCTGGCTTGTTTTTGTTTCTTGAAAAATATTGCAAGACATTTCTGTAAACTGACTGACAAAGTCCCAGAAAGAGAAATGTAATAAATGCTAGATAATCTCTATGTTGAGTAACCTCAAGACCATGAAACTTGATTCCTCTACATCTGTACTGAGAAGATGGCAAGGAGAGGGGAGAATGGCGGCAGCATTTCCTTTTCTTTTTGCTTCCTCCAATCAGTTACGGCTGAAGCAAGCAATCTTTGTCTGAGGTGCATACTAAGAAGTTGGGAAAGGTTTGGGATAGATCACAGATGAGTCAGGAACAATTCTATCTCTTATTGCCAGGAAGAAATAGCTGAGCACAGGTGGGCAACCTAAGCCCCATGTAATTCTGTTACAGCTAAGAGGACCCAGAATGTCTGGGCCATCAGCTTATTGATTGCTACCTCTAATGCTAGAAGAAATGAGTGTTTTCTCTTTGAAAAAAATTGTTGAAATGCATTTAAAATTTTAAAGAAATTCTTCCCCACACTACCCCCACCCCAACTCCTTCCCTTCCAAAGCAAAAGTTCCCAAAATACATGGCTTTGTGATACACTTAGTGTCTCAGTATTTTTATCATACGCCTCAGGCCAAAAGAAATACCTAATAGGCCAGGTGCGGTAGCTCACACCTGTAATCCCAGCCCTTTGGGAGGCCGAAGTGGGCGGATCACCTGAGGTTGGGAGTTTGAGACCAGCCTGCCAACACAGTGAAACCCGTCGCTACCAAAAATACAAAAATTAGCCGGGCATGGGGGTGCATGCCTGTAATCCCAGCAACTTCACAGGCTGAGGCACAACCATGGCTTGAACCCAGGAGGTGCGGGTTGCAGTGAGCCAAGATCACGCCACTGCACTCCAACCTGGATGACAGAGTGAGACTCTGTCTCAAAAGAGAGAGAGAGAGAGAGAAAAGAAATACATAATAGTTAGGTTTATTAGGAAGTTAGGGCCAATTTAATTTGACAAATAAATACATATGTCTTATCAAAGTAATGGCCATTTGAAAAAAATCAGATACATAAATAAAAGAAAAAATTATACTGTCATTGTGCTCCTAAAGGGCCTCAATTACTTACTGAGGGGATATGTGTGCTGGCTGGGGATTGGACAACTTCTCAAACCTCAGACACCACCACCCTCAGTTTCTGCATACACATGGATTTTTCTAAGGGTAACTACTTTTTATCAGCAACTGCTTTTGTTTCAGCAACAGCTGAAAACCCAACCTCACGAAAATATTACAGGAGGATTAGCATGAACTAATTTTAAAACTGAACTATTTTGAGCTTGGAATTTACAAATAACACTGTGATCCCCCGTGAATTCATTGAGGGTGCTAAGGCACACAGTTTGGGATCTGTGATGGAAAGTTAAGCTACTGAGGTTGAAGTCTTAGAAGAGTACATGAAGTGGAACTTCCCCATTTTCTCAGTATTTGCTTGTTTGCCCCGGGGAACACATGTTCTAGAGGAGAACACAAAAAGGAAGTAGCAGCCAGGGGCTGAGATCCACCAGGTGCTGTTCTTTTAGTCTGATCCTTAGAGAATCATCCCTGCCAAGCTCTCAGAACCACCACTGCTTGCCCCTGTCTAGCATGGAAGTGGTGATTTTTTAATCAGGCTGTCTCTTTTCATTCATATAATCCTTTCTTAAAAAAACAACTTGATGTTGTAGGAGGAGAGCTAGATTTACAGATGACTGGATTGGGGCCCTTTTTCTACCACCTCATAAGTAACCTTGGGCAGGTCACTTATTGTTTCCAAACTTTAGTTCTGAAGGTAATCCCTTTCCGCGTGCAATCCAATATTTTAGTCATAACTATATAACACATTTGAATGAGGTAAAATTTCTCTAACTCACTGTGTATAAGAATCATTTGAGAGCCATGTTTAAAACGCAGAAACCTAGGCTCAATTCTCAAATATTCTCTTATAGCAGGTCTAGGATGGGACCCAGGGATCTGCTCTTTTAACAAGCAGCTCCCCCCACCCCCCAGTGACATAGACTCAGGTAGGTTAGCAGTTGAGAAACATTAGTAAAAGGTATCGTTTATTTAAATAGTTGCATGTATATAATTTCATCCTCTCAACTAACCTTTTAAAGTAGCTGGACTGGCATTATTTTCATTTTATAGAAGAAGAAACTAAGATTGTAAAAGTAGGATGATGGTGGCAGCCCCAGATCTTCTGTGCAGGTAGGGCGTTGGCATGGCAACCTGGCCACAAAGCTGGAGAACTGGTTTTGTAGACACCATTGCATAGCAGGTACACTATTTCACTCAGATTGGATGGAGCTTGAGGCTGCTGATGGCCTCTCCCAAGGCCCCACAACTCCCAAGGTCCTTGGCCCTATTCCATTAAGAGGCTTACCTAACTTTCTCTCAGTCACTGTGAGGCAGAGTTCGAACCAGAGCCAGAACTCCTAGTCTAGTTCTCTAACCCTTACTGTCTCACACTGACACTACGTTTGTTTTTGGAAATACAATATCTGTCTGAATTTATGCTATCTTTTTAGTTAACACTCTGCCCTTAGTAAATATAGAAAAGTAATGTATTCTTCAAAAGTAAGGTATTTAATCAAGGCTTAGAGAACTTTTTTCCTAGACATTTACTTTGCCTACCCTAGGAGGAGTCACTAATCAATATTATTGTTATTAAAGTAATAGGATTAATACAAGACCCACTTTACTGATCTTTCACTCTGGGCCAGGGAGTATGCTAAACCCTTTACAAACAATATGTCTAATCCTTACATCAGCACAATCAGAAAAATGTCATAGCTTCATTTTAAAGATGAGGGACTGAGACTCAGAGAGACCAAATAACTTAAATTCACATGGCTTCCTAACATCCATAGAGTCATCATTTACAACCAGGTCTCTGGGATTCTAAATTCCTGATATTTCCTCTGTATCACTCCGCCTCCTTGTGTTAGTAGACATTATTCTAATGATCAGAGAGACTGAACTTGTCTTATATATAACATACCTAATACGTAAATGTCTGTCCACTAAACTGCATATTCCTTGAGGACAGCATGTCCTACTCATTTTTGGATTTCGCATACCTAACAAAGTGCGTGGCACACAGCAAATGCTCAATAAGTGTTTAATAAATTAAAAAAAAATTTTGAGTATATAGATATATCTAATATTTCAAACAAAGCGTACTTTAAAACATTTTTAGTTTTTCTCAGTCAATAAAACTCTTGACCAAATAAAATCTCTGTCAAGCTACGGTTTTCACAAAATATAAAACTTTCTTTGTTTCCTAATAGCTGAGCTACAAGTAACTTTCTCACAGTTGGGGAAGGATCATGAGGTCACTCGGTCCACCCTGGAATGGAATGCCCACTTGTTGCTTGTTCAGGGAACTGATGATGCCAACAATTCTTTGTCTTTGGTATAATCAGACTCTGAAGTGGGTCCAGCCCTCTCGGTACAGGCTGCCAATGCAGGCAGCATCACTTCCAGATAATTTCCCTCGGTTCTGCTGACTTGGAAAATCAACTCCCAGTCAGACAGGGTGCCCCTATTCAGATGGGACCAATGTTTCTTAACCTTTCTTTTTAGGGGTTGGGGGGTGCTGGAGGAGATGCATGAAACATTTTGAAATAAAAAAGGATTCATGTGAATCCTGAAGCCAAGGTCAATCAACACTTAAAATAAGATTTAAAAGTAAACTATTTTGCAAAACCAAGCATTTTCTTTTCCCACTTCTAAAATATTTTCTAATGGCAATGATTTGAGTTGGGTAAAGTATAGCTTTCAGTGTTTTATCTAATAGATGGAGAGACATCAGAGTGATTTCTGACACTCCTTATGACCCAAAACATTATTCAGCAGCAGCTTGTCCTGGCTATTTTTTCATTCTACTGTTGGCATTGGCACATCTGGGGAAAGTTCGTATTTCCGTCAAAGAAAAACACAGGTTAAAAGAAAACTACATAGTATAATTTTATTTCCACTGAGTGAGCTTGGCAAGCTATTACAACTTTCACTCTTAAGCTCTATGTATAAGATGTTAGTTATCTAGGGGTTATACTCACTTCTTACACATTTAAAGGCAGCAATACATGCTGAGTTATGGCTATGAAGAATCTCCCTACAGCTATTCTCAGAGTCAAGACAGGGCCCTGACCACTATGTTTACAAGTGTTTTTGACTTTGCAGTATCTGCAACTACAGATGGCACACACAAAGTATCCCCAAACACTTTCTTGGCAAAACCAGTTTGGAAACCTTTATCTTACTCATGAGGCATGTTTCTGTTATGTAATACAGCACGCTGTGAAGAATCACAAGGCCTGGAAGGACTGTACCCTCTCCAGCATTTCTAGATCAGAGGTGAAATAACAAAAGAATATGAATTGATAAGACTATAAAGAGAAAATGTTTTATCAAGCTGTAGTTGAGGGAAATTGCAGTGATCCACCCAAAGGCCTGTTATTTGCTCTGGTAAACATTATCATTTTACTATTTTACAACTGAGGAAGCCAAGTTTGGGAGAATATAACTAACTTTCCCAGTAGCACTGCTAGATAATATGACAAAGGTAAGATGACAAAGTCAAATGATCCCATATTCCAATACCACATGGATTCTGACATCCTTTCCTTAACTGAATACATGTGAAAAATACTATTGTTTAGTTATTTCAGATACTATGGGAGGCAACATTAATGTGAATAATAGAGTGTAAATAAAAGAAACATTTTCTTAAACTTTGATATGTGTTTCCATATCTGTGTTTGAATATGGATGTTGCTAAAACCCTTAAAATTCATATAACTGCCTCATTCCCCAAAGCCAGGGGAGAAATTTAGCTATCTTGATTTCAAAGCAAACCTCATATTTCTTTCCCTTTCAATGACTTTTGGATTTGGAATTTCCAAGGCACAAAATGAGATTAATGTACTTACAGGGATAAAATAACTGATTTGAAATCAGAATTGTTTGAAACACATGGTTACTGTTTTTGCAAAATGTAATCTAGGGTTATACACAAGAAAGGTGATAATGTTAACAGAGAAGTTACTAGAACTGAGCTAATGAAAATGTCATCGGAAAGTTAAAGACAAAATTTATTTTAGATAAATCTGTATTGTTTACGCATTCACAGGACTAAGCGGGTGATACTTTAGTAACATGCCTTGCTATTTCTAAATCATGGAGAGACAGAAGAATGCTTGGAATTAAAAAGGCAGTTGAACTAATTAATCTGCAATGATGTTTTCAGACTGAAATGTTATATTCTAAGTTTCTGAAAGAATTACACTTTGTAGCCAGCTAAAGATCTTGGAAAGGAATACACATATTAAACATCCTGACAAATATTTTCCTATCTACAAGGTTTTTAAATTCCTGCAGCATATGATAACAATGGAAAATCTAGATAACTAAAACTGTATTATATGATACGGGGTTGTGGTTTTCATTAATAATAATAATACAACATCAAAAATATTAAATCAACAATAAAAGTAGTATATACTTTTAGAAATTAAAAAAATGGAAAAGAAAATTTTAAAATATACTGAAAGGTAAAGAGCAAAAACAAATACTAAACCATGCCAAACACAAATAAAGATAACATGTTGATGTGTTTTCTTCATATCTTTTTTTCAAACATAAGGCTTGGGCATTTTTTAATACATATAATTGAAACCATACAAATCTGTACACTTGTTTTGCATTCTGTGTGAATCTACCCCATCTTATTTAACCATTCTCCTATAGTCAGACATACAGAATATATTCTTTTCAAATATAAGTAACATTGTTACTACAATTACATTGAAAAAAAGATTGTTTCTAACAATCTTTTTTTCTAGCAAAGATGGTTGCTGGCAAGAGGATCAAAATATATAAATCATTTAAAATTTTATTCAACATTAGTTCTATGATGCACATTTTTAAAAATTTTTAAATCTCTGAATTTGTAATGCAACATACAACAAATGAAGTCAAATTTCACTTTTGGCTAGGCAGTAGTTTTCATTGCCTTCGTGTGTGTCAACTCAGTGGGTACACCTGGTAGCAACAACTGGATCACGGTACCCCCCACATTTTGGTTCACAAGCTCTAAAAGGGATCTTTTGAAGAAAAAATAACAGTCTTGGCTATTCCCTGAGAAATTTATATTGACATCCTTCTGGCAAGATCAAGAACACACGTTTCAAAACTTACTTACTGGGATTTAGCCACTCCCACTGAAAGAAGGACATAACATTTTATCCTTGATAGCACAGGAGACAAAATTATGTAGAGAAATGTGGACATAAACAACTCCAAGTAAAAGAGTAACACGGAGATTTGGATTCTGAATATAAAGTGGTTTGCTTGTATTTTTCTTTTTATACAGGCATTAGAAATATAAATAATAAAAATTCATGTCTAAAGAATTCTAAAATAACTAAGTATAAAACAAATATTATAAATGACAAGAAATCATTGTGTTAAAGTATAGGCAGCTTTATTTCTTCCTTAGTGATAAAAAAAGTTGCATCTTAAAATTAAAGGAGTTAAAAAAAATATGACATTCTGACTATTAACTATTTAGACGAAAGGCATTTGAAAAACAGCAGGTGCAAAAAGATCACTCCGAACTCTGTGCTGTTTCTTAAACGCAGAAGATGAAATTCCCATGTGAAGGATGCAACATCCTTATCCTCAAGGACAAGAAGTCAAGACCAAGAGAACTATATACAGACGCATTAAAATAATTATTATCTTTTAAGCTCCCCACATAATTTAGTTGCATCTTCACAATTATTCTTTGTCCACTTCAGTATGTAAGCAACTGACATTTAACTGATTCTTTAGGTCTTCATGTCTTTATGAAGATGCCAGTGCAATATAAAACTTGTATTAAATAATTTGTGTGCTTTTCTTCTATGATGTATCTTATGTCAATTTAATTTTCAGACTCAGCCAGGATCCTAAGAGGATGGAGATAGAGTTTTTCCATCTCTACAGTTTCTTGGAATAAAGATGGGAATCTAAAATATGGGAATGCCTACTTAGGAGGCTGAGGTGGGAGGATCATTTAAGCCTGGGAGATCAAAATCAGTCTGGGCAACAAGGCAAGACCCCATCTCAAACAAACAAACAAACAAAGACTGGCTTGCTCCACTTGCTCTGGAGCCTGAGGAGGTGATCCTGGGAGAACTGACAAAAGCTGGCAGAAGGCAGGAATTCTTAACAAAGCCAGTTATCCTGGGTCTCTGTCTACAGTGTCTGGTTGAGAGAGGAAGACAAAAAACTTTTCCTTATTCCTTCCTTTCCAAATTCAGATTGGCAGAAGAAAAATGTAACAATTGGTTCTTTGATTTGTGACCCTTTTGAATTTGGATCTGGCTACTCCTTGGTCACTGATCCACACATTCAGGAATGGTTCTTGTTTTCCTTGTTTCTCTTTTGTATTATTTGTTATAAGGAGAAAATTCACAGTAAGATTCTCCTTTTATTTTCTTTTATGTCTTGAGAGCTCAGCTTTGTGACTAGTGAAAATATTATCTCTGGTCTCTGCCAGCCATTGGGGGTGCAAGTTGTTAGGCTTGCATCAGGCAGCTCAGCTAGCCCGCTGGCTAGGAGTCAAAAACACAAACTGTCTCTTACTGTGACTGACAATGCCATCTCTCAGGGGAATTTGTCTTAACTGTCTCTACCTTCCATGCCTTGTTAACAATGGAGGTCTTGGCTTTCTTAGGCTATTTTTGGGAGTAACTTTGGATCTTGAGGTGGACTGCATCTTTTGCACCCTCTTTGGAACATGCTCTTGCATCTAGGATGAAAAGACTTACTGATTTTAAGCCATAAAAAAAGCTTATTGGTTTTTAGTCAAAATTAAAGTAGGTATAATTAGATTATGTAGTAGATTTGCTTTTTCTTAACTAAAAGTATTTTTATGGATAGCTCTCATTCCAGAAACAAACAAAAAACCACCAAAACTGTCCTATTGGTACCTATGGGAAGATATGGTTTAAAGCAAGAAAATAAGTGCTTACATAAATAAAATATTATCTCAGGACAAATAAAAACTAACTTAAATGTTCTTTAAGGTCATGTGATCTGAGATAATCCTTCGGTTAAAAAAACGCTAGTTTAAGGTTAGTGGTTTAATTAAAGCAGGCATACCTTCAGAATTGTCAACATTAAATATAATGCATACAACTTATTCTACCTGGATTTACTAATCAAAAATCTTACATATGTTTAAGATTGTAAAATTATAAATTCAATCTAAGAATAAAATGTACAATAAAAGTAAATTACCTAATGTATGTCAAGCATGACAGTAAAAGAGAAAAAGGAAAGGCTGAATGTTTAACTTTGTAGGTGCTTTATTTCGATAGTGTTTAATACTTGCCTAATATATATAGATAAGGATAAAAATGATCAGCAAAACAATAAGTTAATGATGAGATGCAATGTCTCACGAAGTTTTCATGAACAATCCAAGTATAATTGTTAAAACAAAGTAAATTAATAAATGTTAATGTAAATAGAATAACAGTTTATAAATAAACTTTTCAACACTGATACGTTTTATAAGCTATGTCTATCTAAACGTAGTTTCCAGAATCTTTTTGGTGACTTAAAACCTTAAGTTATATTAACTGAAATGATGGATATTCATGGAATGTCTAGATCATTTCCAAGTAAAATATAATACTCAAACATTAACTGCTGAAAATAAGTTTAAGCTTGTTTATGTTTGACTTATTGTTACAGAGGAACAAAAAATATTTGGGTCTATTAATAAACATGTCCTGTGCCACACTGACAAATTGTGCTATAAGATAGCATATATTTCCAGAAATTAAGAAATAATGTATTCACTGATTTATGAAAGACAATGCTTGCTTCCGAGTTCTCACCAGAAACCGAAGTCATTAGGAGTTAAGAATCTAATTAATGTATATACTCAAAGTTACTAGAAATAATAGGGGAAACAACTTTGTATACAAAGTACACAAGGAAAATAGACATTTTTGGTAAGAAAAGTTATAAGATATGAAAGATGTATTTTTGTTATGGAAAGAGTAATTTTGTTTTAGTTTAGAGCTATTTCAAAGGTTGTTTCAGAAAGAATCAATGAATGAAGGATAAAAACTGAAAGGATACAGAAAGTCAAAAAGAGAACAAAAGAGGAAATCTTATATAATCAAGCTGAGTAAATTGAATGAATTTACTACAAGATTTTTTAGAATAAGCCTTAATATAAGGAGTAAACTGACTCAAAACTAGAATTTGGTCTTCTCTATTAAAAGAACAAAGTTTTCTTGGGGATTAGTCTGACGTTGATAAGAAAACTATAAAACCATTTTACTTTATCTTTTAAATAATTTGCCTAGAAAACAAAGATTTTGTGTTTTACCAAAATAATTTCTTGTGCTTCATGTTGTCTTTTATCAGGTCTCAATAATTTTAAAAAACTGAGCCCTGTTAAAGAAGCTAAGCTTTTCCCTACAACCTTTTTTAAGTTTCCATATTTGCCTTTAAAATCTTTTGTTACTCTGGTATGGTTTCACAGTTAATTGTGATCCTCTTTTATCAAGTGTTTAAACATTTTGACATTTTTGACAACTTTCTGAAATCAAATTTTTCTTTTCTTTTTTCTTTTGAGAAGGAGTCTCGCTCTATCGCCCAGGCTGAAGTGCAGTGGCGCAATCTCAGCTCACTGCAACTTCTGCCTCGGGGTTTAAGGATTCTCCTGCCTCAGCCTCCCAAGTAGCAGAGATTACAGGTGTCCACCACCACACCCAGCTAATTTTTGTATTTTAGTATAGACGGGGTTTCACCATGTTGGCCAGGGTGGTCTCGAACTCCTGACCTGAAGTGATCCACCTGCCTCAGCCTCCCAAAGTGCTGGGATTACAGGCGTGAGCCACTGCACCCAGCCAGAAGTGTTCAAAATGGGACCCTGAAATGTCTGAAAAGCATTTATCCTCTCACCTTATAAAAAGAGAGATCCTAAACTAATTAGACTTATTTGGGATGCTGAACGTACATGGGATGCACTGTTAAATAAGAGATTATATTTAACCCTTCTTTGAGCTATATTTGTTATGTTATTAATATGACTATTTCCAAAATACTCATATTACTAGATCATGAGTTCTTCTGGTTTCCTCTAATATTTGACTACAACTCTCCAAATTAATATTTCCAAATTTCTCCCATCCTTCTGACTTGAAATCTCTAAAAAATTAAAATTGCCCTTTTCCTAAGACCCTGAAAGCTGAAACTGGACAACCTAATATAAACTTCAGAGAAATCATTCTATGAGATCATGTGTGAACAACTTTCATGCCTGCTGCTATATAGATCACTTAGAAAGTTCATCAGCACACCCAATGGCATTACCAGAGATATTCAGACTACAAACCAGGAAATTCATCACAATTGCCACTACTTGTACTCACTCCTCTATCTAAAGATGCTTAAAAGCCCAACATCTAAACATCTTCTCAACTGACTGCCCACTGGACTAAAAAAATGGGTTTACAACTTGCTCCAACTATTATACTTTTTCCTTTTTTTTCCCCCCAAAGAAATGCCTCTTATATAGCACTTGTTTGCTTACATCATCTAGAGGTCTAACTTAGATGGGAGCCCACCTACAACATTGCCTCCTAATATGAGATACAACTGCTTAACCGGACTGAACTATTCTCGTAACTAAGACTGATCCATTAAGATTTGGGACAATATACTTAGAATTGTTATCTTCTGCTTGTTCCAATTAATGTTCTTCTCTCCCTTTGCAGATATTTTGCTACTCATTTGATTTCTCTCTTCACAGCTAGCGACTCAGCTTTTAATATGTGAAACTTCTAGGGAAGTTCCCGATGGAGGAAAATGGAGTTAAAATACTGACTATTTAAGTTAAAGGCATTGGAAAAACAGTAGCTGTACTCTGACCTTTGTGCTGTTTCTTAAAAGCAGCAGATGAGATTCCCATGTGAAAGATGCAACATCTTTATCCTCAAGGACAAGAAGTCAAGACCAAGAAAAGTTTACACATAACTTGATAAACTAACTTTCCTATCTCCCCAAATAATTTATGGCTTCTTCATAACTTACTATTCTTTATCCATTAGTAAGTGACTGTGTTTCTTCTGGTCTTTGTTTCTTTATGATACCTCCAGTGCCACCTAAAACTTGTATTAAATAATTTTGTATGCTTTTCTCCTATTGATCTGTCTTATGTCAATTTAATTCTTGGACTCAGCTGGGACCCTAAGAAGATGGAGGTGGAATTTTGCTGCCCCTACAACATCAATGATGTTTTAGATCCAACAAAGCACACTGTATTGCCAAATTGCTCTTCAAAGGCGTTACATAAATTTACAAACCAGCAAAGTGTGGTGGTGGCCAAACAGTTAAACATTTTTAAATTATATTAAAATATTTTAAAATTCTATATTACATACAGAATATATTAGGAAATAAAATAAAATAGAAAAACTTATTAAAGCATTTATATTTATGAAAGATTACTTAAATATAAATTTCCACACACCTTTCATCTTGTGCAAATTAGGTGCATAAGAAATATTTGTTGATGATAATGTGCTTCTTAATGCTGTAGTAGCAGTATCAAAATATAATATTATTGAGGTAATAGTTAAACATGACATATTTTGACATTAAAATAGTTTGCCGTTTGGCCAGGTGCAGTGGCTTACGCCTATAACCCCAGCACTTTGGGAGGCCAAGCTGGGCAGATCATTTGAGGTCAGGTGTTTGAGACCAGCCTGACCAACATGGTGAAACCCTGTCTCTACTAAAAATACAAAAAAGTTAGCTGGGTGTGGTGGTGCACGCCTGTAGTCCCAGCTATTTGGGAGGCTGAGGCAGGAGAAACGCTTGAACTTGGGAGGCAAAGGTCGCAGTGGGCCAAGATCGCGCCACTGCACTCCATCTTGGGCAACAGAGCGAGACTCTGTCTCAAAAAAAAAAAAAAAAAAAAAAACCACACACACACAAAAAAACCGTCTGCCTTTTAAAAGATATTTATAGTAAAGGAAAACTTAGATTCACCCTCATCCCCTTCACAACTAATACAACACAGTTTTTCTAAAACTGTGTTTCTTTAATTGTCAGAACAACAGCTGGATTTAAATTAAGATGAAACAAGATCTGGAGGATCTAGAGAATAATAAAAATATAGAATAAAATAATTTAAGCTTTCGTTTATTAAGTATCTATAGAACCAGGCTAAATACACACATCCTATCAAATAAAAATTTCATGCAGTAGGTATTATTATCCCTAGTTAACAGAAGATGAAACTAAATCTCAGGCCAAGTATTTAGAGTGAAATCACAATGGCAATGGCAGAGAGGATTCAAATTTAGGTCTCTCTGACTTTGAAGCATTTTACAGTTTATTTTAATCATTAGATTCCCAATTTGTAACTAAATACTAACTCTCCTCTGTACCCAAGCAAAATTCTGATCTCCAAATTACAGACACAAGACCTAAAGAAAATACTTCCAACATATAAGACAAATGATTCACATCCCTTATAAACAAATCGCTCCCACAGACAAGGCTAATGATAGTCATAGATATGACCAGGCAAGTCTAGGAACATAAATACAAATTGCTAATAAATATTTAAGTAAATATTTAAAAACACTTTATCTTACTAGTGAATGGGGAACTGCAAATTGAAGTAAGATACCATTTTTAGCCGGGCGTGGTGGCTCACGCCTGTAATCCCAGCACTTTGGGAGGCCGAGGCGGGCGGATCACGAGGTCAGGAGATAGAGACCATCCTGGCTAACACGGTGAAACCCCGTCTCTACTAAACATACAAAAGAAAAAGCCAGGCGTGGTGGCGGGCGCCTGTAGTCCCAGCTGCTCCGGAGGCTGAGGCAGGAGAATGGCGGGAACCCGGGAGGCGGAGCTTGCAGTTGAGCCAAGATCGTGCCACTGCACTCCAGCCTGGGCGAAGAGAGAGACTCCGCCTCAAAAAAAAAAAAGATACCATTTTTATTTATGAGATAGATAAAAATTCAAAACATCACAATGGAGGACAGGATTTGTGAATTTGTACCTATAAAAATATTTATTACTATTTTTGGGACTATAAAATAGCACCTATTTTAAAAAGTCAAGACACACATACCTTTAGGCCTATCGGGACTATTTCTTAGTATGTCTCCTATACAAATATTCACCCAAGTGGGCCAAGATATATGTTTGATAATTTTTTTTTTTTGAGACAAAGTCTCTTTCTGTCGCCCAGGCTGGAGTACAGTGGCACGATCTTGGCTAACTCAACCTCCACCTCCCGGGTTCAAGCAATTCTCGTGTCTCTCGAGTAGCTGGGATTACAGGCATACGCCAAAACACCCGGCTAATTTTTGTATTTTTAGTAGAGTAGGGGTTTCGCCATGTTCGCCAGGCTGGTCTGGAACTCCTGGCCTCAGGTGATCCACCCCGCGTCGGCCTCCCAAAGTGCTGGGATTACAGGCATGAGCCACTGCGCCCAGCCGTATGTTCGAGAATATTCTTAACAGCAGTGTTGAAATTATAAAGAATTAGAACAAATTTAATCATTTGGGGACTGATTAAATTGTGGCACATTCATTAGAATATAATTCACACTTTTAAAATAATGAAGTAGATGTACAAGTAGTGGAAGGATATCTGTGATATGTTACTGAATAAAAAAGCAAGTTGCAGCATAATGTATTAGTTATGATACAATATGGTTAACAAAAATAACGTATGTCTGTATTTTACAATGAAAGGTATAGCAGGGTAGAAACTGAATTGTTAAAAATGGTCACATCTTGCTGGGTGTGGTGGCTCACTCTTGTAATCCTAGCACTTTGGGAGGCTGAGGTGGGATGATCACTTGAGCTCAGGAGTTCAGGACCAGCCTGGGCAACATAGTGAGACCCTGTCTCTATTTTTAAAATAAAACAAACCAAAAAAATTAAAGAAAAAGAAAAAAAAGGTTACATCTAAGGAGGGAAAGTTGCAGGGAAAAGTAAAGAAACATCATAATTTTGGTAAAATTTAGTAATTTTCAACTATTTTCATCATCATAAAAATATTTTTAAGTAAAAAAGATAAACACTTTTATTATTTTATTTTTTATTATATATTTTTTGAGACAGGGTTTTGCTCTGTTACCCAGGTTGGAATGCAGTGGAATGCAGTGGCACGATCTCAGCTAACTGCAGCCTTGACCACCCGGGCTCAAGTGATACTCTTGCATCACCCTCCTGAGTATCTAGGACTATAGGCAGGTGCCACCGCGCCTTGCTAATTTTTGCTTTTTTTTTTTCGTAGAGACTGTGTTTCGCCATGTTCTCAGGCTGGTCTTGAACTCCTGGGCTCAAGCGACCGGCCTATCTCACTCTCCCAAAGTGCTGGGATTACAGGCATAAGTCACCATGCCCGGCCTGACAGAAACATTTTTAGAAGTGAGAAAAGTACATTCCTAAATGTGTTGCATGGATAGAAATTGATTTGAGAAAAATCTCAAGAAGATCAAGTTAAGGAGACAGAGTTGCAAAACATGTAGTCCAATTGTCTCACAGTTAAAATTCTTCCCATCTGAAGATGCTATCTTCTGTTTACCTGATTTTCTCATTGAAATTATTGAACTGTAATTTATATATAATAAATTTCAATCAGTTTTAAGTATACAATAAGTTTTTACAAATGACAGAAACACCACTATACATTTAGTTTTAAGGCTTCTGTGTCACTCTTGCTAAGGATCTGATAACTCATTATTTCAGGCACATTTACACTTTAACAGAATTCTGTTCACATCCTTTAAACCAAAGGGATAAAACTCTTGTTAGGATTCTTCTACCAAAGCACTTTATGTCAGGACAAACTATCCATGTGCCATAGCCCAGGCCACTCATGAAAGCAAGACACAAATAAGTATCTGTGAGATCTCTAGAGTCTAGACAAGTACTCAGATTCTAGAAGATAAATTATCCACTGGAATTCCCATTCATTTCCTATCTGTTCCCAATTCACTTGCGCCTGTCAATTCTCTATGCCCCAGCTTCTCGGTTCAGTCGCCTCAGTTTGATAACTCACTTTTGGCTCCATTTGATTTTGCGTAAGCTGTGAACCCTCCACCTATTTGCTGTTTTCACCTTGGCCTTGGCTCGCTTCTACAGTATTTGCTCACTTCATTCACAGTTGCATCTTCTACTCCCACCTAGCCACTTGGAATAAGCTGTCTAACCCCCAACATGGACACTTAGAACTTAGCTCAATTTTTTAAGGATAAAAAATATTTGGGGACTTTTCCCTGTCAACTCACATCATACTTTGAAGAACTTTCTCCTGTGTTCATGGTTAAAGCTGGTCCTCTGTTCTTCCTTTTACATCTTTGAATTTTATATTTGGTTTGCCTCTTAATTTTGACTAGGCTCTTTGACCCAATCTCTGAGCAATCTTTAAACTTAAATTCATATTTGGGGGTAGAGATATATTATTATTATCATTTCTTAGACAGGGTCTCACTCTGTTGCCTGGGTTGCAGTGCAGTCGTGAGATCCTGGCTCACTGTAGCCTTGACCTCCTGGGCTCAAGCAATCCCTCCACACAGCCTCTCAAGTAGCCAGGTGTGGTGTTTCACGCCTGTAGTTACCCAGTTAAATTTTGTATTTTTTGTAGACAGGGTTTTGCCATATTGGCTAGGCTGGTCTCGAACTTCTGGGCTCAAGTGTTCTGCCCGTCTCGGCCTCCCAAAGTGTGGGGATTACAGATGTAAGCCATGGCACCTGGCCTAGGAAATGACATTATAAACATCTATTTCATTTGACCTTTTTTCCCCAAGCAGCCTGTATTACTTTTGCAACTTTTTGTATTAAAAAAATCACTTTAAGACAAAAAGAGTAAGATGGAAAGTCACAGCTATTTCAAGGGAATCATTTGCCAGATCTTGACTTTATCTTCATGTGAACTCTTTCCCAAGAGATCTTTACCATGGCTCATCTCCCTCATTACAAAAGAAAGGCAAATTTCTCAATCATCCTGAACTTTACTATAATGCTTCAAGTATAAACACCTCCAGCGTACAAAACGAAGGGAAAAACTGAAGTAGTAAAGTTGGCGTTGAGAAAGTGAATTATTCTAATGACAGGGTAACAATAATTTTTGCAAGTGAGGGGATTTCCAATTCCTTTTTTTTTTTTTTTTAACAAAGTCTCGCTCTGTCACCCAGGCTGAAGTGCAGTAGCACAATCTCAGCTCAGGGCAACCTCCACCTCCTGGGTTGAAGTAAGCACACCTAATTCTTGTATTTTTAGTAGAGACGGGGTTTCACCATGTTGGCCAGGCTGGTTTCAAACACCTGACCTCAAGTGATCCACCCACCTCAGCCTCCCAAGGTTCTGGGATTACAGGCATGAGCCACCATGCCTGGCTGGGTTTTCCAATTCTTTGCTTTCAGCAGAACTGGAGGAGGACATAATCCATTACATCAGCTGACATATATTAAAAATAACTCTTTTTCCTTTTTTTAAAACTACATGTTAGAGTTGTGAGAAAAAAATTACTTAATAATAAGTCATCATGTGGGTTTTCTTTTAGATGCATAACCTGGAAAGACTTCAAAATGACATGGCTACAGCAAAACTTTTTACACTTGTATCTACTTATTTATGTAAGCACAGTTTCTCAGGATGTAAAATATGCATATTAAAAAGAAAGAATGGAATTTATGCTGAACCTTGTCTCATTCTAGCAGCTAGTAATATTCATCAAGGTAAAATTATCCTAATTTGAAATTAAAAAAAATAGATCCACCCATCTCCTTAAGGGTGCAATTCCAATAAAAATTTAGCTTTTGTTTCTAATAACTGCATACATTTTATGTACTATACTTCTTTTATGTACCATACTCCTTTTATGTACCAATGTATTGTTTCATTGAAAACTGGAGAAAGAAACTTTAACACTCAGAGCTTTAGGATCACAAAATGTCGTTTTATAATTCAATTAATATGGATATTATTGTTACAGAAAAGTATGATAGGGTGATCAAAATAACATTTTCAAGCTTAAAAACTACATTAAGATAAAGGTATAAAAGGAGAGTAGAAGGAAAATCTGAGTTCAAACAGAAGGAATTATGTGGTAATTAGCACTGTTAAAGGGGAAATTGTTCATCCATATATAAAAACACTTTTATTATGGAAAATTTCAAACATACACAAAAACAGAGAATGATATAGTAAACCCCTACCACCTGGCTTTAACAATTACTAGTATTTTGCCAATATTATTTCATCTATTCCTCCTTTGTTTTTTTGGCTGAAGTTTTAAAGGCAAATTTTAGATATCTGTTTATAATAAATCATGTATTTGCAAAGCAAATGATGATAGGTATCAATTTAATATTGTACTTTGAGTTAATCAGAAACATTACAAAAGAGTAATATTTTTTAATGTCAATTTTTTTTTTTTTTTTTTTTTGAGACAGGGTCTCATTCTGTTATCCAGGCTGGAGTGCAGTGGTGCCATCTTAGCTCATTGAAATCTCTGCCTCCTGGGTTCAAGCAATTCTCCCACCTTAGCCTCCTGAGTAGCTGGGACTACAGTGCGCCTGGCTAATTTTCTGTAGTTCTTATCAAGACGGGGTTTCACCATGTTGGCCAGGCTGGTGTCAAACTCCTGACCTCAGGTGATCCACCAGCCTTGGCCTCCCAAAGTGCTGGGATTACAGGCATGAGCCACCACACTCAGTCTAATGTCAAGATTTTAAAATGTCAATATTTAAAATATATAATATACAAAATTTATAATACACAATAATTATAATAGACTACTTTGTTGATTCTAAGAAGGACATTAATAAAAAAGGATAAGTATGACACATTGCTTTTCTTATTTTGTTTTAAAAAATGCTACTTTTAAAAATACATATTTTGTTTTGGACGTAAGTATATATTATAACCAGAGAAGAATATAATATTTTGCAGCTTTAGATGCCTTGTGACATCATTATAGTCTGTCCCTTCTTTACAATTCCAAAATACAAGAATTCTGAACACTAAATTTTTCATAAATTTAGTGTATGCTTATTGGGCAGCAGAATCTACCAGAAATGATGTGAAGTTAATTCGCTTAATGTGAATATATTTTTTACTGCAAATATATTCACTATGTTTGATTAGAGAGTGCTGCCTCAGACCCTGATGGAATATTACATGCATGATGAAAGGCAGCAAGTTTTTTAAAAAAATGTCTGAAACATTTTTAACATATGACCTCAAGGGTTTCAGGTAAGATGTTCTCACTTGTAAGTGGGAGCTAAGCTATGAGGACGAAAAGTCATAAGAATGATATAATGGACTTTGAGAACTTTGGGGTACGGTGGAAGGGAAATGAGGGACAAAATACTATACACTGAGTACAGTGTACAATGCCTGGGTGAAGGTGCACCAAAATCTCAGAAATCACCATGAAAGAACTTATCCAGTTAACCAAAAGCCACCTGTTCCCCCCAAACTACTGAATTTTAAAAAATTTTTGGCTGGTCACGGTGGCTCATGCCTGTAATCCCAGCACTTTGGGTGGCCAAGGTGGGCAGATCACGAAGTCAGGAGTTCGAGACCAGCCTGGTCAACATGGTGAAACCCCGTCTCTACTAAAAATACAAAAATTAGCCGGGCGTGGTGGTGGGTGCCTGTAATCCCAGCTACTCGGAAGGCTGAGGCAGGAGAATTGTTTGAACCCGGAAGGCAGAGGTTGCAGTGAGCTGAGATCGTGCCACTGCACTCCAGTCTGGGCAACAGGGCAAGACTCCATCTCAAAAACAAAAAGCAAGCAGACAAAAATTTTTTGTTAAAGTTTCAGGTAAGGGTTTGTGAACCTGTAGTCATATATTTTATTTAATTTAGCTGTACAAAATTGACATGGTGTATTTTTAACCCATTTATTGCATTACTTACTTTGCAGTTGGCAGTCTGGTCTCTGTTGAGTTAACAAAATGGAATATAGTATAAAGCAAATAAGCACCACATTCATATAGCTGAGGCCCACAGAAGCAGAAAGAACTATGCTAATAAGTAAAAATACCAGGATCTTTAAATGGAACTCGGCTAACACATGATAACTTTTTTTTTTGGTATTAAACTTATTTTGTCTAAAATATAATCAAATCCTAAAAGCTTGCATTATTATTAGACCCATTTCCATCTAGAAATAGCGACTGATTGATGAAATCACTAAACAAACTCCATGCTGGAAATCTTAATCATTTGAGTTATTTCTTAAACCCCTCTTTGCTTCAAATACCTTATATTCCCCAAGCCCTACAGTCCCTCCTTTGAATAATATAAATGGGACCTTTATGCCTTAAGTAAACAATGAAACATGCTTTGTCTTTTAGAAAAACATTCTGCAGAAATTTTCCAAAATAGAAATAGTATGTTTTCTTCACATTTTAACTGTGGCAAATGTTCTATTTGTACAATCTAAAAAAAAAAAGTCCCAATTGTTCAGTGTAATATCTGACAATCCACAAGAACCAAAACTATAGTGAGTGTCAAAAATAGGCTGGGCGCAGTGGCTCACGCCTGTAATCCCAGCACTTTGGGAGGCCGAGGCAGGGGGATCACCTGAGGTCAAGAATTCAAGACCAGCCTGGCCAACATGGCAAAATCCCGTGTCTACTAAAAATACACAAATTAGCCAGGTGTGGTGGCAGGCACCTGTAGTTCCAGCTACTCGGGAAGCTGAGGCAGGAGAATCGCTGGAACCCAGGAGGCAGAGGTTGTTGCAGTGAACCAAGATCGTGCCACTGCACTCCAGCCTGGGCAACAGGGCAAGATGTCATCTCAACCAAAAAAAATAAGTAATAAAATAAAATAAAATAAAATAAAATAAATAAAGCCACAGCAGTAAGCATGTGAATAACAAAAGAATCTTAAAATTTGTTAGGCCAGGCGTGGTGGCTCATGTCTGCCATCCCAGAACTTTGGAAGGCTGAGGCGGGTGGATTGCTTGAGTTCAGGAGTTCGAGACCAGCCTGGGCAACGTAGCGAAACCTCATCTCTACTAAAACAAGCTGGTTGTGGTGATGCATGCCTGTTGTCTCAGCTACTCTGGAGGCTGAGGTTGGAGAACTGCTTAAGCCACGGTAGGTCAAGCCTGCAGTGAGCAGTGATTGTGTCACTGCACTCCAGCCTAGGGGACAGAGTGAGCCCCTGTCTCCAAAATAAATAAATAAATAAATAAGAATAAAATAAAATTTGCTTAGCAAAGAGCATAACACTACAAATAGCAAAAATTAAAGTATTATTTAAGCCAGCTTATTGGATTTATGCTTTTTCTTAGGTGTTTAAAAATCAATTCTAGTTCTTAATAAGAATTACTTAAGTTATGGAGTTGTATTTACTAAGATATCTAAAATTAAAATAACATCATCAGGATGCTGATCAAAAGTTGTAAATTTTAAGATCAGTGAAAACTGTGAACTACAAGGTTTTATATTTTCTTCTAGTCTGGCAGGAGGTTTGGTTATTATTTTATTACAATTCATTTCTAGTCTCAGAACTGTTGTGTTAACTGAATAGTCACAGGACTAGGAAGAAGGGAAGATACTTTTTTCCCTCCTCTTTCTCTAGCCTAATATTCTGGCTAATTTTTAAGTGATTTTTATATTAATCACATGCCTACTGCTGTGATTTTACTTTTCACTCAACTATATTGCCTCTAGCCCTACTTCAGAGCGATCACTCTATCCCCTTATCCTTACCATTTAATAATCTCTCCCCAATATTTGGTCCTAATCTGTGGCAGTGCAAGAACCTTGGCAGTGCAAGAACCATGGCACTCAGAGGTACCAGGGTAGTTGGCAGTAGCAGCCACTGATTTAAAATAAAAAGCAATGGAGAAGCGGACCACAAACCAGCACCAAGTCAACCAACAGGCATAACCAAACTCCTCTTGACTGCTGTCCAATGCTCACTGTCCCCTGAACCCCATCTTGTCCTAAAACATACACTCTGAAAAAGGCATGTAAAGAGTCAGCTCTGGGAGTTCCAACAGTAGTGAAAAGAAGTAGTAGCATAACATCATCATTAAGGGAGATCTCACAACTGCTAGATATTTATGCTTAAAACAGTATCTTGTAGCATTATACACGTTCATATATATATGATCATTTCCCATGCTCAACAATTTTCTAAGGCAGGTAAATCAGCGGAAGAAAAGTAGAGAAACTGAGATACGCAGTGATTTCTCCAAGTATACATGACTAGGTGCATATGGCACTGATGTTTTCAGAGTATAGTGGTTTAGAGTGTACTGGGGGTCCAGACTTTGAAGGTTGGAATCTTGATTTCACCATTTCTGAGCTATGTGATCTTGAGTAAGTGATTTAATCTCCTTATACTGTACATGGGGATTTTCACTGGGTTGTGTCAGGACTAAATATATTAATATATGTAAAGCACTCTGGGACAGTGGTCAAGCTAAGTGTGTGCTTCTATTCACTTCCCAGGAAATAGCATTTTCTAATCTCTTGATTTAAGTAAAAAGAAAAGTCAACATTTTTGCTTCTGGATTACACTGCTTGTCCAATCTTTAGATAAATAGCCAGGTAAGATTCTAAAAGAAGCAACTAGCCTGGGAGAAGCAACTGTCCTAGGAAGGCACTAAATATAGAAGGTAAAAAGGTAATCACTCACCAGTAACAAGCTCAGATGGCAAAAATCCACCTGCTCCCAGAATGTAAATGAGAAGCCTAGTTGCTTTCTGAGCTGGTCAGGCTGCACCCTCTCATTCCGCGTTAAGTAGTAATCTACCCATCCTTTAAAAACTATTGTTAACACTCTATTATCTGAAGGGAAGTCAAGAATTAGATCCTCCTTGGCTTCGCTTATGTCCAATGAGTGATATACAAACATGATTTGTTATTATTAGGAATAAAATACTTTTTATAATAAAAATATTTACTTGGTGGTGTGAGGTATACATGGATTAATATGTACAATCCTCTTAGAAGTGCTTGATGTTAATTATTAGCATGTGCCCTCTTCCTTATTTTTACCCACCGACCCCTGACAATCATGCCAGTCACACACTCAACCCTGCTTTCAGCTGCTTTCACTAAATTACCATAATACCTCTGGGACAACAATCTCAAGATGTAGTTCACTGTTCTAACTTCCACATTATCCAAGGTCTCATTAAGGGTTCATCTAGGGAAGAAGCCTGTGGGACATTTGAGATATCTGGAAGTGGCTAGGTGTCCTTGCTGTAAACCCATCTGTGTCCTAGGGTAGAGCCCTCCCCCATTTCAGTGAGGTGTGAAGAGTCTTTGCAGAGGGCTTTAGGAATGGACTGTTGTGAGCTTTCCTTCTCACTCCCTGTTCCCATCCAGCCCCTTGTGCTCCCATTACCAACCACATTTCTAAATTTTCATTTGGATTGCTTTATTTCTGACCTAGCTTAGCTAGCCATTAAGCTCTGTCTTATTTATATAATTATGAGGTTGATTTTTAAAAAGTATATAAGGGAAATATGAGTCTTAAATTTTTCTTAAAAAAATTTTTTTCTAGCTGTTTGTCCACGTTTCCATGTTTCAATTTTCAGAACAAATTAGTTTTTCTTAAGACATTCTCTGCAGAAAGACAACACTGCATACTCAAATTCTTTTATTTATTTAAAGATTGTGTCATTCCAGATAAAGAACTTGTTTTTCTGGTAAGAAATAACTTACCTTAAATGAATTCCTTATGTCTCTTAAAGCAGGGAGGAGCCTGATCTCTAATATAATCTGTGAATGTAACATCCATTAGAACACAACATGGTTTGCTTTCCACTCTTTCATTTAAAGAGTTTTATATTAGACCTTGGCCGTATATTTGGAGTGGAGGAAGAGAACTGTGATAGAGATATGGCCATGACCATCTAGCTTTCTCAATGGACAACTGGATTTGATACAAAAAGACCTCAACCCTGAGCCAACCCAAACCTGTAGTACACTGCGGGATAAAAACACAGAAAAGAGCCAGGTGCGGTGGCTCACGCCTGTAATCTCAGCACTTTGGGAGGTCGAGGTGGGCGGATCACAAGGTCAAGAGATCGAGACCATCCTGGCCAACATGGTGAAACCCCGTCTCTACTAAAAATACAGAAATACAAAAATTAGCTGGGCGTGGTGATGCGTGCCTGTAGTCCCACCTACTCAGGAGGCTGAGGCAAGAGAACTGCTTGAACCCGGGAGGTGGAGGTTGCAGTGAGCCAAGATCGGGCCACTGCACTCCAGCCGGGACAGAGCAAGACTCCGTCTCAAAAAAGAGAAAACAAGCAAATGAACAAACAAAAAAACCCAAAGAGAAGAGTTCAGAATGGGACTTACCTGGTTTTGATGTTTAAGTTAGTAAATCCCATGTTTTATGCCTAAATGCTCAACAGGAAGGAATATAATTAAATGTTATGATATAAAACAATAGTGTACACTATTAGGAAATTATTAAAATAAGATTTTAAAAGAATATTTAATAAAATCAGAATTTTAAAAGTATGTGTATATATATCTAGTATATGTTTATATCGGTACATATATGTATATTATAGAAGGAAATATACAAAATATTAACAGTTGTTACATTTAGTGGTATGCTTCTTATATCTCTAATTCTCTTTTATTCTTTCTTTCTTTTTTTTTTTTTTTTTAAAGAGTCTTGCTCTGTCACCCAGGCTGGAGTGCAGTTGCACCATCTCAGCTCACTGCAAACTTTGCCTCTTGTATTCAAGAAATTCTTGTGCCTCAGCCTCCTAAGTAACTGGGACTACAGGCGTGCACCACCACGCCTGGCTAATTTTGTATTTTTTGTAGAGATGGAATTTCACCATGTTGGCCAGGCTGCTCTCGAACTCCTGACCTCCAGTGATCCACCCACCCTGGCCTCCCAAAGTGCTGGAATTACAGGTATGAGCCATCACATCTGGACTCATTTTCTTTTCTTTTTTTTTTTTACAGAAATATATACCCTTTTTCTTAATTTTCTGTAATGACCATATATTACTTCTAAAGTAGAAATTTAAATATATTTTAATGGAAGAGGGTTATTAGCTTAAACATGTTTGAAAATTATAGAGAATAAATGTTTTTAAAAACATTCCAGGCTGGGCATGGTAGCTCACGCCTGTAATCCCAGCACTTTGGGAGGCTGAGGTGGGTGGATCACAAGGTCAAGAGACTGAGACCATCCTGGCCAACATGGTGAAACCCTGTCTCTACTAAAAGTACAAAAATTAGCTGGGCGTGGTGGTGCACGCCTATAATCCCAGCTACCTGGGAGGCTGAGGCAGGGGAATTGCTTGAACCTGGGAGGCGGAGGTTGCAGTGAGCGGAGATGGTGCCATAGCACTCCAGCCTGGCAACAGAGTGAGACGCTGTCTAAAAAAAAAAAAAAAAAAAAAAAAAAAAACCACTCCAGATGTTTGATAAACCCACAATGTCTCTTCCTAATAAAATTCATTTTTCAAGAATTGCTAAACTGGCCAGGTCAGTGGCTCACACCTGTAATCCCAATGCTTTGGGAGGCCAAGGCAGGAAGATCATTTGAGGCCAAGTGTTCTAGACCAGCCTGGGTAATGCAGTGAGACTCTGTCTCTACAAACATTTTTAAAAAAAAATTAGCCAGGCATATTGGTGTGTGCCTATAGTCCTAGCTACTCAAGAGGCTGAGGCAGGAGGATCACTTGAGCCTAGGAGTTTGAGGCTACTGTGTAGCCTGGGCAACAGAGTAAGATCCTGTCTCAAAAAAAACAAACAAAAACAAACAAACAAAAAAACAAGACAATAAAAAACAAACAACCCAATAATGGGCAAAAGATTTGAATACCCACTTCACTAAAGAAGATATATGAATTGCAAATAAACACATAAAAAGATGCTCGGCCAGGCGTGGTGGCTTATGCCTGTAATCCCAGCATTCTTGGAGGCCAAGGCGGGTGAATCACCAGCTCAGGAGTTCGAGACCAGCCTGGCCAACATGGTGAAACGCCGTCTCTACTAAAAATTGAAAAAATTAGCTGGGCGTAGTGGTGGGCGCCTGTAATCCCAGCTACTCTGGAGGCTGAGGCAGGAGAATCACCTGAACCCTGGAGGTGGAGGCTGCAGTGAGCCAAGATCGCACCACTGCACTCCAGCCCAGGTGACAGAGTGAGATCCATCTCAAAAACAAAACAAAACAAAAAGATGCTCAACAATATTAATAATTCATGAAAAGCAAATTAAAACCACAATGAGATGTCACTACATATCACCAGAATGTCTAAAATCAAAAGACTGACTAACATTAAGTGTTGGTGAGGATACTGAGTGACTGAAACTATCATGTATTGCATGTGAGGATGGAAAATGATACTGACACTTTGGAAAAGAGTTTGGAAGTTTCTTATATGGTAAACATACTCTCGGGTGATAACTCAGCATTCCCACCCTTAGGAATTTCCTCAAATAAAACAACATATATGTTTACCCAAAGACCTGTATACAAATGTTTAGTTTTTAAAATTTGTATTTATGAGAGCCCCAAACTGGAAACAACTCCAATGTCCTTTAACTGGTAAATGGGTTGTGGCAGTTCATATAATGGAATTCTATCTCATAATAAAAAGAAGGGCATTCCTGGGAAAGAGGATGCCTGGCACAAAGGCTCAAGACAAGAAATAGCTTGGTGTATTGATGTAACTACTAGGATTTCAGGGTTGCTGGAAGGTTGTGTAAGGGGGTAAGCCATTGTTAAAATAGACTACATACCTTGTAGAGTATGCTAAGGCATAGGGCTTGTATTTTTGGTGAAGGGTATAACTTCTACAACTGGATTTGGGCAGAATAAGATAAGCAGGTAGACACTGAGATAAACAGAAAAGAAAATATTTGTTCAACGAGCACGAGTTGGCATATTGTCAAAGAATCCTAACCTGTACAGGTAGGCTAGGACATCAAAGACAGGGAACAGTGACATCCTTTCGAATTTTCCAGAGACTGTGATTTACATACATAGGACAAGTAAGATCTACATGTGATTCTGTGTAATTTCTGCATGTTTGCATTAGATTTACAGTTTCTCTTTCAATGTTCAGGTTAACACATTATTAAAGTCAGAGTAGTGACTGTATAGACACTCAGAAATTCGATACTTTCCAAGTAATCAAAAGACTATTGAGGGAAAAAGAACATAATATTTTCTTCTGTCAATAGAGTTAATAGGCCAAGTGCAGTGGTTCACGCCTATAATCCTAGCACTTTGGGAGGCCAAAGTGGGCAGATCACTTGAGGTCAGGAGTTCGAGACCAGCCTGGCCAACATGGTGAAACCCCATCTCCACCAAAAATACAAAAATTAGCTGGGCGTGATGGCATGCGCCTGTAATCCCAGTTACTTGGGAGGCTGAGGCAGGAGAATTGCTTGACCCCAAGAGGCGGAGGTTGCAGTGAGCCGAGATTGCACCACTGCATTCCAGCCTGGGTGACAGAGCAAGACTCTGTCTCAAGACAAAAATAAAAAATAGAGTTAATAAAGTTTTAACGCTATTTTACTCCAGGTTTTGGCACTAAAATATATCTTCATAAGATGAAGCTAAGAAGCATAACACATTTCTATGTAAATGAATTACATAGAGTTTATAGGTCACCCTTCAATTTAAGAAATTTGTAGAACAAATAAAGCCCATTAGGATGGGTTGGCCATAGCTATAGGAGTGTCCCAGACAGAAATCTAAAATAGGAAGAAACTGGATCATGGTCACCAGGGAAAAGTTGGAACTAAAGAAGCTGAGGAGCTAGGGGAAGCAGCCATCAGAACTGTTCCCAGAAAGACAAGTTATAGTAATGGAGACTTCTTGCTACGTGCTGCCTTTACACCAAGTTTCCTTGGCAGTCCTGAGTGCTCTGCCTTGGTCTATAGCATCTGAATGGAATAACCAGAGGGCCATACTGGAAGGAAAGAATGCATATCTAAAGGAATGAATAAGTAGGGGACTGACGAGAGAGTGTAAGACAATGAATCAGTTCCAATGGGCTATACCACTTCTCTAAGAATATTTAACTAACTGGACTCATGTAACTTGTGGCCGTGACATGTATGTCTAAACTTAGCTCAAGCGTGGCTTTGTCCACCTTGTGTCCCAATTCTGGTAACTAGGCTTCTATTGAAAGCCAAAACTCTACTGTCCACTTTTACTTAATTCAGATTTAAAAATAGGCCTGCTTTGTTCCATGTGTCAGTGTCAAATGTATTGGTTTTCCTAATAGTTCAGCCTATCTAGAACTTTCTTGGCTTTTGCTAGTCCTACTCTTATGGAATGGAATTCTGACTCTGAGTAATGAATAATTAAATGTAAATGCTTCTGCTAAAGTGGTTTCATTGGCTGTTAACTAGATGCCAAATAATAATAAAGGTATTAAGTATTATGCATACCAGCAGTGAATTCAAGTTCAAAGTTCTGGCTTGAACCTTTTGGAAAAAAAATAATTTTACTGTGCCCGAGGAATGATGGTCATTTAGAAACCACATAATATTATTAGACTAAACTGAGCCAACTATTTCAAGGGGGGTGGGGAAAACGAAAAATTCTTTACTTATCATCACCTTTGTATCCATGATACAAGTAAATGTTATTATAGTGATAAGGAAATGATTAATAAATCCAATCAGAACTCCTAAGAAACAATAATATAATGAAAGATTAGAAAGACTTACAAATATTAAATAAATCAATGAATTGTAGGTTAACATGTCAACACAAGCTGATATTAGAAAGACCCCTTCCTCCCAATACAAACACATGGATCAAATATAATAATGGAAGATTTGGTTGTAATGTCAAGCTTGAAATTGACAGGAAAATCTCCAAACTAAATTCCCTGCATACAACCAGGAGTCGTAAGGGGCTGATCATCCCATGAAATGAAAGAAGCTCAGCCACTGACCCTGCCTAGGAAACTGTAAGGAAGCTTTGCCCTCTGTCTAAAATATTAGGTGGAAAAGAAGTCACCCACTGGAAGCCAGCACCTCCGCCTGCAGGTAACTGTGGAATGATCCTAAACTGAGATGTTTGCATTGTAACTGGTCCAGGTATGGCAAAATCCATCAGCCTAGGCAGAGGCAAATGTGAAACTACACTGTGGTTCAGATTCCATATCCTGAGTACATAACAAGAATGCCCAAATCAACCCCCTGCTGGAGAAGAATTTACAGTTGGAGATTATAATCTGTTTAAGGAAATAAGTGAATCACTGTAAGAAAGTATTAGCCAGACACAACAAATAGGAGAATTTGTAAGCCAAGGAAGAGAAAAAAGGATATAGTTTAGTTGTAAAGATACTTTGAAATAAGTATTTGTAAGGAAGGAAGGAATACAATGACAATGAAAGAACAAGGCTGTATTGTAAGTCAGAGCAGGCAGATTTGTACAGGAGCCAAACAGAATCCTCCTGCAAATAAAATATATACTCATGAGAAAAAAAAAACACTTCAATGGATAGAGTTCAAATCTCTTTTCTTTCATTAGTTTATCTACAACTCTGGTGGTCTTTTGTTACTTAACTCTGGAGATTAACTCTTACATACATGTTTTTTTAAACAGGAAAGACTAATTTCCCCTGCCACCCTGGAATTGCATATGGAAGACTAGATATGCTTTACATCCTTTTTTGGAAATTGATTGCAAACTCTAGTTTTGAGCTCTGGATGCCACACTAAATTTCTAGCATACTTAACATGAGTTTTCATTGATTTCTATTAAATTAACATAAAAATACACACAAGCACATTTCTTGGCACTCTCCCAAAAGGACACCCTTTTCAAATATCCTAGTTATAGTAAAGTAACAGGTAATTATTAGTTAATCAAATCATTATTTTAACTGTGTCATGACTGGTACATATTCTAAAACAAAATTTTAAAAATAACAATTTACATTTATAATTAAAACTATGATTTCTGGTACTTATAAAATCTGTTTTTAGTCGCAGAACAAGGAAAAAATATGGATATTCTAGTAATACTATGCAACTGATAATATCACTATTACATAAATGAAAATTATCTTATTTTAAAAATAGTTTTGCAATTTAAATACCTTAAAATGCCAAGTTAATAATTATTCTCCTACCATAGAAGCATATCAAGAATAAATTATATAATGGTGGAAATTCATGTTTTCTTTCCAAATAACCTTGTATTTGGTATATTTGGCATTACAGTTCTTTTTCAATTCTATAGAGAATAAATGCAAAATTGTAGTGGATGTTCAACAGGAATGAGAGTCTTCCAATAAGTCACTGTTACTTGTTAAGTACCTCTTGTGACTGATATCCAAATCAAGAAGCCATGTAACAATGAATATACATACTATACATATGCAAGAACTGCTAGGTCATACAAACTTTTATTGACTGGGGAGACTAGTCTTTTAAAATTAAAAGAGAATAAAGGGCAAAACAACAAAAATACACTTAAATGGAAAAAAATAATATTAGTGTCTTTATAAAAAGCATCCTACTCAGTGGCATAAATTTAAATTCTGAACGCTCTGGGGGGAAATGTAGGAAATGGGTCCCTTTCCAAATATAATTTTGCATCTTAAAATTCAAAGGACCCATCAGCACTGAAGAAGATTAGGTAAAAAGAACATCAAAAATACAAAGAACAGTTGTATTTATTCTTTTTTTTTTTTGAGATGGACTCTCACTCTGTCTCCCAGGCTGGAGTGCAGTGGCGTGATCTCAGCTCACTGCAACCTCCACCTCCCGGGTTCAAGTGATTCTCCTGCCTCAGCCTCCTGAGTAGCTGGGATTACAGGCACATCCCACCATGCCTGGCTAATTTTTTTTATTTTTAGTAGAGACATGGTTTCACCATGTTGGCCAGGCTGGTCTCGAACTCCTGGCCTCAAGTGATCCACCCAACTTGGCCTCCCAAAGTGGTCAAAGTGCTGGGATTACAGGCATGAACCACTGCGCCCGACCAAGTTGTATTTATTCTAACGCCTTTTTTTAAAAGATAAAACGGATTAAGGGAAGGTAATGTATTTGCAAAATACTGATTGGATAGGTTTATACAGCACCAACCATACAGCAATATTTAAATCAAACTCTGATAAAAAAATGAAAATAATTTTCCAATGGTGAATATTCTTAATAACTTTGCTAATAAAGGCTGAGAGACTGAATATGCAAATGGACAATGGCCAGAACATATATAAAAATCAAACTTTGACCAACAACCTTTAGCAACCTGTCCAGGGAAGCAACCCTCTTATCTACAATAAACAGTCAAGAAAGCCAGTCTGATGTAAGTCAGAATTGCAGGAAGCCAGGTTGCTATCTCTAGTGAAAATCCAGGAAGCTAAACAAAACAATCAGTCCCAAATCGTTAGGACTTGATTAATAACTGACAGCTTCCCTAATTGTTGTCCCCACTTCCAACTTAGAACCAACTAGATAAAGCCAAATATGTACCCTAATCAATCACATACATGCTCTGCTTCTGGTTTGCCTGTATCCAGTACCCCCATGCCAACTGCCTCTGATCAGGGCATCCCAGAAGCTTTTCCACTCTTTTGCCTGCTTTTGAGTGTCCGCCAAAATGCCAGTGAAAACGGCCGACTCCCTTGCTATAGCAAGCTCAGAATAAATAGCCTTTGCTTTTCTCATTTTATTGGTCATCATTTATTTTCACAAATGCATGTAAACAGAAGGTATTACTAAAGTTAGTATTTCATAAAAAGTTAATCATTTAGCTCTTATCATGAATCACACACTGTATTAAATGTTTTTGCACGAGTTATCTAATTTAATTTCATAATAAATATAAAAATTATTACTGAAATTGATATTACTATATTCATTTTACAGATGAGGGTACTGAGGCAGAGAAATATTGAATAATTTGTTTAATACTGAGATAAGGGCCAGTGCAGTGGCTCACATCTGTTGTAATCCCAGGCCTTTGGGAGGCCGAGGCAGGAGGACTGCTTGAGTCTAGGAATTTGAGACCAGCCTGGACAACATAGCAAGACCCTATCTCTACAGAAAAATAAATTAAATAAATAAAATTATAGAAAAAATACTGAGGTTATAAGCAGTAAATCAAGGGTTAAAATCAAGACAATCTGATTCCAAAGGGGATAGCTCTTAACTACTATAGTAAATTGGACTTGAAATATGGAGATAGCTGCATATTTTAATTGCTATCAGAAGAAAATAAAAAACACAAAATTAACATTTTATTGTATTTCAACCTCACATGTGGTCACAAAGTACTATATAATAGAAGAGAAAAAAATTGAATTCATTTATATCAACCTCTTTCTTTTATAAATAACCTAAGTGACACTGAGAGGAATGAAGTACTTTGATCAATATTACATATTTATTTAACAGACAACATGAGATTATAGCCCAGATCTTCTGACTGACAGCCCAGATATCCAGCAGGCTTCATAGGGGTACAGAATATTTGCCTGGTGAGGTATATAATTCTTCAAAAAACTTTATGCAAGCGTGTAATGCTAGCACATTCCAAACATATTACATAACATGGGTTAACACTTATCTTTTATGGAGATAATGAGTTAAATGCTATTTGAGAGGCCACTGAAATTCAACGAGTATTTATTGAGTGCTCAGTCATGTTCGGTATTGTTCTAGATACTTAAGTTTCATCAGTGAATGAAATGAAAAATACCTGATCATATTTGTTTACATTCTAGTGGGTGGAAACAAACATTACACAATAGGTACAAGAAGTGGGCAAATTCTACGTTAGACACTGATAAGTGCTACGATAAAAAGAAAGTAGAGCAGAGTGAGCTTGGGAGTGCCATTTTGGCGCCTGGCGGGCAGGTCAGTCTCATTGAGGAGGTGAGGTAGTAAGCTATGCATATAGGAAGGGAAAGTGTCCCAGGCAGAAGGAACAGCCAATGCAAAATTCTGAGCAAGTTCTCTTCCTTAGAATATCAGGTTGAAAATCGTCGACAAAGTGGTTCAATGCTCTAATCTGTTTTGCCCAATTCAATCAATTGTGCAGAAATTGCAGGTGACTTTTATATTAATGATTTGAATCATGGGACTGAGGTCCCTTCACTACATTTTCAATTTATTTGGTAGTGGTGGGAGTTGGAAGGAAGAGCATCAAAAGGGGAAGAGGTGGTGCCTGGGCATCGATGTTTTTAAAAGCTCCTTGGGTGATTCTAATATGCAGCCATGGTTCAGAGCCACTATTCTGGTACAGGTGGGAAAGAGAAGGGTGTTTTTTTTGTTGTTGTTGTTCGTTTGTTTGTTTTTCATTCCTGTTCTTAGTAGTCTGCTCAATATGCTCATCAGGCTTGCTGCTCGAGTTGTCACCATCTGGAACTCCAAAACTACAAATCCCCTTCACAGAAATCCTGGGACCTCCCGTCAACCCCACTGGAGGTGAAACACAGGAGAGGTCATATTTCTTCTTTATGGCTCCATTTGTGAGTTCCCCATAACACCAACAAACAAGACTGTGTATGGGTGTGAGACGACTGAAAAAGTTGTTAGAGAATGAGAATGTAAGAGGAACGGAGAGAAGAGGGTAGCAACATGGTTGGCATAAAGTGCCTAGCAAAAAGTTTTAAGAACAAGTTTCTCTAATATTCAATTTTAAATCTGGCACTGTGGTGACAGAAAATATCTCACGTCCTCAAATCTTCAGTAAAGTCGTTTCATTTACATGTGTTTGGCAAACAGTAAGTGTCTGTTAGATGAAAGAACAAATGAACTCAAGGGGGCGAATGCAAAAAACAACAGGCCCCCAACCCAACCCTTTCCAATGCCTCCAGTGTTTTTCCCAGAGGCAACCACATTTACCTCATTGTTTTTAGTTACCCCATCTGTAAACAATCTGCTCATGCTGTGAATTTTTGATGTCTCAATCTTAGATGTTGCATACTCACTTCCTGCCAAGATAGATGAAGATTTAACTACATTAAACCACCACAAATTTTCCCTACTCATAACAGCTAATAAATTATATCACTAGTCAGCATTGCACTTATTACATTTGCAACTTTAAATAATGTAACTCACAGTTCTTGCTTCAATATAAACAATCCCTCTTCACTTTGCCAGATAAGAATTTTGTATCCCTTACCCTTGTCTTCATCTTTGGTTCCTTTATTACACTATCATGCTTCACATTTACAACCTGTTTTGTAACTATAGTTAAGCAATTCTTGCTTTGCCTACAGGTGGACTGTATTTTTGAAAATCAGTAAAGGCTATTTATGCTACATCTGTGTAAACAGTATTCACTGTCCATGAAAGTTACCTTCTATGTCTCTATTTGTTTTTTGGTACAGCTTTTTGTCATATACCCTACTCAATTAAATTATAAATTGCCTTTTTACTTTGTCTTGAATTGTCTTCCTTTATGGCATCATTAGACTAGATTCTTCCAACATTTCCAGAATACTAGCAAATCCAGGAACTCCTTTTTTTCTACAGGCAGTTCTTACAGTCCTGAAGTCTTTCAATCTGGATAGACAGGCTTCCTGTTGCATAACTATCCTGGAACTTGCGTTCACTGCATTTCTGAATTTGTTCCACTGTTTCACAGACCCAATCCACTTCATTTCCTTCAACAAGTCCCTTGTTTTCTTGGCCTGTATTCTCAAGAAACATCCTAAAAAAGAATATTAGTGAGGCAAAGCTTTCTCAAAAGTTTGGGTTTCATTTTCTTTTTCATTCTGCCCACATTATTTTATCAATAGTTTGGCATGGTATAGAATTCCAAGTTCAGGAGGCGTGGTGGCTCACACCTGTAATCTCAAATCTCAATATTTTGGGAGGCTGACGAGGGAGGATGGCTTGAACCCAAGAGCTCAAGACCAGCCTCCGCAACACAGCGAGACCCTGTCTCTAACCAATTTTTTTTTTTTAGGGGGAGTTTTGTTCGTGTCTCCCAGGCTAGAGTGAAATGGCGTGATCACGGCTCACTGCAACCTCCGTCTCCTGGGTTCAAGGGATTCTCCTGCCTCAGCCTCCCAAGTAGCTGGGATTACAGGTGCCCGCCACCATGCTCAGCTAATTTTTATATTTTTATTAGAGACGGGGTTTCACCACGTTGGCCAGGCTGGTCTCGAACTCCTGACCTCAGGTGATCCACCTGCCTTGGCCTTTCAAAGTGCTGGGATTACAGGTGTGAGCCACCGCACCCAGCCCTGTCTCTATAAAAAATAAAAAAAATTAGCTGGCATGGTGGCTTACGCCTGTAGTCCCAGCTACTCAGAAGGCAGAGAGGGAGGATCACTTAAGCCTAGGAGGTCAAGGCTTTAGTGAGCCATGACTGGGCCATTGTACAGCAGCCTGGGCAACAAAGTGAGACCCTGTGTGGACCAAATTAAAAAAAGGAATTCTAAGTTTAAAGTCATTTCTCCTAGGAACTTTTAGGGTTTCTTGTATCTTAACACTCACTCAAAAGTTTGTTGCCAGCCTGATTCTCATTCCTTTATGGAGTACTTGAACTTTCTTCCTAGAAGCTTTTAGAATCCTCTTCATTCTTGCTATCCTTAAATTTCATGATATATCTATGTATATACATATTTTTCTTTTTTCTGTTCAGTACTCAGTAGGTCTTCTACATTTGCAGAATCATGTTTCCCTTTAGTTCTGAAATTTTTTTCTTATTAAGCAAGTTTCATCCAACCACTTTCTCTTCTCTAACTTTCAGGAACTTCTACTATTCTGATGTTGAAAATGTAAATTCTTAGGATTTATCTTTTCTTTCTCTGTTGTTCTCTACTTTTCCTCTTTTCTTTAATCTTGTAGTAATGCAAATTGAGCCTACCAACTGACCTTACAGACTATGAGACAGAGAAATAAATCTCTCATGACTCATGTTTATTCTTTCCACTTAGTTAAAAGGTTTACCCAATATCAGCCCAGCTGGGTTTAGTGGGTGAGTGCTACCTATGACTGTGAGTATTCATTCCTACTACAAGTCAAGATTCATTCTCAGTGCTGTGTATATAACAGTGAACAAAGAAAAAAATTCCTGACTTCTTGAACTGACTTTGTAGTAGAGGGACACAGACAATAAAAAATTAAAATGTTGCATGTCCAGTATAATTCTGGAGTCAGCAGCTGTAGCTGCAGTTTTCTGATTTTGTAGGCAGCTTTTTGTTCAGAGACAGGCAGCAGCTTCTTTGGTGGCTTGCTCTTATAGTGTGACTCTAGGAATTTTTCTCAGAGTTCTATGTTTCTTCAGCCCTCCTATGATTCAGCAGAATATGTAATACTTGTTGAGAAATTCTTTTTATCTTTAAATTATAGAGCACATAGAATGATTTCTATGAATTCTATTCTCTGTAACTGAACCTGACTGCTACAATAGTCACAAAAATAAATTGTACTTTTCAGCAAGAAGCCTCCTTGGTATTTTTCTTTCTGTCCTCTGAGACCAAACTCTAGGGGCAAAGCTCATTTAAGTTCCCAGCACAGCCCCTACCTCAATTTTGTATGTACTCAGGGAAGCATTCCTACTATTTGCCATCTAGACAGATAATTTAACTGATGAGAATTCCAAGCTGACAGCTAAACGGAATACTGTACCAAAAAGTATCAATGAGCACTTTGGGAGGCCGAGGTGGGCAGATCACGAGGTCAGGAGATTGAGACTATCCTGGCTAACACGGGGAAACCCTGTCTCTACTAAAAATACAAAAAATTAGCCGGGCGTGGTGGCCGGTGCCTGTAGTCCCAGCTACTCGGGAGGCTGAGGCAGGAGAATGGCGTGAACCCGCGAGGCAGAGCTAGCAGTGAGCCAAGATCGCGCCACTGCACTCCAGCCTGGGTGACAGAGCAAGACTCCATCAAAAAAAAAAAAAAAAGTATCAGTGGGCTTGAGGATTATAAATCTGAAAGGCATATGAGCTTCCCAGAGCTTCAGGTTAATAAAGGAGAAATATATGAATGTAACCAGGTTAAGCCTAAAATTTGATATACCCACTTTACCATTTGATCTGCAAATACTGCAAGAACACTCAAAATGAAAATGAAGACCTCAAGCAAAAATTTATGTATGCTACTTATAAACATTCTGAAAGTGTCAGATACTATGTTTACTAGAACCCCCTGAGTCTTACATTGTCAAATTATGGCCTTTTACAACAGGGCCAATGACAGATTTGCGAATTTATGAAATACAACAGTTTATCCTGAATAGTTTACATTAGAATTATTTATTTGCTTTTGAAAAATGCATAAACATACTATTTTAGTCACCTCAGGCTGCCATAACAAAATACCCTAAACCGTGCGGCTTAAACAACAGGAATCTATTTTCTCACAGTTCTCGAGGCTGGGAAATCCAAGATCAAGGATTGGTTGATTGCCCCCCAGTTTGCCTCCTGGTGAATACTCTGTTCCCATTTTGTCGATTTCTTGGAGAGTGAGAGAGAGTGAGCTCTGGTGTTTCTTCATCTTCCTATATGGTACCAACCCTATCAGATTAGGACCCCACACTTATAGCCTCATTTAACCTTAATTATTGCCTTATAGGTCCCATCTGCAATACAGTCAACACTGGGGACTAGGGCGTCAACATCAGAATTTTGAGGTAGACACAGTTTAGTGCACAGCACATACTTCCAGAATTTTGCTTTTAGAAAATGTAAAAATATTTTACAATATTGATAATTGTAAAAACCTTTATTTAGTGATTAACATGAGCCAGGCACTATGATGTTTTATAAATGTTTTCTTATTTAATCTTTACAACCAATGAGATAAATTCAATTATCCTCATTTTACAGATGAGGAATTGATGCTCAGAGGTGCTAAGTAACTTAACCAAGATCACATGGCTAGTACAGTAAAGATTCCAACACAGACAATTCTCTTAGCTACTATGTTATAATTTAATGTATAAAATGCTGGTACATTATATATCAGTAAGAAGTGTTGTTCAGTAAGGATTTTACAACAGGTGACACTGGAGACTGAGAAGGTACCATGAACTGGCACGGTTACGTGTGTGAGATAAGCCCTACTGTAAATATACTACTGTGGGCACTGAAAGGAGGACTGAGTTCCTATCATGTAGGTATTGGGAGTTTTAGCTTATATACCAATTTGCACTCTCACCAACAGGATCTGAGTTGTTTCTCTACAATCTCACCAACTCTGGGTTTTATATTTAAATAAGACCCCACCTACAACTTCAAAATAAAAATATGAAAATATTGATATAACCCATTTGCTGTAAGAATAATCCTCTATGCAGTCATTGTGGCCTGCTTTAATCACAAGTCATCATGAAGTGCAAACCACGACAACAAGTTCACAAGGTTAAATGCAAAGCTAAGATTAAGGCTAAAATTTGATATGCCTGCTTTATTATTTAACCTGAAAATACTGCAACAACACTCAAAATGAAAACAAAGACATAAAAGAACAATTTATACAAAGATCTTGTAAACATTCTGTAAGTGTCAGATATTATTTAAATTATCTGGATTGGGGAGGAGGCAGAGCAAGATGGCCAAATAGAAGCCTCCACCAATCCTTCTTCCTGCAGGAACACCAAATTGAACAACTTGCCATACAGAAAAGTACTTTCATGAGAAACAAAAACCATGTGAGTGATCACAGTATGTGTTTTGAACTTCATATCACTGAAAGAGGCCCTGAAAAGGGTAGGAAAAATAGTCTTGCATTGCCAACACAACCCCTTCCCCATTCCCTGGCAGTGGCCCAATGGTGCCGAGACAGAACCCGTGCACTTGGAGGAGGAAGAGTGCAGTGATTGTGGAAACTGGCATGGGAACTCAGTGCTGCCCTGTAACAGTGGAAACCACCACCAGGCAGAACTCAGGCAGCACCCATGAAGGGATCATCTGGACCTGCCCTAGCCAGAGGGGACTCGCCCACCCCAGTGCTCAGAATGCATTCTGGCAGACCTCATACCACGGGCTAAAGTGCTCTGCGGTCCTAAATAGAGCTGAAAGGTGGTCTAGGCCATAAGGACTGCCATTCCTGGGCAAGTCCTGGTGCTGTGCTGGGTTTGGAGTCAGTGGACATGGGGGGCATGTGACCTAGTGAGACACCAGCTAGGGTAGCCAATTAGAGTGCTTGCACCACCCCTTCCCGTAACCCCAGGCAGCAGAGCTCCAAAGAGACACCTTCCTTCTGCTTGAGGAAAGGAGAGGGAATAATAAAGAGGACATTGTCTTGCATCTCGGATACAAGCTCAGCCACAATAGCAATAGGACAGGCATCAGGCAGAGTCCTGAGGCCCCCATTCCAAGCTCTAGCTCCAGGATGACATTTCTAGACATACCGTAGGCCAGAAGGGAACCTGCTGCCTTGAGGGGAAAGACCCAGTCTTGGCAGGATTCATCACCTGCTGACTAAAGAACCCTTGGGCCCTGAAAAATCTGCAGTGGTAACCAGGCAGTACTTGCTGTTGGCCTTGGGTGAGACCCAGTGCTGTACTAGCTTCAAGTGTGACCAAGCATATTTCCAGGTGTGGTGGCTACAAGGATAGACTATTGCTTGAGAAAAGCAGAAAGAAGAATAAAGGAACTCTGTCTTGCAGCTTAGGTACCAGCTCAGCCACAGTGGGGTAGAGCATCATGTGGGCTCTCAGGGGTCCCAGATTCCAGGCCTTGTCTCTTAGATGGCATTTCTGGACCTACCTTGCGCCAGAGAAAAGTCCAGTGCCCTGATGAAAAAGTCCCAGGCATGGCAGCATTTACCAAATTGACTGAAGAGCCCTTGGGCCTTGAACGAATAACAGCAGGTAGCCAGACAGTACTTGCTGCATGCCTGGGGTGGTGGTGGCCATGGGAAGAGACTCCTATGCTTGTGCAAAGGGAAGGGGAGAATGGGAAGAACTTTGTCTGGTGGCTTGGGTGCCAGCTCAGCCACAGTAGAATAGAGTACCAGGTAGACTCCTAAGGTTTCCAGCTCCAGGCTCTGGCTCCTACATGGCATCTCTGAATGCCCCCAGGACCAGGGGGATCTTTCTACCCTGAAGGGAAGGATACAGCCTAGCTGGCTTTGCCACCTGCTGACTGTAGAGGCCTAGGACCTTGAGTGAACCCAAGTGGTAGCCAGGCAGTGGTTACCGTGGGCCATGGACGAGACCCAGTGCTATGCTGGCTTTAGGTCTCACCCAGTGCAGTAACAGTGGTAGTAGCCACAGAGGAGCTTGTGCAACACCTCCTGCAGCTCTAGGCAGCTCAGTGGAGAGAGAAAGACTCCATTTGTTTAGGAGAAAGTGAGGGAAGAGAACAAGAGGCTCTGCCTGGCAATCCAGATAATTCTACCGGATCTTACCCAAGATCACCAAGGCAGTATCTCTTTGAGTCTGCAAGAGCCCATAGTGTTACTGGGCTTGGAACGCCCCCTAATCCAGATACAGCTGCGGTGGGAAAAAAAATTAGATCACAATACTCAAGTGCTTCTGAATAACTGAAAAGTCTTCCCAAGAAGCGTGAGTACAAACAAGCCCAGACTGCAAAGACTACAATAAATACCTAACTCTTCAATGTCCAGACACTGACAAACATCCACAAGCATCAAGACCACCCAGGAAAACATGACCTCATCAAATGAACTAAATGAGGCACCAGTGAAAAATCCCTGTTCCACAAAGACAGACATATTGCGACCTTTCAAAAAGAATTCAAAATAGGTGTTTTGAGAAATCTCAAAGAAATTCAAGATAACACAGAGAAGACATAGAGAAGGAATTCAAAATCCTATCAGATAAATATAACAGAGACTAAAATAAGTAAAAGAAATGAAGCAGAAATTCTGGAGCTCAAAAATGCAACTGACATACTGAAGACAGCAGAGCCATTTAACATCAGAACTGATCAAGCAGAATTAGTGAGCTTTGAAGACAGGCTATTTGAAAATACACAATCAGAGGAGACAAAGGAAAAAAGAATAAAAAACAATGAAGCACACCTACAAGATCTAGAAAACAGCCTCAAAAGAGCAAATCTGAGAGTTATTAGCCTTAGGGAGTAGGTAGAGAGAGAAATAGGCATAGAAAGTTTATTCAAAGGTTGTGCAGGATCTGCATTTTATGCCAAAGAAAAAAAAAGTTTATTCAAAGGGATAATAACATAGAACTTCCCAAACCCAGGGATAATAACATAGAACTTCCCAAACCCAAACTTAGAGAAAGATGTCAATATCCAAGTACAAGAAGGCTACAGAACACCCAGCAGAATTAACCCAAAGAAGAACTACCTCAAAGCATTTAATAATCAAACTCCCGAAGGTCAAGGATAAGGAAAGGATCCCAAAAGTAGCAAGAGAAAACAAACGAATAACATACAATGGAGCTCCCATATGTCTGGCAGCAAACTTTTCAGTGGTTACCTTCCAGGCCAGGAGAGAGTGGCATGACACATTTAAAGTGCTGAAGGAAAAAAAATTTCTACCCTAGAATAGTATATCTAGCATAAATATCCTTCAAAGATGAAGAAGAAATAAAGACCTTCACAGGCAAACAAAGCTGAGGGATTTTATCAACACCAGACCTGTCTTATAGGAAATGCTAAATGGAGTTCTTCAATCTGAAAGAAAAGGATGCTAATGAGCAATAAGAAATCATTTGAAGGTACAAAACTAACTGGTAATAGTAAGCACACAGAAAACACAGACTATCATAGCACTGTAATTATGGTGTATAAACTACTAATATCTTATGTAGAAAGAATAAAAGATGATCCAGTCAAAAAAAATAATTACAATAACTTTTCAAGACATAGATAATACAACAAGATATGAATAGAAATGAAAAAGTTAAAAAGCAGGGAGACTGAATTAAAGGGTAGAGTTTTTATTAGTTTTCTTTTTGCTTGCTTGTTTGTTTATGCAATCAGTGTTAAGTTGTCATAAGTTCAAAATAATGGGTAATAAGATGTTATTTGCAAGCCTCATGGTAATCTCAAATCAAAAAACATACAATGGACACACAAAAAAACAAAAAGCAAGAAATTAAAACATACCACTAGAGAAAATCACCTTCACTAAAAGGAAGACAGGAAGGAAGGAAAGAAGGAAGAGAAGACCACAAAGGAACCAGAAAACAATAAAATGGCAGGAGTGAGACCTTACTTGACAATAGTAACATTGAATGTAAAAGGACTAAAATCTCCAATCCAAAGACATACAGGGCTGAATGGATAAAAACAAGACACAACAATCTGTTGCCTACTAGAAACATACTTCACTTATAAAGAAATACATAGACTGAAAATAAAAGGATTCAAAAAGATATTCCATGAAAATGGAAACCAGAAAAGAGCAGGAATAGATATACTTATATCAGCCAAAATAGATTTGAAGACAAAAACTATAAAAAGAGACAAAAAAGCTCATTATATAATGATAAAGAGGTCAATTCAGCAAGAGGATATAATAATTTTAAATACATATCACCCAACACTGGAGCAACAGATATCTAAAGCAAACATTAGCACTAAAGAGAGATGGACTCCAATAGGATAACAGCTGGGGACATCTCAACACTCCACTTTCAGCACTGAATGAATCATCCAAACAGAAATTCCACAAAGAAACGTTGGACTTAATCTGCATGATACAACAAATGGACCTAATAGATATTTACATAACATTTCCTTAAAACATTCAAAAATGTAAAGTATAATAATATAAAGTATCTTCTCAGACCATAGTGGAATACAACTAGAAATTAATAACAGGAGGAATTTTTGAAACTATACAAACACATGGAAATTAACAATATGCTCCTGAATGACAACTGAGTCAATGAAGAAATTAAGATGAAAACTGGAACTTTTTTTGAAACACATGATAATGGAAGCTCAATATACCAAAACCTATGGAATACAGCAAAAGCAGTACTAAGAGGAAAGTTTATAGCTATATACTATTATCAAAAAAGTAGAAAAACTTCAAATAAACTAATGATTTACTTTAAAGAACTAGAAAAGCAAAGGCAAACCAACTGCAAATTAGTAGAAGAAAAGAAATAATAAAGATCAGAGCAGAGATCAATGGAATTGAAACGAGGAAAACAATAAACAAGATCAATGAAACAAAACGTTGGTTTTTGAAAAGATAAAATTGACAAACCTTTAGCCAGACTGAGGAAAAAAGAGAGAAGACCCACATAAATAAAATCAAAGACAAAAAAGGAGACATTATAACTAATACTGCAGAAATTCAAAGCATCATTAGTGGCTACTATGAGCAACTATATGCCAATAAATTGAAAAATCTAGAAGAAATGAATAAATTCCTAGACACATACAACCTACCAGAATTTAACCATGAAGAAATCCAAAAACTGAGCAGATCAATAACAAGTAATGAGATCAAAGCCATAATAAAAAAATCTTCCAGCAAAGAAAAGCCTGGGACCCAATGACTTCACTGCTGAGTTCTGCCAAACATTTAGAGAAGAACTAATACCAATCCTACTCAAACTATTCTGAAAAACAGAAGAGGAGGGAATATTTGCAAACTCACTCTATGAGGCCAGTATTACCCGGTTACCAAAACCAGGTAGACACATCAAAATAAATAAATACATAAAAATAAAAAATTAACTGCAGGCCAATATCACTGATGAATACTGATGCAAAAATCCTCAACAGAATACTAGCAAAGTGCATTCAAAAACACATTAAAAAGATCATTCATCATGACTAAGAGGGATTTATCTCAGATGCAAGAATGATTCATCATATGCAAAACAATGTGATACATCATATCAACAGAATGAAGGACAAACACCATATGATCTTTTTAATTGATGCTGAAAAAGCATTTGATGAAATTCAACATCCCTTGATGATAAAAACCCTAAAAAAACTGGGTATAAAACTCAACATAATAAAATCTATATACAATAGATCCACAGCTAGTAAGTATCATACTGAATGAGGAAAAATTTAAAGCCTTTCCTCTCATACCTGGGACATGACAAAGATGCCCACTTTCACCACTGTTATTCACCATAGTACCAGAAGTTCTAGCTAGAGCAATCAGACAAGAGAAAGAAATAAAGGGCATCCAAATCGGAAACGAAGAAGTCAAATTATCCTTTTCAGATGATGTGATCTTATCTTTGGAAAAACCTAAAGACTCCACCAAAAAACTATTAGATCTGATAAACAAATTCAGTAAAGTTGCAGATACAAAATCAACACATAAAAATCAGTAGCAGTTCTATTGCCGACAGTGAACAATCTGAAAAAGAAATCAAGGAAGTAATTCCATTTACAATACCTAGAAATAAAATTAATTACCCAGAAATTAACCAAAGAAGTGAAAGATCTCTACAGTGAAAACTATACGAAATTAATGAGGACACAAAAAAATGGAAAGGTATTCCATGTTCACAGATTGGAAGTATCCATATTGTTAAACCGTCCATATTTCCCAAAGCAATCTACAGATTAAATGCAATCTCTATCAAAATACCTATGACATTCTTCACATAAATAGAAAAAAAAATCCTAAAATTTATATAGAACCACAAAAGACTCAGAATAGCCAAAGCTATCCTGGGTAAAAAGAACAAAACTGGACGAATCACATTACCAGGCTTCAAATTATACTACAGAGCTATAGCGACCAAAATGACATGGTATTGGCATAAAAACAGACATAAAGACCAGTGGAAGAGGGCCCAGGCACAGTGGCTCATGCCTGTAATGCAAGCATTTTAGGAGGCCGAGGCGTGTGGATCCCTTGATGTCAGTTTGAGATCAGCTTGGCCAACATGGTGAAACCCTGTCTCTACTAAAAGTACAAAAATTAGCTGGGCATGGTGGCTCACACCAGTATTCCCAGCACTTTGAGCACTTTTGGAAGGCCGAGGCGGCACTTGAGGCCGGGAGTTCGAGACAAGTCTGGCCAACATGGTGAAACCATGTCTCTACTAAAAATACTAAACTTAGTCAGGCATGGTGGCACGCACTTGTAATCTCAGCTACTTGAGAGGCTGAGGAAGAAGAATCGCTTGAACCCAAGAGGTGGAGGTAAAAGTGGGCCGAGATCTTGCCACTGCACTCCAGCCTGGGTGACAGAGGCTGACTCCATTTCAAAAAAAAAAAAAAACAATGGAACAGAATAGAGAACCCAGAAACAACTCCATATATCTGCAGTCATTTTCGACAAAGGTGCCAAGAATACACATTGGAGAAAGGACGGTCTGTTTAATGAATGGTGCTGGGAAAACTGGATAGCCATATGCAGAAGAATGAAAGTAGACCTCTATCTCTCACCATACACACAAATCAAATCAAAACGGATTAAAGACTTAAATCTAAGATCTGAAACTATGAAACTACTAAAAGAAAACATTGAGGAAGCTCTCCAGGACATTGGGCTGGGCAAAAGAGTTGCTGAGTAATACCCTGAAAGCACAGGCATCCAAAGCAAATATGGATAAATGTGACCACATCAAGATAAAAAGCTTCTGCACCGCAAAGGAAACAATCAACAAAGAGACAATCCACAGAATGGGAATAAAATATTTGCAAACTATCCATCTGACAAGGGATTAATAACCAGTATATATAAGGAGCATGAACAACTTAATAGGAAAAATTATAATAATCTGAGTTTAAAAAGGACAAAAGGGCCAGGCACCATGGTTCCCACCTGTAATCCCAGCACTTTGGGAGGCCAAGGCAGGAGGATCACTTGAGGCCAGGAGTTCAAGACCAGCCTGGGCAACATGGGCAGGCTGTTTTTTTGTAGAAACCCCATCTCTACAAAAAAAAAAAAAAGAAAAAAAAATTAAAAGAAAATTTAGCTAGGTGTGGTGGTGCACACCTCTAGTCCCAGCTACTCAGGAGGCTGAAGTGGGGGGATTACTTGAGCCCAGGAGTTCGAAGCTTCAGTGAGCTAGATCAAACCACTGCATTCCAGCCTGGATGACAGAGCAAGAACCTATCTCTCAAAAAAAAAAAAAATTTAAAATGGGCAAAAGATGTGAATAGACATTTACCAAAAGAAGGCATACAAATGACAAATAAGTATATGAAAAGGTGCTCAACATCACTCATCATCAGAGAAATGCAAATCAAAACTACAATGAGATATCATTTCATCATAATTAAAATGGCCTATATCCAAAAGACAGGCAATAACAAATGCTGATGAGGATGTGGAGAAAAGAGAACCCTTGTACACTGTTGGTGGGAATGTAAATTAGTACAGCCACTACGGAGAATAGTTTGGATATTCCTCAAAAAGCTAAAAATAGAGCTACCACATGATCCAGCAATGCCACTGATAGGTATATACCCCAAAGAAAGGAAATCAGTATATCCTAAGATATACTTGCACTCCCATGTTTATTGCAGCACTGTTCACAACAGCCAAGATTTGGAAACAACCTAAGTGTCCATCAATAGACAAATAAAGAAAATGTGGTTTATGTACACAACGTAGTAGCATTCAGCCATAAAAATGAATGAGATCCTGTTATTTTCAACAAAATGGATGCAACTGATGTCACTACTTTAAGTGAAATAGGCCAGGTACAGAATGACAAACTCTGCATGTTCTCACTTATTTGTGGGAGCTAAAAATTAAAACAACGGAACTAACAGAGAATAGAATGATGGTTACAAGGCTGGGCAGGGTAGTGGGGAATTAAGGGGCAGAGTGGGGATGGTTAATAGGTACAAAAGTATAGACAGAATTAGATCTAGTATTTGACAGCACGAGAGTGACTAGTCAACGATAATTCATTGAACATTTTAAAATAACTAAGTATAATTAGATTGTTTGTAGCACAAAGAAAGGATAAATATTTGAGGTGATGGATACTCCATGTACCCTGATGTGATTATTACTTATTGTATGCCTGTATCAAAATCTCATGTACCCCATAAATATATATACCATGTACTCACAAAAAATAAAAATTAAAAATTAAAAGAATTATCTGGATTGGACTGGCATAGCTTTCAGGAATTTATATGTTTATTTTTAATTTTTTTGGTTACATAGTAGGTGTATATATTTAAAAATACGGAACGCTTCACGAATTTGCGTGTTATCCTTGGGAAGGGGCCATGCTAATCTTTATATTATTCTAATTTTAGTATATGTGCTGCAGAATTAAGCACTGCTTTTAGGAATGTAGGTACTTTATTTATTTATTTTTGAGACGGAGTCTCGCTCTGTCGCCCAGGCTGGAGTGCAGTGGCGCGATCTTAGCTCACTGCAAGCTCCGCCTCCCGGGTTCACGCCATTCACCATGGTCTCGATCTCCTGACCTCGTGATCTGCCCGTCTCGGCCTCCCAAAGTGCTGGGATAACAAGCGTGAGCCACCGCGCCCGGCCAGGTACTTTATTATTATTTTTTGATACGGAGTCTCACTCTTTGGCCCAGGCTGAGTGCAGTGGCGCGATCTCAGCTCACTGCAACCTCCGCCTCCCGGTTTCAAGCGATTCTCCTGCATCAGGCTCTTGAGTAGCTGGGATTACAGGCGCGTGCCACCACGCCCGGGGCTAGGTTTTGTATTTTTAGTAGAAACGGGTTTCACCATGTTGGTCAGGCTGGTCTGGAACTTCTGACCTCAGGTGATCCGTCCGCCTCGGCCTTCCAAAAGGAATTTAGGTACTTTAAAATGCTGTTATGTATGTTAACGGAAAAGTAACTACATGCTTCATTTTCAGAACCAACATTCAAATGAAATGAACGTGTCAAATCGACAAAAGCTCAAAAAAGAGAAAAACATATAATACTTAAAAGTGGTTAATATACTCTTAGATTGCATAACTCTGGGGCAGTCTGAGTCCTATGATTTTCTTTTAAGACCCCAAGACTCTAAAATACCTGCTCATCACAAGTTTGTTCAGTGACAACATTCAGTAAAACTTAACATTTGTTTTACAAAATTATGTTGAAAGATATAAACATAAACGTATATTTGAAGCACAAAAATAATTACGGCTTTTTTTGGAAGCGGAGTTAGACATTTCCGTAGAAAAGTAGATGCAATCAATCTCTCCTGATTTTTGTCCTCCCCACCTTTAATTTTTGACAAACCGAATAACGACACTCACTATTGAGTACTTTTCTAACTCCCTATTGCATCACAAACGCCCGCAGGGGCTTAAAAAGCAGCAGGGGTTCCTGCCCTTCCCCACACTGGCCGGTGTGGTCTGGGGCGGGCCTGATGAGCACCTGGATTTTCACCCGGCGTGCTGGTAATTCCTACACTTGTGGGTGTTTGAGAGACATGAAGAGGGGAGGATGACCTCTTCCCGGAAGCGGGACTTCCATAAAAGAAGCGTGGTGGGCGGGTCCCGGGCACCTGTGGTTTGGTGAGTCCTCCAGGTAACTGTGATGCGGGGGTCAGCGGGAGAGGCACCCGGAAGCTCCCGGCGTCTGCACCCCGGCAGCGCGAGGAAATGCCCAAAGGTGGGTTCTCAGGCGTGGGAAGCTCGACCCTTCCCGGGGTCCTCGGCGAAGTGGCCGAGGCCGCGCCTTACGCAGGGAACTCCGCCGGGCCATCTGGGTGGCCCGAGTTCGCAGCAGCTTCTCTTCCGCTCGTCCCTCGGCCCTCTCGACGCGCACCCACCGGCCTCACCAAGTCGCACGCAGAGGGGCGGCGGGGCGCTGACCGAGGTCTAGGTCTCGATTGCCGCCGGTCGAGCCGCGCAGTTTGCCTGCAGACCTCGGTCCCCTGCCCGCGCAGCCTCGGCTCCATCAGGCCCGGCCCCTCGCCCGGGCCGTGGCTCCACCAATCGCAGACTTCGCCCGCCGCAGCCGCACCTGCGAGGAGGGGCCCGCGCGCCGCTGCAGCCGCCGTCGCAGCGTCCCCGCCCCGCTCCGCCCCTATCGCGGCGCCCCGAGATCACCCGCCTCCGGCGCCTGGCTCCCTGCAGGCGAGGAGCGGAAGCCGCTATCTGGAGGCGGACTCCGGCGCCACAGAGCCGGGGCAGCCGCGGCAACGGCGAGGCGCGAGGCAGGGGCGCCCGGCAGACCCCGCGACCCCGAGCCAGCGGGCGCCCCGAGCGGGCAGCCTCGCCGGGGGAGGCGGAGGCGGCCACGGCGGCCGCGCTCGGGCGCCCCTCGCGCAGCGCTCCATGCCCGTGTGGTGCTGCCGCTGCTCCCTGGCCGGTCATTTCAGGTGACTTCCTCGCCGGGGATGGGAGGGGAGCAGGCGGGGATGCCGCGCTCTCGAGCTTTTTGGCCTGGCCCGGGCCGGGACCGGGGTGGAGGGCGAGCGCCTGGACCGCAGCGTCCTCCCGCCTCGGCCGTCCTGCCTGGCGTGGGGGTGGGGTGGGGTGCGGTGTGGTGGGGTCCTTGCTCCGGGGAGCCCTGCGCTGTTCCCTTTTCTCGCTCTGGACCGCGCGGGTCACGGGACTGCGGGATCGGCTAGGCCGGACTGAGTCGGTTACGGCGAGCTGAGACTTCCCAGTAGTGCAAAGTTTTAGTGAAGGGGGTTCTACGAAGTGCCTGCCTCCCTAAAAAAAAATTATTTCTTAAAAAGTCTTCTAAATAATGTAATGAGTGGAAGGAAGGTAGGGAACTACATTTCAGTGTCATCTAATCACAAATAGATTCTGCCTTGTTAAGATGTTAGCCATGGTAAGACGTGTGTGTTGTAGAAATTTAAAGAATGAGGCGGTTTTACAATCACCTTATGGGGAAAGGTTTTAGGGGTGATAAAATATAATACATTTCTAAAATAAAAGTATGTTTTCTAGATCTAGCACATTTGGTCAACACCTCAGTCATTGGTGGAAAGACCAGACACTAGAAACTGATTTTAACCCTGGGGTGAAGAATGGTTAAGCATAGGGAATACTTTAGTACCTTGCTTTACATATACTGATGTTCCAGAATAATTCTATGTAAGACTTCTTCCCTGGTAAAATATGAAATTTTGATCAAGCCTTCCTAAATAGTGGGTTTCATACAATTTAGGTAACCCATGAACTTGGATGGAAAGAAAGGTATATCATTTCACTAAATTTTAAAAACTAATATTCAGTTAAAATATAAGCAACAAATCACAGTAGTATCTGTGACTGTCATCAGTAGAGATCATAAAATATGTTTATATCACATTGCAGTTAATATAGAAATACTGTTTATACTTATTCAAAATTATAGTAACACATCACTGAATTTATTGAATGCAACAGAGAAGCACATATATATATCGCGTTTACTTTTTATGACTGTTTTAATAGAATTAGTTTTCTTGTAAATCCTGTGTATATTTAAGAACAGTATTCAGAGAAGAGGTTAAGAAGCGTCATCCTATAGTAAAAGAGATGTAAGGCATAGAGAAAGTTTGGAACTTCTTTTGTAACAGCGATAATCCAAGCTTGTCTAACCTCTCAGTGAGTTTAGAATGAGTCTCTAGGTTGTGGATATTAAGGAAAAATTGTTTCATATAATAAACTGCTTGATTTTAACTTTTAGGCAAATTTGTTGACTACTGAGACAGCGGTTTGAAGGTATCAGATTCACTATGGAAACTTTTAGGAAATAGGTTCCCCTAGTGAAACTTGTTAAACTAAATAAAGCCCATGAGAATCTAACATGCCTTTCAGAAAATATTGTGTGAAAGCTATTTGACACCTTTTGATGCACAGTGTAGGATTCATATTCTTTTGACTAATACTGGGTGTTGAATACCATTTGCTTCCTGCCGTGCACAGAAATTTGGAGTAGGGAGTGAAAACAAAGTATTTGCTATGTTTTGGTCTGGAGGGACAGAAAGAAAAACAAGCTAGCTGCCAAAGATAAACATTATGATTAATAAACCACACTTTTTATTGCAAAAACAGTTCTGTTGTGTCTAAAGTATTTTTTTTTTTAGTTGTTTACCAGCTCCTTCAGGAATATGTTTCTGATTTACCAGTGCTATTTCTCGAGCAGTTTCAGGTCAGTTCAGGTCATCCTGGCCAACATGGTGAAACCCCGTCTCTACTAAAAACTCAAAAATTAGCCGGGCAGGGTGGTGTGCACCTGTAATCCCAGCTACTCGGGAGGTTGAGGCAGGAGAATAGCTTGAACCCAGGAGACACGTTGCAGTGACCTGAGATCGCACCACTGCATTCCAGCTGGGCGACAGAGTGAGACTGTCTCAAAAAAACAAAAAACACACAAAAAAACACAGATTATAAAACAGGTTGTGACATCTATTGTCTAACATCTGAATGGATAAGTAGTGAGAGAACTGTCCACTAACTTTCCAAAGGAAAAAACCTCTTCCTTCGTGTTCTGGAAGATGAAGAGTGTGACTGACTTCATTTGTGGCTTTAGAACCTTCTTTCCATGTGGTAGTATAAATTTGGTAAATTTTAGGTTCATGGTTCCAAAGACTATAAAAATTCAGTTAGTAAAGCATTTCATTTTAGTTTGAATGATCATTTAAACAAGTACTGCTATGGTATGGAAAAAGTCTTTTTGTTATCCTGATACTATGTCCACACTATCCTTTGAAATGTTCTCTGAAACTTTGTGCTGTAATGTTTCAAAAACAAAAAATGGAAGGCCTCTAAAAGCATCTTAAATGTCAAATAGGCTTTTAACTTGCTTCCTAACAATAGAGTAACTAATTTTGCATGTAAAGTGCTGTTCTTTACTAGTTGCTAAATGTAATTGTACATATTTTCCAATTTTAATTTGTGCCTCGAAGAAAAAGTAGATTTTTATTACTCAAAATAAGCTCTTGTTTTAAATAGAACAAATATCAAATTGGAAATCTAGAGATTAACACTGTTCATAGACCTGTGATATACTGTGCATGTACTATAAAACATGTACAGCAATACTAAATTTATAACTTAAGCTCTGAATTTTTTAGAAAGAATAATTACTAAAAGTCTTGTTTCATTAATGTTTTATGTAAAACCAGTGAATCACACTTTCCGTTTTTGTTTCCTTGTTTTTCTTTGTGTTAAACCACTATCAAATAGGAGGCAGGTTTACTACAAATAGTTTATCACAGAGTTTATACCAGTGGCTCCTGAAAAATCAGAGCAGATTACCTATACTATGTAAATTTAGATAAGCTAATGTGTAGAGAATTTGGATAAACTAAACTTTGGTTCTTCATTGCTTGAGGGCTGCACATGCAAAAAACTACTAGACCTAATATATAAATTCAACGGTGTTGCAGGATGCAAAATCAACATACAAAAGTGAATTGTATTTCTGTACATTAACACTGAATAATTTAAAATGAAATTAACAAAGGTATTTCATTTATATAATAGCATCAAAAAATGAAATACATAAGAATAAATTTAATAAATGCAATACTTATGCACTGAAAACTACAAAATGTTGAGAGAAATTAAAGGTCTAAATAAATGGAAAGGAATTCTATATTCATGGATTGAAAAACTTAATATTCTGTTTTTTCTTTTAAGTACAGGGATGCAAGTTCAGGTTTCTTACATAGGTAAACATGTGTCATGGGAGTTTGTTTCATCACGCAGGTATTAAGCCTAGTACCCATTAGTTCAGGGGTGTCCACTCTTTTTGCTTCCCTGGACCACATTGGAAGAATTGTCTTGGGCCACACATAAAATACACTCACATTGATGATAGCTGATGAGCTTAAAAAAATGGCAAGAAAATCTCATAATGTTTTAAGAAAGTCTACGAATTTGTGTTGAGCCACATTCAAAGCCATCCTGGGCCGCATGTGGGTTGAACAAACTTGCATTAGTTGTTTTTCTTGATCCTCTCCCTCCTCCCACCCTTCATCCTCGGGTGGGCCCCAGTGTGTGTTGTTCCCCTCTGTGTGTCCATGTGTTCTCCTCATTTAGCTCCCCCTTATAAGTGACAACATGTGGTCTTTGGTTTTCTGTTCCTGTGTTAGTTTGCTAAGGATAAGGGCCTCCAGCTCCATCTATGTCCCTGCAAAGGACCTGATCTCATTCTTTTTTGTGGCTGTATAGTATTCTATGGTGCATATGTACCATGTTTTCTTTATCCAGTCTATCATTGATGGGTGTTTAGGTTGATTCCATGCCTTTGCCATTGTGAATAGTGCTGCAGTGAATGTACACGTGCATTTGTCTGTATAATAGAATTATTTTTATTCCTTTGGGTATATACCCAGTAATGGGATTGCTGGGTGGAATGGTATTTCTATCTTTAGGTCTTTGAGGAATCACCACACTATTCCACAATGGCTGAACTAATACACTCCCCCCAACATATAAGCATTCCCTTTTCTCCATAACCTTGTCAGCATTTGTTATTTTTTGACTTTTTAATAGCCATTTTGACTGGTGTTAGATGGTGCCTCATTGTGGTTTTGATTTGCGTTTCTCTAATGAGTGATGTTGAACTTTTTTTCATATGATTGTTGGCTGCCTGTATGTCTTCTTTTGAGAAGTGTCTGTTCATGTCCTTTGCCCACTTTTCTGTGGGGTTGTTTTTTCTTGTAAATTTAAGTTCCTCATAGATGCTGGATATTAGACCTTTGTTGGATGCATAGTTTGCAAAAATTTTCTCCCATTCTGTTGGTTGTCTGTTTACTCTGTTGATAGTTTCTTTTGCTGTGCAGAAGCTCGTTAGTTTAATTAGATACCATTTGTCAATTTTTTTTTGCTTTTGTTGCAATTGCCTTTGGCGTCTTCCTCATCAAACTCTGCTTGTGCCTGTGTCCTGAATGGTATTGCCTAGGTTGTCTTCCAGGGTTTATATAGTTTGGGGTTTTATATTTGAGTCTTTAATCCATCTAGAGTTACTTTTTGTATGTGGTATAAGGAAGGTATCCAGTTTAGATCTTCTGCATATGGCTAACTAGTTATCCCAGCACTATTTATTGAATAGGGAATCCTTTCCCCATTGCTTATTTTTGTCAGGTTTGTCAAAGATCAGATAGTTGCAGGTGTGTGGTCTTATTTGTGGGTTTTCTCTTCCATTGGTCTATGTGTCTGTTTTTGTACCAGTACCATGCTGTTTTGGTTACTGTAGCCCTGTAGAATAGTCTGAAGTCAGGTGAGGTGATGCTTCCCGCTTTGTTCTTTTCACTTAGGATTGCCTTGGCTATTTAGGCTCTTTTTTGGTTTCATATGAATTTTAAAATAGTTTTTTCTAGTTCTTTGAAGAATGTCATCGGGAGTTTAATGGGAATAGCATTGTATCTATAAATTGCTTTGGGCAGTTTGTATGAATTTGCATAGCCATTTTAATGATACTGATTCTTCCTACACATGAATATGGAATGTTTTCCCATTCCCGTCGCCTCTGATTTCATTGAGCAGTGGTTTGTGTGTGTCATCTCTGATTTCTTTGAGCAGTGGTTTGGAGGTTTCTGATCAAAATGACTTTGATCAGAAGCCTCCAAAGGTACAGGAGAACCTAACCTTTGCACATACTTTGGAGAAATACCAGGGACAGAGCAGAATATAAAACATGTTAAATGCAGTTGCCAAGAGGTAGAAGCGGGCATGGGCAAGACAGCTGAGGCATCTGGATCTGATCAGAGGCAGTAGTTGGAATGAGTCAGAAATAGATGGATTGAGCATATAAAACTTCCTCCCAAGGGTAGGCTTGCACTGTGAGGAGGGGTTTCCCTTAGTAGCCATGTCTGATTGGTGTCTGTTTTGGTCAAAAGAGGCTATGTAAGGGGAAACCAAATATTTGGGGTACAGGTTACTTTCTTTGCTTCAAGAAAGCTCTCAGTATGTCCTGAGGAAGTCTCGCCTATCCTAGGGTAGACTGGGAACTCTGAAGGTTATAGGGAAGTAGAAATGCCTGTCTCTGCCTGATTCTTTTCTGTTTATCAACCTCCTCTGGGATCAGTGAGTTCAATCTTGTGAAATAACTGATCTATCCCATGCTTATTTATCATCTGAGAGTAGTAATAAACACACTTACCCACTAGTAGATACTTAATTTAATACTTCCAGACATTGTGGCTGTTACTGACTGTATGAAGATAAAATTAATTAAGGGATTCTATTCTAAAGTAATCTGTTGTATAATGCAGAACATTACCTGTGTGCAGGAGATACTCCATGTATTGCATGAAAATGTGAGAATGCTAAAACTAATTTCTAGAGAGCCAATTGAGAAAGAAAAATTGGAAAATAACATTAAGAAATTATTTTAATATATTTTTGAAGTCTGGGTAACATAGCGAGATCCTATCTCTACCAAAAAATATTTTTTAAATTAGCCAAGTGTGGTGGCACACCTGTAGCCCTGGCTACTCTGGAGGCTGAAGCAAGAGGATGACATGAGCCCGGGAGGTGGAGGCTGCAGTGAGCCATGCTTGCGCCATTATACTCCAGCCTGGGTGACAGAGCAAGACCTTGTTTCCAAAAAAAAAAAAAAAAAAAAAAAAAAATATATATATATACATATATATATATATAATGTATATGTAGTATATTTTTTGAATAAAAATGTATAAACCTAATTTCTTATACAAAAATGCACAATTTATAATATATAAATACCGTAACTTTTTCTTAAAATGTGTATGACTATATATTGTATTTTAGTGCACTCACCTTTTAAAAAGAAAGGTATGGAGGAGACACTAGCCATTTCTAGGCTAGTTTCAGAGAATTATGAACTCCTCAACACCATGCTGTCTTTGATCATGAGAGAACTGCTTATTAGAGACTTGCCTAGAAGATACTTGTGAGAGAAAAGCAACTATTAATATTGGGGATATTTGGCCTTCAAGTTGGTATAGGTTGACATGTAGCGAAGCTACTAATTTGAAAGCATTAATCAGAAGGATTTTCTTTGCTTCTTTTATGGAATGATTAAAATATTTTATGTCTAAATAAACTCGGAGTAGAGATTGATTTTTATAAAGGCTATATTGACTATATCTCTTTTTATTCCCCCTTTTTTTTTTTTAAAGAAACTATAGTGACACTGAAACTGAAGGAGAGATTTTTAATTCCTTAGTGCAATACTTTGGTGACAACTTGGGGCGAAAAGTTAAAGCGATGCCATTAGTTGAAGAAACTTCTTTACTGGAAGATTCGTCAGTGACTTTTCCTGTGGTAATAATAGGTAAGTTATTGTATTTTATCTTTTAAAATTATAGTTAATGACCCTTAATACTTTTATAAATCTACAGTTAGTACAAGTTCTTAAGATTTTATTGAAAAGTATTCTTAGGTGGTTTGATATGCTAAAAAACTAATAACCAAATCTTTGGAGAGTAATTGGTTTATCTGATTTTAGCATCTGTGTTAAAATGCAGTATCTTTTTAGTGAAGAACTGATATTACTACATTATTTTAAAATATCTCCTACATTTGTGTTAATTATATGACAGTGTCATGGTAATGTGATAATATTATTAGAGCTCTGAAGAGTATTCTATGTATATTATTGGATAATACCTTACAACTCTGCAGACTTCTGATGTTGGTAGGGCGGATACAGACAGAGAAACTGACACAGATGTTGAGTAACGTGCAAGTTAGTAACCGGTGCTGTATTAGCAATGACATTATAGTACTCTAAGGTAATGTTTACAGTTACCTTAACCACAACACTACTATTTTATATCCTTTGTATCACCTCAGCAGATAGGCATTTAAGATATTAAAAATTAAACTATTAATAAAACATTCAGATTTATAAGCTTTTATAATTTAGTTTTATTGCATGCATTTAATTACCTGTTATGTATATTTTTCATCTAATATACAAAGTCGAGGAATTCAGACAAGGAATATAGTGTGAAGCTAACTAAGCCAGAGGAGAGAGTTAAGGAATATAGGTGCCTTGGTAGCATATGACTTCCTTTGTTTCTTTGACAGCTTGTTTCAAAGTTAGTAGGAAGGGGAGAAAATTCATGTCCTCTGGCTTGTGGGAGGAAAAGAGGAGAGCAAGATTGTTCTATACTAGGTTCTATACTAGATTCTCCTCTACAGGATATGATAGAGGTGACAGTTTTTGTAATAGTTCTCAACCAAGAGATATCAGGGACCATACGTCATGTTTCATTTTCCCCCTTACCTCTAACCTTGGTTTTCTATCCTGAATGAATGGAGGAATCCTGTCTTCTTGTGTGGCTAGGCTGTGGGAAGGTCAGAAAAGAAAAACTTAACCTTCATTTGCACCTGCCCACTCCACTTCCCACAAAGCAGCCTATCCCTGTTTTGCCTCAGCTAGCTGTGAGTAGCTTAGCCTCATGTATATTTATATAGTGTCATTACTGTTGACAATGGCACCACCAGCCTGAGCATAAAGAGCTAATTTCTTAAATATATGTTTTCTGTTGCCGCTGTAACAAATTACCACAAAACTAGTGGCTTTAAACAATGTGAATGTATTATTCTACTGTTCTGTGGGTCAGAAATTCAACATGGGTCTTCCTGGGCCAAAATCAAGGTGTTGGCAGGGCTGTGTTGCTTTCTGGAGGCTCTAGGGAAGAATGTTTCCTTTTCCTGGCTCCCTTCTGTAGCTTCAAAATCAGCAATGTTGTTTCTTAACCTTCTTTCATTGTCATGTCTCCCTTTCACCACAACTGGGAAAAGTTCTCTATTTTTAAGGACTCTTGTGATTAGATTGGGTCTACCTGGGTAATCTAGACTACTCTCCATCTCAGGATCCTTAATCATATCTACAGAGTCCTTTTGCTCTGTAGTAACATTTACAGGTTCTAGGGGATAGGACTGGGACATCTCTGGGCACAGTGGATCACGCCTGTTATCCCAGAACTTTGGGAGGCTGAGGTGGGCTGGATCATCTGAGCACAGGAGTTCGAGACCAGCCTGGCCAACATGGTGAAACCCCGTCTCTACTAAAAATACAAAAATTAGCCGGGCATGGTGGCGGGCAACTGTAATCCTAGCTACTTGGGAGGCTGAGGCAGGAGGATCGCCTGAACCCAGGAGGTGGAGGTTGCAGTGAGCCGCGATTGCGCCATTGTACTCCAGCTTGGGCGACAAGTGAAACTCTGTCTAAAAAAAAAAAAAAAAAGAAAAGAGGGCCAGGCCTGGTAGCTCACACCTGTAATCCCAGCACTTTGAGAGGCTGAGGCGGGCATATAACAAGGTCAGGAGATCGAGACCATCCTGGCTAACAGGGTGAAACCTTGTCTCTACTAAAAATACAAAAAATTAGCCAGGCATGGTGGCGAGTGCCTGTAGTCAGTCCCAGCTTCTCGGGAGGCTGAGGCAGGAGAATGGTGTGAACCCGTGAGGCAGAGGTTGCAATGAGCCGAGATCGCACCACTGTACTCCAGCTTGGGCGACAGAGCGAGACTCCGTCTCAAAAAAAAAAAAGATATAAAATTAGTTCTAAATATTTTTTATTTTTCTTTCAGTCTTTAAGGCTTCCTATTCTAGAATTATAAGTTGAAATCTTTCTCTGCTTTCTCTGTTTCTAGTATTCTTATGGTTTTACTTTTCTTATATCTTTGAGTATATTTTATTTGGGGTAACATATTAGGTAAGGAACAGGATTTTTTCTTTGCAGCTAGCAATTCTCTAGGTTGGATTAAATTTTTGAAAGGCAGATATAATAAGTGGTAATCCAGAATAAAGGAATTATTAATTCATAAATGGAAGTAGTTCAGGAAATCCAGTTTGGTTTTAGTTAAAGCATATAAACATATAGGAAAGCAATATCAGGATTTAGGACTGGAAAGATGGTTGAGATGTATAATCACCTGGCAGTTTCTTGCCTGCTGCACAGACAAAACCATTTCACTGAGACCATGGCGTTGCAGTAAAGAAGTTGACACAAGGCCAGCCCATGTGAGAGAACTGCAGTTGTTCAAATTAGTCTCCTGATAAAACTCCTGATTGGTTGGGCGTGATGGCTCATACTTGTAATCCCAGCACTTGGGGAGGCTGTGGTGGGTGGATCAAGAGATCAAGACTGTCCTGGCCAACACGCTGAAACCCCGTCTCTACTAAAAATACAAAAATAAGCTGGGTGTGGTGTCGTGTACCTCTAGTCCTAGCTACTTGGGAGGCTGAGGCAGGAGAATCGCTTGAACCCAGGAGGCAGAGGTTGCAGTGAGCCGAGATCATGCCACTGCACTCCAGCCTGGTGACACAGCGAGACTCTGTCTGAAAAAAAAAAACACAACGAAAAAAACAAAACTCCTGATCCCTCCTGATGGCTTGGAGGTTAGGGTTTTTCAAGGATAGTTGGGTGAACAGGGGACTAGGGAATAGGTGCTGCTGATTGGTTGGGGATGCCATGCTGGGGGTATCAAAAATGGTTCTCTAGCACTGAGTCCAACTCTGGGTGGGGGGCCGCAGGACTGGTTCAGTTGAGTCTTGGGTCTGAGTCTTGAATCTTGGGACCAATAGAGTCAGACAGTCATCAGAAATGCAAAAGTCTGAAAAGACATTTCAAAAGGCCAACCTCAGGATCCACAGTAGCGATGTTATCTGTAAGAGCAATTAGGGAAGTCACACATCATGTGACCTCTGGCTGCGTGACTCTTCAGCAGTAAAGGATTATAGAAACTCTGCCTACATCTTAGCAGAATTCCGGCACCTCTCATAATCCGAACCTTGTGGCCTTTCATTAGTTTTAGAAAGGCGGTTTAATTTTGGGAAGGACTGTTACCATCCTTGCTTTAAGGTTAAACTATAAATTCCTTCCATGATTAGCTTTGCCTATACCCAGGAGTGAGGGAAGACAGCCGGCCTTTGAAGCTAGAAGCAAGATGGAGTCAGCCATGTTAGATTTCTCTCACTGTCATAATCTTTGCAAAAGTTGTTTCAAATGGAGAACACTGGATAGTCAGAAACAAACAATGAAGACCTTTAGAACAGAAGGCTAACATGATGAGGATTATGTTACCAAAACTTATGTGAATGTAGTATGTGAAATGATTGGGAGTGGGTGAATCTCAGGGCAGAGAAACAGTAGGAGACTTGTCTTTTAGGTGAAGTACAGGAATGAGAATAGCAAAGACAACTGACAAGATATAGGGGGCAAACTAGGTTTAGAACCAGAAACTGATTAACTTAGAAGTTTGCTAGTACCATACTTTGAGATAGGATAGGGTTTGAAGGAGAGGGCACCTCAATGAAGGGACTCATGAGCTTGCTTTTGAGCACATTACATTAAAGTTATTAGTGGGCCATTCTATCAGGTAGAATCAAGAAGTGGAATGGAAATGTGGGATATATCCTTGGGAAATAGGTCAATTTAGAGAACTAATTTTGGATGTCAGTAGCCTAGAGAGTTGAAGCCTTGAGTAGATGAGATTCCCAAAAGAAAATAGGAGAGAAGGCAGAGGTTAAAATCTCATGAAACATCTGGTTTTAAGAGATTAGAAAAGGAAGAACTGGTCAGAGAAAAGAGCCATCTTCAAAGTAGGACAAAAGCCAAGGAACAAGAGTATTAAGATGCATGACCTACCCCTTTCCACCTTTTATTTTTAATAGGAAATGGACCCTCAGGAATATGCCTTTCTTATATGTTATCAGGCTACAGACCGTATTTATCATCAGAAGCAATACACCCAAATACAATCTTAAATAGTAAATTAGAAGAAGCAAGACATCTTTCCATTGTTGATCAGGTATTATTTCTTACATGTCAATTTAAAAAATTTTTTTATGCTGAAACAAGATTAGTTTTTATTTATATGAACTTTCTTAGTTGAAACCCCTTATTCTAAATAACACCTTATATCATTTTTATTTTAGATTCGTAAATGTATTCTGAGTTACTTCTGTTTATTTTCTTGAATTTATTAGAGCAGAGTTTTCTGAATTATTTTCTAATGGAGATTTAGTAGGTGCTCTGTGGTCAAGTTGGGGGTACTGCTTTTTATCATTGGAGCATCATGGTAAGCATTAGAATATACTATCTGGGAAATGCTGGCTTTTTTCAAACTCTGTCTCCCTTTTGTTCATTCAGGACTTAGAATACTTGTCTGAGGGCCTTGAGGGCCGATCATCCAATCCAGTTGCAGTACTTTTCGATACACTTCTTCATCCAGATGCTGACTTTGGGTATGATTATCCATCCGTTTTGCATTGGAAATTAGAGCAACATCATTATATCCCTCACGTAGTTCTTGGTAAAGGTCCACCTGGTGGGGCTTGGCATGTGAGTATATTTTTCTTAGCATTTTAGTGTATGTGAATTATTTGTCTTGATAAGACCAACTTTATTCTTAAGCATTATGATAATGTTATATGTGATGTTTATCACATTTTTATTTGAGAAGAACTTTAATGCTGTTCAGTTAGTTAAATATGGGTTTATTACAAGTAGCAGTAAATCAAGCCAAATTTTATTACTGGTACAGTCTTAGAATAAGCATGTCTCTATACTATCTTACAAGAATTATGTAGAAAACATTTCAAGAATGTTTTGTATAATAAAAATTTAAAACTCAATTCATTTTAGACTTTACATAATCTCACATAGTATTTCAAAGCAGTATCCATTATTTTCTTACATTTTCAGAATCTTAAATGAAAAATGTAAAAGAGGTTGTGTTAGTCTGCTTGTCTGCGATAACAAAATGCCATAGAATTGATGGCTTAAACAACATATTTATTTCTCACAGTTCTGGAGGCTGGAAGTCCCAAGATGAAGGTTCCAGCCAGTTCAGTTCCTGGTAAAGGCCCTCTTCCTAGCTTTCAGATAGCTGCCTTCTCAATGTGTCCTCACATAGCAGAGAGAGAGAAATATTCTCTTCTTATGAAGCCAGTAATCCCATTCTGAGGGACCTACCCTCATGACCTCATCTAGCTCTACTTACCTCCCAAAGGCCCCATCTCCAAAAGCATCACATTGGGGGTCAGGACCTCAACGTAAGAATTTTGAGGGTAGATACAATTCGGTTCATAGCAGAGGTTAAACCAGAGAACCAGTGAATTAAGGATTCACTCAGTGCATTTCATTAGGGGGCCAGTAAGTAATAATTGTTCATCCTTCCTGTGTTCTTAGCAGTTAACACTGTGTCTAGTGTGTAGTGAGTGTTCATTTGTTATACAAATTGATGTTAAGTAATTTAGTTTGCTGTGTTATGAATTACAGACTTCATGGGAACTTTAACATATTACATACCAAATTTTTAGTACAAACTTCGGTTGGCTGTTCGTGTATTAGTGCAGTTTTGCACATCTGAAAAGTTGTTTACGTTTATAAAATGACTGTTTCAGGGTATCGGGACATTCCTAGATTAAATACGTCATGGGTTTCTTTTAAAATCTTTATTCTCTTTTTAATAATGAGTAGCAACTACCAAATTATTTGTTGCTTTTAGCTTAAGTTTTATGATTTTTACTTTTTCATATCAACTTTAAGCTTTATTTACAATAAGCTGCATCCATTTAGAGTGTATAATTTGACAAATGCCTGTAACTGTGAAACCACCAATACAAGATAAGAAAGAATTCTATCATGCCCAAAACTTAAGTGTTTATATTTTCTCTGTTAATTAGTAGCATTCTTAATTTTAAAAAAAGCCATAATGTATTTGGAAGTGGGGAGGGCATTTAGACTGCCTTCTCTGAATTCCTGAGGTTTTATTTTACTTACATTTTTTCCGCTTAGAAGAATGATGAGTTGTGCAGGCGATAATTGATCTGTTTCATTTCTTTCACTTATGTATAAAAAAGTTAGAAAGTATGGATAAACCCTGATTACTAAAAACACATTTTGAGCCAGTGATAAAGGTTAAAATATACCTAAAAGTTGCTGATTTTTTTCAGGCATGTATTCACTAAAATAGGGCTGTAAGTAATATTTCAGCTGTGTACCAGTTGCCAGTCATCACCTCTGTGAAGGTTCCTAATGTTCCCAGACATAATTACTTGATCCTACCTGCATTCCATATCTTAATCTTACTGTGCTTGCCTGTGGTACTATTTATCTGTTTATGCGACCATCTCCCCTGCTATGGTTTATGTACATCCTAATTAACCTGAGTTGTGACTTAAGACGTAAACTCCTTGAGTCATCACCCCTCTCTCCTACTTAGCTTCATATAGTTCTCTGTTTCTCTTGTGATCTAGTTTCTCATCACTCTTCTCTCTTCCAAACTTTCTGTGGCCCCTTGAACCAATTTTGTGATAAACAACTTGTTTGCTTTCCCACATCTTTAACCATTCTGTCAGATGCTGCTTCTGCTCCCTTTCTTGAAAGCTTACTCTTTCCTAAAGATACCATTCCCACTGTAGCCCTCTGAAGTGGAGCCTATTCATTCTCCCATAGCCCTATGTCCCATCAGGTTGGCTAGTAAGGTTGGTCTTCTCTTCACACCCCTATGCACTTGTGTAAAAAGCCCTGTTCCATTGAACAGATGATGCCATTTTCTAGCTTTTCTACCATTCCAGACTGTCTCCAGACTGTCTCCATTTCTGGCTTTTTTACCATTCCAGACTGTCTCCAGTTACTGAATCTGTGGCACCTAATTCATGGGTCTTCCATTATATCCCAAGTTTTGTTACCACCTTGAATAATTTTACCTCTACAAACATGACACAGAACCAAGATCTTAACCTTTTTGTTCCTTGGTCTCCTCATTCTTGATGATGATGTATTCTTCATTAGCTACTCACTCCAGTGGCTCCACTGTAGATCTTATCTGTCATAACTACTCAACTTGTAAAAACCTAAATTCTCAAATGTCTTCCTTTCTGATCACAGTTTCCTGTTCTTCAAGCTTATCACCCAGTTAATTCACACTATAGATAATCTTTGAACACAGAGCGTGCTCCAGGCTGTGATCTTCATATCCTTACTTACCCAGCCCAGCTTCTGTAGTCCATGGAGTTAACTATTCTCTTTAATTCCCTTAACCCATTGTCCTTCTGTCACATAGGTTTGTCATACAGGCAATTCATCTAACTATCCACTTTATCTTTTCTTACACTTGAGCAGTCAGACCCCCAGAAAAAAAATTATACAACTGTGAAAATATTCTCCACTCTCAGTTGGGGCCAAAACACTACTATAACCTTTGATATTTCCTTATTAACTTCTTTTCAAACCTTTATCTCTTTTTTTTCTTTCATGCTTAGAAGTGGTCTTGGTTCTTATTTTACAGATAAAATGTAATCCATTAGGATTGAACTTCCACAATTTCACACTCAAACCGAAAACTTACACATTGATGCAAATTCTTTTTTTTTAATCCCCTGTTATAATGGAAGAGATATTACTACTAAGGCTCACCTTCCAGCCACATTCTGGATCCCTGTCTTCCCAAGAACATTATTTATTTGATTTTCCCCATTTCTTTTATATCTTCAATTTCTCTGCCAGCTTCTATTGGTCGGTATGTAAACATGCTGAAATTATTTCCATCTTTAAAAAAATTTTAGGTGCCAGCTGATCTTTATCCTTTGGTTTATAGCTAACTTCCTGAAAGAGTTACCTATACATACTTCTCCCTGCCTTTGCTTTCTGCTCCTTAGCTTACTCACTCTACCTTCTGCCACCGGTTTTCCATTGGAACTGTTTTTTCTGAAAGTCGGTAACTTTCTTTTTTGCTTAATTTGATGACGAGTCTCAGAATTTATCTTTTCTGATCTCTGCAGCTTTTGACAGTGTTCATATCTTTCTTAGGTTCTCTGAATCTTCAGTCTCCTTGTTTTTCTTCCTGTTTGGTCACTCCTTTTCTGATACCTTTGTGGATTCTTGTCTTTTTTGTTGTTGTTGTTTTTGAGAGAGGGTCTCACTCTGTCATGCAGGGTGGAGTGCAGTGGTACAGTCATAGCTCACTGCAGCCTCGGACCCCTGAGCTCAAATGATCCTCCTGCCTTAGCCTCCCAGTGCTGGGATTGCAGGTGTGTGCCACCACACCCAGCTGACTCTTGTTCTTTAAAAATTGCTTCTGTAGACCTTATCCCAAGCCCAGGTCTTTTCTTCATACTCTTCATTCTCCCTGGGTTATCTTACCTACTTCAATGGCTTGCATATTGATATTAATTGATTCCCAAATCAGAATTCCCAAAATCAAAACCAGCCCAGATTGCTGTTTCTCATATACCCAAGTAAATACATTCCCTTGATTATTCTGCAGGTGTCCTCAGACTCAACGTACCTAAAACTAACTATCTTTATCATCAAGTCCCTTCAATTTCCTTGTCATTAAATGGCATTCTCATGTAGTTACTCAAGCCAGGAACCTGAGAGTCTTCCTTGATTTCTCTTTCTTCAACTCCCATTTCAAATTAATCACCAAATCTTTTTCATTTATGATATTTTGGGTCCATCTACTCTATTTTGTTGCTAATATTGGTCACCGCTGTCTTTCACCAGAATTACTGCAAACCCTTTCTAAATGGTTTTCTTACTCATTGTCTCTTCTCCAATCCATTATCCATACCAAAGCCAGACTCATCTTTCTAAATTACATGTCTGAGATGTTACACCAATGCATAAAACTCTTCAGTTGCTCTCCATCTAACATATAGTATGTAGACTTCGTAATGTATCTCACCATACTCCAATCTAGCCCTTATTAGGTTTCTTGTCATATTCCTCTTTTTATCTCTGACATTCTGTGCTCTAGCATGCTTTTGTTGGGGAGTCCAAGTTCATTCTCAGTCTCGAAGATTCAATAGGATTCACAGGACTCAGTAAAGATGGTGTACTTGTGGTTAAATTTTACTATAGTGAAAGGATACAGATTAGAATCAGCAATGGGAAAAGGTTCACAGGGCAAAGTCCAGGAGAAACCAAGTGTAAGCTTCTAGATATCCACTCCTAGTAAAGTCACTGGTGCGTGGTGTCGAGGGATGTTTTCTGTGGGGTCAGTCATATAGGCCAGCAGCTCCCATGTGACTCACCTCTGCCTCCCAGAGCAAAAACTGGTATTCACATAAATCACATTGTTAGGATAAACTCTCATGGTTACACTGGTATAGCATTGCCAAGGCCTTAGGCATGCAAAACTCATGCTCATCAGGTAGAGTATTCAGGGGCTCAGAAGTTATTTCTAAGAAGGTGGCAGCCAAGCCTGGTTCTGAAGACAGGCTTTTGTTGGTAATGTAAAAGGTTGGAACAACGCAGGCCTGCTGAGTTAATCCTTTCAGGCACAAGGCTGAATTTCTTTTGACTCCTTGAAGGACACTCATATTTGCTCTCTTTATTAAGCTGCCACATGGATTTTTATTTGGCTTGGAATATTTTCCCTTTCTAATGGTACACTCCTCTGCCCATTTGTGTCCTTGAAGAACCAGATACTTTCTATATGCTCCTGCATACTTCTATTTAGTTTGCATCCTTTAATACTACAGTGTCCATGGCAGCTTGTATTCATGGCATATAGGTTACATGGGGAAAAAAGAAAGATAGGAGAAAAATGAAGAGATCAAGGCATTAGGGCTCTCAACCAACTGGAAGAACTGGTGCAGTGGGAATAATGTTAAAAAATTGTTGTCAGAAAGTGAAATAGTAGTGTCTTAAGGTTTTAGAGTTACAGGTGAAACTCTCAGGTTCCAAATAATCTCTGATAGATAATACATTCTTAACAGCTCCTTTTATGATGATTCCAGGTTCTGAACCTGGTATCAGGGCTAGCCTCCCTCAAAGCAGGTGGCAGCTTGCTACATTCTCTTTCTTGGGTGATTTGTATATAGTCACAAATGAGGTTTCACAGGGCCTAGTACATAGTAAGTACTCTGTGAAAGTCAGTTATAATAATAATAATAATATGCCCCATTTTCAAACTGGGTGTTATAGAAGCAGGGCAAGAAATTATGAGAAAAGGAGCCACTGCCTAAAAGAGTTGATTGAAAGAGATCATAGAGGTCATAGGTATAACAGGTACTTGGCCTTTGGGCTTTTCTTGCTTTGTATTGAACAAAGCAGAAATAAGTAGGTCAAGGGAGCTTGATGGCAAGCAGTAGCCTCAGCTCGTTTGTTTCTCAGGCATCCACTGCCTATTTCTGTATCCTTAAGAAGAGATGCTGCTGTATCCACATCAGCCTAGATTTTAGAATTATAATTGATGGAGGAGGGAAAAGCTTCTTTGTTGCTAATTAAAAGAAAGTTAATAATATTAAAATGGAAAGCCATCTAAAATTTTGGAACTTAATGAACATTTTTCCTTTTGTTCAAAAAATGAATATACTGAATTTTTGTTTCCCTGACATAATATTGTACATCTGAATTATGTTGATCATAGACCAAAGTTATCAACATTGTGTAGGCATTGGATAATATTGTAAATTTGTTTTATAAATTTATAACTATATGAAAGAAGGTTGTCGGGATAATATCAAGTGATGAAGGTATATGAAAGTTTATTGGAGTAATGTTTTTGAGGTAAGTTAGCCAACCATTTAGGACTGCAGGAGCGCACCTTGTCCAGAGTCATAATTATTGTAAATGAGATGGATATGGTTAAAAAACAGACCAAAAAAAACCATGTTACTTCTTGTTTTTTGACGGTACATTTTTTTTTTTAAACTCTAATAGAATATGGAAGGCTCCATGTTGACAATCAGCTTTGGAAGTTGGATGGAACTACCTGGACTTAAATTTAAGGACTGGGTATCAAGTAAACGAAGGTAAAGATTGAACTGTATTAAAATTCTTTGGTGTACGTTGAAAAAGAGAATGTGGAAAAATTTCAAAATATTTGTGATTTTGTCATGGCTGAAGAATATAAATGTACGTCTTTCAAATAAAAATGTGTCCTTGAAGCAGTGATTATAATATGCTAGTTTTCATTTAGAGATGTTATAAAACTAAGCACAGAGCTAAGGGATTATTGCAGATTGGTTTCCTGTGACTTTTGTTAATCATGGGTTTATCTACTGTCTTGTTACATCACTCTCTGTTTAGTTACTTTCTCATCCATCCATATATTATTTTTCATACTTTATTTTTATGCATTGATATATAACTTTATCTATGCATATCTCTTATATGAATACCTAAACTCTGCATACCTAAAGTGTTTGACTTTCAGTATAAAGATTGTATATTTTATGATTGATAATTTAAAATGATGGATAAGCTAGAATCTGGCTTATGGTTGGCTAATTGGGTATGAAGGAACATATTTAATAAAAAAAAATAAGAGTAGAACTGAGGGCCTGGCGCAGTGGCTCACGCCTGTAATCCCAGCATTTTGGGAAGCTGAGGTGGGAGGATCACCTGAGGTCAGGCGTTTGAGGCCAGCTTGACCAACATGGTGAAACCCTGTTTACTAAAAACACAAAATTAGCCAGGCATGGTGGCGCATGCCTGTAATCCCAGCTACTCGGGAGGCTAAGGCAGGAGAATTGCTTGAACCCGGGAGGCAGAGGTTGCAGTGAGCCGAAATCGCGCCACTGGACTCCAGCCTGGGCAACAGAGCAAGACTCTGTCTCAAAAAAAAAAGGACGGAAGAAATCTCACCTTGGAAAACTATAAATTTATTTATTTTAAGGGGAAATCCCAAAATTTAAAAAGAGAAATATGAAAATCCTGTCAATCATTTTCAAGGATAGTAAATATTAGATAAGAATTACTAATACAGAGAATCTACTCTAATTTGACTACTCACAAAATAAGAAGTTACGTAACCTTTGTTAGAACAGGGATGTAACATTTGAGTACTTCACTTCCTGCTACATAACAACCATGTTAATTCATAGAAATTTTCCTTAATATGAGGAAATTCAGGGAGAGCAAATTTACATCATCATGGGTAATTGAGATTAAACCTTTCCAAAAATTCATTTTAGATTTTTAAAAAGAATTATATATGGGTTTGAAACTTGAAGTAAAATTAGGCAAGTTGTACAGTTCTTGATCTTCGTAACTTGGCAAGTGAAATTGCTTAACACATTCTTCACTTTGTAAAAGGGTAAGAAAGAGAAAGCTTTATGATTTATGTACCAGAAGCATTTACTTTTCTAAATTATGCATATTGTGTTGAAGTAATATGTGCAAATGAATTTTGTGATAAATTTAGGTTTAGTTGCTGCCTTTGTATAAAGAGAAGACTCTTAGGTCTCTAGAGATTGGTGGAGTTTGAGTTCCGACTTATGACTTCTAGTGTTGTGATCCTGAACAAATAAACTAGTTGTCAATTTTCCATTCTGTAAAATGGAGATGATAATACAGCCGTGTATTGCTTAATGATGGTGATATGTTCTGAGAATTGTGTCGTTAGGTGATTTCGTTGGGCAAACATCATAAAGTGTACTTAACACAAACCTCCGTGGTATAGCCTACTATACCCTTAGGCTATAGGGTATAGCCTGTTGCTCCTAGGCTACAACCCAGTACAGCATGTTGCTGTACTGAATACTATAGGCAGTTGTAACACAATTGTAAGTATTTTTGTATCTAAATATACAAAAAGTACAGTAAAAATACGATATAAAAGATTTAAAATGGTATACCTGTGGGAGGTACCATACCAAAAATGGTATACCTGTATAAGGGCGCTTACCATGAATGGAGCTTGGAGGGCTGGAAGCTGCTTTGGATGAGTCAGTGAGTGGTGAGTGAATGTGAAGGCCTAGCACATTACTGTACACTAAGGTACACTTTATAAACACTGCACACTTAGGGTACACTGAATTTCTTTTTAAAAAAGTAATTTTACCACAACTTTAAGATGGCTGTGATGTCACTAAGCTGTAGGAATTTTTCAGCTCCTTTATAATCCTTTATGGGACCATTGTTGTATATGCTATCCTTTGTTGATTGAATTATGTGACACATGACTGAAGAAGTAAAAATCTAAAGTTAATTCTAAATCTTAATAATAATTATTAAACTTCAAAAGAAAAATTTTTGTGAACTTCCCATTACAAGTTACAAACAGTCCCTGATTAATCATGGTTTCACTTAAGGTTTTTAGGTTTTAAGGTGGTACCAAAGTGATGTGCATTTCATACAAACTATACTTTGGGTACCAATGCAACTGTTCTGTTTTTCACTTTCAGTATAGAATTCAATAAGTCACATGAGGTATTCAACACTTTATTATAAAATAGGCATTTTGTTAGATGATTTTGCCCAACTGTAGGCTAGTGTAAGTGCTCTGAGCACATTTAAGGCAAGCTAGGCTAAGCTTTGATGTTCAGTAAGCTAGTTGTTATTAAATGCATTTTTGACTTAAAATATTTTCAACTTACAATTGGTCTATCAGGACAAACCCTACTGTAAATTGAAGAGCATCCACATCATGAATTATGTCAAATAATTTGCTTCTTATCTCTGATTGGGGCAGGGGATTTTGCTTGTTGCTTTGAACTTTGGAAAATGACATACAGACTAATGCAAGTTTTTCATAACAGTTATGTTTTAGCTCTGCTTGTGAGTAGGAAAACACATAGAGTGAAATGTCATCTGTTACTTAACCTAGATGTAAGATGACTTTGTTTAGCAAAAGACAGATCTGAATTATTTTCAGCTGTTAGGAAAATAGCAGTGTACTAAAATTCATGTCAAGATGGCATGTATAATTTTAAGAAGCATAGATATTAGTTAGGCCTGTAATATCTCAATGATTGCCATGAAAATAATTCAGTTGATAGTTATAGATTATAATTGTGAGATAAAGTAGTCCAATTTTCAAATATCCACATTTTAATACCTTCATTTAATGAAAGTTTATCAAGCAGTGTATTTGAGCAGACACTATGCATGGCACTGGGGAAACAGAAGTGCATTAAATATAGTCTCTGCTCTCATGGGACTTCTTCCAATTTTTTGCTAAAAAGTAACTCATGAAGATTTTTAACTAAAAATAGTTTTTTTTTTAAGTGTTAGGATAATGTATAGCTAAGACAGTCCAGCAGAATTAAAAAGCTATAAAAGCTTACTAGGTAGATAAGTAATAATCATGGAAACTGAAAGTAGTATCCTTATAGGATATTTTTCCTTTTCCTTTTTTAGGAGCCTAAAAGGGGATCGAGTTATGCCAGAGGAAATAGCTCGCTACTATAAACATTATGTAAAAGTCATGGGTCTTCAGAAGAATTTCAGAGAGAATACTTACATAACTTCCGTATCAAGACTCTACAGAGATCAAGATGATGATGATATTCAAGACAGAGATATTTCAACAAAGCATTTACAGATAGAGAAGTCAAACTTTATCAAGAGAAACTGGGAAATTAGGGGTTATCAGCGAATAGCTGATGGTTCTCATGTTCCCTTCTGCCTCTTTGCTGAGAATGTAGCGCTGGCAACTGGAACGCTGGATTCTCCTGCCCATCTGGAAATTGAAGGGGAAGATTTTCCTTTTGTGTTTCATTCAATGCCTGAATTTGGAGCTGCTATAAACAAAGGAAAGTTGCGTGGCAAAGTGGATCCAGTGTTAATTGTAGGTTCTGGGCTTACTGCCGCTGACGCAGTACTGTGTGCTTACAACAGTAATATCCCTGTGATTCATGTGTTTCGCAGACGAGTAACTGATCCAAGCTTAATTTTCAAACAGCTTCCCAAAAAGCTGTATCCTGAATATCATAAAGTCTATCATATGATGTGTACTCAGTCATATTCTGTAGACTCAAATCTTTTATCTGATTATACCAGCTTTCCCGAGCACCGTGTGCTTTCCTTTAAGTCGGACATGAAATGTGTTCTCCAAAGCGTTTCTGGATTGAAGAAAATATTTAAGCTGTCTGCAGCAGTAGTATTGATAGGTTCTCATCCTAATCTGTCTTTTCTGAAGGATCAAGGGTGTTACCTAGGCCATAAGTCAAGCCAGCCAATCACATGTAAGGGTAATCCTGTGGAAATAGATACATATACCTATGAGTGTATTAAAGAAGCCAACCTTTTTGCATTGGGTCCTTTGGTTGGAGACAATTTTGTTCGATTTTTAAAGGGAGGGGCGCTGGGTGTTACACGCTGTTTAGCTACAAGACAGAAGAAAAAGCATTTGTTTGTTGAAAGAGGAGGAGGAGATGGGATAGCTTAAAGCAAGTTTACAAGTAATTAAAATGGACAGTTTGCCATTAAAGATTTTTAATAGTGGTTTTGCAGTGTACTGGCTTGAATTTTCTGGACTTGAGTTAACTGAAGGAGAGCCTCAAACTATAGTAACTTCATTTTTAAAAGTTACTAGAATTTGGTATCCTGATTTATATTGCAGTGTTTCAAAGGTGTCACTGTCAGACAAATAGAAACACTGCCAACTTGGTGTAACTTAAGCTTTCATTTAACTAAAACATTCTTTTCTTGCAAAACTTATTTTTCATGATCATTTTTGGTTATTTATTATACTTGATTCCAAAATAGTACAGCCTTGAATCTATAAAACTGTGCAGTCATTATGCCAGAAATTATCTTAAATATATAATGGGTCACCTTGCTGTTCAAAGGGTGGTGCAAGGTCCTGCAGCATCTTACATCTGTAGCTTGTTAGAAATGTAAACTCTCAGGCCCCACAACTTACTTCCTGCATTTTAACAAGATCCCCAAGGGATATGTATGCTCATAAAAATTTGAGACACTGGTTTAAATGAAAATGGATATAAGGTATGTATAACTGGGGGTGGGGTGAGGGTAGGAGGCATTTACAACTCAGATTTTATTTATTTTGAAATTATCAATTGTATAAATCTAATTTATTACCAAATAGGGTCTTTTAAAAAATATTTTTATCGTTGAAACCTTGACAGGTACTTCATATTCTTCTAATAATTTAAACAGTCCAATAATGTGGTATACACTTTGACATCCAAGAACTCACCAAGATGTTTTTCAGAGATTTATTCTCGATTTAACTATCATAGCATTTAATGAATCTGATTTGTAGTTCAATAAATTGTGGGTTGAACTACTTATCCCTGTGTGAACATTGAATTACTTTCTGTCACTGAAACTGAGGTATTTGGGTGTGGTAAGTACTTCGAAAATTGTAATACTGTTTGGGCATTGTCTAAATTATTAAAGGTTAAAATAGAAAATAAAGTCAGAATTTTTCTTTTCCATTCCAAAGGTGTACTTAGAGATCTCTATTAGTATTCATTCGAGATGACATAGCAGCTCATATCATGGTTGTTTATTGGATTTATCTGTTCTAATTATATAAGTGTGTTTACTGTCTGTGTTTTCACACAAACTGCTAGAATTTTTAATGTTAAGACGAAAACATCTGAAGTTCTCCATGGCAAATTGAATTTTTCAGTCATTTTCTTTTCTTTTTTTGGTACAATTACTTCATCTGGAATGTCTTCATTGAACTCGTTATTCTATTTTTCTTAGAATTAAAAGTGGATTAATGTGGGTTTTTCTGTTCATTTTATTGCAGTATTAAATGCTTAAGCTTATTAGGACCATAATTCACTTTAAATATAATTGTATAGAATATATTTGCGTCGATCAAATAATTGCTTCAGATGAATTCTTAGACTCTTGATAATATCACACCTAATTTAACTTGATTTTACAAGCTGTACAATCCAGTTTTAGTTTTCTATTGTGATAATAACTTTTTTCAAACCAGTTTCACATCTTAATGAAATAACATTCTCTGACTGCACTTGCTTCAGTACTCTCTTGCCTGCCTGTTTTTGACCTCTGCATGAGTTGGATTAGATGTTTTTCTTACTGTCACTTCTAAATAGAAAATGACAGTGTTATAAAAAAGGGAAGGATAAAACCTTTGACATCCCCTTGTGTCTCAAAAGTCCACAGTTATTCAAACAATGGCTTTTTTTGTGATGAGAGTATTTGTTAAAAAAAAAAAAAGACTTCAAGAAAAATAAAAGTTCAGTGGAGCTGCAAATAAATCTGGTGAATAATTTCATCTTTGGTAATCTCCCATTTCCTGAGTTCTTCCTCAATCCAAGCTGTCCTGTGTAGTATATAACATTTGGGCATTTTCTCTGATATACTATACTCTCATGTTCTATAAATTTCTGTCCCGTAATTCTAACACTTTACATTTTTTCTTTGCTATCAGCTATAGCTATTCATGGAAGGGAAGAATCACTAAATACTTGTCTAGTTATAGCATGATGTGAGCATCTCCTCCTTATCCCTCGATGCCTGGCTTGGTGTCTGGCAAACAGTCCATAATTAGCAGATGTTGAAAGACCGTTTACAAAGCAGAATTTGGGGATTTAAAGTGCAATGATACAACAAAAAGATTTAATTACAGCTTCCAGTGTTTTGACTATGTGAACCATATCCAACTACTTTTTTGAAAATCTAGTTCTATGTAATATATTTCTGTGGCATCAAATTTTAGTTGATTGTATTAGTCAATAGGAAGTGGTGGAAAATTTCTAAATAAATTCAACTATTAAATAAATGCAAGTTCCACTAAATCTTAGTGTTTGGAACACTGAAGAACCCAGAATGAAACAAAATTAGACTGAATGTAAATGTCATTTAAAAATCTAACTGGGGGCTGGGGACAGTGGCTCACGTCTGTAATCCCAAAACTTCAGGAGGCCGAGGCAGGTGGATCACCTGAGGTCAGGAGTTTGGGACCAGCCCCGCTAACATGGTGAAACCCCATCTCTACTAAAAATACAAAAGTTAGCTGGGCGTGGTGGTGTGTGCCTGTAGTCCCAGCTACTTGGGAAGTGAGGCACAAGAATCGCTTGAACCTGGGAAGCAGAGGTTGCAGTGAGCTGAGACTGCACCACTGCACTCCAGCCTGGGCTTCAGAGCAGAACTATCTGAAAAAAAAAAATTAAAAATCTAACTCGGTTACAGAGGCTGCTTGTTGCATAGAGCCATTTTGATCTGATCAGATCATACAGTTTTTAAGTTGTATACTTTCCTTGTGGGGGGAGGGGGATAAAGGGCCTGAGTCCCCTAAGGCTAGTCTGAAGAGTATGTGAAATAAGGATTAAAGAGATACCCTGATTATTTTGAACAACTACCCACTCCCCCCCCGCCGCCAACCACCCATGCAGGTTATTCAAGAGAAATGGTGTCTGGGGAAGGAACAGGGTAAAAAAGGTGAAGAACATGACTAATAAAGCATAAAAAGAATGAAAACCTTCAAATTAAAAATAAAAGGATGGCGTCCTGGTTTTAATCATGATGGAGTAATAAGAATAGGGCTTACCTTTTACTGTAATAATCAACTATAAAACTCTAGAAAATATATAAAGCAGTGTTTTCATACAGTTGTAGACAGCAGTCCAGGACTGATTTTTAAGAGAAGAAACAAGCGGTGAGCTCCATAGTCACCCTGACTTTCTGCTTGAAGGTACTTTGCAAACTAACACAAAGTGGAGTATGTCTGGTTGGGAGAAAATAACACAGTATAGGGTTCCTGCTGGAATCTGCTGGGCAGAGTACTGGGGAGGAGGAAGCTGCAGAGATGCAGCTGCAGAAATCTGCATAATTTTCTTACATCTGGCACAATACTAAACAGTACAGGGAGAAACCATGGGGCTTTAGGGATCAGCAGCTATAAGTTAGGGGCCGAGTGGAGACTTTGAAGGTATTCAGCTCTGGAAGACATTGGAATTCTGGCCAAATAGCAGAGCCAGACCTTGCTGAACACCTCAAGCATTCAGCTGAAACCCCAAAAAGGCCATGCCTTGCGAATAGGGGTACCTTAATTTGCCCCAAACTAAGCCTCAACAGGATCAAGCAGAACTGTGAGTAAATTAACTGCCTGCCAGCACAAGACTTGACACTCCTCAAGGAAGACAAAATCCAGACTGTCACAACAGCATCAGTAATGTCCAGCACACAATAAAAGATTACTGGGTGTCCAGACAAGAAAATGTGACACAGCCAGACAAAACAAGCAATCAAAACAGATCTAAGAATTGATACAAATGTTGGAAGTCGCAGACAAGTACTTTAAAAGTTAATATGTTCAAAATATTAAAATGACACTGAACAAGTAGGGAATCTCAGAAGAAAAACTAAAAAGTGAACATTCTATAGCTGAAAAGTACATTCTGAAATGAAAAATTCACTGGATGAGCCTAACATACCGGACGCTGGAGAAGAAAAGATAATGAACTTGAGAACAGGTTAATATAAACTATCCAAAAAAAGCATAGAGAAAACTAAAAAAACAATTGCCAGACTTGATGTGATAATATCAAGTGTCTAACATGTACAGTTGGAATTCAAAAGGAGAGGAAGACTGGGCCAGAGAAACACATATTTGGAGAATTAAAAGCTGAAAAATTTACAAATTTCATTTAAAAAATCTACAACCCATAGATCCAAGAAACTCAAACTGCAAACAGGATAAATATTAAGGAAATCACGCCTATGCACCTAATAGATTGCTGAGAAAAATAGGAAAGTTTAAAAGCTGTCGGAGAAAAAAGGGAACAATGATGAGAATACATGACTAGAAAAAAATGCAATCAAGAAGACAGTCTTAAATATCTTTGAATTGCTAAAGTAAAAATACTGCCAAACTAAAATTCTATATCCAGTGAAAATATTCTTCAAAACGAGTGAAATAGTCGTTTTTGGATATGTGAAAGTTGAGAAAATATGCTGTCAGAAGACCTGCACTGCAAAAAGTGGAAATTCTTCACATTGAAGGTACATGATACCTGCATATATCTACATGAAAGAAAGAAAAATGCCAGAAATGGTAAATAAAAATTATGTATTTTCTCATTTCTTAAATTATTCAAAATCCAATTGACTGTTGAGAATGTGTTTAACCAAAAACAATTTAAAACAAAAAGTAAAAAATTGTATGATTTAGGACATGTAGAGTAAAATATACGATAATTGTAGCACTGTATAGAAAGACAAATAGAAGTATACTTTATTTTTTTTCCCCAGAGAGGGTATCACTCTGTCTCCTAGGCTGGATTGCAGTGGTGTAATCTTGGCTCACTGCAGCCTCACCCCAGTCTCAAGCGATCCTCCTGCCTCAGCCTCCCAAGTAGCTGGGACCACAGGGAGGTGCCACCACACACAGCTGATTTTTTGTAGAGATGGAGTTTTGCCATATTGCCCAGGGTGATCTTAAGCTGAGCTCAAGTGATCTGCCTGCCTTAGCCTCCCAAAGTGCTGGGATTACAGGCATGAGCCACTGTGCGTGGCAGAAGTATACTTTTATCAGGTGTATACATTATACAATTAGTGGTGTGTTATTAACTTTAGATAAGAATGCATATCCTTATAGTAACTACTAAAAACAAGTAAAAGGTACAGCTGTAAAGCCAACAGAAGAGATGAAATGGAATACTAAAAAATAATTCAAAGAAGGCAGAAAAAGAGAAACAGATGGGACAAAATAAGTGAGAAAATAACCATGATCATATACTCCAACCCAACCGTAGCAATAATTATATTTACATACAAGTGGATTAAGCACTACCAACTTAAAAGCAAAGATCATCAGATTCAATAAAAAGCTTCAAAAAGGTTTACAAGAGCTTTATCCAAATATAAAGATACCAATAGGTTATAAGTAAAAATGGAAAAAGACATACCATGAAAACATTAATAAAATACTTCAAGACAAGTATTAGAGATAGATATTTTATAACAATGTTTAGTTAATGGAGAACTTATCAATTCTAAATGTATATGCACCTAATTACTGAGTTTTAAGATACATAAAAGACAATGGAGAACTAAGGTGAGACAAAGTTACAATCATAGTTGGAGACTGAGTAGACAAAATCAGAAAGGATGTAAGGGATATTCAATGGCATTACCAACCACTGATCTGACATTTATAGAACTACTACACCCCTAAACTGCAGAATACTCATTCTTTTTATGTGCAACCAGAATATTCACCAAAATGGGCCAACAATATGCTTGCCCATAAAACAAGTCTCAAAAAATTTAAAAAGATTAAAATATGACTGAATATGATCTCTGACAACAGTGGAATTTTAGAAATAGTAACATATAGAAATAAATAGCAATTAACTATTGTATCTTTTGGTAGATGGAAAAATTATATTTGGAAATTAGTCCATACATCAGTGAAAAAAAATCACAGGGAAATTAGGACATTTTTTGAGCCAAAAGATCACTCAAGTAACCAAATTTGTCACATGCAGCTAAAGAGGTGTGTTGAGTGAAATTCTAAATACTCATTTTTGAAGCTGGGTTTAAAATCAATGATCTACAAAGGACTAGGGAAAAAGAGCAAATTAAACCCTAAGTAAGCAGAAGCAAGGAAAGTGAAAATCAATGAAATAGAAAAAGGAGAGGCCAGGCACGGTGGTTCATGCCTGTAATCCCAGCTACTCAGGAGCCTGAGGCAGGAGTATCGCTTGAACCTGGGAGGCAGAGGTTGCAGTGAGCCAAGATCGCACCATTTCACTCCAGCCTGGGAGGCAGCGAGACAGAGTCTCAATAAATAAATAAATAAATAAATAAATAATAGAAAAAGGACATACATTAGAGAAAAATCAATGAAATTAAATGTTCTTCAAACAAATTTAATTTATAAACCTCTAGTTAGAGAAGAACCAAAGAACACAAGGTTCAGGTAACAAGAAAGGAAAGGGAGACTCCATGACATATTACAGACATTTTAACGCAAATACTATAAACTTTTATACCAATACATTTCACAACTTACTGGAACATATGAAGTCCTTAAAAGATGCAAACTACTGAAACTACTAGAGGTAGAAAATCTATAGTTCCTTGAGATAAAAAATAAAGACATTTAACATTGTATTGACAGCCACTGTAATAGGTAAGAAAAAGAAAAGACAAAAACAATTGGAAGGAAGAAGTAAAACTGCCTGTATTCACCAATGACATGATTGTGTACTTAAAATCCTAAGGAATCTGCCAAAAAAAAAAAAATTTTGCCAGAATAGGTGAGATTAGCAAGTTCACAGGATCCAAATTCTATACACCAAAAGTAATTGTATTTTCATATAGAATAAATCATTGCAAGATGAACTTTCTGAAAGTATCGTTTACAGTACCAAAAAAATGCTTAGGGACAGATTAAAACAGATGTCTGAGCCTCTACAGTGAAACTACAAAACAATGTGGAAAGAGTAGATCTAAGTAAATGAATAGACATTTTACATGCATGGATTGAAAGACTGAATATTTTTAAGATGTCAGTTCTTCACAAATTGATTTTTAGATTCAGCACAATAATTCTAGCCGATTTTTGGGATAGAAATTGACATGCTCAGAGGACTGATGTATCTGACTTCTAGACTTCCTGCATAGTCCTGACTTACCATTTTTTGACTAGATGGTAGTACAAGAGTGATAGACATTCAGTAGAAAGCCTACTTTGAATTTTGTTCTTTTCCCTGGCTAGTAATGTGCCCATAGAATACTCAATCTTGCAATGCTGGGCAGCAGCAGCAAGCCGTAGCTTCCCGTCAGCCACAGCATCAAGAGGGTAAAAACTGATTCTTGCTCTTTGTGAAGAACACTATTCCTGCTAAACCATCAAGTATTGATGCCCTTAGTGCCTTCAACCAATGCTTCTACTCAAGCCTAATCAGTAGGGAAATTGATAATCCTGTTGCTGTAGTATTCCCCATCATGCCGCAATTTTAGTTCAATGCTTCAAACATTCTTCAGGCCCAGTGCGCTTTCAGCTGTGTATGTTTATAGTGAGTAGCTACACAATCATTCTGTTTTTTGCTTTCAGTTTACTATTCAATAAATTAGATGAAATATTCAGTACTTTACAATAAAATAGCTTTTGTGTTAGATGATTTTGCCCAACTATAGGCTACTGTGTCATGAGTACATTTAAGGTAGGCTAGGCTAAGCTATGACGTAGGTTAAGGTGTATTAAATGCACTTTTGACTTAAATACAGTATTTTCAACTTACATTGCGTTTATTACAATGTAATCCCAACTTAAGGAGCATCTATGCAGCTACAGTAATTCAAGGCAGTATGGTATGAGTGAGTGCAAGGATGGACAAACATTTCAGTGTAACCAAACAGAAAGTCCAGAAACAGATCCACCATTATGGTTAATTGATTTTTTACTAATTGGCAAGGTAATTTAATGAGGAAAGGATAATTCTTTCAATAAACAGTGTTACAATGACTGGATACTTGTATGGGGGAAAAAAAGAACCCTGATCCATAATTCACAACATACATATCAATTCAAGGTAGATCACAAATATAAAAATATAAAGTTTATATAATAGAGCAGAATATCTGAAATCTTGGGGTTAAATTGGAGAGAAAAAATATCAAACAAAAGAAAAAAATAAATTTGACCTTGTCAAAATTTAAAACTTCTATTCATCAAAAGACATAAAGAAAACAGTCAAGCCACAGACTAGGTGTAATATCTCAATACATATATCCGACAAGAGACTTGCATCTAGAATGTATAAAGAATTTCTATGACCCAATTATAGCTATCAGGGATATACAAATTAAAACCAAAATGAAACATCACTACACACCGATTGGAATGGTTAAAAAGGAAAAATACTGACAACACCAATATTTGTAAAGACAGGAGGTACCAGAACTCTCATTCATTATATTCATAAATTGACAAATATAAAAACTGCTATAGTAGGGCAGTCTTCCTTAGAAAGGGATTGTGGGCATGACAGAGAACAATATTAATCTGTCCATTATATTCCTTAACTGTAAAATGGAGACCATATGTTCCACCAGCTTCACTTGGTAATTATGATACATGGCTATTAAGAGACTCAAATGACTCCATTTCATCAACTAATATGCCCTGTCAATTCTACTTCTAAAGTATCCCATGTTCTATCCAATGTCATACCACTATCATAATTTAAGTGTTCATAACTCTCTATAATATTTCAATAATCTAACTGGTCTCAATGCCTGTAGTAGAAATTGCAGATTGGCTCACCCAATTTCTGTTCCCTAGGAAGGCTGAGAAGCTTTTAAAAAAAGACCTTCATTTCCCTAACTCCCTTGCAGCTGGAGTTCCACCTGCAAGCAGCCAGAACTTGGAAGTAAGTTAATTTGGTTCTGGCAAGTAGATGCACTTCCACAAGATTTGGAAGGTGAGAGTGATGTAGAGGCCAGCCTCTTGTCCCTTCTGTTGCTTCTGTTTACAAGGGAAGTCATGGAAATATGGCCTCCATTCCTCACTGTTCCATTTCTCATTCTCTAAACAACTAATCAGTTGTAGTGACTCTTGACTGGAACTCCCTTCTTGCTGGATCACAGGTACATGAATATATTTTTGAACACAGACTTGAAAATCACTTGTCAATAAAGTTTGAAAAAAGACATTCATTGTTTCTTACCATCTCCCTTTAAGGTAGAAAAAGAAAACAATCTCACCATTTCTACTTTATAAGTAGGAAAACTAGGACTCTAAATAAGCTCAAAACAGACACCCACCCAGCTCAGTAAGACCACCAAAAAGGGGTACAGGTCTTTCCATTCTGGTGAAAACTAAACCCATGTTTGATGAAGTCTCCACATGGTCTTCAGTTTCTAGTACTAGAATAACATGTAGGTGACATCTGCACCACTGAAGCCATTTTGTTTGGATCACCAGAGTTTAGGTAAGACTACAGCATAATGGAAAAGAAAAAATATTAAAAACATTATATTGATATTCCTATAATTTTTAATCTACTAAGTAAAAAAGCAAGGTGTAGAACACTGCATATGTTATGCTATCATTTGTGTAGGAAATTATTTAAAAATAGGAATTTGAATAGGACTCAAAAATCCCTGGAAAGATTCATAAGAAATGAGTATCATGAATTTTTTTCTGAGGGGAACCAAGTAGCTAGGACAATGGTGGAAGGGTGACTTTAGTCTTTACCTTACGTACATTTAGAATTTTGAACTGTGACTATATTAACTATTTAATAAACAAAACACATTTAAAAATGAAAAAAAGATGCAATGACAAAGCCTGAAAACAGAACAAACAATTGTTACATACAAAAGAATCAAAGTTTTGTGCATTTTATTTAATAAATTTAGGCCATAAAACATTGTAACTTAAATCGCTTCTATACACTATATATTCATATAACCTTGTTGGCCTGAAGTAGATGCTTACTAGGAAGTTTTTCCATGGCTTCTTTTTAAAATCCTCAGTTATCTTCTCCTTTTTAAATAAGGATTGTATCTGCAAAGAAAGAAATGGGGTTAAATGATATTTAGATAAGGGATGGTATTTCTTTTAAAGGTAAAGAACTTTCAAACTGTAGTCACACTTTGGCAAATAGGATGGGAATGACAATTTTGTCCTTAGGATCAGATACTAAGCACTGACATTTTTATTTTCATGTATCCCTTTGATGTTGCTTTGATGAAAATATGGTAAAAACAAAAAAAAAATCAACAATAACAAAAATCCTTTAAAGCTTTAAAATAATTAATGAAAACAGTTTAAAAATGAAGGTATGTTTACACTTCTTTCTGTATGGCTTCAAAGATCCCCATTCCTCCCCATAATAAAAGCATATCATTTGCACAAAAGAGCATAATCTACTTAAATGTAATTAGCACTTTACAACATTTTCTCCTACAGCAGTTAAACAAATATGGCTGAACAACCCATCTCATTTGACTAATGAAAAACCAGTATTGTCTGTCAACACTTTTTTTTTTTTTTTTTTTTGAGATGGAGTCTCTCTCTGGAGTGCAGTGGCGCGATCTTGGCTCACGCAGCCTCCGCCTCCTGGGTTCAAGCGATTCTCCTGCCTCAGCCTCCTGAGTAGCTGGGATTACAGGTGCATGCCACCACGCCTGGCTAATTTTTGTATTTTTAGTAGAGACGGGGTTTCTCCATGCTGGCCAGGCTAGTGTTGAACTCCTGACCTCGTAATCCGCCCACCTCAGCCTCCCAAAGTGCTAGGATTACCCGGCCTGTTTGTCAACATTTTTACCAGCAATTTATACTGTCAGTTATGAAATTAGAGAATCAATCTAATTGGCTGCAAAACAGACTCAAAAATAATTTCTTCATTCTGTCTTCTCCCCTGATATCTACCTATAATATAGTATTTTATTAGTATTTCAGAGGCAATTATTATAATAGGTTTGTTAGGCCTGCAGGAATGCTGAAAATGTATTAAATCAGAATTAAATTATAATCACAAAGTACAACTCTAAAACCTCCCACAAAAACCTGCTTTGAAACTTTAATCTAGCCTTTTGTTTTTATGCATGTGCCAATAAAAACTAAACAAATGGTCTGGCATTTTACTTGTCTTAATTCAAAACTCAATCGTAATTCTACTCAGAGCTGAAAAATCTCACAAATCTATACAACAATTTCACACAATTCGGGAACCGTCTTTTTGCCTGAATGCCCCCATACAAATTTTAAGTATCTTATAACTTAACCCCAAACCTCGATGCTATAGCCAATAAACCCAATTGAGAGGTGCTTAAGTAATAAAAATAAACACTTGTGTTAGGTGAAGGGACTAGGTGTCTATGAGGACAGAAGAAACAAATTCTTAATTTCTATGAACAGAACTAAATTTTATATACATCTCTCAAAGGTACATGAGAAAGGTGAATCAAACTTTACCTAAAAAGATCATCAGCAAGAGACTCTTCTTTTGCATGTTGATTTTGTACCTGTCAAAATTAACATAATTTCAAACATTTGCTCAGTGGTGAATATATAGTTAATGAATTGCTATAGTGATAGGTCACTGTCATCTTAGAGATTTCCACATCCTGGAGGTCACCACATCTGAGTTCTTGCCTCTACAATATTTCATTCAACTGATCCTCTATATTTTCAATCCATGCTAAGATTATTACAAAAGAGCTCTAACTAAACAGCTTTCTCCCACCCATCTCCACTCAAAGACAACCAATAGTATATTGCTAGCTTGCTGAGTTTTTAAACACTCTTTCCAGCAAAACCCTTTTACTAAATGAGATTTCAGTGCTTGGGGGTCAGACCACTGATGAGACTAAGAGGGCAACATTTACCCCACCTTCAACTAGAGCAGCTCCACAGTTAAAGAGGCTCCTGTGTTCTTGGTCCCACATCAGGGCTTAGAAGCTGCTGCTAAATTACCTCTCCTCTGAAGTCCTTTTAAATACAAACTCACTAAACTTCTACAGCACCTTACAGAGTCAGAATCAAAAACTCCCTGTGCTGAGTGCATCTTCCTAAAGTCTAGCTATGCCCTTATCATATGCAATTTGAAACCCTTCGTGACTTCTCCCACCTACCAAGGAAAACACAAGCCCTTGCATTTGACCCGCTGAAATGTGCAAGGCTCTTCATAACCTGGTTCCATTTTACTTTCCTAATCACTTCTCAGCCTCCTCTTCGTGGACTCTGTATGCCGGTTAAAACTGAATCACACAAAAAAGAAAAAAGCAAAACCAAAACAAAACCCCAGAATCATCTCCTAATAAATATCCTGTGACCCTCTATCTGCTTTTGTTCATATTTCTCCCTCTGCCAAGGAAGTTAATTCCTTTTTTTCCCTCTTCCCACATGTAACCATCTTTAAAGGTACATTCATTCAATACTTATTTAGTGCCTACTATGTTTCAAGGAACATGTTCTTCCCCTCTTTAGCAAAGGCTTCCTGATCCCCTTCTTCTAAAAATAATGCCTGCTGTGAAGAACTCTCCCAAAACTTCAGCTACAGAATTCCCAGGATGCTTATCAATTTCTACCTTCTGTTATAATTATTTATATTTGTACCCTATCCTCTCTAAAAGACCAGAAGTTCCTTAAATACAGATAGAGTAAGTCCTGACTTAATGTTTTTGATATTTCTTGGAAACTGCAACTGTAAGTGAGATGACATACAGCAGTTCCTTGAATCATGTTGTTTTGTTGTAATAATGAGAAAAAATATTGGTTATGTAATTTTGCTTAAAGTTGCAGTTTCCAAAAACCTACTGACAATGTTAAGGACTTACTGTGTTTATTTTTACTGTTACTAATTTACATTTGAATGCTTCCAGATACTATCTTAAACTCTCTCTCTCTCTCTATATGTGTGTGTGTGTATATATATATATGAAATCTCACTTAATCTTCATGTAACTTCATTACTATTATACTATTATCTCAGTTTTAACCAATGAGGTAACAGAGACTTAGGTTAGGTAAACCTGCAGAAGATAGGGGAACTCAGATGGAATAGCTGGGATTTGACCAGGTCTACCTTATTAAGAGCACCAGCTCTTAACGAGGCTGCCTCAGGGCTTCTGAATCTCTAGAGCAAGCCTACAAGAGTGACTTGCAGGGATTCGATCTTACAGACTGATTTTTCTATCATATAGTGAAACAAAATTACATCTTATCTTTTCATATTTTCTAATAGGGATAGCAAAACATAAATGGGAAGACATCATTTTAATAAAACAGCTGTCAAAATAACTACTGGCAACATTTTTCTAAACATTCTTAGAGGTTGCCTGGGGAATAAAGTTGTAGCATAGTAAGGAAAAACCACTGAGGAGAAAGCAGTTTTATTTCATATATTTCAGTAAAAACATATAAAATAGTATTAAGAAACAGAAATGCCTCATATTACTGGCATTTTTCAGAGGTCTGAGATAACTACTACTCACAGTCTTTCAAATTCAAATCAGGTTGGATACAGTTCAAATAATTTTTATGTTTGATGTACACAATGAAAATATCCTAAATTCAAGGGAACTTCAGGAACTGACGCAGTGATTATGAAAATCAAGACTGGTGGGTCTGCAGCAGAGGTAGAGAAAGAAGGGATGAAAAAGAAAAATAGGGAGGGAATATAGAAAAAGAATAGCTGCAGCAAACAGGGAAATGAGATGGCAGTACAGAACATTTACATAAATAAGCAGTAGCCATGCAGCAAAAGCAAGTCAAGTCTGTTATAGAGTAAGTCCTACCAATAGCAACTAAAATGATTCTAGCAAAAAGAGAAGTGATTTGGTGAAATCATCTAGAACACAGTCCATCTAATTCCTAATGAAATAAGCAAAAAAAAAATAGAAAAAAGTCAGCAGCTGTATGATGTATCATCATTCTCTCAACTTCTCCCATCTAAAATTAATCAAACAAAACTCGACAGTGTTAATTAATCAAGGAGAAGAGTTTAAGCCATGCCATACGCTTAAAAAGTGCAGCTGTAAAAAGAACCAAATGATTCTGATGCAGCTGATTCCTAATACTGTCTCAATCCATTAAAAGTGCTACACAACTGGTCAAACCTGAGGATTCTTACTAATGCCCCAAATTTGGGGAAAAGGTAACCTGAACAGGGAAAACAACTGCCAGTGGGCTGCTGGGAAGGGACTAATGGTGTAGAAGGTAAAGAAGCAGGGCTGACACTGACCAAACACATAGGCTCCAAGGATCCCTAACAAATTAGGTAAACAACCTAATAATGCTAGGTTATTCTCTTTTATATAGGGCACACTCCCTGGTATAGGACATTTAATTAAAATCCCAGGAGACAGCTAGCCCAAGCTGCACACAGCTCCAGCTGAGCCTTTCCTCTCCCAGATTCAATGTCTTCAGACAACAGAAACTAGATGGGATATGCCATGTGCCACTGACTGTTTCAGCATAATGCCATACTGACAGTGAGGCATGAGGGAATTCTGTTCTTTAATTTTTATTTTATTTATTATTATTATTTTTGAGATGTGGCCTTGCTCTGTCACCAAGGCTGAAGTGCAGGGGCTCAATCATGGCTCACTGCAACCTTAACCTCCCAGGCTCAAGCAATCTTCCCACCTCAGCCTCCTGAGTAGCTGGGACTATGGGCACATGCACTACCATGACCCGCTAATTTGTTGTGTTTTTTTGTTTGTTTGTTTAATTTTCATTTATTTATTTTTTTGTAGAGACAGGGTCTCAAGATGTTGTGCAGGCTACTCTTAACTCCCGGGTTCAAGTGATCCTCCTGCTCCCAAAGTGCTGGGGTTATAGTCATGAGCCACACCATTGTGCCTGGCTGAATTCTGTTCTTATGGGCAAGACAAGAATGTTAGAAGTAATTTTGATTATACTGAATTTCTGTCTCACAAACTGGCTTCTGAATGTAATCCCTGCATGAGATGGCATATGATCCTTTATGTAGCAAACAGAATATCTGGAAAAGACATTTCCCTTTACTCAAGTGAAGGCAAAAAACAGAAAAGCTACTCCATCTACTAGAGGAAAAAAAAAAAAAGGGATATTGGAACAGAACATGCAAAAAACAGATAAAGAACCTAATCTGCAGGAAATAATAATCCACGAATAAAAAGTAAAATAGAAACATGAAAGCAATGAAATAATGACAAAAAATCAGATAATAGAACAATGAAATGAAAAAAGAACAAATGCTAAGTAAAAGAACCATAATAACAGCCTTTCAGAATTAAATTAGAAATAGCTAACACTTCCCACTGTTATAAATGATTTATATGTAGTATCTGATTTAATCCTCATATGTCTGTGAAATAAAGGTACTATTATTATTCTCATTCTGCACAGATGGAAGCAGAGACATTAAGTAATTTGCCTAAGGTCACATACTTGGTGAGAAACATTATAGACACACCTGAAATGTAAAATTTTGATACAGTGAAAGAGCCTAAGAAAACCACAGTGAATGCAGAAAAAATAGATGTGGACGACAAAGGTAATCCAATGAAAGGATAGTTATGTCTTAAATGTCTTATAGAGAGCCCAGCAAATATAAAATATTTAAAATATATAATAGAAAAAAGTTCCTTGAGAAAGAGAATTACACCTGCAAATCAAAACAGCATACTATATGTCAGGAAAAACTAATGGAGAATGATCAACACTGAGATGTATTCTGAGTGTTACTGGCTTTCGAGCTTAAGAAAGATGACTGGTCATGCATGCAAGTCACCTAAAAAGGGAAAAACAGGACTGGCATAAGGTAAGGGAGGCTAGGTGGGAGGAAGTACTAATAATGTCCTCACTTTTCACTGTAGCGAGCCAACAAATAATTGTATGTGAAGTTAATATGAAGTTTAAAACTACCCATTCCGACTTACAGTGATTTTTATAGTTTTCCTCCTTAATATTAGACAGATCTCACAAAATAAAATATCTTGGAGGGAAGAAACATTTATAGAAATTCAGCAATGCCTTCAGTTTAACTTCCTCCTATCAATGTCTCTCTCTTCCTTCCCAGTCTGTCCCTGCCTCTCACTACTCCTCAATGAAGAGATGTCTGGAATATTGTTCACTTAACTGTTTAAATAGGTAATTTCTGGGCTTTAGGTTTTCACATCTTCATTCTTTGTGTACTGCCATAATTCTGTGGAATGCACATGTTACAAAATAAGCCAATTATTCTTTCAAAAAAGAAAAGGAGAAAGGATGTGATTTCCATTCTTTCATTTTTTAAAAATAAGTATCCTGAGTGACCTTAACAACTCTACTTTCATAAGTGACTTTCCTAAATAACCCTTATTTTAAAATAACTGAGAAAAAAGCACTTTTAAAAGTGAATTACACTATACCCACTATAAAGCAAAATAAGGAACCCTGAGAGGTTAGCAAGGACCACAGTCAGCTTTTGCCTTGCCCTATGAGTATCTGCAAGTCATGAAAAACCTGAACTCTGCTTTAATGTCTATACGGGGTATGAGTGATACGAAAGAAAACCCAAGATGTTGACTTTAATAAAAGACCCAGCACTAAAAGAAGAAAGAGAAATAAACCTTACAACACAGAAGGAGCTAGGAAAGAAACTTGCCCATCTTCATTCTGGCACTTAGTGAAGGAAATAAATAAAAATCTCATTTGAAGTTTCTAATGATAAGCCAGCCTTCATTCACTCCAGCTTCTGGTCCAAATATTAATACATACTAACTGTCTGGGTGATTCAAAGAATCACAAGGAGAGATTTTAATTTGAAGTGGTCTCATATTGGTAGAAGACTCGAAGATAGAAAACGTATCTTTTCTAGAGGAAATACATCTGAACTTAATACTCAAGAAAACCCTACAGATCGAGTTACAAAGAAAACAATCAGCTCATATTCAAAAATCACAAAGCACAAACTTGAAAACAAGGTACATAAGAGCAGAAAACAGATCAAACATTTTAGGTAATGGTATCATTAGGCAAATAATATAAAAGGGGAAGCTTGAAAAACAGCAAGGAACAAGAAGATTTAGAAAGAAATAAAACAGACTTCCAGTAATGAAAAAATAAATGAACGGATGCAATGCCAACTAGAGTTGAAGACAGTAGTAGTAAATCGGAAGATGATCTGCAGCAGTTGCCAAAAATATAACCCAGGGAAACAAAGAAATGAAATACACAGGAAAGACAAATGGAAAAGAAAATTTAACTTACGTTAAGTTGGAATTCCAGAAGGAGATAATGGGGAAAACAGTAAAAAGGTAACTAATATTCAAGAGAATGAATAAGAAATTTTCAGAATTGTTAAAACACAATCCCCAGATTTAAAAAGGCCAGTCCCTTGACATACATTTAAGTGATATATTTGTAATATCCTCCACATTCTTTTAGTTTCCCTTAAATTTTTGTGGCTTTTATCTCCCCCTTTTCATTAGGATGTAAACTGAATTTCTTAGGTCTCACCTTTTTTTTTTTTTTTAACAAAAATAAATTTAGTATTCTTTTAAAGAAGTGTTATGGAAGGGTATAGATTAATGCTCTGTAACTCAGGAATGCTCCTGAATGAATGACTTTATGTCACTTATTTTAATTTGGTTTTAAGAAGAATTTGCTTGAAGGCCACCATAATGGACCAAAGTGCAATTTAAGCAAGTTTCTGGGCCTCACTTCCTACTAACCTCCATTTCCTGCCTTAGCCACTCTTCTAGTTCTGTATTCTTTCGAGCATGATGAGCTATTAGATCTGATCCTCCAATGATGTGTGGAAGTTTTCCTGCTCCAGGATATGTGACCTATTGAATAATAAAAGTAGTACAGTAAATCATATTAACAAACAAAAATGACCATTTTTTTAAAAAGATTAAAAAGCAAAGATGGTAAATCATGCATAAGTGCCAAAGATGTTTATATTCTACAAATAAAAGTGAGAGCAGTAACTCTGTTCTAAACCCATCTGTTTTTGCCCTTCTTTTATAGCTATTACTATATACAGATCTGGACATGTCATGGGATTTATGTATTAAAAATAATTTAACACTTTTCATTTGGAGTTTTTATTTTAAAATGGCCTTACCTTATCATTTAACAATTAAAGCAACTCAAGATGAACACAAACACTACAATTCAAAGCACTGTATTTTGTTCTAATGACTTCAAAGCTTAAGCCCTTTCTAATATTGATGAAAATTTAAATCTTTTTCAAAACTTTCCAGTTCACAGAGTCCAAGCAGGAGATGTTGGGGATGCCAACAATTTATACTTCTAATTGATATTTTAATTGTTTACTAGTAAAGAGGTGCTTTAAGAAAAGAAAATTCCATGTGAAAATGCCCATCAAGATCATTGTTAATACTTGTTATTAGTTAATAACATTGTTAATAGTAACAGTTCCTTAATATTTGTAACATGCTTTTAAAATTCCAATATATGAAGTAGAAAGAGAATTTTAAATTTATTTTCACCCCTAAGCAGTATTTTAAAAGTTTAAAAAACGCTATGTCATTGATTTGGAGGGTTTTTTGTTTGTTTTGAGACAGGGTCTCACTCTGTCACCTAGGCTGGAGAGTGCAGTGTGAGGAGAGAGAAAATCACCTGGTGACCATGGAACAGGCCCCAGAGACAAAACTTCTTCTCTAAGCAATTTAGAAGGGGGCAAAGACCAACCGGTGACCATCAAACAGGCTAACTGGAGGCAAAACTCCTTATCTGGGTAATTTAGAAGTAATCAAACTTCCCTAGTATCTAAAGTCGGCTTCTGATTCCAGGCCTCTTTCAACTTTTATAAGTAACTAAAATTTTTATACATCTCTGGAATGCCATGGTGAAACTCATTTTACAATCCCAAGCTCCCACCTTAAGGTCCATAAATGCTCCTAAGGACAATCCGCCACAGTGTGCTCAGTCCTCTCGCTGAGGCACCCCTCTGCATTCTTCTGCAGTGTTCTTCCTTTCTAATAAACTTTCCTTTTCCAAATCTATACTGTTGTCGGTAAATTCTTTTCACCAACCCGCAAGTTGACCACTTCCTGGTGCTGGGGCTCTGATACCTGGCCCGGCACAGTGGTGTAATCTTGGCTCACTGCAACCTCCGCCTCCTGGGCTCAAATGATCCTTCAACTTCAGCCTCCTGAGTACCTGGGACTACAGGCAGACATCACCATGCCTAGCTAATTTTTATATATTTTTTTGTAGAGTTAGGGTTTCACCATATTGCCCAGGCTGGTCTCGAACTCCTGGGTTCAAGCCATCCACCTGCCTTGGCCTCCCAAAGTGCTGACATTACAGGTGTGAGCGACCAGGCCCAGCATGATTTGGAGATGTAAAGAACTCAGACAAATTCCTGCATTAATATCAATCCAGTTAAACATCTTCCTATAGAAATTTTGGATTGGATTTCTTCTGTAGTTTCAGAACAGATTACTTGGTTAAGGATAGCAGTATTTTTAAACATTTTAAGTATTTCCAAACCACTTTCCAGAGATTCATATTACTTCATACTTCTTCAGTTGTTAATAAACCACTCTGTGCCAGTAGTAAACATTACTGCTGTTTCTTTGTAAAACTATAAAAAAAGTCTTTTGAATTTTGATTTAATGAGATCTTATAACACAATATTAAACATGAAGTAACCATGCAGTAAGAATGCCTTTGTGCTATTCATGAGCCTCAGATATAGGGTGAGAAAAAGTGGTGTTAAACAAAAAGGTATAGTGGTGCCATTTAAGTGGAAGATATTTCCATCTTCTGCTCTAAGTAGAAGAGATTCTTCCCATCAAATGGAGTTCAGAACCCTTTAGGTACTATTACAGAAGGCAAAAAACTAATTTAACTGTGAAATGTTAATAGTAAATGCTCACAGTAGAGAGAAAAATCTCTACTACCTCACAGTCATGGCAAGATCATGTTATAGAGGAAAGCAGTTCTCCACAAAAATTACTTTTGAGTAATTACTATACTCTGATCAAATGGATAAGTAAAGGCTAGCAGTCAGAAGTAGGTCTGGAGCAAGAAGCAAATGTAAGACAACAAAAGAATACCTACTGGATAGAAGTCTTTTTTTAACCATTACTGATAAAATAAGTATCAGTTCCTTAATGAGCAGAAACTCAGGTCTGATGATCATACTCAGCATATATATTTATATTGTGTTTTATATGTAAATATAGACTATAGTTTGAATTACTGAATATGCTTAGTTATTTTAAATACATTTTAATCTTCATAAAGTCCTGAGCTAAAGAACCTCCTCAAGTAGTTGTAGACCAATATTAGACTAACAGAGAAGATCCTGTGATTATCAACAAAAACTTCCTGCTTAAGGTAGAGAAAACCAGGTAAACAGCAACCTCTAAAGAATTCAATCTTGATGAAATCTATTTCATTCTAGGTGTTCAATATATTCATTAACTGTAAGTTCATATCCTTCCTAGAGGAATTTTTTAAAGCATTTTAAGCAGAAGAAGTATCAGTTTTCAACATAAACTGCTTTTATCTTTGTTTAGCATCACTGGTATCTCTAAAAACATTTCAAACACTGACCTCTTGTGATACAGTTGAAATACCTACCTTTTTGAATTTCTTGAAATTTTTTAGTTGACCATAATCATCATTTATGCCAGATGGATTTCTGGAAGTAGAGTTTTTAATCACCAGTGATCTAAATTCAGTCAATAACAGCTTTTTTGGAAGCATCTCACTATCATCCTGAAGTTTGTCATTGTTCTTAAATGGGGTTAAGATGGATAGGTAAGAAAGAGAAGAAATAACAAAGAAAAGTCACTTGTCATTTGGGAATCTATAGAAAAAAGTTCAAATACCTGAAAAAATAGTAAAAATGTTTTATTTCTTGTACCTGAACTTTGTATTTGGAATCAAATTGTAGCTAATTCAAGATAAGAAAATTACTTACTCAAATGCTCTATAAACTTTGGAAACATTTATAACATACTCATCTGTGACAGAAGGCTAAAAACTGTGAAGCATTTTTAACCTAGTAGTTATTCTAATAAATATCATCTCAGTAAACAATTTACCTCCAGATATATATCTTATTGACACAAAATCTCAGCACTGTTTGCTTTTCATTAAAATTGTACACTGAGATTATAATATATCCTGTTCTACAGGTCCTCATCTACTTTTCTTAAACTTTTGGGATTCTCAAGAGTTTGTATCTTTTATTATTCTTAACACCTCAAAAAAGTCAATCATCAGTTCTGGACATACTATCTCATTAATTGACAAGCCATTTTTAATTCAAGATTAATAGCTGTTAAATTTGCCTCAAGAGTCCTTCCTGTTATCTTTCAATTGCTGGATGAGATTCTTGGCTTCGTGTCATTTACTATTAACTAGTCAGTTACACATCAACATTATTACAGCTGCTTAAGGTTGACATCTTAGTTCTTTTAACTGCTGTAACTACATAATTAATATGCAAGTTGCTAATAGGTCTAAGATAAAAGCAGTCAAAAAGAAAAAAAAAGGGGAAAGTCAGAAAAAAAGGTTCATCTGATAGTGACAGAATGTAATCAGCACATTATTAAGAACAGCCTAAACTTTTAGAGTTTACAAATATTTCCCATCCATTACTCTTATCTGATATAAATCCTGCTAGAAAAGCATCAACCTCATTTTATAGAGTATTTGAGGTTCTTAAATGTGAAAATGACTTGTTCAAGGCCACATACCTAAGGAGCAGAAGGCAGGGAATTACACCCTGGCTTCTCTCTATACTCTTTTCACTGCATCATGGTTATAATACGATCTATCCAGGCCGTGCATGGTGGCTCAAGCCTGTAATCCCAGCACTTTGTGAGGCCAAGGCGGGCAGATCACCTGAGGTCGGGAGTTCCAGACCAGCCTGACCAACATAGAGAAACCCCGTCTCTATTAAAAATTCAAAATTAGTCGGGCGTGGTGGCACATGCCTGTAGTCCTAGCTACTCGGGAGGCTGAGGGAGGAGAATAGCTTAAACCCAGGAGGCTGAGGTTGCGGTGAGCCGAGATCACACCATTGCATTCCAGCCTGGGCAACAAGAGCGAGATTCCGTCTCAAAATAAATAAATAAACAAATAAATAAAATAATAATAATAATAATACCATGATCAATCCATTTCAAGGCACAATCATGAAGTAAGCCATAATTAGGAAAGAGAAATAATCCTAAGAATGTAAAATCACAAAAATTGATGAGATGACAGTCCCCGTAAGCCAAATCTGTATAAAAATTAATAAAACGTTTCTCACAGATATTTCTTTAGCTGACCATAGTGAGTCTTCCTTGAGTTCACGTTTCTTCCCAATTTCATTTTCTTGCTAAAGAAATAAAATAAAAAATACTGTTCATAGGAGTAATAAAATGGTATGTTTCTATCACTTCTTGGCCTTTTGAATAAGATGAAGTGTAAAATGGTTCCTTTCTAAAAACTTAAGAGATATTCATGTTATGTATGACCAGGCATTTGGCTTTCAACTGTCTTTCCAAAAGAAATTATGAGATGAAAATATATATTGAAAGAGATACTGCAGTATCAGGACAAAGAATTGGAAGCGATCTAAATCCATATAAATCACATGCTTAGAGAATATTTAACAATATGGGAAAATGATTATAAGTAAATTTAAAAAATGACTACAAAATTGCACTAACAGTCTGCAAAATAAAATGGAAAGAGAAAATACCAAAATATTAACCATGGTTGTCTGTAGATGGTAGGATTATCAACAAACTGTCTGTTTTATTTTCTACATGTCTGTACGATCGTGTATTACTTTTAAAATCAAAAAAGAAACATTTTAAAAGAATTCAAGTTTACAATAGTATCTTAAATCATACTTAAAGAAGAAACAGTTACTTCAACTGTTCAAGATATTTGTCTGCAATAAAAATGAAGACTGCCTTGTATATTAGTCACAGTATCTTTCACATTAACATGTCTGGATCATGTCCTAGACGGAACAATATTACATAAATGGGTAATGATTTCAGTAAAAACTACAATTCTCTTGGATGCAAAGTGGGGCACATAACATTTTACGTCACATTTTCAGTAATACAGCAGTAAGTCTTAAAAGTTTTAAAAATGAAGTTGGAAACGGCAGAAAAACAAATGTACTTTGTGCTTCCCCACAGAGTAAAGAGGATATTTTAATCAATAGAATTAAATGTATGTTTCAAGCCTATCAAGTGCCATTTTACTTAGGCACATATCATTTACAGAAAGTTGTTATCACAATCAGAACATTTTACTCCCTTTATACATAATCAGAATACAAACTCCTTTTATGTACCTTCTCCCCATCCTGCCCTACTCTCTCAAAGTTGCTCTTCCTCTTGAGCAAGTTTTGATTTTCCAACTCAGAGAATCATACGACCTACCTAGATACTCAGAATATAAGCTTGGAAATTATCTTATATTCTTTCCTATCTATTTATTTCCCATATAAGTAAACCACCAAGTCTTGGGGATTCTACCTCAATGCCTATCAAACTTCTCTTCTCAAACTGCCTTTCATGGCAGATGCCCAATGCCTACAGTAATGGAATAACTGAGTGAATTACACAGTGAAAGCTAACAAAAGGATCAGTCAGAAGAGCATGGCAGACCTGTGTTTAAGTCCGAGTTGTCAAACCTAGCTATGTGACCTTGGCAAGTTACTTAAAAACTCCCACTATCAGTTTCCACACATGTTCAATAGGATATTAATTGCTGCATTGTAGGGTTGCTGTAAATATAATAAAAGTATCCAATAAGTGGTAGCTATTACTACAGGGTACTGGAAAATGCTGTAGTTTTAAGAATTTACTACTGGGTATTGAAAAAATGCTATATAAAAATGCTTGACTTGAGAAAGGAGAGTACAATGAAGTGAAGAGGAAATATACTATAGACACAGTGGGTGCTGTTAAGGAGAAGAATGTTAAGGATCTTGAGTCAGTTTTGCATTTTATAGAGACTGGGAAACTGAAAGTAAGGCCAAGACTCAGGCACAGCTATCATTCGTATAAGGATAAAGTCCTAGGAGGAATATTAAGCTAATAGTTTTCCATTTCAGCTGACAGGAAATCTTACAGACATGCTATAATCTAAATTTAGATCCAAAAACAGAGAAATGACAGTTCTACCATCAACATCTATTGGAAAGTGCCTTTCTGAAATATAGCTAGGGATTCCAACACCAAAGAGAAGTATCACATTTTTTGCCTTCAAAAAATCGCCAAAAAAATGTTTAAATGAAAGGATTAAGAAGTATTTTTCTCTGACAGTCACTTCTGTAGCTAAAAAAATTAAGCACCAATTCCTTTAATCCATGAGATTAACATGGACTTTCAGACAAATTCTTAAAATAACAAAAATAAAATAATTTAAAACAACCCCACATTGAGTAAGGTTGATGGATTTTATCAATGTCAATTTCCTGGTTGTGATACTGTACTGTAGTTATGCAAGCTGTAACAATCAGGGGAAATTAGATAAAGGGTTCGCTGCATGTGGACAAACAATTGTCTCAAACAGTTTTTAAAAGTAACCTTACATTGAAAACAGAAATACTTTTGTAGCTATTACAGATTCTTACTAAAAATATTATAGTGCTGGAATACAGTGATTTAACTTGTAGTAGTCATCCCTGTGGTATCCCTGAGGAACTGGTTCCATGACTTCCCATGGACACCAAAATCCATGGATGCTCAAGTCCCTGATAAAAAAAAGCATAAATTTTGCATATAACCTAGGCACATCCTCTCATATACTTTAAATCATCTCTAGAATACTTACAATACCTAATACAATGTAAGTGCTACGTAAGTAGTTGTTATATTGCATTGTTTAGGAAATAATAATTTTTAAAAAGTTTGTACATGTACAGACGCATTTTTTTTTTCCCAAATACTTTCAATCACAGGTTGGTAAAATCAGAGGATGTGGGACCCATGGATACAGAGGGCCAACTGTATCTCAATGAGAGATACCGCAATTAAATTGCTATTCTTTCTCCAAAAGCCTACAACAACATATTTTGTACTGTAATTTTCATTTAGAATGTCATGAATTCTCAAACAGTAAAATAAAGGAAAAATGGAATTATGCTATAGAATCATAGGGCAAAATAAAATAATTATATTTCCTCATATCGTTATACCTCATATAAACCTTACATATTAAATGAAAGTTTCTTTCGGTCTATGAAAGACTGTTTGATGGCTCCCATGTCAAGGGTGTATAGTGCTCAGTTCTTGTCTTTCCCTGTCTGTGCTCTAATGCCCAGTGCCCTGAGTGACATAAGCCCTGGGAGAATGTGCAGTGAAAGTAGGTCTTCAGGAAGATTAATTAGCAGTCATCCAGGATGAGCCAAGGAGGGCTGTTACAGACTAAAACCACAACCATTTCCAGATAGATTTGTGGCCACCATAGCAGTAGACTAATCTGGGATGGAATTTAAGGGAAAAAAAGTGGGGTGGGGGTAGCTACTTAAAAAAAATTAAAGTCACTTTGGGAGGCCGAAGTGGGTGGATCACGAGGTCAGGAGATTGAGATCATCCTGGCTAACACAGCGAAACCCCATCTCTACTATAAGTACAAAAAATTAGCCAGGCGTGGTGGCGGGCGCCTGTAGTCCCAGCTACTAGGGATGCTGAGGCAGGAGAATGGCGTGAACCCGGGAGGCGGAGCTTGCAGTGAGCGGAGATCACGCCACTGAACTCCAGCCTGGGTGACAGAGCAAGACTCTGTCTCAAAAAAAAAAAAAAAAAAAAGATTAAAGCATGTACTAGGACAAGAAGACTAAAGAAAATAACATGTCAGAGAAAATCAGAGGAGAAGAGAGCACAGCAAGGGAAATGTATTTCCAAAGGTGTGGCCAAAGTAATGTAAAAAGTGCCTAACTTTCTAAACACTTACATGTAATATTAAGTAACCTGAATACAGATTCTGAAAAGTCTGGAACTAAAGTAACAATGTAAATCCATAATACCAACAGAATAAAGATAGCTTTATAAACATATGTAAATGTATTAAACTTAGCAAATGATGTCTTGGATTTCAACAAATGTCACATTAAACTAATTTACCTAGCTCTCCACCATAGTAGGAATTGCGACAGAAGTGACTTATAGAACATACAAATCTCTTGTTTCACTTAGTGCATCTGTGAAATGAGAGTAGTCTTAAATCCTTCACAATAAAAAAAAAACCTCTGTCTCTGAACTTCTCACTCTGGCTGCAAAATGGAATCCGATAATTCAACATTCATTCTCTCTTTTTTCCTTAAATGCAACTCTTTATCAGGGACAGCAATGTGCCAAGTTTAAAACATTTCCAGACTCTTCTAGATTGAGGATAGAGAGTGGCTAAATTATTTCCAATTCTGGCCAATAACAAAAGCTATTAAGTTGGGTTTCTGAGAAAGCTCCTTAGAAAACAGGGAGGAATTCAGCTGGAAAGGCCTTTACCTGTCCCCTCATCATCACATTCTCCCTCCCTGGAAAGTAGACTTGATGGCTGGAGGTATCCTCTCAAAGAGCAGAAAGACAGACACCTAGTAAATTAATACCATGGGAAGCAGCTCTGATTATCTACTTCCAGGACACTTTTATAGGGGAAAAAAGATCCTATTTTACGGAAGCCACTGATTTTAGAATTTTTAAAAATATCAAAGGAATTCTTAGCTAACCCAATGAGGGAACTTATCCTGGGAAGGAAAATCAGATATACTGAATGAAAATCTCTGGGGCTCTGGCCTGGGAATCTATATTTTAGAAAAGCTTACCAGCTGACTCCAATGCAGCTGGTCCACAGAAGGGCATTTAGGATCACTCAGAAGAAGTAACAAATAATGGGGATTCCCTTGCCTATATGAAGATAACAATACACAGGCCAAATAGGACATAGGTTCTGTTTTTTGAATAGTAGTTGTAGATTTATAAGGTCCTTGATACACACTAGGTTCTCAACTGCTTAGCTAATAAACTATAACTTCCGTTCACTTAATCCTATCCTTTCGCCTATTCCTGTCCTTATTCTGCAGGTGTTACTGGAGAGGATGACCACAGCCATGAATGAGTGGAGCTAATGAATCCACATTGGAGATCAGAATATTAAAGTTTTACTTCATCAGGTCTGTGCTCTCATCTAAAGAGCTAACAAATCTACAGATAAGTCAACTTACTGATGTATACAAAAAAGAAAATAATCTCAGGTGTTTTCATAGATCAAAGTGGGTAAGACAAATTATCAACAGTCATGAAAATAGACAAGGACATTACAAAACCTAAATGAAAATGAAAATTCCTAGTGATGTTATATCCTAAAAATTTATTGAGTAGATACTTTGTTTTACTAACTTCATCTTTCTGTGCCTGTTTCTTATACTGAAGCATCTCCTACACTTATCATCATAGCCAAATGTCTTTTATAATAGTACAGCCTAATTTGGAAATCTAGTAAAACAATCTCATATGAAAGTTTAATTTGTGGTCATTTATTTTACACTACTGAAGAATCACTGTACTTTTAACATTTACCATTTACCTTATCAACCAACAAATTTCTATAGTACTGAGTGTTAAAGACATTAATGGATGCTCATACTGTCAATACAAAATCGAAAGTACCTGTTAGCATTCTAAGCTTCTATGTACTATACCTCTCATTTAAAATGTTACTTACAGATATTTTGCTACTTTCTGGTACTGCTTCATCACTGAAAGTGTCATTTGTTTCTATATCCATCCTTGGCCTTTTTCTAACATTGACATCTTCCTCCTGTTTTTGAACTTTCACATCAATTTCTAACTCTGGTTTTGTGTCCTTGAATAACTGTTCCAATACTTCATCTTCTATGGCCACATCATCCATTTCCCTTTTTTTATTTGATCTTAGCTTTTCTGCAGCATGAGATTTACTGGCAGAATTTTTCACAATAGATTTTAAATCTGTATCTGTAAATAAGTTATTGTCTGAGTTTGTGTCCACAGGCTCATTCTCAGATAGATGCTGCTCCTTATTTTTCCACAATGAGGGTGTAGCAGGTTGTGTTTGTTCTAAAAGAGAACAAGACGTTTCTATTCTTGCTGATTTGCATGAAGACATTTCTTGATTTTCTTCATCCCTTTCCCTTAGATTTAAAAAAAAAGAAGAAAACAAAACAAGAAAATGAACACAGCTAAGTAACCATTTAGTTTGGCAATATTCATCACTCCCTCCATTTAGTTCACAATGTACTCTTGATTTTATTAACAATATTACTGGAAATCAACAAATAGACCTTTGAAAACAGTGCAGAACTCACATACATTCTGCTGTTTTGATAGAACTGACGGACCCTGTGGCTAAAGCAGTACGGTGATCTCTATCTTCTCTGCTTAAGTTGCATTAGTTGATAAATTACAGGAAAAGGTAGAAAAATATAAAAATACAAAGAAACTGTTGCCAAGAGACAGCAACTTACTTTATAACGTAGTAAGGTTGTGGGCAGGGAAAACTGCCCTGGGAATACAATCTGATGGGTTAATGAGAGATGGATTCAAGACAGTAAGTCAGAGTGACTAAATCTACAATACGGTACTGACTGTATACTGCAAATGCTATGTGAATATATCACTAAAAGTTTCCTATACAATACTGTATCATTCATTCAATAAATACCAAACACTTTATGCAAACTGTACTAAGCCCATAGAGGACACAAAGACCTGGGACTCTGTTCTCCAGGAGTTTATTGGATTCATGTTGAACAAGAACAGTCAACCCAATGTTCTATTAACACTAATTTAATGCCAAGGTACTGGACAAACCAACCAATCGAGAGGTTTTTGTAATAATTTAGGTGGTCAGAGTTTGAACCTGGCAATAGATGGAAATGGAGGGATTGACAGACACTGAAAATAACAATCAATAACACTGATTTCAGGAGCCAGAGGACAAGAGTCAAAAATTGTAACAACATAAGCTATTTTACTAAAAAAAAAAAACAAAACCACATTTGGTGAGAGGACAGAAAAAGTTTTTAGGTCTATTACTGGGGAAACAGCATGAAACCCCTGTGGAAAAGAAGTAAAGTTTAAAGGAAAAGTTAGGGCCACATATGTTGATTGTCAGTAATAAAGTCTCAAAACCTGAAGGTAGAGTATAAAGAGCAGTACGGGGAAGAAAAGAAGTCCTCCAAAGTTCATACAGAAATGGGAGAAATAACATCATCTTTTCTGAGAAGCTTAACGGGACGGCACAAGAAAAAAGGCAGCAGTAGCTAGAGGAAGAAACCAGGTCAAGAGAAGGTTTTCAAAAATAAAGGTGAGATTGAACTTTTGAAAACAGAAGAAAAAAATCTGGGATGATCAATATATTCAAAATATGGAAATTGAGAAAATAATTGATGGAATATGGTCCTAGAGGGAGTGAGAGCGGTTCTCAAGGAAAACCAGCAGAAATGTGATTTTAGAGCTGAGACAGGGGGTTAGTTCTTATTGAAGAGAATTGCGGCAAGTAAAATAACACGTAAGTACATACATAGAAGGAGATGAAGGAGAAACTGTCTAGTGGCTCTAGTGAAGGAGATCAGGGACATTTCTGAGAGGGAAAGCGGTCAAAAAGCTGCAGCAGCAGAAGCATACTTAATCAGAACAGACTAAAGACAATACCATTCTACAACAGTATAAAAAACTTTCATTTTTTTTTCAGAGACATGAGAGAAGTTATCAAAAACAGACCTTTTTTTGGTAGACGGCTGAAAGTAGTTTCTGATGGAGTTGGTCTGCTGCTGCTGAGAAGCCCTATCTTTACTTTTATTTATACTTGGCAATTTAGTTGGTGAAAGCTGATAGTTTGGGATTCTCATCTTAGCCAAAGTATTTGATACCATACTATTATTATTAGAGCTTGTTTTGCAGGACTCCTTTACAGTGGGTGCATCTTGTGAAAGCATTCTGAATTTTTGTTCCATTTTGGAGACTTTGATTTCTTTTGGCCTTTCACTCAAATCCCTGTAGAAAAAGAAAAGAATGCAAGGTAAATAATCAAGTTTACAGCAACTTTAATAGAGAAACAAAGATCGTTAAATAGTTCTAACGTAATATAACCTTAGAAGATAATTTTTAGACAAAAATACACTGAATATATTTTACCATCCCAAGAAAGCAACTCCTTTATTACCTAAGCATCCTGTGGAAGGATGATACCTTACTCTTCTTCACCCCCTACAGCACATATTGTTGCTCCACTATAGACGACTGACAAACACACACAGAATACCAACTTAGCATAGCCTATTATAAGTTAAACTAGGTGATAATCCTAGGCAATTTCTGTTTTGTTTAAAAATTTTAAATTATTCCCACGTAAAATCACTATTATGGTACTTTCATTATTATTTATTATTATATTATTATAGTACCTTTTTATTAAAAATGGAAAATCAGAATAAAATCACATATAAGATATTCAGGTCACTGTAAATGAACTGATATCATTATTTCAGCCAGATGGCAGACTCGAGAATAGAACAGAACTTTAGATTACCAGAAAAATATTTTCAACATACATGCACAGAGTATACTTTTATATACTTTTTACTTTTACAAAGTATGGTTAAATTAGACACTGCCTTTGCTATTCTTATTTTACAGAAAAAAAAAAAACAAAAACAAGAGGTCAGGCTGTCATTCAAGCAACTTCCAAAACCTTAACAATTTCTCTTGAAAAAGTTAAATCTGGCCTCAATATGAGTGTAGCAAAAATTAAAATAAATAAGGTTTAATACAGTGATATCTTAAGTATCTTAATATGAACACTTCATTATGTCATATTTAAAATAAAAAACATACGGTTGTAAATAGAAAATAACAAATAATATAAAAGTGCTAACCCCTTCCATTAAAAACAAAACAAAACAAAATCCCTCTTCAGATAAAGAACCATAGAAAAACTATCTTTATGGACAACTATTAACTATTTAAATAGCTAGGTAGACACATATAAAGTATCTTCAAAATTACAAGTAACATTCAAATATAGGCAACATCACGCAATACAAATATATGTATTTCAAACTTATCTCACCAGTTACAAATAAGTTGAACAATTCTTTCCAGTCATCCATGTACATTTGCAAGGAATAAAAAAACTATCCTAAGACAGGAGTTGCCAAACTACAGCCTGTAGGCCAAATCTGATCTGCCACTTATTTTTATAAACACAGTTATTAGAACACAACACTTTCAATTACAGTCACAGACACTATATAATGATATTTCTGTCAACAATGGACTGCAACATATGATGCTGGTCCCATAAGATTATAAAGGAGCTGAAAAATTGCTATCACCTATTGACAGCACAGTGCAACCTATTAAGTGTCTATGGTGATGTTGATGTAAACAAACCTATGCTGCCAATTGTATAAAAGTATAGCACAACAGCACATACAATTCGGTACAATACATAATACTTGATAATGATAATAAATGACTATGTTACTGGTTAATGTATTTACTATATTATACTTTTTATCATTAGAATGTACTCCTTCTTATAAAAAAAATAACTTTAAAACAGTCTCAGGCAGTCCCTTCAGGAGGGATTCCAGAAGATGACATTATTATCATAGGAGATGACAGCTCCATGTGTGTTAGTGCCCCAGAAGACTTTCCAGTGGGACAGGATGTGGCAATGACTGCGATGATCCTAACTCTGTGCAGGCCTAGGCTAACATGTATGTTTATGTCTTTGTTTTTAACAAAAGTTTAAAAAGTAAAACAAAATTTAAAAATTTGAAAACAGAAAACCTTATCGAATAATATGAAGAAAATATTTTTGCACAGCTATACAATGTTTTAAATGTTTTAAGCTAGGTATTATTAAAGTTTACAGAGTACAAAAGTTACAGTAAGCTAAGGTTAATTTATTATTGAAGATTTTTTTGCATATAAATTTAGTGTAGTCTAAATGTAGTGCTAATAAGGCAACAATCATGTACAGTAATGTCCTAGGCTTTCACATTCACTTACCACTCACTCATTGACTTACCCAGAACAGCTTCCAGTCCTACAAGCTCCATTCACGGTAAGTGTCTTATACAGGTATACCATTTTTTATCTTTTATACAATATTTTTTCTGTACCTTTTCTATGTTTAGATACACAAATACTTCCCATTGTGTTACAATTGCCTACAGTATCAGTACAGTAACATGCCATATAAGTGTGTAGCCTAGGAGAAATAGTCTATACCAGCAGTTCCCATCCTTTTTGGCAACCAGGACCAGCTTCGTGGTGAGGTTCCAGGTTTGCGGGCAGAGGGGGGAATGGTTTTGGATAATTCAAGCATATTTATTATGTACTTTATTTCTATTATTATTACGTTGTAATATATAATGAAAAAATTATACAACTCACCATAATGTAGAATCAGTGAGAGCCTTAAGCTCGTTTTCCTGCAACTAGTCAGTCCCATCTGAGGGTGATGGGAGACAGTGACAGATCATCAGGCATTAGATTATCATAAGAACCTAGATCCCTCACATGCACAGCTCACAATAGGGTTTGTGCTCCTATGAGAATCTAATGCTACCGCTGATCTGACAGGAGGTGGAGCTCAGGCGGTAATGCAAGCAATGGGAGCAGCTGCAAATAAAGATGAAGCTTTGCTAGCTTGCCCGCTGATCACCTACTGCTGTGTGGCCTGGTTCCTAACAGGTGATGGACTGATACCGTGGCTGAGAGATAAGGAACCCCTGGGCTATCTATACTATACAGTACGCTATACCATGTAGGTTTATGTCAACACACTGTTCGATGTTCACACAATGCCAAAATTGTGTAAGGAAGCATTTCTTGGAAAGTATCCTTGTCTTTAAGAGACTACGTATTGTCTCTTGACAATGACTACATATCGTCTATGGCCACTTTCATGCTACAGTGGCAGAGTGGAGGAGCTGGGACAGAGATCAACAGTCTTCAAAGCCGAAAATAACTACTCGCCGCTCCTTTACAGAAAACCTGCTGACCCTTGTCCTAAGATATCATTTTCCCTGGTATCCCATTCTTCCATGCTTTCTCTCTCAAGAGACAACCTGATAAAGGGCATTACTTCCTGAATATACTATTAATTTATTGATAGAATAATAACAATAGTACGGTAATGAAGAAGCTTTACCATGTATCTGCTTGCTCTGATTCTGTGTCAGCTACGTATGTTGTAGTGTTCACTGGGGCGCTTGGCATTAGTTTTTCATCAACTGACACGCCTTGTGAAAGGCTTGGTCCTGGAGTTGTTGTCTTTAATCCTGTAAATCACACAAGTAGAAAGAAAGAATCACAACTGCTAGATAGAAGATGAACATCTGGTCACTTAAAATTGTTAGACTATACCATGCTGAGGGGATTAACTAGGGAATACTGCACATGGTTTTCTCCAATGAGTGGTACCAACAAACACAAAACAGTCTATAAGCAGCCTGCGGGCATCTATGACGGGCTTATCTAAACCAAATCATTTTAAAGCCACATCAGATACTTTGTGCTGAAGTCTTATCAACTGAAAGAAAAATAAAATAAGCAAATTCTAATTCAAATTATGTTTTAAGTCAGTGGGCCAAAAAATTACATTTATTCCCCCACAGAAAGTGTATACACCCTACCATCTATAGAAATCAGAATTAGTGAGTTTTATTTTCATAAGGAATACATTATTTGAAACAAATCATGTAAAACCATCTTAGACATAAACTTCTGGCTACTCCAGAAAACCATAATGATTACCTCATCTTTTTACTTACCAGAAGAACAACTTAGTTCAAGTGCTGCTCTTCTGGAATACTTTTTTTGAATCTCCCACACTGAATTAAGTGCTCTCCAATTCTCCTTCCATACCACCACGCAAATCATTCTAATAACAATTCAAGCCAGGTGCAGTGGTTCACGCCTGTTATCCCAGCACTTTGGAAGGCTGAGGCAGGAGGATCACTTGAGCCCAGGAGTTTGAGCCCAGCCTGGGCAACACTGGGAGACCCCATCTCTACAAAAATTAAAAAAAACTTGCCAGGCATGGTGGCACACACCTGCAGTCCAAGCTACTCAGGAGGCTAAAGTGGGAGGATCACTTGAGCCCAGGAGGTCAAGGCTGCAGTGAGCAGTGATTGTGCCATGGCACTCCAGCCTAAGACCCTATCTCAAAAAACAACAACAAAAAAGCAATAAACAAAATTCACTTATGACTAGCTGAGTGACCTGTGTCAAGTTATTTAACTTCTCTATGCTTCCCTTTCCTCATCTATAAAATGAGAATAATTATAACATCTGCCTCACAAAGTTGTTTGGAGGGTAAAATAGCCCCTAGAAAAATGCTTGGAACATAGTAAGCACTGTGCCAGCATTAGCTGTTATCATTATCATCACTTGTTTACTTGCTACTTTCCCTTGTTAGACTGGTGTATCCTTGAGAATAAGGACTAAGTCTTGTGTATTTCTGTATCACCAGTACCTAGAGCAATATTTGGTATAGAGTAGATGTAAAAAAAGTTTACACTATTAACTGAAAAAAATTTTAAGTTGATATTTACTAAACACCTAAGCTAAATTATCATTCTGCTAGGTCCTTGTGACACAGGATGTGCTTAATATTTACTACTAATTCTAAATTCAGATATTTAAATGACTTCCGCCACTTTCTCTATGTGACCTCTAGAAGCTCACTGGCATTTCCTTTAAGACACATATCTCTAGAATTCATTTTCAGCTGCACATAAGTTTGGAAAGAGTAAAAATTATAAATGTTCATATCATCACTGAATAATTTAATGTAGGCTCGGTGAGGTGGCTCGCTGCTGCTCAGCACTTTGGGAGGATGAGGCAAGAGGACTGCTTGAGGCCAGGAGTTAAGAGACCAACCTGGTCAACATAGTGAGACTTCATCTCAACAAAAAAATTTAAAAATTAGCTGGGCATGGTGGTGCACACCTATAGTCCCAGCTACTCAGGAGGGTGAGGCAGGAGGATTGCTTGGGCCGAGGAGTTCAAGGCTGCGTGAGTTATGATCATGCCACTGTACTCCAGCCTGGGTGACAGAGCAAGACTTTATGAAATAATAATAATAATAATAAGCTAATGACCCAAAATAACTGGTGTTTGTTAACAGATTACTTACAATTTTCTCCTTGTTAAAAATACCATAAGGGCAGGAACTTGGTCTCATCTATTCACCTCTTTATTTCAAGTGCTTGCCATAATACAGGTATATAACAAATGTTCAATAAGTATTTGTTGAATAACAAAAGAGTGAATATAAAAACAAAGGAAGGAGGAGAGAAAAGGGAGACTCATTCACTCTGTTCCCCCAAAGTTGGTTGTGCTATAAAATTATTTTATTATCAGAGGACTATGACTTGGAACCCACCTAAACCTACCTACGAAAATATGCAAGAAGTAATACTACATACAGTGTACTTTTTAATTCACTCTCATGACTTTGTTTCTGTAGGAAATAATACATCAGAAAAAAGCACCAGTCTGGTAGTCAGAAAACCAAATTTTAGAACTGGCTTGGCCATGAAGTAGTTATGTACCTTAACTTTTCTCAGCCTTGGTATACCTTATCTTTTAATAGAACGATTAGATGATCTCTAAGGCCCTTTCAGCTATAAACACAATTTCAACAGTGGGTGACAATATTTTGTTGCTCCACACTGGAAAACATAATCTTGTGTACCAATAGCTTAGTTCAATTACGCAAAATATTTATACCTATTACAAACAAGTACCGTGCTTGCTGCTGTTAGGGGATCCCAAATTAGTAAGAGCCTACAATCTACTCAGTGGCTGAAAGAGGTGTGGAAACAACTGGTTATATCCAAAGTAGGAAGAAACTCCGGCTGGAATGCAAAAAAGCTACTGAGCATAGAAACAGAATAATTACATCTGACTTGGAGGAGTTGGGAGTGAAAACAATTTAGAAGAGCCTTACGAAGGAGGTAATCATTTGTAGAATGAGTCAGATTTTGACGAGCAGTACTGAACATTCTAGGAATGGAACATGATGTTCAAGGTGAGGAAGTGTGGGAACTATAAAAAATATGGCACACATATTCTGTAGAGAAACTATGTAAAAAAGGCGAGGTCGGGAGGAGGAAGGCTGCAGCTAAACTACTGAGGACTCAGAAGTCTAGACAAAGGGCTTGGAGATTTATTCTGTGGATAATAAGAGCTAGTTAAAATTTTTGAGAAAAGAGAAGGTAATTGAATAGTGGCATAGTGAAATATTAACTGTAGAGATGAGTCTGGAGTAAGGACCATTACTAGGGCAATTACTAATACAACCAGCACTCCAGAGAGAAGGATGTAGAGGGTTCAAACAGGGTACTGGCTGTGAGAAGGGGACAGTCACAGACCTCTTGAGCAGAAGCTGTAGAGTGAGAATTTCAGGTCTTGGTGATAAAATGGAAAAGGAAGAATAAAAAATGTCCAAAGTTTCCAGTCTGAGTGCTTCTTCTTTTTATATAAAAGAAGACTCCTCTCTAGTTCATTTCTTCTCAAGACTATTCTAATTTAGTGGTTTCTAGAGTTTGTATAGGAAACAGGAGCTTAAAAATCAAACAAAACCAACCAAAAAACTCAGATGTCTAGGATGCATCCCAGAATGTTCTGAATCATGGACAATGTACGTTTGTATTCAGAATTGTTTCTGAAGCATATATCTAGTTGAGAATTGATTTTCTAAACAGAGAAACACAGGACAGTGACCCCAAATGGGTGCTGAGACAAGGGGAGCTACTGACTTAGACCTAATCACCGTTTTTATATGTTTGTTGTAATTAAAGTCTAAAATTACTGATACTGATCTTTTTTCTGTAAGAGAACAGAAATCTATCAACAAAATAATATCTACAGCACCTGCTAGTTCTAAAAGTTGAGCATATTTCTAGTAGACAAGGAAGCAGTAGTTTCTCCAAGAATATGGCTCTCTTTGGCATCCACATTTAAAAAGTTCCCTTGCCAAGAGCCTGAAGAGTTGGTCTTTAGCTTTTTACTTTATGGATGAATTCTGGGAATTTGGTGAAAATATTAATCATATCACGATTCCACCAAAATAAGTGATTTGGTTATATTTAAAACTTCACAAGAACTTACGACTGTGTGTATTTGAAGGTTACCTATGTACAGACACAAACATATGTAGTATACTCAATGGGACAGGGTAGAGATGTCAGCTGAATAAACATTCTTATCCAAATAATAAAATACTAGCCTGTCAAATTTTATCAGATGTCTATGCTTTTGCATCAGCTCCCAATCATCCCTACACCACCATTTCTCAAAACGTCACACATTAAAATATAAGCCATTTGTACTGCAATGTGATGTCGTAACAGCTTTAAGACTCAGCTTGAACCAATTACTTGCTATGTGACCTCCAGCTAATTTCCTCTCTGTCCGTCAGTTCCCTCATCTACGAAAAGTAGATGATGCTCTTCCCTCTATCTTATAAGGACTGTTTTGCAGATTAAAGTTTGATGATGGTAAAGTGCTTACTCTAGTCTCTGCACACTCCAGAGACAGCAGTTATTATTACTATGCATGGTTACTAACGATCTACATACCTAATAGCTTCCTGGTCATTAGGCCGTAATGGCTAACTCCTTCCAAAATTTAGCTTAGCACATTCCTTACTTGTTTAAACCAAGGTTGCAGAGCACTCAGGAGATACACGGACTGACTCCATAGTTGCCATTCAATGGACTACAGTGAATGATGCTCCCCGGAGTGTGCAATCTGGTAGTGCTGTTCTCTAACTTGTCTCTTTTAGCCCAAGTTCAATAGCTGCTGATGAAATAACTACACAACAAATCCAGGGAGCAAATAAATATATAAGGAATACAGAATGGATGCTCTGAGAGCTAGGCAAATTAGATAAAAGTTAGTAGAGAGAATAAATGTAAAAATCTCCAAGGTAAAAAAGCAAGAAGAAAAGAAATAAACCATTTTTACAACAACTTACTAAAAAATTTTTTTAAAAACTATGGAAATGTGTTTTAACTAATAAAGGGGAAACAGTGACTGTCTCTGAATACATTGGCTTTCATGATTAACACTGAGATTATTATAATGCACATTCTTCATCTCAGTAAATGGCACCACCATCCACCCAGTTACTTATGCTAGGAAACTAGGAGTTGTTTCTAACTGCTCCACCGGAAAGTCCCACCAGGTCTAGTTCTAAAATATATCCTGAACCTGTTCATTTTTCTGCATCTCTACTATTACCATGCTGGTCCAAGGCATCAGGCTCTTTCACATCCAGATTTCCACAATAGCATTCTATTCACATCTCCTCTTACACTGTCGACCCTTAGAATTCTCCACACAAACCTAAGAGTGATCTGTTCCTTCTACCTGGAATTATCCACCACCCAGATCCTCACACAGCTGCCTTTTCCCATCATTCAGGACACATGGCTCAAATGTCACCTCCTGAGACTTTCCTTGAATACCTATCTAAATAGCCTACTACCATCACTATTACATACATCACCTTGTTTTACCTGTCTTTATACTTGGCTTGATCTGAACTTACCATGTGTGTGTGTTTGGTTACTAAATCTTGATCTTCAGAACATAAAGTTTATAATAACAAGGATCTTTCTTATTTTATTTACCACTTCATAACAGTTTCTGCTACATGGCAGCCACAAATATTTATGGAATGAATAAATGAAAGTATAAATGGATGAATTTTAAAACATGGTGAATATGGTCACCCCTAGCAAGTATATGAGTAACGTATATTTAGCTTATCGATTTACATAATAAAGTTGCTAACGAATCAATAAAATAATGCTTCAATTACCTGTACTGGGATGGCCCTGAGGATCACAGTAATTCTTTGTAGTCATGAAAATCACCGCCAATCCAATTTCTGCTTCAGGAATAGGTCTAAGACCTTGCCTATTAGAATAAAATAGTTTAAGTATGATAATATATTAAAACTAGCAACTTTTATTCAGATAATGTCAAGATAAAGCAACCTCTTTTTTTTCCTCCCAAATAATTTTATGGTATAGACAGAATTTCAAATGCAGAGTACTATAATAGCTTACTCGCTGGGGCACTGTTACGTTGACAAGTCTACCATCTTTTAGTAACTCCATTAACTTCATCTGTAAAATAAGGGGCTAAAGAATATAGATCTTCCCAGTTCTAAAATTCTACAATTTTTGGAATAAAAAGAATACAGTACTACCCAAATTAAACAACAGAACAGGCTTTTATGGCCAGGCATGGTGGTTCATGCCTGTAATCCCAGCACTTTGGGAGGCTGAGGCGGGTGGATCACTTGAGGTCAGGAGTTTGAGACCAGCCTGGCCAACATGGTAAAACCTCATCTCTACTAAAAATACAAAAATTAGCTGGGTGTAGTGGTGCACGCTTGTAATCCTAGCTACTCAAAAGGCTGAGGCAAGAGAATCGCCTGAACTTATGAGGTGGAGGTTGCAGTAAGCTGAGATCGCGCCACTGCACTCCAGCCTGGATGACAAAGCGAGACTCCGTCTCAAAAAAAAAAAATTAAAAAAAATCACCACAGGCTTTTACAAACAAATCTACGGATACTATGAGCCTAAGATGAAACTTCAAAGAGAAGAAAAAAAGAAGAGAGAGAGGAAGGACGGAGAGAAGTAGACAGAACTATACCTAAGGTATATCTATACATGTGTTACAACTTTTAGTAAATCAAATCATTTTGCCAAATTTACAAGTATTAAGGTATCTTCACATTAAAGGAATCTTATGGTGAACCTATTTTTTGTTGTTCTGTAAGGTCAATGACTGATTTTATAAAAACAAAAATACACCATTTAATATCATATAAAAATTACACCTCAAATTTTAACAAACAACTACAAAATGTCTTCAATACTCATTGTAAAGATTTTTTTTTTTTTTTCTGAGACAGAGACTTGCTCTTTCACCCAGGCTGGAGAGCAGTGGTGCAACCATGGCTCACTGCAACCTCTGCCTCCCAGGTTCAGGCAATTCTTGTGCCCTGAGCTTCCCAAGTAGCTGGAACCACAGGCGCGCACCAACACACCCAGCTAATTTTTGTATTTTTAGTAGAGATGGGGTTTCACTACGCTGGCCAGGCTGGTATCGAACTCCTGGCCTCAAGTGATCCACCCTCCTCGGCCTCCCAAAGTGCTGGGATTACAGGCGTGAACCACCTTGCTCAGTCAAGATATTTTAAATGGTTAGTTCGTAAGGTCTTTTTGAAATGCTTAATGTGTCTTTTTGTGTGTACTGAGCTTACTTAAATAGGATTCAGTTATACGTGCAATTAAAGTATCAGACTAAAAAAATAAAATCTAAAAAACCTTTATAATCAAGTGATCACATATACCTACCTGTAATTTAGGTAATTCAAAACTGGTATTTTATTTACTAACTTTTGCAACTATAACTTATACTATGTGAATTAGTTATAAAGAATGGTTACATAAAATAGAAACATTTTTAATACATATTTAATAATGCTCTACAGAAATTACATCACCCTTAATGGAGAAACACTGGAAGCATTTATTTTAAAGTCAACAGTGAGATAAATGTGGCCATTTTCACCACTTCTGTTCAACACTGCTCTGGAGGTCCCAGTTGGTATGGAACAAAGAGACAGAAAAAAGAGGTATCAGAGAAATAACGATTACAAAGGAGAATGGAAACATTCCTTATAGATGATAATGATTTATAGAAAAGACTATAGATAAATTATTAGGAAAAAAGAGGAGTCTGGCAAGATGGCTGGATATAAGATGATTATCTGAATGTCAGCTGAATTTCTTTACAGCAGTAGTGAACTAGAAAAGGTAATTTAAGTGACAATATCATTCATTTATAATAATATCAGAGAATATGTACTAGCTAGGAATAAATACAGTAAGATATTCAAGATCTCTCTACAGAAAATATAAAATTCTATTAAGAGATTTCAAGCAAACCTAAATAAATGGGGATACCACATTCAAGGATAAAAACAATTAAAATTTACATAAATCGTTAATTCTCAAGTTGCCTTGTAGATTCAATGCACTTCCTAATCAAAATCCAAACAAACTTTAACAAAAGATGATTCTAAATGTAAATGAAAAAATAAAGGGCCAAGAATAGCCAGGATGCTTCCGAAGAAGAGCAAAAAAAGACTTGTTCTACCAGCTAGGAGGACTTCATGGAAGTTATACTAATTAAGACAATGTGGTATTGGTACAAAGAAAGGCAGACTGATGAATGAAAAAGAATAAAGTCAAAAACACAAAAGTGCATGTAACTTTGGTATAAAACAGAATTCCAGATAAGTTAAAAACAAATGTCAAAAACAAAAGATGGTATCAAAATACTAGTAAAAAACATAGGTGAGTATCTTTAGCACTGACTAAAACAGAAAAGATTTTTACTATATAGCAGGTCCTCGAATAACATCATTTCATTCAGTGTCATTTCATTATGACATCGGCAAGAAAAAACTGATTCCTAACCAGGGCCGCTGTCTGTGTGGAATTTGCACTCTCCCCCAGTGTCCGTGTGGGTTTTCTGTGTGTACTCTGCTTTACTACCACATTCCAAAGATGTGCACATTAGGTGAACTGGTGTGTCCAAATTGTACCAGTCTGAGTGAGTGTGGGTGGGTGTGTCAGTGTGCCCTGCAATGGAATAGTGTCCTATCCAAGGTTGGTTCCCACCTTGCACCCTGAACTGCTGAATAGGCTCTGGCCACCCACAACTGTAAACTGGATTCTGGATGACAGTTATTTCACACAGGAGAAAACTGGGCTAGGGGTAACCACGTAAGTTATTTTCAAAGATCTGGCTGGTATTTTAGATGACAGATTTTTTCAAACACTTGCTGTCTGAAAAATAACTAAATAATTGGTGAACAAAATAAATGTGTATTACGCATAAATCAATGATGAGCATGTGTCATGGACCAAGGATTATGATTCATCCAATTCTGTGCAAGGCTGGGGAACAGGTCAGGAAAGAAGGAAAAGCAGGAGGAAATAAAGAGAAAATAATTAAATTAATAACAGGAAGAGTTACCAAATTTGAGCTGAGATACCGGAAAAAGGTCTCAGCAAGAACAAAAATCAGGGCTGTATTGTTCCCCTAGACTTCTAATCTTCTCCAAAAGACACTTAATCTTTACCACAGATTTCCTATACTCACTTCTGACATCTAATCAATACAGCCATGGCAATCACCAATCACAATGTTGCCCTGTTGAAGTTCGGTCAATAGCTGGCTTTACTGGCCACTCTGCTTCATATAATTGCTCCTTCATTGGCTTGAACTAAGTTAACAGGTATCATTTTAAGTGACAGTCTTTCTCAAAATATAATACTGCATTCCCTCCAAAAAACATATTGTGGCCAGGTGTGGTGGCTCACACCTATGATGCCAGCACTTTGGGAGGCTGAGGCAGGCAGATCACTTCAGCTCAGGAGTTCAAGACCAGCCTGGGCAACATGGCAAAACCCAGTCTCTACAAGAAATAAAGAAATTAGCAGCAACGTGGTGGTGTACGCCTGTAGTCCCAGCTACTTGGGAGGCTGAGGCAGGAGAATTGCTTGAGCCTGGGAAGTGGAGGCTGCAGTGAGCCAAGATCACACCATTGCACTCCAGCCTGGAGTGAAACCATGTCTCAACATCCCCCCACCAAAAACCCAAAAAACCATATTGTAACAGGGGCCAAGTGTCACCTCATGATCAAGGCACCAGGGTCTGAGCTACCTGGTACTCCAGCTACTTTTTTTTAACCTCAGGGTGTCAATATGTGCTGAAAGTAAAGAGCCTGGACTCCAGAATCCAACTGCCTGGGCTCACATCCTGGCCACCCTGCTCACTGCCTCTGCTATATGCAAACCCCCTTCTGCCTCAGTTCCCTCATCTGCACAGTGAGGACCACAACAGTAAATAATATATAGGTTGAGGATTAAATGTTTATACATACATAAATTCTTAGACCAGAACCTGCTATGTAGGATAATTTTTTTTTTAATGTATTACTGCTGTTGCTCTGCTTGGCACATTCTTTGTCTGGCTCTTTGAAAAACTGGTCATAGGTAAGACATTGCCTAAAAGAGGCCTTCTCTGTTTAGAATAAGCTTCTTCCCCACTGCCGGGTTACTGCTTCCTTTATATACATGTGTAATGATTTGTTTACTTGTCTTTCTCTGTCTCTGCCTCTAGACAGTAAGCTCCAGTGATGGCAGGGACTGTGACTATCTTGTTTTTCATTATATTTCCAGTGCCTAAAACACAATGGAACTACAGTAAATTTGTGTTGTAGTAATAAGATAGTATTTTTGTTATATAGTATATCTTCTTTTTTACAGTAGTTAATATATCTCAATTAAGTAAAATATTTATAGGATAGATGACTAAAATTTTACTTTTTATTTCAGCAAGCCTGTAAGAGAAAAAAAGAAAATCCCCCCATGGTCAGAAGGACTCCTGGGACAGGAAGAATGAATCTTTGGTAGGAAGCTGGCTGTGGACTTTTCAGGCATATAAACACTTTAGTCCTCACCTACTTTTTGCCACATGAAGAGCAATTTAGTCAGAAGACTGCCAAGCCATATATTTCTACAATACTTACTGGCTTCAACAATGCTAAGATTATTAATGCAAATTAAAGTCTAAGAAAAATCCTTCAGTTAGCTCTTTTACAGTCTCCCTCCACTCTACAAACATCATTTCAACCTATCTGACTTTTTGTCTGCTTTCCCATAATAGCCTATATAAGGATAGGAATGTTTATATGTCTTTCTAATGGGTAATAACCATCAAAGGGCAAATACATTTCAACGCTAGGCAATTGCAGAAAACCTTTTACCGTTGAGTTTTAAGTTTCTCAAATGCAACATATTCTGTAAAAAAACTTAACACTACTTTGTTAATTTACAGAGGTAAATTCTACAAATTCTATTAAAGTAACAAAAAAGCATAAAATATTTTTGAGTAAAACTGTCATGAATAAAGATATTCTATATCTAATATACCAAGTCACAATTAATTTTCAAGTATACTACACTATAAAACCTTTTATTAATTCTTGTATCGGCCGGGCGCAGTAGCTCACGCCTGTAATCCCAGCACTTTGGGAGGCCGAGGTGGGTGGATCATCTCAGGATGGGAGTTTGAGACCAGGCTGGCCAACATGTTGAAACCCCATCTCTACTAAAAATACAAAAATTAGCTGGGTGTGGTGGTGCACACCTGTAGTCCCAGCTACTAGAGTGGCTGAGGCAGAGGATCGTTTGAACCCAGAAGGCAGAGGTTGCAGTGAGCTAAGATTGTGCCACTGCACTCCAGCCTGGACAACAGAGCAAGACCCTGTCTCAAAAAAATAAAAAATAGGCCAGGCACGGTGGCTCATACCTGTAATCCCAGCACTTTGGGAGACTGAGGCAGGAGGATCACCTGAGGTCAGGAGTTCAAGACCAGCCTGGCCTACATGGCAAAACCCTGTCTCTACTAAAAGTACAAAAATTAGCTGGGTGTGGTGGTGGGTGCCTATAATCGCAGCTACTCAGGAGACTAAGGCAGGAGAATTGCTTGAACCCAGAAGGCAGAAGTTGCAGTGAGCCGAGATCGTGCCACTGCACTCCAGCCTGGGCAACAAGAGCAAGACTCCGTCTCAAAAAAAAAAAATTCTTGTATCTACTTTTACATTGTTAGGTGAAAAGCAACAAAAAAGGTTAAACATAAAATCTCCTACTTGCAGTTTTTTACTAATAAAGAATAATTCTATACCTTTGGAGCATATCCATTATTGACTGAATCCATTTCTTCTGACAGTCAGGAATTAAGGTCTGTGAGTTTGTTATTCCTGTATCAACAACACACGTTCCCGGAGCCAAAAAGAAATTATGTTCTTCTTCATTCTCTTCTGTTATCAACCTAGCTTCCCCACCTCCAAAGACAACTGCGGAACTCAATTTCTTATGCTAAAAATGGAAGGAAACATTTTTTAAAGTAAAATGTAGTAATTTTTTGAACACATAAGAATTTGATTTGGGAAACATAGAAGTACAATTCAAGAAGACTTGGTGCTACTTCTTGAGTAGGTCATTTCAGCTTCCACTTTGAGAAAGTCCCTAGTTCAACAGGTCTCTGCGGCCCTGGAACTGTTACACTCTCTGTGGTTCCTCATCACACTTCCTAACAGCACTCTAACTGTGGGCTTATCTGCATTTCTCCACTACAACATAAACTCTTGGAAACCCCACTTTGGTACACAGAACATATTCAACTGATTTAACTTCTTTAGTGAGCTTACTAACTAAAGAGGTTTAGCTTACTAACTAAAGAAGTTAAAACTAAGTTTCCTGTCCTTCTCACTTGCATATTTATGAATAGGCCAGTTATCACAGATTTTAAGAAACCCCGTAATCACAGCCATGATCACTGGGCAGGTCTGGTGCCTGGGGTTTTTTTATTCTACTTCACACTTTTACACAAAATCCCAAAATGAAATACGTTAACAACTACTGATAAGAGTTAATAATGTATCCTAGTTTGTAATGTATTCTTTAGGAAAATTTAGCTTATAACATAATTACCTGTTTGGCATTCAAAAATATAAATGTTTTCCCTTTGAAGATTTGTTTTCTTTCCTGCCGTCCTGACAGATCAACATTTTTACTTCCAATAGATGGTTCATCAAGAGGTGGGTAAAAACTGTAAAAATAATTAAAGTATATTCTAATTATATACTACTATGTTTGCTATTAAATTGTAAACGGAGTGACTATCTGACACTCAAAAGGCATAATTTCCATAATACCTTTATAGTATTTTTTTTAAGTAAGAATTTTATCTGGGACAAAATGACAAAAAGCATCTAATCGCGTTTTCTAGAAATATGGTGGCAGGTGACACAAAGAAGAGCTAGAATTGATCATTAATATCTCAAAATAAATAATCCAAGGTAGACAATCATAACAGGATGAACATTAAACACACATGACTCAAACAAGGTGTCTGAATTACAAAAGTTTGAGAGAAACATCATCCATAAAGATCAAATTCTATTAGCATCTTGTGTTTACTTAGGAGCCAATATCTATTAAAACGCTCATGTTTCAATTCTACTAGCACAATCTATTATGAGTGTTTTGTTAGAGATCTCTTTGGAGAAGTTCAGGAAATTTTTAAACTTACATTATTTACTCAGTTCAAATAAAATTTCCAAAACAAGACTAAAGAATATAATGTTTTAGCTCTTTAATTTAATGCTATAAGAACATCTTAATCATCCATGAAAATAAAGGAAAATAAGAAATGGAGAAATATCAACAGATAATTCTTAAGCCTCTCATCAGTCTAGAGTTTCAACTTCCTGTATAATCAGATCTTTTGCTACAGCTGTTCATAACTGACCGGCATTTCGACTTGTCTCTCTTCCTTTCAGTAAAAATTACTAACCCATGATGATGATGATAAGGGGACAATGTAGGGAGGGAGAAATTCACAACCTGGACAATCAGTCACAAATCAAGAGTTAACTATCTGCAGAGATCAACATCCAACGTGGTAAAAACACTGCAGTCATTAAGAGTCACTATCCAGCACTTTAGAACTAATTACCTTACATCTTTCCCCTGGACTTCTCCTTGGAAACATACATATTTCATAAAGTAAAGCTAAGTTATGATTGAAGAGTTACAATACTTTAAAATTTTTTTGATAACTGATGCATGTATTTTAATTTCACTACAATAGATGCTGTAAGTCTGTTTTAAAGCAATGATTTCTGGAAGCTGCAATCTCAAATGAGTTATCTGCAGGCAAGAGCAGACTCACTTGGCAGGACAGAATGCAGGCAACTGCGTTAGTTATGGTTTTTCTAAACAACCGACTTTAAAATTCTATTTATTTTACTTTTAAAATATACAGAGAACAGTGGAAACTATTTTAACTGTTAACAAAAACTAAATCTACAATAAGAGCACTGGAAAGTTAGTAGACATTCGGACACATAAAAAGGATCAATTTTAATATCTCTTTGAATCCTTTTTATCCTTTATCTCCTAATAAATATTCCCCCATAACTTATACTTCTTTCTTAGTGTAAAAGCCAACTAACACTTTACTTATATACAAATAACTAGTTTACCAATTAGTTCACACAATAATGTAACAACACTAGGACAGATTACAGAGCCAGTTACAGACAAAAACAGTAAGGAAATGTTTAACACATATGACTGTGTGTTACAGTCAAACATGACTATAAAACTATGACTGAGTAGATGTGAGATTCTTCCTGCTTTCCCAAAACACTAAAGTTGAATGATTTTTAAATTATCTACAGCTTTCTATTATTCACACTGTCATTCTTAATTATGCCATAGATAACAGTTTACAGTAGCCAGGGAGCAGCTAACTGTAGCTTAGTTCGATGAAGTTTGAGCCAGGTTCCTAAACATATGTGTATGGTAGCCTGTTAGGCCTCTCTAATGGCTCTACCAGAGTTCTAACTTTATTAGTGTCATTCTTTAACAGCTGGCTTCTCCACTAAGTGCCATGAGGGCAGAAACTGTAACTTTTTTTGGCTCATCATTATATCCACAAGTCTATCTTGCCTGCTTCACTGTAGGCATTCAATACATATTTACAAATAAACTGACATTACAAAATATAAATAAAAATTCAACTTAATAATTTAAAAGTGAATAAAAAGTATAAACATCCTTCAATTCCCTCAAGTATAGATTTAAGTATTAAAATTCTAGAACTTGAACAATGTATTTTGGTTTTGTTTTGAGAACACTGATAAATTTGAGCCCCAATACTTGGTAAGATCAATCTTGAACAAAAAAATACAAAACTGTATTATCTAGAAGCTAACCAAATGCTGGCTATGACTCCAACATGGGTTATTCTTAGTAATACCTACATTTGATATATGATAGACACATTCATACATAGATAATTGATAACACAGTGATCAAAAAACACTATGTTCTAGAATTTCAAATACCTACATAAGCCTTTTTCTCTTTACCAGTGTAATGATGAGAGCAAGAAAGAAAAGACTAGTGATGAATGTGAAGAGATCATTGAAAATCATTACGTCTGAAGCATTACATTCTAGAAGTTTTAAAGCATTTCTGACACTCTAGTAATTTAATAAACTAGTACAAAAACTGGAAAATAGGAAAGTAACCTGTCAGAGACCTAGGCTAGAGGCATATTGACTGAATATAACGATACTACAAATATAAAGTGATCTCCAATTTCTATCATTAAAAAATTAAAATGTTTTGGGTTCGTTTATACAGAAACTTTAAGAGCTACAAATAATTATGTTTTATTACACAGTAACTGGTACATATTATGAATCATACATTCTATAAAATGATATTAATCTAGAAATTTTGCTTTTTCCCATTCACATTTTCTATTTAAATTCTTTACATGATCTTCAATAAATTTCATCTAACCTACAGTATATCATTTTCACTTCTGTACGAAGATTTTGCAAATACAGAATTTTTCTGAATCCATGTATAATTCTGGCTCTAGAAACTGTATCCCAAGCCACACATACTTATTTGTTCAATATCTGGACAGCTGTTTATTTCATTAGTCCTGCAGGCATATGTTCATAATTTCTAGAACCATTTACTATATGGCTTTTTTTTTTTTTTTTTTTTGGTGATCTTGAAAAGGCTAGACTACAGTGACATCCACAATTTGCAAATGTGAGGTTCCATATCCTGAAAAAAATTACTAATACTAGTCATATTTCTTACCTTCGATTTAAATTAACTATGTAAGGTGACTTCTATAAGCTTCCTAAACTGTCAAACTTTCATTTACTGAGATTATTTCAGGCCAATGTGTCTGTTGGGTCTGAGATTTGATTATCAGCTGGTAAGTTAACCTGTTCCTGTTTCATGGATGCTGGCAGAAGACAAACACTCCTGAGTCACAGCAAAGCAAGCAGCATGAGCCCCAGTATGTTTGCTGCAGGTCTCCTCTCTGACCAAGTCCCATAGGGAAGACGTAGAGGGTACATACAGTGAAAGGTACATACAGTGGTGTGTGTTACAGGAGAGAGGAACACTGAACTTGGGAAACCACCGGTATTATAACAAGCTTTAAGCAAGCCTACATTTTGTCACAGGAAGGAAACATTACTTCATCCCTCGAGGTTTCTCACTGCAAACATACCCTTGAGAAATGGTCTGTGTAAAGGAGGGTCAAGGCTTTGCATTCTTGGCCTATTCAGCAAATTGTTTATGAATGCAAGGGACCCATGGAGGACTCCATCTCTCAAGAGTGTCTCACTAAAACAATACTTGTTGTTTGAAATAATTAATACACCATCCTACAACATGAGAGACTTTGTAAAACTCAAATAAAAGCCAACTCCCCCTCCTTTCTGGGGGATAATCTCCTTACATTTAGACATACAAATCTCCTCTATTAGAGCACAGATTATTGAAATTAAACACTCCTTTTAAATGTATTCTTCTAAAAATGACTTCATCTACTTTACTACTTTGATGACAGTCAAGGAAAATGAGATATTGCAAATCATTTCATGTACATGAAGTTATAACTGTCATATCCTGTTTCTTGGTAACAGTGCAAAGATGTAGACATAGCTGTACTAAATAGGACTGTATATTTTATTGGAAAAAATATTATAGTATGCCTCCTAATTTAAATCCAGGACTAGCAGTCATGCTTTTTTGGAACATTAGAGGTACTTATGTAATCAAAGGCGTCACCACAATTTATTTCATATCCTTTTCGTAACCCATTCCTTCTACTAATGTTTATAAATTGAATCTTTTTTCTGTTAATTGAGTACTCAGACAAATAAGCCTTCAACAAGCACATCAAAATGGATCCAGATAGGTATAGGACTCTATTAAGGCAAATAACTAAATATATTTAAAAATTGTATTATCAATTGCCATCATCGAATATGGGTTAATAGGATAAATAACCTGTCCCAGTTAACACCGAATTAGGAGGGATTCAACAATCTTATGGTAGGGATGTTGTATAGTCGTCATGTACATTGATACAATCAAAAATTGAATCTAGAAAAAAATTATGTTGAACTTGGTCAAAAACAACCTTAGGTTAAACACAACTGACAATGTGAACAAAAAGAGGAATCAACGACTAATTCTAAAAACTCCAAGACCATGAAATATATCTACTAGTAGTGAAAACTTATCAGACTCCTCTATCCTCAAGTATAATCTAGAATTAAGAATAGCTCACTATTTGCAGCTAGAGTCATTATTTACAAGATTTATGTACTTCCTCAGGGAGGTTCCTCAAGAGGCTTCAGGGAAAAATGTGATTCTGTTAAAATACTATGCAAGTTTGTAGTTATGTCGGTGAAGTTTCTTGAGGTGAGATCAGTGCTTTCAACTTCTTTTTTTTTGAGTCGCCCAGGCTGGAGTGCAGAGGTGGGATCTCAGCTCACTGCAACCTCCACTTCCTGGATTCAAGGGATTCTTAAGCCTCAGTCTTCCAAGCAGCTGGGATTACAGGCACCTGCCACCACACCCAGCTAATTTTGTATTTTTAGTATGTTGGTCCCACTGGTCTCGAACTCCTGACCCCAAGTGATCTGCCTACCTTGGCATCCCGAAGTGCTGGGATTACAGGCGTGAGCCACCAGGGCTGGCCTGCTTTCATATTTGCAGGAGTTCAGTCAGGGTGGTGGGAAAAAATGTAGAAAGATGCAAACCTTGGAAGGCCAAAAGGTTTTACATCAGTTTCGGAACAGGATTTGGCTGAAAGCAGCCAGATTCTTTTATACGGTGCCTGAAAGCTTAGGTTAGATAACGGGATGTTAAGAAACTGATCTAGATAAGTTACTTAGCTCGGAACCTGGCCTTTAATCATTCGTAGGACTGCTCTCTCCTGGGAGGGGAACCATGTTAATTATCCACAAGTGTGTTGACTCAAAGCCTTTGCCATTATATCTATACTGAATAAATGACCACAGCAACAGCTAGTCGGGACCGCGGCTGCTAACTCTTTACAGCACCCTCCTCAGTGTCTGTGGGTGGCCCAGCCCCCTAGCTCACTCTTTCACTGGATACCTGTGTTTGAGTGCATTTGTTCATCTGTCGCTGGGTCAGGGTCTGCGGGTCAGACCTGGCACATACTGAGGGGTCTTGGACTCAAAAAATTTTAAGAATCTTCTATTTTAAAATCTGAGTATATTTTTCCAGAGTCCAAATATATCACATTACCTGCCAACTGGAGTATAAATACAAAAAAACTTCCCAGATAAAAATTATAAACAAAGAGGAAAACCTGATTTTTTATTACTTTTAAAAGCAGACAGCTGTTATCCGGTATAAACAGTCCCTAAAAAACTAACATTAAGCCAAATAGCTTATAGCAGCTCAAAACACATTAAAATTAGCAATAAAATTCCTAACTGGCATAACATTTAAAATTTTTTTTTTAATGTTACTTTAAGTTCTGGGATACATGTGCAGAACATGCAGATTTGTTACATAGGTATCCATGTGCCATGGTGGTCTGCTGCACCTATCAACCTGTCATCCAGGTTTTAAGACCCACATGCATTAGGTATTTGTCCTAATGCTCTCCCTCCCCTTGTCCCCCACCCCCAAACAGGCCCCGGTATGTGATGTTCCCCTCCCTGTGGCCACGTGTTCTCATTGTTCCACTCCCACTTATGAGTGAGAACATACGGTGTTTGGTTTTCTGTTCCTGTGTTAGTTTGCTGAGAATGATGGTTTCCAGCTTCATCCATGTCCCTGCAAACGACATGAACTCATTCTCTTTTATGGCTGCATAGTATTCCATGGTGTATATGTGCATAGGTATGGACATATACCCAGTCTATCATTGATGGGCATTTGGGTTGGTTCCAAGTCTTTGCTGTTGTTAATAGTGCTGCAATAAACATATGTGTGCATGTGTCTTTACAGTGGAATGATTTTTAATCCTTTGGGTATATACCCAGTAATGGGATTGCTGGGTCAATTGGTATTTCTGGTTCTAGATCCTTAAGGAATCACCACACTGTCTTCCATAATGGTTGAACTAATTTACACCCCCACCAACAGTGTAAAAGCCTTATTTCTCCACAGCCTCGCCAGCATCTGTTGTTTCCTGACTTTTTAACTCAGCTAGGTAGGTATTACTCTCAATTTTGCAATGAGTAACTGGAGCTCAGAAAAACTAAGCTCCATTCCCAAAGCTATGGTGCTGTTAATATTCTGGACTATGTGGCTTGCAAAGAGGGCTGCTGCACCACACAATTCCAGAGCTAACTGTGGCGTGATGCCTGGAACTGACATATGTGCTCTTCTGACCATGAGGTTACCTCAGTGCCATTTACTGTCTTTCCATTTTTTTCTTTAAATATTAGCACATATTTAACATTTGTTTCAGAGATACAGAATAACCAACAAAGAAATTTGGGGAACTCTTTCTTTACAAACTAACAAAAAACCTTCCATTAATAATACCGAACTATAACACAGCAACTATTACATCCTGAAACAAGCATTAAAGAGGGAATTAACTTAAATAAAAATCAATGCTATCATATAAGTGACATCTTGTTATATTTAAAATACATAATATACCTTTCAATTTGTGGAGGCTGCTTCTTGGACTCAACTGCTTTCAGGAATTCAGTAAAATATTCTGGCTTTACAATTGGACGTCCACAAATGAGTGCACATATTGTCTACAATGAAGAAAACATGTGAATATATATATTCACATGCTAGCATTTTTTAAAGAAAAGTTTTAAGTTATAAACTACAAAGAGGCTGTTTACATCCATAAAAAATAATGTTTTCCCTTTCATCTCTCTAAATTTATAAAGAAGCCACAATCTATAAAATAGAAGTCGGTCTTTGGTCACTGCATTATTTTAGAACATAAATCACAGTATAATCACTCAATTATAAGAAGTCACCGATTATAATACTAATTTTTAAAACTGCTTTTTTGGAAAGGGTGGAACAACATAAAATAAAATTCAATTTTAAAATGCATTCCACTTTCGAAGACATTAAAATGTTAAAAATATATTTCAGAATTGAGGAAATGTAACATATCTGCTTCAGGGAAGACAATATTAGGAGATGAACATGAGCTATTTTTAGACTAATTGTCTTTCAAAAAGATTGTAACTATGCAATAAAGCCTTTTTGAGAAAGTAAATAAAATAATTTTTGGTAAAAGCACAAAATAAGTACATATAAAGTGGAAAAAAAGAAACTTAAACTCACATGTGAATTAAGCTATAAGCCTCAAATATGATACATCCAAAAAATATGACAAACATTAGAAAATGCTACAGTGGGCAATGAAAATAAGATTCAGAATAATATAAATATGCTTTTTTATTTTTGAGACAGGGTCTCGCTCTGTTGTCCAGGCTGGACTGCAGTGGCGTGATCCTGGTTCACTGCAGCCTCAACCTCCTGGGCTCAAGCAATCCTCCTGTCTCAGCCTCCTGAGTAGCTGGGACTACAGGCACATGCCACCATACCCAGCTAATTTTTAAAATTTTTTGTAGAGATGGAGTCTCACTATGTTGCCCAGGCTGGTCTCAAATTCCTGGGCTCAAGCAATCCTCCCACCTCGGCATCCCAAAGTGCTGGGATTACAGACGCAAGCCACTGCACCCAGCCATGAATATGCTTTCAATAACACAGGGTATTTTATTGTCTAAATAGGGGCAAGCAGATTTAGATTGTCTCTCAAGAATGGAACCTGAAAGATACCACTTTCCAATGTGAAAGAAATAAACTAGCATGAACCAGTAATGTGCAAATCAACACTGTATTGGGTAAACTCTAATACATGTGACTTGGGAAATTAATTGGTCCATGCCTCAGTTTACACTTCAGAAAATAAAAGTTGAACTGAACGCTTTTTTTGTTGTTGTTGTTGTTGTTGTTTTTAAGTAGCTAATAGTAAGAATAAATGGTCTTTAAATTCCTTTTTGGCTCTAACATTCAATGATTTAAAAAATATAAGCTAACTGTACTTTCAGAAAATTTACCAAAAAAAAAAATATAACAACAAGGTTTTCTATTTTGGCATATGAATGACCAGGAATTTTTTTTAACAAATTACTCTGTAAACCACGTTGGTGTGTGTAATGGAGCAATTCACAAGGTGGTCATCAGCATCCCACTCGCTGGAAGTGTCCAGGTCTGTCACAGATGTAGTAAAATATCTCTCAAGACAATTTAACTACCTTTGATTGTATTTCACACCAACCAAGCTAGTGTATGATTACTTACTCTATTTCTTAAGTAATATCTTAAAGAGGACTGTGCTAGGGCCCACACTTAAATATTCTGGTAAAGGTGCATCCCTACTGAAAACCATAAATGGACACTTTGATTTGTAAATCTACTATTTGTAAGTTTATATGCATATATTAGTACTCTGGAGGCTAATCACACTGCTGAATTTATAAAATCAATTTCATAAATGTGCAAAAATAAAAAAACCCTTGATTACAGACAACCCCACCAAAGTACAAGTTGAGTTCCAGCTGAGCGGCAAGCCTTTCTCCACGATAACTCTTTAGCTATAAAACATAATTCTAGTTTAATTATATTAAATACTAAAGGATTTTTAATAAAGGAATCTAAGTATTTGTGGCTTTTTACTATAGATATTAACCTAAAAGGATCCCACAAATCTATAGGTCAACCTGTTTAAAAGGAGATGAATCACCTGGAGATTGGAGAAAGACAACTTGATAGAAAGACATGAGATGCAAACTTTGAAGACTGGCAGTTAATCTCTAGTTGCGTTGCTTTAAGACTGAAAACACAAAGTATGCACTGTCATAACCTTCTCGGTGGAAGGACAACAGAATCGCTTTTTAAAATGCTAAACAAAATCTGAAATATAATTTTAGTTGCTTTTGGCTTGTCTCAGATAATAAACAGGTTATATGAAAAGCCACTCAAGCCTAAATGGTATACAAAGGGATGGAGTGGGTATATATAAATCTACAACTAACAGTTCTGATAGTTTTAAAGTAATTAAAAAAAAATCTGTGTATAGTGGGTAAGCTTAAATTCAAATAACTTATTTTTAACATAAGAACAAGACATTCAACCTACTTTAATGGTAACTTTCACTGATACCATGACAAGGTGAGTGCATTCTTCTGTCCAATTGTTTACAGTAAATCCTCCAAGTTGCAATATAGCTTGATTTAAAGCAGTTTTCCCAGAGACATCTAAACAAGAAGAGCATGCAACCAAAGGCTCATACTCTATTCTGTAAATGAGAATAAGTTAAATAAAGTCATAGTATCAGAGTTGCAGAGATGGCAATTTTTAGTACTTTAAAACTTTAAGCTCACATCATATACTGTTATTGTAACTTTTATTTATTGTTACCCTTTGTAACCTATGAAATTATCAGTTCCTCATCATTAAGCTTTGTAACCTAGAAAATTATCAAATCCTAAGTCTTGAGTCCAAATGAAGAAAAAACAATGACCAAAAGTTAACATTATACCTTCACCAATGAGGAATCGAAGAAATGTAACTTCCCATGAAGTCCCTCAGGGCCCACTCAAACTCTCATCACCGTGATGTACAAAATGCACTCACCACCCATGGCACAGAGTCCAATACTGTGCTAAGCAGGAACTAAATTATACTGTTTTAAATTCATTAATCAGAAATATCATTTTCCTTTAGGATTTGGCTGAAACAAAGCTGTCCATTTTAAAATCAATTTTAAAATGTCTTACCTGAATTTACTTCCAAACACTCCAAAAGTAATACCATCCCCCGACTTCAAAGTTCGGGAAAAGCCATTCTGCATTTTTTCCTCATTAACAAAGGTACCATACTTAGAATTATCTTTTAATGTCAATACAGGGATTTCATCTGTTTGACTCTGAAAAGTTAGCAAATAATTTAAAGTCTTTTACCACTCAGTACATTCACTTCTCAGAGAAAAAGTTTTCAAAAGAAAAGACAATAGGCAGGTGGCTAACCTCCCAACACGGCAGACAACAATTACTGCTTCGGTTGCCTTGAGAGGAAGATCACTCAACTAACAATTCATATTTCCCCTTAGGGAAGTTTCTTAACCCAGGAATACCCCTCCTAGAACACACATGTTCTTTATTTGTGTAAGTCAGTGGGGATTCTCCTGACCCCTCACACACATTTGAGAATTTTTTGCTTTGGTGCAGTCTGTTTCATTTAAAACATGACAATTTCATTCCTAGATCTTTTTTTGTTTGTTTTACAGTATCAAAACCACATTGTAAAAATTAGTCCCATGAGAATACGAGGTTATAGGCTAGTGTTTCTGACTTACAGTAACAATTTTACTTTTTCTGTAGAAATTTCCAAAATGTTTTTCTATACCTAAAAGAACAGAAACAAAACCTAAATAAAACTGAAGAAATTCATATCGCATATATGCAATCTTTGATTAAAATAATGGCTCATCTTTCTTATTACCACCAGCGTTATCATGAGTACAGATATTCCTATGTATTTTTTTTAGCACTTTTATCACCCAAGGTTATGATCAAAACAAACTGAAAGCCATTTAAAGGAGCTGTGGGGCATAAGTAAGCATTTCCCTAATAAAACAAATCAATTCCCATTGCAAAAACTTGTATTATATGAGAAATGCCCGTTTCCACACAGCTACATAACCTCTTTAAGAGCCAGAGTCATGAAGGTCTGTTCATTGTTCTATTCGCAGGGTTGGCACAGTTACTGACACATAAAAACACATTACTGCTAATGGCAAAAACAGCAATTACTTTTGCACCAAACTAATAGTAAACAATAAATGTTTAGTAAGCAAATAAAAATAACTATGTCCTACTTCCTCTGAGTTTCTAACTAAAACAAAGAGTAAATTACTGAAATAGAAACTTCAAATCTCAAAATGAACAAATACCACTGGTACCACTGCCACAATATAAGTATTTAATTTTGTTAACATTAAAAAAGTCTACACAGCTCTATAAAATGACAAATCCTGTGAACTCTCTCTCACATACAAACCAAGAGAATATTTTGTGATTTCAACCCCCTTACTGGAAACTAGTGAAATAAAATTAGTAACATACCAGGTTGGTTACAGAAAAGTTAGCAGTTAACACAGCATGATTTCGGCTGATCGACTGATCATTTTCAATCAGAATGGCACAGTTTTTCCTTCCAACAACGTACTCAACGCCAGTCAAAAGTCTGTATGGTTCTCCTGAGATAAATTTTTTTTTAAAAAAAGATAAGTTGATAGACACATACACATGTACACGAACACACACATACATGTAAGTGTATATGATATAGGTATGACAAATATTAAATAAAACACCTTTGTTATTCAAATGTTAGTCAACTTTACATATGTCAAACTTGTGTTTTCAGTAAAGCCTCACTGAAGGCTATCAAAGGTTATCTAACTATGGTGTTTCAGGAGTAACAACAACAAAATTTAAAATACAATAAAAAAGAGAAAAAGAAAAAAAGGTTATCTAAACAGATAGAAGGCTACATCATTTTTCTAAAGGGAAAGCAATGCTGAAAGGAGTCAATGTTCCCTCAAATTAACTTAAAAACTTAATGTATTACCTAGCAACAATCACAATATTATGTTTGGAACTTGATAAACAAAAATATCAGGAAACTATAAAAAAAGATGCTCAAGCCTGTAATCCCAGCTACTTGGGAGGCTGAAGCAAGAGAACTGCTTGAACCCAGGGGATGGAGGTTGCAGTGAGCCGACACAGTGCCACTGCACTCCAGCCTCGGTGACAGAGTGAGACTCCGTCTCAAAAAAAAAAAAAAATCAAGAAAAATGTGAATAATATAATAGGAGCTTGCCCTACCAGATGGCAAAATATGCCATAAAACTAAAAGTATGGTACTGGACCATGAGTAAACAACACAGACCAATGCAACAAAGTCCAGACTAAGATGCACGTGTACATTTTTTGAAAATTTGTTTTTATCTTAAAGATAACATCTCCAATCAGTGGGAAAGGGTTATCAGTTTCTTTTAAAATTGCTGTAAATCATAAGTTGTTGGAGTAACAGTATATATATTGGAGACATGCGGAGTTGAGTCTGGGAGCATAATTTCATTACCCGAGTGGCAGGGAGATTAGGGCAGATAAAGAGTAGGGAGTCCAGAAGAGCCAGGTCTCCAGGGACGCCTTGACCTGTGAGTCTTCACAGTATAAAATTTATTTAGTTTGGCGCTCTCCATACTCTCTTACCCTGCCAGTCCATTTAGTCTCTACATAGATCTTTGCCAATCATCATGTAAACTTCCCGAGGACAAGACCCTTCACACCCACCACGGGCAACCAATTAACATGTGATCACATTTCACACCGCTGGAAATGAATGGGAAAAAATCGACTTTTCCCATTGTTCTGATGACATTGTGGAAAAGGAGTCTGAAACAAAACTGAAAGTAAGCCTTTTCGTGGTAGTCATTTCCCCAAACTGTCCAGTAGTTCTTCACAAGTCATGTGTGGCCCCCGTGTGGTCCGCCCATGCTAACTTCCTGCCGGGGGTTCCCACTAGGCGCCTGCTGCCGCTTACCCGCAGGCCATCCAGCCCTAGCGCTGCAACGGCGCGGGGGTGAGGCTGGGAGGGAGGGGGAGTCAGGGGAGGGGCGCGGAGGACTGCCACCAGGGGGCGCCGCAATCACCCCACCGCCCGCGCTGAATTCCAGCTCACAGCCGCCGTGCTGCCCGGGAAGAATATGCGCTTGCCATACAGCGTACTCGCCGCTTCTGCGACCGCTTCCGCAGCGTCCCCGGGCAGGAACGGACGCGACGCAGGAATCACCCGCAGGCCCTCCCCCGAGGCAGTCGCTACCGGGAAAATAGGCCCCGAGGCTTCCCTTCTGCCCTTACCTCCTGCCGGGCCCGCGGCGGGCAGCAGTTTCCACATCGGTCCGGCTCCTCAGGGCTGGGGCCGACGTGCAACCGCGTAACCGGGGCTGCTAGACGAGCGCGGATACGGCGCCTGCGGTCGGCATGGGCTCCGGGACGTGCGCGCTCCCGGGAGCCACGCAGGCTGCCTTGGATGAGGCGGGAGTGCGACTTGGGCGCTTGCCCGCCACCTGGTGGTTGGAAAAGGAACAGCACAATCTGTATTGAAATGTGCTGCGTTAAAAGGGTATGTTTCTAAGGTGTCGCTGAATGTAAGGTTACTACCTTTCCTGATTATGAACGAAAAGAATTTTAAAAACTAACTCCAAAGCAACATAAGGAAAATTTTTAATTAAATGCATTAAAATACTTACCAGTTATGTAGTTTCGTGCGTTTGCAGTTTCTTAAATTGCAGGTATTCCTTTGGAATCTAGTAATGGTGATAATAATGATGAAGATAAGGATTTCACCTCGAAGTAAACTCATTATTTTTACTCTTTTCTAAGTTCAAATCAACTTGTCTTAACGTCTTTATTTCATAATGCCACACTTTCAGCTAATCACATGCTAAATACTGGGCAGTCTCCTGTATTTAATACCCTTCCTTTCCACTTCCACCTGTCTCAAGCTGGTTCAAGCTCTCCTCCTAATTCCAGTAGCTTCCCAACCCATCACCACCCACGTCCCACATAATGTAGTCTACATCCTGCGCACTACTAAATAAACATCTGAGAGCACACTCCTGATCACATACATTTTGGCTTTCAAAAGCATTCTGTAATAGGGGGGAAAAGTCACTTTAAAAAGGCTTGTTTAGGCCCAGCACCATGGCTCGCTCCTTTAATCCCAGCAGTCTGGGAGGCCAAGATGGGAGGATCACTTGAGGCCAGGAGTTCAAGATCAGCATGGGCAACATGGCAAGACCCTGTCTTTATAAAAAATTTTAAAGTTAGCAGGGCTTGGTGCCATGCTCCTGTATTCCCAGCTACTCAGGAGGCTGAGGCAGAAGGATCACTTGAGCCCAGGAGTTCGATGCTGCAGTGAGCCATGATCATGCCACTGCACTCTAGCCTGGGCGATAGAGCAAGACCCTGTCTCAAAAAAAAAAAAAAAAAAAGGCTGGTTTACCAATCTCTTATCATCATAGATGCAAACTCCTAAGCACAATATTAGCAAATTGAATCAAGTAGTAGTATAAAAAGAATAATCATAACTAAGTGAGATTTATCCAGAAACAAAAGGGTGGGTTAACATTGGGGGAAAAAATAAATGTAATTCATCATAATAATTTTAAATAGGAGAAAAATCATGATTATCTTGATAGTAGCAAAGAAATTGATAAAATTAAGCACCCATTTAGGATAAAAACCTCTCTGCAAAGTAGGAATAGAGAAAACATCCATGATCTGATAAAGGACATTTACAAAAAAAACTACAGTTTACGTTATACTTAAGGTAAATTATTGAACATTTCCCCATGACATCAGTAATGAAACAAGGATGTACACGCTCTTACCACTTATTTTCAGCATGGCTTTAGATGCTCTAGCCAATGCAATAAAGGAGAAAGAGTAACAAAAGACATTCAGATTGGAAAGGAAGAAATAACAGTCATTATTCACAAATTACACGATTGCCTATATTGAAAATCAAAAAAACTGTTGGCAAACTATTTTAATTAATAAATGAATTTAATAAGGTTATAGATACAATATCTAGATACAAAATTTAATTGTATACCTTTATTCCAGAAAATAAATAGAAAATTACATGTTTAATTATAATGGCACCAAAATAATCGAGTGCTTGGTAATACATCGATCAAACTATGTAATACAAAACATGATTGACTACATAACATTATTGACAGAAAGTTTAAAAAGTCCTAAATAAATGCAAGGATAATGGATCATGTTCACAGATTGTTAAGATGTCATTTCCCCCAAAATTGTTCTATAGATTCAATGTAACTTCAGCAATCTCAAATGCTTTTTTTGAGTAGAAATGGATGAGCAGATTCTAACATTTATATGGAAATGCAAATGCCTAGAATAGCCAAGGCAATTTTGAAGAACAAAGCTGGAATATTTAAATTATGAAATACTAAGATCTATTATAAAGTTACAGTTATTAAGTCAGTGTTTGCTTGGTACAAGGATAGAAAACAGGCAAATGAGTCAGAATAGAGGGACCTAAAAAAAGTGGACACATAAGGTAATTTGATTTTTCGAAGGTGATTACAGGGCAACAAAGGAAAGTCTCATGTGACCCCACCCCACCCCACAAATAAATGATCCCGTTTATTAACGTGACACAAGAAATGTGTTAACATAACACAGGAAATGAAGACTGATCCCCCTAATTCATTTAGATGAATTAGAATTCATCTAAATTCCAGATGAATCATTATTTACATAGGAAAGTAAAATAATAAATATTAGTGGAAGAAAACATGATTTCAAAGTAGGCAGATCTTTCTTAAGTAGGACACACAAAAGTATGCCCTGCATCATAGAATCCCTAAATTTCACTGATTTAGTGAAGCATCAACATTTTGCAGGAATTTTCTTCCACATTCTGAAGTATACATATCTCACCAAGGCCTCCAACCTGTTTGCCAAATCCTTACTCATCCAATCTGGTGAGCATAATACCATCACTGTAGTAGAACAGTGGATGTTCTGCAGCATGTCCAGACACTTCAGGTCTCTTGGGAATACATTATGATAGAGGTTAAGGAGATACAGCTTAGCTCTGGGTCAACATTGCAAGTATTTTCTATTATTTTTTCTAATTAAATATGAGCACTTTTGGATTCTACTTTCTGTTAAGGTTGGGGAAGCACATGTCATCATATCAATCACCCCAAACCTGTTGCCTGAGGTCATGTTGTTCTGCTCTTGTAAAGATTTCACATCTGGTACAGCAGCTCTAATTGGGGTTATTACTTTGTTGATTGCAGTAGTCGGCTGTTTATTCTCCAGGAACTGTTAGGCTTTTGTAGGTCAAGTATGATGAATTAAATGGAGATAAAAAGGGAGCCAAAAAGAAAGCACTAATATCTATCATTCCCCTATATTGTTCTTGCTCACTGTCATGGCTGTACAATTTGAGGCTGCTCCCTGTTGGCCTTGCCCGCGTTGATAGTTCTTACCCTACAGGCCAAGGAGCTGAGGTGGGTATTGTAAGAACTACCAAGGATGTTCATTTCAATTATATATTTGGGAACTAGGAAAATGACCACCACGTAAGTCTATGTGTTCGGTGGACCCACTGTATGCCAGACCTGGACAAGGACTCCCTTAACTCTCTGGCTTCTGAATACCTCTGCTTTAACCAGGAGTCATAATATTTTGGGTTCATGGGTATCAATAATGATCATGTCCCACAGCCCTCCAAGTATTTGGGCATTCTCTTTTCCTCAGTGTATGATTTTCCAAGCGAATGGCTATAGGTCCCTTAAGGGAAAGACTGAGAGTAGGGTGGGGTGCGGGGAGGTCATTACCATATATTCTTGCTATGGGATTGCAGGGTCCTTCTTACTGGCAGTCCTGCCTCTCCACCAGTCAATGGGTTCTGGATTGGCAAAGTGGCTCAAATCAGGAAATTCGGAAAGAGACTGTGACTTTTTGTTGAGGCTGCTGCTCTGAGCCTTGTGTCTTCCATTCTTGATACCTGTTCACTGAACAGATTGAGTTTACTCTTGGTTAACTGTCTTTCCCCACAGGGGTGCCTTATTCTATTAAGCATCTTTTAAGCTCACTCTGGGTCGAGAGCTCTGCTGCCACTTCAATCTTGCCACTCAAGATAATTATACCATTCGGATGGTTAAGTACCACCAGCTGGCCTCTATCATTTCAGGATTCTATTATCCCCAGTCCTATCTGGGAACTCAATTCCATAACAGCATCTTTTATCATCAACCATGACCTACAGAGGAGACCTACCACTGAGCTTCTCAGTGATGCTGGTACCCTTCTCACCAGAGAATTCCATGTCTCTTTAATAAATGGCACATCTGAACTGGAATTTTGACATCTGGGGGGTTTCCAGCCCTACATAATATGGCCACTGTAGCATACCCATTTCCCTGAGCAGTTTGATCCCTACTTCTACCATCTGCCATGGCAGCTGTGGCATTTTTACTTCTCTTAGCGTGGGCCACCACTTTTCCACAAACTTCTAAAAGCCGTCATAGAAGCATGATAGCAATGTTTCCCAGAGTCCTTGCTGGAATGTTCGATCCTCTCTCCCTGGAGACTGCTCTCAAATCAATAAACTCTCTCATACAAATTTACTTTCCACTCTCCTTTTGTTCAGCATCCTCAGAAGGCAGTCCCATCAGTACTGTCTTGTTCCAGCTGCTTCATGTTGGCAGGGTTCTACAGCTCCTTCTGGGTAAAGCCACCTCCTTCCTTTATCAGGCCCAGTTCTTCCCTGCTGGGAAATACTATAACTTAGCCCAACTTATTGTCTGATTGCCAGGATGAAAGATGGTAGTGGCAGAGTGATGAAGGAAAACAGATCCCACAATTTCTATCTGTTGCTTGGTAACAACACAGGTCTAATAATCAGAGCCCAGAAAAAAATTGAAGAGGAGCATGATGCAAATAGGGTTTGCTTTTGGTAGCAAATTGGTCTGCTTATTGCTCCATGCTCCCTGCTTCTTGTACCTTGCTGGCATCTCCTCTCACCTCTGTCATGGTATAAACAAACTCTTCTAAATCTTTAGGGTCTTGACAGAGTCTTCCCTTTACATCTTGCCTTAAATGAAACTTTGCTGTCACCCTAGACCACAGCTTCCCATGACAGGTTCTAGGCTAGTTTGCTCCAATGCCTCTCCCACTCATATCCAGTACAGCTGTGGGCCACTAGGGTTACTACTTCCCCCTAAACTTTACTTTCCATTTTAGTGTATTACTCTTCCCTACTTTGCAAAACCTCTCCTTGGTCAGGATCATTTCGTGTAACTATCCACCCTCTAGACCTTCTTTTTCTATTACCTACTGCAGGTATGACCATGTCACTTGCCCATATTCACTAAGGACACTGTCACATATGTGAGAGATTTTGCTCCATCCCAACTCTTGCCATCACTCTCAACTACACTGAAAACTCATTCTACATGCTAGGCTCACTATTCTTCAACTGTCTCAGCTTCTGTGACTTTCATCTCTACTCCACACATACCACCCTCTCAGTTGGCCACACTTTCGATCTTCACATCATCAGAACCTTCTTCACCCTTATTTTCCTGCTTTATAACTGGAGCTGCCTGGCCTTCCCACTTCCTTGTATGTTCACTTCCATTGCCTCGCTTTTTAGCCTCACCCACGACTCCAGCCACATGATCCTTCCACTTTACCCAGGTGTCAGTCTCCTTCCATCCTCCTTCATATCCGGGCTGGACACCAGGATGGATAGCTCAGTAACTTTGCTGTCAGTCAGCTCTCACTACTGAGCTGTAGCTCTCAGAAGTACTTTTACCCTGAGATCTCTTAGATCCATAGCTCACTTGTCTAAGAGCCCTAACAAACTCAGAACTATGAGTCAATCAATCCCACAGCAAATTTCTCTACTGAGACACCTGGGTAAAATCTGTCCATCTTCAAAAATACGGAACCAATGCCAATCTATAAACTCTAATATCAGTTGAACTACAGAATACAATTGATCAGTATCTTTTCCTGCTTTTAAGAAAATCTATTCTCAATAACTCTGAAGAGCTATTTGACACATTTGCTGAACTCCTCAGATCTGATCATCTCCTGCTTTCCTTCCAAGAAAATGGTTTCGTATCTTACTAGAAATTGAGGCAAGAGCTTCCTTACACTTTCTGACCTTACACTGCTGCTGTTCTTATCACAAAACAAACCTCTTTTCTTTTAAAATCTGTACCCATGCCTTATCCTTGCCTTCTTATCTCTGGTTTCATGATATGATTTTACCATTCAGTTCAGGATCAATTTCTCCATGTGCTTACACCCATCTCCTCTCATTTCCCCAGGGTTTTGCTTTATCAGTTATCCCTTTCTCCTACTTGTTTTCAGTTTCTCCCTTTGGTTCCTTTACCATACCCTAAAAATATTTACCTTGTCCTCTCCCCCAAAATTCCATTAACCCTGCCATTAATTTCCAGCGAATGTTCAGCTAACATGTAAGTTTAATAGTGCTAGACTTAATTGTTTCAAGATCACACAATGGGTAACTAACAAAGGTAACTCAGTCTCCTCTTATCTATAAGTGGTCTTAAATAATAACTACCTTGAAGTGTTATTGTTAGGAATAAGTGAGATTGTAAATCAAAAAGTCTCTGAGACAAGTCTCAATCAATTTAGAGGTTTATTTTGCCAAGGTTGAGGACAGGCTTGGTAAAAAGACACAAGCCACAGTAGGATCTGTGGCCTGTACTTTTTCCAAGGATTTTAAGAGCTTCAATATTTAAAGGGGAAAGTGGTCAGGAAGGGAAAGAGGGGGGGAAAAAGAGGGAGGGTATGGTCACACTCTTGTGAATCCACACATTGCACAAGAAAAGGAGGGGAGAGAGGGAACAGTTGATGTATTCATATCGTGCTCAATAAATCTGCACTTTACATAAGGTAAAGTAAACATAGAGGAAGCAGCAAATATGCATTTGTCTTGGGGTGGGTGGGGTGGGGGGACGGGATGATTTCTAGTCTCCTCTTGTCCCATACTTGTGAAGATAACGTGTTAATTTACATCATCGGATGAGGGAGGTCCCCTTTGGAGATACGTGGCCATCTGTCAGTTTAAGACAAAAGGAAAGGTAGTTTTGGTTTTTAAAAATATTTTTTCATGACTCAGTTTCTGAGCTTAACTTTTCCCTTTTGGCATAGTGATTTTATTTTCCTTCCACAAGACACTATATTATATATGGTAGTTGTTAAGCAAATGTGACTTTCCTTTTCTTCCTTTATAGTTCCATGAGGGAAGGGCTGGTGTCTAAGACATGTCTGTGTTCCTACTGTCTAAATCACTTTTGTTTCTCATATTTACCATAGTGATGAACACATGGAAGATGCATAACTCTTTGTTAAACTTAACTACTCATTGAACCTCTTTCCAACTTTTACTTAGATTGCAACTGTGAAGGTCGGTGGGGTGTGGAGTGTGGGTGAATGAGAAGCATGTGGAGATCAAGTGTTGATTCAAGGTGTATCTTTATTATTCTGAATATGTCTGATAGTAAGGAGCAATGAGTTCTATTTTTGTGTCTCAATGCTCATTCTACTTTACTATAATGATTTTGCTATAATAATTATATATTTTACTAGAATAAATAATTTAACTTCTATGTGTCTTGTTTCTTCTTTATATGGGGATATAACAATATATGTATGATTAATCTGTGCATAAGCAGTAGAATTAATTGAAACATCAATGGATTACTTGAATCGTATTGGCTGTTTAATCATAGTTTTTTTTTTTAATTGAAAGATAAAAGAATATAAGACTCCAAATTGCAGAGTATAAGATTTGGCTTTACTGAATGAGAACAAATAAGTCTATGTAATGGGATCATGGGCAAGCCTCCCTTGCAGAAGTCATTCAAGAAGCGAATTAACAATTACAAAGCACTTTGAAACTCTGAAGCTTAATATTTACCTAAAATGTGTAAATTAGATGAAATATTCAAACACCAGAGATACATAAGAGCTAATATTATATATAATATGTTATATATATTTAAGCTATTTTATTTTAACAGCATTTCACAATGAACTCCTTAGTACCACACCAGGTTACCTATAGCAATTCTGCCAAATCTAGTTTATTTGCAAAATCACAGATTTTTAGACCTACAAGCGATATTATAGTTCTATACTGATCTCATTTATGCAAACACCCTAGTTTTATGGATGAGGAAAATAAAGCTGATAAAAGTTAATTTGTCCAGTAACAGAAAGCCAATTTGTCACAGAGTTGTGACAAGAACAGTATCATCAGCTGTTTTGCTTCTCAGTGCAGCTCTCTTTCAATCCCTTCAGCTCCCAAATGGAATGGACTTAGTTCCTGGAGCACAGCACAACTCTTGAGCAATTCCTGTGATGTGCAATCTGGGGAGTGAAGGCAGGATAAAAAACCAGAGAGGCCTAGCACAGTGACTGACATTTGTAATCCCAGCTACTCTGGAGGCTGAGGCAGGAGGATTGCTTGAGCCCAGGAGTTTAAGGCCAGACTGAGCATCATAGTGAGAGCCGGTCTCTAGGAAAAAAAAAAAAAAAAAGCAAAAATCCAGAGGGAGGAACATTATTAACTGTAGCTCCCTTTTCCCCGACTCAGACTTGCCCTTTAAGGACGTCAGCAATCACATGTCTGGCACCTTCCACCAGAAGTAAGCATGACTCTCCCTTTCAGGTGGGCCTTACTGATATTCTTCAGTAGTGAGTCAGATATCAGTCAAAGAGTGTCTCAGTCTATTTATTCTATTTCCAAAATAATGTGGAGCAACCCTCTGTCCATTTCTGAAAGGTGTGGGTCTTCCTCACCACAGCAGCACAGGCTGGTGTAACAACATGGCTTTGGGGCTGGGTGCCAAGGGGTTTGCTTGCAGCTTACTGCTGTTGGGGATGTCCAGTTAAAAACAAAATCTCCTGGCACCCCAGTAGACCCACAAGCAATTGACTAGAGATTGTGAAGACAAAAATAAATCTCACACTTTATATAGGCAAGCAGATACAACCATTTCATACGTGTTCTTAAGAGGAACAATAATTAGTCCTCAAGTAAGAGGACTTGATAGCACCCTTTGTCACACCTTGTTCATACCAAATTCACTTGATAATTAGGGTTATCACCCTTATTAACTAATTGGGTTGATTTAAAGGAAAAATTAACTTATTTTATCTTTACGACTGGGGGTAGGTTTCAACTTGAAGCCAGGTAAACAGCTTAAGTTAGGCTCCTACTCTCCCACAGAAATAGGAGATAGGATAGGGCCACTATCTTCTTTGATTATTACTTTGCAAAGGAGTGGCTGTAGGGTCCTTAGACACTGCTGCATTGTAAGGCTGGCAAGAGGCTTACTTAGCCTTAAAAAAAAAAAAGATTTGCATACATTTCAAAGAGACAACGAAAGAATTTGCAATGACAAGATTTATAAGGCAAATGCTTTAAGCAAAGGGAGGAAGGGAAACCTCTTCCTTTATTTTCAACAGGAAGAATTAAGCCTCTTATTCTTAATTTGTGTTTGCCTTTACATTCCCAAGCTGGCTAAGCCTGATCACCCTCTTCAACCTGTTTTCCTGGGGCAGAAGCTGTGAACTTTAATTTCATTCAAACACAACTCTGTATTTTGGATACTGTGTGTCTTTTTTTTTTTTTTTTAGACTCTAACAAAAATATTAAACTGCACTGGCCAGGCAAGGTGGCTCATGCCTGTAATCCCAGCATTTTGGGAGGCCGAGGCGGGTGGATCACCTGGATTGCCTGGATCACCTGAGGTCAGGAGTTCAAGACTAGCCTGGCCAACATTGTGAAACCTTGTCTCTACTAAAAATACAAAAATTAGCTGGGCTTGGTGGTAGGTACCTGTAAGCCCAGCTACTTGGGAGGCTGAGGCAGGAGAATTGCTTGAACTCGGGAGGCGCAGTTTGCAGTGAGCCAAGATCATGCCACTGCACTTCAGCCAGGGCAACAAGAGCAAAACTCCGTCTAATATATATATATAACATTTATATCTAATAATAATTTATTATATATAAATTATATATATATAATTTATATATAATAAATTATATATATAATTTATATATAATAAATTATATATATAATTTATAATAATATATTATATATAATATATATATAATATATATTATATATATAACATATAATATACAATATATTATATATAATAATTATATATAATATATTATATATATTATATATAATAATTATAATATATTATATAAATATATAATATATTAAATATAATAATATATAATATATTATTATATAATATATTAATATATTATATATATTATACTTAAAATAAAATATACTACCTTAAGGAAGAAAAATAAAAACTTACAAAAGGCCTTGCCAAAAGCATTGGTGTCTAGAAATTATGCTTAGTGCAATTATATATGCACTAATATAATATAACATATATTATATATGATATCATATATGATACATTATATGTTATATATGATATATTATATATAATATGTATTATTAATATATTATATACCATATATTATATTATAATTATAATATATTATATTTAATATATATTTACTATAATATATTATATTATATTTAATATAATATATTATATTTAATATAATATAATATATTATATTTAATATAAATATACTTAATATAATATATATTATATATAATATTTAATATAATATATATTACATGTTATATATAATATAAATAATATATATTATATATAACATGTAATATATATTATATAATATATAATACGTTATATATATAATTGCACTAAGCATAATTTCTAGACACCAATGCTTTTGGCAAGGCCTTTTGTAGGTTTTTCTTTTTCTCCCTTAAGGTAGTTTATTTCATGGGTAATAATCCTGTTGAATTTGCTTAGTAGTTATAGCTTGTGATTCTGTGAGAAAAGAAAAATCATTACATAGTAGTATCAGGGATTCTATGCTAATTCTGGGCTAATTACTGGCCATTCTCCATGTGCATGATGATAGCGAGCGTTTGCTGGCTGTTTTGTATGTGTCATGTTCTGTTCTAAGTGCTTTAAATATATTATGTCATTTAAATCTGAGTAGAAGCTTGTGAAGTTGACACCCTTACTATTGTATCTGCATCTCACAGATAAGGGAATCAAATGAGAAAGTTTGTAACTGGCTAAACATTATACATCTAGTGAGACATGTAGCTTGGCTTAAACCCCAGCAGTCTGACTCCCGAGGTTCTACCCCACTAGCACAGAGTAAAATACAGTGGCTGAAAACAGGGGCCCTATAGCGCGACAAGGCTGGGTTCAGATTCCATCACCGTTGTTTACTAGCTGGACAGTTTGCCTACCTGTGTTGTGCCTCAGTTTCCCAAATGCTGATAATATAAGCCTTATAAGTGCTTGTGACGATTAGTGAAATGTGTACACAGACTGTGTGCAGAATCTGACATACAGAAAAAGTGGGGAAACACTAGCTTTCATGAAAAATAGATCCTCAGACACTGAAGTCAGGCTCCATGGCTCCCCCTCATGGAAATACTGTAACTTACTGCATTTCGAACGGCCTCTTGGTTTTATGCCCCTCATCTGTTCCTTAGTAGTGCCTATGACTGCTGCACATTCTCCTCTAAATTACTTTTGTAATAACCTCATTAGAAAATGGTAACAGTCTCAGTACCTCATTCAACAAAGTGTTTGATGGCTCACCATGCACCAAACATTGTGCTAGATATGAGGGATAGAAGGATGGTAAATTTAAAAAGGTAGGCACCCCGCCCCACAGCTGCTAATATATAAGAGAAAGACGCAATTGCAATTGTAACAAGAGCCCCCAAAAGGGAAATTCAGTGCCCTATGAAAACATACAGCTAAGGCAAGGGCTGATTTACCTGAAGCTAGTAAATTTCAGGGCCTCTTGCTTGCACAGCTCTTCCAAGGCCCCAGGGCCATTTCTTTTTTCCAGTAAAATTCACAAAAGTAAGTTATTTTAACAAAAGGAGTTAAAATAATTCTCTTTCCATTCCTATTTCTGTCAAAATTCCTCTCATGTTGGATGATGTTGGAGTGGTCACCAGCAGTTGGGGTGTCTGCTAAACTGAATTGGGGAATTAATTTATTTCTTAGATCAGTTCAGAAATACTTGTGTGGTTTGTTGTCACTTCACTATAGAGTTAATGCTCTATACTGTCCTTTGGTGGGGCTGTCTTCCAGCAGACTGGACTATACTTTCTGCCCACCTTGTGACATTTATGTGCAGGGCCAGAGGTGGTATTGAAATGTAGAAGTGTCCAGTGGTACTCAGCTCTGGAAGTAAATGGGAATTGGAGGAGAAGCAAAGTTTGAATTGTTTAAAGTGTATGAAGCCATAAGCTAGTATCAAATTATGTAAAAGTGTTAGCAGAGGATATGGTTTCATGGATGCATAGTCAAAACAGAAGTTTGTCCCCATCATGAATATTCACAATTTAGTGTTTACTATTATGAATGCACCATGCTTTTTAAAAATATGATAATAATTGCATACAATAGAAATTTTTAGAAATTCTGTCTTGGCCAGATACAAATCTGTGGTGGTCCTATGAGTGGCAAATCTAAGTGTGTGTGAGGTATGATTTAGCACTTGAACTCCTTATTCTCTCTATTAAAAATATGCTTATAAAATCTTCAATAAAGGAAGAGGTGATCAAAGAGAATGCAGCTCCGAAATGTAGACGGAAATTGCAATTAGAGATGTGTTAGACATTTAAGTAGTTTGAAACATTACTTTATATTTGTGTGAAATTTAGGATACTGTAAATTTTTTGGAATTTGTAATTTGTTCTAATTTCTTCTTATATTGTAAGTTAATATTCATTTTTGCATCTAATTTTGTAATCTTTTTCTTAAATGGCTTCCCAAAGTTTATAAGCTTCAGGTACCACCAAACTTGGATGCTTCCCTAGTAGGAAGACCTGAATTAGTGTAGAAGTCAAGGTAACTTTTCCTGAGAAAACAAAATCAAAGCTGACCCCTGATTATGGGGTCAGAGGCAGCCATACTAGGGTGATGATGTGAAAGTGGGGAGAGGAGGCATGTGTGTGAGGGGAGCAGCCATTGCTGGAGTGTAGGAGTCTGCCAGTCACTAAGGCTGAACCATCAGATAAGAAATCAGAAGAAATAGCACCAAAGGGAAAAATCTGTCCTCATGATCCAATCACCTCCCACCAGGCCCCAATTCCAACATTGGGGATTACAATTCGACATGAGATTTGGGTAGGGACACAAATCCAAATCATATCACCAATGTTGCAACTTCTTCTTAGAAACAAGATGAACCCCACTTTTAGGCCTTTTGATTTCAGGAAATATTAAAAATTAAAAATAATATAACCATTTTTTCTGTTCATATTCAAGACAAGCTAGTGGTATAAATATTCAACCATATATTCAAGGATGAAGGTAATATCATTTTATTTTATTTTATTTAAATTCCATTCCTAGCCCTATCCATTCCTCCATGATTGTGGGAATTGTGGGAAATTCAACCTTAGTCATCTTTAGTGCCCTGTCTCCTTTCTTCCCTCTCGGTATCATAAGAAGGACACCAAGTCCTATACAGGCCTTTAGGGGAGGCCTCTCTGATTTTCAGTTCCTAGTGGTTATATTTTTCCTAACTGGTTTATTCCTTTGAGGTTCCAACCCTCTGCTTCTGTACCAAGCTTGGAGAACGACAGTAAAACAGAACCCAGAGTCCAGGCTGCCTAAGTGTTTTATGTAGCTATTTCCCTCTGACTAGATTGTAGAGTGTGGGTAACGTAGTTTGGATGTGTGTCCCCACCCAAATCTCATATATTGAAATGTAATGCCTGGTGTTGGAGGTGGAGCCTGGTAGAATGTGATTAGATCATGGGGGCAGGTTTCTCATGAATGGTTTAGCACTATTCCACTTGGTACTATCTTCACCATAGTGAGGGAATTCTCCTGAGATCTAGTCATTTAAAAGTGTGCCCCTTTGCCTTCCATGAGTGGAAGCTTCCTGAGGCCTCCCCAGAAGCAGATGCCACCATGCTTCCTGTACCGCCTGCAGAACCATGAGCAAATTAAACCTCTTTTCTTATAAATTACTCAGTCTTAGATATTTCTTTATAGGAATGCAAGAATGGACTAATACAGGGGGTCTACCTAAAACTTTTGCAAACTTCTTTTTCATGTCTAATGTATGGTTGTGGTAGACAGAATTCTAAGATGGTCCCATGAGTCCCAGTCCCTGGAATTCATGCTCTGTATAATTCCCTTCCCTTAAGTATGGACAGGAACTGTGACTCACTTCTAGTTAACAGTATATGGCAAAGGTGAAAGAATTGTGCAGATGCAACTAAGATCCTGTGAAAGAAAAACAGAATATAGGGACTGTGAACTCACTATGCCATAAGGAAAGTTAAGCTTGGAAACTCAGTCACCAATACTGTCTTTTTTGTTGTCGTTGTTCCCAAACTGATAGCTGTAATTTCATAATCCCAAGACATAGCATCATTTCCTCTACTCCCTCTTTTCACATGTTTACTTTATCTTATGTAAAATGTAGATTTACTGAGGCTAATCAGAGCCTCAAAAGAATGGAACCATCTGCCTCACTGTCTACCCTCTCTTCCTTTTTTTTTTTTTCTCTCCTGCTTGCTCTTTCTTTTTTAAATAAAGAATTTCCCAAAACCCCCTTTGGAAAAAGCATAGGTTACAGATGCTCTTGTGAGTTGCATTTTTTTCCCAGACATGTTCTCAACCTTGGCTAAATGATCGCTAACCCACAGAGATCTGCCTCAGTCACTTTTTGGTTTGCAGTCCCAAGTCAGTTGATTTTAGTTAATCAAAAAGGGGTTAAGACTATTTTCAGTGGGCCTCACTTAATCTGGTGATTGTCCTTAAAAGATGGGCTGGGGCCTCCCTGAGGTACAGAATTGTCCTTGCTGGCTTGATGTAGTAAGCAGTCTGCTGAGGAAGCCCACATGGGAAGGGATGGAGGTGACTTCTAGAAGCTGAAGGCAACTCCAGCCAACATCCAGCAAAAATGTGGGGCTGTCAGTTATATGGTTATGAGGAAAATAATTCTGCAAACAATCTGGATGAGCTTGGGATCAGATCTTCTCCAGCTGAGCCTCCAGATAAAAACAGCCTAGTTGACACCTTGATTGCAGTCTTCTGAGACCCAGAGCCAAGGATCCAGCTAAGCTGTGCCTAGACTCCTAACTCCTGGGAACTGTGAGATAATAAATGATTAATTGTTTTAAGTTACTTATTGTGTTACTCCATTCTCACAATGCTATAAAGAAATACCTCATACTGAGTAATTTATAAAGAAACGAAGTTTAATTGACTCACAGTTCTGCAGGCTATATAGGAAGCATGACTTGAGAGGCCTCAGGAAACTTACAATCATGGTGGAAGATGAAGGGGAAGCAGGCTGTCTTACACAGCTGGAGCAGGAGGAAGAGAGAGGGTGGGAGGTGCCACACACTTTTAAACAACCAGATCTCCTGAGAACTCTATCAGGAGAATAGCACCAAAGGAAGAAATCTGTCCCCGTGATCCAATCACCTCCTACCAGGCCCCAATTCCAACACTGGAGATTACAATTCAACATGAGATTTGGGTAGGGACACAAATCCAAACCGTATCACTAATGTTGCAACTTCTTTTTAGAAACAAGATGAATCCCACTTACAATTTGGTTTGGAAGTCAAGAATAACAGTGCCATACATATATCAAGAGCTTAGGAAAAGTTTTATTATTGATATATTCTCAAGGTTTTTTTGGGAGGACAGAAAATGCCTCCTAAGCTGGTCTAAAAGTTATTTAAGAGGGCAAGTGTTCTGGGCTGAATTGTGTACTTCCCTCTTCTCCCAGCCAAATATATACATTGAACTCTTAACCCCCAGTATGTCAGAATGTGGCTATATTTGGAGATAGAGTCTTTAGGGAGGTAATTCCAGTTAAATTAGGTCATTGAGGGTGGGCCTTAATCCAACACGACTGGTGTCCTCATAAGAAGAGGCAATTTAGATATGGAAAGGTACACAGGAGGATCATGTAAAGACACAGGGAGAAGATGGTCCCACAGTGGCTCCACAAGAAACCAACTCTGCTGACTTGTGGCCTCCAGAATTGTGAGAAAACAAATTTCCATTTAAGCCACCCAATCTGTGGTAGTTTTGTTCCTGGACCAAACTGAGGGTCAGGCTGCTATTTCTTGCTGCCAATAATGAGATGTCGATGAACTGGGGATGAAGAAAGTTTTTATTTCTGTAACCAGTTACAGGCAGAAGGCCTGGAAATTATCACCAGACCAACTCAAAATTACAAAGTTTTTCAGAGTTTATATACCTTATAAGCTATATGTCTACATGTAAGTGTACATTCCTCTGAAGATATAAATGTTTCTTTATCAGCATTTGGAACATGCCAGGCAAATAGTAAACACTCAATATCATCTACCATCAGCCTCAGCCTGGGGCCTCACACCCATCTTCTTTTATCTAAAATTCTGAATTAGCTATGAATATTCTCATTTTACGAATGAGGAAAGAAATGTGATCTGAGCTAATGCCTTGTGTCAACAGGTATATTACACTAAGATGGAGAATGATATACTGAATCTGTGTTTGCCTTTAACGTGTGTTTAACTTCGAGAAAAAAGCCAAGGCTGGGCGGTCGCAGTCACGCTGCATCCGGCGACAGGGGGCGGTGTGTCCTGCGAAAAGTCAAAACGCCGGAAGCTGCCCTTAGTGTTTTTCAGCCTCTTGGTCTTAGGGAAAGTGAGGCCGTGTTTTACATCCAACATATTATTATTCTGATAATATGTGACTTGGCGCCACGCGCACTCTGCACTTAAACACGCACTTAAGGGATAAACACATACGACTGAAAAAGAGTTTCGCCCTTGATAGGCAGTGTATGGGGTGCGCAGCTGCAATCTGCAAACCCTTGCAGGGCGCGGGGTTTCGTACACCCGCTCAAGGACGCAAAGAACCTCCATTCTCTGCCATACAAAGCACTCCTGGCCCAGAGAGCAGGAAAGAGCATCAGCTAGGCCCAGCTAGGCGGCGCCCTCGGCCGGACTCTGAAGGTCAGGGCCGCTGGGCGTCCACGCCGCCTGGGTCCCAGTCCCCGTCCCATCCCCCGGCGGCCTAGGCAGCGTTTCCAGCCCCGAGAACTTTGTTCTTTTTGTCCCGCCCCCTGCGCCCAACCGCCTGCGCCGCCTTCCGGCCCGAGTTCTGGAGACTCAACATGAAGCTACCGGCCAGGGTTTTCTTTACTCTGGGGTCCCGGCTGCCCTGTGGCCTCGCTCCTCGGAGGGTAAGGCGGCCGGGGGCGCGGGGAGCGAGGACAGGGCGTCTCGACGCGCAAAGAGAGAGGACAGGGCGTCACGGGGGCTCGGGGAGCGAGGACAAGGCATCCTGGGGCGCAAAGAGAGAGGACAGGGCGTCCCGGGGGTTCGGGGAGCGAGGACAGGGCATCCCGAGGCGCAGAGAGAGAGAGGACAGGGCGTCCCGGGGCCTCGGGGAGCGAGGACAGGGTGTCCCGGGGCTCAAAGAGAGAGGACAGGGCGTTCTGGAGCGCTAAGAGAGCACAGAGCAACCCGGGGAGCGAGAGAGAGGACAGGACGTCTCGGGGCGCAAGAGAAAGGGCAGGAAGTCTTGGGGCACAAAGAGAGGACCCGGCGTCCCTGGGGCTCAGGGAGCTAGGACAGGGCGTTTTGGGGCGCAGAGAGAGAGGACCACCAGGTCCCGGAGCGAAGGGCAACGCCGGGAGTGAGCACCGGGGCCCGGGTCGTATTCCACTGTCAGATGAAGCCCTGATGTGTGTAGGGGAATAGGGAAGAGACGTGATTTTCGAAGTTTTCACAGTTCTGCAAGTTTCCAACTTGTGTGTAAATAGGTAGAAAGAGGTAGGGAAGGATACGGCGCCCGTCCACCCCTTAAGGAGTGAGAGGGGATCAGGCCGAGCGAGCACTGACCTTTGACGTCCTTTGTTGTGAGGAAAGTCCATCTATGTGTTAGTTATGGAATTAAACACTAATACAAACAAATTATCATAAAAATGAAACAAAAACAAAACCCCAGCTGTTTATAGACTCCCCTTCCCAGATGTATAGCTGGGAGAGGTCCGTCTCACACTGGCTTCCCCCTCTCTCTGGCCCACACTCCTGTCACCATCTCCATTGCACCCATAGTGGAAATAGCTAGGAAGTGAAAACAGCTAGGAAGAAGAAAGAGAAACAAAAACAAAAAGAAGCAATAATATCCAAGACAAGCCCTCCCCACATCTAAATTACAAAATTGTTATAAGTAAACTAAAAAGCACATTTTCTTTAGCCAGGTAGAAAAATTAATATGTCAACTGTGAAAAAACTTCTTTTGATTTGATAGAATAGACAGCCATGGTGTTGTTTTTCAAAAAATATGGGCAGCAGTAGTTCCAAATAGGAATACAAAGAATTAGTATGGTGGTTCCCTCAAGTAAGGTATCTTTCTTTTAAAAAGTGAGATTTGTTCAGGGTTAGGGTTTTGCTGATTTTTTTTCTCTCCCTGTGAAAACTGGGTTATAGATCATTATAAAGGAAGCCCATATTTTCTGATACTTTTCAGAGACATTTCTCATTTGAAATCTACAACAGCTCTGTGATGTCTTCAGAGATTTCATTTTTTAACACACATCATTAGGATTGTAGCAATAAGGTCATACAGACCTTATCCAAGCTCTTCTGACACCATTAGACAATACAGTTTGAGAAGGAGAAAATGAACTCATTTAAAAATTAATTGTAATCTGACAATTTTGAAATTCCTTTGCTGAAGAAAAATATGGAAGTTTTGAGGTTCAGGGTTGGGAGGCAAGAGAGGTACCTGTTAGTGTGGTTTGTCCCCTTCCTAGCACATGTAGCCTCAAGTTTGAATTCCTGGGAGAAGAAAAGTCTTTACATCTGTGATGTGGGAGGTTGTTCCAGGGAACATCATGTTTTTGTGGGCAAATACAAGTTGTTATAATTAAAACCCCTAATTTGAATATTTTTGTTACCAAGAACCAAGGCAAATGTTTAATTTGTTATAAAACCTGTTTGTGAAGTGCTGTGTTAAATTGTGCTGCTGGCTAATAGGCCTCATTTCAATTTAATAAATATTTATTGAGGACTGGCTTTATGTCTGGCCCTGTGCTATGCCCTGGGACTCAAAATTTAAAAAATACGAGCCCTGCTCTCAACTGTTCTCAAGTTGCTCTCAGTTCTATTGAGGAAAACATTCAGTCATTCAGTTGTTTATGAGGAAACACTAATTAATTAAGTACCTATTAAGTATTGGGCATTCTTTGGCAATTTGTGGTTGAAAGACATTCCTGCCTTCAATGTACTATAGTCTCATATATGTATTTTAAGCCACAAATAATAACCAATGAGTAGGCCTTGAAATCAATTTAGTGGAGCAAAACAGCACTTTGGGAGGCTGAGGCGGGTGGATCATTAGATCAAGAGATCAAGACTATCCTGGCCAACATGGTGAAACCCTGTCTCTAGTAAAAATACAAAAATTACTGGGTGTGGTTTCACACGCCTGTAGTCCCAGCTACTTGGGAGGCTGAGGCAGGAGAATCGCTTTAACCTGGGAGGCAGAGGTTGCAGTGAGCTGAGGTCGCGCCACTGTAGTCCAACCTGGCGATAGAGTGAGTGAGACTCCATCTCAAAAACAAAAAAATGGAATAGAATAGGATATATCTAAATTCATCTCATGTAGTAAGGTTGTTCATTTTGTGAAACTTTAAAAAAAAAATTTACCATTCTTCCTTTTTTGATTCATTCTTTGATTACTATCATGCACACTGCCATGTTTCTTTTCCTTTTGTTTTTATCAAGAGTAATAACTATCCAACCTGATCAACATGGTGAAACCCTGTCTCTACTGAAAATATAAAAATTAGCCGGGCGTGGTGGCGCGTGCCTGTAATCCCAGCTACTCAGGAGGCTGAGGCAGGAGCTACTCAGGAGGCTGAGGCAGGAGAATCACTTGAACCTAGGAGGCAGAGGTTGCAGTGAGCCAAGATCACGCCATTGCACTCCAGCCTGGGCAACAAAGTGAGATTCTATCTCAAAAAGAAAAAAAAAAAAAAGAATAGTAACTATCAAGAGTAAAATCACTATTTTTAGAAAAATGATTCCTGGCCAATATTCAGCAATACAGTTAACAAAGTAAGATATGACCTCAAACTGGCCACCTAGAATTAACTTGGGTTAGCATTTGGTGTATATCATTCCAGGCATCTGTTCTGGTAAAAGGATGGATAGGCATAATTTTACTTGGATGTCACATTTTCCCTTAGTCAACATTGTTTCATTGTTTTCTCACGATGAATATTGTCTTGGAGCAGTATAAAACCAACTAGATGTGTTTTCTTTATTTTTTTTAAATCTGGAAGCCTAAGTATTTCTTTATTCAGTGTAAAATTCTGGAATATAAGCTCTATGCAGGCAAAGATTTTCAACTGTTTTGTCCACTGTTTATACCTAGAACAGTGCTTAGCATAGAGTAAACATGTAACAAATATCTGTTACATGAATGAACGTGTGTACTGTGTTGCTATGAACATGTGTATGTTGCTATATAAATCACATTTCTTGCTATGGTTCACAGTCAGAAAAATCTGAAAAATGATAGTCTAGTGAGTCACCAGCAGACATCAATAGACTGTGAAGATGCAGATGTGTATTATAATGCATATATGACCCAAACTGTACATACCTAGAGGAGGCAAGGAAAGCTTCATGGAGGAGGTGGCCCCAGGAGCCTGCTGTTAAATCAGGAGTTGGAATTTGTGTGGTCCCAATGGCAATATAGACCTAAGGAATAGCATGTATCAAGAAGTGAAAGAGTGGCTTATTTATAAAAATTCAAGTGGTTTGTTTGGTATTGTGGAGTTGGTGAAGTATGGGAACAGAGAGAAGCGTGTGGAGACGAGATCAGTCAGGTTGCTGGGGGACAGGGTATGGTGGGCTTTTCTTATTTATGTAGAAAATTGAGCATTTACTATTTGCTAGGCACCTTACTAGGGATATGAAGGTGAGAAGAAGAGCTGATTCCTGCTGTCAAGAAGCATAGAGTCCAATGGCATTATGGTATGATGTGCCGCATGTTAGGTTGGGTGTTCTTGCTTTTGGATGGGATCCCAAATAAATAGCATCCGTTTTTTCCAGTCTGAAAAATGAGTAAAGATGGAAGCCAAAGTATCACTTTTATTGTGGTTTGTGAGAGGAAGCTGGGCCTATCAGCTGGATCTCCCGAAGTAGGCGGACTTACATAACTCTGGAGGAGGGCAGAACATTGTCCTCTGAAGGCAGCTGGCTCCCAAAAGGAAGAAGACCAAGGAGAACTGTTCATACCCAACGATCCTGTCAAAATTTACCAGTCATATCAACTGTCTCTGCACAGACAGATTGTACCTCAGTCTGTGTTGCTATAAAGGAATACCTGAGGCTGGGTAATTTATAAAGAAAAGGGTTTGTTTGACTCATGATTCTGATGCCTGGACAAGTTCAAGACTGGGCATCTGCATCTGGTGACGGCCTAAGGCTGCTTGCACTTGTGGCAGAAGGTGAAGGGGAGCTGGAGTTTGCAGAGATGGAAGTGAGGGGGTGTTGGGAGGTGCCGGCAAGAGAGGAAGTGAGAGGGTGTTGGGAGGTGCCGGCAAGAGAGGAAGTGAGAGGGTGTTGGGAGGTGCCAGGTTCTTTCACAACCTGCTTTAGTGGGAACTAATAGAGTGCAAACTCACTTGCCACTGCCAGGATGAAGATGGTACTACGACATTCATGATGGATCTGCCACCATAACCCAGGCACCTCCCATTAGACCCCACCTCCAACATTGGGGATCACATTTCAACATGAGTTTTCAAGGGACAAACATCCAAACATCCTTAGCAGGTTGACTAAGGGGACAGAAAGAAGCCTGGAGTTGTACTACCTGAACTTCTCACAGTAGGGAGATGTCAGGACTGGGGAAGAAGCATCTCCTGCTCATGGGGGAGGTATGTCCAGTTTTATGAGAGTGTTGTTGTTTGGTATATATCAAAGCTGAGACCTGAAAGATGAGTAGGAGTTAGCCAAAGGGAGAGATGTAAGAATGTTTTAAACAGGAGAGTAGTCTATGTGAAGGCCCAGCATAAAGGTTATCAACAGAGAGTGGGGAGGCAGGAGGTGAGAGACAGCTTAGTGAGCAGCCTGTTGGCTGCGTTAAAGAGTTAGAACTTTGTCCTGCAGGGTGGGAGTGGAGACAAATGGCTAAACCCTGAGTAATCCTCTCATCTGTTGAGAGGTGATGGTGGCCTCAACGAGGGCATGCATTGGGTTTGGAGACACTCAAAGTTGAGTGATATTTAGGAGGTAAAATCAGAGGCCTTGGTGATTGGTTGGTGGTGAGGATGAGAGATGGGGCTATGCTCAGTGGTGACATGTTGCCATCAAAATTGTGAGCAGAAATACGATATCATCAGGTAAGACTGGAAGTAGGGAGACCAAACATCCAAACACCAGTGATGAGGGTCTGAACTGAGGATAGCATTAGAGCTACTGGGGACTAAAACGAACTGGGCTTGGTTTGAATGTATGGGGTAAGATGAAGCCCAGATTTCTGTCTTTGGCCCCTGAGCTAAGGACAGTGCCACTCTCTTGAGTGAGGACATTAAGTGGGGGCTGGAGGGAGAAGAGGAGTAAGTGACATCAGTCCTGAAATGTCAGTAGGGTCTGGGACTCCTCAAGTGGTATATAGATAAATAAGCTACAGAAGTAGAGGAGAGAATGTTAATTCTCCCTGGGAGTGTTAGGGAAAGCACCAGAGCTCTCACAGCTGGGTTTCAATGATGAATGTTGGGTGATGATAGGGAGCAATTTGTGTAAAGACAGGAAAGTAGGAAAGAGTTCATGTTTGGGGAATCCTGAGTACTTTGTTTTCCTGAGTGTAAATTTCAGGGGAGATGAGGCAGAAGAGAGGGACAGGAGCTAGGTCGTGAAGACATATGCTATGGGGAGCGAAGGAATCTGGATATTCTGCAGCTACCAGGAGCCCTTAGAAGATCTTAAGAAGAGAAGTAACATGATCCCATTAGCAGTCCTCGGAAGATCAGTTAAAAGATGACACAGAATAGGCCCCCAATGTTTGTGAATGTTGTGAGATAGGGGTTTGAAATCAGGTGGTGGATATAGAGGGACACTGGGGAGGTAAAAGGCATGGGGCTTATAGACGGATGGGATGTATCAGGTGAAGAGGAGAGGGAGTCACCAAGGTGGGGCAGGGCAGGGCAGGTGGTGGGGGTGGGGTTAATGGATGAATCTTGGCCTTGTAGCTTAAGGATGCATTTGAAGAAATTTCAAACAAACTTCCTGCCCAAACTACAAAGCAAACTTTATATTATTACAAAAAATAATCTAGATCTCAGATATCTCCCAAAGGTCATGATAATGACATCAAAAGAGGGGGGAATTTTAAAGTTATCCAGAGTTTCTTACAGCCCATGGTAGAAAGCATGCAATAGATGTTTAGCAACTTTTAGTTTTTGCAGAAAATTCTAGGTAGAAAATGATCAGCATTCTCAGCTGTCCTGCGCTCTTCTCTTCCTAAGTTGATGAATCATTCTGAGATTGAAGTGCCAGGGTAATGATAAGTAAGTCTAGAATACAAGGTCAACTGCACTTTTATCCCTTCCAGTCTGGGAAACCCTCACACTGCATTGTAACATAAAAGCAGTGATAGAACTGTAGGCTTTCATAATTGCTGGAATGATGAAATGATGTTGCCATTTACCTTTAGCCCTAATTTATTCTTCATGCTTCAAAACCATATTTCCTACTGCAGCTTAGATATCTCTACCTGACTATTCCAGAAGCATCCCAAGTGCAGCATTTCTGATGCAGAACTCATTATCCTCAATGCTCCAACTTGGTCTTCTCATGTCAACCCAGTCATTTCAGTCAGAGCATCACTCTGCATGCAGCCACTTAAAACTAGAACTCAGTTACCTTCCACAGCTCTCACCTTACTTGCCAGGTCTGGCTGGTTGGGTTCTGGGTTCAGGCTAATTTACATGTTAAATGTGTGTGGAATATGTTGTCTTCTCTTAATTTCTACTGCCCTCGGTATCTCTCATGTACACTTAATGACTTCTGTCTGATGAGTCTCCATTTCCTTTTTTCTGGCTCACATTTAAATCTTAATTTTTCTAGAACACAAAGGCAGTGCAGATGTAACAGGGATATTGAGGTAAAGATGAGAGAGGTAGAAAAATCTCTCTCAGTTCTTTTCAGTAAACAGGAGACCTGTTTATATGCTGTTAATGAAACAGGCAAAAATGTGATGAAATAGATCAAGAACAAAAGTCCAAGCTCATGTTGTTGGGCAAGAGGCAAGAAGAAATCATGGATCTAGTGGATATCTTAAATATCCTGACTTGATCATTACACATTCTATGCATGGAATAAAATATCACATGTACCCCATAAATAGGTTAAAATGTTATGTATTAATAAAACATTAAGAAAAAGAAGAAATAATTGGACCAGGCGATATTAGGTACAGTGGTGACTCATTACGTCCTCATTTTTTGGGACCTTTGCTCTTGCAAGTAGTTTTATTTGCTAACTTCCCACCAGTTCACATGATAGCATCCTGGGCTAAGCATCACCATCTCTTGCCTGGCTTGTTATACAAGTGTCCTAATAGTTTCCCTGCTTCCAACCTTGCCCTCTACACTCCATGGCAGCCAGAACAATCCCCTTAAAACTTAAGGCAGATCATGTCCATTCTCTCCTTAAAACTTAGAAGATGTTTCCCACTTGCCTCAGAGTAAAAGCCTAAGTCTCCGTAGTGGCTGACTCAGCCTGCATGGTCCAGTCCCCTTTACCTCACTGACCTCTTCTCCTGCCCCTGTCTCCCTCCTTCCTTCTTCTCCAGCCACACTGGCTTCCTGACTGTTACCCCATCCATAAGCATGCCCCCTGCTTAGGGCCTTTGCTCCCAATCCCTTTTGCCTAAAACCCTGTGATTCATTCTTCTCCTTCACGTCTTTGCTCCAATGTCACCTTCTCAATGAGGCCTTTGCTGATGACTCTATTTAAAGTAGCAATGCTCTATCCCTATTCTCTGCCTTATTTTTTCCCCACACTACATATCAACTTTTAATATACTACATATTTAACTTAATTTCTTTATCCCTCATTCCCCCAAGGATAATCTTGCTGAGAATAGAATATTGTGTCTGTTTTTTTTTTTTACTGCCGTACTGCCATGCCTAGAACAGTGCCTGGGGCTTAATATATGCTCAATAAACACTTGCTTAAAATGAATAAATGAATAAACTCTATATCCATCATAATGTCATGTTTATCCCTAATACTTTTTTATGTAAGCAAATTCCCAAAACAAACTCTTTGCAAGAGCAGAGATTCTAATTTTTGGTTTAAAAAAGATTGTCATTATAGTTTTGGTTAACATGATAGGGGATCAATAAGAGATGACTCAAATCAGAGGCAGGCAGGAGTGAAGACCCTAGCTGAAAATTTCAAATTGCCTCTTAGGTCTGTGATTTCATCTCTTTTTATTTTGTTGTATTGGAGAAGCATCTGTTCAGTCTGCATCTAACTGCAGACAGATAACCACTGTAATAAAATGAGATGTACACCCTATGGCATAGAGCACCGACATTTTCAAGGACTCATGTTCACTGATACAAAATGTATCATTCCTCAAAAATGTAATTTCTGTCTTGCTCCTGGCAACTGCATAATTCAGCTTAGCCATTGGAGCTTGGAGTCCAGCTGGGCAGTTTCTTTTATATTTGTTTAGCCTTACCTTCAGGTTGCTGTGGCAACAAGATCTGTGCTCTGCGGAAGCTGAGAATATCAGTGGCCTCTGTTCAGTGCCCTGCTATAAGTTAAGGAGCAGGCAGATGTGCTTAAGCAATCTACACAGTCATGGAGCATGAGTTAACGAGGCCTGTGGCAAGCTTTTGGTGTGGTACTCAGTTATTTTAATGTCTGCAGGGCAACTGTTGGCATTTGGGGTGAGACAGTTCTTCATTCTGCAAGGCTGTCCTTTTCTGCACTGGAACATCCAGTAGAACATCCCACCAAACTATCCCTTGTATTACCAGATACCTCCAGCTAAGGACCACATACACTGTGCTGAAGTGGCAGTGGTGTGGCCATTGGAAAGAATGCACGCATGGCCTTCTAGCAATCGGACAAAATAAATTGGGAAGTAGTTATGGAAGGCTTCCTGTATTCAGGGAGTACATAAGGTGTTTTGGGAATGCAAAGATGTACACTTTTGAAACTCATCCTTTGAAAAATATGGTTGTCCAGTGTTTACCACGCTGATAGTTTAATATGGCAGTTAGGGCCCAGTCTGCAAAACTCTTATGTGAATTCCAGTTGGAGTAAATTTGATCTAAAAAATATTGATTCAACCTGAACCAACAGATACGTAGAAGCTCCAAGAAAATAGATGTGGAAATATTTCATTATCTTTATAAATATAGCTCACACTTTAGTGTTTAATATAGAGTAGTTATGCTTCAAGTAAGGTATATGTCCTTATCATGAAATTGATTCTAGGCCATTTTTTTTCTTGCTCTGTTTTCCTCTACGTACTTCTTGTATTGTGTGCTTGCCTATATGATTCAGTTTTCTGTTAGCTATTGTTAAAGAAAAAAAATTTATGAACATGTTGAACATTCAAGCAATATAAAAGGATATGCAGTGACAGTGTAATAAGGTTATTATTACTATGGTTATTACTATGAATAGGTTCTTGTGGATACTTCTGACAGTTTTTGTGCATATGTCAACATATGTATGAAGATATCCTCATTTTAAAAAACCACATGAAGGGGAGCCTGTTACATGTATTTCTCTACCTTGAGTTTTACACTTAACACATAGTGTCTCACATTGTTGGTATCCAACAAATACTTATTGAATAATTAAAAAATAATACATCTATAGCAATGTTTACAGTCAGCATATACATTCCAGCTCCTTCTTTTGGTAGATAATAGATCCATATAACTGTATTTTGTAATATAGATGTGCTCTAATTCATTGGCTATGTCCCCTAAGGAAACACACATAGATTGTTTTGTAGTCTTTCTATTACAAACAATTCTTTAATGAATCTCTTTGGCTATTTTGAGTCTCTTGCATTTTCAAAACAATTTTAGGATAAGCTTGTCGACGTTCACAAAAAGCTGATTAGGATTTTGATAGGGATTTTGTTGAATCTGTATATCAATTTAGGAAGTGTTGTCCTCTTAACAAAATTAAGCTTTCCAGTCCATGAACATATAATGTCTTTTTGTTTACTTAGGTCTTTAATTTCTTAATGATGTTTCATAGTTTTCAATTTATAAGTCTTGTACTTCTTTTATTAAATGTATTAGTATTCTTTTCAATATGATTATAAACAGAATTGTTTTCTTAATTTCATTTTCATCTTAATGTATATCTTTGATCATAGCTCCTTCTCCCCCTGCTTCTTTCCCAAATGAATGAGTATTTCTTTTAGATAAATTCCTGCATGTGGATTTGCTGGGTCAAAGAGTATTTGTATCTAACATTTAAAAAAATGTTGCCAGATTGGCCTCCTAAGAAGTTGCCAGAATTCTTATCAACAGATTGTAAGGGTGGCTTTAATCAACTGTTTCTTGTATTATAGATGATAAAATTTTGAACCTTGCTGGTCTGGTAAGAGAAAAATTATGTCTCCTTTTGTTTAAATATGCTTATTTAGTTATAAATATGGTCGTATATTTGTTTTTTGTTTGTGTGGAGTACCTTTCTAAGCCCTTTGCTTAGTTTTTCTATTTGCAAGTAACTCAGTACTTGTATAGATTGATTTAGATTTTCTTTTCTTTTCTTTTTTTTTTTTTTAAGAGGGAGTCTTGTTCCGTTGCCCAGGCTGGAGTGTGGTGGCACGATCTTGGCTCACTGCAACCTCCGCCATCTGGGTTCAAGAAATTCTCCTGCCTCAGCCTCTCGAATAGCTGGGACTACAGGCGCATGCCACCACGCCCGGCTAATTTTTGTATTTTTAGTAGAGATGGGGTTTCACCATGTTGGCCAGGTTGGTCTCGAACTCCTGATCTCAGGTGGTCCACCTGCCTCGGCCTCCCAAAGTGCTGGGATTACAGGTGTTAGCTACCGTGCCCGGCCTGATGATTTAGATTTTCTATTCTTGGGCTTATTCTAATGTTTAAGATGTCATAATTTAGGGTCATTGGAAATGACTAATTTTTTAAAACAAGTGGCAAAAGCTGGATTTCAATCATATATTCACATAAGACTACATGTCTGTATCCATGTGCTTTCTAATGCAATTGGAGTCTGGCCAACCAAGTGTTACATTAAGTAAGACAAGCATTTACCGAATGCCTAACTGGTGCCAGAAACTGTACTATAGTGATGAATATAAGGTCGTGTCCCTGGCTTCCTAAGCATCCTGATATGTTGAAATGAATTGTGGCAACTCCTTAGCAGGCCAATTTGGAAGCCTTCCATTTGCCTGTTTTTAATAGGGTACAATTTAAAGTGTTGACAGAGATATTGACAATGTTGTCTGGTTTTGAAGGCCAATTCTGCTGGGTTGAGAAAGACAGTGGGTGGTTCAGGCCAATGAGAAAGCAGGAGCAAAGGCCAGAAGGTGAAAGTAGTTGGCAAGTTTTTGGAATTGTGAGGGCTTGGTAAGTGTAGAGTTTACTTCTACATGGCAGATCAGTCACGAGGTGGGGCTAGGAAAGTATTAATACGTTGGCACCATATTGTCCAGTGGCTTGAATGCCATGCTCAAGAGTTTGATTTTTGTCTTTTTGACTTTGGAAGGCATCCATGTTTTTGAGGAATGGAATTTTAATGTGGAGGACCCATCCATAGTGATGATGATGACGACGATGATAAATAGCTAAACTAAGTGCTCAAAAGATAACTCATTTAGCCTTACAACTTCCATATGAGAGACTATTATTGTATGAGTTTTATATATTTGAAACTGGATCTTCTTAATAATGTACCTAGCACACACATTAAACAATGATTTTTGTAGAAATTTGTTTTAAATGAAATTTAGTTGTGGTTCCAAAATAAAAGCCTTGCCTCTTCTTTCGTTTTTTTTTTTTTTTTTTTTTTTGTATTGGTTTCTTGTGTGTTACTTACAATAGGCATCTAGGAGTCACATACTCAGAGGCCTAAAGTCCTTGAAGGCCTTGTTTATGAAAGGCCACCCAGTGAAAAGGGCTCACTTTTCCTGTGTGAGTCGGGGCTGGACAGAGCTCAGGCCTTGTCTCAAGGGGGCAGTCGTAGTTGTACTTAATCATGTGGTAAGGTGTACCCAAGTGTTGGTAGAGCTTCTGACTTTTATGTGAATTCTTCCATTATCTAAATGTTGGCTCAAGTTTTAAAAACTTTGGGCTCAAGTTTTAAAAACATATTTGGCCTAGAATCACTAATCTACTGTTATTTGAGATATTTACCCTAGACATTTTAGACTAGCCAAAATATACTTAAGTAATTTAGGTATATATCTCATTGATATACAGTCCTTATCCTTGAGGGGAAGGTGCAGTGTCAACTCTCAGAACTGCCATTTTGAAGATTAAAAGTATGATCATGTCTCATTAGTTTAGATGCTGTAATTTTGGAATACATGAAGGAGGAAGCTATTGTTTATATGATGTAGGAGAGGGATGAGTATGGTGAGGAAGGTAGGTGATAGCTAATTTTTTGAGGGAGAGATTTAGAGCTTGTAACTAAAAAATAATTCTGTATTGCCAAAGTTGGAAGACTCTAGAAAGTTTTAAGAATTTTAGGTCACTAAAGATCTCAAGAGAAATCAATCTTGATACGAAAGGTGTTATTTATATTTTTGAAAAAAACTTATTTCTCTAAAAACCATAAAGCAAGACTTGAAAATCTTTAAAAGCCTGTTTTGTATCTACTTTTTATAATTCAAAAAAGCCCAACCAAAATACTGTTTAAGGTTATTAAGGATGCTTCCTTGTAGAAACGGGATTGAATATGATGTGATCCTGTGAGATCTGATCATCTCAATGGGTCTTAAGGTTGAAATGAACATCTTCCTTTTAGGCAGAGAAGATGGCTTGAATTTATATTAACACATATGCTGTGTATTGTCAGAGGGTAATGAGAATTAAAATAGCTTATCAATTTCTTCACTTTGGTTTGGTGAGGAAGTGGAATCATAAGGTTAGTATTGATCAGATCATATAAGATAAAAATGTGCTATGTAATAACCTGTTACATTATGGACACTAGGAATTATTTTTACCACATGTGACATTTTTACCTTTATATCCTTTTCTCTACCAGTGAGGAGGTTGAGGAAATGTTTTAAAATAAATTTAAAAAGAAAGTTTGTATGCAAATATCTTGTTTAATTATTTTCATGAAGTCCCACATCAAATCCCCTATACACATTAACATTAAAAAGTTAAAAATTATGGGAAAGCCTTCAGAAAATTAGAATACATTTTTTTCATTATTATTACTTAATGACAAATTTACCATTCTACTTGAGTGAACTTCTTGATTCATCATCTTAATGTAATAGTTCTGAAGGCAGGTGGCAGCTTTAAGGAAAACTGCCACTTATGTAGAAAAAGATTATTGTAGAGTTGCTTGGATTACTGTGCTTTGGCAAAAGGATATGAAAAGAAAATGCTTTGTCAACATGAAGCTAAAATAAATATGATGACTGGCATGGAGCATAACAAGATTTACAAATGTATCTTCAATTATTTTATACATGATCTCAAATTTTGTCTTTCAGTAACTTTTTTTCTGCTTGTAAAGATCTAATCATACTTATTGGATAGATTTGGAAAGTACTAAAAACCAATCAAACAAACAAACAAAAAAAAACAAATAATTATCTATAATCTCATCACTTAACCATAACTGTAAAGTAATGGGTGGACTCTGAAGTCAGACAGATACTGGATTTAAGTCTTTATTCCCTATTATTATTTATCTTTAACAGCTAGCTACTTGACCTTTCTGTGCTTCAGTTTTTTTCATCTATAAAATAGAAGTAACAATTGAATTTACCTTATAGAGCTGTTTTGAGGACTGTATGGTAAATATTGAATCTACTACTTACTGTTGTTATTTCCTTCTAGTCTTTTTTTCTAAGCATATATTTTTATTTGTAGTTAAAAACATACTGTATATTTGTTTCTTTTTTTTCATTTAACATCACATTATAAACATTTTCTTGTGCAATTTCCAGGTGATGAACAGCCTCCTTCTAAATCATTGACCACATTTCTTATTCTTTCCTGAGGATAAATTTCAAGATATCCTGAACCAACTGATGACAGCCTATTTAGCTACAGGAATACTCTGGAAGGAAATGGTAGCTTCTGGAGTTTTAACTGGAGTGTTAATCTTGCCACCATGACCTAATGGAATATCACATAACCTCCCTGGTGTGACCATTAAGCTTAGCAGGATCTCAGAGAATAGACAGAGGAATATGCAAGCTGGTTATCAGAGAAGGCTCTGGAGCCTGTCAGTCAGTTTGAACCTTGGTTCTGCAACTTTGGCAATATATATATTTTTTATCACTCTGAGCCCTTTCTGTACAATAGGATAAAACTAATACCTATTTCATGTGGTTGTTTGGAAGATTAAATAGTTTGATATGTAATCCTGGCAGGTGGTAACTACTTAATGAATGTTAGCTCCTATTGTTCATTATATTAGATACCTAAAGTTTGTTTTATGATTAAATGCGAGAGAATGGCAGTGATGTTCGCATGTAATGTGAGTACAAGCTGTTAACATATAAAATAGGGCAATACAAATATTTTTTACTCCGAAATGGATTGATTTTCCTCCCATTTAAAATAAATAACAGAAATATTCTGTTTTATGTTTTGTGGCCAGAAGCTAGCATGGGAAGAGGCATTTGATTTAATAATCCTTATAGAGAATTTTTAACAATTTTCTTCAGTAATTCAAAGGTGGAAAGTGATTTTTGTCCAGATTATTCTTGTTGAAAGACAAAAATGCTTTATGTTAGTTTTTTAAAAATTAAATTTGGTCGGGTGTGGTGGCTCATGCCTGTAATCCCAGCTCTTTGGGAGGCCGAGGTGGGCAGATCATGAGGTCAGGAGATCGAGACCATCCTAGCCAACATGGTGAAACCCTGTCTGTACTAAAAATACAAAAATTTAACGGCGTGGTGGTGTGTGCCTGTAATCCCAGCTACTCTACTCGGGAGGCTGAGGCAGGAGAATCGCTTGAACCTGGGAGGCGGAGGTTGCAGTCAGCCAAGATCATGCCACTGCACTCCAGCCTGGCTACAGAGCGAGACTCCATCTCAAAAAAACAAACAAACAAAACAAAACAAAACAAAACCAAAAACCAAAACAAAACACAACAATTTAATTTAAGCAAAACACCTGCAGCTAATAATGGTAGCATTTGTAGTGCTTACTATGTGCTACACACTGCTCTAGGTGCTTTACCTGTAATAACTCATATAATCCTCACAATGCCATATGAAGAAATTTATTTTATTGTCCCCATTTTGTAGATGAAGGAACTGAGGCACAGAGAGGTCAAATAACCTGCTGAAAGTTACATAGCTTGGGAGAAAATTCTGTGCTATGTAGTCCAGCTCCAGAGCCTGTGCTTTTTAAATCAGAAAACAAAGAATAATAATTAAGTACAATACCAATATGTTTGCAGTGAGTTTGTGTTAATACAAGAATTTGATTACTATTAAATTCAAGAGCATGTTTTAAAAAATTCATCTGTTTTTTGGAAATATATGTATGCAAATTTAAATTCATTTTCCCCTTTTAGTTTTTCAGTTATGGGACAAAAATATTATATCAAAACACTGAAGCTTTGCAATCTAAATTCTTTTCACCTCTTCAAAAAGCGATGCTACCACCTAATAGTTTTCAAGGAAAAGTGGCATTCATTACTGGGGGAGGTACTGGCCTTGGTAAAGGAATGACAACTCTTCTGTCCAGCCTAGGTGCTCAGTGCGTGATAGCCAGCCGGTAAGTCCCTTACATCAAGCCTATTGGCGACGCTTTTGAAGAAACTGTTCTGTGCCATAGTATTGAAAACACTGTTCGCCAGAGTTGTTTGATTAGCATCTTAATCTTATATGAAATACTAGAAATATTATTTAGATTATTTAAATACATCTTTTTGGAAAAAGTTAGGTACTATTTGAGATGAAAGAAACAATGAAAATTGTGGAACTGATGTTTGGGTAAACATCCGCAATTTTCATTATTTTAATTTCTCCAATTCAGTGGTAGAATATTTCTTTTTCTGTACACGAAGATGAAGTTAAAAAGTACGACATGGAGCCAGGTGGGATGGTGTGTGCCTGTAATCCCAGCTACTGGGAAGCTGAGGCAGGAAGATCACTTGAAGCCCAGAATTTGAGACCAGCTGGGCAACATAGTGAGACCTTGTCTCAAAAGAAACATTTTTTTTTTAAGCACTATATGGAGGTTGCTTTGTCTTCAGTGGGAGTGATTATGGTTACTGCTTTAATTAATAATTAACCTTATACCAGGAAAATTGATGCAGTACTTTCATTTTATTTTTTATTTTTTGTGAGGTGGAGTTTTGTCCAGCTCTTGTCGCCCAGGCTGGAGTGCAGTGGCATGATCTCAGCTCACTGCAACCTCCGCCTCCCGGGTTCAAGCAGTTCTCCTGCCTCGGCCTTCCGAGTAGCTGGGATTACAGGCGCCTGCCACCACACCTGGCTAATTTTTTGTATTTTTAGTAGAGACTGGGTTTTGCCATATTGGCCAGGCTGGTCTTGAACTCCTGACCTCAGGTGATCCACCCGCCTTGGCCTCCCAAAGTGCTGGGATTACAGGCGTGAGCCACCGCGCCCAGCCAGTACTTTCATTTTCTATAAAATAAACAGGTATTTCAAAATATCTGTTATTGTGATGAATATAGGAAGGGTAAGACCATGTGGAAGGAATTTCTTCTTATTAGGCATATTCTGGTACCCTGTAAACTCTGTTCCAAAGTCTGAGGCTTTAGAGACTGGTTTAAAAATCCACCCCTTCACCATTTTGAATGGTGTAAAATTTTAGGTAAGCCAAGTAGTCATCCAAACAACAGTTACTGTGTCATTTGCAATTGCAGATTGTCCGGAATATTTTTTGTTTTTACATTGTAATGTTTTTAAGAGTTTAAATATATTATTTTCATTTTAATAATAATTTCTATTCATAGTTTTTTTTGTAGAATGTGAGACTGCATGAATAAATGTAGTCTCTTTGAACCCATAAATTTAGTACAAAACCTACTAACATTATACCATGAATATATTTTCTTTGTAAACCTGGCTTATCAAGGAAATAATTTAAATCTGTGAGTAGATAATGTTAAAGTAAACTGGTTTAAAAGTGACTAATTCAATAAGTTAGTATCAAATATATAAAAATGATCTAAATTTGACTTTTAGAAAAAATTCACATTGATTTTTGTATATAAATAACATCTATACTTTCTCAGAAATGCTTTTCTTTAAGCTATGGATTCTCTGTATTCTTCAATTTATGAAATTGAAAAATATAATATGAAGTCATACAAGGTGTTTATTTCTAGGAAGATGGATGTTTTGAAAGCTACCGCAGAACAAATTTCTTCTCAAACTGGAAATAAGGTACATTAAAAATCAGTTATTTAATTTAGATTTAGGAATTATAACATGTTCAAATAATTTGTTCATGCGTTTGGTTTAAGAAAGCTGGAAAATGTCATATTCTTTTTGTTATTTTGCAGGTTCATGCAATTCAGTGTGATGTGAGGGATCCTGATATGGTTCAAAACACTGTGTCAGAACTGATCAAAGTTGCAGGACATCCTAATGTAAGTGTAGCAATGATGAAGCCAAAGTGCAAGACACTTGATGTTGATAACACCCACCAACATGTACAAAGGAAATAAAATATTGATACTGATGTAGGACAGGCAAGCCCGAATCTGGGGCTTAGCCTGGGAAGGTTCTTGGCTTCACCCAGGAAAGAATTCAAGGATGAGCCGGTGGTAGAAGAGAACAGCTTTATTGAAGCAGCAGCAGTGGAATGGATCTGTGACTGTTCCTTCAGAGCAGGGCAACACCATAGTCAATGTGCTGGGCATAGCAGTTGAGAGGCAGTTTTATAGTCGTATTTATACCCACTTTTAATTGCCTGCAAATTAATTAGGTTTATGCAGAAATTTCTAGAAAAGGGTTGGTAACTTCTGAGTTATCAGTTCGTTGCCATGGAAAGGGCAGTAACTTGCTGACATTGCCATGGCAATGGTAAACAAACATGGTGCATTGGTGGGTATGTCTAAAGAGGGGGTGCTTTCATCCAGGACCTGGTTTAACTAGTCCTCATTCTGGTCCTGTGATGGAACTCTGCCTCCAGAGTTAGGCCTCCTCCTACCTCAATATGAGCAAGTGCTGTGTTGAGAAGCACCTATTTTCCATCCCTAGGAAAATGCCAGTTCTGCTAAAGCAAAGAACAGAGTAGGAAGACTGCTACACAACTTCCTTTCAGGAATACTTAAAGAATCCATTTATGATTGATCAGAAAACAAACTTGATTTCACTTTATTTAATAAGATTATGAAATAACAAGAGCAGTTATCCAAGAGTACAGCATTGAGTTTAAATGATTGATGCTTTTTGCTTCTCCTAGTAACTTTTGATTGTCTTCCTCAGTGGAGGAGAACGATATAAACATGAAAAACTATAAGAAATTCAAAATTTCTCCTTTTAAGACCTGAAATATGCATGAATATTTTGCTGTTGCTTGGTACATTTATCGGAGAGAAGCCGTTTCTTCCAGTAGTCTCAAAGATAGCACTTTTCTATGTTAAAGGTATTTTCAGAACCAGTAACACTGAATCTCCTGTAGAACTAGCCAGAATCTTTACTGATGGTAAATAGATCATCAACCACAAGCTGCATTGGTTAAGTTAAACTAAAATGACACCAGAAACAAAAAGCCATTTCTTGAGATTCTTTGAAATAAAATGCAGTCACATGGTAAATATGTTTAATCTGTATTAATTTTCTTTTTTTTAACTTTTAAAATTTTATTCATTTATTTTGAGACAGAGTCTTGCTCTGTCACTCAGGTTGGAGTGCAAGTGGCACAATCACGGCTCAGTGGAGCCTTGACCTCCTGGGTTCAAGCGATACTCCCACCTCAGCCTCCCAAGTAGCTGGGAATACAGGCACGTGCCACCACACCCAGCTAATTTTTAAAACAAAATTTTTGTAGAGATGACGTCTCGCTTTGTTGCCCAGCCTGGTCTTGAACTCATCCCAAAGTGCTGGGATTACAGGCATGAGCCACTGCACTCAGCCTTAGTTTTCTTAATAAGAGAATCTACCCTAATTTAAAGACGGCTTAGGATTCTGAAATTTGGTAACTAACGTAGGAGGTTTTCACAGACTCAGACTACCAAATCTCATGGTATTGTTTCGTAGGTAGCTGTGGACTTCAACTTTATTGTATTATTTCTATTAATACATTTCAGAAAAAAAACCCTGCAGGGAAAATGTTTTTCCTCATCTAAAGTTTCTGTAACTTGCCTTGTTCATTTATTAGATTGTGATAAACAATGCAGCAGGGAATTTTATTTCTCCTACTGAAAGACTTTCTCCTAATGCTTGGAAAACCATAACTGACATAGTTCTAAATGGCACAGCCTTCGTGACACTAGAAATTGGAAAACAACTAATTAAAGCACAGAAAGGTATGTTTATTTGCTTTTCTCATATTTATTTGGCTTCTGTGTGTGCAAGGTTCTGTGGTAAGCTCTGTGATACTTTAAAAGTCAATGAGACAGTCTACACTTGTACAACTCACAGTGTAATGGAGAAAAATGATATTTAAATAATTATCATATGTTACAATTTGAGCAGTAATAAATATATGTTTCAAGTGCATTGGCAATCCAGAGACAGGAATGACTAACTCTCCCTAGGGTCAGTGATCAGGTTGAGGAACAAGATGCAACTTAAGCTGAAAGTTCAAAGATCTAGATGTGGAGAAAGAGGAGGGAAAGGACATGTGAATGTCAATGGATAGAGGCCTGGTGGAGAGGAGGACATAAGTACATAGGGAATGATGAAAACTTTGATGTCATTAGAGATGGGGAAAGGAATAGGAAATGATTTTGGGAAGGTGGGTTGGAGTGTAATTGGGAGAGTTCTCAATACCAAAATAAGGAGTTTAATGTTAATTCTGAAAGAAATAGGAAGTATTTTTGTATAGATTTCCATTGAAGGTGGAACAAAGAATGCGACTTGATTGGAAAGGTTAGTGACAACAAGATGGATGATAAAAGGAGTGCCATTCAGGAGGATTTGATTTTTCTTTTAGCAGGTGGCTAGATTGCATGGGAGATAAAGTAGAAGACATTTAGAAGACAATAAGATCAACAGGCCTTATTGATTTGATGAGAGTATTTTTAGATGGGATGAAGAGTCTGGATGATAATACCAATGAGATTAAGAACACTGGAGGGAAAATAGATTTAGAAAGAACTTACTAGGAGAACATTTTTGTTAGTATTATGAATGAATTACTTTATAAAAGTTCATATGTACATGGATAGCAAACATGTCTAATGTATATATGTGTGTATATTCATATATATCTAGAACCAGCGTACATTTATTCACCTGACAGACACTTACTAATGACTTTTGGGTAGCAGGCCCTATACTCATGCTCAAAGCACAGAGGTGGACAAGACCCTGTCCCTGAATAATTTGGGGAACTTGAAGGGTGCGGGTATTTTCTCAGAGAAGGTGGAGAGTATTTTAAACAAGGAAAATGAGGAAGCGTTCTCATGCTCCTCAGAGGATGTCCTTTGAGGGTTGAGGGGAGGAAAGAGGGCATGGAGCTGGCTAGGTTCCTCCCTCTGTTCAGAAACCTTTGCCTTATAAGGTTCAATTTCTTCTTTTGTGCAGCGCAGGTGATCCTAGAACCAGCTTGAGATACGCTGTAGGAACAGAGAGATGCTACAGAGGCACTAGCTCTGTGTGTGTGTGTGTCTGCTCACATACATACACTAATAGCTTCCATCCTTTCTATGCACTCATTGAAATTGAAATTCCTGGTTACTCATTTCCATGATGGCAGAATGGATGTGATTTATAATTGGATTTTGGATAAGTGTTTTATTTGATGTTTTTTTTTTCAGTGAGGGGCAGGAAGATGGATAAGAGTGGGAAGGGGGGACAGGGAAGAGTGTGACTCCTCTCTCTTCCCTTCTCTGTCCGAGGAACCTTGATCTCTGTATCTCTCCTGTGTCTCTGCCTCTGTCTGATTTTCTCTCGCCCTACCCCTTGCTGATATCTCCATTTCATTCTCTACTGCTCTGCCTCTGTCAGCTCCTCATTTTTGGTTCTCTGTTTCTCTCTTCATCTGTCTCTTTCGTTTCTTTGTCCTTCTTTGCCTCTTTGTCTCTTATTTCTTCCCTCGCTCATCTCTGTGACCCTCAATTTCTGTCTGACTCTCCCTTCTTCCCTCATTATTGTCTTTCATTTTAACATAGACTCTGATCTATTTTTGTTCATCACATTGGATTAAAATTCTATGAGCTTCATTAAAAATATATTAGATAAAATATCTTTTTAAAAGATGGAAGCCAGTTTTTATTCTTCCAAGATTCCTGTCAGTTATTGATGCTATAAGCTGACAGAGTTTGGAGAACTTGGACCACTCAGCTGAGGGGAGTACGCGGTAAAGGATTTGTTCTGGTACTGGATCGACAGTCAAGGAACTGAAGCGTGACATTTTTAACAATATCATGTCTTCCAGTCTCTCAATGTGGTATCTCTCACCATTTATTTAGGTCTTCTTTAATTCCTATCAGCAGTGTTTTGCATGGGCATTGTACATGTTTTGTTAACTTTCTCCCAAAGTATTTAAATTTTTGGTGCTATTGCAAATGGCACTGTTTTCTAAATGTTATTTTCTAGGTGTTTTCTTGTAGTATTTAGAAATACAATGGATTAGTTTTGTGTATTGATGTATTCCCTAGGAGCTTGCTAAACTCACTTAATGGTTATTACAGTTTTTTTTTGTTTAGATTCCTTTGGATTTTCTGCATTGGTAATACTGTTGGTGAAAAAAAGACAGTTTTTATATTTTCCTTCCCAACTGATAAGCCTTTTATTTTCTTTCTTGCCTTATTTTATTGGATGGGACCTTCACTAAAATATTGAATAGGTAAAAACTTAGATTCTGCTGGTTCCTAGTATTAAGAACAAATCAAATACATTTCCTCCTGATGCCAGGAGGAAAGCAATTAGATTTTCATTATTAATTATGATTTACCTGTAAATTTTCATAAATATCCTTCATCAGCTTTGGGAAGTTATCTTCTATATCTAGTTTGCTGATAGCTTTTTTTTATTATTACACTTTAAGTTCTAGGGTACATGTGCACAACGTGCAGGTTCGTTACATATGTATACATGTGCCATGTTGGTGTGCTGCACTCATTAACTCATCATTTACATTAGGTATATCTCCTAATGCTATCCCTCCTCTCTCCCCCAACCCCATGACAGGCCCCAGTATGTGGTGTTCCCCACCCTGTGTCCAAGTGTTCTTATTGTTCACTTCCCACCTATGAGTGAGAACATGTGGTGTTTGGTTTTCTGTCTTTGCAATAGTTTGCTCAGAATGATGGTTTCCAGCTCCATCCATATCCCTACAAAGGACATGAACTCGTCCTTTTTTATGGCTGCATAGTATTCCATGGTGTATATGTGCCACATTTTCTTAATCCAGTCTATCATTGATGGACATTTGGGTTGGTTCCAAGTCTTTGCTATTGTGAATAGTGCCACAATAAGCATACATGTGCATATGTCTTTATAGCAGCATGATTTATAATCCTTTGGGTATATACCCAGTAATGGGATGGCTGGGTCAAATGGTAATTCTAGTTCTAGATCCTTGAGGAATAGCCACACTGTCTTCCACAATGGTTGAACTAGTTTACAGTCCCACCAACAGTGTAAAAGTGTTCCTATTTTTCCACATCCTCTCCAGCACCTGTTGTTTCCTGACTTTTTAATGATCGCCATTCTAACTGGTGTGAGATGGTATCTCATCGTGGTTTTGATTTGCATTTCTCTGATGGCCAGTGATGATGAGCATTTTTTCATGTGTCTGTTGGCTGCATAAATGTCTTCTTTTGAGAAGTGTCTGTTCAAATCCTTCGCCTACTTTTTGTTGGGGTTGTTTGATTTTTTTCTTGTAAATTTGTTTAAGTTCTTTGTAGATTCTGGATATTAGTCCTTTGTCAGATGGGTAGATTGCATAAATTTTCTCCCATTCTGTAGGTTGCCTGTTCACTCTGATGGTAGTTTCTTTTGCTGTGCAGAAGCTCTTTAGTTTAATTAGATCCCGTTTGTCTATTTTGGCTTTTGTGGCCATTGCTTTTGGTGTTTTAGACATGAAGCCCTTGCCCATGCCTATGTCCTGAATGGTAATGCCTAGGTTTTCTTCTAGGGTTTTTATGGTTTTAGGTCTGACATTTAAGTCTTTAATCCATCATGAATAAATTTTTGTATAAGGAGTAAAAGGAAGGGATCCAGTTTCAGCTTTCTACATATGGCTAGCCAGTTTTCCCAGCACCATTTATTAAATAGGAAATCCTTTCCCCATTGCTTGTTTTTGTCAGGTTTGTCAAAGATCAGATGGTTATAGATGTGTGGTATTACTTCTGAGGGCTCTGTTCTGTTCCATTGATCTATATCTCTGTTTTGGTACCAGTACCATGCTGTTTTGGTTCCTGTAGCCTTGTAGTATAGTTTGAAGTGAGGTAGTATGATGCCTCCAGCTTTGTTCTTTTGGCTTAGGATTGTCTTGGCAATGTGGGCTCTTTTTTGGTTCCATATGAACTTTAAAGTAGTTTTTTCCAATTCTGTGAAGAAAGTCATTGGTAGCTTGATGGGGATGGCATTGAATCTATAAATTACCTTGGGCAGTATGGCCATTTTCATGATATTGATTCTTCCTATCCATGAGCATGGAATGTTCTTCCATTTGTTTGTGTCCTCTTTTATTTCATTGAGCAGTGGTTTGTAGTTCTCCTTGAAGAGGTCCTTCACATCCCTTGTAAGTTGGATTCCTACATATTTTATTTTCTTTGAAGCAATTGTGAATGGGAGTTCACTCATGATTTGGCTTTCTGTTTGTCTGTTATTGCTGTATAGGAATGATGTGATTTTTGCACATTGATTTTGTATCCTGAGACTTTGCTGAATTTGCTTATCAGCTTAAGGAGATTTTGGGCTAAGATGATGGGGTTTTCTAAATATACAATCATGTCATCTGCAAACAGGAACAATTTGACTTCTTCTTTTCCTAATTGAATATCCCTTATTTCTTTCTCCTGCCTGATTGCCCTGGCCAGAACTTCCAACACTATGTTGAATAGGAGTGGTGAGAGAGGGCATCCCTGTCTTGTGCCAGTTTTCACAGAGAATCCTTCCAGTTTTTGCCTATTCAGTATGATATTGGCTCTGGGTTTGTCATAAATAGCTCTTATTATTTTGAGATACGTCCCATCAATACCTAATTTATTGAGAGTTTTTAGCATGAAGGGCGGTTGAATTTTGTCGAAGGCCTTTTCTGCATCTATTGAGATAATAATGTAGTTTTTGTCTTTTGTTCTGTTTGTATGATGGATTACGTTTATTGATTTGCATAATGTTGAACCAGCCTTGCATCCCAGGGATGAAGCCCACTTGATCATGGTGGATAAGCTTTTTGATGTGCTGCTGGATTTGGTTTGCCAGTATTTTACTGAAGATTTTTGCATGGATGTTCATCAGGGATATTGGTCTAAAATTATCTTTTGTTGTTGTGTCTCTGTCAGGCTTTGGTATCAGGATGATACTGGCCTCATAAAATGAGTCAGGGAGGATTCCCTCTTTTTCTATTGATTGGAATAATTTCAGAAGGAATGGTACCAGCTCCTCTTTGTACCTCTGGTGGAATTTGGCTGTGAATCTGTCTGTTCCTGGACTTTTTTTGGTTGGTAGGCTTTTAATTATTGCCTCAATTTCAGAGTGTGTTATTGGTATATTCAGGGATTCAACTTCCTCCTGGTTTAGTCTTGGGTGGGTGTATGTGTCCAGGAATGTATCCATTTCTTCCAGATTTTCTAGTTTATTTGTGTAGAGGTGTTTATAGTATTCTCTGATGAGAGTTTGTATTTCTGTGGGATCGGTGGTGATATCCCCTTTATCATTTTTTATTGCATCTATTTGATTCTTCTCTCTTTTCTTCTTTATTACTCTTGCTGGCAGTCTATCAATTTTGTTGACCTTTCCAAAAACGAGCTCCTGGATTTGTTGATTTTTTGAAGGGTTTTTTGTGTTTCTATCTCCTTCAGTTCTGCTCTGATCTTAGTAATTTCTTGCCTTCTGCTAGCTTTTGAATGTGTTTGCTCTTGCTTCTCTAGTTCTTTTAATTGTGATGTTGGGTGCCCATTTTAGATCTTCCCTGCTTTCTCTTGTGGGCATTTAGTGCTATAAATTTCCCTCTACACACTGCTTTAAATGTGTCCCAGAGATTCTGGTATGTTGTGTCTTTGTTCTCATTGGCTTCAAAGAACATCTTTATTTCTGCTTTCATTTCGTTATGTACCCAGTAGTCATTCAGGAACAGATTGTTCAGTTTCCATGTAGTTGAGCGGTTTTGAGTGAGTTTCTTAAACCTGAGTTGTCGTTTGATTGCACTGTGGTCTGAGAGACAGTTTGTTATAATTTCTGTTCTTTTACATTTGCTGAGGAGTGCTTTACTTCCAACTATGTGGTCAAGTTTGGAATAAGTGAGATGTGGTACTGAGAAGAATATATAGTCTGTTGATTTGGGGTGGAGAGTTCTGTTGATGTCTGTTAGGTCTGCTTGGTGCAGAGCTGAGTTCAATTCCTGGATATCCTTGTTAACTTTCCATCTCGTTGATCTGTCTAATGTTGACAGTGGGTTGTTAAAGTCTCCCATTATTATTGTGTGGGCGTCTACATCTCTTTGTAGGTCTCTAAGGACTTGCTTTATGAATCTGGGTGCTCCTGTATTGGGTGCATATATGTTTAGGATAGTTAGCTCTTCCTGTTGAATTGATCCCTTTATCATTATATAATGGCCTTTCTCTCTTCTGATCTTTGTTGGTTTAAAGTCTGTTTTATCAGAGACTAGGATTACAACCCCTGCTTTTTTTGTTTTCCATTTGCTTGGTAGATCTTCCTCCATCCCTTTATTTTGAGCCTATGTGTGTCTCTGCAGGTGAGATGGGTCTCCTGAATACAGCACACTGATGGGTCTTGACTCTTTATCCAATTTGCCAGTCTGTGTCTTTTAATTGGAGCATTTAGCCCATTTACATTTAAGATTTATATTGTTATGTGTGAGTTTGATCCTGTGATTATAGTTTTTTTTTTAAAAAAAAATCGTGAATAAGTATTGAATTTGTTAATATAAGCCTTCTTTCTACATTTATTGAGATGGGTATATTTTTAAGCCTGTTAATATGGTGAATTACATTAATTAATTTTTGAATATTGAACACCATTGCATTCCTAGGCTGAATCTTCCTTCATTTTGGTAAATTATCCTAGTTATATATTGCTAGATTTGTTTTGCTGAAATTTTCTTAATGCTTACTTTGTCATTTTCCAAGTGTTACTTTTCATTGAGCTTCTTAGCTTCTGTGCTTGCTTAGTTTAGTGATTAGGATTTGAGGGGAGTTTATATGCAGATGTTACCTCGTCCTTTGCACCTGCTCTGGCAGCTTTGTCCAACAGGTGATAGGTTGGCTACAGCCTTGCTTTGCGAAATTGTTACTTTAACCTGAATCCAACAAAAGCCTCTTGTGCCGCCATCAGAGGCATATTATATAAGTGTTCAACATAGTGTGATACTCTTCATATTTGGATTTTTTTTTAGCATCTTAAGTTACTTAACATTCAAGTTAAAATGTTGGCCTCATGTCTATTATTGTCTTAAAATTACATTTTGATTGTATCTAGATAAAACTATTTTTCTTAAAAAATTTTTTTTGCTTTTCTTGCATGTATTTATTGAAAAAATATATGACAGCCTACTCAGATATTGTACTTGATTTTGGACTAGCTTTGGTGTTGAGTCACATGGATTACTTTATACCAGAAAGCTAGAATTCCTTATACCTAAGAACATATGAGAATTCTATAGTGATTCCCACAAGTTGTATATTAAATAAAGGTATATGATGTAACAGGTGTTGGAATACAGAACAAGCAAAATGTGAAATATTCTTTTTAAAGACATTACCTAATTTTAACCAAATTTTCACTTATTTTTACTTCCTTCTTTCCTTCCTCCCTCCTTCCCTTCCTTCCTCCCTTCCTTTCTTTTTTTCCCTTATAAAAATCTTTCCTTCCTTCTTTTTTTCTTTCTTTCTTTCATATCTAATGTTTATTGAGTGCTTATTTTGTATCAGGCTTTGTTCTAAGTGCTAAATACTTATTAACTCATTTAACACTTGCAATGACCTTGCAAGTAAGTGCTCTTTTATTCCCATTTATAGACATGGGTGGAAACTGACGTACAATCTTTTTTTAATGTAGGAAGTGAATTTTTAACGCTCACATTTACAGATGAGAAACTATGGCTTATTAATTACCTAAGTGTTAACTATTACTATTAAAATCGACAATTGACATAATTTAAAAAATTAGTTGTTGTAAGTGGTCTAGTAGAGAAAAAGAAGGAACTGTGACTTTTTATTGTAGTCATAGTCACTTAGTTTACACCTGATACTTGGACAGTTAGTGAGTGACGATATTTTACTGTTATTCAGCTTTTTCATCTATAAAATATACTTGATAATAAATTACTACTCCAATATTTAGTAACAGAACAAGGCGTTAGGTGTAGAAGCCTCATGAAAAATATAAATTGTTTTACAGATGTACATGTGCTTTTTCTTACATGTGAATGGACATCCGATAGCCTAGCTAACATAAAGACTTTGGTGGAAATAACTTTTAAGAACCTCAGAGAATTTAAAACTAAGAAGTAGAAGCAACCCAAGGAAGCTTGAACCATATGGAGCTTGTGTTGGGGAAAGGGAAAGAGTGAAGTGAATAATCTTACCAGCAGCCTTGTGATAGAGGAAGAGAATAAATGTAAATCACCAACTGAAGAAAGAATAAAAACAAAGGACTGTTTTAGTTAATAGAGAAGAAGAAACAGTTTTCAAGGCCAGAGGCCTTGGAAGCATTGAACTAAGTAAAGTACATTATACTGTTTTTACAGTTTAATTAAATTATCAGAAAACACAAGATTTTTTAACCATCTTGCTGTTCTTCTGGAGTCCCTGATGTGTGAACCGTAAACACAAGAATAAATTTCAAAACATTCCTTTTTCCAACCCATAGACATTGTACTTGGCCAGTTACTCTTCCTTGTCCTCCATAATGGAGCACCCTCAGCCTGTCCAGTCTCTATACTAGCCCGTTTGACTGATCCAGTACACATGCCCTGATTAGAATCATTCTTTACCTGAGCCATAGAGTCTCCATTCCCAGCTCTAGTCCACTCCTCACTGAAGGATTACCAGTTCAGGGGCTAGCATGCATACTTTAGCACAGTGGTCCCCAGCCCTTTTGGCACCAGGGACCATTTTCGTGAAAGAAAATTTTTTCACAGACCAGGGGAAGGTGCAGGGGGTGGTTTTGGGATGAAACTGTTTCACCTCAGATCATCAGGCATTAGAGTATCATAAGGAATGTGCAAGCTAGATTCCTTGCATGTGTAGTTTGCAATAGGGTTTGCGCTCCTATGATAACCTAATGTCACCGCTGATCTGACATTAGGTGGAGCTCAGGCAGTAATGCTGGCTCACCTACTGCTCACTTCTTGCTGTGTGGCCTGGTTTCTAACTGGCCATAGACTGGTATGGGGCTGGGGTGTGGGGGTCCCCTGCTTTAGCACTTAAAAACATGCTACATCTAGTTATTGTTTCATGTTGTAAGTCTCCTTTTCCATCAACTCTCCGTCCATTACAAATTCTTTTATCAGGGTGCATTACTTCTGCCCTACCTGCAAAGCCTTTCCATTCCTTCCCCACCATTTCCTAACTCAACACTGAACACAAATGTGGTGCTTTGTTTATGCAGTGAAACATTTTGGAGACCTGCAAAAGGAAGGTGAGTTGAGTACATACTTAACACTTCTTTCAATTATGTCCTTCAACTTTACTATTGGAGGGAAAAGATGACCAGTCATTGACATGATCAGTTGGAATGGAAGCAAATGCACCTTGTTTCAGAAGTGGGAAGAGTAGAGCATAGCAGAAGGCTTTCCTTATTCGTCAGTAGTGTGAGTGCAAGGTGTATGTTGCTTAGAGTATATAAGAACCACATAAGTACATTTCTTTATATTGTGTCCAGAGATTTTGTTTTTTTCTAGAACAGTGGGTGCATCTAAAGAATATTTGAAAACACATTTTTAGTTATCAGTTGAAATTTATTAAGGTGGTATTAGTATCCTTTTGAAATCACTTTTTTCTAGAGTCATCTCGTTTGATGGGAGAGTTCAACCTCATCTGTTAAAATTTCTTAGAGCAACTGTGTACCTTATTTTGATGTTTTTTGAAGATAAGGTAAAGGTAAAGCGATTTGAGAATTTTGAAAATAAATTAGTTTTTCTTTCTAAGTAGTAATTAGAAATTTCTTGGCAAGGCAGTAGTAGTTACATAGTAGTTAAGAGTGCAGGCTCTAGAGCTTAACTGCCAAGTTCCAATCCTGGTTAATACTTATTAGTCCTATCAACTTGGACAGATTAGCTTGCTGTGCCTGTCTTTTCTGTAAAATAATGTTGATAATAAAGCCTTCCTCCTAGGATTGCTGTAATGATTATAAGAGCTAGTGTCTATAAAGTGTTAAGAATAGTTCCCGGGGCAGACTAGTACTCAATAAATGTTAGTTATGAAAGAAAATGTTAAGTTTCCTCCAAGATAAATGTATTTTTACCACGTCTTTTACAAGGGGACTATCAACTATCTGAAACTTAGGTTTTGACTCATAATTAAAATTAGTTAGAAAAACCAGAGCCCTGATATCCCTTCTTACTATAATTAAACTTAAAAATAGCAGCCTACATGAGGGACATATTTATATTAAATGTTTAAATGAGAAAAGTGTTTCCTTAGTAGATAATATTATTTATGTAGGGTTATTCTAGTTTTTAAATGTTATAGTCCTATTTTGAGTAGCTTTTAGAGAATTAAGGATTTTTAGATTTTCATATGGGCTCTCATTGAAAAATGGCTCGGAGACAGGTATCCTCTGTGCCCTCATCAAAAAGACAGAGAAGTTTGTCTTCTTACCATGATTGTCAGTAAGATTAATTGCTAGCAATAATAGTAGAAGAGTTAGAACTGCAACCAACAGCTCAGTTGTGTATTTAGGCATACAAGGAGTTCAGTGTTGCTTATATGTGACATATAATGCCTGGAGGGGTAGGAGATGAGGCCAAGCAATGTGGTCTTTATCCTTCGGTGATAGGTAAAGTTAAACAAGGATTAAAAAAAAATTAAGATACTTTATTTCTGTTTGTTGGAAAGTTGACATAATACACTATACTAGTCCCCCATTGTGGGGACCACAAATGACCACAAACTTAACAGCTTAATATATCATATGCTTATAATTTTATAATTCTGTTTTTTTCAAGTAAATGCACAGAGTTGCTTGGCTGGTTTCTCTGCTTCAGATCTTATAGGCTAATATCAGGGAGTCACCCAGCAGAGCTCATGTCTTGGAGGCTCTAGAAAGAGTCTGTATCCAGGCTCATTTAGGTCGTTGGAAGAATCAAGTTTCTTGTGGTTGTAGGACTGAAGTGTATATGTTCATGGTTACTGTCAGCTTAGGGCCACCCTATCTCCTAGGGACCTCTCTCTGATCCTTACATAGGGACTGGTACATCTCAGAGCCAGCAATACCACAATATGTCTTTCTCATGCTTAGGGACTGACTTTCTCTTCTACCACATCTCTCTTGCCTGCTCCTTAAAATTCATCTTTCTGACTACAGCCAGAGAAAGTTGTCTGTTTTTAAGAGTTCACGTGATTAGACTGTGTTACTTGGATAATCCCAGAAAGGCCCCTCTCTTAAATCCTGTAATCTTTCTTAATGTCTTCAAAGTTATTTTGCCAAGTAAAATAAGAAATTCAGTTCTTAGGAATTAGGGCATGGGATCTTTAAGTGGGGCCATTCTGCCCACATATATTTCTTATCTTGTTAGAAAGGAAACCCTCAGAACAACAAGAATATTTTGAAATAAGTAAATAATCATGTAATATCTGTAATGTAAAACATGCTTCCTTAGATATGGCACCCTTATGCACTGCTCAACCATGTGTAGCAGCCCTGACCTACCGGCCGTTCAACAAATTCTTGGATGTGTCTGTGAAACTAGGGGGCTGGGTTGCCTGTTGGAGTTACCTTCCATTCTGGTGATGTTTCCTAACGCAACTTGCCAAATTATTAATACACAGCTAGTAAATGGCAGTCTTTTTGCATGAGAGCGGAAGAGTAATAGGTGGAATCAACAACAGCAGTAAATTAACAAGTAATCCTTAGAATCTAATGACATTTGCTGGATACGCCCTATGTTCCTGTTTTACAGGTGATAAATCTAGGGTCCAGAGCAGGGATGCGACTTCCCCAGTCTCATAGCTACACAGCTAGTAAATAGTGGAATCAGTTTCTGAGCCCAGGTGTCTATACTATTCCCCTTCTGTTGGTCATTGGAACTAAATTTGTTTAGTGATTCTTTCAATTCATAGTTTGTATTGAAACCAGATTTTAGAACTTTTGAATCTTCTTTTGAAATTAGATCATAATCTTGCACATATCATAGCTTTTTTGATAGATAATATGATTTTTGATGTTCTTTTATTACTATTTTTTTCCATTTCAAAATAACAAAGGATGGACTAACATAATATTTATTTCATTTATTGCTTCCCTTCTCTATTTTCTTAACCTCATTAATAATATAGATTCATTTCTGTTGTCTGCTCTGAGCTGTTAGAAACTTGACTTTTATAAAGCTTTTCCATGAGCAGTTATTCTAACTGAAATAATGGGCCTCTGTACAAGAAGGAAAATATATGTGACTAACCCTGGGGATCTAGGAATTCTTTACTTTGCACTTTAGCACCACTGTTCATTTTTTTGAAGCCGATAATTGTTTCACCTTGCAGCATTAATGCTATTGGAACAGTGCAGTTTCAAACCTTTATCTCCCTTTTACACTCATGAGAATTAAAAGCTGCAGTATATTATTCTAAGAGGTGGGCTACCCAAATTTTCTAGGCTGAGAAAATAAAACCTTAAAGGGATAAAAAGAATAGTAAAATAACTTTCATTTCAGCATCTAAATTGTAGTAGGATGGCTTAACTCCTTTCCCACACTTGGAGAAATGTATTTGTTCAGTCTTAGTTGAAAGATAGTGCACTTTCCATTGGAGCATTTGCTTTGTATTTGCCACTTTTAAAGCAGTTTTTTTTCTTTTGTAATTTTGCTATAAGAATGATACAGTTAGCATCTGTTGTCAATGTACTGTAATGGAGCCCACTAATGTTCTACATCCCTCCTCTTTCATGGAGTACGATTTTGGAAGCAAAGTAATTTTCAGCAATCTGAAAGGCTGTTTGATATATAGAAGGAGTTACCAGAATGATTAACATAACCATTCTTATTTTTTCCTATCCTCAAAATGGTACTCCTGCCCCCTCTTCCACCCCCGTGTTTCCCAGGATGTGCTGAGTTTTCTTTCTACTCTGGAACATGCTGAGAGAAAGAGAAACTAAATATATGGAGCAGAGAAAAAACTTATCTGAATATTCTTCAAAATACTTTCCTTGTAGTCCTTCAAATTTAAATTTCTAAAAGTATTTGCTGTTATGTAAAAGATGTAAACTTATTTTGATCCTTTTGCAAATATTAAGTATTGTCTTATCCCGTGTTATGAATAAATAAGAAGTAGAGAAATCACTGATTTCTCAGGACCTAAAGATTACCCTTTTAAGCCTTTATTTGTTTATTTATTTATTTGTTTGTTTGTTTATTTATTTATTTTTTGAGATGGAGTCTCACTCTTGTCACCCAGACTGGAGTGCACTGGCATCATCTCGGCTCACTGCATCCTCTGCCTCCTGGGTTCAAGTGATTCTCCTGCCTCAGCCTCCTGAGTAGCTGGAATTACAGGCATGCCCTACCACACCTGGCTAATTTTTGTATTTTTAGTACAGGCAGGATTTCACTATGTTGGCCAGGCTGGTCTCGAACTCCTGACCTCAGGTGATTTGCTCCCCTTGGTCTCCCAAAGTGCTGGGATTACAGGCATGAGCCACTGTGCCTGGCCTTATTCAGTTAATTTATTGAGAACCTGCTGTGTCCTAGACACTATTGACCACTGTATATGCAGTATCACTTTGTAATATAGCTTTTATACAATCATTTTAAAAAGAAATTTAGAAAACAAGAAAAAATATTTTATATTTACCTACATATTTACTATTTCTTTCCTTTTGACAATCTCAGTTTCTCTATAATATCATTTTCATATCACCTTGATTTTTGAAGGGTATTTTTGATGGATATGGAATTCAGAGTTAAGTTTTATCTTTCAACACCTTAAAAATATAACTCCATTGTCTTCTAGCTTACATTATTTTTAGAAATGAGAAGACAATGAAAATTTTTGTCTGTGTTTGTGTATTTTTATTGCTTATTTTTACCTTTGGCTGCAATTAGGATTCTATATATCATTGGTTTTCAGTTATTGATTATGATAATGTATTGATTTTTTTCCCTGTTTATCCTGCTTGGGATTCATTTAGCTTTCTGCATTGTAAGTTATAGTTTTTACCAAATTCGGAATTTTTTTAGTCCTTATTCAAGTGCTTTTTCTTCCTCTGTGACTCTAACTATACGTTTGTTAGAATGCTAGATACTGTTCCATAGGTCAGTGAGGTTCTGGGTTTTTCCTCAGTTTTTTTTTTCCCATTTGTCTTTCATTTTGGATAGTTTATATTGCTGTGTCTTCAGATTCATGGATCTTTTCTTCTACAGCTAAGCTTATTTGTTCAATTTTTCCTTTCAGATGCTGTATTTTTCTGCTGTAGAAGCCATATTGGTTTCTATTTTGTATTTTCCATTTTTCTCATCATATAAATATTTTCAGTGAAATCTTTTAAAATATTTGTAATAGCATTTAAAAGGCTGTTTGTCTGCTACATCTGTCTTCTCTGTCATTTCTGGGACTCTTTGTCTATTAATCATTTTTCTCCTTGTTAGGTTTCTGTGTCTTTTTATGTGCAGTAATTTTTTATTGCATGCTGTGAATGTTATGTTGTTGTTCTGTGTTTGTGTCTGTGTGTATTTTAATTTTCTTTTGAGGTGTGTGGTTTTTTTTATTTTGGAAAGCTTCTAAATTACTTATGCATCAGCCTAATCATTTTTAAGGGTCATTTTAAAGCTTTATTTCAGCAAGTATATAGTAGTCCTTACTTTGGGGCTAATTTAACCCTCCTACTAAGGCATTTTTTTTTCTGAGCTCTCTACTGAAAGCTCTGGATGTTCAGTGAAGCTGCTTAGAACTCCCATGTCTCCCAGCCCTATGCAAGCTCTGGGAATTGCATCACTTACAGCTTCCTAGTAGTTGTTCTTTGCCTGGCCTCAATGGAATCTCACACTAAACATGTACAGCTTATTTGTCTAAAGACTCTTTGAGACTCCATGCAGCTTTATGGAGTTCTATTAATATCTCTGCCTACTTTCCTCCTTGGAGGAACTCTTAGAAACCTTAGTTTCCTCAGGCTCCCCAAACCGATCTCTATCTTCTTAACTCAGTGTGAATGCCATTTTCTGCTTAGATTCCTCCTCCTCATCCTTCCATCTATATAGTATCTTTAGGCAAAAAGCTAGGGTATCTCAGGGCTTAGTCATTTTCCTTCTATCAGAGTCATAGTCCTTCCCTGCCTGCTGTGCAGTATCTGTATATAATTGTAGCATATGTCTTACTCAGTTTTCTTGATGTTTACAGCAGAAGGGTAAGTTCATTATGGCTGGAGGCAGAAGTCCCTGCTAGTTTAAGTTTAATTCTGATTTATTCTTATTCAAGTAGTACTTAGTTAATGGGAATCCTGACCAGCTGATTATACAAGGTGCAATAGGGGCATGCCTCTGAGATTTGGGCTTTCGTATTGACTCGCCAGGCATACATTCCAAGTAAGTGCAGATTGGGCCATCCTAAATCATAAGATTAGTAGCAAGACATATCAATTTTCTTAGGTTACTCTCTCATTAATTTAGAGTGAGTGAAGTTTTAAAAAATACTTTAGTTTTTCTTATACCCTCTTTAATCAGATCCCATTTTTATAAATAATGTTTTCCTTATGTGTAGTGATACATCTATATTGCTAATCAACTGTATCCTTTTAAAATTTCAGGAGCAGCATTTCTTTCTATTACTACTATCTATGCTGAGACTGGTTCAGGTTTTGTAGTACCAAGTGCTTCTGCCAAAGCAGGTGTGGAAGCCATGAGCAAGTAAGTACTTCCTTGTCAATCCTGTTGCTGAACATAACTAATACAGTTGGTGGCTCAGGGAACTGTATTCCTGCTTTCTGGTGTCCATCCAGAGAAAAGTAAACAAAGACTTGGATTCACCATGAGACATACATTTTATCTCCCAGATAAGTCCTATTTGTCTATAGCAGCGCTGTCCTGTGGAACTTTCTGCAGTGATGTAAATGTTCTGTAAATATGCACTATCCAGTATCCACATGTAGATATTGAACCCTTGGAATATCCCACTGTGACTGAGAAACTAAATTTTAAAAATTAGTAGCTGTATATGGCTAGTGGCTACATATTAGACACCACAGGACTATAGCTTTTTTGCTCTCCCATAGATCTTTATCAGTGCCATCCCTAACCCCTCTCATAAGCACACGTTTATTCTTTTATTGTAGATACTGTATAAGATTAATGGGACTAACACAGACTATGAGCACTTCCCAAGTCCAGTGGCCTTTTCTCAGCAGAGTATAACTGCTTTTTTTTTTTTTTTTGAGACAGGACTTCAGTCTGTTGCCCAAGCTGGATTGCAGTGGTGCAATCACAGCTTATTGCAGCCTTAATCTCCCAGACTCAAGCGATCCTCCCACCTTAGCCTCCCAAGTAGCTGGGACTACAAGCAGGTGCCACAGCGCCTGGCTAATTTTTAAAATTTTTTTGTAGAGATGAGGTCTTGCTATGTTGCCCAGGCTGGTCTGGAACTCCTGACCTCAAGAAATCCTCCTGCCTCAGCCTCCCAAAGTGCTGGGATTACAGGCATGAGCCACTACACCCAGCCATGATTGCTTTTTGAATTTGTCCTCCACTGGCCTTTTCCATTGTCTTTATTATAATGGGGCTTCTCATCATTTCATTGCTTGTCTGGCTTGCTATAATCATGGTATATTTCTTTACTACCAGTCTCTTCCCCCTGTATTTTGTATTCACATTTTCACCAGAATTATCTTTCTAAGAACATATATGTCTGCTCACGACACTCCCCAGCTAAAAATCTTAGATCATTTCCTGTCACTCTTTGGAATAAAAGCCAGAACTCACTATGGCATTCTAAACAGACTTGTCTCTGGCCATTGTTAATTAATTTATTTATTCAATAAATATTTATTGTGTACCTTATATATGCTTCGTCCTAGGGATATGATAGTGATGGAAATAGAACAGTCCTCGTTGTTAGCTGAGCTTAAATTTTTTTACTATTCCATTTATTATTTCCATGCTTTAATTTCCATTGAACTGTTCCATGTTTCCCTAAACTTACCATACAGCTTTCATATGTCTATGGCTGAGTTATATTGTTGTTGGAATTTTGCTGTGATGTTTTGCTTACTTCCTTTGAGATGTTTTCTCTGTAATCATTTCCTCCTCTCTGTGCCTTAAAACTTTGTTTAATCCAATCTAGTGAGAGGACAAACACTAATAAATAGATTCTAAAATGAAGGTAATATACCAATGTAGCAGAGAGAGAGAGCAGGGCATCGCGGGCCTTTTTTTTTTTTTTTTTTTTTGAGACGGAGTTTTGCTCTTGTTGCCCAGGCTGGAGTGCAATGGTGCCATCTTGGCTCACCGCAACCTGTGCCTCCTGGGTTCAAGCGATTCTCCTGCCTCAGCCTTCCAAGGAGCTGAGATTACAGGCATATGCCACCACACCTGGCTAATTTTGTACTTTTAGTAGAGATGGGATTTCCTCCATTAACGTAACATTAAACAATCTGACTTCCCCACTTGGACCAGAAGAGTCTGGTCCGTAGCTGGTGCTTCATGCTTGTTGAGCTGAATTATGGTACTCTTCTTTTAGTAGTCCCAGAGCATTTTTAATATTTAAGTCAGTAAATACACATTAGTTTGAGATAGAAAGAAATATTTATTCACAAGCTGAATCTTAGTCTGAAAAGAGATAATTACCATTTTTTAAGGTCAGGTAGTGTTGGAAATAAAGGATGAGAACTTGACTATTTTGGCAGCATTTGTTCAATGTCAATATTTGTTTTGTGAGGACTCTTCAGTCTTGTTAGAGCTTTTTATCTCATGTCCTTTAAGAACTGATTTGGTGCTGCTTTTATTGTGTTCCTGCATATAATAGATGCTCATTAAACATGTGCCTTCCTTTACAGCTTGAGTTCCCATCAACCTTCTTCTCATACTTTATAGTACACAGTCTTACTAAATAAGGCATTATAGGTTCCCAAATTCTACATGTTGTTTGGGCCCTTGTCCTTTACTCATACTGACCCATATGCCTTGGCTGTCTTCCTTCTCCATCTGTATTAGTCCGTTCTCACTCTGCTATGAAGAAATACCTGAGACTGGGTAATTTATAAAGAAAAGAGGTTTAATTGACTCACAGTTTCCACATGGCTAGGGAGGCCTCAGGAAACTTAGAATCATGGTGGAAGGCACCTCTTCACAGGGCAGCAGGAAAGAGAATGTGTTCCAAGTGAAGGGGTAAGCCCCTTATAAAACTATCAGATCTTGTGAGAACTCACTCACTATCATGAGAACAGCATGGGGAAAACTGTCTTCAGGATTCAGTTATGTCTACCTGGTCCCACCCTTGACATGTGGGGATTATTACAATTCAGAGTGAGATTTGGGTGGGGACACAGAGCCAAACCATGTCACCATCCTACCTTCTTAATCTCTCAGCTCCTCCTTTCCCCTGCCTCTTGCAGCAAACTCCTAATCCTTCTTCACCCATCAGCTCAGAATGTTACCTTTTCAGAGAAGCCTTCCTTGTCACTCCCACTTAGGTTCTTCTTCTTTTAAGCAGGTATAGCTTACATCACACAATTCCCAGCCTAGTAACTGATTCATTATATAACCAGGCTCACCTCTCTTGAGAGGGAGGGACTCTCATTTGAGAGCAGGGACTGACTTTATTTGAGGCTAAGCAATATTTATAGTATTGACACATGGTAAGTATATAATAAACATTGGTTGAATGAGCAATAATAATGGCTAACATATTGCATATATTGTTCTTAGCATCTTAACATGCAGAGATAACTGTATGAGGTGGATTCATTATCAGATTACAGTAGTTCTTCAGTATATCAGCTAGCTTAATGACAGTTGAAAGATCATGCTAGCAATTGAACAAATGTATCTGGCACACCTCTGAGCACAGAGAGGATGGCTTTTCCTCTAGGCAGATTTTCTTAACAGGTTGCTCAGTTTTTCATAGGATAATATAGACTCTGCTCAGTACAGTAATTCTATTAAGACATGAAGCAATTTAGAGTAGATACACTATAAATAAATGCCCAGGGTAGCTATGGCAATGAACTTTGTCAAAAACATCACTCAGAGAAGCAATTTTTATGTATGTTCTGTCTGAAAGAGATACAGCCCACCCATTTCTCTAAAATACATTCATGGATTAAGTCAGATTAACAGGCTATCTTGAGATTACGTGTACCCTATTCTGTAGAACTGGTTTTACTGAATTGGCCTTTGAAATGATGCTATAAGACTATTAACGGATGTCTGATAGTTTCATAGAACTTAGCGCATTTTTAAAATTATACTTTAAGTTCTGGGATACATGTGCAGAATGTGCAGGTTTGTTACATAGGTATACATGTGCCATGGTGGTTTGCAGCACCCACCAACCCGTCATTTACATTAGGAATTTTTCCTAATGCTATCCCTCCCCTAGCTCTCCACCCCTTGACAGACCCAGTGTGTGATGTTCCCCTTCCTGTGTCCATGTGTTCTCATTGTTCAGCTCCCACTTATGAGTAAGAACATGCAGTATTTGATTTTCTGTTCCTGTGTTAGTTTGCTGAGAATGACAGTTTCCAGCTTCATCCACATCCCTGCAAAGTACATGAACTCATCCTTTATTATGGCTGCACAGTATTCCATGGTGTATATGTGCCACATTTTCTTTATCCAGTCTATCATTGATGGGCATTTGGGTTGGTTCTAAGTCTTTGCTATTAAGAACAGTGCTGCAATAAACATATGTGTGCATGTGTCTTTATAGTAGAATTATTTATAATCCTTTGAGTATATACCCAGTAATGGGATGGCTGGGTCAAATGGTATTTCTAGTTCTAGATCCTTGAGGAATCACCACACTCTCTCCCACAATGGCTGAACTAATTTACAGTCCCACCAACAGTGTAAAAGTGTTCCTATTTCTCCACATCCTCTCCAGCATCTGTTGTTTCCTGACTTTTTAATGATTGCCATTCTAACTGGCATGAGATGGTATCTCGTGGTTTTGATTTGCATTTCTCTAATGATCAGTGATGATGAGCTTTTTTTTTCATAGTTTGCTGGCTGCGTAAATGTCTTCTTTTGAGAAGCGTCTGTTCATATCCTTCCCCCACTTTTTGATGGGGTTGTTTGTGTTTAAGTTTAATTTGTTTAAGTTCTTTAAGTTCTTTGTAGATTCTGGATATTAGCCATTTATCAGATGGATAGATTGCAAAGCTTTTCTCCCATTCTGTAGGTTGCCTGTGCACTCTGATGATAGTTTCTTTTGCTGTGCACAAGTTCTTTAGTTTAATTAGATCCCATTTGTCAAGTTTGAACTTAGCCCATTTTATCTATTGCAAGGATACAGTGTCTTAAGGAGATTGTTATACTGTACAATTTTCCTTTTGTAAGTCTAGAAAGACTTAAAGCATTTTTCGTATTAGAGACAATTGTGCTTTTCCTGAGCAATTAGCTTGCTTTTTCTTTATGGGTACTGTGGATTGTGTAACTGATTAGGCTTACCTTTTTTGTATAGAGTCATGGGAAGAATAGATACAAATTTGTGATGTGACTATTGCAGTTATATGGAACATCACACACTTCAGTACATTTAGATATTAGCCTCATTCTTGGCTCCGTTATATTTCGTTATCCTGGCTTTTCTCTCTCTTTATCTTGCTTTTTTTCTTTCCTTCTTCCTTTCAAATTATCCTGTCTTCCTCATTTGCATTATATGAATTCTTTTAAGCTACCTCGTCATTATTTGAAATTACATTAAGTATATATACACACAAATATACATATGAATGTAAATTCCTAAAATGAATTTAGATTTTAAAAGAGCTACCTGTAAAGTAAGCTTTTAAAACAAGTTCCTTTGAAGTTCTTTGTTTGCTATTAGTGTTATATTTTTCTTCAGGACATTAAGCAAGATTTTGTTAGATTCCTATTTCCTTTCAAGTTTGGTTCAACAATTATATTAAAGCCTAGTTAGACATGGATGTGGTTTATATTTTCAATCGATGTACTCTTTTACTCAAATAAAGCACTTGTGATATTACAGACATTGTAATCCAATGTACAGGGCTATGAGTAAAGTTATAATGAACTTTGTAACTACAAGACTGAACTCCAGAAAATGTGAGGGAAGGGCATGAAGCACTCACGTTTTTATGTGAATAATGAATACCTACTCTAAAAATGTGTATTGACATTGGACAAAAGTATATATTCTAAACTACAAATGGTAGGTGGTGTAGCATAGTGGTTAAGGACACTAAAATGTAAAGGTTAGGTTGTACAGTAGAGTGACTAAGGGTACAGACTGAAGCTAGACCTCTTGAGATTGACAAATTGGCCATATGACATAGAGAAAATGATTTAACCTCTCTGTGCCTTAGTTACATTATCTGTAATATAGGGAACAATAATAGTACCTACCTGTTGGGGTTGTAATCTCTGGCATGTAGTAAGCATCTAGTGAGTCTCAGTTATTACTGTCTTTAACATATGGTATAATATTTCAGAATGTATGTTGTTGATTTTAATTTTTAGGTCTCTTGCAGCTGAATGGGGTAAATATGGAATGCGATTCAATGTGATTCAACCAGGGCCTATAAAAACCAAAGTAAGTTGTATTTTGCTTGTTATCACATTGTGAATGATTAAATAATGAAACACTGATAGGTATATTCTGGTTGTTGTGTAAAGGACTTTCCAGAGATGCCTAGGTTTAGAGCCCTGGTTCTAGGGAAGAGGCCTTTGCCTTTATTCATTATCGAATATAAGAAATAAGGAGGCGGGCAGGAATATAGCAGCTATGCAATTTCTTCATAATGTCAATTTCAGTGTCTTAATCGTTTGGGATCTTTTATACCATCAATGTTGGCACTTTGTCTGATTTGTTTCAGTGGTCTGTTATTGTCCTGTATTTGTTAACTTTCATGACATTTTAAAGGCTCCTACATTGTCTGACATCCTTTTTTAAAAAAAATCAAGGAAATGTAACTATATTTTTAGTTTGAGAGATGCTTTGGTAACTTATTATATAGGCTTTGTCTTGTTATAGGTAGGTAGCATTTTCCTTGACTCATGCTTGTGCCCTTTCACTCTCAGTCAATTATGCATGTCATCTAACGCCCACATGTCTCTGATTATAAGTCCTTCTGACAGCATAGATTTCACCTATAAGTAATAATCCTTGTGGATACTCATTGCAACTTGTAATTATCTCTAATGTTGTTACAGATGTTGCTCAGAATATCCACACCTTCTCTGCTCTCTCATTATCCCAAAATAACTTCACTCACACTTCTCTTGGTTTTCACCTAAAGCAAGTATTTATAATGCCAACCAGATGTAATGTTGAAAGACCAGGAAAAATTTGGTAACTTGTTTCAGTTGTGTAAACATATTGGAAAATAATACTAAAGGACTTTTGGGTTATAGGTAGCTCTGGGTATTAAAAATAACTTGGAAATGGCCATATTAGTTTATTTAGCAGTTTAAAGGATGGGAAATAGAAACAAAAACTTCCTGAGTGATTGAAACTTGTTGACTATCTTATTTATCTGACAATTCAATACTAAACAGTCTAATAAAATTAGTGGAAAGAAACTTAAAAACATACATTAAAACACATGATTCAGGGTGGCCCTGTCCTAAGCATATCTGAAAATAGGCTTATAGACACAAACGCTTCTCTCCAAGACCCCAATATCTAGGGAAAAATCACCTGCATTTTATTTATTTAACCTATATTTATTGACTGTTCACTGTATCTACGGGTACTGAGAAAGATACAGAAGTATCTCTGAGAAAGTGCTTGCCACTAAGGAGTTTACAGTCTAGCCACTGAGATAGGAGTTGTACCCAAATAATAACTACTTACTGTTAAAGAGATTAAAAGAAAACTGAAGTGTAGAAACTCCCTAGCATGCACTTTTTAGAACCAGGACTGGGACCAGTTGCAACCCCTTGTCTCTGGGCTTTATAACCTCCTGGGAAGAACTGGAGGTCTGTCATGGAGTCCCCTGAGTGTTTGTTCTGTCTTATGGCTGCATTATTGAGGAAAACTGCCACCTAAACTTCAAGGCACTAGTACAGAAAAATCCAGTTGTTTTTATTAATCAGTGCACATCCATAATTCATCTTGGTCTGTTCCTTCACATCATTGACAGAAAGCAAATTGTTTGGCCAATTTAGTTGTAGTTTTTCTCTCTCTAGAATCTAATTGAATTTCTACCTACTTGTTTTCTTCCTTTTCCAATACTTTGGGATGAAAGAAAAGGAATTTCCTCTTAAATATTTCCTATGAGCCACTTTTCTGTGTTTATTAAATGAAAAGCCAGTAATACCACTGCCTTTACCACCTAAGCTTGTACATATTTCAGGATACCTTTATATACATTTTTTCATTTGATGCTTATAACAATTTTGTGAGGTAACTAAGATAGATATCCTCATTTTACATAGAAGAAACTAAGATTAAAAGGGTTATATTTTCCAGTGATCTATTTTTTTTTTAAGAATAATTTGGTGAAATTCTTTTTTACTTACAAAGCCTAAGGTTTTAAGCTGCATGGCAGCATGCCATTTTATACACATTTTTTCTTGAGTAGGAAAGGAATTGATTGAAAAACCCGACACAACCTAATTGTTTTCTTAATTTCTAAGGGTGCCTTTAGCCGTCTGGACCCAACTGGAACATTTGAGAAAGAAATGATTGGCAGAATTCCCTGTGGTCGCCTGGGGACTGTAGAAGAACTCGCAAATCTTGCTGCTTTCCTTTGTAGTGATTATGCTTCTTGGATTAATGGAGCAGTAAGCGTTGTTTATTTCTCTTCACTTTTTTTTCAGGAGTGTGTTTGGGGCAGGGAGGTCTGTTGTGGAACCAATCCTGACAATGCTGAATGTAAATATCATTTAAAATATGTATTTAGTTGTAAATAATATAAAATATTATATATATTGTTTAGCCTATGACATTTATTCAGTGATGTATTAGTCTGTTCTCACACTGCTAAAGACATACCTGAGACTATGTAATTTATAAAGAAAAGAGGTTTAAGGGAAGTGCAGGGGGTTGGGGAATTCCCTTTCCTAGCCAAGGGAAGCCCTGACAGATGGTACCTGGAAAATCAGGACACTCCCACCCTAATACTGCACTTTTCCAATGGTCTTAGCAAACGGCACACCAGGAGATTATATCCCGCGCATGGCTCAGAGGGTCCCATGCCCACAGAGCCTCGCTAACTGCTAGCACAGCAGTCTGAAATAGAACTGCAGGGTGGCAGTGAGACTGGGGGAGGGGTGTCCGCCAGTGCTGGGGCTTGAGTAGGTAAACAAAGTAGCCTGGAAGCTCAAACTGGGTGGAGCCCACCACAGCTCAAGGAGGCCTGCCTTCCTGCCTCTATAGACTCCACCTCTAGGGGCAGGACATAGCTGAACAAAAGGCAGCAGAAACTTCTGCAGACTTAAATGTCCCTGTCTGACAGCTTTGAAGAGAGTAGTGGTTCTCCCAGCATGGAGTTGGAGATCTGAGAACGGACAGACTGGCCCCTCAACTGGGCCCTTGACCCCCGAGTAGCCTAACTGGGAGACACCTCCCAGTAGGGGCCAACTGACACCTCATACAGCCAGGTGCCCCTCTGAGACGAAGCTTCCAGAGGAAGGATCAGGCAGCAACATTTGCCATTCTACAATATTTGCTGTTCTGCAGCCTCCACTGGTGATACCCAGGCAAACAGTGTCTGCAGTGGACGTCCAGCAAACTCCAACAGACCTGCAGCTCAGGGTCCTGACTGTTAGAAGGAAAACTAACAAACAGAAAGGACATCCACACCAAAACCCCGTTTGTATGTCACCATCACGAAAGACCAAAGGCAGATAAAACCACAAAGATGGGGAGAAACCAGAGCAGAAAAGCTGAAAATTCTGAAATTCAGAGCGCCTCTTCTCTTCCAAAGGAATGCAGCTCCTCGCCAGCAACGGAACAAAGCTGGACGGAGAATGACTTTGACGAGTTGAGAGAAGAAGGCTTCAGATGATTGGTAATAACAGACTTCTCTGAGCTAAAGGAAGGTGTTGGAACCCATCGCCAGAAAGCTAAAAACCTTGATAAAAGATTAGATGATGGCTAACTAGAATAAACAGCATAGAGAAGACCCTAAATGACCTGATGGAGCTGAAAACCATGACATGAGAAATACGTGATGCATGAACAAGCTTCAGTAGCTGATTCGATCAAGTGGAGGAAAGGGTATCAGTGATTGAAGATCAAATGAATGAAATGAAGTGAGAAGAGAAGTTTAGAGAAAAAAGAGTAAAAAGAAATGAACAAAGCCTCCAAGAAATATGGGACTATGTGAAAAGACCAAATCTACGTCTGATTGTACCTGAAAGTGACAGGGAGAATGGAACCAAGTTGGAAAACATGCTGCAGGATATTATCCAGGAGAATTTCCCCAACCTACCAACGCAGGCCAACATTCAAATTCAGGAAATACAGAGAAGGCTACAAAGATACTCCCTGAGAAGAGCAACTCCAAGACACATAATTGTCAGATTGACTAAAGTTGAAATGAGGAAAAAATGCTAAGGGCAGACAGAGAGAAAGGTCAGGTTACCCACAAAGGGAAGCCCATCAGACTAACAGTGGATCTCTCAGCAGAAACTACAAGTCAGAAGAAAGTGGGGGCCAATATTCAACATTCTTAAAGAAAATAATTTTTAACCTAGAATTTCATATCCAGCCAAACTAAGCTTCATAAGTGAAGGAGAAATAAAATACTTTACAGACAAGCAAATGCTGAGATTTTGTCACCACCAGGCCTGCCTTACAAGAACTCCTGAAGGAAGCACTAAACATGGAAAGGAACAACCGGTACCAGCCACTGCAAAAACAGGCCAAATTGTAGAGACCATCAATGCTACAAAAAAACTGCATCAACTAACGAGCAAAATAACCAGCTGACATCATAATGACAGGATCAAATTCACACATAACAATATTAACCTTAAATGTAAATGGGCTAAATGCTCCAATTAAAAGACACAGACTGGCAAATTGGATAAAGAGTCAAGACCCATCAGTGTGCTGTATTTAGGAGACCCATCTCACATGCAGAGACACACATAGGCTCAAAATAAAGGCATGGAGGAAACCCTACCAAGCAAATGGAAAACAAAAAAAAAGCAGGGGTTGCAATCCTAGTCTCTGATAAAACAGACTTTAAACCAACAAAGATCAGAAGAGAGAAAGAAGGCCATTACATATTGGTAAAGGGATCAATTCAACAAGAAGAGCTAACTATCCTAAATATATTTGCACCCAATACAGGAGCACCCAGATTCATAAAGCAAGTCCTTAGAGACCTACAAAGAGACTTAGACTCCCACACAATAATAATGGGAGACTTTAACGCCCCACTGTCAATATTAGACAGAACAACAAGACAGAAAGTTAACAAGGATATCCAGGAATTGAACTCAGCTCTGCACCAAGCAGACCTAATAGACATCTACAGAACTCTCCACCTCAAATCAACAGAATATATATTCTTTTTAGCACCACATCTCACTTATTCCAAAATTGACCACATAGGTGGAAGTAAAGCACTCCTCAGCAAATGTAAAAGAACAGAAATTATAACAAACTGTCTCTCAGACCACAGTGCAATCAAACGACAACTCAGGTTTAAGAAACTCACTCAAAACCGCTCAACTACATGGAAACTGAACAACCTGTTCCTGAATGACTACTGGGTACATAACGAAATGAAGGCAGAAATAAAGATGTTCTTTGAAGCCAATGAGAACAAAGACACAACATACCAGAATCTCTGGGACACATTTAAAGCAGTGTGTAGAGGGAAATTTATAGCACTAAATGCCCACAAGAGAAAGCAGGGAAGATCTAAAATGGGCACCCTAACATCACAATTAAAAGAACTAGAGAAGCAAGAGCAAACACATTCAAAAGCTAGCAGAAGGCAAGAAAGTACTAAGATCAGAGCAGAACTGAAGGAGATAGAGACACAAAAAACCCTTCAAAAAATCAATGAATCCAGGAGCTGTTTTTTTTGAAAAGACCAAAAAAATTGATAGACCGCTAGCAAGACTAATAAAGAAGAAAAGAGTGAAGAATCAAATAGATGCAATAAAAAATGATAAAGGGGATATCACCACCTATCCCACAGAGATACAAACTCCCATCAGAGAATACTATAAACACCACTATGCAGATAAACTAGAAAATCTAGAAGAAATGGATACATTCCTGTACACATACACTCTCCCAAGACTAAACCTGGAAGAAGTTGAATCCCTGAATACACCAATAACACACTCTGAAATTGAGGCAATAATTAAAAGCCTACTAACCAAAAAAAGTCCAGGACCAGACAGATTCACAGCCAAATTCCACCAGAGGTACAAAGAGGAGCTGGTACCATTCCTTCTGAAACTATTCCAATCAATAGAAAAAGAGGTAATCCTCCCTGACTCATTTTATGAGGCCAGCATCATCCTGATACGAAAGCCTGGCAGAGATACAACAACAAAAAAAGAGAATTTTAGACCAATATTCCTGATGAACATTGATGCAAAAAACTTCAGTAAAATACTGGCAAACCAAATCCAGCAGCACATCAAAAAGGTTATCCACCACGATCAAGTGGGCCTCATCCCTGGGATGCAAGGCTGGTTCAACATACCCAAATCAATAAACATAATCCATCATATAAACAGAACCAAAGACAAAAACCACATGATTATCTCAATAGATGCAGAAAAGGCCTTCGACAAAATTCAACTGCCCTTCATGCTAAAAACTCTCAGTAAACTAGGTATTGATGGGACATGCCTCAAAATAATAAGAGCTATTTATGACAAACCCACAGCCAGGGGGCAAAATCTGGAAGCATTCCCTTTGAAAACTGGCACAAGACAGGGATGCCCTCTCTCACCACTCCTATTCAACATAGTGTTGGAAGTTCTGGTCAGGGCAGTCAGGCAGGAGAAATAAATAAAGGGTATTCAATTAGGAAAAGAGAAAGTCAAATTGTACCTGTTTGCAGATGACATGATTGTATATTTAGAAAACCCCATCATCTCAGCCCAAAACCTCCTTAAGCTGATAAGCAACTTCAGCAAAGTCTCAGGATACAAAATCAATGTGCAAAAATCACAAGCATTTTTTACACCAATAACAGACAAGCAGAGAGCCAAATCATGAGTGAACTCCCATTCACAATTGCTTCAAAGAGAATAAAATACCTAGGAATCCAACTTACAAGGGATGTGAAGTACCTCTTCAAGGAGAACTACAAACCACTGCTCAGTAAAATTAAAGAGGACACAAACAAATGGAAGAACATTCCATGCTCATGGATAGGAAGAATCAATGTGTGAAAATGGCCACACTGCCCAAGGTAATTTATAGATTCAGTGCCATCCCCATCAAGCTACCAATGACTTTCTTCACAGAATTGGAAAAAACTACTTTTAAAGTTCATATGGAACCAAAAAAGAGCCCACATTGCCAAGACAATCCTAAGCCAAAAGAACAAAGCTGGCATCATCACACTACCTGACTTCAAACTATACTACAAGGCTACAGTAACCAAAACAGCATGGTACGGTACCAAAACAGAGATATAGACCAACGGAACAGAACAGAGCCCTCAGAAATAATACCACACATCTACAACCATCTGATCTTTGAGAAGCCTGACAAATACAAGAAATGGGGAAAGGATTCCCTGTTTAATAAATGGTGCTGGGAAAACTGGCTAGCCATATGTAGAAAGCTGAAACTGGATGCCTTCCTTACTCCTTATACAAAAATTAATTCAAGATGGATTAAAGACTTAAATGTTAGACCTGAAACTATAAACACCCTAGAAGAAAACCTAGGCAATGCCATTCAGGACATAGGCATGGACAAGGACTTCATGACTAAAACACCAAAAGCAATGGCCACAAAAGCCAAAATAGACAAATGAGATCTAATTAAACTAAAGAGCCTCTGCACAGCAAAAGAAACTACCATCAGAGTGAACAGGCAACCTACAGAATGGGAGAAAATGTTTACAATCTACCCATCTGACAAAGGGCTAATATCCAGAATCTACAAAGAACTTAAATTTACAAGAAAAAATCAAACAACCCCATCACAAAGTGGGCAAAGTGTATGAACAGACACCTCTCAAAAGAAGATATTTATGCAGCCAACAGACACATGAAAAAATGCTCATCATCACTGGCCATCAGAGAAATGCAAATCAAAACCACAGTGAGATACCATCTCACACCAGTTAGAATGGTGTTCATTAAAGATTCAGGAAACAACAGGTGCTGGAGAGGATGTGGAAAAATAGGAACACTTTTACGCTGTTGGTGGGACTGTAAACTAGTTAAACCATTGTGGAAGACAGTGTGGTGATTCCTCAAGGGTCTAGAACTAGAAATACCATTTGACCCAGCCATCCCATTACTGGGTATATACCGAAAGAATTATAAATCATGGTGCTATAAAGACACATGCACACGTATGTTTATTGCACTACTATTCACAATAGCAAAGACTTGGAACCAACCCAGATGTCTATCAATGATAGACTGGATTAAGAAAATGTGGCACATATACATCATGGAATACTATGCAGACATAAAAAAGGATGAGTTCATGTCCTTTGTAGGGACATGGATGAAGCTGGAAACCATGATTCTGAGCAAACTCTCACAAAGACAGAAAACCAAACACCGCATGTTCTCACTCATAAGTGGGAATTGAACAATGAAAACACTTGGACACAGGGTGGTGAACATCACACATGGGGGCCCGTCGTGGGGTGGGAGGAGCGGGGAGGGATAGTATTAGCAGATATACCTAATGTAAATGACGAGTTAATGCGTGCAGCACACCAACATGGCACATGTATACATATGTAACAAACCTGCACATTGTGCACATTCACCCTAGAACTTCAAGTATAATTAAAAAAAAAAAAAGAAAAGAGGTTTAATTGATTCACTCTTCTGCATGTCTGAGGAGGGCTCAGGAAACTTACAATTATGGCTGAAGGGGAAGAGTCATAACTTAACATGGTGGCAGGCAATAGAGATAAAGAGAGGGAGAGAGAGAAAAAAGGGAGACGAGAGAGAGAGAGATTGAGGATTACAATTCAAGATAAGATTTTTTTGGGGACACAGCCAAACCATATCAAGTGATAAATTAATAGATGCAGGTTACCTTGGTAGATATACCTTTAAGATGATCTTCAATATTGGGTAGATATTTGAAATTGTGGAGATGTTAGAAATAGAATTATAAACTGAGTAAATCAATTTAGGTTTAATCATGAGTTTTATCTTTAAAATTTGGGCTTGATTTAAAGTGCCAAAGAGATATTCCATCCAATTAGTATGGGAAAATGGCTAGTGGTTCAGAAACTTTTTAAAAGGAGTTAGTTTCAGAGTTTAAAAATTTGTTTTTTCCAGGTCATTAAATTTGACGGTGGAGAGGAAGTACTTATTTCAGGGGAATTCAACGACCTGAGAAAGGTAATGCTTTTGTGTGTATAATGTAATATCAGCAGCTAGGATACTAAGCTTTAAAAACATGTAAAAAGGACATTAAATTGACATCTTTTTTGTGTTAGGTCACCAAGGAGCAGTGGGACACCATAGAAGAACTCATCAGGAAGACAAAAGGTTCCTAAGACCACTTTGGCCTTCATCTTGGTTACAGAAAAGGGAATAGAAATGAAACAAATTATCTCTCATCTTTTGACTATTTCAAGTCTAATAAATTCTTAATTAACAAACATTCATTGAATATGTATTATGTGCCAGGCCAGTGATAGCCATTGTATATTCAAAGATAAATAAAATGAAATATAGTCCTTCAAAACATTAAAAAAAAAAAAAGGAGGCATGGGGAGAGTAGGTAAAGGCTCCTCTTTACCTATTGATAGAGGTAAAAAGTACTTAGAAGTGCAGAGAGAACAGATCTTTGTGACTTGGAAAATCAGGAGAAACTCAATGGTGGCGGTAGCATTTGAGTTACATAATATACTATACCTATATTAATAGGGCCTAAAAGAAAGAAATTAGAGGATACACACTAAATATAATAGACTTTGCCTTTCCAGTATACTTTCTTTTCACTGGACTTGTGAATTATCTTCTTTGGGTAACTCAGTATTAACTCAAACCTTTAATTTTTACTAGGACCTATTTGTAGCCAGGCATTTTATTTAGTACTGAATAAGCTATAGCCGTTGCCCTTTTTAAATTCATTATCTAGCAAGATAGTCAAACTTATAAATAATTATTTATGATACATTGTGATAAGTATTATTCCAGCAGTATTTAAGTGTAGAGGAGGAAGTAATTCATTCTGTCTCCAGAGTTTGGAGAATGTGATGCCTAAGAGATAGCATGCCATCCCAGCTGTAAAAGAAGAATAGATTTCTCTGGGTAAAAGAGGTAAAGAAAGCCTATAAAATATTTTTGTATATCATTTGATTAAATTTCATCTTTGGTTTGACTAATTTGTCATCCTGAAAATCAAATAATAATGAATCCAAAGTCTCAAGTCTACAGAGCTATACTTTTGAGCCTATATTTTTAAAATGTCCATTTTGCTTTCCCAGGAGTCAGTTACAACATGTTCACTAGACTGACTATCCCCATTGCCCAAGTTGACACAAGAGGAAACCAGCTTCCATCTTACCTCATCTGAATAAATCTGCCACAAGCCCATGGAAACCCCAATTAACATTGACAGTTAATTGTGTACATAAATTACATTTATTACATTTAATTGTGTATATATAGGGGATGTTATAGGTTTGGAATAAGTGGCCCAACATTTCCAATTATACTGACTTTCACTGGGCTTTTTTTTAGGCTGTTGCACTTTTTCTCCACATGCTTGCAATACAATACTCTCAAAATAAAACGCAGACAGGTACCTAGTCTCCATTTTACCTTTAGTACTAATCCTGTGTATTAGTCTGTTCTCATGCTGCTAATAAAGACATAACCCAAACTGGGTAATTTATAAAAGAAAGAGGTTTCATTGACTCATAGTTCAGCATGGCTAGGGAGGCCTCACAATCATGGCAGAAGGTGAGTGAGGAGCAAAGTCATGTCTTACGTGGTGGCACCCAAGAGAGCTTGTGCAGGGGAACTCCCATTTATAAAACCATCAGATCTCGTGAGACTTATTCACTATCACACTATTGTGTTGATATTGTGTTCACACACCAATAATGATGGTTTATCACTCACTCCATTTCCAAACCCACCTTCCCACCCACCTCTCACCAAACACACAAAGACACACTCTTTCCCTCCACTGATTCCACCAGTATAGCCATATTTCTCTTTCTGGTTAAATTTATACTAAATGTTTACATTTATATAACTTAATAAATATTATTTTTTTCCAGTGTTGTCTCAACCTTTTTTAAAAAAAAAATTCAGATTACATGATAAATCAGGTCCTTTTTTAGATAAATATTATTTTTAGTGTTCTATTGTTTTGATGTATCATTATTTAATTTATTGGGAATAGGGTTATTTATATTTATTGTTTTTATCTTTTTAAATTTTTATAGAGACAATGTCTTGCTATCTTTATCAGTCTGGTCTTGAACTTCAGATCTCAAGTGATCCTCCTGCGTTGGCCTCCCAAAGTGCTGGGGTTACAGGCATGAGCCACTGAGCCTGGCTGTTGAAAATTTTTTGTTTTTTAATGTTTTTCAAGAATGCTAATGCCTCCCTTGCCAATGCATTTTAAAATTATTATTAATATTACTTTTGATTGGCAAATCATAATTGAATTCATTTATGGGGTGCCCTGTACATTTAAGGGGTACAGTGTGATGTTTTGATATGTGTATACAATGTGGAATGATTAAATCAAGCTAATTAACATATCTATCACCTCTCTTACCTATTGGCCTTTATGGAGAGACATTTGAAATTTACTTTTATTAGTTATTTTTAAATATACAGTACATTATTATTGACTATAGTCACCCTGCAGTAGATCTTAAAACCTGTTCTTTCTATCTGAAATTTTGTATGCTTTGATCAGAAACCCCCTTCTTCCCACTCCCTCAACCTCTAGTAAACCATCGGTCTACTTTCTTTTCTTTTCTTTTTTTTTTTTTTTTGATATGGTGTCTCACTCTTGTTGCCCAAACTGGAGTGCAGTGGCATGATCTTGGCTCACCGCAGCCTCCACCTCCCGGGTTCAAGCGATTCTCCTGCCTCAGCCTCCTGAGTAGCTGGGATTATAGGTGCACGTCACCATGCCCGGCTAATTTTTCGTAGTTTTAGTAGAAACAAGGTTTCACCATGTTAGCCAGGCTGGTCTCGAACTCCTGACCTCAGGTGATCCGCCTGCCTAGGCCTCCCAAAGTGCTGGGATTACAGGCGTGAGCCACCGTGCCCGGCCAATCATCATTCTACTTTCTACTTCCATGAGTTCAACTTTATTTGATGCCATACATAAGTGAGATCACAGGTTACTTTTATTTTTCAGTATTATAAATAAAACTATGAACGTTTTTATGTATAACACATTTTTAGAATTTGGAATTTTTTCCTCATTTCTAGAAGTGGTATTATTAATCAAAGTTATGAAGCTTTTAAAGTTTTTTTGATATACATATCCAATTGTTATTCCAAAGATTTGTGTGAGTTTAAACCCCCCTGAGTAATGTGTGACACTGCCCGTTTCAACAAATAGCTGCCAACAATTAAAACTATTCACCAATTTTACACGTAACGAATGATAGTACCGTTAAAAACTTATTTTATTATTAGTGAGATTGAATACTTTTCTACACTTTTGAATTTCCTGTTTGTCTTTTTTACCTGTTGGTATCTTAATGGGGTATTGTAAAATTTTTGGTTTGTATGAGTTTGTATGCAATTTTTTCCTCTGTTAAAGACAAAAATAGTTCTTTTAATAGTTTCTTAGTCATCTATTACATCATTATTATGTGTTATTACAAATGGTTGATGAGAAAGCAAAGCTTGCAGCATGGCAGAGAGGATCAGAGAAGAGAGATCATGGAGATATTGACTAACAGATATTTTTTCCTGAGTCTGAAAGAGAAACAAACATTGTTTATGGGTAATCACTGTATTCTATGACAGACCACATGTGGGCTGTAACCACATCAATGTTCACCTTAAGAATTATTACTTTGTCACTCAATACCTTCTGTAAGAGTCCTGCTTCTATTGTACTAGTGGAAGAGTTAATACTCAGTAAATTAAAGATTATTGGTAACAATATCACTCATCTTACCATTAACATGTGAAACCACCTCCAGGAAATGTTTCAGGTATAGAGTGACAGCCATTGTTTCCTTATTGTTCTTGTGGAAACTAAAACAATAAGAATTTAATGACTTTGAATAATAGAATTTTAGAGCTAGAAAAGCCTTAGAAAATGCAAATTCTCAATGTTTTTATTTTACAGTTGAGGAAACTGCAGACCTAGAAAGTTATGTGACTTGCCCTAGGTCACACAGTAAGTCAAGCTCATGTCTCTCACCCAGTTAGATATTTCTTGGGATCATAACTCAAATCAAGAGCCAATAACAGGGTTTTTAGGAGGTAACAGTTAGACATTACAAAAGCCTAGAAGAGGAGAAAGCCCATCAATTTTTTTAGCTTGTTAGTTGAAGTATGACTTCTAAAAATGCACAAATCATGAATTATTACAATACAAATGCACTCAGGTAACCATTCTCCAGGTCAAGAAACAGAACATTACCAGGAACCCAGAAGCCTCCCTTCTGCCCACCATCGCGATTCCTTTCCTCCTTCTCACAACTAACCACTGTCTTGACTTCTAACCCCATCGTTAAGCTGTTTTGAGATTTATATAAATAGAATCACACAATATGTATTCTTCTGTTTTTTGGCTTTCTTTCTGTGTAATAATTGCTTATGCATTCTCATTGTTATATTCCATAGAATATAAGGTATATATGAATATACCACCATTTATTTGTTAGCTCTGCTCTTAGTGGACATTTGGATTGTTTCTAGTTTGAGGCTATGCCAAACATAAAGCTGCCGTGAACCTTCTATTCTTTTGGCGAAAATATATACACCTTTCTCTGTTAGATTGGTAATACCTAGAAGTGAAATTGCTGGGTTTTAGGGTATGCTTGTGTTCAAATTTAGTAGATACTGTCAAATGGCTTCCAAGACTATTCACAATTTAACATCCCACCAAGCTGTTTGGGAACTTACACTGTGCTGCATCCTCACCAGTAGTGAGCATTGAAATTCTCTTTACTTTGAGTCATTCTGTGAGTGTGTGGTGGCATCTCATTTGTTTTAATTTGCTTTTTTTTTTTTTTTTTTTTTTTGAGAGAGGGTCTCACTCCTGTTGCTTAGGCTGGAGTGCAGTGACACGATCTCCATTCACTACAGCTTTGACTTCCTGGGCTTGGGTGATTCTCCCACCTGAGCCTCCCTAGTAGCTGGGACTACAGGTGCATGCTACCATGCCTAGCTAACTTTTTGTAGAGACAGCCTTTCGCCATGTTGCCAGGCTGGTCTCAAACTCCTGGGCTCAAGTGATCCTCCTGCCTCAGCCTCTCAAAATGCTGGGATTACAGGCATGAGCCACTGCATCTGGCCATTTGCATTTCTCCTGATTACTAATAAAGTTGATTAATTTGCATATGTTATTGGACATCATTTGGGTATCCTCTAGTGAAATATTTGTTCAACTTTCTTTTTTTTTTTTTTTTTTTTTTTTTTTTTTTGAGACGGAGTCTCGCTCTGTCGCCCAGGCTGGAGTGCAGTGGCGGGATCTCGGCTCACTGCAAGCTCCGCCTCCCGGGTTCACGCCATTCTCCTGCCTCAGCCTCCCAAGTAGCTGGGACGACAGGCGCCCGCCACTACGCCCGGCTAATTTTTTTGTATTTTTAGTAGAGACGGGGTTTCACCGTTTTAGCCGGGATGGTCTCGATCTCCTGACCTCGTGATCCGCCCGCCTCGGCCTCCCAAAGTGCTGGGATTACAGGCGTGAGCCACCGCGCCCGGCCTCAACTTTCTTATACATTTTTCTATTGGGTTATATTTTTAAATGTTGGTTTCTAGGAGTAATCTTAATATATTTTGGATATGTGCCTTTGTCAAGTATATGTGTTGCAAATATCTTCTCCCACTCTGAAATTTGACTTTTCACTCTCTTAATAGTTTTTTTTTAAAGTTTGTAGTCATTTTCTGAACAGAAATTCTTAATTTTAATGGAGCCCAATTTTTCAATTTGTTTCTTCATAATTGGATGTGAAGAAGTATTTTCATGCATGAGGTATTGAAGTTATTCTCCTGTGTTGTTTACATATGTTTCACATTTATGTTGATAATAAACTTGGAATGAATTTTGTTTGTGGTATGAGATAGGCATTGTGCCTGTAATTTTATATTTGCCTATCTAGATTCATTTTTTTCATTCTTCACCCTCTTCTCTGCTCAAGGAAGCAGACCTGTCATTTATAGGTAAGTGTGACTGATGTAGCTGAGGTGTAGGAATTTCTTTGTCTGATAGTGCTCAGGAATTAAAGTCTACCATGATAGTCCTGATGCTAGATTCATGTCAGTTATTCCTGACAGCCCTCTAGGAAGTCTCTTCAGAAATTTCCCTATCATAATTTGTTGTTGTTGTTGTTGTTTTTCTTTCTTTGCTCATGCTGTTACTGTAAGAATGCCAAACCTGGTAGAGTTTTGGCGCATACTTGGTAGTGAACAGTTATTTTTCTATGAATTAAATATAGGAAAATTCTGTATGTCCCTGTTATTCCTTTGGATATCTTTCATGAAGAAATATTTGACTGTGGGCCAGGCGCAGTGGCTTACGCCTGTAATCCCAGCACTTTGGGAGGGGAAGGCAGGTAGATCATGAGGTCAGGAGTTCGAGACCAGCCTGGCCAAGATGGTTAAACCCTGTCTCTACTAAAAATAAAAAGTTAGCTGGGCCTGGTGGCGGGCACCTGTAGTCCCAGCTACTCGGAAGGCTGAGGCAGAAGAATCGCTTGAACCTGGGAGGCAGAAGTTGCAGTGAGCCGAGACCATGCCATTGCACTCCAGCCTGGGCAACAGAGTGAAATTCCATCTTGAAAAAAAAAAAAAAAAAAATTAAAAGAAATATTTGACTATGTCAGTTGGGCAGAAAACTTCAAATATTTGGATACTTTGAGATTTCTTTGTAAATTTTAATGTTAGAGACACCCCTCAATTCAACAAAGTATCCAGTAGTTCACTGAGTCACATTTACGTTTATTTAGATTCCTTAGGCCATAATAATTTCATCCTACATTTCCACCTGGATCCATCATAGATTGCATGTCAGCTGACATTTTGAAGAAAAAACAAATACAAGAGATTAAGGTTATTTTCTTCTTTATTTATTCTTAGTAGTTAAATTCAGTCTAATGGCAGTGCTTCCATTTACACGCTAAAGGCAAAGCCAATCTCCCACTCAACATCATTTGTTGAATTTTAGTTTTTGGCAAATCTCGTTTCTGTTTGTTCTTGAGGGAAACATTATAGCTCACATTTTTTGGTTATTTTTATGAATTCAGAAAATAAGTGTTGAATTTATAGAATGGGGACATTCAAGCTGACCCAGAACGATCATTAACTCCTAGGCAGTAACTGTAAATTTCACATGGACACATCTCTCATAGCTCCCTGTTTCACAATCAAAGAAATCTAAAATCACCAACTGTTACATATCAACTATAACCAGTATAGGATATTCTAGCTACAAATATGTGAAACTGACTTAGATGTATGTTAAAGAATGTTTTAGAATCTTCTTGCTAGATAAGATAAATGATTACATTAGCATTTCTTTTCAGATGTTATTTTTTTAAACTCATTTGAAACTATTTGCAGATAGAAATAGAACTATTTTGAATGCTGATCTCAATATGAAATATAGAATCCACAGAATACACAAAAGTATTGATGATATAACATTCAATAATCAGGATGCTATGAATTTTACATTAAAATTTAATTATGTAGTAAAAAATAGAGTTGTTATAGCTAGAAAAAAATATTTTCAGAGGCAGCAGATACCCTTGGTGGAAATGAACAGTTCTACATAGAAAGAAAATCCAGGAAGTATGCAAACTAGACACCAGGATATGCAGTATATTAAATTTAATCAGAGATTACACAGAGTATGACATAAAACAGCAGTTGACTAGAATAATTTGCAACACATGAAAACAGTTTAGAAAATGGATTTAGGTCATATTCTCTGACAGTAAGTTTGTTGGAAATACAGGCATAGAATCAGACAGATTTATGTGTCATCTGGTGCTCCCTTCCCTTGTCACATCAACTTGAACCGATAGTTTTGTATGGATCCAAGCAGTAGACATGCTGTTGATTGGTAAACTAAATCTGTAATGAGACTGTTAACTTCATAAAGCCACAATTAACTATATTTTGGTGAGTATTTTAGATGGAAAAGCACATTCCTCCTAATAGTTAGAAATAAGCTTAGAAATATTTTGTGGGACAGTTCTATGGTTGTCTAAAATAAGAATGTTTGGCTTGTTATACATAATTCCATTATTCAGTGACAAATGTGCATTTGCAAATCAGAGACTAGAATTTTAGAGATTAATCCTGGTGGAATTTTTAGGGAAATCTTGTTCAACTATATTTGTGAAAGCAAGAATATGTTATTTTTTAAAATTGGGTGTACTGACTGGCCTAAGCATAGACTTTCTTCTTTTCAATCATATGGTTACAAAAACTGTATATTACAAACAGTATAGAAACAAGCTGAAAAGAATGAGCCACACATCCTGGATAATTATCTATATGCAGTTAAATTTACAGATATAAAAGAAAATACAGCCTACTCCCTTATAGTGCACAGTTATTTTTTAGATACAGTGTATCACTAGCAAGTGGTTGCGGCCACCAACTCTAGTTATCCCCAGCACAGAGAATAAGAGCAAGATCCGTTCGGTACAGCTTCCCTCCATCCGACAAAGCCATTATGTTCTTCTTGTATGTTGTAATATTATTAATATCCAGATCCTGTACAGAATATAAATGGCATTGTAATCCAGTTAAATATGGAAGTTAATTAACCACTGTCAAGTGATAAAATGTGAGATGAAACTACTTGTTACATCAATCCATTAACAAAAGAGCTGGATTAAATTCTTATACAAATGTGAATAATCACAAGGTTGTTTTTAAAATCTATTTATCACAGTTACCCTGATTTAGGCCAGAACCAAATTGAGTTAAGAATTGAATTCTATTTCTGCTCCTCTATAAATTGTTAAAGTAGATTTCCAAAATGGATGTGCTGTTGGTTTTGGATGGATCCACAGAGTCTGCTTAAAGAAGTAAGTGCCATGGTAACTAAGTTACCTGTTTATTCTTCTCGCACAGATCCTTCAGTAAAGCATCCAGTTCATTTTCATCTATGTATCCATTGCCGTCCTGGGGGAGGAGAAATAAAATAGTATACAACCAACTCCATCTACAGTAGTGGGAAATGAAGTAAAATGGAAATAATTGGAATCCTTAGAAAGTCTCCCAACTGCATACTTGGCAGATAATCTGTTATGTCAGGCCACCCAAGTTTTTAGCTGCTCCAAAGCTGTAAAATATGCAAGGTATTAGTTACTTCTCATTCAACACCTTACATTTGTAAAAGATCTTGAACTTTTCAAAGTACTTACACATGTAATTCACTTAATGTTAATAATATCTTCTAGGACAAGTGAGGAAACTGAGGGCTGAGGAAGGTATGTGGCTCTATGTCACACCAGGGTGTGGCAGAGTTCTGCTAGAGCTCACAGGTCCAGGAGTAAACAAATTAGAAGCAAAGGATGTGACCTAGTGACATCACAAATAACCTTTATTTTGCTGGATATTTTCACCTAGCTTAATCCTCATTCAATCCTGCAAAGTGGTGTTATTATTATCTCTTGTTTACAAATGAAGAAATTGAGGCTCACATGAGTTTGGTATCTTGTTCAAAGTCTCAAAGCAGGTAAATGATAGTGTGGGATTCGAATCAGGAGTTTGTGTAATTTGGGCATACCGTATTACCTTTCCTATGAAAAGAAGGAGTTATTTGTGTAATTTTCATAATCGTTTTTTCCAAATTCTGAAGAATCAAATTATAGATAAGAACAAAATTTTAAGGCATCCAAATTGGAAAGAGAGAAGTTAAATTATCCCTGTTTGCAGATATTATTTTTATAGAGAGAAAACCCTAAAGACCTCACAAAAACTGTTGGAATTAATAAACAAATTCCATAAAGTTGTAGGATGCAAAATTAACAATCAGAAATTAGTTATGATGATAAACTATCTGAAATGGAAATTAGAAAATCCCATTTACAAGAGCACCAAAAGAATAAAATACTTAGGAATAAAGTTAACTGAGAGGAAAAACTTATACACTAAAAATCATAAAATACTGATGAAAGAAGTTAACAGAGACACAAACAAATGGAAAGACGTCCTGTGTTTATGAATTGGAAGGCTTAATATTGTTAAAATGTCTATATTACTCAAACACATCTACAGATTCAGTGTAATCACTTCCAAAATCCCAATGGCAATATTTATAGAAATAAAAAAACCCTAAAATTCATATGTAACCACAAAAGATCCCAAATAGCCAAAAACCATCTTGAGAAAAAAGAATAAACCTGGAGACATCACACTTCTTGATTTCAAAATATATTACAAAGCTACAATGATTAAAACAGTATAGCTCTGAAACAAAAATCGAAACATAGACTAATGAGCTCTCAGTTTCACATGTTATAGTCAACTGATCTTTGATAAGGGTGCCAAAAACACAAAATGGGACAAGGATAGCTTTTTTCAACAAATGGTGTTAGGTAAACTATACAGACACATGCAAAATAATGAAATTGGACCCTTAGCTTACACCATATAAAAAATAAATTCAAGATAGATTAAAAACTTAAATATAAGATCTAAAACTGTAAAACTCCTAGAAGCAAACAAACATAAGGGAAACCTTTATGACATTGTTCTTAGCAATGATATTGTGGATATGAAACCATAAGCAAGGACAACACAAGCAAAAATAGACAAGCGAGACTACATCAAACTAAAAAGCTGCACAGCAAAGGAAACAATCAACAGAGTGCAAAAGCAGCCTACAGAATGGGAGAAAATATTTGTAAACCACATCCCAAAAAGGGTTAATTTCCAAAATTTATAAAGAACTCCTGTAACTCAATAGCAAAAAATGAATAATTCAATTTAAAAAATGGGTTAATGACTTGAGTAGACACTTATCCAAAGAAGGTATATAAATGGCCAACAGGTAATGAAAAAATGCTTAACATCACTAATCAGAGAAATAAAAATTAACAATAAGATATCTCCTCACACCTATTAGAATGGCTATTATCAAAAAGATAAAAGACAAGTGTTAGTGAGAATGAAGAAAATTGGAACTCTTGTATACATTGGTGGGAATGCAAAAATGGTGCATCCACTATGAAAAACAGTATGGAGAGCCCTCAAAAAATTAAAAATAGAACTGCATATGATCAATCAATCTCAGCACAAGACAAATTCTGCATGATGCCACTTGTATGAGGTATCTAAAATAGTCACACTCATAAAGTAGAATGTTATTGCCAGGGCTGGGGGAAGGAGAAATGACGAGTTACTCATCAATGGGCATAAAGTCTCAATTATATAAGATGGATAAATTCTAAAGATCTGCTGTCAAGATTGTCTCTATAGTTTGCAGTACTGTATTTTATACTTAAATTTTGTTAAGAGGATCTTATGTTGTGTTCTTACTTCAATAAAAAAGAAAGGAAAAAGTAACAAACTTTTACCTGATCATACAGCTCAAAAGCCTTATTGAACTCTTTCCCACACATTTTGATTCCCTAAAGATAGAGAAGAGAGTAAATGTTAAAATGTTATTACTATGTTTCAGTATGTTTCCCTTGACAAGTCTCCCACATTCTAGCTTTTCAAGGAAAATATTATTTAAGGTAGTAAAAAGTTAAGTACCTGGAATTTAAGAAGAAAATTCTCCTGCACTGGTAGTAACCTTTTGAGAGAAAAACATTATATTAATATATTACATTTTTTGAAAAGGATCCACTTACAATATTTTTCATGGTTCCTAAACTCACCTGGCCATCTCAGTTAATTCCAGCTTCCCATCATTATTTGAATCAAATAGTTTCAGCTGAAAGACAGAATGCCATTATTCTAGCTATTTGAGGAATAATTTATTGCATGAAGGAGATGAACTTCAAAATAAAGCTGTTTGAGTTATCAACTACTTGTATATATGCAGTAAAATTTTAAAAACTAGCATTTTTAAAACTTTCAATGCAAATTTTCAATTCTGTAATGTGTCCATTGCTAGAGTTTATCAGGATAATATAGAATAGTCAAACAGAGAAATAGTGGTTTTAGCTATGTTTCTAGAATACTGTCACTTTTTTATTGCAAATACGTTCATATGTGTATCAAGATGTGGGAGGGATGGTGTCTGACAGTTTTTGCACATCTGGAATCTCTCCAATAAGAAAATAAATATTTATTTCACCCTTTTAGAGCATAGAATACCACAAACAGAAGCAGAAAACAGATGACAAATAAATCCTTACAGAACAGAATTTTTGAATAATTTTGAATTGTTTTATTTTCTATTGGGTATTAGAAACTCCATAAAGCTCTCCAACTCTCCACTGCACTTATATATACGTCATTCACAAAGACACATCCAGATGTAAACACACTCATACCCGTATTTGGGAAGCATTCACCTTTTTAGATAGTAGCAACTATTGCTATAATATGTTATACCAAAGTAGTATATATGAATTACATTAAATATATAAAATGTGTATACTAAATGAACACTAAATATGTGAAAAATTAACATTATTTTTGTTTTTAAAGAACAGAATGTGTCCAGTGTTATAATGGATATAGATTTAGTGACATCTTTTTAAGAAGGAAAGGAAGGGCATTCTGTGGTTCGAGGTATTCTAAGAATCTTTTGTAGGAGGCAGATTTTTTTCAGGATCCCATGCTGACAAAACATTTTATAATCCATTGACCATAAATTCTGATATTGTCACACTACCTACCAAGATACTGGACAGCTCGATTACTTAGTTTTGTGCCCATGGGGAAATATTTCCCAACATATATATTTAAATTTTAATTAGCTCTCGATTAATTTGCTTCCTGGATTTGAACTGGTTTATGACATTTAATCAGATATGTCAGGCCAATCCAACAGAGGGAAACTCCCATCTGAGTGGGTTTTGAAAGGCTGCTTCAATATTCTACCTGGAAAGGAGCCTTTCTTTAAATAGGCATCCCTTAAGATTGGAACAAAATAGAAAATTGATAAATGTAGGTTATTGTCCATTACCTAAAAGTTATTCAGAGCTTAGACCTGTTGATTGTGACACATAGCAAGAAACTCTCCCCCATTTGTTTGCTAGTGCTATTGTAAGTGGAGATGTAATGAGGAATTAAAGATGACCATGAAAACCTTTTTGGTTGTTTTGAAATTAAAGCTTAGCCCCACCTTATAATAAATAACACTAGTTAGTGAATAAGGCAATAGTAAAGTTCTAGTAGTTCCCCCTCCCCAACCCAGATAAAAGTAAGCTGAGATGCTGAAAGCAAACCTCAGTTACATCAAATATAATCAAACCCTTTATTAGATTGTTTCTCAGAGTAATTAAAAAGTCTAACTCCTTCTTCAATCTAATATAACAGTAGCTTTTATAGTATAGAGCCATGTTTATGGTTTATTGATGTAAATCCATGGAGTAAGAATTCACAGTACCTTCACAGTACTGAAAGCTGTATAAATATATCTATCTCCTGGTAATCCTAATTCTGTGATGAGTCAAAATGAGCAAACTTCGTCCAATAGAAACTAACTTCATAGACATTGGTTTATTTTATCTGGAACCTTATTTATCTGCTCTTTTTTTTTTCCTGAAACAGTAAGTGCCTATGTGTAAAGCAGTTTTCTTGGCTCTATTATCAACATTCTATAATTGATCTTAGTTGTCACTATTTACCATAGCATCAACCTTAGGGCATATTTAGATTTCCTCATTCAAAGCACCAATACAAAACCCCAAAACAACAAAAATCAAAAGAAAGAAGGAGACCCATTTTAACTTGCTTAATTAATAAAGTAGCTAGATGGTCTCTTTAAACTCAACAAAGTGTGATTTCCCAAACTATGATAAAAATGGATTTAGGAACTCTATAATAAGTGAGTTTTTGGTGATATAATTTATATATATATAGTGTACCTTATATATGTGTAAGTTATATAATTTAGTGATATAATTACACTGGCTTTGGAAGCAAAACAAGTCATCTTTTGATAGATAAAAATTACACAGCTCTACAAGGAAGAAAATGCTCATATGTTGAGTCTTAAAGCCAATGCCTGCAGAACTCAAAATGACAAGATGTAAGCATCCCTAAGTATTTCACTTTTCAAATGAAATGATACCTATGTGCATATGATGCCCACACCACCGTTTATTTATTTCATCCTGTGTAGCCTTGGGAGTTAGCAAGAACATCATACTACTTCATGAGCTCTTGGGTACAATCTTTTCAAGATCAGTCTTACCATTAGGTCTGTATACTCGGCTAATTTTGTGTCATCAACAGTCTTGTTTGCTTTTTCTAGCAGGTCCTTTAGAAAGTTCTGTTAAAACAAAGAACACTTAGATTAATTTCATTAATAATATATCGTCTACTTTCATTTCAGAATGCCTTGGAACAGGACATACCAGGAATGCAAAGAAAGTCTCCTTTTGAGGGGTAGAAGCAGGTGAGTAGAGGAACTTATAATAGAAGAAAGACTAAACCAGGTTGTCCTCCTGGCATTCCAGCAATGAAACTACCTTTGACAGGAATAATACCTGCTTTTTACTGAGACTTGATTGATCATTGTCTGTGCATTACCATGACTTTATGATTTCAATTAACCTGAATAAAACCTTTTAAAACCAGCCAGCCCAATGGATGCATTTCTTCTTACTGATATCTTCACAAGTACTCATTGGATTGTTCTGCAAGAAACACAAGGGCCTTTATACCTTTGGAATATTGTGAAAAAATATCAGTAAACCAAATAGAGATCTATCCCTAATTTCAAATCCATTTTCTGCTCCCCAGGCTGTATTTACACATTAGTTTATAGCCAGCATGATGCTTATTTCTCCAGAGGGCCAGTTGGGTAGTTTTTAGCCTAATGCAGTCCAAAGCACTTTGGTTAAAATGCTTCCACTGACTATTTAAATTAACAAAATTGGCCACAGTTGATGTCATTGAATCTTTGAAAGATATATGAATCATATTAAAATAGAGATTAATGTGGGAAGGATGAAAAAAAGATGATTATTAACTTGACACCTGGAGCTTAGGAATGAATTTAAGTTTTTTTAACAGAAACATAAATAAAAGCTTTACAAAGATTTGCCATATAAGTGACAGTGTAAGCACTTTATAATAGTCATTCATTTTGTTTAGTGCTATTCATTCGTAACTCCTTTATTTTCTCAGAAAATGAATTAATGCAATTAGGAAAAACTAGGCAGATACTGTGCCCAGATATTATTGAAGGATTAGATTTCTTTGATTTAGCAATGACTTATCTCTCTCCTAAATGTTCCAGTTCTGGGCTGATTTGATGCCACTTTTTTAAAGGAAAGAGACTCTTTTCTTAGTTTGATAAAAATTTTTTACTTCAAATATTCCACTTCAAATCCAAAGTGAAGCATGGAAAATTCAAAGTTATCTGTTGGGGTTGAATTTTATTTTTGAGCCTTCTGGGGCTTTTGTCAGAGATTAATTGGGTTAAAAAGCCTCATCAGAGACTAAAATGGTGGTCACAAAAATAGCCTCGGAGAAACCTTGGGACGCAGAGATTCAAAGTCGTGTCTGAGAGCAAGTGATGTTTTACTCTATTATGGATCTTAAAATTAGCTTTCTTGAAAGATCCATTAAAAAAGAATGCCAACTTATCTTCAAAATTCCCCAGGGAAGAGGACTTCTATTTAGAATCTCTTTCTGAGAATAAAATTTAGAACAAAGAAGGAGGCTTTTAGAATATTTAGAGGTCAGTATTGGAAATGAGCTAAGGTTTTCATTATGAACTAAAAAGGATCTTTAAAAGAATATTTTTGGTCTAACTAATAAAATAAAAACACAGTGGCTTAACTGTCACCTTGTGGATTGCTGAGCTGCAAGTTTGTAAAATACACTGTTTTCAGTGACTTCACATTAAAAACGTTTACATTTTCAAGAGGATAAAATTGAGTATGTTTTAGCCATTTTGCCATGGCCCAAATGTCCCCGTTCCATCTTTAAAATTGTATGCTACTCAAACTATGTTGAATTATGACTAGAACTGTTGATATTCATATTTCCCCACATAGCAAAAGAGCAGCTCTTAATAAATGAAGTCTGAAAGCATGTAGTGCTGTGGGGGTGGGGTGGGGAATCATTCTTAGCATTATCAGATATTCTAGGTACAAATCCAGGTTCTCTTCCTAGGCAGCTGTGTAATCTTGAAAAATCATCAAATCTCTCTGCATTCCAATCTCACTGTTTTTATATTAGGAGTGATAATACCTGCCTTGCATATTTTCTGTGAGGATTAAATTTTAAAATACACTTCAAGCACCTTGTACTCTGCCTGACAGATAGTCAGTAAATATTAACTCACTTATATTTTAGTCACTCTATGTTCTAAAAATAGAAAAAGTAGGGTCTTTCAGATGGCGATGTTTTGGGGTCGGCTTGAGGAAATGAGAAGAATACTTCCATATTCCTGAAAGGCTAGTAAATTGAGTTCATGAATAATATAATTTATTTTATGTTGCATGTCACAAAAGCTTTCATGTGCAGAATCTTACTGGAGCTTCACAATAAGCCTGAGAGGAAGGATTTATTACACTCATTTTAAAGATTAAAGAAAATTGGAAAGATATAGTAATTAATGAGTTAAGACTTGATTTCAGATCTCTGCCTTTTCCTTTATATCCTCCTCTGTGATATCCGAAGTGATAAATTCATTCTCTAAGTTGCAGTTTTTCAAAAGTTTAATTTTAGAAGATTTTTTATTTTTTATCATCATTGCTGAGAGTCAGTAGGTTGTGTAGAATGTCTACAGGCCTTGGAGGCAGACAAGCCTGGATTTGCACATCAAGGCTCTGTCCGATTTCTGTGTGGCCTTCAGTATATCATTTAACTTCTCTCAACTCTTCCTCAATGGGGTAATACAATGTCATACAACTTACGCAAAGATTAAATAAGGCATTATGTGTAAAGTAGTTGGCATACAGTAGCTATTCAGTAACTTTTTCTTCTTTCTTTTGTAAGAAAATTTATATATATATGTGTTTATTTTGAGAACTAAAACTACAAATTTCAATAAAAGAATGGCTTATTCGGCTTATCTATAATTCTATCTGTCTGTCTGTCTTATATTTGTGTACACCACAAAAAATGTTAATTTTTTGCATTACTGTACAGAATTTCCAGAAGCAATTGAAGATGCTTTTTTGATCTGGTACTTCATTAACAATGTCGAAGAGTAGGTGAAAATGTGACACTGTTCAACATTAGTTTCTTTTGTGGGAGGTTTTTTAAAAAGCTAGGAAACTCTTAGTTCATAATTGCATCTGAAAGGAAAAACTTAGTACAAGTTTTTATTTGCTTACCTTAAGCTCCTCAGTTTCTATGAAGCCACTGTGGTCAGTATCATATTTTCTCCATGTCTGTAAGTAATTTTGGATAAGGAAAACAAACACATTTTTAATAAAAGGAACAATTTTCCTACTTTAAGCAGCTTTCTTAAAGGGGCAGCTTTCTTATACCTTCATGAATTCCTCACAGGACTTCAGCTGCTGGCATCGGAAGAGCAGCAGGAAATTCTCTTCTGTGGGTAATACGTGAGCCAACTGGAAAAGATTTAAGAAGAGAGAAACGTGTTGTAAGTTGCTCAAAAACAAGTCTCTGCCATTACCTGCTGCTTAGTTTTTCTTCAACGTGTTCCCTCACAGGCTAGAAAAGTAGGAGAGGAAAAACATTAGAGTCGGCTTTCCCTTTCTGGTACTTTCCTATGGAGCGCTGTCGATTCTCCAACGCTCGTGTGCCCTTGTGTGCTTGGTTCTTTGGCCAGTGAGGTGGCCGCAGCAGACCTGTGCTCAGGTAGAACTAGCGTGGCCACTTCTTGTCTGCTGGACATTCAGGCAGATTCATCCTCGTGGCTTGAACCCTTCAAGTGTTCTATGCCACAGATTAGTGTTCTATGCCTCTCTCCTCTCTCCTCACAGGGTCACAGAAAGGCACATGTGGGGGCCATAAATTTCATGTGAAGTGAAAGAAACCATGAGGAACATAAATGTTGGGGAGGGGAGTGAAGGGGGAAAATGTATTCCCAAGCCCGAGGAGAAAGCCTACCATGAGATACAAGAGAAGATAAACCAAAGACAATCGTAAGGCAATGGAAAAGAAATTCACCATGAATGGTGGGGCGTTAAACAGGAATAGGAAAAGCCAGTTCTCAAATTGTTGCTTTCTGCTGAAAGGACATCCACTGCTTGAATCCAGGGCTGGGGTTTATTTTCTGATCTCCACGGCATGCCTCTATGACATTTTCCCTTAGATCTCATTTCAAAACTTCAATCCTCCTCTCTTTTTTTTTTTTTTGGAAGAAAAAAGGATTCCATATCCCATTTTATGACTAATCTATTGCGTACAGAGAAGGAAGGAGCTGGATTGATGGCTCCACTACAGATGTGAGATCTATTTCTGGCACAGTAGCTAATTAGCTGTGGTCCCCAGCAACCCCGAGCCATTTCTGGACTTCAGTACCCTCATCACTAAAACAAGGACTTGAAATAGAAGCCAGTGTTTCTTGAATATATTGGGTTCAAAACGCCTTCTGTTGGAAGCACTGCATTTTCACCATTAAATAATGAATCTACACACACTATATTTCATCTAATTTCCAGGATTTGATGAATTCCCTAGATCACGGGCATGGACGGACCCTCATCCGTGGATTTTAGGCCAACAGCCTGTAGTCTAGATCAGCCTTAAAGTCAGAGTCAGTTCTAAAAGTTCTACCAAGTTATAGAAAATACTATCATAACTTTTTTTAAAAAATTCATCCTTTTAGGTTCATTTAAAAATTTAATATTTAATATAAAATGCACTATTCTACTTTATATGCAAGGAATCTAATTTTTCTTATGCCTGTGTATGCCCTTTAGCTTATCTTATGTTTAGATTTTTGAAATAATATTTCAAATTAAAACCACTCGATTTATACGCACCACACATGTGGGTGAGACTAAGGGAAAGGGCCAAACCTTATGTCAACATGTTTAATATGACCTAGTTATAAAACATTTTCTTATTTATTTTTAAAGAAAGGTCACTAGTGTGGGTAGATGATAATATATCTAAAAAGTAAAAATGGGGGTTTATAATGTGCCAGTGCTTTTAAAAAAATGTAATTAGCTTTTGGTACATAAACACATTTGCATCATTGCAGTGTGTGTGTGTGTGTGTGTGTGTGTGTGTGTGTGTGTGTGTGTGTTATCCAGGTCCCTTATTAAACTCAGGACATACTTCTGTGACCTTTGCATTCTTTCAATTCCTTTGAATACTTGAATCATAAAATTCTATACCTCAGAAATAACATAATTTAATTTAATTCAAGACCAAATTTTTCAATTGAGGATGCTAAGGCCCAAAGAGGTTGAATGATGACCTGATGATTGGCAGACTGAAAATCACTTTAATTTGGTGATTATTAGTAGATTAAGTCAACAACATGCTTGTTGAAGACAGTAATAGAGTGGTTTGGTTGCTTCTTTGCTCTTGGACTGCAAATAATGAATTTGTTGGTGATTTTTACACGTGACAATGAGATAGTTTAAATATGATAAGCTGTTTCTACTCATTGAAATCTAGAACACCATTTTCCTTATAAAAATCCCTTTTTTTTCCTCATCTGTAAGTGGGCTCCTAGTGGAAAGTAGCTATAAATGATTTTCATTATAAAGTATCCAGATATCTGGTAAGTTAGGCCTAGAATGTAGGTCTCCCCCCAGAGCTAAGGGGGAAGAGGAGAAGGGAGGGAGAATGGCAGTGGGTGGGCTCGGCATGGAGAGGGGCTCTGGAGGACGGAGAGCCACACCCCTCCAGTCTTGTTGAGCCTGGCCTCTTCTATAATAATACTTTCCTGGAGGGATTCTGAAGAATATCTCCTTGAGGATTTTAAAGAAGATGGGAAGAGAAGAAAAAGTAACACAAGAAAGAAGAGGGAACAAAGATGGAAGACAATAAAACACATCAAAGAGAAGAAAATATATCAGAGGCAGACATTTTGAGGGAAAGATTGAACAATGGAAATGGATGTTATGTATACATTTTGGAGGGTTCTGCATGATATAGAAGGTCTAGCCACATTTTATTATGTTTTTTTCATGAATATAAGTGTTCATTTAGGAAACAGGAAATAGCTAACCCCAACTCGTCCTTTATTTATTAGTATGCAACTTGTTAGATACTTCTTACAATTTTTGCGTGACCTTCCTCTAGACCATTAATTTCAAGAGGGCAGGGAATAATACTTTTCTGCATCCCCTGAATGCCCAGCATGGTATCTAGCATGTTATATGCCTGAAATAAATGCTTGCGGATTGGTTGGTAATTTTACTTTATTAAAAACATCTACTTAAAAGAATTGAGTTATTTTTTGCTTATCTTCATCATAATTCTCTATTTTGTTTGGATTTTTATAATTAGTGTGTGTTGCTTTGAACAAAAAAGAATAATTTTTCTTTAAATATTTTACATCTCCAAATTCACTGAATACATAAAAACAGAAAAAAACAAATGAATGAACTAGTAAGCAATCACTAAATGTAAAATTAGGGAAATTGCCATCTTTGTTTCAACATAAAAGTTCATGTAACTCACATAAAGTTGAGAGGTCTCCTGAATGTCAGATACAGAGATAGTAAAAATGCTCTTCATGTCTACTATAAATGTGTATTTCTTGCCCATACTGCTTTGGTTTTATACTTAAATTATTAAAAAATACAGATTACATCAATGTGCAACATATTCAATCTGTTTTAATTTCACTGAACCATTAATGTTACACTCAACATGATACCATCCTATTTTATAAATGTTAGAAAGGAGTCTTAAGCATATAAAAATTATTATGTGTATATAGGATGTGGCTATAGTGAATGTAAAGAAATCTTTCTTAAGATATGTTTCACAATGTGGTGGTCCTGTGTTGTCTCTCGGTTCTTCTCTCAATGCGTATGAATCAATATTCAAGTTTCAGAGCTGGGCACAGTAATTCTCCAGCTGTAGCCTTTATGACTATGTCTATAATGTGCCAAAGGTCTTTCATATAGGAGGTGTTAAGTAGAGTTGCTTTATTCTCAGATATGCTAAGTCACTGCTGTTTATAGAAGTATCCAATACTTCTTATTACAATATTATTGGTGATTCTGTAATCTTTGGGCTGCCTGCCTGCTCTTTTATGAACTCCCAAAACTTTTTTATGAGTTGGAAAAGAGAGTGAAGAATATCAAGGGGATGAGTGGAAGGCAGGTAGCTAAGGAAATAAGTAGAATCCCTCAGAGCTTCATTTCTGAGAACTGATTGCTTGTTATCAAGAGTAGGAAAAAAAACCAACAACTTCCTACTTGCTTGTCTCCCCTACTAGTCTACGTGCTCCTTGAGGATGGGGTCTGTGTCTTATTTACTGTTTTGTGGCCCAGAAACTGCACAAATTTTAGTAAATATTTTATTGAAGCAATATATAAAGGTAATTAACTATTTGTTTAGCATCAGGATAGGCTGTAAATAAATGGAGGTAAAGTTCCTTTGGAGATAATTCCAATAACTTATTACTGAGCTGTGAATAGGGGTTGGGGTGGACATTGTGATATGCTACCCAGAACTCCCTTCAAGTGCTGGGAGTGTTGCTGCAGCCTCACCTGTGAGGCCCCATTGAAGGAATACCTGGGCTGAAGACAGCTGTGTCCCCAAGGAGGTGGCATCCTATGACTGATCAACATGGGGATATAAAGGCCCAACGGTCTCACTCAAAACTAGAGACATTCCTGAAGGGTCATCCCAGCTTCAGAACTCACTGTAGGGTCAGCTGATGTCCCCGTTGAGACTGTGACACAGCCCAGCTTCTCCCTCTGCCCAGATCTATTCTCTTCACTTCTGTCCCGGGGTATTGATCCCAAGAGCACTTCCTAATAAACCTGCTCATTGCTACTCTTCCACTCAGATCTGCTTCCCAGGGAACTCTACCCATAACAGGGGACTTTACATCTCTCTTTTATTTCTAGCGTAATACAGAGACTTTGCCTGATGTTTTGGAGTAAGTTGAAATCCCTTGCTGTGGCTCATTTGGCTACTAAATACTAGGCACTGTGCTGGTGACCACAGTCACCACTAGTGAGAACCATATAGGGAGGCAGATACTTTCAAACAACTTTTCCCCTGACAATTTCAAAGCAGGAGATAAAAACAACAATAAAGCTAAGTACTAGTTGTGAGGAGAGTATACATGAAAGGCAACTTCATTAGTGATACAAATTATATCACAGTGCACATGAGGCAGAATTCCTAACTTTTAAAGACAATCATGGTATGTTAACATTCTTGAACATGTATTAGCCAAGCATTCATTTTTTTTTTTCACTTGAGAACCAGAAAAACGTTTTCCCTAGCCAGTGAGAAGTGAGTCCAGGAAATTTGAAAGGTAAATAACTTTATCAAAAATGTAAAGCTCTTTCAGTTTAATAATTTGAATTTGACAAATTATATAATAAGTGGGGGAAAAGGCTTGGCATTCAGAAGATGGGGTCGATTTTGTAGTAAGTTATTTTTATATGTAACAATAACTGCAAATACATTTGTTGAGTTTTTACAGTGTGCCAGGGTCAATCTACTTGTTCAATATGTATTATTTGATACTGATGATCATAACAACCTTATGAAGTTAATACATTGTCATCCTTGTTCACTACCAAGGAAACAGAGGCTCAAAGAGGGTAAATGGCCTGCTCTCACATAGATTGCAGTTGGAGCCAGATTTGAAGGCAGAGTCTGACTTTCTTGGCTTAGAGACTCTGTCCCTTACCTTCATCACCCTCCATTAAAATCCTCAATCAAAAAAGTATCCCTAATAAATCACTTAGAAAGATCTATGCAGAGGGAATTTTAAAATCAGATTTCATTGTCAGTCATTTCCCAAAATTCTGTGGTGGAAAAGTAGTCTTCCATGAAAAATTATATTCACTATGGCTAAACTCACAGGCTCAAATCCCACTGCAGATGAAAAGAGGGAAAGGCTGGAGAAGAGCTTGCTTCCCTGGGAGGGTTGTTACAGTTTTAGGACTAAAATAGCTTTTAGGTCTGTTTTTCAATGGATGCACTGACCTGGACAGATAGAAACAGTAAGAATGGAGAGGATGGTAGGTTCTCACACATTGCCAAAAGGATCAGGTGAAAAACTTACAGATTTGACACCCATTTAAGAGAAATACCTATATTTCATGTGAACACCAGAGAAGAAAGCTCTATTATCTGCTAAATCATTAAGTCTTCCTTTTTAATTATTTTAATCAGCCTTCTTTGCAGTAGAGCTATTAGTCTGAATAAATTCGGAACATTTTTTTGACCATCACATTATTTGTTAAATTATCTCAAAATTTCGATGCTCCTGTCTTGAGTTTGTGTTAACAATCTCGTTATTTCTAAACTGTATTTGTGTGGATTTTTAAATCTATTTAAAGGCAAGAAATTAGAAAGTTCAGAAAGAAACATATTTGTTTCTAGGTAGCAAATGCATGTTGTTAGAAAGTGTCAGCTAACTTTGTCACGTTAGAACTTTGAAAGTTAACCATTACATTTTCTAATCTTTTTGAATGACATCTTTCAGAGACAAACCAATTTGGCCTGTTCCATCAGGGACGCAGACCACTGCATGAGTATCATTTGGTTTACTTTGATTAGATTTTGATGAGTTTGTGAGTATAACTATTAAGTAAGCATAACATATAAGTAAATCCATCTTCCTTTCCCTTTGAACACCAAAGTTAATGTGTGCTTGATGTCAGTAGGTAGATTATTATAAATTGTAGAAAACATAGGATTTTGCATTCCTTTATAGCTGGCTAGAATTTGTGTATTTGTGTTCTATATTATTTATAGGATTTCTAAGCAAGTGATATATGTCAAATTGGAAAAAGAAAGGATGAACTTCATTTAATACAGCTTTCTGGTTACAGTAGAGAGCAAAATATAAGTTCAGACATTTCCTACTCTCCCTTTCCACATTTTCTACATGTAATCTGTAACTTTTAATTTCTATTTCCCAATTATTTTCAGAATTTCTCTTTTCTTCACTCTTAACCATCACACAGTGAACCAACATGCATATGAACTATTGAAGCAATCTCCTATTTTTCCTCCTATTCTCCATTTCTCTTCTCTCAAACTAATGCCCTCTTCCAGACCCCTTACTCCTATGTCTTGGCTGATAACTAAGATTAATGAAAAGAGTTCTAAAATCGGAATGAGATCTAAGTCTGTATATAGAATTTGTCACTCCCTGCAAATGGGACCTTGGATACATCATTCGACCTTTTCGGGCTTCAGTTTCTTCATCCTTAAAATAAGGAATGTTGGCTAGTTCTTCCCAAGAGTCCCATCTAGCAAAAAGTTCCATGTCCTGGAACACTAAAACCTTCCAATCAGTTTATATGTATCTCATTTGTCTCCCTTTAAATTATTTCTGCTTCAGCTGATCAAAAGTTCTGCTGAAATTATGTTTCGAGTGCTTTGCCCAAATAACTTCTCTGCAGAACACTTTGTGCATCCCTATTCATCCCAGATAAACTTAGAAACTTGCCATAAGTAATCAACCAACTGAAGCTTGAAAAGTTTTCCTTTTAATGCAGAAAATGTACAGATTATTTATTATTTTAAAAAAGGCAGAATAGTTTGGGGGAACATGGCTGGGTTCTGACTGTTCTACCATTTATTTCTTACTTTTTCTGTGACCTTAGGCAAATCCTATTGAAGCTTCACATGCTATAACTATAAAATAGATCTTCATTTTATATTTAAATTTACTTAATTTTCTAGTTATGATGATCAAATGAGATAACATATTTGAAAACACTTTGTCAATTTTATTTTATACAAATGTGAATTATTTTATTATTTTTGTTGCTATAAAAGCTTCTCACTTCTTTATTTCAGACTTCATCGCCTTCTCTGTCCTCTTCTGTTACCTATATTTCTATATCTTTCCTTCCACAGAAAGCCTTTTCTTTCCTGTAACAGTTCCTTATCTAAAACTTCTGAGGAAATTTCCTTCATTAAACCTCCAGGACAATGCGTCTGCTAAATGGCCTCTAACCTCTCATTCAAAATAGCGCTGAAATAATAAGTCATAAATGATTAGACTGTATCACATAAAGTAAAACCGGGATTCAAAACATGCTCATCCATTTTATCCTTATAAAAATGTAAAATCCATGTGAATCAGATCAATGCCTTTTACTGCACAATCTAGTATCACTGAAGAAATGAAATTGAATAAATAGCTGAGTCCATTGGACTCCTTCAAGGAGAAGTATGTTAAATGTAAGGTGACAGGTTTTCCTTAACTAGGATTATAAAGTATGTCAAACTCTAAAAGAGCCAATCCGTAATTTCACTGATGTCATATTTCCAAACTAGTTTTGAATAATTAGATTTACCTCATCTCATTTATGTTTAATTTAAAAGTTATTTTCTTATCCTTGATGGTTTCATACCTTGATTAGTTGGCCTATATGTCTATCTGTAAGTCCCATTACTATTATCTATTTATATAGTAATGAGTTACACACGGGTAAAGGGGAATGTATGTACTCCAGGGAAAATTTTTAATTACAAAGATAATAATAGTATGTCCTCTCTTAACTCTATTTGTATCAGCTGTTTAAAAATAAGTGTATTTCACACTGGCATCACAAGTGTCCTATAAGATCAATTATTTGAAAACCAGGTTATTTTTCTGAATCAAAGGTAAATTATTACTAAATGTTGTTGAGATCCAGAATACTTCACAATCTAATACACTGAGAAACACTATATAAATAACATAATTATGTTATGATTTGGCATATTTCAAATTATGACCTAATTAATTTTTCTGGACAAAGACTTCCACCCAATTTCTCTAATAGGCTGCTGAGATAAAGAAAGAGGCTAAGACACCACAGGCTGGAAACGTAGATATAAGGGAAGCAACAGCTCTTTCACAAATCTGAGAATGCAGAAGAATTGATGCATAATCAGTTTTGCTTCCTTGATTCACAGACAAAAATAAGTTGCCCTTAATAGGAAAAGTCACTGTGAAAGGATAAGATGTGACACCCACAGTTTTAACTTTCAAAGATTCACATGAAATCTGTACCTATAACAGATCATAAAATATTCACTCACTCTAGTTAAATTATTCTGTTTTTACGAAGGCCAACTGTCAAACCAGGATGCAGCTTTTTGCCATGAAAAATAAGGACTGTAAATATTTCACAGGGACTGCAAACATTTTATTTTATATTTTAAAAGTCAAGTCTACACTGTTAAGTGATAAGAAATACTGATGGACCATGTGCTTAGACACTGTATGGAAGTGGGGCTGGGTAATGGAATGTGATTGATACTCATGTAGAAGTCAGGGACTTGTTCCTCTAACTGCACCTGTGCCAGCAAATAGCTGTATGACCAGAGGCAAACAATTTTGTTTTTCCATGGTCTCAATTTTGTAATATATGAAATTTAGGCCCTGGGTTAGGAATACTCTTAGATGTTTTTCATTTGTGAACATTTTTTAACTTTATACTTCTGAACAGAAGATAATGTATTACTTAGGTAAAATAAACTGTACTGAATGGGTCTTGCTATATCTTACTTGACTTGAAGACAACTTCAAAATTGAAACTCATTTATTAAAATTAAATCAGAAAAATGCATAAATTCCTTACCTCTACAATTCCTATTTTTCCATCATCTCTTTGCCCATACTGATCCACAAAAGTTTTCATTTCAGGTGATAACTCCTAAAATTATATAAAAGCAGGTAGGAGGTTTGTTAAAAAAATACCAGTTATGCTTGTGATGGTGTTAATAACTTACTGCAAAGAAAAACCAAAATTAGAACCATTTAGAAATATGCATAATGATTAACTATTCTCAAAAAAATTAAAGGCATAACTGATACACAGTATTTATTAGTTCCAAATGAAAGAGTTGTAATCATGATTATTTCTCAATTAATATGATTTATCTTCTATTATTAATTTTGAGACTATGCTATCCTTTGAAAGTGTAGTCAGAATCATTCCATTCATAACTTTTAGTGAATTTTAACATAATCATCACCATCAATATATTTTAAACAATGCTTGCTTCATTAAAGATTACCTTATATTGCTACACTATCTTGTCTTACAACATTTTTCTCATTCTAACATAATGTTTTATCTATGGAGAGTAATATATGTTTTCATTTTGAACAAGCAAAAAATGTGAATGTTAAAGATTAACTCACTTTGTAAGCAAAGATTGTTTTAAGCATAAAAGAGGCATTCATCAATTAAATAAATTTAAAAATTAAATAGATTAGAGAGCTATGAACTATAAACTAGTGATCTGAACATAGAACTGGTATTCAGGAGGTTTAATTTTTACCCTTGGGTCTCCAACATAGCCCATTTAAAATAGCCCTGTTGCATTAGCTGAAGCCTATTTAAAATAGGTCAGCCCTTACTAATGTTCTATTCTACGTCCTTGGGAAAGCAAATTAAGGTCTCGGTTTTCATCATAGCTAACAAGATGGTGGTATTATCTACCACACAAGTTTGCTTTGGGGATAGATAGGTTAATATAATTAAAGGGCTATATTGAGACTAAATATCATTATTACTAGTATTTATAAAAGCCGTTTGGAACCAATGTAGACATCTTTAGTTGAACTAAGATAATAAATAATAACAAAGCAATATAATTATATTTTAGTCTTTATAAAACTTACTATGGATAAATTACAATTTGTATTTATCTAATTTTGTTATAGAAACAATTGTAAGAAAATGAAAGTGTTCAACCATGGCAATAGTGGGAATATCAGGTCCTACAGTTTTTTTATTTTTACATACATCTTAACGTAAACAAAAACCAAAGCATCTGTCCTTAAATTTTAAAATGGTGTAATACCACTACTTTCACGAGCAGACTTGACATTTACTTTGTGAAGTTTCTGACAAGTATGTCAAAATCTATTTTTTAAACAGTGCAAAACATATAATCACCACCAATTAAAAATGTATAAAAATGAGTGCAACTACAAAGACCAAACACTATGTTTAGTGTAAAAGGATAGTTTCTGAAAATATATTGCATTGTTATATTTAATTAATGTTATATTCACCTAGTGAAAATTTTGAAATTTCATGTTATTAATACGAAAAGCCAAACAATGTTTCCATTAATGCAATGAAATCTGTTATCCTATGGCTAGAAATGCAAAAAGCCTGGTTTATAAGGGCAATTTTTATGTTCTAAAGAAAGAGAAGAAATATATACAAGTAGGTTTAATGCAATGAAGTTAGTAGTATAATGAAACATGTATCTACTATATGAAACTCTGAATCCACATCTTGATTTAGATTTTAACTACCCAAATCAAGAAAAATACTAAATTCAGAAAAATCCAGATTGTATTTACATTCCAGAAAAATGCTCAAGAATCAAGGTATTAAGCAACTTGATATAATCCTATAACTATGCTTGTTTAGTATCATTACATTATAGTCTAATAATTGGAGCTTTGAATATTCCAAAACAGAGAAAAATAATTAAATTCTAAATCTCCAACATGAAGATATTGCTTACAAAAAGGTACAAATATTAAAATCAGAGGAAGAAAAATATTTTTTTAAAGTTCATGAATATTTAAATTTCTAAGCTGAAAATAGATTTCAATATTAAAATTACTTCTGCACAAAATAAAATATAATCATTACCTGCTGGAAGCATCTTCCAAGGTTTTAATTCTAAATTTTATGGAAAGTAAGACTTTTCCAACCTGATTTTAAAATATGTATTTTTAAATGAGGAAGATAATTGCTTTTATTAGATTAGCCAAAGATATATAAAGCTATAATGACAGTATTGCATAAATTTATTTACATGGCAATATATAAGACATGGGGAGGGTGGAGAGTATATAAAACATTTTTATGCTATTTTATTCCGTTCTATTATACTTTTAGATTATATAATATTAAATCTGGGTAAAACAATCCCTAGAGCACAATCTGGTTTAAAATCAATTTGGTCAATGATTTTTGTAACTGATAGTTCTATAGTGCATTATAATACATTTAGAGCCCTCTGGGATTCTTTTGAATATGCTGTACAGAAATGTATATTACACAATTTTCAATTTAGATAGGGCAAAAAGTTCTATTATTAAATTTTATATATATCACTCAATATTAGAGGTGGTGATCTGCTATATAATATATACATCATTGGTAGTGTAAAATCTCTTTCTAAACGTAGTCAAAAAGGCCAAAGACCATTAACGTGTAACTCATCCCAATTCAACACTGCCTTCTGAAAGGCAGTGTTACATAAACCTCAATAGAGTAGTACAATTTTTAACCCATTTTCCTCTGGACAACCATCTCATCTATGTTTAAAAGCTGACTGTATTTTATATTTATGCTGACAACATATTTTCTTAACAGGTTAATTTATGCCCAAAGGGAGTCATTTATAATTAATAAGAATGGTTATTTGTTTAATTAACTAATGGCTTAAATAACGAACATAGCCATTTTCAAAACACCATCAATTGCTGCCCATCAGAGTATCACTTTGCTTTTTTTACAATACATGAAATTCTTAAAATTGTTTTACTTTTTACTTCTCTACCTTTTGGGTTTCTTGCTTTCAACAGAAATGAAGATCTTTTCTTGCTAAATTCTTTCTCACTGTTAGGTTGCAAGTTGGGCAACTTACCCTTAGTGAGGACAAGATGTTTTCTCATCTCCCCAACTACATCAACATCACAACAATAATAATTGGTGATAGAGTAAGAGATCCATAATCTGCAGATCTGTTTCTTGACCACCAAGGGGCAGAAATGCATTTCCACCCCCTTATTTCTCACACAGTAAAAGAGAATTTAAAAATTACCTAATCAAACTCAGTGGTAGAGGTGGTGATCCGCTAAAGAATCTCATGCACCCACAGTTCCCTTTTAAGACCTATTAATGCAAGTACTAGTATAGAATATATATATATTTAAAGCTCCAGTTTCAGATAGCAAGGTTTTTCCCTTTAGAAAATCTGTCTCTCTCTGTCTGTCTCCCTTTCTCCCTTCTTCCCTCCCTTCTCTGTCCCTCCCTTCTCTCTCTCTCTCTCTCCCCCTCTCTCTTTCTCAGTCTCTTTCCCCTTTCCCATTTCTCTGTATTCGAGTTGGAAAAGTGTTTTTTCTTGCCTTTCGCAGTCAATAAACGTTTACATTACCCAGAAAGCGCTTTACGCTACTGGCTTTTTGTGAAAACACAAGAATGTTTTAATTTGGGGGTTAAAAGTCTTTTTTTCTTTTTCGCAAACTTGAACCTACCAATCCAGCCTTCTTTCGCGCCTGCTGGAGCTCCTGGATCAAGTTCTGCAGCTCCTTTCCTTCCAGGTAACCACTTCCTGCAAAGACAAAGAGGCACCCAGGTGTCAGATATCTCATTCCAAGTGTCTTTCCCGTTCACTTTCCAAGACAGTTATCTTTCTGGCGACCCGAGAGGCTCTCTCTTGCCTGGACGTTGATTAACCAGCAAAGTGTACAGACGGTGAAGCGCTCCCCTCCTGGGGTATCAAACTTTAGATCCACTGAGGACAAAGGAGGATGGTTGGGGTGCTAAGCGCAGCCACAGAAACTTTGGGGGGGCAGCATTCCCCAATCCCTGCTCTCTCTCTCCTACCATTACCGTTCCTGGAAAGACAAAAGTTTAAGGTTTTGGGATTACGGTGGAAACAATATAAACTTTCAGGTTGACAGTTTGGCGGCCAGTCGGGGAGATAAGAAGATAAGATTAGGCAGAAGGGGGAAGAAGTAAAGAATAGAAAGGAGGGATAATGGGATCAGGAGGCTCAGAAAAGGGCAAAGAATGGGAAGGGGCATGGAAACGGGTCTTGAAACAGTTAAAAAGAGAAGATAATCACCGTCAGCGTCGAAATGGAGCCAGATCTCGAAAAACTGTGAGGCTGTGATGAGGGATGACTGCAGGTGGGATTCTGCCATTGTACAGCGGGGTGTGTGTCTGGGTGTGTGAATATGCGTGTGTCTGTGTCCGCGCGAGGGGGAGTGAGCAAAAGCTCAGCGTGTGCGCGAGTCAGGGCTGCGGAGGGAGACCTGGGCGCGGGCGCTGCCGGGCGCTGTCCTCGGTGCTGCTCAGCTCAGCGTTCCTCCAGAGTTCTCTCCCTACACCCCGCACCCAGTTCTCAGTATTTATCCCGACGGCCCCAAGCCGGGCCACGCCTCCTCCAGCCTCCCATTCCTCACTCCCCGCCTCTTGCTCTCACCAGCCTTCTTCCCCTCCCTTCCAGTTTTCTGCTCTGTTCCCAGGAAAGCTAGCTGGAGCGAGAGTTTGGGCTTGTTGGAAGCAGCAGGTGGTGGGAGATCCTTTGCTCAGAGATTGGATGCTGAAAACAGAGGCTCATTTCCCCCTACATCCTCCTAGTCCAGGAAGAATCTTATTCCTGAATATTATAGTAAAACTCTTGTTATCTAGAGAGGTTTAAATGTTCAGATAGAAGGGGAAAGCTGATGACGGGTAAAATCACATAAAAGATTATTATATTCTTGTGTGATTTCTCCAAGACTTTTCAGTATTTGTTTGAAAAAAAAAAAGCATGTGAAACCTTGGCACGCATTAGAATAATTTGATTAATGTATACAATGAGTTGATTGCTATCAATAATCACTCTATTTTGTGCCATCATGTCAATGTTTCTTAAGATGGTTTCTATGAACTAACCTTGCCAACACGAAAAAAGCTAGATTATGGATTTCTTTTCAGCATGAAGTAGAATTATAATTGGAAAGTAATACAGTTAAATTATAAAACCTTAAAATCTTAGATAAGGAAGTCATCTTACAGATACTAGAGTTTACTGCCTTTCAGTTTAGAAGGAGTGAGTAAACTAAAACAAAGAGAAAGGAAGGATCTGACCAGGTTCATAAGTAGGTACGTTAGTGCTACCACCACAGCCCCATTCAGTCGCCTTAACACACACGTCTCCTTCTTTCTGTTTCAAGCAACCCCTACTGGAGAATTTTTCAGAAATTGGAAGTCACCATCAGAGTTGGAAAAGCTATCTAACTAAATGTATGCTATGTTATGTATATATATATATATATATATATATATGTAATATATATGTATGTATACACACATATGTATATATGTTCTGTACTATATATACATATGTATATGTGTTATGTATTTTAATATAATTAATTATATACTTGGATTATTTCTTATTTACATAAGTACTTCTGGAGTATTTGGCTTTGAGTCTTTTGGACCTTGAAGTCCACTAAAAATGTATCCCAAAAGTCTAATTACAATTGTACTAAAACAAAATGAAGGAACAAGAGAAAATCTACACATAGCCAATATAAGCTTAAAGTGAATTAAAATGAATTTACCGGCCGGGCGCGGTGGCTCACGCCTGTAATCCCAGCACTTTGGAAGGCCGAGGCAGGCAGATCACAAGGTCACGAGATCGAGACCATCCTGGCCAACATGGTGAAATCCCGTCTCTACTAAAAATACAAAAATTAGCTGGGCATGGGGGTGGGCACCTGTAATCTGAACTACTTGGGAGGCTGAGGCAGGAGAATGGCTTGAACCTGGGAGGCGGAGGTTGCAGTGAGCCAAGATCACGCCACTGCACTCCAGCCTGGTGACAGAGCAAGACTCTGTCTCCAAAAAAAAAAAGAGAGAGAGAGAATTTACCAAGCTCTATATTCTTAACCTTGTGTAATTGAGTTTGGGACCCCTCAAATTTATGTTTTTGAGATTAGGGCTCTATCCATTATTATATTTGTGGAGTTTTTTTGTAAGTATCCTTTTCAGAGACCCATCAATTTGAAGCTAGCCTATTTCAATAATCTTCTTAATGGAATCCTCACTTCCATAGTACTTTCCAGTTCATACATTATTTTTACTTATGATACCTCATCTGATTCTCACTGATGGTCCTATTGGTCCTATGTTAGTGGCCAGGGTCGCTGTGTGAAAAATATAGTGTGTGAACTTGGAGACCAGCGCTAGAGAATAAACTTTGAAGAGAGAGTGAGAATGCAGTGACTAAGGAATGACTTGAAGAATCACTCTGACCCTTGCTAGTCTTGACAGAGCTAACAATGTCTAGACTTTGGATACAGTTCTGAGACAAAGAAAAATGCTAGAAAAAGTATGTAGGAATATGGACTGAACAAACTGATGAAAAAAGAGCAACATTTCTACTATTTTAAAAAGTAATTAAAATTAATTTTCTTCCTAAAAAGAGACCACACACTGTGGTAAAAATTCCTAAACATTTTCACCATAATCTGTTTGTTGGTTTTTTAGAATTTTATCTTAACTTCCAAAAGTATTACAAGACAATTTGTAAAAGTTAAAAATATTTATATGAAAGTAATCTTTTTTCTTATTCACTTTCCTGAAGCTATGGCAACTTCCAAATTTCCATTTAGAAATGTATAGGTGCTGTGACTTGAGAGAGAGTGAGAAATAAATGGGAGACTTCCTTGGAACTATGTCCAAACAGCAAGTTTGGACATAGTTTTTTTTGTGTGTTCTTTTTATGTTTATATGAAGTGGCTTTTGAGGGAACTAATGTAGATTATGGAGCTCTAAAGCAGTTTAGTGCTGCCCCTACCATGAGGTAATCAACACTAAAAGAGCCATGCTTATGGAAATATACAAATCCATATCTAAAGGTTTTTTTTTTGTTGTTGTTATCTGGTTTTACAGAAAAGGGACTATGTTTTGTATATTATCCTTCAACTTTCTATTATTAATTCAAGGGCATCCCTCCAGTATTAACATCAACATCTAATGTATACTTTTTACAGTTTAATATTTTATTAATTAACTATAATTACAGATATACGGATCTATTTCTAGTAGTACACTGTGACACACAATGCTGCAATAAACACCTTTATACATTTATATTAGCTATACATGTTTCTGAATACAACAGGGCAGAGTCCCAAAAGCAGTATTTTTAGTTAATAGAATGCATATTTTAGATTTTAATACACATTTCCAAATTATTTGCTTCAATTTGTAGCAATTTATACTCAAATGTCCAAAGTCTGAGGATGATTTATCCTCATTAACTCTGAATGTTATTGCTTTTTAAACTTTATACTAATGTAATAAGTAAAAAGTAGATTGTTATTCTTCCTTTAATTTTCATTCAATATTAATTTTTTAAAATTTACCTTTTGGTTTTCTAAGGTGAACTTGTTATTCTTCAGATATTTTTTCTAATGGCAGAAATGTAATTTCATAAAAAGTGTTTTCCCTTAAAATTGTTATTGGTCCTGGACTGTCACTTCAAATCAATATCTCTTTTCAGATGTATATTTGGGCCATTTCTAGATTAAATTATACTTTATGGTAGTAGTAAAGAACTGTATAATCCAGATCTACAGATTTGAGGTAACTTGAGGAATATTTCTTCCCTCGTTCATTAACTAGGTAGGAAGGACCTTGCGCTCAGGAATCTTTTAATTTCTAGGATTCTGGGGAGACTACAAATGCTTTCAATAATGAGAAGATTTTTCCATAAGATTGGAGTTTCTAAAAACAGCATTGCAAACAAAGCATTTTTATGACTTGCTTTATAGGCTTCATTACACAACATCAAGGTGAATGGGTTCATAATCCAATATTGTTACAAAAGTAGAAGCAATTTATGTTCCAAAAAAAAATCTCTGGGGTAATTAAACTGCATTTCCCATTTCATGTTACTGAATTACCACATCTCCATTCATATTCAGGCTACCACAGTTCCAATTCACTATGCAAATTGGAAGACTTAGAACTTCCCAGGTTTAATGAATGCTTTCTTAGCCTCCACTCAGGAAAGAAAACCCTCCAAAATATTTTACTATGGGTTTAATTGGATGAGGAGTATAATGCATCACTCTCTCTTGGCATCCTAGTCCCTCACGGAGGTGTCCTTAATAGATGAATGAAGCCTGCTGGGGGAGTTCACAGTTTTACCTATTAATGTTCCCTGAAAGATCCCTCATCAGCATGATACTGCCATTTGAAGAACTTTTCCCCCAAAGCGAGGGATTTGCATACATTTGGTCAGAGAAGTCTGTCGCCTGGGCTGGCTAGGTAAATAATTATTTCATTCTGGGCACCAGAAGTTTTTTTTTTTTTTTTTTTTAAACTGACCAAATGTAGCTCATATAGGGCACAGTAGAAAGTCTTGGAAACAATGATATGTGGCAAACTGTGGACTGAAATAGGAAAGTGTGGCTTGGAGTTGCTGCCTGCAAGTATTTGCAAGGCTTACATAAGAAGAGGTGGCAGATTTTCTCAGAGACACCAGAGGTGACTTTTACTGCCCTTTAAAAATACTTCTCAAATTTGAGCTCTTCTACAGCAATGGGTACTACTGCATGAATGGTACAATTCCCCCATAAGAACACTCATTCACTTACTCAGAAATATTTATTGACTACAGTATATTATTCAGGATGCTACCACAGTAAGCAAGACAGAGTCTTGGACCTCACAGGATTACAGTTTGCAGGGAAGAATGTAGAAGTAGAAGCTGAATGGCCAGCTTCTACTGGGAGTGTCTTGGAGGGGATATACACACTGAGGGTGTTTTGACTTTATAAATTCTGTGATCTCTTCCACCTCTTTAATTCTATAATTTTGTGACTGTGCCTACTCTGGTAGTTTTGTGATAAGTAGTATGCATTTGCAAAATTGATTTCTAGAAAGGATTATAGACTGTGGCCTTGAGCAAAAATGATTTTCCTGGTTATTAACTGGCACACTTGGGATAATTTTGAAGTCCTTGGCCTCATTAAATTCATCTAACCACCTGAATTACAAAAGCTAGAAAATACTGTTACAAATATTTTAATTTACATTAATTATATTTTCACTCTTCAAAGATAGAGAATCCCCTCATATATAAAGAAAAAACGATATAAAAATGAGTCAGATTTTATAGTTTTTATGTAGTTACCTAAAGTCATCAGGCTTCTGCCATTGATACCAATTTTTTCATCAATTTTAAACTCCACTTTTCATATTTTATCTCTGATATGTGATGCATCTTATAGCCAATGCTCTATAATTGGCAAATTGATATATGATAATCATGCATCTTAAATCGATTGTATTTTAAACTTGAGCAAATTTGTTAATCTTCAAAAATTTCAGTGGGTACCATTTGCATGAAGAATAGATTTTAAGTCCATAAGCCTGGACTCCAAAGAACTTTGTAATATATTTTCTGCCTTATTTGCAACACTGTTCTATAATATTCAACTCTCTAGTCACAAAAAAATAAAATTTAAAAAATCTTATATATTTTGAGAATGTCTTTGCTCATGTTATTCTCTTTTTTGGGAAATTTCCTTTCCTTCCTTCTTCAGCATTTTTCTTTTGGAGTATTATCCATCAGCAGCCTTGCCCAGGTATAGACTGTGCCAGCTTGTTCTCTCTTGGCCTCTCGCCAAGGGTAATACTTCTGTCTGTAGAGTATCTTTGAGTAGTTTGCTATTCTCTGTCTTCCCTGCCTGGACTCTCAACTATTGGACAGTTATTTATAAAGTGGTTTCAAAGGCCCAACTTTAAATCCCTCCTTAGACAACCGGTTGGTCCCCTGCTCTGGGAGATAACCATATTGATACTGAAGTTAGTGCAGACATCCAATTTGCATAGCACACTGTAGCCCAGAACCCTTGAGCTGAAATGATCCTCTGTCTCAGCCTCCCAAGTAGCTGGGACTACCAGCACATGCCAACACACCTGGTGAGTGTGCTCTTTCTAAAATACATACATGACCATGTCCTTTCATCCAGTGGTTTCCCATGGTATGGCATATGAAATACCCTCTAATTTCACTTGTCCTCTGATATCAGTTTTCTCAATATTCTCCCCCCACCTCATTTTTTTTAAGGCTGTACTGAATTACTTGCTTTTCTCCAAATATTCAGTTCTTTGAATATTTTTGTCTGCCATTTCCTCTCCCTCTAATCTTCCAGGATGAAGAATCACTACATCTTAAGCTTTTCCTGACCTTTTCTTTTGTTGCTCAAAACTGATCATTCCTTTATTTGTACTTCCACTAACCTTGTACTTACTTTTATTATAAAATTTATTACATTGATATACCTTTAGGATTGTACTTCTCCCTTGTCCATGAGTCCATAAAGACAGAAATGAAGTGTTCCTAATTTTTTGTCTCCTTTGTGTCAAATATTGTGCCTAGTACATAGTGAGTGTTTAACAAGATGTTAAATAAATTAACTGAGAGTTAGAATAGTAAGATTAGCATACCATATATTAATGACCTCAAGGAAGGACAATACTTTATTGCAGTGGTTCTCCAATATGGCTGCGTATTAGAATCACTCAGCTTAAAAAAAACTCAATGCCCAATTGTAAGAATATTAAATCAAAATATCAAAGAATGGGACACAGACATAAATTTTAAAATTATCCACATGGTCCAAATGTGCCAGCATCGTTGAAGAACACTGCTTAAATATTTAGTAGTTTTAATAGATTTATTGAAAGTTCACCCATTTTAAGTGTATAATTCATTGATTTTTTAATAAGTTTATAGCATGGGAAACCACCATCAAAATACAGTTTTAGAACTTTTCCTTCACCTCCTGCATTTATATTAGGCCTGCTGCTTGTAAATCTCTACTTACACTCCTCCAGCCCCAGGCATCCACTGATTCACTTCTGTTTCTATAAATTTTACTTTTCTGGACATTCTATATAAATGGAATCATCCATTGTGCAGTCTTTTGCATTTAGCTTCTAATGTTGTTAAGGTTTATCCACATTGTAACATGTATCAACATTTCCTTACTTTAAAAAAAAAATTTCCATAAGTTATTGGGGTACAGGTGGTAGTTGGTTACATGAGTAAGTTCTTTAGTGGTGATTCGTGAATTTTTGGTGCATCCATCACCCGAGCAGTAGACACTGCACCATATTTGTAGTTTTCTATCCCTCACCGCCCCACCTCACTCTTCCCCCTAAGTCCCTAAAGTCCATTGTATCATTCTTATGTCTTTACGTCCTCATAGCTTAGCTCCCACATATCAGTGAGAACATATGATGTTTGGTTTTCCATTCTGAGTTACTTCACTTAGAATAATAGTCTCCAATCTCATCCAAGTCACTGCAAATGCTGTTAATACATTCCTTTTTATGCCTGTGCACTATTCTATTGTATATCCCTTACATTTTTATTACTATTTATGTGCTCTATCTATACAATAGTATTCCATTTTATAGATACAGAATATTTTGTCTATTCATTTACCAGTTAGTAGACATTTGGATTGCTTCCTGTTATGCATTATTATAAATAATGCAGCTATGAACATTCACATACAAAACTGTGGGCAAATGTTCTAATTTATCCCGGGTAGGTTATCAGAAATAGAATTGTTAAACCATAAGATACATTTAGATTTAACTTTCAAAAAATTTTTCAAACTTTTTGCCAAAGTGGCTTTATGATTTATAATCCTTTCATGCACGTCCATGTGAAGAGACCACCAAACAGGCTTTGTGTGAGCAACATGGCTGTTTATTTCACCTGGGTGCAGGTGGGCTGAGTCCAAAAAGAGAGTCAGCGAAGGGAGATAGGGGTGGGGCCGTTTTATAGGATTTGGAAAGGAAATGGAAAATTACAGTCAAAGGGGGTTGTTCTCTGGTGGGCAGGGGCGGGGGTCACAAGGTGCTCAGTGGGGGAGACTCTGAGCCAGGACAAGGAAATTCACAGGGTTAATCACTCAGTTAAGGTGGGGCAGGAACAAATCACAATGGTGGAATGTCATCAGTTAAGGCGGGGCAGGGCCTTTTCACTTCTTTTGTGATTCTCCAGTTACTTCAGGCCATCTGGGTGTATACGTGCAAGTCACAGGGGATGTGATGGCTTGGCTTGGGCTCAGAGGCCTGACATTCCTGCCTTCTTATATTAATAAGAAAAATTAAACAAAATAGTGTTGAAGTGTTGGGGCGGCGAAAATTTTTGGGGGTGGTATGGAGAGAGAATGGGCGATTTTTCTCAGGGCTGCTTCAAGCGGGATTAGGGGCAGTGTGGGAACATAGAGTGGGAGAGATTAAGCTGAAGGAAGATCTTGTGGTAAGGGGTGATATTGTGGGGTTGTTAGAAGGAACATTTGTCGTATAGAATGATTGGTGATGGCCTGGATACGGTTTTGTATGAATTAAAAAACTAAATGGAATAAGAGAAGGAGAAAAACAGGTATAAAAGGTCTAAGAATTGGGAGGACCTAGGACATCTGATTAGAGAGTGCCTAAGGAGATTCAGCATAGTCCTGCCAGCAAAGATTATTTATTTACTTCAAGAGTTTAGAGTGGCAGTTTGGGGATAGCACCAGGAGATATCAGCTGTGATGGCTTGGAGAAACAGTGTAAACCGGCAGTGTAAACAAGAGCAGGGCATGTAGTTCAGAATGGTGAATAGGAGTATGACTAGACAAAAGATAGTAGGGATGACAAGTTTTTTTGGGGCACAGTCTAAGTTGGTCTGGTGTCAAATGAGACTGGGGCCTAATAAAAAGGAGCGTCTGTCTATACAGGAGCTTAAATGGGCTGTACCTTGTAGCATTCTGAGGACAGGCCTGAATTCTGGGAAGTGAAAGTGATAAAAGTATTGTCCAGTCCTTTTTAAGTTGGTGGCTGAGCTTGGTGAGGTGTGTTTTTAAAAGACCTTTAGTCCGTTCTACTTTTCTTGAAGACGGAGGACCGTAAAGGATATAAAGGTTTCACTGAATACTAAGAGCTTGAAAAACTGCTTGGCTGATTTGACTAATAAAGGCTGGTCTGTTATCAGACTGTATAGAGGTAGGAAGGCTAAACTGAGGAATTATGTCTGACAGAAGGGAAGAAATGACTGTGGTGACCTTCTCAGACCCTGTAGGAAAGGCCTTTACTTATTCAGTGAAAGTGTCTATTTAGACTAAGAGGTATTTTAGTTTCCTGACTCAGGACATGTTGAGTAAAGCTAATTTGCCAGTCCTGGGTGGGGGCAAATCCTCGAGCTTGATGTGTAGGGAAGGGAGGGGGCCTGAATAATGCCTGAGGAGTAGTAGAATAGCAGATGGAACACTGAGAAGTTACTTCCTTGAGGATAGATTTCCACGATGGAAAGGAAATGAGAGGTTCTGAGAGGCGGGCTAGTGGCTTGTACTATAGCATAGCCTGCCTTTGCTGGTGTGTGGCGATTAGGCCTGGTGGAACTGCCATCAATAAATCAAGCATGATCAGGGTGAGGAACAAGAAAGAAGGAAATATGGGGAAATGGGGTGAATATCAGGTGGATCAGAGAGATAGTCATGGGGGTCAGGTGTGGCATCAGGAATAATGTGGGAGGCCAGATTGAAGTCCGGGGCAGGAACAATGGTAATTGTGGGACTTAAAGAGTGAGTACAGCTGAAGGAGCCGGGGAGCAGAAAGTATATGCGTCAGGTATGAGGAAGAAAATAGATTTTGGAAGTTATGAGAAATGTAGAGAGTGAGTTGAACATAGTTTGTGATTTTTAGGGCCTCTAACTGTATTAAAGCAGCGGCAGCCGCTGCACGCAGACATGAGGGCTAGGCTAAAACAGTAAGGTCAAGTTGTTTGGACAGAAAGGCTACACGATGTGGTCCTGGCTCTTGTGTAAGAATTCTGACCGCACTAACCATGCCTAGGAAGGAAAGGAGTTGTTCTTTAGTAAGGGATTGAGGTTTGGGAGATTAATCGGACATGATCAGCAGGGAGAGCACGTGTGTTTTTATGAGAATTATGCCGAGATAGGTAACAGATGAGGATGAAATTTAGGCTTGACTGAAGTATTGGGGGCTGTCTGTGAAGCCTTGCGGCAGTACAGCCCGGGTAATTTGCTGAGCCTAATGGGTGTCAGGGTCAGTCTAAGTGAAGACAAAGAGAGGCTGGGATGAAGGGTGCAAAGGAATAGTAAAGAAAGCATGTTTGAGATCCAGAACAGAATAATGGGTAGTAGAGGGAGGTATTGAGGATAGGAGAGTATATGGGTTTGGCACCATAGAGTGGATAGGCAAAACAATTTGTTTGATAAGGCGCAGATTCTGAACTAACTTGTAAGGCTTGTCTGGTTTTAGGACAGGTAAAATGGGGGAATGGTAAGGAGAGTTTATAGGTTTTAGAAGCCCATGCTGTAGCAGGCAAGTGATAACAGGTTTTAATCCTTTTAAAGCTTGCTGTGGGATGGGATATTGGCATTGAGTGGGGTAAGGGTGATTAGGTTTTAATGAGATGGTAAGGGGTGGGTGATCGGTCGCCAAGGAGGGAGTAGAGGTATCTTATACTTGTGGGTTAAGGTGGGGGAATACAAGAGGAGGAAGCAAAGGAGGCTTTTGGATTGAGAAGAAGGGCAGCAATGAGATGTGGCTATATCCAGGAATAGTCAGGGAAGCAGATAATTTGGTTAAAATATCTCGGCCTAATAAGGGAACTGGGCAGGTGGGGATAACTAAAAAAGAGTGCATAAAAGAGTATTGTCTAAGTTAGCACCAGAGTTGGGGAGTTTTAAGAGGTTTAGAAGCCTGGCGTCAATACCCACAACAGTTATGGAGGCAAGGGAAACAGGCCCTTGAAAAGAAGGTAATGTGGAGTGGGTAGCCTCTGTATTGATTAAGAAGGGGACGGACTTACCCTCCACTGTGAGAGTTACCGGAAGCTTGGCGTCCGTGATGGTCTATGGGGCTTCTGAGGCAATGAGGCAGCATCAATCTTCAGCCGCTAAGCCAAGAAGGAGTCAGTCAGAGAGCCTTGGGCCAGAGTTCCAGGGGCTCTGGGAGTGGCTGCCAGGTGAGTTGAACAGTCCGATTTCCAGTGTGGTCCCGCACAGATGGGACATGGCTTAGGAGGAATCCTGGGCTGCAGGCATTCCTTGGCCTGGTGGTCAGATTTCTGGCACTTGTAGCAAGCTCCTGGGGGAGGAGGTTCTGGAGGAACGCCTGGCCGCTGCGGTTCAGGCGTTTGGAAGTTCTTGTGTGCTGGAGATGTGGCTGGGGTTTGTCTCACAGTGGAGGCAAGGAATTGCAATTTTTTTTTTTATTATTGTACACCTTGAAGGTGAGGTTAATTAAGTCCTGTTGTGGGGTTTGAGGGCCAGATTCTAATTTTTGGAGTTTTATTTAATGTCAGGAGCAGATTGGGTAATAAAATGTATATTGAGAATAAGATGGCCTTTTGACCTTTTAGGGTCTAGGGCTGTAAAACGTCTCAGGATTGCTGCCGAACGAGCCATGAACTGGGCTGGGTTTTTATATTTGATAAAAAAGAGCCTAAACGCTTCTGATTTGGGATAAAGAAAAAGGAGCATTAACCTTGACTATGCCTTTGGCTCCAGCCACCTTTTTAAGAGTAAATTGCTGGGCAGGTGGGGGAGGGCTAGTCACAGAAAGAAACTGTAAGCCGGACCAGGTGTGAGGAGGGGAGGCGATAAAAAGATTACAGGGTAGAGGAGCGGAGGCTGAGGAAGAATTGGGACCTAGCTTGGCCTGGCGAGGAGGGGAGGGGTCAGATGGGTCTGTAGAAAAGGAAGATTAGAAAGACTCAGCAACGCTTGGGGTTGGGACTGAGGGGACAGGCGGAGGGGGGAAAGAAGGAAGATTTGGGACGAGTTGCACTGGGCACAGAGACTAGGAAGGGACTGATGTGTAAAAGAATGCCTGGACGTCAGGCACCTCAGACCATTTGCCCATTTTATGACAAGGATTATTTAGATCTTGTAGGATGGAAAAATTCAAAGTGCCATTTTCCGGCTATTTGGAACTACTGTCGAGTTTGTATTGGGGTCAAGCGCATTGCAGAAGAAAATAAGATGCTCAGATTTTAGGTCAGGTGAGAGTTGAAGAGGTTTTAAGTTCTTAAGAATATAGGCTAAGGGAGAAGAAGGAGGAATGGAAGGTGGAAGCTTGCCCATAGTGAAGGAGGCAAGTCCAGAGAAAAGAGTAGAGACACGGAGAAGGGGTGGGGGTTTCTTGCCCTCCAGAAAAGCAGAGAAAGGGTTGGGGCATGGAAATAAGGAATTGGGGCACAGAGATAAGAGGTTGGGGTGTGGAAATAAGGGATTGGGGGTTCTTGCCCCCTAGAAAAGCGGGACTTGCCGCTAAGGGTGAAGGAGAAGCAGTTGAGGGGTACTTGTCCCTCCCCCAGAAAAGCAGAGAAGGGGTAGAGACAAGGAGAGAAGGGATTGGGGTACTTGCCTCTTCCCCAGAAAAGCGGGACTTGCTGCTAAGGGTGAAGGACCAAGGCAGGCGTCCCTGCGTGGTCTGACACCTTTGAAACGTGGGTGAATAATCAGGCATCTCTGCAATGATTAAACACCAAGGGAAGGCTGCCTTCCCAGTCCGTGACCAGCACCGGAGTTTTGGGTCCATGGATAAAACGTGTCTCTTTTGTCTCTCTCTACCAGAAAATGAAAGGAATTGAAATTAAGAGAAGGGAGAGATTGAAGTGTGGCGCCAAGATTGAAAGGAGAAAGAGGTTGAGGGATAGTGAGGGAAGCTGGAGAAGAGAGTAAAAAGAGGCCACTTACCAGATTTGAAATTGGTGAGATGTTTCTTGGGCTGGTCGGTCTGAGGACCTGAGGTCGTAGGTGGATCTTTCTCACAGAGCAAAGAGCAGGAGGACAGGGGATTTATCTCCCAAGGGAGGTCCCCTGATCTGAGTCACGGCACCAAATTTCATGTGCGTCCATGTGAAGAGACCACCAAACAGGCTTTGTGTGAGCAACATGGCTGTTTATTTCACCTGGGTGCAGGTGGGCTGAGTCCAAAAAGAGAGTCAGCGAAGGGAGATAGGGGTGGGGCCGTTTTATAGGATTTGGAAAGGTAATGGAAAATTACAGCCAAAGGGGGTTGTTCTCTGGTGGGCAGGGGCAGTGGTCACAAGGTGCTCAGTGGGGGAGCCTCTGAGCCAGGACAAGGAAATTCACAGGGTTAATCACTCAGTTAAGGTGGGGCAGGAACAAATCACAATGGTGGAATGTCATCAGTTAAGGCGGGGCAGGGCCTTTTCACTTCTTTTGTGATTCTCCAGTTACTTCAGGCCATCTGGGTGTATACGTGCAAGTCACAGGGGATGTGATGGCTTGGCTTGGGCTCAGAGGCCTGACAAATCCCATTAACAATTCTTGAAAATTTTAGTTTCTCCACATTCTCACCAGCGGTTGTTATTGTCTGTGTTTTTGAGTATAGCCATTGTAGTCGATGTGTAGTGGTATCTCATCATGGCTCTAATGAACATTTCTCTTATGATTAATGATTTTGAGCACTTTTCATGTTCTTATTAGTCAATCAGATGCCTACTTTGGTGAAATGTCTATTCAAGCCTTGGTTCTTTTGTAAATTGGGTTGTTTTTCTTCCTGTGACTATTAAGTGCTCTTTATTTATAATGTATATAAGTATTCCATCAAATATGTGATGTGCAAATATTTCACCCCAGTCTGTTACTAGTCTTTTTATTTTGTTAACAGTGGTGTCTTTTAAAGTGCAAAAGTTTTGTTTTAATAAAATTTATCTTTTTTTTTTCTTTTTATGGCTTATGTTTTAGTGTAGCATCTAAGAGATTTTAATCCCATGCCACAAATTTTTTTTCTAAATTATCATTTAGTTTTTACATTCTAGTTCTTACATTTACGTCTACAATCAATTTGGAGTTCATTTTTGTGTATGATGTGAGGTAAGGGTCTAAGATTACTCATTTGCATATGGATCTCAAAATTTCCTACCATCATTTGTTGAAAAGATTGTTCTCTTTATATTTATTCATCTTGATATATTTGTTGAAAATTAATTGATTATAAATAAAAGGATTTATTTCTGGACACTCATTCCTGTCCTATTGATGTTAATGCCTATCCTTATAATGATACTACACTGTCCTGATTAACTTTATTGTATGTTTTGACCTTGAGTAGTGTACATTTTCCATTATTTTTCTTCTTTTTCAAAAATTGCTTTGACATTGTTAGGTCCTTTGCATTTCCTTAAAATTTTGGGTCACGTTGGCAATTCTACACAAAAGCCTGCTATAATTTGACAGGGACTGTGTTGAATCTGTAGATCAATTTGTTAGAGAATTTCCATGTTAACAATATTTAATCTATATGTCATTATGAATTATCTTTTCATTTACTTAGATCTTTAATTTCTCTCAGAAATATTTTGCAGTTTTTAGTCTATAAATCTTGCATTCTTTCATTAAATTTATTTCTGAATATTGAATTCATTTGATACTATTTTAAATAAAATCATTTTTAAATTTCATATTCAGATTGTTCACTGGTAGTATGGTAGAAGTACAACTGATTTTTTATGTTGATCTTATGTTCTGTGACATTGTAAAACTCATTCAAGTTCTTAGTAATTTTGTGTGTGTGTGTGGCTTCCTTAGGATTTTCTACATATTGGATCATTTTACCTGCAATAGGCATTTTGACTTCTTCATTTTAAACCAGAATTTCTTTTCTTCTTTTCCTCCTCTTCCTCCTCCCACCCTTTACTGCCTCCTCCTCCTCCTCCTTCTTCTTATTCCCCTTCCTCTTCTTTTCCTTATCCTCCATTTCCTGCCCCTAGTTTTCCTCAGACTCCTCCGGAACAATTTGAATAGAAGACGTGGGTGGGGACATCTCTGCCTTGTTCTTGTTCTTAGGAAGAAAATGTTCCGGGATCTCTGGGGTGTCGATTTTTCTGGCCAGAAACCTCTGTGGCCACTGCGCCTTTGCCCAAGTTCTTGTCCTGCACCCAGGAAGAATGAGGTGTGCAGACAAGTGAAGAGTGAAGAAGAAGAGTTTTACTTAGTGTCAGAACAACTCTGAGGAGTAGGTAGCTCCTCTCTGTGGACAGGTCGTCCCGTCGAGTGTTCAGCTCTCAGCAGAGAGGAGGTTCTGGAGAGGGTGGCTCCTCTCCGCAGGCATCTCTGCAGGTCTCTGAAGCTCTCAGCCGAGAGGGTAGCTCCTCTCTGCCAGCAAGTCGTCCCTGCAGCTCTTGGCGGAGAGGGCACTCCTCTCTCAGCTGAGGAGTCCCTGGAGAGGTTGTCTCTGCAGCTCTCAGCAGAGAGGAGGCCCTGGAGAGGATGGCTCCTCTCCACAGGTGTCTCTAGAGGTCTCTGAAGCTCTCAGTAGAGTGGGTAGATCCTCTCTGCCGGCAGGTAATTTCTGCAGCTCTTGTCCCAGAGGGTACTCCTCTCTCATCAGAGAGGAGGTCCTGGAGAGGTGGCTCCTCTCCGCGGGAGTCTCTCCGGGTCTGTGAAGCTCTCAGTGCAGAGGGTAGCTCCTCTCTGCCTGCAGGTCGTCTCTGCAGCTCTCGGCGGAGAGGGTGCTCTTCTCTGCAGTTAGTCGTCCCATTGTCTCCAGCTATCAGCAGAGAGGGTACGTCTCATTGAAGCTGGTCACCCAGTCCCATGAACTCTCTCTACTCTCTGGGTCCTCTGGCCATACTCTGCACTGCTCTGGCTGAGCCCAGGGCTCTTATAGACCTCAGAGGGGAGGAAGTGCATGGGGATTGGCCCATGGGTGGCCATGGGCGGGCCCAGAGAGGCACCATGAGTTCCCACTCTGGTGACGGACTGGCCACCTGGCCCTCAGCCTTCAGGCCCTCCCTGTCCTGAAGGTGGAGACTTACTGGGGACCTACCCCCTTCCACCCAGGACTCTTTCTGCCTCCCACTGCCATTCAAATTCAAGGCCCCGGGTCACTGCCCCAACCCCACTTCAAGATCAGAACCAGCATCAGAAGCAGAGAGAGGCCAGGCAGTGGGAGCAGACACCCCCGAACCTGCGACGGGGGAGGGTCCTTCCTGCAGCCCTCTAGGGTGCAGGGTGCAGAGACGCCCAGGTCCTGCGCCTAGGAGGGTGGCCGCAGCCGCACCTGGGAAGGCAGATCCAGCCTGCTCCAGGCCTTCCCCAAGAGCACAAGGAGGCTCCCATCGAGGGCTGCAGTTTGGGCAGCTGTAGTCCCATCCAGGAGGAAGGGGCTTCTGCTTGCTCCATAGAGCAGGAGGCCTGGGTCTGCAGCTGGGTTTGGGCAGCTGCAGTGGCACGGGAAGAGCTGCAGCTCCAACTCAGAAGGGGTGGGGCTGCCACCGGCTCCATGGTGCGTGCAGCCTGAGCCATGCCTCCTTACTGCAGCCAGCGTGATGGCCACTGCCATCACATTTGGTGTTCTCGTTAAGTGTGATATTAGCTGTAGTTTTTTTTCATAGCTGTCCTTGATCAGTTTAGGTAGGTTCTTTTCCCAGTTTAAGAGTTTTGAAATTATCAATTGGTGTCAGATTTTGTTAAACACTTTCTGTGTATCACTTGAAGTGACACACAGATACACAGATCATATATGTGGTTTGTTTTGCCTTTTTTTTCTTTTCTTCTTTCTAACTGCATATGATGAGCAATTTTACTACTTTCAAGATTTTTTCTTTGTCTTTATCTTTCATCAGTTTAACTATGACACATCTGGGTGTAGAAACTTTATCCTGCTTAAAGTTCATTGAGCTTCTTGAATATGTAGATTAATATTTTTCATTAAACTTTGGAATTTTTGGTCATTATTAATTTTTTTTTCTATTTTTTTCTCTTTTTGCTCTCCACCTTGGACTCTAATTACACATGCTTAGTATGGTTGATGTTGTTCCAAAGGCCTTTGAAGTTCTGTTGACTTTTCTTCAATCTTTTTTCTCTGCTATTCAGACTGAATTATAACTACAGTTCTATTGTCAAGTCATTGATTCTCCCTTCTGTCATCTCAAATTTGCTGTTGAGCCTCTTGAGTGAATTTTTCATTTTAGTTATTGTAATTTTCAACCCCAAATTTCTATTTCATCCTTTTCTTTTTAAAAATAATTTCTATCTCTCTGAGTTATTTTTATAAGCATATTTATTTTATATATGGTAAATAATATGTTTTGATATGTATACACAGGCATACATCAGAGATGTGAGTTCAGTTCCAGACTACAGCAATAAAGCCAATCTCACAATAAAGCAAGTCACACAAAATTTTTTTTCTAGCACATATAAAATTATATTTCCAATATACTGTAGTCTCTTGTATGCAATAGCACTATGTCAAAAAAAAAAAAAAACCAGTGTGCCTGCCTTAATTTAAAAATATTTTATTGCTAAAAATGCCAATGATCACCTGAGCCTTCAGTGAGTCATCACCTTTTTGCCAGTGGAGGGGTTTTGCCTTGATGTTGATGGCTCCTGACTGATCAGGGTGGTGGTTGCTGAAGTTTAGGATGGCTGTGGCAATTTCTTAAAATAAGACAACAATTAAGTTTGCCATATTTATTGACCGTTTCTTTCATAAAAGATTTCTCTATAGCACGAGATGCTATCTGATAGCATCTTATGCACAGTAGAACTTCTATCAAAATTGGAGGCAATCCTCTGACACCCTGTCACTGCTTTATCAACTAAGTTGATGTAATCTTCTAAATTCTTTGTTGTCATTTCAACAGTGTTCACAGCATCGCTACCAGGAGTAGACTGATCTCAAGAAACTACTTTCTTTGCTCACCCATAAGAAGCAACTCCACATCTATTATAGTTTAATCATGAGATTGTAGCAATTCAGTCACATTTTTTTTTTTTTTTTTTCTGAGACAAGATCTTACTCTGTCACCCAGACTGGAGTGCAGTTACATGAACACAGCTCACTGCAGCCTCAGCCTCCTGGGCTCAAACAATCCTTCTGCCTCAGCCTCCTGAGCAGCTGGCACCATAGGCATGTGCCATTATGCATGCCTCATTTTTTGATTTTTGTAGAGATAGGGTCTCACTATGTTGCTCAAGATGGTCTTGAACTCTTGCCCTCAAGCAGTCCTCTTGCCTAGGCCTCCCAAAGTGCTGGGATTACAGGTGTGAGCCACTGCATCTGGCCAGGCTCCATTTCTAATTCTAGTTCTCTCGTTATTGTCATTATGTCTGCAGTTACTTCCTGCACTAGTCTTGAATCAAAGTCATCCACAGAGGTTGGAATCAACTTCTTTCAAATCCCTGTTAATGTGGATATTTTGACCTTCTACCATGAATCACAAATGTTTTTAATGGCATTTAGAATGGTGAATTCTTTCCAGAAAGTTTCAGTTTACTTTGTCCAGATTCATCAGAGGAATTATTATCTTTGGTAGCTATAGCATCATGAAATGTATTTCTTAAATAATAAGACTTGAAATTAGAAATTACTCCTTCATCCATGGGCTACAGAATTGTTGTGTTAGCAGACATGAAAACAAAATTAATCTCCATGTACATCTCCGTTAGAGCTCTTGAGAGCCCAGATGCATTGCCAATGAGCAGGAATTTTGAAAGGAATCATTTTTTTTTTTCAGAGCAGTAGGTCTCAACAGTGGGCTTAAAATATCCAGTAAACCATGCTGTAAACAGATGTGCTGTCATCCGGCTTTGTTTTCCATTTATTGAGCATAGGCAGAGTAGACTTAGGGCAATTCTTAAGGGCTCTAGAATTTTTGAAATCATAAAAGATGTAGACTTCAATTTAGAGCCACCAGATGCATTAGCCCTAAACAAGAGATTCAGACTGTTCTTTAAAGATTTGAAGCCAGTCATTGACTTCTCTCTAGCTATGAAAGTCCTAGATGGAATTTTCTCCCAATACTAGGCCATTTTGTCTACATTAAAAAAATCTGTTGTTGGCTGGGTACGGTGGCTTACGCCTATAATCCCAGCACTTTGGGAGGCTGAGGTGGGCGGATTGCCTGAGGTCAGGAGTTCGTGACCAGTCTGGCCAACATGGTGAACCCCATCTCTACTAAAAATACAAAAAAGTTAGCCAGGTTTGGTGGTGTACACCTGTAATCCCAGCTACTTGGGAGGCTGAGGCAGGGGAATTGCTTGAACCAGGGAGGTGGAGGTTGCAGTGAGCCAAGATCGTGCCACTGCACTACAGCCTGGGCGACAGAGCAAGACTCTGTCTCAAAAAAAAAAAAAAATTCTGTGTTTAGTGTATGCTTAGTGTAGCCACCTTTATCAATTATCTTAGTCAGATCTTTTGGATAACATTCTACAGCTTCTATATCAGCACTTCCTTCTTCACCTTATACTTTTATGTTATGATGATAGCTTCTTTCCTTAAACCTTATGAACCAACCTCTGTTATCCTCAGTCATTTCTTCTGCAGCTTCCTCACCTCTATCAGAATTCGTAGAAATGAAGAGAGTGAAGGCTTTGCTCTGGATTAGGCCTTGGCTTGAGGAAATGTTGTGGCTAGTTTGATCTTTTTATCCTGACCACCAAAATTTTTCCCGTACCAGAAACAAGGCTATTTAGATTTCTCATCGTTTGTGTTTTTCGTGGGAGTACCACTTTCAGTTTTCTTCAAAGCCTTTTCCTTTGCATTCACTACTTGACTACCTGGCACAAGAGGCCTGGCTTTCATCCTATCTCAGCTTTTGAAGTGCCTTCCTCACTAGGCTTACCCATTTTTAGCTTATGTTTTAAAGTAAGAGATGTGCAACTTTTTCTTCCACTTGAACACTTAGAGGCCATTATAGGGGTATTTTAATTGGCCTGATCTCGGTATTCTTGTGTCTCAGTGAATATGAAAGTATGAGGAGAGGTAGAGAGTTGGAGAAATAGCTGGTTGGTAGAGCAGTCAGAAGTCACACATTTATTGATTAAGTTTGTCATCTCAATTGCTTCTCGGCCTTTTGGCTAAGATCAAGAGTGAAGTTTACCATTGCATGTGGTGTGGTTTATGGTGCCCCCAAACAATTATGATAGTAACAGTAAAGATCATGGATCACCATAACAGACATAGTAATAATAAAGTTTGAAACATAGCAAGAGTTATCAAAATGTGGCACAGAGACACAAAGCTAGCACATGCTGTTAGAAAAAATGGTGCCAATAGACTTGCTCGGAGCAAAGTTGTCACAAACGTTTAATTAGTAAGAAGTGCAGGATCTGAGGCATGCAATAAATACAATAAAACAAGATATGCCTATATATACTAAAATGATTACTACAGTGAAACAAATTACATCATTTTTCTCACATAATTACCTTGTTGTGTGTATATGTGTGGTAAGAACACCTGAAATTTACTCTTTTGGTAAATTTTATTACACAATACAGTATTTATTAATTACAGTAATCATAGTTTACATTAGATTTCTAGACTTATTTATCCAACATAACTGTAACTTTGGACCCTTTGACCAACATCTCCCTATCCCCTTCCACTTATAACCACCATTATACTCTACTCTATGTATTCAGCATTTTTAGTTTCCACATATAAGTGACATCATGCAGTAGTTTTCTTTCTGTGTCTGGCTTATGTCACTTAACATAATGTCTTTCAGTTTCACTCATGTTGTTGCAAAGGGCAGGATCTTCTTTTTTTTTAATTTGAATAATATTCCATTGTGTGTGTATACATTATATTATATTTTATTACATTCAGCAATTTATCCATTCACCCATCAATGGACATTTAGGTTGTTTCCATATCCTGGCTATTGTGAATAATATTCCAATAAACATGCAAGTGCAAATATCTCTACAGAATGACAATTTCATTTCTTTTGGTTACATATTTACACCCTTTCTAACACTTATCTCTTGCCTGTTTGATAATATTCATTCTAATAGGTGTGAGGTGGTATCTCAGTGTGGTTTTGATTTGCATTTTCTTCATGATTAGTGGTGATGGGAATCTTCTCATACACCTCTGGGCCATTTGTATTTCTTCTCTCTATTCAGATTCTTTGTCTATTTTTTAATTGGATTATTTATTTTTATTTTTTGTTGAGTTGTATGAGGTCCTTATATTATCCTGGATATTATTCTTTTACTGGTTATATGGTTTGTAAATATTTTCTTCAAATATGTAGGTTGCCTTTTCATTTTGTCGATTTTTTTCTTTGATGAGCAGAAGATTTTTAGTTTGACATAGCCCCACTTATTTATTTTTGCTTCTGTGGCCTGAGGGTTTTTTGTGATATCTAAAAAATCATCACTGGACCAATGTCTGGAAGCTTTATTCCTATGCTTTCTTCTGGAAATCTTACAGTTTTCGGTCTTATGTTTAAGTTTTAAATTCATTTTGAGTTAATTTTTTGTGTATGGTATAAAATAAAGGTTCAAATTCATTCTTTTGCATGTGGCTATCCACTGTAGCCAACATCATTCTTTGAAAGATTATCCTTTCCCCATCGTGTATGTGTGGTGCCCTTGTTGAAAATTAGCTAACCATATATGTTTTGTTTTGTTTTTTGTCTCTCTGTGCCTGATTTATTTCACTTAGCATAATGTCTTCCAGTTTCATCCACGTTGCTGCACATGATGGGATTTCATTCTTTTTTATGTCTGAAAAATAGTCACTTTTTCTTTATTCATTCATCCATTGAAGGACACTTAGGTTGTTTCCATACCTTGGCTACTGTGAATAATGCTGCAATGAACATGGGAGTGCAGATGTCTCTTTCAGATCCCAGTTTCAATTTCTTTGGATATATACCCAGAACAGGGATTGCTGGATCATGGGAGTAGTTCTATTTTTAGTTTTTTGAAAAAATTCCATACTGTTTTCCATAATGTCTGTGCCAATTCACATTCTCACCATCCAGTTTACAAAGGTGTGCCTTTGTTCACATCCTTACCAATACTTATCATTTGACTTTTTGATAATCGCCATTCTTTTTTTTTTTTTTTTTTGATAATTGCCATTCTAATAGGTAAGAGATGATATCTCATTGTGGTTTTGATTTGCATTTCCCTGATGATTAGTGATGTTGATGACTTTTTTATATACCCTTTGGCCTTCTTTAGAGAAATGTCCATTCAGATTTTTGCCCATTAAAAAAAATATTTATCCTTCAACTTTTAAGTTCTGGGGTAGATGTGCAGGATGTGCAGGTTTGTGTTACCTTGGTAAACGTGTGCCTTGGTGATTTGCTGATACATCAACCCATATGGTTGGGTTTTTTTAGCTCTCTTTTCTGTTTCATTGATCTAAGTGTCTGTTTCTATATTGTTTTGCTTACTTAAAGCTTTGTTATATAATTTGAAATGAGAAAGTGTAATGATTCTAACTTAGTTCTTTCTCAAGATTATTTTGACTAAAAAAGGTATTTTACAGTTCATATGAATTTTAGAATTTTTTTCTATTTTTGTGAAAAAATACCATTGGAATTTTGATAGAGATTATGTTTTATTTGTATATTGCTTTGGGTTATATGGACATTTTAACAAGATTCATTCTTCTAATCCATAAACCTGGGATATATTTCCATTTACTTGTGCCTTCCTTAATTTCTTTTATCAAGGTTTTATAGTTTTCAGTGTACAGATATTTCACTTCTTTGATTTAATTTATCTTGAAACATTTTATTTTTGATGTATTTTAAGTGGGATTGTTTTCTGGATTTCTTTTTTGATTAGATCATTATTAGTGTAAAGAAAAGCAACTAATTTTTGTATATTGATTTTGCATTTTGCCACTTTACTGAATTTGTTTATTAGTTTCTATAGATTTTTATTTTTTTTGTAGAGTCTTTAGCATTTTCTACGTATAAGATCATTTGCAAATGGGTAATTTTACTTCTTCCTTTCTGATTTGGATTATCTTTCTACACTGATTGCTCTTGCAATCCATTACTATGTTGACTAGAAGTGGTAATAGTAGGCATCCTTGCCTTTTACCAGATCTTGGAGGAAAAGCTTTTAAGTTTTTCCTCACTGATTATGACATCTCTGGCCTTTTCATAAATAGCCTTTATTGTGTTGCAGAAGTTTCCTTCCATATATATTTTATTTAGAGTTTTTGTTACATATGGGTGTTCAACTTTGTCAAATGCTTTCTATACCTATAAAGATAATCAAGGGGTTTTTTATGTTTCATTATGTTAATGCAATGTATCACTTTGATTAATTTGTGTATGTTCAACCAAACTTGCACCTTAGGGATAAATCCCACTTGGTTGTGGAGTATAATCTTTTTGATGTGTTCTTAAATTCAGTTTGTTAGTATTTTATTGAGGATTTTTGCATCCATGTTCACCAGATATATTGGCCTGTGGTTTTCTTTTATAATGTTGTTGTCTGGTTTTGGTGTTAGGGTAATGCTGGTCTCATAGAACAAGTTAAGAAATATTATTTTTGCTTCAATCCTCTGAAAGAGATTGTAGAGAATTCATACAATTTTTTTCCTTAATATTCCACAGAATTCACCAGTGAACTAATCAGGGCTTGGTCTTTTTGCTCTGGAAGGTTATTAATTATTGGTTCAATTTCTTTAATAAATAAAAGTCTATTCAGATCGTCTTTTTCTTGAGTGAGTTTTGTCAAATTGTGTCTTTTAAGGAATTGGTTCATTGGCTCAATCTAGATTACAAATTTATGAGCATACAGTTGTTCGTAGAATTCCCTTATTATTGCCAGGCGCGTTGGCTCACGCCTGTAATCCCAGCACTTTGGGAAGCTGAGGTGGGCGGATCACGAGGTCAGGAGATTGAGACCATCCTGGCCAACATGGTGAAACCCTGTCTCCACTAAAAATACAAAAAATTAGCCAGGCATGGTGGCGGGCGCCTGTAGTCCCAGCTACTCGGGAGGCTGAGGCAGGAGACTGGCGTGAACTCGAGAGGTGGAGGTTACAGTGAGCCAAGATCACGCCACTGCACTCCAGCCTGGGTGACAGAGCGAGACTCAGAAAAAAAAAAAAGAAAAAGAATTCCCTTATTATCCTTTTAATGTCCAGAGGATCTGTTGTCATGTCCCCTCTTTTATTTCTGATATTAGTAATTTGTGTTCTCTCTTTTTGTTTCTTAGTTAACCTGGCAAGAGTCATATTGATCTTATTGATCTTTTCAAAGAACTAGCTTTTGGTTTTGTTGAGCTTCTTTATGGATTTCCTCTTTTCAGTTCATTGATTTCTGCTCTCATTCTTATTGTTTATTTTCTCCCACTTTAGATCTAATTTGCTCTTCTTTTCCTAATTTCATAGGGTGAAAACTTAGATTATTTATTTTCTATTTTTCTTGCTTTTTACTATATGCATTGAATGCTATAAACTTCCCTCTATGCACTACTTTCATTGCATCTTAAAAATTTTGTTGTGTTTTCATTTTTATTTAGTTCCAAATGTTTTTAGATTTTTCTTGAGATTTCATCTGTGACCTATGTGTTATTAAAAACTATGGTAGCTCAGGCATAGTAGCACACACCTGTAATCCCAGCAATTTGGTAGGCCAAGGCAGAAGGATTGCTTGAACTCAGGAGTTCAGGACCAGCCTAGGCAACATGGTAAAACCCTGTCTGTACAAAAAACACAAAAAAATTGGCTGGGCATGGTGGTGTGCACCAGTAGTTCCAACTACTTGGGAGGCTGAGGTGAGAGAATTGCCTGAGCCCAGAAGGTCAAGGCTGCAATGAGCCATGATTGCACCACTGCACTCCAGCCTGGGCCACTGAGTGAGATCCTGTCTCAAAAGTAAATAAATAATAAATAAATAAATAAAAGAGGAGTATGTTAATTTCCACACATTTTTTATTTTCCTGTTATCTTTCTGTTATTGATTTCTAATTTAATTTTACCGTGGTCTGAGAGCAGACATTTCATGATTTCTGTTCCTTTACATTTGTTAAGATATGTTTCCTGGTGCAGAATGTGCTTTATATTTGTGTATGTTTCATGTGAGCTTCAAAGGAATGTGTATTTTGCTATTGTTAAATGAAGTCGTCTATAAATGTTGATTACATCAGTTAATTGATGATGGTGTTGAGTTCTACTATGTCCTTAATAATTTTTTTGTCTGCTGGATCTGTCCACTTCAAATAGAGGAATGTTGAAGTTTCCAACTATAATAGTGGATTCATTTATTTTTCCTTTCCTTGCATTTTCATCATTTTTTGCCTCATGTGGTTTGATGCTGTGTTGTTAGGCACATACCTATTAAAGATTGTTATATTTTCTTGCAGAATGACCCCTTGATCATTGTGTACTGCTCTTTATCCATGATAATTGTCCTTGCTTTGAAGTTTGCTCTGTCTTAAATTAATACAGCCACTCCTGATTTCTTTTGATTAGTGTTACATGTATATTTTTCTTCATCCTCTTACTTTTAATCTATATGTGTCTTTATATTCAAAGTGGGTTTCTTCCAGACAACATAGAGTTGGGCCTTTTTTTTTTTTGTCCACTCTGACAACATCTGTCTCTTAAACCATTGATGTTAAAGTGATTATTGATATAGTTGGATTAATATCTACATATCTGTTATTGTTTTCTATTTGTTGCCCTTGTTATTTGTTCCTTCTTTGCCTTCCATTCTTTTTCTGCCTTCTATAGTTTTAATTGAGAATTTTATATGACTTCATTTTCTCTCCTTCCTTAGCATATTAGTTAATACTTCTTTTTAAACTTTGTTTTTAGTGGTTGCCCTAGAGTTTTCCATATACATTGACAACAAATCCACATCCAGTTTCAATATACATTGACAACTAATCCACATCCACTTTCAAATAACACCATAGTGCTTTATAGATAGTGTGAGTACTTTATAGTAACAAAATAATCCTAATTCCTCCATTTGATTCCCAGATTCATTGTAGTCATTCAGTTCACATATATTAGCATGCATAAGTATATATATAAAAAGTGTACATAATTAGACACATTGTTGCTATTGTTATTTTGAACAAACATTTGTTAGACTAAGAAAATAACATGTTTATTTTACATTACTTATTCCTTCCTCAATGCTCTTCTATTCTATATGTAGATCTGAGTTTCTGACATATCATTTTCCTTCCCTCTGAAGAACTTAACATTTTTTGCAAGGCAGATGTACTGGCAACAAATTTCCTCATTTTTGGTTGTCTGAGAAAGTCTTCTTTTATCCTTCACTTTTAAAGGATAATTTCAAAGGATACAAAATTCTAGGCTGGTGTTTTTTCTCTCAACACTTTAAATATTTCACTCAAATTTTTCCATGCTTGCACAGTGTCTGAGGAAAAGCTGAATACAAGTTTTCTTTTTGTTCCTTTTACAGGTAAGGTGCTTTTTTCCTGTGGCTTCTTTCAGGGTTTTTTTCTTTATCTTTGATTTTCTGTAATTTGAAAATGATTTACCTAGGTGTAGTTTGTTTTTTGGTTTGTTTGCTTGTTTTTTGGCATTTAGCCTGCCTAGTGTTCTCTGATCTTCCTGAATCTGTGGTTTTATGTCTGACATTAATTTGGAGGAAATTCTCAAACATTATTGTTTCAAATATTTCTTATGTTCTTTTCTCTGTTTCTTCTTCTGTATTCCCATTATGAGTACGTTACATCTTTTATTATCGTCCCATAGTCCTGGGATAGTCTGGTTTTTTTTCACTTTTTTTCTCTTTGCTTTTCAATTTTAAAAGTTTCTGTTCATATATCCTCAAACTCAGAGATTCTTTCCTTAGTTGTATCTATTTGATAAGCCTGCCAAAGGCATACTTTAATTCTGTCACAGTGTTTTTGATCTATAGCATTTCTTTTTGTTTCTTCTTAGGAGTTCTGTTTCTCTACTTACATTGTCCATCAGTTTTTGCAAGCCGTCTATCCGTTAGAACTTTTACATATTCATTGATGTTGTTTTAGATTACTGGTCTGATAATTCCAATATCCCAGTCATGTCTGGCTTTGGTACTTGCTCTGTCTCTTTGAATTGTGTTTTTTACCTTTTGGTGTGCCCTATAATTTTTTTATTTTTGATAGTTGGACATCATGTACTGGGTAGAAAAACTGCTATAAATAGGCCTTTAATAATGTGGTGGCAAGGTGTGTGGGGAAGGGAAGCATTCTATAATTCCATGAATATGTCTCAGTCTTTTAGTGAGCCTGTGCTTCTGGCCTGTGAACTTCACAAATGTTTCTCAGGTTTTTTCCTCCTCCCTTAGGTTGGATAGGATGGTTAGAGTGGGCTGGAGGAGTTGGGTGTTTCTCTTCCTTCACATAGAAGGCTAGAGTGTGTTGGAGTTAGAGATTTGTTTTTCCCCAGGTCAGCTAGGCTCTGATAATACCCCAGCAAGTTAGTGTCTGGTTAACTAGTTTCCCCTGAGGGCAGGCTTTGTTAAGAAGAACAGAGTGCTCTGGCTTATTTCAGAATGGTTCAATTTCCCCCACCCCGGCGAAGAGCAAGAGGGGATTTTTCTGTGATATTTACTTAGAAATCTGGGAACTCTTAGAGGTGAATCTGACAATATTGTGTGTGTGTGTGTGTGTGTGTGTGTGTGTTGTAGGGGGTGCCCATTGATGGTGTCTCTCTGGAGTTTTTAACCCTCAGACTTGTCTGCACTGAGTCTCCAGCAACTTGTCAATTACAGTTCAGGTTTTCCTGCCTTTCCACAGTTTCCACTTGTCATTCTCTGCTCCAGAAACTTGTGACTCCCTCTTTTAGCCTGTCTGTTTCTCCAGTTTTGGGATCAGCAGTTTAATCTAGTGACCTTACTGCTCTTACATACACAAAAAGAGTTGTTTTTTCAATCTATTTAACTTTTTACTTGTTTGGATGGAGTGGTCGTTTCCAAGCTCCTTACACGCAAAACCAGAAAACCCATCATTAGAATTTTGGAAGAGAGGAAACTTTGTTTTTACTTTGAAATTTCTTCAGTAGCTATAATCAAGTTCCTGGGGCTTTAACAACCCCCAGTACGTAATTCTCAGTCTACTTGCTATTCAGTCAAGTTTTAAGTCAAGTTTCCCAGTCGCTCCATCCAATCAGATTCTCCTGTATAAAAAAATTTAAGGAGCCAGTTTATGCTGTCGTATTTTATGAATGTACTTTTGGTTTACATGTTAGTGGGCATTTAACTCTGGCTTCTTTTTACTTTTTCCAATGAACCCTCTAAGAAAAAAGAGTTTATAGCTGTGTCAATAAAAGAAAAAAAATGCTGACGTCTTACTGTCACTTATGCTAACAGACAATTCGTCTGTTTTCATGATTAAAAATTTTTTTACCAGGGATGACAGTCTGTAAATGTGGGCATGAAGCAGGCCGGTATGCCAACTAACTGTTCTTGTACATGAGAAAGCTAGGATATCAGAATATAAAAAATATTTTGTATATTTTTTTAGTTTCAGTTTTCTTTAAAATAAATTTTTTAGTCATCCAGCCCAAAATGTCATCTTTTTTTTTGTTTTGTTTAGGGAAAGAAAAATAGTAGATTCCAAATGCATTCATTTCTGGTTTAACTAGTGTTAGGGAGGATGTGGGTTGAAGTTGAATATGTAGAAAGGGAGATAGAACAGCATACATGGGTAAAATTCATAACAACATCAATAGTGGACTTACATCTCTTTTTGAGAGTTTGGGGAGTTTAAACAATTCAGCATTTTTTAATGTTATCCTATTATACATTAAAAGATAACTTTTATCCCAGATTAAGCACTGCAGGGTAATCGAAAAAGCACAGGCTTTGCAGTTAGGAAAACCTACTTAAAATCTTGATTTTGCTACTTGCTAATTGTGTGACCTTGGTCAAGAGTAGTTCTAAAATCTGAAAAATGGTGGTTTCTACCTCATTTTGTTGTAAGAATTAAAAAAGAACCATATGTAAAGTGCTTGGTGGGATGCTAGCCAGTTCAAGTAGCTGGTGTTTAATGCAGTTATAATAAGCATCTATTAAGGTTAACATATTAAAGTGCTCAATTTAGACTCAAGATTCTTATCTTAAGATGCATCTAATCCTGATACATTATAATTGACTAGGGCAACCATTCCCATGCCCTTTATGTTAGAAAAATTCCATGGTGATTTTACTGGTGCATGATTATTGGATGGTTATTGTTAATTTCCATTCATGGGTCATAATTCATTAACCACAGGTGCCATTTTGAATGACCTTTTGACTTCCACATCGCAAACAATGCCAGCATGAAGCAAAGTGAGGTCTGTTGATCATAAGCGATAAGTACATTTTTGAGGTACTTTGTGATTGCCAAAGCTGAGTGCAGTCTCAGTGACTCTTAGGTTATCAAAACCCCTTTCAATTAGCTATGGCACAAAATCAATAAATCTCCTGGGAAAAATGTCTTCAAGGGAGATGAAAAAGGAGTATTTTAAGGTCTCAACAAAAATGAGAGTAAAATATGCTAATCAGTAACAAATAAAAAAAAAGAGAGAAAGAAACACTGAAAATCCATCTGACACAAAACAAATTTTATTCTAAGATCTTTGTGTTTGCATTTTCAGGAAACAAAACATTAAGAATGTTCCCTGGCCATTAGGGAGCATTGGAAAGTTGGATTCTTCTCTATTTTGTTTCTGGGAATAATGAAGTTTTGGTATACGCAGAGCTGAATCAGATTGAAAGATTTAATTCCTCTAGGAAAGTGTTGTTTTTCATTGTTTTTTCTTTTTTTCCTTTTTAACATCATGTATGTGCCCAGGGAGAGTCTTGATGAGCACTAAACAAATATCTTGTTAGTTAGATGGAAAGCAATTAGAATGTTCTTATATGCACAGCACTCAGCACCGTGGTGTTTGGTGTCATGGAAATGCAAATTAACTAAAGCACCAATAATTATAATGTTAATGATGATAAGCATTGTTTAAAAATTATTTGAAGATAAGCAGAGTTATCTATAAGTAGATAAACATGCACTAAGTATATATGTAGATATGTGAGCATATATAGAGCCATTTTTCACTTTATGAAATATATTTACGTTAATGAAGTTGAATTTCAACTGACTTTCCAAAAGCAAATCATATTTTCTAACCCATTCCACTTACATAATTGGAAATGTTTTTCATGGGTGATAATGAAACTGAACAGCAAATACTGGTCTGGAATTTGTTAATAAAGTTTTTATTCAGCAACAATTTTTCAGCAATCACTATGTGCCCTCCACTGTATATAAGTTGGGGATGCAATACTAAATCAGGCGCTCCCTGTTTTCAAGGGGTTTTTTCTTTAGCTAGAAACACAGAGAAGTAAACAAGGAATTTCAACACCATGTGATATGTGTTATAGAAAGATACTATAGAGCCCTATGGGAGAACACAGAGGGTACCTAATCCAGTCAACCGTGGCAGGAAAAGTTTCCTGGATGTGATGGTATCTAAGCACAAGAAGGAATTATGTAGGCAAAAGTAGAGTCGAAGGTAGATTTGGGGGTTAGTGCTGATGGTGGATGTAGTGATGGTGGTGGTGGTAAAGGGAACAACATGTACAAAAGCACAGAGCTTAGAGGGAGCATAAGGTCCTTCTGGGCCTGCATCTTTTAAGTATTGCTGAGAGAATTTAATGTGGGGGAATGGACGGAGTTTGATGGTGAGATATGAGGTTGGAGAGGTAGGCAGGGGCCAAAATAAGAATAAATCTATAGCCTGTGGAAGAAGAATTGCCATTCAGTGGTATGCTAGTAAACTGCTCTTGGAATAAAATGCTCTGTTTTGTAGTACTTGCCCATTTCTGTGGTGTAAATACTCCCACCATGGCTGTATGCTACCGATAATTGAACAACTGGCTTGCAAAATGTTTTTTTCTGGATATTTAACAAGTGGCTCTTGAGAGCCAGTTCAAGCTGGTTCCATTCATCCCAGAACTCACTGCTAGAGACTAGATCAGCATAGATCTGATATTGGGATGGAGACTACAGATAAAAAGACAAGCAGATGTACTGGTTATTGTAACCCAGCAATACTTTTTATAACCTTTCCTTTTGTAGGCTGCAACTGAACCTTACCTCCTCAACTCCAATGCATGCTTTTATACTCACAAAATCTGCAGCTCATTTTACTATGGGATACTTTCAGTCTTGTGTGAGCAGAACTTAGAATCTTAGTATTATTATAGAAGAGATCTTTGAAATTTTCTAGCACAACTCTTTAAGAGTTTAGGAAACGAAGCTCATGTTACAACTAATATTTGCAGAACCAGTTATATATCCTCTATATCCTCTATGACGTTTCCAGCCTTCCCCACCTCAGCCATTAGCCATCCTCAGAATCTCCCTAACCCTACAATTTCTTTACACTATCAGTCACTTAATTTTAGTTCTTTGCTCCCCATCTAAATATTTATGATTCAACTAAGCTGCAAGATCATACTTTGCTGGTTTCAGACTTGGAGTTCCCTTATTTTAACATTGTAGATGTTCTTAACTGTTTTGTCTTTTGGTTGTTAAAAGCTTAAGTATGATATGTGTTGGCGTAAATTACTTTGGGTTTATCTCGTTTGTGATTTTGTTTAGCTTTTTAAATACGTGGGTTTATATCTTTTGCCAAATTTGAGAAGTTTTCAACTATAATATTGTTTCGTTCATTATTTTTGCAGGCCTACCTTTTTTCTCCTCTGCTTCTGGGACTTCAATGGCACAACTGTTAAATCTTTTGTTATAGTACCATTTGAAACCCTGTTTAACTTTTTTTCAGTCTATTTTCTCTCCATTCCTTAATTTGGATAATTTTAATTATTCTGTTTTCAAGTTCACCAATACTTTCTTCTGTCCTCTCCATTCTGATATTATGGCTGTTGCTGAGATTTTTTGATTTTTTTTTTGTCTTATGAGATTTCACTTGGTTCTATTTTATACATTATATTTTATACTTCCTATTTCTTTGCCAAGAACTATTTCTTTGCATTTTTGTGATGGCTGCTTTAAAAATCTTTGTTAGATAACTTTACCCTTTGTGTCACCTCTCTGTTGGTGTTGTTGATAGTATTTTCTCATTCAAGTTGTGATTTTCCTGATTCTTGGTATGATGGGAGATTTTTTATTGTATCCTGCATATTTTTGGCATGATGTAGTGACACTGTGGATTTGATTTAAATCTTATGATGTAGTAGGTCTTTTCTGACACTGCAGCTCTGGGCAAACATGGCTGCAGCCTCATTACTATCTCTGGAAGGTAGAAGTGCAAGTCTCCCCTCAGCCTCCACTGAAACCCTAGAGTAGGGGTAGAGTGTCTCTCTGTTGGTGGATATAGGTGGGAATCAAACCTCCTTGCTGGCTGCATTGACACCACTCTGGTTGGGAGGGAAGGGGAGGCTGTTTACTGCCCACATGTGTCTTCCACTGACATCATGTGGGTGGGAGTTACTGTCAGGTGGGATGAAAGTCCTGCTCCCCAACTCCAACTTCTCTGATTAACCTCCCACCCCCCAGCGGGAGGGGTGCCTTGTTATAGCTGGATAAGAGTGGAAGTCTATGTTCCTTTCTTGGCTTTTGCTGGCAGGTCTGGGGTGTGCCATAGTTTTCTCTCTTTGGTTGGTTGTAGTAAGTCTTCTGTTTTGTTAGGCTGCCATTGTTTTTGATCCTTTGGCTACAAAAAGTTGGCTGTTCTTGTTTTTTTTTTTAACCTGTTAACTGGCTTTCTGGGTTGTTGGCTTCTTTAGCACTTAAAGTGTTCTAAAAAATCTGTATGCCTTTTCACCTTTTATTAAAGAGTTATCTTTAAGGCCAATGGATAAAACATTTAGAGATTTTAATTTCAAAATTTGAGAAAAAGAGTGAAAGTCAGAACTGTCCAGAAATGGAATCTGGACAGTGGGATTCGTAGTAAGTGGAATATTCTGTGTCATTAGCTGTTGTAGACGAAATTAAAAAATCAGAAAAGGGATTGCACTAACATTTAAAAGGTCTCTTTCAACTCTAAATATCTGATATTTGGAAACCAGCAGCTTCAGAAAGTCTTCCTTAGTGAAGAGAGTTGTGGCATTGAGGCATCACAGGTTGAAGATGTATTCCATGATCCTTCCATTATGCAGTGTTTTCTTATTTACACAGTAAAGATTAAGAATAGCAGAGGGAGGATGTGGGGTTGTAAAGGAGTGTGAAGTAGCTTATAAGAGCCCAGGAGGCTGGGCTGTGTTTTCACGATGTTTATATTGTGTTTGGCCTGCTAAAAACTTCATGATCAGTTATAAAAATGTTTCTGATATTTAGCCCACATAATTTTTCTGTATCCTAGACAGGAAAAAAGAAAGCATTGGCCTTTATATAAAATAAATGTGTGTGTGAATTTATAACAAAGTATTTGGAATGATTTACGAACATTTGGATCTCAATTAATGAAATATAAATTTTTGCCTACATGTATGTAATACAATATTCCATTATGCACTTGTCTGTATCTGAGAAGTCATAATTATCCTTTGAGAATATATTTATTTTAGCCACATGTTGGAACTAGGGAGATCCATAGGTAATAGCATTCTTAAATACTGGAGATTCTGGATTGTGTAATTCCAAATGCTCTTTATTATGGAAATAATATAATGTGATTCAAAAGCAAATACATTATATGATGGGCATCTCAATAAAGTGTTATATGGAAAAAACCCCAAAAACTAAGGTACACACCCTTAAAAGGTTAACTAGTTCATCTCTTGATTCCTGTGAACTTGAAAAAGGTCTGTATTGCCATAGGGGATGATAAGGAAATTAGTCAGTGTAATTAGAATTTGCTAATGCAAATCTGTTGTTATTCAGCTGTGGAATTACCCCCAATGAGACTTATTTGCCATGTCATCAGCTATGCATATTTTCAGCTAGCCACATTGGGGGCTCCAGCAACACTAAAGACCAATTTGGCATTTGTTCTCAAGTGTCATTTTCATTAACATTGGTGGGTGTAAAGCATAAACAGTGAAGGAAAAATTATTTCCCTTTGCAGTTATCATGAATTGCAAAATGAGAGAAGTGGCAAAGCAGTGGTATTTTGTTTTGTTTTGTTTTGTTTTTTTACTTTTAAGGATTTACTGAGCAATATCGCTGCAGGGCTTTTTGTTTGTTAATGGCCAGAAGATTAGATTTTTCAATATTCTTTTATGTTCAAATTGCGATCCTTATATAATTTTTATAAATAATGTTTTATGCAGGCGAAGATTAAGTAACTAAAAGTCATATAGGGTGGTTAGGAACTTTGTTGGCTAATAGAGTCTTAAAAATGTAAAATTTAGGATTTAGTGAGAAAGGATTGACATGTGATGAGAATTAGAATGAAGAGGATTTATTTAACTATTTAGTCTGTATGCATACATACACATAAACCATGTGTATTTATGTATAATATATGTATGTATACATATATAGTCTACATATATATGTATACCCATATATCTACATGCATACATATGTGTGTATACATATATGAATTGATGTATATATAAACCTTTTAGCCAATTTACTTCCTGTTAATGTCTTTCTTTTTAAGTGAAGGCACTATTTTCTTACCTTGCTATTATTATTATTACTACTGTGATTATTATTGTTCTTTTCCACCTTAAAATACCTTTAAGTTTCTCTGTCTAGAGTTTGCCATAAAATAAGTGCATGTTGTTAGATTTTATTTCTCCATTATATATTTTCCCATTTTTATTGCTGTGAATTTTACTTATGTTAAAAGAAAAACTTAAGACAAATTAAGTTTAACAGAGTTAAAATGAGCAAAGAATGATTCCTGAATCGGGCAGCCTGCTGAACTAGATGGGTTCAGAGCAACTCTAGTACTGTTGCATAGTTGAGAAGGACTTAGGGACAGGAAAAGGAAAGTGATGACCAGAAAACAGAAGTGAGGCACAGAAACAGCTGGATTGGTTACAGCTTCGCATTTGCCTTATTTAAATAGAATTTGAACAGTTGGCCGCCTGTCAGTGGTTGAAGTATGACTGCTGTGATTGGTTGGGACTCAGCTACTTGTTACCAGAATAGATTACAGACGGTTTACACATCCAATTAGGTTACAGTTCACTGTGTGAAACCTTCAGGCTGGACTTAACATAGGAAAGGAGGCAGCTATACGCTAAACTTACTGTAACACTTACTTAAAAAGTCCTGGCCGGGCGCGGTGGCTCACGCTTGTAATCCCAGCACTTTGGGAGGCCGAGGTGGATGGATCACAAGGTCAGGAGATCAAGACCATCCTGTCTAAGACGGCGAAATCCCGTCTCTACTAAAAATACAAAAAATTAGCCAGGCGTGGCGGCGTGCGCCTGTAGTCCCAGCTACTCGGGAGGCTGAGGCTGAGGCAGGAGAGTGGCGTGAACCCGGGAGGTGGAGCTTGCAGTGAGCCAAGATCGCGCCACTGCACTCCAGCCTAGGCGACAGAGCGAGACTCTGCCTCAAAAAAAAAAAATCCTTTTTGGGTGAATCCTTTGATAACAGCTTCAATTATCTTTATTCCAAATAATAGCGGGAATTCAAATTTATATTAGGTGAATGTGATTGCTAATTCTTTGAGAAACCTGTTTATCAAATTGGAGACAAAATTAACTCCTTGGTCTTAGGTTTAAAAGTCATTAATAATTTCAATACTTGATGTTGTACAAATTGGAAACTTGTGCTTCTTTCATATGTCTTTACATTTGGAGCTCAAAGTCCTTTTTCTTTAGTACAACTTACAAATCCAAGCAAGCTATGCCAGTGGCTGTATAATCAGGTCCCTGAAGAGTAAAGAGTCTTAGAGCGACATAAGATTTACGTAAAGAGAAGAGAGTGAAAACAAAAACATAGCTCCAATATTTTTTGGAGTGGTACAGCATTGTGATTTGAGTTTTCATCCGCTCTGCTACCCATGTTCCCCAAACCACAAGCGCCATTTATTTACTTAGTTAGTTAGACAACGATGATAGTGAAAAGTATGTTTTCCAAGGTGGAAAAATATAGGTCTGACTCCTGAAATTCTAATTTTGGTGATTCCCAAATTCATGGTATGGTGTTGAGCAGCCATTTCATCCTGCTGTGTCTTTTTCCTTGCCTATAAATTGAAGAGATAGGTAAGGCCCATCTTTTAATGTGTTAATGTAGACTAAGGCTTTTTAGATATGTAGGAATTGATGTCTTTGAATGGTAACTGAATCCTTCCAGGAAACAGAAAGTCTATTCTCTACTTAAAACCTATCTCTGTTCTTTTATTTTTTACCTTTATCCTTATTCCAGCATTTAACAACCATTTAAAATGAGTTTTTCCTTGTTAATAGAATTTAAGCCTCTTTCCTCTTGTTTTTGCTCTGCTGGAGAAAAGAAATGTGGAGACTGTTTTTTTTTTTTCTCAGAAAAATTGGAGTGTCTCACCCCATTGCTTAGAAAAGATTAAATGGTTGAAAGTGTTACATACTAACACTTGGTGATATTTGACTATCTTGGTACAGTTTAGATCAAAGGATGTTTATGTAAATAATTCCAACCAAGCAATTGTTGAGAAAATGTATATTTAGTTGGGCAATATCTTTAATTTTTATCATGTTCATTTACCTTCTAATCCACAAAATGTGATAATTTTCAATAGTCCTCATCATCATTAGTGTAAATTAGCAAGTAAGTTTCTCCGGTCTGTGATTTCTTATTGATAGAAAAAAGTCGAGATTGCATTGCTTAATAAAAACTAGGCAGGGTAGCACAACCAATAGGAAGCTAGAATACTATAGAATACCATGCTTCATTCAAAGAGTTCAAAACAAAGCAATGTACTAGGAGTAATCAGGTTGATGGAAAAATTGTTCCCTGTAAGAAGATGCAGTAACTCTTTCATGCCACTAGGGTATTAATATTAGGGGGAAAGAAGCAACTGATTAGAATCCCAGAAGAGCTGTTAAATCCCAGGAGAGAATCAGGTAGGTTAAGCCAGTCATTGTACCTTCTTTCCTTTTCTTCTATCAAGTTATGGTAACTTTGGAGCAACATAATAGCTATTTTTATTTATTTTTTAACTCTTGAGAGGAAGAGATTTTATTTAAAATGTCGTAATTTCTCCTGAATGTCTAAATTAATTCAATTTTCCTTTTATTATCTCCTTAGCAAAAACAGAGATAGCAATAAAATATTCATTATCTAGCATCCTTTCCTGTTTAGGAAACTGAGTCTGAGATAGGCAAAGCAATTCTCTCCAGGGTACTCTGAATTTGAATAAACTACCTGACCCTGGAAAGAGGGTTTCATTCTCTTAATATTTTGTTATTTTTCCGTCACTGTACAGAATTTAAAAGATTATTAGCCAAGTGCATGGAAGAAGTAGGCTAATATTTTCATATTTTCAACTCCAGTCTGAGCCCTGTTGCTTTTTAACCAAGGAAACTTGGGCTCCACCTACTTGTACTAGTTTGTAAATATAATTATTCATATGTAACAGTCAAATAAATATAAAGATAAATTCATATTGTCAAAAACATCTACATTACCTACTGCTTTGAGCTTTGTGGAGGCAGCATGAAGAGGTTTGGGATCGTGGTTTTAAAATTGAATCTAACATTTATCACGTTTGTGACTTTGGAAAGATTATTCCATTTTTCATATGCTGGTTTCCTCCTTCGAAGTACAGAATAGTAAGACTTATCTACATTGTTGAAAGACTTAAATGAAACGGTGCATGTGCTCTCTTGGTGTTCTCTTGCTTCTTCGGCTATATGCTTTGTTGTAATTGACTAACCTTACATTTATTGTGTGCATCTACTCTTCCACAATACCTTTAAATACACCCAACCTAAGTAACAACTTTATCTTGAAACGATTAGATAGAGTTAACCAATGTCAGAGAAGTTGACAGTGGAAATGTACTCAATCACCCTCTTGCTTTTGCTTTTAAAATCAAATACATGTTTAACCTATTTTATAAAAATCAAATTGGCTGCTTTTTTCATTATTTAATCAGAATAATAGATGGACACTTTGGCTATTTGGTAGACATAGTTGCTGAAAATATTGCTTATGAAAATTATATTGTGACTGGGTTACATCCACAAATTAATTTACTAAATAGAGGAAAATCATCAACAAAGAATTTGTTTATACAACTAAATTGTTTATAATTCAAAATGAATTCAAACATAGAGTCCTGTATCTTCCAGAAAAAAATATTCCACTCAGTATTTCTGCTCTTGGAGAACTTGTTATAAATAAACGGTTTTAAATGAACATTTCTTATATTTTTCATACAAACTCCTTTGTTAGCCTACCATGACAAAACCTGAGATTGCTTTAAAGGATAATTACGTAACTATGAACTTTCAAAGACTATACACATTATTTACACAGCAGACAGTGCTGTTTTTACAAACTATTGCATTTGAGGGGGTAAATAAATGTTTGGAACATAAAAAGCTTTCACACTTCTAGACTTAAGAGTATTTACGTTAAAAGTTCACTTGGTTGGCTGGCTGATTCGATTTCATAGAATTACATTGTATCTAGGCTAATATACACTGTGTTAGAAGTACTCCTTTGTGTATGAAAAAAATATTCTGCATGTCTTTTTGTGGTGTCAGTAAAATTTTAGTATAAGTAAAAATATTGTACTACTTTCATGTTAGTTCTATCAGACTAACCAAGAAAATATATTTATTTGGCATAAGCATGTTCTTTTCATTCACGCTAATGGCTGTCTGTGAAAGAACGTACATATACGGCATCTTTTGATCAATCTAATGAAACTCAGATCCTTTGATCTTGTAAATGACCTCCTTGGGTAGCTAGGAAATGTAAGTGGGCAAATGAGTTGCTGTGTCCAAACTGGTTGAAATGCCTAATATTAAAATCAGTCATTCTCTTATCTACAAAATATTGTCATTTATTGTATCATCTGCTGACTTTTACTCAACATTAACCTTTAAAAATGAAAAAAAAAAACCCTTGATTATTTTTTTCTATTGCATGCATAGTCTCTTTGCTAAGAATTTCAAATATCTTGGAACTATAGATGTTTTGTTGGTAGATATTGTTTCTCAAAACTGTTAAAACTCAGCTATAGACTGGATCAGTATCAGATATGTGCTTTCTTTTAAGTCACAACTGTATTCACAAGCTCTAAAAAAAATCCCCTATTTTACACTGCTTATGGATAATGTAAACATTTATGCAGAGCAGCGATTTCATTGGAAGAGCAGTTAGGAATAAAGATGCCAGTCAGATGGCTTTTTAAAAAATATTACAATTTTAGGCCTAGTGTGGTGGCTTAAGCCTGTAACCCCAGCATTTTGGGAGGCCGAGGGGGCAGATCACTTGAGGCCAGGAATTCGAGACCAGCCTGGCCAATATGGCAAAACCCCAACTCTACTAAGAAAACCCAAAAATTAGATGGGTGTGGTGGTGGTCACCTGTAGTCTCAGCTACTCAGGAGGCTAAGGCACGAGAATCGCTTGTACTTGGGAGGCGGAGGCTGCAGTGAGCCCAGATTGCCCCACTGCACTCCAGCTTGGGTGACAGAGTGAGACTTTGTCTCAAAAAAAAAAAAAAAAAAGAAAAAGAAAAAATACATAAAATTTGGAATTTCTTATTCATTTTTGTTTAAAAATGGAATATTTTTGTAATACAAATTATGGTAAATATTAAAAACAGAAAAATCCCCCTGTAATTCCACTTCATAATGTTATTTACTGTTAATTTTTTAGGGTACTTCCATCCTTTAAAATTATTCATATTTTTTATGTGTATATAATCACAATGATACAAAATGAATATAAGATGCTTCTTCGACTAAAGGCATTTTGTAGACTGCTTACCGTGTAAAACAAAAGGGTGCTTGATCTTTTTGAGAACTTATTTCATGTTTTTCCACAAGCAACATCCCAGTTAATGTTCTTTGCTATTATGTCTCAATAAACATCTTTGTGCATATACCTTTGTCCTATTATTTTTGTAATATATTTTCAGAAATAAACTGCTAAATTAAATAGTATGTAATTTGGAAAGATATTGAGATGGCTGTCCTGAAAGTTATTTTCACACTACATTTCCATAAAAAATATATGTGTCTGTTTTCTTGCATCCTTGCTAGCACTTTACCTTAAAATATTTTAAAACATTTTAAAACTTTTTAAAACTGCAAATTTGTCAGGTTGAAAGACAACAGAATTTTGATATTTTTATAATAACTAATGAAAAATTTTTCCTGCAGTCATTTGTTTTTCTTATTCAGTAAATTGCTTATTTTTAATCTCTGCCTAATTTCCTAATAGGGTATTATATATTATGATCATATTACTAAATAATATAATATTAGGGTTTTGTTATAGGACATCATTCATTATATACTATGAATGTTGTTTGTCTATTGTATATATTGTGATATTTTTCTGTTTACTTGTTTTTAAATTTTATTCATAATGTTTTTGTCTTATAAAAGTTTAAATACATAGTTACATTACTTTATGGTTTCTGTATTTTTTATTACCTAAGAAATAACTTTTTGCTTTTCTTCTTCAATATTAAAATACGATTCCCCTTTGTTTTATTATAATAATTTTATTTTTAAAATTATTTAAGTTTTCATATACCTGGATTTTATCTGAGACACACAAAACTTTAATTCCAAGTGTTCAGCCAGCTGTTTCAAAGTTGTTATATGTATCTATCCTTTTTCCCCACTGATTTGAAGTGCCACATTTATAATACAAAGGTTTTCATACATTTATGGATCTCTATTTTATCTTTTACATCTATTTGTCTTTTTCTGTGCCAATGACATATTGTTTTAATCACTATAGCTTTTTATAAATCTTGCTGTTCAGTAGAACAAATTCTCACTTATTTTTCTTTGTCTACAGTGTCTTGGTCATTCTCACAAATACATTCTTCCTTAGGAAATTAATAATCAGTTTGGTAAGTTCCATTCTCCCCATTATTTCTATAGGGAACTACAGTGCATTAAATTTATAAATTATGTTGGAAAAAACTGACATCTTTACAAAATTGAGTCTTCCCATCTAAGAATCCGTATGTCATGAACTTTATTTAGAAAGTCTTTTTATGCCCTTCAGTAAACTTTTATAGTGTTCTTCACAGAGATTTTATAGTGGTATAGTTTTTTTTTAGGTTCATGTTTAGGAATAATATAGTTTTTATTTTTTATAGGACTATGAATAGGGCTGTTCCATTCAAACATCTGATTATTGCTAACGGGATTTACTAATTTTGTGTACTAATATTGTAATTTAGTCATCTACTACGCTTTGTTATTGCTAAGTTCTTCATTTGGTGCTCTCAATTTTCTTGGATAGATAATTATATCATTTGCAAATCCTGATAATTTGCTTGCTTGCTTTCCTATATTTACCTCTCTTCTTTTTCTTGACTCATTGTGTTGACTGGAAACTTCAGAGCAATGTCAGGTAATGGAAGTGACAGCAAATATTCTCGTTTTCTCTTTGACTTGAATAGAAGTGCCTCATTTTCACCATTAGAGATGATGATGCTTTCTTTTTTCTGTTAGTCTGAATCACTTTAAGGAAGCTCTATTCATAATACAGGGATAGATATATTTTATGACTTTCTATCATCTATAGAAACAAATGTATGGTTTTAATCTATTGACATATCAATATAACAAACTAAAGTATTAGATTTCCTAAATTGTGTAATCCTTGTTTTCTTGGAATAAAGTCAGCTTGGTCATGTGGTAATAGGTTTTTGATATAATTTTGGATTTGATTTTCTAGCATTTTCATTAGAATGATTTTCATTGCACTCTCAAATGATATCACTTTATAGTTAGTGTGTGAGTGCATGCTTACACGTAGACATGCAAATTTGACTAGTTTTTAGAATTAAGGTTATAGTAGTTTCATAAAATTAATGAAGTCTTCTTGGTTTGCTGCTGTATGGGAAAGGCAGATCTTTGATAATATTCTCCTTTATTCAAGTCATTATATCAAACTTGCCATTTGTTACTCACATCTCCTTTCTCTATCAAATTCTCAGGGAGGTCTGCCAAAATTTCCAGTTGTGCTTGTGGTTTTCTTTCTTGCATTGATTATAGTTTTTTCTTATAAATTTTGACTAATTGTTTGGAGCAGAAGTGTAATCTCAGCTTGGCTTGCAGGATTTCAAGGGCAAGTCATTTCTAGGAAGTGTAGGTAGCGGCATGGGGAATTGGTAAAGAGAAGGTAGGAAAGCCAGTAAAGGATGCGTTAGCAAGCATTTGTCATTTTGAGCAACTGCAGCTTAATCACTCTGGGACAGTTGTGGGAGCCAGTGTAGAAAACACATTTCAGAGTTATACTGTCCAAAGAATGAGAGAGCTGGTGGATTTACGGACCTTCTCTTATTATTTAACTTGTTGAAGGCTACCAGGGGTAGGGCCTGCTTCATCTGTAGTCTGAATGGGCTCTGGCAGAGAAAGATAGCATTAATTTTTTTTTTTTTTAATTTCAGTTGAAGTCAGGCCCACATAGGGGAGAAACAACATCTGCTACCAGCTTTCACAATTTTAATAGGTTTGTAATGCTTTGTACTTATAATTCATTCATTCGTTTCTTGAGTAAATGTTCACTTTCACTCAAGAGTGATAGTTTGACATATCATACATAATTCTAGGATCATAATCCTTTTCTTGAAGAATTTCTCAAGTTTTGATTCATAAACTTGGTTTTCAGAGCAATACTCTTTCTGCTAATCATTGCTTCTATTGATTTATCTAATCTGTCAATCAATTTTCTAATTATTAAAAAGTGTTCTCCTTTTGCGCTCTTTTGTAGCAGTTTACTCTCAAAAAAGCAATATTATTTTTTTCAAATCTCATTGAGAATTCTAATTAGAACTTTTTTAAAGTTCTGTCCTGTTTCCAGAATTAGCATATTCACTAGTAGTTATTTCTTCTGATCACCCAGTGTGGTCAATTTCTTTTTTTGCCTTCTGTATTTTCCCCCCACATTTTTGGGAAACTTCTGTTGTCTGGTCATTATTAATAATGATTAAAACGATGAATTTAGATTAATTGATAATAAATGTTGGCAGGCATGCTGTCCCTTGGCAGCTATGTGGATTAGTAGTTATAGACTGTGTGTTTTCAAAGAGAATAAGATTTTTTAAAATTGTGCAGACATAATATTGTCAATTTTTAAATTTGCAGTATAAGTTAATTGAGAAGCTTCTATCTACTATTATCACAGATTTATAAAAGAAAGAACATCTTAATTTCTCTGAAGTAGGAAAATATAAAGTACAGTCTTAAATAGAAATCTGGCGGTATACATATGTAAGGGCAATGATCTTTATTTTCTCACTTCCATACAGATTAATGGCAGCTTTTTCTCTTGTGGGCATTGGGAGACAATGTAGTCTAATTTTTGCCCTCGGCCTCATCTTACACTTGCCCACTTCAAGAGTAGTTGTGGATATTTTCAGGTGGCAAAACTCCACTTTATTTTGTGTGCTGTCCATACCAAGGGACCCCTGAGTGCAAACACTGTGGCCACACCCTTTATCTAAGGGGCCCTGGTGGGTGTCCTGAAATCCTTCAATTTAGTCTCTCCAGTTGCATCCCAAAGCCAGTTTTGGTCAGGAAAAGTACTCTCTTGACTTCATAATTTTTTTCTGCAGTCTCTTCCATCAGCTAGGGAATACTACCCTTGAAAATGTTTTCCATTTCCCTTTTGTGACTCAGCCTTAGGCTTATAAGTGACAGTTTACTCTCTAGGTTCGGTCAAATATTTATTGCTCTTTGTTAATAGTTTTTAGAGTTGTCACATGAATGGGGCCTTTCTTGGCTTTAGCATTGTTGAAAGAATATTAGGTTCCCTTTGTTTATTTTGGTGGATATTGTTGAGGTGTTTTTACATCCTGTAGCCACTTTTACAAGTTACCTAGATTTGGCCTTCACAGTTACCACGAATGAATGTAGTAGATATTTTAGGTAATCAGTAGGAAAGAAAAGAGAAAGGAAACTTACTGTTATTGAATTACTACTGGGCACAGGAACTGTTAGAATTTTTAATTCTTCTGAAACTCTGTAAGGTAGTCATTGTTGAGGTAGGAATTATTACCTTTGACAGAGGGAGAAATAGTGGCTCAGAATGTTTAAGTACCTTGTTTGTCATGTAGTTAATTAGAGGCAGAACTTGGATAGAACATAGGTCTGTCTGGCTCCTCAATCCATATATTTTTTCAATACTTCACTACTTTTTCTAATGAATTTATTGAGCAGCCCTAATTCTTTACTGCATATTTAATGAGGACCCAGCCAAATAATTATTAATGACTTACTTGAAAGCTATTTTTTAAATAAGGTTTGGCTATCTTAGGTTCTTAATCAGAAATACTGATCAAATTTTTTCTTTCATTACAGCTCCTAGCACAATAATGATTTAAAACCAATGGGATGTTTTCAGTTATTTTTAAAAAAAATTCATGGAAACTGTAAGCTCTGTTCTTAGAAAAATTTACATACACACAAAATTTTATCCATACTTTCAGGGACTTCAGGAATTCAGGATGTCTGTCAATGTATCCCAGGATAAAATCTTGTCTTAGAAGAAAGGGATGGTCACATTTGGTCAGTTTTTTTTGTATGACATAATGTCGACCTTGAGACTAAATGTTTAATGATATATAAGGCTCTTTCTGAATTTAAGAGAAGATATTCTTGGATCCTGGTAGCTAACAGAAAATGTAACTTTCAAGACCTTTTTTTTTTTTAAATACAGTACATAATATGTTCTGTCTTTTGGAGACAAACTGTGTGTGTGTGTGTATGTGTGTAAAACATTTTTCATATATTTATAATATTTTATCAAATTTATTTTTTTACTCTTTTTTACTCTTACTTGGGTTCTCCAAGCTGAATACCTGGCCTTTCCTTAAGGCTTTATCTCCTGGGCCTTATTGGTCCTGAATGTTTACATGTTAAATGATAGTTGAATTTGAAGACCATGCAGATAGTTCATTGTGATTCAATAATTTATTTGCTAGTTTGTCTCCCTATTTGGAGAAGAATGTCAGAAAGCCAATCCTTGCACATTGTTTCTCATGGAATGAAATAGTCTGATATTTTTTATGCATGTATCTGGATTTGTAAAAACTATTGTGTAGGATTTGTAAAACAAACTCTCTTCAGACTGTTTTTGGCTATGTGATGAAAAAAATTATTATTTGTTTTAATGGATAAGAATAATGTTTTGATCTTTATTCTATTAATTTGTGAGTCAGGTTATATAGGCCATGATTGACATATTGTTCTTGATTAAAATTCCTTTAACACATTGAAATATTTCAATGTATGCTGATGATAGTATGTTAATGTAACATTGATAAGTTATTGGATAAATTCATTTTTTCACTATTTCTTTGAATGTCAAGCAGTACTTTCAATGGATAGTGGCCACACATAACTGATGTACTTAAGAATTTATGAAATCAGGCTCTGCAGCCCAATCTGAGGTGAGATGTAGGGAAGTTGGACAAGGGACTGAATTTATGTGATGTAAAAACATGACCCACCATAAGCCAGAATGTTGTTCTGACTTTTGTTTAGACTGAACAATATTTTAAACATTATAGGAATTTGTTCTGAACCTGTAAAAGTTGGGTGGTTTTATAGAAAATTCAGGTTTTGCCTTTCATTGGAGAATCAGAAGATCTGACGTCACTAGGCTCAAATTCAGTAGCAGAGTGAATGTAGTTTCCTTTTTGCCCTCCTAATAAAGAGACTGAATTTCAGTTGCCATATATTATTGCATTTGTATTGTCATGTTCTTTTGCAGAAAGAAAGATGATTTCTTTTACAAATACCTTATCAAAGAGAGAAAACAAATAATAATCTAAGAGGAGAGCATATGGCAGAGAGCATATTTCTTTCCAAAAGTGAAGATTATTCCTATCTGTTTAATATACAAAATGTGTTTTTTTTTTAAAAATACAGCTTTTAATACTATTATGTAAGCAATCACAATAAGAAATATGATTGATGAATGGAAACCTTGTTTGATGAGAAACATAATGATTTGAGAAAAGGTTCTGAAATTTTTTTTAGTTGGTTTGCTTCTGAATTTTAAAATATCTGAGTCATATTGCTATCAATTTTTCTAGTATTACCTACAAAAATTACCTTGGCATCAGAAACTCCTTTTATAGATGGGGAGTTTATCAAAGAGTATAAAGACACAGAAAATTATGCGTCTTAAACATAAATAATTGTTTAGATTGGCAAGTTCATTCCAACTTGAAATATGAGCTCAAGGTCTTGAAGAAACAGCTAAGAAGCTAATGGAGAAGTTGAGGGAAGAAGTTAAAATATTTGTGTCATGTTTTATTGCAGCTGATGAAAACCGAGATAAAACAAGTATCACCTGGTTAGATACATTTATATGTGTTATAAATGAAACTTAATAACTTTTGGAAATAAAGCCCATGAGAGGTACAACATCAGAAAACAGAAGACTTGTTGAAACAAGTCTTGCAATGCTTAATGAAGATGGGGCAAGAAATACCAGGGAGTGACTCTAGCTGGAACCTCTGTGGAAGTCTGTGTTAACATCAAACTCCTGGGATAAAAATCGCAGGGGGTAAACTTTGGAGGAATACATTGCAATTTGCCAGGAATTACTTTGTACTAAATGGTGGGGAAAAAAAAAAAGACTCTGACTTGGTTGGGGTAAGTGACACTCAAGCTGGAAATACTTCTGTGGCTTGAAATGTAGATAACTCAGTGTTTTACTTTATGTGCTAGAAGCACTGTTCAGTAAGTCTTCTGTTGTATTATGCAGAGACTAGTGACTCAGTTGTACCACTTTAGCTGTGCTGTTGAAGAGACTTTTGTGTTTTTAAGAGTGAAAGAAATTGACTGACTCATGCCATCTTGGGAAAATCCTTGCTTCATCTTCAGAGACTAGTGGATACATCTTAGGCTTTTGGGTTGATGTTAAAATATATCTATATACCTTGAAATGACCTTCACAAGTGTTTAAAAATGACTTAATGTGCCCATTTTAGGCAAAATTGAATCTTAGGGAAACCCATCTGACAAGGAATATTGGTTTATATTCTTCTGATGAAGTGGTTTCCACAGGTGAAAGTTATGGCTTAAACTACGTTCCCTCTGATATTGAAGTTGAGACTGAATTCTAGAAAACACTCTCTGTTTTCAAAGTTTATAAAAATAAGCTAACATTCAGTTTTAATTAACATAAGCTTTCTCAATTAATTTTAATCATGCAAAGAAAGAATCTTCTGAATTGCAGAAATATGTCACTAAAAACTAAATAGAAGGTCTAAAATACTAAAATTCTACAAATATCTCTGTGCAGCAGTTTTATTAATGGCAAAAAACATTGTACAAAGATATTATACATGTCCAGATATATATATGTTTGTGAATAGCTATTTTCTGAATAAAACTCAGTCAAACTCTCTACTAAAAGATTCAAGGCTAAATTCTGTACTGCATGTACCAAGTAAAATATGCAAGCAGATGTGGTCATCTTGGTGTGAAAGAAAGAAGCAAGAATTAGAAAAAAGAAAATTAATCTTAGCAACTTCTGTCTTTTCATGTGTATGTCTAATGCACAATTTAAAATATAATCTCCACTATAATACATGTTTGCATTATTATATTTTTGAGCCATAATTTAGTAAAAATTAAAAAATGGTAATCTTTTTAGCAGCTGATACTTCAAAAACAAACACCTGGTTTACTTTCCTTTTCTACTTCTACCTGTACTATAGGCATTTGGATTTGAGACCCTTAACTCAGTGATTTGCCTTAGCAAATGACAAGAAGAAATCTGGCTTTGCTGTCTACATGCTTTTAAAATAATGAGTGGAAGCTGATGATGACTGACTTCTCTGTCTGGGTATAGACAGATTACTATATTTGGCATGACAGTAGTCTTTGGCTAGGTAGAGACTATTTATTTTTTCATTCACCTTTTCTCAGAATTCTAAAATTTTTGGTGCCCCTTTCAAGAGGCTACCCATTTTAAATAATTTAGAGCAAGACTTGAATAAAATGTAAATAAATATTATATTATGTTCCCAGCTAAGATAAGCATATTCAACTTTTATGTTTTCTAAAAAATATACATATAGTCATGTTCTTAATATTATGACAGTATCTCCTGTCAAAGTTGTTTGTGCTTAATTGTCACAATTATTGATAGCAATTATGATTTTCTTGATTAGAATATAAACTCCAGAAGATAGTATTTTTAAAAACATCAACTGACTTCAAATACCTAATAGATGGCCTGGTACATAATAGGCACTCAATAAATGTCTGTTCAAATATTATTTCAAGGATGACTGGAGCAAAATCCAATGTTTGAGGAATATATATTAGTCACGCTAGGGTAAGTTGTGTTGTTGGTAACAACCAACCTCCAAATTTTGGTGACTTAATGTACAAAAGTTTATTTCTTGCTCTGCAATGTGTCATCATGGTTGACAGAGGGCTCTGCACCAGGATTGATGGAGACTATGCTCTTGTAGCAGTATTATCTAGATTAGTGGTCTCCACTTAGATGTTATAATAATGGAAGAGAGAGACTGGAGACTCATGCATAGCCTATTTTGCACTTGTTTATTTGGCTAAAAGTAGTTATATGTCTTTACCTAGATGCAAAGAGGCTGGGGAGCATTGGAGAGCAAATAGAATATTTAATGAAGATTACTATCTCTGTCACAACATGGTAAGCAAACTAGCAACTAATTCTTACCTGCAGTTGCTGCATGTAGCTTCTAGAAGTGTTGTCAGACCCTTTGGTACAAATGTCCGTGTATATAACAAGAAGTTCATTCCCTAAAATGACTATAAGCCTGACCGCTACGTACATCATGCACTAGGGTATCCTGAACATTCACAGTTGTGTCACATTGTTTAAAGTGATAATTTAGAGTGCTCTTTGTTTTGTAAATTTTTAATTTTCATGGGTACGTAGTAGGTATGTTTATTTATGGGGTACATGAGATGTTTTGATACAAGCATGAAATGTGAAGTAATCTAGAAGGCTTTTTGAATTATTTTGATTAATAGTACCACATGGACAAATGGTCTCTGACACAGGTAGTAGATCCTGTGGGAGGCTAAGAGGATGGGTCTCAAAAGTGGGCCCAGAAGTAAATTCTGATATATTATCCCTCTTTTGTTCAAGAAGTTTCTTCTTTCTGCCCTGAAATAAGTTCTTTGGAAGTAGGCTGTATATAAGTTATTTCTAGTTATGAATCACTGTATTGGTTCTGCCAAGAATGCCAGGGTTACCCTCCACATTGAAGTTACTACTATAACTTATGAACAAAGTAAGTGAGAGGAGGCAAAGATCTTCCTTCTATGTGTTTTGCAGGAAAGGCTTCTCAGAGGAGATGTCATCTGAGCTAACTTTTGAAAATAGATACTTTTTATTTGTGAGCAGATAATATTCCAGTGCAGAAAGGAGCACTGTGAGGTATAAGGGGAGAAACCTGACTAAAGTCAAGAAGGCATGAAAGTACATGACATTTCTGGGAACAAAGGAGAACACCAATGGGTTAAAACATGAGGTTCTTGTGAGGGAAGTGGTATAAAATAAATAGAGAGGTGTGTGGTTGCTCTAATGATGGTATCCAAAGAATCACACCTACCAGTATTGACTAAGCTTGACTGTGTGATGTAAGTTGAAGCATGATAAATGCTCATGCATGGGGCTTGCCTGCTTACAGCCTTGAAATCATCAAGGCTGAAAGTGTTCAGATTATCCTATTTGAGGCTGAAAGATTCATAGACAAAGAGTGACCACCACCCCTCAAAAAAAAAGTGAGAGAGACCATGTGGAAAGAGAGAACATGAAGAGAAGGTTCTCATGGAAAGAACAAGACCACATCATCTGGGAGGAACCAGCCCCAGCTGACAAGCAGGGATGTGAGTGAACCCAGGCAAGATCAACAGAAGTAGCACCCAACTAACCCAGAGAACTGTGAGAAGTAATAAACATTGTTGTTTTAAGCTACTAAGTTTCAGGATGGTTTCTTAGGCAGTGATAAGTAATAGATACAGAAGGTAATTTTGTTTATTCATTCAACAGATATTTATTGGGTTTATTAAGTATTTACTGTGTGGAAATCACTATGCTAGAATTTGACCATAATTTGTAGAGCCTTGTATTATTACTTGGTAATGATTCATTGTCTCTCTGCCCTAACTCCAGCCGTGACAAATTCAATTGCTGTTGTTTTAATTCAGGGCTTTGTCATGTCTTACCTCTTGTAATAACATCCCAGTTGTTCTCCCTTTCATTCCAGCCTCTTTGTTGTAAAACAAAAACCTGACCTGTATTATACTCCTGTTTAAATTTCTTCAATGGCTTATCATAACCTTCAGATCAAATTTTTAGATTTCTTTACATGCATCATCTAATACCATTTATACTCTCTTACCCATTGTTTAATAACTTATGGTTTTCTAAATAAGCAATGCTTACTCTGGTATTGCAACCGATGCACATGTTGTTGTCTTGGCCTGAAAGGCCTTCTCTGATTTGTCTTCCTAGAAAAAACTTACACATATGTCAGGATAGAGTCAAATGCATACGTGCATATATTTTTCTCCAATAACTCCAGATGAGATGGATCATTCTCTCTTTTTCATATCATTCTACCACTGTCCATTGCATATCACTCTAATATCATAACACTTGTCACATATGTTGATATGCTGTTTTTCCTTCTAGATTGTGAGCTTCGTGAGAGCAAAGGATTCTATCTTTTTTACCTTTGTGTACTCAGCTCTTTAATTTGTAATACATAGTAGACACTCTGTAAATATTTCTTGAGTAATGCCTTTGTGTGTAGGCCACAGAAAAATCACTGAGTATTTTATGGGAAGGAACTCTTAAAAAATTAATTCAGGCATTAGTGTGAAAGAGGGAAGAAATAAAGGCAAATTTATCCCATTCTTAAACTATTTAACTACTTCAGTGGTCAAGGTAAGACATGAGGATGGCTGGAACTAAGGCAGCAGGAATAGAAGAGGCAAAATGGGCATGACATAGCAGAATCTCTAAATAGGAAGAACGAACAATTACAAGATTTTTTTAAGTTTACCTTGGACGAATGAGTAAATGGTGATACCAGTAACAGATATAGAAAATACCAAAAGAGCAGGTTTTGTGATGAAAAAAAAAGGAGTAAAAGGAAATAATCGTCAACATATTGCCTATCCAGGGTGAATTTCAAGGATGTGGCAGTTCTCTCTGGAAAGGGAAACTAACTGTTCATACTAATGAAGGTTACTTTTAGAAGGAGGATAAAAATCGCTGTGGCACTAGAAAATCCCTGTGAAGGATGGCCTGAATGGACTAGTTCACATTTAATTTGGAACTCATAAGAAAGGTAAATGAACCTAGGTTGGCAAATAATATGCTGAGTAATCTTTAAACTTCTCCCAGGAGATATCTGATATGCAAACAGTTGTGTTTTATGCTACAGTCTACAATCATAAATTCTTCAAGAAAATGAGGTACCTAAATAGACAGTAACAGTCCCATTTTAGTGATGCTACGACTAAGGTAATTATCATCATACAGAATAACAATGGTTACTGACATAATGGAGTGAATTTGGTAGCTCCTACTGCAGCAATGGCATCATAGAAATGATTCTCCTGAAATTTCATCCATGTGTTACAAAATTGCAAGAGTCTTCTCTTTGATTCTTCTTCAATCATTTATTGTCCAACAACAATTATCCAACAGCTGGTATACCAAATTAGTGCCTTTTCCTCGGACTAGAAGTCTTAATGGCTCTGACAAGACTTTATTTCTGTGTTTCTTACATCAGATGAAGAGTTTCAAATAACACAGCAGTCCCTAACTTTTTCGGCACTAGGGACCAGCTTCATGAAAGACGATTTTTCCATGGACAGTGATGGGGCTGAGGGGAGAGGGATGGTTTCAGGATTGAAACTATTTCACTTCAGATCATCAGGTATTGAATTCTCATAAGAAGTGCACAAAATAGATCCCTCGCATGTGCAGTTCATAATAGGGTTCATGCTCCTATGAGAAATCTATTGCTGCAGCTGATCTATCTGACAGGAGGTGGAGCTCAGGCGGGTGGTTGCTCACCAGCCGCTCACCTGCTGTGCAGCCTGGTTCCCAACAGGCCACAGACTGATACCGGTCCCAGGGGTTGGGGACCCCTGAAATAACACATTACCTATGACAACACCCTCTAATCATGCTAGTTTCTCTGGGCAAGTTGAACTTCCTGTTTCAATTTTTCTCAGATATAAATTCATGAGAAATAGCTTACTAGAGAGGGGATTTGAGAAATTAAGCCATATATTATTTCTTCAGAGTATTCCTTAATAAAAAGAAGAGACAAAGTCAAATGTTGTGGGATATTTAAAAAACCCATAAAACTAACACTTCAAAGCCTTGAATTCTGAGATAATTAGGGCAGCAAAGAAACACTTGATGCATCTACAAAGCAGAAATTAAATAGGGCAGTTGAGGGGATCAAAACCAAAATGGAAGAAGGTGAAGCTCAAACTTGGAGTGTGGATTTTATCTAGACTCCCAACTACATTGCTGTTAACAACAAAAAAGAGATCAGAGATAGGTTCTCATGTAGTTTGAAATATACCAAGAAGCAGTAATAGTTGGCAACTGCTACTTCTGGTCCTCTTTCATTGTTTTGCTTAAAGCAAGAAAAGCCAAGTGACATAGTAGAGCTTCACAATAGATTTATTCCCCGTCTTCTAGTCACTACACCAGCGAGACAGCTCGTGATATTCTTCTGATAACTACAATGGGTTAATACTTCACTGAACTCTGGAGGCCAAGTGAGTTAGCTCCCAGAAGACACGAATGTCATCAACCAAATAAAACCTTACACAGCACCACATATAATCCTGATGTAGCTAGAAGTCTGTGCCTTACCTAGAAGGATGCATCTACTCTCATCCCTCCTCCAGAGACTGCACTTGGGATATTGTACACCACAATATCCTTCTACTGTATCAGCAAGATGGAGCAGATCCTGTAACTGGAGCCTGAGCTGATACTTGTGGTAACTCAGGAACATATAACATCTACTCTCTTTGTAATTTGGGCAGTGCTATCTTGGAGGCTGCTTGATAAGTTAGGTGATAGTGAAATTAAGTCCTTTAGGTGCATTGTCAGTTTGTTGTGAAGCTGAGTTTATTTGCAAGGTAAGTAGTTCTGCCTGTGCAATTGCCAGCAAGTTAAATCAAGACAGAAATCTACCCCTTAAAGGAGTTGCTTTTATTAAGAAGAGCGTGTCACTGGCTGTGATGGATACAGACACTATATTTCCAAAGAATAGCAAAAAGCACATGGCCCTTAACATAGCTGATGCTTGTGAAATATTTTTCTTTTATTTTAGCCACAATATTAACTACATGCTTTTGCTTTTAAAATTTTTTCTAATTTGATTCTTTTGTTTTAAAAATATATTTTCCAAGAGTAGCCATGAATTGATCATTATGGTTTGACAATGGGATCATTTTTCAATTTGTTTTACTTTTGTGAGTGTTTAAATTTTTCTATTAATAAAATATTTTAAAAATATGTCTTCTAACCAGGTTTTTCAATAGCTTTTTAAAAGTAGCTTTTCTTATGCTGCTGCAATTTCAAATTTCAAATTTGAAACTATAAGTTTTATTAATTATGCAATCTCTAAGTGGTTGTACAATTTTCATTGTATTTCCATTTGCCTATTTACTTGTCAACACTTATCACTGCTTTTGTCCTTTAGTTTATTCAGTCTTTAATATAGTTTAGGAAGAACTCATTTAATGAATGCATGATACTGACCTGGATATTTAAGATCATGATGAGCAAATTTTAGTTCTTGCTTTCAAGGAATCTATTTTTTAAAGACAGATATGTGCCACACATCAGATTTTGATAAATATTTTAGTAAAGGTTGTCCTGTGAGGATTAATTCCAGCAGGCCTGGAATCAGCCGTAGCTCATTTGCTTAAGTCTCTGTATGACACTGACTGTTAGCCAGTTAAGAGTAGTGCTCTGTAACCATGAGTCTGATGATCTGTGTTTATCCCTTAGCAGAGAAAAACCAAAGAAAATAGAATTTCATGAGATCTTTCATATCTCATGAAGATATTTAGTAGATTAGAGAGTTTGAGAAGAATGAGTATTGTAAAGAGATTTTTAAATTTGTTAAACCCTTTTCAGAGGGCAACCGTCTGAAAAGAGGTTTCAATTCAAGAGGGAACAGGAAAAGAAATTTGGTGGCAAAAGAGAAAAGGAGAAATGAGGCTAGAGTTTGAAGAGGAAAATGGTTGACAGGAAATTTATTTAGGGTTGGTGAAGAAATAAAACACCTGGAGGCTAAGGACAAAGATTGGAATAGGGGGCAAGTTGAAACGCAAGAGATGAGAAGAATTGTTGGGTGATGCCTTGGACAAGGGGATGAGGATGAAATCAAGAGAGTGCTGTTTCTGGCTGGGCACGGTGGCTCACATCTATAATCTCAGCACTTTGGGAGACCAAGGCAGGTGGATTGCTTGAGGTCAGGAGTTCAAGACCAGCCTGTCCAACATGGTGAAACCCCGTCTCTACTAAAAATACAAAAATTAGTCGGGTGTGGTGGTGGGCACCTGTAATCCTAGCTACTTGGGAGGTTGAGGCAGGAGAATCACTTGAACTTCGCTTGTGCCATTGCACACAGAGAGAGTGCTGTTTCTTTTGTGAAAGAGAAAGAAAAAAATATTAATTATATAAAAATAAAGCAGAACATATATTTCACAGGCCAGAATGTTTGGAATCTTAGGATAGTCATTTTACCATTTAAAAATGAATAGCACATAGTATGTAGGTGCATTGTTTCAAAGCAAAATATGTGAAATGGGTACAGGTTGTCCTGGAGCAAAAATCTTCTACCAATCTTAACCTATCTATATTTACACCTTCAGAGCAATAAGCATTTTCTTATGGATTCAGGTTTTCTTTGGCCATCTGGCTTTGCTCTCTTAAGTGTTTTCTACTGTGGCTTTTAAGTCCCTCAATACCATCTGTCTCCATGTATAAATGTTCTGCGACACACTACTGGGATGAAGAATGGCATATTTTTAAGAAAGCATTCCATTAAAGTTGACAGGCCTTCAAACTGACCTGACTGTATTATAATATTTTCTTTAACTTGTTCCCCAAATTAACTGATTCTTCTAAAATTAAGCTTGACTATTACATTTATTAATTTTCCATTTAAAAATTTGTCCCCTAATATTTTACACATAGAATTTTAGTTAGCTTTACATCAGTATACCCTTCTAATTCCAGCCAAAATGGAATAATAGGAACTAGATTTACCCTCCTTCTGGAAACATTAACAAATGAGCAAATTATAAGGAGCTACAAATTTCAAGTCACTGAAGAAAAGGGAATGAATGATAATGATCTATCAGAGATGAGAAAAATGAGATGATTCCTATGATTGCTCTAGTTTTTTGCCTTAAGAGAGTTACAAGGCCATGATGCAAGGAGCAGGAATGCAGGCAAAGATTGGCTGACTCCCTGAGTTAAGGATACAGAGCTGAGTGGCCAGGGAAATCAAAGGGGCTATAATTTACAAGACAAAGTACCAGAAAGGAGAGATCTGCACAGAGAGAACTCTGAAGATCTGCAGATCATCTTCCTGAAGTAGTCAGGTGATTACTGATTAACACATGTGTGTTAGGAGACAAGCTGAGTCTGAGGAAAGAACTGCCCCAAAGTATGGAGTTAAGAGTGCCCAATGCTCACTTGCATGTCAGTTACCACCAGCCAGCATGGAAAACCTCATGATTCATGAAACCCTGGGTAGATTACACAGCGGGTCCTTGGTACTTAGGAATAATTAACCCCAGACTGAGCTCCAGTCTTGCCTAGCAAATTCTAAAAGCAAGATATGAAAGGATCAAACTGTTTCCAATAACTTATAACTTGTGTCTCAGAAAAAAGCTCAAGAATATGTACAGGAATACAAAAATATCCAGAACCTAACAAGGTAAAATTCACAGTGTCTGCTTTCCAATAAAAAAGTACCAGTCATGTAAAGAAGCAAGAAAATATAAGCCACAATGAGGAGATAATCAATAAAAACTAAGCTGGAACTGATACAGGTATCAGAATTAGCAGATAGGAACGTTAAAGTACTTATTATAATTGTATTCTATTTGTTCAAAAAGTTAAGTTGAGACGTGGAAGATATAACCAGACCTAACTTGAACTTCCAGAGATGAAAACTACAATATAAGAAGTATAAAATACTTTGGACAGGATGAATTGCAAATTAGACATTTCAGAATAAAAGATTAATGAACTTCAAGCCAGAGCACTGGAAACTATCCAAAATCAAAAACAGAGAGGAAAGAGACTGAATGAGCATGAATGAGCTGGGCAAAAACTTCAGGTGGCCTAATGTACATGTAATTGGTGTCCCCAAAGGAGAGGACAAAAGTGAGAACAAAAATATTTAAAGAGATGATGACCAAATTTTTCTAAATGTAATGAAAATAAAAAATTTAACTTAATAAAAATTTTATAAATTTAATTCTGTTGTCTCACATATCTGAGGCTTTGCCCACAGATCCAAGAAGCCAACAAACCCCAAGTTCAGGAGGGATAAAGAATACTCAACCAAGGCCCATTATAAAACCAGATTGCTCAAAACAAGTGATAAAGAGAAGATCTTAATAAGATCCTGAGAAAAAATGACATATCACATACAGTGGAATAAATATAAGATGGCAGCAGATTTCTAATCAGAAACAATGCAAGTAAGAAGACAATAAAGCAGCATCTTTAAAGTATTGAGAAAAATAAAAGATTGAACAAGAGTTTTATAACCGGTGAAATGTCTTTGGTTTTCAGCAGTTTGACCTAGACATGGTTTACTTTGTATTTATCTTTCTCAGGATTTGCTGAGCTTCTTGTAAATATACATTTATGCTTTTGTCCAAATTTGGGGAATTTATGGCCATTATTGAGTTTTCTTCTTCATTTTCTCCTTCTCCTGGGATTTCAATCATACTATGTTACACCATTTTCTATTGTCTCACAGATCTCTGAGGCTTTGTGCATTTTTCCCTAGTTTCTCTTTCTTTCTCTCTCACTCCTTAATTGTACTGATCTATATTAAAGTTTAGTGATGTTTTTCTTTTTCTATCTCTAATCTAGTGTCTAGCCCACCCATGCATATTTTATTTCATGTATTTGTAATTTTCAGTTCTACCATTTTCACGTTTTCATTTTTTTTTTGTTTTGTTTTGTTTGTTTTTTTTGTTTTTGAGACAGGGTCTTGCTCTGTCACCCAGGCTGGAGTATAATAGCATGATTTCAGCTCACTGCAACCTCTGCTTTTCAGGTTCAAGTGATCCTCCCACCTCAGTGTCCTCAGTAGCTGGGACTATAGGCATGTGCCACCACACCCAGCTAATTTATGTAATTTTTGTAATTTTAGTAGACATGGGGTGGTTGTGCCACATTGTCCAGGCTGGTCTTGAAGTCCTAGGCTCAAGTGATCCACCCACCTCACCCTCCCAAAATGCTGGGATTACAGGCATAAGCCACGGCACCTGGCCATAGCTTCCATTTTAAAATTGACATTCTCCATTTGTGCATTCATTATGACTATCTTTTAAGTCTTTGACCATATTTATTCTACATAAATTTTTATAAGAAAATTTAATATCTGGGTCATCTCAAGTTTGATTTATATTGACTATTCTTTTGTTTTCCAGGGTAAGTATTATACTTTGTGAACTTTTCACATATCTGGTAATTTTTATTGCCTAAGGACATAGTGATTACTACATTGCCTAGAGTCTGGGCCTTTTGTTGCTGCAGTTTTGTCTTTTTTTTTTTTTTTTTGAGTATTGCTTTTTGTTCTGGTAAACAATAAGTTTACTAGTGGATTAGTCTCCTTTTTGTGATGGCCATTTTTAAGCTCAGTTCAGGCAACTCTAAAGCAGTCTCTACACTAGTAATAGACTTGGCATAATCTAAGGCATGCCTTTTCTGTATCCTATGTATCCTAATACTGGGAGACTTCCAGAATCTTCATTCAGCTCTCAGCTCCCCAGAATACCTTAGAGCCTCACTCTAACAGCTTAATAATCAGTGAAAGACTGAAGGAGACCCCCATGCAGATTTCCGGAGTGTCTTCTCTGTTCTGTTCTCTTCTTCTAGTATCCTGCTCTGGAACATTTTGCCATTCTGCCACTCAGCAACCCCAAACTCTTATCTTTCTTTCCTCAGGATTTTTTTTTTCTGACTTGTACTCCAGTTCTCCAGGCCATGGTCTAGAAGTGCTTTTAGATAGAAAGTTGTGTTGATCTTGGGGCTTGCCTCATGTTTCCTTTCTCTCAGGGATCACAGTCGTGTACCATCTTTTGTTAAAAAGTAGAAAACTGTCAACTCACGTATTTTTAAATTTCTATTGTTGTTTATCATCACTGTGTTGCTCTGGTAAAAGCTAATCCATCATGACTGAAGACAGAAGTCCTACTTGATTTAACTTCTACATTTAGGAGTGCAATCTACTGTATTTTTTTCTTAATGTTGTGAGGTAAACAACAACTTTCATTTTTTCTTATTAATAGCCAGTTAACTCAGCATAATTTATTTAAAAGACAATCCTTCCACATTGAACTACCATAGAACCTTTGCATGCTACCTTTAAAAAAACCTGATACTAAATACTTTAAAATTTAATATCAGTTAAATACAACCTATTGACTTTTACTGTTCTGAGAGAAGATTTTTTTTTGTATATAATGATAGAAGCCATATTAGGTGATGACACCAATCATAGAACCAAAGCTTAAGAACTTTCCGTTATCTAAGGTTACAATGCAAAGCAATAGCAATATTGGACTATCAGTGCTTTTAGAATTAACCATTTTATTTTTCCTTTTTTCACAGCTGCTAATTATGAGAATGTAAAATCTTTCATTGGAAATAAATCTAGTTCTTTCTATAATACTTAGCCCTTTTTGAATGGACAAATTAATAATTATAATACTTTTACGAGTAACAACAAGAACAACTACAAAAAGATTAATTGATCTTATTGTCTCATTACTGTGGTGACTGATCTTTACAGATGGCCTCTCAATGAACCAGGCCTCTTGATGTTCACACCTCTTTCCTTATAGTATATATTATATACTATATACTATAATATATAGTATATATTGTGTGCTATATACTATAATATATAGTATATATTGTGTGCTATATACTATAATATATAGTATATATTGTGTGCTATATACTATAATATATAGTATATATTGTATACTATAATATATAGTATATATTGTATGCTATATACTATAATATATAGTATATATTGTATGCTATAAACTATAATATATAGTATATATTGTATGCTATAAACTATAATATATAGTATATATTGTATGCTATAAACTATAATATATAGTATATATTGTATGCTATAAACTATAATATATAGTATATATTGTATGCTATATACTATAATATATAGTATATATTTCCTCATAGTATATGGGCTTGCCATGTGTAACCAATATGCAGTGAAAGTGACACTACAGAGTTGTGTGTCTGGATTATAAGAGGATTTGCATCTTCCACATTTTATTGGAACATGTGCTTTGGGGAAATCCACCCCCCACATTAGAAACCATCTACTCTTGAGACTGTCATATTTTAAGAATTCTCACAGTGCCATATGGAGAGGTTGCATGAAAAGAGGGTGAGAGGAAGGAGAGAGAGAGAAGGGAAGGGAGGGGCAAGGAGGAGAGAATAGAATACTGGGCTTGGCCATTCCTCAGATGTTCCAGGCATATCAGCTGGGGTGGCAGATATATGAGTGAAGGAGCCATGTTGAACATATAGCCCAAGCGAGCCTTCAGCCCCAGCGACCATATGACTGCAGTCACATAAGAAATCTAGCAAGAACTGCCTATGTAAGCCCATTCAACTCATGGAAACATGAAATATAATAAGAAACTGTTCTTTTAAGCCACCCAGTTTATGGGTAATTTGTTGAGCAGCCACAGATAACCAGACAATTACAGTAATGACTGCTGCAATTGAAATAAGCTGTTAATGTCTAAATGATTGTTGCTTTCAATGAGCTTTTGTCTACTCCAAAATGACAGACTCTACAAATTACTTTTACTATTAAAAAGTTGTCATTATTTTAAAAATGTGAAACAACATTTAATTGTGCTCAGTGCTTATCAGGATGCACTCACATAATTTGAGGGTTGAAATGACCTGCTGTTTTAACTAAAGTTATTGAATATTTTCCCATGATTTTATTGTAGAACTTAAAGACTTGCTTTTATTGGTAAGTGTAAAACAAATTCCATGGTTTGCCTTGAAGAATCAGATGATTGCTCCTTTTTTAAAAAAGTAATATTTGTATTTCTATTTATGTACAGATTTTTAAAATCAATAATATGTTGTTATCTGTGCTTGATTATAACGGAAAAGACCAAATGAAAGTGTTAACTTCTAATTCTACCTATGAAGACTGTTGATTCAGGGCTATGGTTGCTATTAATATTTTAAGGATCTATTCCAGCTGGGTACTCACTTGTTTATCCAATGCCTTGTTGATAGAACTATTTTTTTCTGTTCAAAAGGAGCCCAATTCTATTGATTTTTGTGTGGAAGGTTTGTCTGCCTGCTGAGGATGTTTTCAGGAACCTCTCGGTACTTATGTCATCTATGTTAAAGTTCTGATTCAGTACGTTCTTACCAGTGTTTCCTATTCTTTCTGCCTTACTCTATAATGTTGTTATCAGATAAGAGCCACTTGAATATTTTTTGTTACCTGTATGCCTGATACGTTCTAAACAGCTGAGCAGAATTATTTCTTTCATACTAGTAAAGTAGCTTGGTTGTATAATATTGTTATGGTTTTAAAAAATGTATCAGTTATTAACAACTCTAAAAAGGAAAATGTGATAAAAATATGGATTTTTCAAGTAATATTCCTAGTACATATATGTATACAAATAGTATATAATAATATGTGAAACAAAATAAAATTTTGACTTATGTTGTTTATCATTTCTCCCTTTTACTTTTAAATTATGACAGACACTAGTTTAGTAAGCAAACTAGAGTATAGTCCAGCTAATAGATGCACACTGTTACTGTCAGTTGGGTAGGCTGTTATTTAAGTAGGATAAACTCCTAGGCTGGATTTCAATTGTGGACATATATAATCAGAAACCTGAAGATACTTTATTTACTTAGAAATTTAAAATGCCACTCAGTAGCTGAGCAAGTGATCACTCATCCAATGAATAAGTTTTCTAAAAATTTTAAAGAGCAAAAATAAAGCAATTGACAGCACTCATCTATTTTCTGTTGGAAAACACACAACTTCATTCAAAATAGTAAATAGAAAGTCATGCAGGATGTGGTTCAGACGAGATGAAAAGCAATCTCTGAGAGACTATTTACAGTTACTTTTTAAAAAACAATGGTATTGTTGTGGATCAAATACTAAACTTGGGTGTCAAATAACCTGTGGTTTATTACTGGATTCTCCATTCATGCTTGCATTTATATAGAATTATTCACCCCGTAAGTCTTATGAATTATTAACCTGGAATCCTCTTCATTACGTCCACCAGAGATAGATGGGATTTATTATTCTCCACATTGTACAGGTGAGGAAAGTTGAAGCAGGGAAGGAGGGTTACTTTTCATAGTCACACAACAATAATACAGCCAAGAAGAGTTCACTAAGTCTCCTGATTCAAATACTGAACATGAACAAATTCAGACTTAAAGTTAAAGCAATATTTAATAAATACTTAGAAATCAATCAGTGAATAGCCCCAGTGAGCAGAGCAATCCATGTACTTACTATTCTTACCTCTCTACTTTTGGTTGCTAACTAGAGTCCCCAAAGCATATCTTTTGTAGTTTACTTACTGATTCCAGGAAGGAGACTATTAGAGATGGTCCAGAGTCTCCATGTTCAAGTCATGCTTGTGTACATCTTCTTGTCATCTTTTGGTGCCCTCCTATTTCCTGTTATCCACCATGGAGTTTTATTTTTATCTTACTTGTTTTTAATTTTTAATTTTTGTGAGTGCATAGCAGGTGTATATATTTATGGGGTAAATGAGATATTTTAATGCAGGCAGGCAACGTGTAACAGTCACATCAGGGTAAATGTTGTGTCCATCACCTCAAGCGTTTATCCTTTCTTTGTGTTACAAGCAATCCAGTTTTACTCTTTTAATTATTTTTAAATCACAATTAAATTATTATTGACTATAGTCATCATGTTGTGCTATCAAATACTAGATCTTATTCAAGTTTTTGAACTATCTGTTTTTACACATTAACCATTTTCACTTTTCCCCTACTGCCGCCCCCCCTCAACTATCCTTGCCAAACTCTGGTAAGCATCATTCTACTCTCTATCTCCATGAGTTTTAATTTTTAGCATGCACAAATAAATGAGAACATGCAAAGTTTGTCTTTCTATGCCTGGCTTATTTCACTTAACATAATGACCACCAGTTCCATCCATGTTTCAAATGACAAGATCTCATTAAAAATATCTTTATTTTTTATGGCTGAATAGTACTCCATTTGTATATGTACCACATTTTCTTTATCCATCATATTTCTGTTGATGGACACTTACATTGTTTCCAAATCTCAACTACTGTGAATAGTTCTGTAATACACATGGGGGTACAGATGTCTCTTCCATGTAATGATTTTCTTTCTTTTGGTGTGGGATTGCTGGATCATATGATAGCTCTATTTTTAGTTTTTTGAGGAACCTCCATACTGTTCTCCACAGTGGGTGTACTAATTTACATTCCCACCAACAGGGGATTCTCTTTTCTCCACATCCTCTCCAGCATTTGTTATTGACTGTCTTTTGGATAAAAGCCATTTTAACTGGGGTGAGATGATATCCTCATTGTAGTTTTGATTGGCATTGCTCTGTTAATCAATGATTTGAGTACCTTTTCATATATCTGTTTGCCATTCGTATGTTTTCTTTTGAGGAATGTCTATTCAGATCTTTGGCACATTTTAAAATCAGATAATTAGATTTTTTTTCCTATAGAGTTAGTTGTCTGAGTTCCTTATATATTCTGGTTATTAATCCCTTATCAGATAAATAGCTTATATATATTTTATTCCATTCGTTGGGTTGTCTCTTCACTTTGTTGATTGTTTCCTTTTGTGCAGAAGCTTTTTTAGTTGATGTGATCCCATGTGTCCATTTTTGCTTTGGATGCCTGTGCTTGTGGGATATTATTCAAGAAATCTTTGCCCACTCCAACTTCTTGGAGAGTTTTCCAAAATGTTTTCTTGTAGTGGTTTTGTAGTTTGAGGTCTTAGACTTAAATCTTTAATTCATCTTGATTTGATTTTGGTATCTGGCAAAAGACAGTGTTCTAATTCCATTCTTCTGCATATGGATATTCAATTTTCCCAAACACCATATATTGAAGAGACTGTCACGGTGTCTTATTTCCTAGCACTTCTGGGATTAAGAAGGTGTAGTGAAGCATCATTTCCACTTTGCTCCATACATTCAGAACCTCGAGGCCAAAGTTATTATCCTTCTTTCGTGGTCAACAATAAGATTTTTCAGTGGTTTTATCTTTTTTTCATTACTCAGATTCCCAGTAAAGTAAAACATTTGCAGGTGCAATGCTTTTATGCTGCTGCCAATAGGTAATGGGAACCAGGAGGCGATTTCATCCTCAGGCACTCAGTGGAATGTATACCTTGTGGTTGGCTGATACTAATCAATGAAGCTTTAGTTTCAATGTGACACAGTTGTTTCAGAATTCACCTTGGGTTTAATGTTCCTGGAGCTTTATCCAAATATCTGACATTCTATCTAGGTACTTCTATAGGTAGGCATATTGAAAAAAAAGTTTGTCAACTAGAGTTTTTTGGACAACTGAATAGGAAAAATGCCTAGTTCTGTTTATTTGCTTAATTTGATTGCCTTAAGACAGAAACATCTTTTTGGATTTAAAAAAGGGCAAAATGAACCCAAAGTATTTAATCGACTACAATAACCTTATTGTAGGCAGCAGTGTCTCTGGTCAAGGAAAACTCTAGCTGATGTAGAATTTGCATTTTGGATCTTTGCATGAGTCATTGTGAGTAAGCAAGGTGAAAAAATACATAATAGAAAATTAAAATCTTGATTTGCAGTACTTTCCAGTAGTGACTGAAAATTCCTTGGTCTGTAATATTTTAAAAAGTTAAGATTTATTTAAATAATTTTATGAAGAATTTACATTCACTGTGATAGTTAAAACTATCTCAAGTTATTATTTGTAATTTTCATATATTTTGGTGTAGACTTCTAATCTTAGTAAGGAGGAACCCATTAAATGGCTTAAAGGTTTGTGCCTTGATTTCTAAACTGTTGGTAGTTATGTGACTCAATAGCCCATAGATCAGACTTTCAACGTCTGAATTATTTACTTAAAAAGACTGGCTAGACTTGCTCATGGATTTTTCTCTCATTAGCATGCAGTTCTAGTGTCCTTGAAGAGAATAATGATAATAATAATAATGAAAGGAGAACAAAAAAGGGAGGACACATTTCTTGAAATGGCCTCCTGGCTTTCTACTGTAGACTTTTTCTTAGTTTCTAAAGGCGGATTGATTAGCAATAGAAGAATATTAGTAATTTGTGTATTTATGATGTGAAATTTCTAAGTGGAGTATCCTAGCTATGCTTTGGGAAGAATAAGACCTGAGAATGGGTTCTAATACCACTCCCTTCTTCTGAAGCATGTTTTATGACTCATTTATAAAGCTCTGGGGATGGGCAAGGGGGTTGAGTAGTGACTGATTTTCTTGTCTGTTGCCATGTCATGGTGGCCAGAGTGGCAGAAATGTATGCTGTAGAGCCACAATGCAGAAAAGGACTTCTAAGTTCTTTCTTAAAACACCTCTTTTTTCTTATCATTCTCTTTCTTTCATACCTATCGTAATCACCCTTCAGTGCTTGTTGAATAAAATTCTGTAACCTGGCATTGATACAATGTGATATAGTCAAATGAGAGTTTATCACTTTGAAGTCCCCTTTGTGGTCATATAATGGTTTGATCACTTATAACTGAGCAATCTAGGATAATTGCTTACCCCTCTGCATCTCATTTTGCTCATCGTTAAAATGGAAACTATAATATTAAGTAGGATCGTCATGAAGATTAGATGAGATAATATGTGCCAAGTACATGTCATGCTGCCTGACATATAATAGGTCTTTAATAATGGTAGCTACTTTGGGGCATTGTTATTGCTATTACTATTAATATTGTAACAGGGATGTTGAATAAGGAAAATTCATGGGATTTAATCAGAAAATATAGTTGCTTTCCATTGTCCCCTTGGAATATGCTTACTGGTGGAACTGCTTCAGCCTCTTTTTGAAATGTAGACAGTACCATTAATTTTCCAGTCATTATTAGTAATTACAAAGTGTTATGTTCACTCCAAGTCACATAATATTAATTTAAAACTGTATAGATCATGAAGTAATCACCTTGTTAAATATTTTCTTCTCCTTCCAGCTGGAACATGCTGCAGATGAGAAATCTGGTTTATGAAGAGGGCAAGTAGAAGGATGCTCTCCTTAGAAATTTCACATAATAAATGCACACATAAAAATACTCTTCTAGGCCAGGCGGGGTGGTTCATGCCTGTAATCCCAGCACTTTGGGAGGCTGAGGCGGGTGGATCACCTGAGGTCAGGAGTTCGAGACCAGCCTGGCTAACATGGTAAACCCTGTTTCTACTAAAAATACAAAAAATTAGCTGGACATGGTGGCGTGCAACTGTAATCCCAGTTACTCACGAGGCTGAGGCAGGAGAATCGCTTGAACCTGGGAGGCGGAGGTTGCAGTAAGCCAAGATCACACCATTGCACTCCAGCTTGGGCAATCAATCCACTTTTAGAATTAAGCTAAGAAAGAATCCACAACAGAAAACCCAGAACGGTTTCTTCTCCCTGTCCTCCTCTATCTTTCTAATCGAGGTTATCCCTATTGGTTGAAGGTGGGAAAAGAGCAGGAAAGGTCTTATACGCTGGTACTGTTGGAAAGTGACTTTCTGTATCCCACTGAAAAGATGTCAACCTGGTGCCTCCTCTTGTGTGGTTTGTAAAAGTCTCTCACTGAGAATATTTGAGCTTACTTTGTATGACAAGGACAACATATTTTCTTCCAGCTGCTTCTCTCTAAATTGCTCTTGTTCTTCCATGTCCCCCGCCCCATTTTCCCAAGAGGTCTTCTAGGGAAGAATTTAAAGTGGCTTCAGGCTAGCTCTTTCTCCTATGTGGCATTCTTTTGCCCTGAAAAATGATGGGACTCCAGGCAGATGTCAATGAATGTGCTATTTCCCTTTCTCTGCTTCTCAAGCCGCCAGGGAGCCCATCGCTGCTTCTGAGAATTTCCAAGCAGGAGTCCAATGCCGGCCACCTTGTGCCCTGCTCCTGGAGACATGTAAGACCCTCTCTGAGTGCTCCTGCTGAAGCTCTTCTCACTAGGCTTGTAGTGGAGCAGCCTGTACCCCACCAGTCACTGGCTTCCTCCAAAGACAGCCTTCTCACAGATTTTCTCCTCATCTGCTTTCTCTGCACGCTGCTATATGTCTTTGTGGCTGAGGGATCTTCAAAACCACCAAACAAGTTTTTTGGTCATTTATTTGAAAATTTGCATTTTTGTGGGATATCTTGTGTTAGGTTTCTTTTCTACTGTATGTTGCTGCCCAGTGAAAACATTCAATATTATGTCATCTTTGAGACCTATCTTTTAGAACTCTTCTAAAGTCTGCTGTGGTCAGTTTACTGTCTTCCTCTTAGTTCTACATTGAGATTTTCTCCTCCATGTCTTGGCTTTGGCTGATCCCTCTCTCCTGATTTTCTAAACACTTTCTCTCTCTCTCTCTTCCTTGCCCCCAAATTATTATATTTCTCTGTTCAACCCATAAGTTCTTGGGTAACTTAGTTTAGAAAATGAGTTCACATCAGAGTGTTAAAGTTCCTAGGTAACATTTACTTTAACTCAAAAGAGTGAGCAATGTGGGAATTACAAGTGCCTTGGAAGAAACAGTGGAAAACACTTCAAACTCTTCAGACCACACCAGTCAGCTGCCTCTTCAGCTTGTGCCAAAGGCTGGCTTTGCCAATACCCTGACTACATGAGGCTACATCAAGAATAACTTTTCTTTCCCTGTAGGCCTAGTTCTAATACTCCAAGACAAACCACAATTAGAATGAATGCTACTGGTCTTCTATCAATCATTGTTACATTTGTTGAAATAATCCCTATCTAACTGGATGTCACAATCCTACAGCTTTAGAGTTGGGTTAAGGTTGAATAATATGTGATCTTATTATTTTTACTTGGAGAATGAGAAAAGAGGCTTCAACTGGTTGAATCAGTAGCAGAAAATGGAAGTTATCTTCTTTTACTCGTAAATGAGAGAGGGAGACGGAGTGAGTATTTTGTACCTTTTAACAAGAAAGTGCGTTGTAATGAGAAATGAGGGCTACAAGAAACTTGAAGTCAAATATATTTCTTTAACTTTGAAATAACTTGAATAGTAAAGGATATTTCATCTATTTTTGATGACATGTTGTGAACAAAGGGAATCAAAGTGCAGAGCTGAAGCCTAGTAATTTTTAGTACTTATTTTGATAAAATATATTTAGACTTTTGAATATAATTGTTCTGTAAGTTCATAGCTTGCATATATGGCTTAGTATATGAAAACAAATTCACTGAGAAATTAAATTTTACAGTTTATAATCAAATAAAAAAGTTTATAATAAAATAATACATTTTAAGAAATTCAACATTTGTTCATATCCCGAATTTCACTAAGGTTGAAGCATGAAATGCTATCGAGTGAATTTAGGACCATTCAAAATCTGTCTATTTAATAACAAACAAGTATTTTTGAGAGGTCATTAGTGTTGCTTTGGAGATAAAAAGGGAAAAAATATATTAAATGCCTAGAGACAGATACTTTCCAATTTCTATTTTCTTTTCCTTTCATTTCAAACTTTTTTTTCCCTATGACAAAAGTCTTCCACCATCAAGTCTTCTTGATTAGATCCTACTAGATCAGGTTAATCTGTTTTATAATTAATAATTTCTGTTGTTCCAACACGTGATACCATAAGCACTAGCTATTGTCTGGAGCAGGGAAAAAAATGAGGTATAAAATAAACACATTCCTATTAGCAAATGAGAGCTGCAGGAAACTTGAAGCCCTCGTTTTGTATCTGGAAATGGATCTGGGTCACTGACATAATATTCAGAACTCCGAATTTCAAACATAAGCTGTGAAATTAAAAAGGGTGTTTTTAAATCTATGTGGCTCAGATAGCAGTAATTTGGAAAGGACCAACAAATACAAATCTGTGTGGGTGTGTGTGTGTTTGAAAACGAAAATAAAGAAAAAGAACAAGAACAAAGCAAATCTCAGTGGTATATCAACTGGTACAATGAGTAACTAAGGAAGGCTATAAAAGTTACTAAGCAAGTCATTCAATCATAGACTCTGGGAGAGAGAAGGGCTCTCAAGTGGTCATATAATCTAGTTCTTTGCCCTGGAGAAATAGGATATTTCAGCCTCTTTCAATTCTAGCCCCCCAGCTTCTCTTAAAGATTTTAAAATGGATTATACATTTTTTAGGTTGACAACAATTTATTGAGTTCCTACTATGTGGCAAAGACTAAAGATAGGAGCAGGGTCACAGAGATTAATTATATACGTCCTCTTATCTGAAGAAGTTTAGACCAAATGAGAAGACCAACACACAGGCAGATAATTACGGCCAAATAATATGAGTAGCTTGGTCAAGTATGCAGTAAGTGCTGGGAGAAAAAATTCTTTCAGTGTCATTTAAGCTTATGACTTCTTATTCTGTGTTCTAGTAAAAAAAAAAAAAAAGGAAAAATTTCTATCAAATGGCAAGAAGGGAGAGAATGTAGTAGCTGGGTCTGGTACATTTGCAGAATATCTATTTGGATATTTGAATGATTTCTAAGAAAAAACAATTGACCTAAAGGAAAAGGGAAGAAACAAAGATAAGTAGGTGAGAAAGAAAATAGTTGACCAGTAAAGAATAAAGCTCTTCTCTTTTTTTGTATTTCTTAATTAAAGCTTAGTATAAATATAGAAAAGTGCCCCAATAAGATCTATAAATTTTAACAAAGTAAGACACTCCGGTAACCACCTAAAATAAGAAATAGAACATCTTGGCCTGGCACAGTGGCTTATGCCTGTAATCCCTGCACTTCGGCAGGCCGAGGCGGGTGGATCACGAGGTCAGGAGATAGAGACGATCCTGGCTAATATGGTGAAACCCCGTCTGTACTAAAAATACAAAAAAATTAGCTGGGCGTGGTGGCGGGTGCCTGTAGTCCCAGCTACTGAGGAGGCTGAAGCAGGAGAATGGCGTGAACCCGGGAGGCGGAGCTTGTGGTGAGCCGAGATCGCGCCACTGCACTCCAGCTTGGACGACAGAGCAAGAGTCCGTCTCAAAAAAAAAAAAAAAAAAAAAGAAAAGAAAAAAAAGAAATAGAACATCTCCAATACTGTCACAGCTTTCTTTCTTCTTCCTCCCAGTTATCACACACCCTCAAATGTAACCGCTCTTTGACTTCTAGCTCCAAAGATTAATTTTGCCTGCTTTTGGACTTTATGTAAGTTGAGTCATGTATTCTTTTCTGTCTAGTCTCTTTCATTTCACAATATATCTATCATTCATCTATATCATTTTGGATAACAGTAGTCCGAATATATGACTATATCACAAATTATTTTTTCATACTAAATAAATTTGGGTTGTTTCTATCTCTAGGCTATTACACATAATATTTTATAAATATCCTAGTATGTTGTTTGGTACATATATGTAAGCATTTATTTTGGCTTTAATCTGAGTAGAATAATGGGCCATAAGTAATGCTTTAATGGGTACCCTCAGTAAGTTTTCTAACGTGTTTCTACCAATTTCCAGTTGCTCCACATTCTTGGTAACAGTGTTGTCAGTCCTTTTTATTGTAGCTGTTCTTGTGGGTGTGTAGTGGTAGCTCACTGGTATTAATTTGCGCTTACTGGTATTAATTTGCGCTCACTGAAAATTATGAGTTGATTACCTTTTCATATGCATACTGGCAATTTACATATCCTCTTTTGTGAAGTGCTTTTCAAGTCTTTTGTCTCTCTTTTAAAAAGTTATCATCTATCAGTTCTTATTGTAAGAGTTATGTATCGAATCCAAGTCCTATTTCTTGCGTATATATTGTAAATACTTCATCCTATTCTATATGTTGCATTTTCACCTTTTAATTTTTTTAAATAAAAATAGGATTTTAATTTGAATGCAGCTCAGTTTATTAAGCTCTTCCTAGGATTAGTGCTTGTCATGGTTAGTGCCCCATTTCAGAAACCTTTGCTCACTCCAAGGTCATGAAGATTTTTTTGTATGTTTTTCTCTAAAAGCTTTATTATTTGACCTTTCGCGTTTGGGCCTAGGATCCACTGATCCATCTGATTTCTTCTTTATTTTTTTTAGTGATAGGTTCTCACTCTGATTCCCAGACTATAGCGTAGTAGCCTGATCATAGCTCAGGAACTTTTGGGCAGCCTTGAACTTATGGGCTCAAAAGATTCTCTTGCTTTAGCCTCTAGAGTAGCTGGGATTACAACTGACTGCTACCCAGGCCAGCTAATTAAAAACAAATGTTAGAGATGAGGGTCTTGCTATGTTGTCCAGGCTGGTCTTGGACTCCTGGCTTCAAGATATCCTCTTGCCTCACCTCCCGAGTAGCTGGGATTATGGGCACAAGCTACTACACCCAGTTGATTTGATTTTTTATGTGTTGTGGTAGTGTTTAACATTTGTTATTTTTTGAAATGGATAAGCACTTAAACATCATTTATTTTTAAGACCCTGTTTCATTGCAATAATTTTGCCTTAAATTATGTTATTATGTGTGCGTAAATAAAAATATAGACTTTTTTTTGTTCCATTGGTTTTTCTGCCTGTCCTGTCTCATTACTGTAATTACTAGTGGCTCATACTTAGTTTTTACCTCTAGTAGTATACATCTTTTAACTTAGTTCTTAATTTCCTTGGCTATTCTTGGTTCTTTGAAATTCCACACCTTTTAGTATTAGCTTTACAATTTCTATAAAAAGCCTATTAAGCTTTTGATTGGAATTGTGTAAAATCTAGAGATCAATTTGGGGAGAACTGACATCTTTATAATACTGAGTGTTCCAGCCCATGAATATGGCACATCTTTTTATTTTATTGATGTTATTATACATTGTATTTAAACTTGTTTTTAATGCATTTTGCTGGAATATAGAAATATAGTTTATTTTTATGTGTTGACCTTGGATCCTGGGACCCTGATAAATTCACTTAGTTCTAGGGTAGCTTATCAGTTGATTTTATTGTATCTTCTAGGTACATAATTGTATCATTCACAAATAATGAAGGTTTTATTTATTGCTTTTCAATTTTTAAACTTTTTATTACCTTTTCTTCATTTATTGCTCTGGCTAGATCCTGTAGTGCAATGTTGAAGAGCAGTGGTGACAGCAGCCATTGTTTCCTTGGTCTAATCTCACAGGAAAATTTTTTCACTATTTCACAATTAAGTGTGGTATTTGCTGTGGCTTTTTTATTTTATTGGAGATAGAAGTTCTTTTCTATTTCTACCTTGCTTAAACATTTTAAACATGAATGGATATTTTTGTTAAATTTTATCTGCATCTAAGTGGATCATAAAATTTTTCCCTGTATTTTGCTAATGGAGTTTGAATATTAAACCAACTTTGCATTCCTGGAATAAATTCAACTTAGTTGTGATATGTTATTCCTTTAAAGATTCAGGAATAAAGATTCCTTTATTAGATTCAATTTCCTGATATTTTAATTTTTAAAATTTATATTAATGAGTGTTTATATTAATGAGAGCCATTGACCTGTAAGTTTTCTATATTATAATATTTATCATGCCTTGGTATCAAATTTATGTTAACCTTTTAAAACAAGAAGTCTTAGGCTGGGCCCGGTTGCTCATGCCTATAATGCCAGCACTTTGGGAGGCTGAGGCAGGCGGATCACTTGAGGTCAGGAGTTTGAGACCAGCCTGGCCAACATGGTGAAACCCCGTCTCTACTAAAAAAAAAAAAAAAAAAAAGAGCTGGGTGTGGTGTCTCATGCCTGTAATCCCAGCGACTCAGGAGGCTGAGGCATGAGAATCACTTGAACCTGGCAAGTGGAGGTTGCAGTGAGCCCAGATCGTGCCACTGCACTCCAGCCTGGGTGACGTGAGACCCTGTCTCCAACCAACCAACCAACCAACCAACCCAAGTCTTTCCTTTTTTTCCTATGCTCTGGAGCTCTGGAGTCAGTTTTTGTAAGATGGCTATTCTTTCCTTCTTAAATATTTAAAATAATTCATTAGTGATGCTACCAGGGCCTAACATTTCCTTTTGGGGAAGATTTTTAAATTATCAGTATAATTCATGCAATTGATACAGTATTTTGTGTTTTCCATGTCTTATGAGTCAGTTGTATTTTTCAAGGATTTTCCCTTTCAAGTAAATTTTAGAAAGAAACAAATTAGCATAGAATTGTTCAATTCAATGAAGATTTTTATTTTGGAAGAAGTGCTCATGAGTCTTGGTCAGGAGTAAGTGGACCTAAACTGTTCAGAGAATTTTATGGGGATTTCACAGATTATGCCAAAGACGGACTTCTTCCTCTTTGAAATAAAGCAATATCAATGAAAATAATGTCAGTTGGTTGAAAGTATGTTTTATCGCTTCTCTCTCTCTCTCTTTTTTTTTTTAAACTAAGGAACTACTCCAAAATTTAATGGCTCACAACAGCGATCATTTATTTAGCTCTCCATTCTGAGCGTGAGAAGCCTGCTCTGGGCTGGCTTTGGCTCACTGTGGCTAGGTACACTCAGAGCCTGTGGCTAGTTGGTGGCTTGGACAGGCCTGAGGGTGGCTGATGATGGCAATAGTAGAATTGAGGCCGGGCGTGGCAGTGGCTCACGCCTGTAGTTCCAGCACTTTGGGAGGCTGAGGCAGGTGGGTCATTTGAGGTCAGGAGATAGAGACCAGCCTCGCCTACATGGTGAAACCCCATCTCTACTAAAAAACACCCAAAATTAGCCAGGTGTCGTGGTGCACACCTATAGCTTCAGCTACTCAGAGGATGAGGTAAGAGAATCGCTTGAACCCAGGAGGCAAAGGTTGCAGTAAGCCAAGATAGTACCACTGCACTCCAGCCTGGGTGACAGAGTGAGTCTCCATCTCAAAAAAAAAAAATCATCTCAAAAAATGATAATAATAATAAGTAGAAACGGCTGAGAGGTTAGTGGTGTTTTCATCAATGGCTATGCAATCTTTGTGACCTCATTCTCTAGAAGGTTTGCCTGGACTTGTTCTCATACCACTCAGAGTTCCAAGAGAAGCAGCAAAACAAATTCCTAATGCGTAAGCACTTTTCAATTATTTGCTTGTGTCACAGTTTCTGCTAACCATTTGGCCAAAAGCTAGGTGGCCAAGCCCAGCCTGTGTGAGAATAGTACATGAAAGGCAATGGATATAGAAGTATCAACAAAACAAGGCTAGAACAATCAGTCCACCAGAATGTGTGATATATTTGCAGCTCCAGTTATGGTGAAAGACTTAATTTTGGATACATGTAAAACAAAACCCTGCTAAACAATGATGATGGCGTTTTTTCATTCAGAGGCAAAGATAAATTATAACTGGTAGAGGGGAAAATCCCAAATAACCTAAATTCTGCTGAGAAAAATGATTTATACAATTATTGTGGCTTTAAAGTACATGTTTTGGATGTATGTGAAAGAACCCAATAATCTGTGCCTGGGTGAAAGGTGAAACTCAGTATTTGTGGTGAGAGGTGCATTATTATGCAAACTGCCCAATAACACGTTTTAATACAGGGAGATAGTTAACCTGGATCTGCTCTGGGGCGTGGAAAGAAAAAGGAAATGAAATATCTTAGCAGGGCAGGGGGAGGCTGTGAAAAATGTGGGGAGGGCTTCGTGATGGAATAGGAAAAAAGCAAGATGAATTTAAGGCGTTGTTAGGGAAATAAATATGTCTGTGGAGAATAATATTAATAACTAACATTTGAGAGCTAAGGGCTTTGTATTATTTATTTTAGCCCTTATAACAACCTTATGTTTACATAAAACTGTCAGGATAGAAATCATATACAGCACTAAATTATCAAGGAGAGGGTAGCCAAGAAGAGGAGACAAGGAAGATTTCCCATGGGAAAGGGCATGTTGTCTAAGATCTATAGGGTAAGAAAACAAGATGGGAAGAAGTTTTAGAAAAAACCTACAGAGGAGACGATATAGATGGAAAGATGTGGCCGTGCACTGCATTCAAGGTGATTAAAATATTCAGATAGAGGATAATTAAAAGGGAGAGAAATAGAAGATGTTCAAAGGAAGCATCTATGATAGTTAAATTCTACACAAGTGTGGAAAATATGTAACCTCAGGTAGGAACATGTAACACAGACAGCACACAAGAAAGCTAGAAGAACTTCTAGAGTCTCTCACAGAGAAAATAAACTGGCAACTTCTCGTTATAGAAAAGAGGAAATCTGTTGAATGCAAATAAATTTCAGAAAGAGGTCATGACTTTCCTTCCCTGATTTACAAAGCAGAAGAAAGGCACACTGGAATGAGGACTCCATACACACACATGCACATAGACACACACGTGCAGACATACAAAATGTAGATGTCTAAATGTTGTGTAATACCTGTTTTAGAAGGCATGTGATTGAAATGGGAGAAGATTTGATACTTTAAAAATGTGTTTGCACTTTTCCAAAGCCCAAAAGGAAAAAGAATAAAAGGAATATTAAAAAAAAGAATTTACAGACAATTAAAGGAAGGGAGATCCAATTTTTTTTTTTGCATAAGAAAACCATGATGTTAGGAGACTACAGGTCTCCCTATAATTTACTAAAAGTTATCAGAAAGTGGTTATCAGTCTTATGAATACTCTGAAAGGATATTCATAAAGAATCTGAAAGAATTCGTTTAAAATTTGTGGCTGCTTCCCCTTCCAAACAAGTAGAATATTTACCAGGTTAAGGGAGGCAAAAAGATTAAAGAACAGTGGCTTGATTCAGAAGCAGTGTGTTCTTTTCTGCAGGATTGGGAAGTCTCCAGAAGGACAGGGTGAACTGCCTTACTAGTCATGTGTGGGCCATGAACCTGCAGTAGCAGCATCACCTGGGAGCTTGTGAGAAACATGGAATCTCAGGAGGCCCCACCTCAAGACTAATGAATCAGAAACTCTGTGGTTGGTGTCTAGTAATCTGTGTTTCTAAAGCCCTCGAGGTGATTCTATTACACGCTGAAGTTTGAGAGTACTGGGTTAGAGGGCACATGGGATGATATCACAAAAATAAAGTGAATCCAAAAAGGAAGAAAACAATTTTCTTCCTTAAATATAGAGGTCCGTGTATTCAACAAAAAGTTATTGATTGTTTACTGTACAATGGTTAAACAAGATTAATGGATCTCAACATTTTCATCACAAAGAATCATTTTTGTTATTCCCATCATCCGGTTAATTTATGAACCATGCTTAGAGCAGGATTTCTCAACAGCAGCACTGCTGACACTTTGGGCCAGTTGTGGGAAGCGGTCTTCTTCACTGTTGGTGATTTAACAGCATTGCTGGCCTCTACCCACTTGATGCTAATAGAATCCTCCTTTGTGACCCCCAAAAATGTCTCCAGGCACTGCCAAATGTCCTCTGGGAAGCAAAATCATCCCTGGTTGAGAACCAGAGTTTTAAAGGAAAACAAAAATTAAGCAATATATATTTGTTAATATTATAGTTATCTATTTTTATTATGTAACTGACATAATGTTAGTCAAACACATGTAACTGACAGAGCATGAGGCAAATAAAAGTCTTTCGCTTCATAGACCAACTGCATTTGCAGATCAAATCCTGGCTGTCTGGTATATTTGACCAGGGGCAAAGGTAGGGATTCTTTTAAAAAACCTCAGTTCCATCATAGAAAAAACAATCATAAAATATTTGCTATTCAATGATTAAATATAATAAAGTATAGAAAGTGCTTGAAATAGCTCAGTACTCCTATTTCTCTTCTTACAGAATTCCAAATGTCTGTAACTCAATAGGGGCACCAAACTAAAATTCTCTTTAAAATCTCTCCCTGGCTCAACATTCTCTGGTTCTAGTTACATCTATATCTGAAAGTTCAGATTTTGTCGTTGTTGTTTAAAGATTCTTCTGTGATCTCATGAGAGCTATTCATACTCGCATTAGAAAAGTACAGACACACACACACACACACACACCATTTTTCCAGGTTCAGGATGTTTTCCAAGCTTGTGAAACTCAAGTCTCAGGTTAAAACCCTCTGATAAATATGTCGACAGCCCAGGAGTGGGCAGGTAGGGGTGACAAGATCTGTGCAAAAGACAGAACTGAGGTTGATGTAGGGAAAGTAAAAGATGCCACTCTTCTAACCTGAAAGTAGTAAAAGCTGGAATGGACATTTTAGCACTAGTTTGAGGTGGCAATAAAAGAGAGGAACTGTGACAGAATCCTATTAGAACAGCAAGAAATAGAAAACATGTCAAGAGGGACAACCAGGAGGAGGGAGCTTTGTTCTGCTGAAGACAAGCTAAGATAAAAGTCGGTGTTATTGAACTTGGGGGCATGAAAAATTTAATGCATGTGGGAAGACAAGGAAGGGATCAACACTGAGAATGTACTGTAGGGGAGGCGTTCTGCAAACATTTGTAAAAGCAATGTGTGTTAATTGTCGTAGAGAGACAACTACTCCTTAACCAGTTGTTTTTGCTGATGATGAATGGAGATGTTTAAAGAACTATTTCAAAAGCAATAACAGATTTATCCAGGAGACAAAGGCATGTGCATTAGTGCTAGGGTTTCAGTCCAAAATGGGGGAATTTCCTAATAGATATCACAGCCCAAGGAATAAACAGTATAAAATGACTGTGGACGTGGAGAGTTTCCTGTGGCTATGGAAACCTCTGCTGACTTCTTACAACTTTGGAAGATTCAAAGAAAGTCTTAACCATTATTTTACCTAATACAGTGAGAAAAACTGAGATATTTCACAGAATGGAACAAATGATGTTAAGTTTATATTTAAAAGAGAACAGTAGATTTAAAGCTGAGAGCCTCTACAATTACCAATACTGCTTACCAGGTATGTATACATAGAAATTCAGATGCAAAACTGAAGAGAGAGACCATGCTTTTAGATACAGAACATAGCCCACTGAATATAGAAGGGGTGGTGAGAAAGCAAAAATAATGAGCTGGTTAAGTATAGGAGTTGAGAATCAGACAGAAATGAATTCAAATTATTGTTTGACGTGAGGTTTGCAAGGTATTTTCTTTTCTAAGCTTTATGTTTCTTATCCATAAAATGGGTGTGAGTATACATATCTCTAAGGACTGTCCTGGACATTAGGTAACATATGAAAAGATAATGTATTAAAAATACCTGATGCAGTCAGGTGCAGTGGCTTATGCTTGTAATCCCAGCACTTTGGGAAGCTGGGGCAAATGGATCACTTGAGGTCAGGAGTTTGAGACAAGCCTGGCCAACATGGTGAAACCCCATCTCTACTAATAATACAAAAATTAGCCAGGCATGGTGGCACATGCCTGTAGTCTCAGCTACTCTGGAGGCTGAGGCAGGAGAATGGCATGAACCCGGGAGGCAGAGCTTGCGGTGAGCTGAGATCATGTCATTGAACTTCAGCTGGGGCAACAGAGCAAGATTCTGTCTCAAAAAAAAAAAAAAAAGAAAAGAAAAAAAAAAACCCTGATGAATAGAAAATTCTTAACATATGGTGGTTATTGTTTTATTCAATGTTCACTGTGTTCTAGGCACTTTCATGTATTTGTTTAACCCTGACAGCCATGATGTGAAGTCCATATGATTGTGTACATATACACTATATATATTTTTATAAGAAGTATGAGGACATGAAATAATGATTGAAATGTTAAATCACAGCAATAATTTTTAACTTTGTAATTTTAGTATTCCTAATGGCTCTTAAGGTAAAGCAACTCTCTGTGGAGAGGGGACATGGTTTACCCGTTTCTGTGTCCCTCATCTCATAGTACAGTGCCTTGAACCCTGTGTGGATTTATGCCTATGTGTTAGAATGACATCTTATAGAATCATGCATTTAAAGTAGGAAAAGCCTCAGTGATCATGTAGTTCTCTTCTTTTCATACAGACAGTGGGATTTTAAAAAGAATGAATTTCTAAAGGTCACATGCTAATTAGTTGAAAAGTATAGACTAGAATGTAGCTTGTCCGATTCAGTTTCTAGAGTTGTTGAATGCTTTTTCTTTGTATGAGAAGTCTTAGTTCCTGGAGGGGGTGATGAGGGCCTTGAGGAATGTATAGATACCCCTGCAGAATGACTCCCGCGGCTTCCCAGAATGAGGGCTTTGCAGAGCCCTCTCTGTAGGCAAGTACTTGGCAGGGGGTCCATGCTCAACAGCTGCTTCCACAGTTGTTCACTCTAAGACAAGCTTTTAAAAAGATAGTTCCTATGTTGTAAATGATAAAGATCGCTTCCTGCAACTTAGTACCCCAAATGTGTCTGCTGTGTGAGGAGGAAGAATTGGGCCTTTGCCTATTATAAGTCTAATGTGCACTGATCCTGGAATTTCTTAGGTGGAAGAATAAATTGAGTTTTAAGCCTCTTCAAAGTATGTAGGGAGGTGTGTGTGTGTGTTGGGGTTTGGGGAGGCATCAAGAAGGGTGAATGTAATAGGATCACACTTACTAAAGCCTGGGTAAGTTTCACTCATCAAAATTTGCAAAAAGATATAGTTTTATTGAGGCCCTCCTAATCTCCTAGCACTTTGACTTTTTTTTTAAGGAAATATTCTTGTATCAGTCATTTCCACCCAATCTTCACTCATATCAGCTGGGCCTGTTTGCTCTGACGTTGAATAGTCTTGGATCTGCACCCTGACCCAGGCTGTGAGGCTCAGAGAGGTTCCTCTATTTCTCTGAGCCTCCTGTTTGTTTCAACTGTGAAGGGGGAAGAATACTAGTGCCTATCCACCTAATTGTGAGGATTAAATGAAAATTACACAAAAATGTTTAGTGCAGTGCCTTCCAGGGTAGGCCCTTCTTGTGTCTTTTTATTATGATTAGTACTCTCAGGAGGGCTTACATTTACATTTTCTATCTCTAATTGTGTACTATAAGACCCTGTTCTTCATTAAAGGGGTTTCATATTCTGAAAACAGGCTGGAGAGGCCTAGTGGAAAAAAGGGGCCCTCTGAATTTGTTCTTGGACAGTCCTCTATTCTGCCAAAACCTATTGTTAGCCTGTATAAAGACAACCATGATGCTGACAGAATAGTCATCATGTCAGTATCTGTGTGGAATTACAAAATTATAGCATCTGTGAAGAGTGTCTTCATTTCAGGACCATTTACGATTATGTGTCATTTTTCTAGCTGTAGTGAATCCAGTGCTCCATTGGAAAGTATACCTGCGATTTTAACTACATGCGCAGATCCCTACTGTCGCATAGAACAAGAAGCCTTGAACCTGCAAGTTGCTGTAAATACCACTTCACTGTGCTCACAGGGCCCCTCTGAACCCCTCTCTCACTGAGGCTGTTTCTGTGGACATAGTACGACATGTAATAGTCTCTCTCCCGAGTCAGACAACTCCTGGGCATAAAACATTTATTTTTCTAGCCCCAGCAACTAGCATAGTGCACGGCCCCATAGTTCTCAAGTAATATTTGTTGAGCCAAATAACCTGTTATTTGGCTAGTTTGGTGTGACAATTTCTGTACCTGTGAAAATATAAACTGGCTGTTAGTGTGAAAGGTGCCAATTGTATCTTTCATTTATAAATATGAGCATTTCTCATTGTTCAGTGTGTCTGAAGAGGCACTGTTTAAATCACAGTGGTGATAATGGCAGGTTATGTGGCAGCAAGCCAAGCACAGCTGAGAGGACTGAGACAGGGGAACAAACCTGCAATCAGGGGAATTTGATGAGGGTCATTGAAAACCAAAGTTTGACGTCAGAATCTGAGCTGGAGAATAATTATATCTCCTTATAAGAAAATAAAAAAACAACAAGGGGTTGATAAGGACTTGTCTTCCCCAATGTCTGAATCCCACCTGCTCAGGTATGTTTATTTGAAAATGTCTGGGCCTATCAACAGACCAGTTACCTTAATCAAAGGTGGTGCCCCACCATCCACAATAAAGAAAAACATGGTATTTAGGTAGCAATTACTGTTCATACAGCATAATTATTGTCTTATCTTTGTGCTGTAATAAAACCAGCCCCCAACCCAAGCCATATCATATGTTCCTGTGCTCCTTAAATGGCGAGAGTTTTATAAAATTGTCTTCAAGTCATGGGGTAGGGCCTCAAGGGGATAGAGTTGTGTGGTGAATGGGAGCATGAGATACAGTATTAGGCCAGTCACCCTAAACTCTCTAAACCTTAGTAACCTATAGACTTACAGTGAGGATGATTTGTATAGAGAGCCTATCACAGTACCTGGCATCAGCACTCAATAAATGGTAGCTATTATTTCATCAGTAGTAGCAGCAGTAACACTATAAATAATAGTAATGGTAGCCACATAGGAACAGTAGGAGCCATCCTCAATGGGGCAGGCATTATGTCAATCACTTGGGGAGGAGGCCAGACCCTCAGAAAGGAAACCAGAACTCAGGAGACCTGGGTCTTAGGCTGGAAAAGTAACTTCTGCCTCTCTCGAAGATCTGGACTTAGAAGTGTCCAGATGATTTTTTGGGTGAGGAAAAGCTAGTTCAGGAGCCATACAGGGATACGGACAAGGAGGTAACTCTGTGGCGACTATCTGAAGATATATGAAGTATGGCTGGTAGGTCAGATGATCAAATTACAGATCATTTCGCTTTTGTTCCTCCAGTCTTTTCAGTCTAGTTTGATTTTCATCTCATTTCAGATTTGCCATGGGCCATGAAAGAAACTGTGATTTTCCCTATTTGAGCTTGATGTTTATTGGGTTCTAGCCCACCTAAACCCCCTACTCAGACACTCTTCTCCCTCCCAGTGGGGTCAGTGAAGCTAGGACAAGGGCCATTAGCAATAACTTCCAAAGGGAAGGTAAAGTTGGGGACACAAGGTTCCCACAACCTTCCCTTCCTTGGCAATCTTGTGGTTCCCACTGTTAATTTTATCACAAATGTTTGCAGGTGTTCCAACTGGCACTTAATCATATACTATACTTCAATGTTTAGTATGTTTAATATAATCTTATTTTTTCCGTTAGGTTATAAACTCCCTTAAGGCAGTGATTTTGTCATGTATTATAAAAATCACCCATAGCATCTTGCACAATGATCTCTAAGTGAATATTCAGTAAATATAGTAACTGTTTATCTAAAATGTTATATTAACCTGGACCTTGGAAATACCCTAAGATCTTATCAAAACAGCATTGTATTTCCCTATTCTGTTAGCTCTTTTGGAGCTATAGATTTCTGTATGTGATTAAAATTGGAAATCACTTTGTTTTTAACAAAACCAGAGCATTCCTTGTAGTATAATTAAATACCTGTGTTCTCAATTCCCCAAAATCATACAGCAGGGGGCCATCTCTAGTACTCACCCCTGAAAGGTAGCTGACACAAAACTTAACTAAGGCATCTTGCTACACAGGAAAGAGCATTTTAATTTGCTTCTTGAGAAACTAAATTTCTGGGAATTTGTGATAATAGCTGGATGTGGGAAACTAGAAAGGCCTATAAACATGAGGCCCTTAAAACAAGGCATCCCAAAAATCCAGGAGGTGGCATGTACACAGTTCTCAGTTAACCATCCTAACAGCTGAGTAGGGGCACAGAAAATTCAAAATGTGATCCCAAACCTACTTCCTGATGAATAATAATGCTACTCTAAGAGCAGTTCTTTCCCCAGTAGGTTGTAAAGTAGTATTAAAATGTACTTTGATTTCCTAAACCTGATGATGAGAATTGTGGCTCCTTTTAACACTCGAGAGGATAACATTTCTGTTGGATAAATAAGAACCTCTTCTGTGTACACAAAGAATCTTCTGTCAATAGAGTACAGAGCATATTTCTTTTCTCATGAGGTAGAAAGCAGCAGCTTTGACTCAGCGTGGAACCAGGCAGTGCAGACCCAGAGCAGCTTCCAGCTCTCAAGCGGGTGCAGGGTGCAGAGTGCAGAGTGAGGGTGATGAGAGATGAGGCCAGCACCCAGCCAGTTAAGTCTCTTGTTTGAATTAGTTCCAATTCCAAAGAACATTACAGACAAAACAAACTTTTCAGCTCTTAGGAGGTGACTGCACTAACTTGACAAAAATGCAACTCATTAATTGAATTCTGATTACATAGGTATTGTGGCAATTTGCTTTGTATGCATTATCTCATTTCATCTTCTCAACCATCTCATGTTTAGTAAGATGAGGTGAGTGAGATCCTTCATTATGGAGGTATAGAATCTGGGGCTTAAACTCAGTTTTGTCTGACTCCAAGCCCCTGTTCTCCAGTCTTGTTATTTGTTCTGCGTTTGAGGAATGTACTCAATGGCAGGGATAATCTTAGCACCCAAGACAGCCTCAGACTATCTGTTGAGGATGGTGTTGTGATACTGTCTGGGCTGAAAGTTCAGCCAGACAAAAGCAGTGATGAACTTGTCACAAGTGGGGAAATTCACCCACCAAATGATTCTGAAACATACTGAGTATTGTTGAAGTCTACATCTGAACGGCCAGGACTATTTATTGACTTAGTGTGTGTTAAATGGGCACCACTTACCCTGTGCCTCACTGCCATTGCTTGGTATTTCTGCCTTCCAGAGGCAGCCCTTTGGATTCATCATATAGATAAGTTCTGTCATATCGATGTCTTTCTCTTCTCAGTTGTCAGAAGATTATAAGGAATAGAGGAGTTTTCCTGACATTATGATAACTGGATCCTGACTTGTTAATCACACCTCCTTTGTGTGGGGCCTCAAAGGAAATACCACAAATAAGGAATCTAGCAACATATGAGGCAAAGTTCACCTTAGTCATAGTTGGGCATAAATCTTATAACCTATACTGGAGCTCTGGTAAAAGACTGACTTGAAGCCTGAGGCTTATCACTGAGGCTTAAGCAAGGCCTTATCATCTATTCCTCATGTCCTGCCTCTCAAAATGGAAAGTTTGGGACCAATAGGCCCTGGTAAACTTGCCTGGCCTGTTGGTCCCCCAGGGATGACCGGGCTTCACTTTGAGCATACCTACACATGCACAGGATCATGGAAACTAGCAATACCCCACCCATACCCTCTCAGCACTTAACCCTCTTGGTGTATACCAAAGGATCCTATGGCACACACCCAGGATTCTCTGCGTGAGGGTTTATGCTCAGCGGGGCCTGCTGCAAATGTTGGGTAGTTAACACCCCTGAAACAGCCCTAGCTGTTGGGAGTTGAAGGATAAATACCCCAGCTCCTTCATTGCCCAGGTGGAATGAGTCTGGAGCATATTCTGCACTTTCTCCTAGAGTTCCATCAGAGGTGAAACTCAGTTGCCTAGAGTGGCTGACCTGCTTGATAATTGTAACAGGGAGAATGATATTCCCCAAGAGGGTCACATCCTAATTCTTGGCACCTGTGAAGTTGTGGGAGCACATGTGGGAAAAGAGGCTTTGCAGATGTAATTAAAGTTATATATTTTAAGATAGGGAGAGTAGCCTAGATTATCCAGGTGGGCCCAGTCTAATTATATGGGCCCTAAAAACAGAACTTTCTCTATTTGGAGAAATGCAGCAGATGAGATGCAGCAGCAGGAGAAGTCCAGAGATGTTTGAAGCAGGAGAAGGAGTTGATGCAACTTTGCTAGAGCTGAGATATAAGGACCGGTGTTCGAGGATCAGAGAAAGGTTTTAGGAGCTACAAGTGATCTGCAGCTGATAGCCAGAAAGGAAATGGGACCTCAGTTTTATAGCCACAAGAAACTGGATTCTGCCAACCATCTGAATGAGCTTCTGCTCCAGGGAGGAGATTCTCTCCCAGGACCTCTAGACAGGAGTCCAGACCTGAAAACCCCTTGGTTTTGGTGTTGTGGAATGCTTGGCAGAGAGCCAGCTCAGCCATGCTGTGCCCAGACCTCTGATCTACAAAAACTATGGGATAAAAAGATGTGTGTTGTTTAAAGCCCCTAAGTTTGTGGTAACTTGCTATGACTTCAACAGAACATGAATACCATAAGGCATACACTCTTGGTCTGCTCCCTTCCCATCCCCCTACTGGTGTTTTCTGGGCTCCCCTCCCCACAAAAACCACTTGCGCTCACATCCCAGATGGAACTGCATCAAGGCCATCAAGAATGTGCACCACTCAGTTCTCTAGCTGTAGGCCTTTGGTATCTGCCACAGCGTTAGAGCTGAGGACATGCTTCTTTTGGGAGCTCACGACCAATGACCAAGCTCAGTGGAGCACACAGTCTGACCATTCTGCCCAGCTCAGGACTCCTCTACAGGTAACTTTGTGCTGATGTTCCATTGTGCTGTCCCAGGCTGTTGAGAGCTGCACCGCAGTTTCCTACTACTCACCTTTTCCCTTCTCTCCTTTAGAACATGAGGCCCATATTGCTATCTGAAGGCTTTGTCTACTCCTGATCCCCTTTATCTTTCATAGATGTTACCCCCTGTAAATCTCCTGTGCTTCTAATTCCATCATGACATCTGCTTCCCTAAGGACCAAACTGACAAACCCACCAAATAACACATGCTAAGCCTTGTCCAAGAAGGTGGACCAACCTCATCACAGTGAAATCAATCAGATATATAAGAGGGAGTGGAGAGTGGCCACATGCCTGTGAAAGTATAGTAATATCACCCATTAAAAACTATGGTCCAGGCTGGGCATGGTGGCTCATGCTTGTAATCCTGGCAATTTGGGAAGCCAAGGCAGGTGGATAGCTTGAGCCCAGGAGTTTGAGGCCAGCCTGGGCAACATGGCGAAACCCTGTCTCTACAATTAAAAAAAAAATTAGCCAGGATTGCAAGACCAGCCTGGGCAATATGGTGAAACACATCTCTATAAAAACAAACAAAAAAAAAAAATCCAGGCGTGGTGGCACATGCCTGTAGGCCCAGCTAGTCAGGAGGCTACGGTGGGAGGATCTCTTGAGCTGAGGAGTTCAAGGCTGCAATGAGCCAAGATTGCATCATTGGACTCCAGCCCAGCCTACAGAGCAAGACCCTGTCTGAAAAAAAGAACTGTGGTTCAATAAATGATCTGAAAAAAAGGTGATAATAATTAAATTCTAATGACATCAGAGATTATGGCAATTTGTATGCATTATCTCATTTTATCTTCTCAAGCATCTCATGTTTAGTAAGATGAAGTCAGCAGAAACTTACATTAAGGATCTGGAATCTAACGGTTCTGATGAATAATTCTACAGGAAAGCAAGAAGAGATAAGCTTGTGGTTGAGGGTACCCAGCTGGAGATGGAGAAACAATACTAAAATCCTCTGCCTTACTTGTCTGTTTCTTCAGGGGCATGAGTTCCTACATAGTTTAGCAGTGGGAGCCTGTGAGGCTGCCAAAGTCACAAAAGTTCAGGAAAAAGTGAAGAAGGCTGTGGCAGGATGATAAGATATACTACAGTGTCAACACAGAGATGATGCATGGCTGGCCAAGAAATTCTTCCTAGAAAAATTAGCTGTGTAGTCCTACTTCTTTAGGCAGAAGACTCATCAGAAGACCATATTCAAAGGGCAAGTCTGAACCAAAAGCTGATGCTGCAAAAGGCAAAATCTCAAACCTAGCAAACATAACTCCAGATATGAGAATTTGAGTTTCAAAGGCACTCCACTATTTGAAAGCTAGTTACATTATTGGCTTTAATGCTGGTAATAAAATTTATATCATAGCAAAACAAGCAGCTGCCTTAATTAAAAATAGAGAAACTTCAATGTAAGTTGTATCTGAAGAGTGATTTAAAGAAATTACTTATAGATGTATCTATGTGTTGTTGTATCCACCGATGGGGGCATTTATTTTACTAAACCAAGCAAATTAAAATGTTCTTGATAGCTTTCATCCCAAGAGTTTCCTTTTATATAAGGAAACTCAAATACAGACCACTGTTAGTATCACATTCAAGGTTCTTGTGTCCAGTGTGTTTATACTCAAATCTTTCTCTAAAGAGTGTAAAAACTGCAATAGCTGCTGAGGGCATTACTGCTTATGAAAATCTCTTGCACAGCAGAGGTCGGGCTTGGAGATGTCAAACCCTGAGTTATGTTCCATGGTTATTTAACCTTTAGGATCACTTATCATTGATTACTTGCTTCATGTAGATGTGTACTTAGTCTCTGTGATCTCCCCACAAAGTCAAAATTTGTACTGTTGACCTTTTTTTGTAACCCCCAACTCCTAATCCAGTTTATTGATGTGCATAGAATAAGACACAGGGTCTATTGATGTATGGGGCTTCATAGCATAGAAGTGAGTATAAAAGTGTTCTGATGGGAATCAATCACTTGTCCTAGACAGAACACTTGACCATTTTCAGTCATGTTGCAACATACCTCTTAGAATTCACACTAGGGCACAAATCAGAGTTTTTAGCACAAAGGGACCTACATCCTTCAACATCAGTTCTGATGTAGCAATTGCATTTGGAGGTATCCCTTAAGGATACAGTGTCTGGCCAAGACAGCATAGCTCAGTGGATGGCCCCATGGATTTTGTTTATGTTTGGTTATTGCTACAATACTTCTTAGCTGTGTGACTCTGGACCAATTTCTAAATTTTCCAAAGCCTCTATTTTCTTATTAGTGAAGTGGGGAAATAGCAGTACTTACCTCATAGGGCTATTGGGAGGATAAGACAGTAAATATAAAATACTCAGTGATGCCTGACACATCAGAGTTCAAAACCAGATTGAAAAATATAGTATTTAATAATGTCTTAGAAATGGAAATGGAATGGAAATGTCTCTCTAGCCTCTTGCCTAGCAGAGAGGAGGCACTCAATAAGTCCTATGTATTTTAATTAGGATAGGCTAAAGTGTTATGACAGATTGACTCAAGATATAATTGACTCAAACTCAGTAGAAGTTTATTTTTTCTTTACAAAACAGCCCAAAATGGATGTCACACATCACTAAAGGGGACTCTGCTCCACACAACCATTCAGGGAACCAAAGTAAAAGTGGTAGTGCCATCTTTAACTTGTAATGTTCTGGATGTCATCATCCCTGTAAGCTGGAGTGATGAAGGCAACTTCCTGAGACGGTTTTTGTGGGCCATATCTGAAAGAGATACACCACTTCCCCTCACATTCCATCAGAGAGAACTTAGTTTCATGGCCATACTCAATTGCAATGGAGATAGGGAAATATAATTAGGTTGGGGAGGATGAATTTTGGTAGGCAGTTAACAACCAACAGTTTCTACTACTGCTATCTTTTCTGGAACAATAAGCTCAACATTGATTCATTTATAATATTAGATACAACTTTTCTTTAATTTAAAAACCTTAAAAACCTAGCAAGTTAGAGTCCAAATGTTCCCGTAAATCTATAGGTAAGAGTATACTGGTCATGTAGTGTTTTTAGTCTAACATTTTATTTTATGCATAGCAGAACTCCTAACAGGAATCAGCCACAGAAGGCATGCAAATTATATGCTACAACTTTAACAATTTATTCAGACATTTATTAAAACAATCGATATTTATTGAATATTTAGATTTCTGTAGGAACTGTGCATTTCTGTGGGTGATAGAAAAAAAAAAACAGATCTAGTCCCCAAAGAGCATGCATTTTGATAGTGGCATGATGAGATGTCCACAAGTTATCATAAAATTGGAAAATGAAATTATTATGGCAAAAGAGCTAACGAAGTGCTAGAAACTGATTAAAAACCCAATTTTGATTAGGCCAGAGCTACATTTTAATTTTCTTGGCCTTTTGAAGTTTTCAAAATGGAGCCTCTATTACATCCAGACATAAGTTTCTCTCCTGGTCTTCAGCTGATGAGGGCATCATGAAGTCCTGCAACTCCTCTCCCTCAACCGTCACACACATACAATTTTTAATGTTTTACTTCCAAGAGGGAAAACTTTTCAATGACATCTTTCATCAAAATTAATGTTAAATATTTTGGGGGGTTTTGGTGGATGTCATTTCTAAGCAAATTATTAGAACAGCAAAAACAGTTTATATCATAAGTTTTAAAGTCCTTTATACATTTTTTTGCATTAGAGATATTATACAATTCTATCTATTTACAAAACACTTTACTTTTCAAAAATATCCTGTCAAGAGGTTTTGAAAATATCTATTTCACCAATATCTATTTAAAGATAAGTCTGGAAATAAGATAATTTCAAAATTAATTACACGGATATCTCATTGAATCCTTTTTTTAAAAAACTAAAGACAAACTAATTTTCTTTTTACAGAAGTAAAATATAAGCACACTTTGATTAAAATTCTGCTGTTAGTGATTATTAAAAGAAGATATTACTAGAACCAAAATTAAGCTTTCTGAAAAATGTCACTGCCTATTTCCAAAAAGGTTTATTTTATTTCTAATAAAAAGAAGTTTGAACATGCTGTCCCCATTCTTTTTTATAAGGCATTTCTACCCTGGAATTCTTTAGGCACAGAATGTGTGTTTTCTGCTTTGAACAAGTGGGGGATGACTTTCTAGATTTTGTGGGTGCATCAGCTGCTCTTTGAAGGTCTCTTCTAGTAAACCACAATGCTGAATGATTTTCCATTGCATATCATTTCCATTTTCTCTATTGTAAGTAATGATGCAATGTACAGCTTTGGATATTTAGCTTTTTCTTCTTTTGAAACATTTCCTTCCATTTTTTCAAGATAAAAGGATACTTTTTAAACCAGCATCCAAGTTGTATGACATGGTCGAAACAATTAAAATAGGTCATATTCTCCATTTCATCTGACAACATGTCACCTTTATTCTTGCCAATACTTAAGGTTGCAATACCTTTGTGTCAAGAGCACAGGATTCCTAGTAAATGCTGCCACGGCTCAACTTGCTCTCTTAGACATGTCATTTCCTTTCCCTAAGTCCCAGTTCCTTGTTTCTGATCTTGGATCTTTTCAGCTCTAACAGTTTTCTTCACATGGTAAAATCCTAGACCAACACCAATAATTATTCGACTTCCGAAATCTGTTTCAGTCAGTCAACTCTCTTTGTCTCTTGACTTCCCTTATTCTGTTATATTCATGTGCCACGTGACATTTTGGTCAATAACAGACCACGTATATGATGGTGGTCCTATAAGATTATGATACTATACTTTTGCTGTACCTTTTCTATGTTTAAATATGTTTAGATATGTAAATACTTGCCATTGTGTTACAGTTGCTTACAGCATTCGGTAGAGTAACATGCTGTGCAGGTTTGTAGCCTAGGAGAAACAGCTATACCTTGTTGCCTATGTGTGTGGTAGGCTATCTCATCTAGGTTTGTGTAAGCACCGTCTGTGATGTTTGCACAACCATAAAATTGCCTAACAACACGTTTCTCAGGATGTGTCCCTGTCTTTAAGCGATGCATGACTGTCATTCTATTCCACCATTTCTCCACGTTCATTGAGACTTACTACTTTCTCACTATTGAGGTCACTGATTATCTATACTTAGCACCTCGATGCTTACAGCTCTGAATGCTCATCTGTAGAATGGACACAGCCACAGATGTGCTCAAGTTTTTGAGATGGTTTCTTCTCTAGGCTTCTGAGACATGCTTCTGGATTTTCTTCTATCTTACCTGTCCCTCCTTCTCAGTCTCCTTTCTGATCCTTCTGTCCCCTCCATCACACCTCTTGATGCTGGATATCCTCATGACTCAATCCTTGGCCTTCTTTCCTCTATTGACATTCACCTCTTAGTTATTTCCATCAAGTCCCATAACTTAAAAAATTCACATTTCTACCCTTCTCTTGGGATATAGACCCATATGTTCACGCCCATTTGGATATCTAATAGATACCTCCAACTAGCAGAACCATTGGTTTCCTGTCCTCATATGCTCACAGGCTTCAGAGCACCAGCCTCCATTTTGTTCTCCGGAAAAATAATAAGAACATGGGAGTCAAATTGGACTCTCCTTCATACCATGCTTTCTCTCTGTTAGTAAGTCCTGTTGGCAGAATTTCAAAATAGATTCTGATTTTAACTACTCCCTGTTTCCACCATTTCAACCCTAATCTAAGCATCTATCATTTGTCACCTAGACATGGCAACAGACTCCTAATTGGCTTCTCTGTCTTCACTCTTGCCTTTCACAGTCCATCCTTACAGAGCTTTCAGAATGATTTCTCTAAACATAATAACAATAATATTTACTGAGTACTTATTATTTATAATACCAGGTTCCATTCTAAGCTCTTTACCTGAATTTGTTCCTTTGAACCCTTTGAGTTGGATATTATATCTGTTTCCATTTTATAGATGAGAAAACTGAGGCATAAGAAAGATAAGAAACTTGTACAAGGATATATTGCTAGTAATTGACAGAAGCGGGATCTGAATGTGGGAAGTCTGTTACTTGAGCTCTTAAATACTGTATTTTATTATTTTTATGTCACTCATCTGGTTAAAATGTTCTAAAGGCTCCTTATGGGGGATGCAAGGCCTGGCTCCTACTTACCTCTTTGATTTAATCTCGAATCCTACTTCTTTCTCTCGTCTCCACCTTATTCACTATACCCCAGCCATGCTGGCCTCCAATTTATTGCTCTTTCCTGTTTTAGGCTTTTGAATTTGCTGTTTTTTTCTTGGGATGCACCTTGCTGGGTCTTTGTATGGTTTTCTCCTTCTTGTCCTCTAAATCTCACTTCAATTGTCACCACCTCCAGAGCTCTCATCAACCCCTCTACCCCCATCTTTTCTCTTTGAAGCACAACTACCAGAATGCATCTTATTTACTTATTTGTATTTGTCCTCTTTCTATTACAGTGTAAACTTCTTTGGGCTTTCAGTCTTCTCTCTGTAACCCAATGCTTTGAAGAACGCCAAGCACATACAAACCTCATGTCTGAAATGGGTATGACAGGGCTATTGTTAAGAGCAAGTGGAATTATATCCAGGAAAACCCTTTGTAAAATATGAATTTCTTAATATAAATGGGATATTATTGTTTGAAACTGGAAACCCTGATGGGACAGAGGCCAGGACTGATGCTGAGGCCTTGTCTGCTGTGAAGGCAAGAATCTATACCTTAAAATAACAAAAAAATTCAATGAGAAAGGAAAATAAATAATTAATACACATTATTTGTTATTGAAACAAGGAATAGAACATTTATTTATCCAAGATTTATGTCAAATCAAGAAAGTGTAGCCGGACATGTTGGCTCATGCTTGTAATCTCAGCACTTTGAGAGGCCAAGGTGAGAAGATTGCTGGAGCTCAGAAGTTAGAGACCAGCCAGGGCAGCATAGTGAGACCCTATCACTACAAAAAAATTAAAAAATTAGCTAGGTGTGGTGGTGCATGCTTGTGGTCCCAGCTACTTGGGAGGCTGGAGCCCAGGAGGTAGAGGCTGCAGTGATTGCTCCATGATTGTGCCACTGCACTCCAGCCCAGGTGACAGAGTGAGACCCTGTCAAGAAAGAAAGAAGAAAGGAAGGAAGGAAGGAAGGAAGGAAGGAAGGAAGGAAGGAAGGAAAGAAAGAAGGGAAGGAAAGAAAGAGAGAGAAAGAGAAAGAGAAAGAAAGAGAAAGAGCAAGAGCGAGAGAGAAGGAAGGAAGGAAGGAAGGGGAAACAGTGACATGAAATCCCTGGAAAGAAGCAGTGTTCTGTTGTCTCAAGTGTGGGCGCACGTTTGCACATCCATTTCCTTGTGCTTATACATTATATTTTATCTATTAAGGAGTTTGCTTTCTAACTGGAGAGTCTGGTGTATCTGGACAGGGCTACTAGAGCTAATTATTTCCCAGGGCTCCTGCTGCACAGGCAGCAGGAATATTTTTACAGTTCTGCTTTACGAGTTCCTGGAGTCATAAGCATCTCCACAGGTTTCAGAGCTCCATCCTGGGGCAATTAGCAACTGGTCGTGACAGGTACTACAAGTAGTGACTACACTGACAAATTCGATTACACAGAAACTATGTGTTTCTGCTGGCTTTTATGGGCACCCTTTCTGCACTATAATTCAAAAACATTGATTCACCTAGTATCCAGAGATTCAAATTTTGGGCCAAATGCAACAACTGTGTGCATTTTCTGTTCTACTCAGCATTTGCATAAACCATTGTCATTATCCCTATGTTTTCCAAGGCTTTTATTTTAGATGTTCAGATTTAAGTTCATTTCCATCCTGCAAAGCATACTGGGATTGGATATGTGTCCAAGAAATGGGGACTCTGAGACCCAGAAAAGTTTAGAGGAGAGCTTGAGAGAAGAGTACATTGTCTCCTAAAGGGAGTTGTTAGAGGATGGGCATATTTTTTTCTGGTGGCCAACAAGACTTCTCTTTTCTGTTCCAGAAGCACCACTGTAAGACTAACCTCCAAGTCAGTGACTCTCGCCAGGCAGCAGGAGTAGAGTGAGTCCAGAGACAGTACGCTTGGTTGGGGGCAGGGGCACTACTTTGATGACCTCTGGCCTTTATCACTGCCTGTGGCCTTGGGTTTCCAGACAGAAGACTAGGGATAGTCCTCAACAGAGAATCTGGTTTTGTTCGGTTTCATTTAACATGTGATGTGTGCTTAGTGAAGGTGAGTCATGAAGAAACCGATCTCAGTCTCCTGTGCTCTTAGTTCCCTTACTAAAATTTTTTAGTTTTCATTTTTTCCCTCTGAAGAAAAACAGAACAATAAGAATCAAATTCAGTGGAAGCCAATTTATAAGTGTTGTTATCACTGCACCCCCTTGAGACCTTTTCCTCTTGGGATCATCTCTTCAAATCCAGGCTGCAATGCTTGCAGGCACAGCTGTCTAATGATAAATTAAATTGATACTGCAATACTGGTATAAACTTCCACATTACAAAAGGCAAACAGCAGCGTCTTTTGAAAAGAGCACTGAATCAGATAATCAGGGGACTGAGGTCCCTGCATCCACATACCTTCTACCTTCTATTGTCTGAGCTTTCATATGGTCTTTATATTCTTTCTGTAATCAAAGTACACTTATTTCTCTCTGAGGAGTAGGGTCAAGCTGATGTGAGAAAGTAGATTTAATATCCTGGAGGGAAATGTGTGGTGTGTGTGTGAGTGTGTGTGTGTGTGTGTGTGTGTGTGTGTGTGTGTGTATGCCTTCCTTATTTTTCAGTACAGTTGGCTATCTGGAATGTTGAATAGGTATTTTGTGTTGTAATTAGCTACTGTGCTTTACACTTTGCTGCTGGGGCCACTCAACTTCCAAATGTAAGTCAAGCCTCACTCTGGATTCAGGATCAGCTTTGACCTTGCGAATAAGGGATTTAAAGAGCCATAGATACATGCTCTTGAGATCAGCATCATCTCCTTGGTTCCCATTCTGGCTCTGACTTGGTCCATCAATTACAATCATTGGCTTTCTTTGCCACTCCCGAGGCTTGACATACTCCATAGTTTGAACCCCTGGATCCCGACCTTACCCCTGTGTCCAAGTTAGAATCTCGTGAACTACCTGCTCATTTTCTCAGACTTACCTGACATTTCTTGCTTGCTTGAATCTCTTCACTGTCTTATTCTTCAGGTGTTTCTGAGAGTGGGCTGTCGTTCGCCACCCTGTGATGAAGCTCCCCAATGGTGACTGCTTGAGGGGAGAGTGGAATTCCCTGTCAGATCCTGCAGCAGGGTCTGTACCCTTGTTGGAGTTGGAGGATCTAGTTTTAAATCTGTATTTTTCACCCATCTGTCTCACACATCATAGTTAGTCATTTAGAGAGGTAATGCCCTGATGTAGGACAAGTAGTAAAGAGGGACTGAGGCACTAAGCAGACACCCTGCCTCCAAAGATGAAATACACGAATACCAACATATTTACTGGGCAACTAGTGTGTGCCAGGCCTGGTGCTGGGCACTGGGCATAAAATAATCTGGAAACAGATCTGATCACTGCCTCATGGGGTGTGCATTTTCGGGAAAGAAAAGTAAACACGTGTAAGCTGACAGAAAAATTGTAAATTACAATGAAAGGGGCTAAAATAGAGGCTGAGAGAATTGTGGCAAAGATACAAAAAACTATTTGTTTGGATGCTTATGCTATAGCTATCTTAAGAACGGAAAGAGGATCCTCACCTCCCCTGTTCTCTCTGGATATTTTTCACCAGAACTAAAGTAATTTCAAAGAAATAACACACACATGAACAGTTATCTTGTGAAGTCAGGATATGCTGCACTGTCCCTTATGCTCTGCAACTCTGAAAATCAACTTCATTTTCTGAACAAATTTAACAGCCTGACCTTGAGACTTGCCACATGCTGTGCTGTTCATTAGGGCATGGGATGTTAATAGGAGCAGATTTTTTTCCCCATAGATTTACCCAGACTTAGGAAAATGAAAGAATGAGAAGATACTTGATTTCTTAAATTCCAAAGGGGATGTCTGATGATATATGATAGAATTTATTTATAGAGTGTAAGTAAACTGGAAATATAGATCCTTGGACTAGCCCTGCTCAGGGTTTTTTTTTTTTTTTTTTTTTTTCCACAATTAAAAGAATTTCAGAGCAGAATGGTTGCAATGGAGGCACACACAGAACTGGGTCCATCTGTCTGCAGCCACAAATAGAAAGCTTGTCACAATTCAGACAATATTAGTTAATCTTTGCCCAGGAAACCACGGAGTGGCAAGTGTTGATGGCATGCCTTCAGAAGCAGACTGATGCTTAGCTGTAGCAGGAAAATTATATTAAAAAAGAAAATATACTCCTTGAGAATATGTACGATCTATAAAGATCTCATTATTTAAATTCTCCTTATTCCTATTGGCCAATTTTATATAACCCCAAGTATGGGCAGAACTGTGAAGAGGTGGAATGAAATTATTTTGCTGGTCTCTTTAAACACCCCCACCTTCTTCCAATGATAGACCAGTGGGGTGACAGCTCTGGATTTAACAGTGTGGTCAATGGGAACGAGGAGGCGTGGGAAACCAAGATAGAACCAGCACCTACTCCTCAGCTACTTTTTTCACTGCTACAGCTAATGTCAGTGTATGGCTGAACGTGCAATTAAATGACAGCAGCCAGCATCAAGTATTTTCTTTTCTGATGGGGCATTCCATGAATTTCTCAAACTTGCAAACTCACCCTATGACAAGGACCTGCTCTATCCGAAAGATAACTTAAAGATGAGGGAATTGGATGCTTTGTTATTTGTATCTCTTCTTTTGCAGTTGGTTGGGGGGCAGGGTGTTTAGACTGATAACCACTTCAGCTCTAATTCTGGGGAGGGGGGCAATTAATTAGTTTACAGGTAACGCCAGTGATATGCTGGCATTGGCTGGTACTGGCTTGCATCTTTGCATTTAGTAACATCTTGTTAGATGTGTGGTCATAGTGGGAGTATTTACACCAAGGAATTTGGCAAACGCTATTAATCAGGGCTTTTTTTTTTTCTCCCAGAGAATAATGTCACCCACATACCACTTGATAAATATCAGATGTCTAGTAATATTCACAGTGGAGACTGGCTTTCATCTTACTTTGACTATGTGAGAAATCTTCCTTAATGGATAAAGTGAGGACATTTATTTATGTACATTTAGTATTTTGCCCCTGAGAACAGCAGCAAATCCAATATTTACTCTAAGTGAAAGCATCCCTGTCACTATAAACCTTCAGGGGAGATTTGCACAAAATTCTGGCATCATGAGTGTAACTTGGGTAGGACAATTGCTGGTGGCAGCTATTGTTTTGGTTTCCTGGTAAACCAAAGACTTCCTTTAGATTGTTCAAGTGCATGGTTAGTGGAAACTTTTTCAGGCATTCACATCTTCCTCCATCTTGAATAGTTACCTTTAAGTGCTACAGTTCTTTTTTTCTTTCTTTTTTTTTTAAATAAGTCTTGCTTTTATTAATGTGGCTATTAAGTTTATTGATTTTTTTAAGTATCTTTGTTCAAGGGTAGTTCCTCAGATTTGGAGTCTAGGGAGTGTTTTTTGGGAGGTATACTTTTACCAAACTGACTTTGTCAAAAGAAGTGGGGAGTACATGGTATTGTACTTGGAATTTTGGTGTTTTGAGGAAAAGAAAGACAACAATAGGGAGAAAGAAAAAGATGCGGAGAGTTAAGATGATTCTTACTCTGTCAATTTTATTTACCCTCAAACACCCTCTAGGTGGAATTTTGACATGTTATTGGTAAATCATTCTAATATCTCCCCTTAATTCCAGGTGGATATTTATTTTGATTCAACTTGTCAGGTAGGAAAAATTGTGTTATAAATGGCCAGGTTTAAAAAGCAGAGACATTCCAAGGGGATGGAGGAAAAGTTCCCAGTCCATGCCAAGGCAAGTTGTGAAATAGGAACACTTTACATTTCTTACCTTTCTACCTCTCTTAATGTAGATTTTTTCTAGGATTTTCCCCACCTTGAGACACCCAGGATCTTCATTACTGCCTCTGAGGAACCGAGTTTATCAACCAAATATAGCACTGTACCAAGTCCTGTTCAATTCAATTCAAAAAACATATATTGAGTACATTCTGCATGCCAGGAACTGTCCCAGACCCAGGGAATTAAACATTGAATAAAGCACAATCCATGCTTCAAAGGAGTCTTGCAATTTAGTGAGACCCCTTCCCCTGCATTACTCTAAAACCATTCAGAGTGGGTATATAGTGATCTATTGATATAAACCAAGTTCTACATGGATACTGGGGGATTAAGGAAGTCTTCAAAGGTTGAATAGGAGAGAGGAGGGGAAGGATATACCAATTGTACAGTTAACATTCATCGAGCATTTACCAGCTGCTAGTTTTTCTAAGGACTTTGCATATATTAAACTTATTTCATCTTTACAACAGCCCTATTATTAGTAGCAATACTATTGCCATTTTCCTACTGTATCCATTGGGGCACAATGAGGTTAAGTTGTCAAATACAAGCAGTAAGTAGTAAAAGTGGTTTTGTACCTAGTTGAGCCATCATTGTTACCACTGGGCTGTATGCAAAGATACATTTTTTATCCAGTCATCCATAAGTACAAGTGTATGTATGTTAAGTAAACAAACCATGTCCTTGCATTGTGTTAGCTCTAATGATATAAAGAAAAGTTGAAAATGGCTTGATCCTTCAAGTATCCCAAAATCTAATGGAGTAGACATCTCAGCAAACAAAACATGACAAATTTGATTTAAACAAAATACAAAGGTTGATGAAAGAACATACGAGGGACTCCTACTCTAGACAGGAGTCTTGTATGATGAATATTAGTTTAATTAATTTTATATGCTACGCCCACTTATAAAAAAAGATTTATTTAAGATGACTTTCAAAGGTGCAGGAAAGATAGAGTCTTTGATATGCCAACAACTTTTTGACTGGGACCTTCAATCCACTTATTTTACTATAATATCTTTTCAGTGTCTCACCTCTCTTGGTGACTTCCTAAACCAGGTTGAATGCAACCCATGTCTCCTCTGCATCTAGGCCTGCAAGGTGAAATTACGCTGGAGGAAAACATACACCTCACATATGTGGTCACTAAGATCAAGTGAACTCTTCTTTTTCTTTTTTTGTAACTATAATTTTAAAAATTTCAATATTTTGGGGGGTACACGGGGTTTTTGGTTACATTAATGAATTGTTTTGTAGTGAATTCTGAGATTTTAGTGCACCTGTCACCCAAGCAGTGTACACTCTACCCAATATGTTGTCTTTTGTCCTTCAACTTTTCCTTCCTTCCTTCCTTCCTTCCTTCCTTCCTTCCTTCCTTCCTTCCTTCCTTCCTCCCTTCCTCCCTCCCTCCCTCCCTCCCTCCCTCTTTCTTTCTTTCTTCTTTTCTTTTTTTTCTTGACAGAGTCTCTCTCCATTGCTCAGGCTGGAGTGCAGTGGCACCATCGCTGTTCACTGCAGCCTTGATTCCCTGGGTTCAAGCAATTCTCCCACCTCAGCCTCCCGACTGCAGACCACCATGTGTGGCTAATTTTTGTATTTTTTGTAGATATAGGGTTTTGCCATGTTGCACAGGTTAGTCTCAAACTTCTGGATTCAAGTGAGCTGCAGCCTTGGCCTCGCAAAATGCTGTGATTACAGGCATAAACCACCATGCCCAGTCTCAAGTGAATTCATAATGCTACTCAGCAAGTATACTGTATTTTCCTGGCCCAGTCATTCTCTCTGTCTCTACACCATCTCTTTGATATCTTCACTTTTCTCAAACCTCCCAGACTTTCTTGCACATCATTGCTTGCTACTCATGGTTTTCCATTGTATTTTACTGAGAAAATAGAGGCAGACAGAAGAAAACTTCCACTAGCTCTCAACGCTGCATCATCCTCCCATCTGCATCGGTTCCAAGTGACTTTTCTCCTGGGTTACTATGTTTGATCTGTCTCTGCTCCTAGCAAAAGCCAACACCTACGCAAGCACACTAGATTCCAACCCTTCTTGCCTCACCGATTTTTCTTTCTCGACTAGATCAAACTCGCTCTTATTTCTTGTATCTTAAAACCACAGTCTCTTTTCCTTCCAGCTATTTATGTCTTCCTTTTTATTCATGCCCTCCTGTTTCATGTCCTTAAAAGAGTTACCTATACTCACTGTTTCCAAATAAACATATCCCCTTATCTCTTCTGCAGTCAGGATTTTGCTTCTGTGCCTTCACTGAAAGTACACTTATCAAAGATAACAATAAATCTTCATTTTACTAAATTATATGGTCTTTTTCAGTTCCCATCTTTTTTGACATCAGTTGCACATTCGTTTACTCAATCATTCAGCAAGTGCTTTTTTTAGGACCTACCATTGCCTGGGCTGTTCTAGGTGCTGAAGAAAGACACTTTCCTTGTTTTGCTTCTACTTTTCTGGCTGCTCTCCTCAGTATCGGTCTTTGCTAGTTCTTCCTCATCTTCTCCTAAACCTTAAACATGGAGTGCCCCCAGGGAAGTCCATGGACCTCTCTCTTTCTACATGTGCCACATATCTGTCCATCCTGGACCTCTCCAAAGTATATTCAATTGTGTATTTGACATCCCCACTTGGATACATATAAAAGGGTTATACTTAATATGACTAAAATTGAACTCCTGCTATCCCTAACCCCTCTACAATCTGCTCTGTTCACAGTATTCCCCACCTTAGCTAGTGGCAACTCCATTTTTCCAATTGTGTACACCTAAAATCATTGGCATCATTCTTGACTTCTCTTTTTATCTGACAACCAGCATTCAATTCATTGGCTAATAATGTAGCCTTTATCGTAAAATATATATCCAGAATTTGATGACTTCACATTCACTGCTATCTTCCTGGTCTAAGACACAATCATCTTTTGCCTGTAATATAAAATTATCTCTTAACAGGTCACCTTGCTTGCACCATTATGTCCTAAGGTCTATTCTCAATAGAGAAGCCAGTGTGATTCTGTGAAAACATAAGTTAGATCATATCAGCTTTCTACTCAAAAATTTCCAGTGCCTTTTCATCTCCCTCAGAGTAGAAGTCAACATTCTTAAAATAATCTTCAAGGCTCTGAATACTCTGGACCCCATTAGCTCTCTGAATTTCCATTTACCAGATATCCTCATGGATCACTGTCTCACCTGCTTCAAGTCTTTAATGAAATCTTGCTTTCCTGATGAGTCCTTCCCTTTATATCATTGCTGCTCTTCACCATTCCAGCTCCTAAAACTTCCTAGCTCCTATTTTAGGATAATTTTTCTCCTTTGCATTTATTACTACCTAGCATGCTCCATATTTTAAGTATTTACTTTATTTGTTGTCTACCTCTTCGACTAGAATACAAACCTCACAGGCATTTTATTATTTAGTTTTTTTCGTTCACTTCTGTATTATTCTCAGTACCTAGAAAAGCTCCTGGCTCAGAATATGTGATCTACAGTTAGGTAGATCATTGAATGAATGAATGAACAACATAATTAATCCTATGAGGACACTTCAGGCATATTAATTTGTTAAATAATGAATAAATGACACACTATATAACATGAATGCAGTGGAGAATAATTAGACAAATGGAAAAAAAAAGGTAGAGTTATAAAATGAAGTTAAGATTTAGGCTAAATGATGTATCCTGAACATCAAACATCAATATTTTTGCTTAGGGTAAATCAGAAATTTGACTCTAAGGCATACAGTAGACAATGTGAGAGGGGAAAAAAAATAATAGTGTCATGGTTCAAAATGCTGACTCAAAATTAAGGCATAGCAGTTTCTCAGGCAAAGCAAATTAATTCCAGAGAGCCACTTTCCCCAAGAGTTCTAAAAAGGAAAAGCACAGTGCAAGGTAATGGAATATCTTTAGTAGCTCCCAGGGTGTCCTTCAATAGGCCGTGACATCTCACGGCATAATTCTGTATTAGCAATTCTAAAATGATCTAATATATTATTTAGGCATTAGTGCTCTGCCAGTGTTTCTGAACATAGTCTATTTTAAGAATAGAGGAAAGAGTAAACCACAGATTTTTCTAGCAATTGGTCTTCCACTTGTTTACTCACAAATATTTATTATCGATAATGAACAATTAATGGGCTCAGTACTTGATATACAGTAGCATATAAAAACATGTTATCCCTTATGTCATGCAAGTCACATTTCCAAAAATACCTCTTCTTTCAATCAAATTTTGAGAACTACAAGGGCACTGTTTGAATTCTGTTTCCATTCCAGAACCTAATATTAGCTGTTGAGTTGATATATTTGACATATTTGTATGTGTTTAGTAACCATGATGTCATAGTTGTTTGCTGGTGCTTTAAACCCAAACAGACTTGAGTTTGAGGTTTACTTCTACCACTTACCACCAACTTGGACAAGTTACTTAATCACTGCAAGCTCCATTTTCCACATGCAAAAAAAAAAAATAAAGGTTATATTACAAAGATGTACATACAGGAGTGTTAAATGAGATATTTAAATAACTTAGAACAGAGCCTGGAATTTTGTAGGGGATCACAAACTTTTAATTATTAATATTGTCAACTGAGCTGTAAAAAAAAAAAAAACCCTGAAAGGCCTAACAAGGTGTAGTGGAAGGCCACTCCTGTCTCACTTGGAAATGATTAACAAAAGTATCTTGGTACTCATGAAAGAGTAGGAGAAGATGTATCTTGAAAAGCAGTCAAGAAGCAGGCCATTTTATTTATTATATGCCAAGGAGTTTGGATTTCAGTTTTAGAAATGGGGAACTACATATTAATTTTACATATGAGAATGACACAATCGGATTTATGCTTACATTTATCACTCTGTTGGCAGCCAGAGGATAAATCGGAAGTTTGGAAATTTGAAGAGACTAGAGCCAGGGAACTAATTAATAATCCAGATAAAAGTTGATGAAAGGAAGTGGGACTGAGAATAGAGAAAAAAATGAATCATTTGTAATTGTTCCTCTTAAACTTCCCTGTTTTGTATCTCATTCTTTGACAGTACTGTCACATGACTTGTTAACTTTTCTGATATTTTAATTTGACCCAAGGGTTCTTTGGTTTATGATGCTATTTTATGATGTCCTCACCAAAGACCACTGATGTTTTAACAGTGTTTTCAATGCCTAAATCAAAGGCTTTATTAATATGAGCATTTCAAGCACCATCCAGGGACCATGAAGACAATATTTTGGGGAAGGAAAATCTTCTTTATTTCTCTTATGCTCAAGTAAAGCCTTGAATAATTCTGTACACAGTTATCACAGTTGATATTGGCACCTGCTTTCATCCCATAGCCCATATTTTACAAAACACTGTAACTGTTCTATGTAGTCTGAAAAACGGAAATTCTTTTATTAAAACAACACCGGTGCTACTGCAGAGGGTGTTAGATATTTTTGTCTGACTCTACTTCTGATATTTTTACCAGAGTGATCCAAAGTTAAATGGAAAACTTAAAAAAAAAAAAAACAACAGGATAGGATTTAACCAAAGGCATATTGTACCAGCTCATTACAGTGAAGGAAATGGAGGCAACATGGTAAGTCACAAGCCTGAAAGGATCAGATTGTTAAACCAAGCCCTTCATTGGTGCTGTTTTCCGAGATGGTATCCATAAGCCTTTGTGATTGATGGATCCAGTGGTTGTGAGAGGTTGGGTATAACAGAGAGAAGACAGTGTGGGCAGACAGGGGGAAGGAAGGAAAAACCATACTGCTTGCCATTTCCTCATTAAGTTTCTACGATGGTGGGAGAAACCTGGTAGAAACTTAAAGGAGCCAGGAGACTTTTGTTCTCTCTTGTCTCTTCCATGTACTTTTAAATAGCTGGTTTACTATGGGTGGGTCACTTAACTCTTGTTTTCTCAAATGTAAAATTCATTAAACTTTCATTCAATCAATGCCCACTCTGTGCTTTGCTCTGCTCTAACATGGGCATATAACAATGGAAAAAACAGAGAAGACTTCTGAGAGTTTAATTCTAATGGGATAGGTAGATATTAAACAATCAAAATGCAAACATACGTTATGAATGAATAACACATTATTGTTCCCATATGATAAATGTGTGCTTCATATATTTGGGATCTGTTAATACATAGCCTGTTAAGTAATTATAAGATATATAAAGCTGTTATATAATATATGATATATTTCAGGTAATAAGTTTATAATGAAAAGAGGTATAATGTCTTTCCCCTAAACATCACAAAAGGCGTAAGACTCAAAATTTATAAAAGTGTTTTGAAAAATACAATGTGCTATGTAAATTTAAACACAATTACTCTTTCACAGGGTTATAAGGGTGGTGTTGGATTCAATTTCAGGGTCCTCTGTGTCTAACAGAGGAAGTTTTCTGGCTTTAGAATGCCACTGACCTCTTGGACCTGAGGCTTAGAGATTCATATCCCCAAAGGGTCTTAAAGACCACACACGCAATCCAGTTTGGAGATGCAGGCTGAGGTAGCCCCTATCTGAGGGTTCTGGTTGGCATAAATGCCGTGGCCTTGGGGCAACTTCCTGACTTAATATGCTTTATGGTGTTGGACAGTAGCTGCCCTAGCAGCTGGTAAAAATCTTATAGCACTTATTATGCTACACGTAATTATTTGTTATGTCAACGTGGAGGTAGGAGAGATGCTGGATGTATCTTTATGTCCCCTCTGCCTAGGAAAATGTCTTGACTCCTGGTAACTGCTCAGAAATGAAACAATGATTACTTGGCACATGCTACTCATGATAGCTAATAATTATGTGTCAACTTAACTGGGCTAAGGGATGCCTAGATAGCTGTTAAGACAATTATCAGGTGTGCCTGAGAGGGTGTTTCCAGAAGAAATTAGCATTTGAATCAGTAGACTGAGTAAGGAAGATTGCCCTCACTAATGTGGGTGGATACCATCCAATCTGTTGAAGGACTGAAAAGAACAAAAAAGGCAGGAAGGGCAAATTTGTTCTTTTTGTTTGAACTGGGACCTCCACCTTCTGCTCTTGGACATCAGCACTCCTGGTTCTTGCACCTTTGGACTTGATTTGGGACTCACACAAGTAGTCCCCTGGTTCTCAGGCCTTTTGACTTGTGAATTACAACACTGGCTTTTCTGGTTCTCCAGCTTGCAGACAGATCCTGGGACCTCTTGGCCTCCATAATCACATGAAACTATTCTCATAATAAATTTATATGTATATGTCTGTGTCTATACATCTCCATATCTATACACATCCCTATATCCATCTACATCTGTATTTCTATCTACAGAGAGATATAGAAATGTATATGTATGTAGATAGATATCTACCTATAGATAGAGATATATCTTTATCTATCTAGATCTACAGCTCTATATAGATGTATAGATATAGAGATGTATATCTATATAGACATTTATCTATAGATATATAGAGATATATCTAGATATAGATATATAGAGATATATGGAGATATGTGTAGATATAGATATATGGAGATATGTCTAGATATAGATATATGGAGATATGTCTAGATACAGATATATGGAGATATGTCTAGATATAGATATATAGAGATATATCTAGATATCTATCTATCTATACCTATATCTTATCTATATATCAATTAATCTATATGTATATGTATATCTATATCTGTCTATATCTCCTGTTTGTTCTGCTTCTCTGGAGAAGCCCTTAGAGGGACTGGTGAATGTTGCAGAGCCACCATTGCGGCAGTGCCTGGGAAATGTCCTTGCTCCTGGATGAGGCTCCTTGCTGCCTTCCACCATATGTTGTTCCATGCCAGGTGTGCTGCCTTTAGTGCAGACCTCTTTTTCTTTCTCAAAGTAACTCAGGGAGAAAAAGAAACAAAGCAAAAGGGTAGTTTGGCACCCTTGGAGACTGTTTTCCTTACTTGTTAAATTCTTTTTCTTTTTTCTTTTTTTTTTTTTTGAGACAGAGTCTTGCTCTGTTGCCCAGGCTGGAGTGCAGTGGACCAATCATAGCTCACTGTAATCTTGAAGTCCTGGGCTCACGGAGTCCTTCTGCCTCAGCGTCCTGAGTAGTTGGGACTACAGGTTTGTGTCACTATGCCTGGATAATTTTTAATTTTTTGTGGAGACAGGGTCTTTCTGTGTTGCCCAGCCTGGCCTGGAATGCCACCCACCCTGGCCTCCCAACGTGCTGGGATTACAGGCGTGAGCCACCGTTCTTGGAGTAAATTATTTTCTATTCTTTCTTGAGAACATCTTGCATTGATTCAAAAGGTTTACGTATGTTTTCTTTTTTGCATGACAATGAAGCTAATAATGGATTTACTTATTTTAAAGTAGTTTAAAATGTTATTTTTATTTCTCATGGATATATCACTGCATGGCTCAGAAATTCATAGAAATGCTGGTATTATTTTAGCTTAGAAATAGATGGATCAGGAGGTATTGTCTATTCCAGTTTTTAGAATTCTAGTGTAATGTTACCAAAATGAAGAGAGTTTTAACTGATGCTGAAAAGTTAACAAACTATGTCAAGAGCAAATTTATTTCCATAGTTTGTTAAGCCACTTTTTTCTTCCTAGGAAGTGTGGATTTTAAAGCAAAGCTTAAACTGCTTTGGCTCAGTGTATAATTGTACTTTTGTTTTTAAAGAAAATGTTACTATGGTCATCTATGATTGAGATCCAATTACTCCAGAGTTAGACTTTTCCTATTTCTGTTCTTTGAAATTGCATAAAATTCAGCTGACATCAGCTGTGCAAATGCAGATAACTGCCTGTCTTCCAAGAAGATGACTCATTAACATGAGTAACTAAGATAAGTAAGATTTTCTTGTCAAATTCCTGGTGAATGCATTTTTTTCTCCCCATGGTCTACTCCCATGCAAATATGAAGAAACAGCAAATATAAATAAATTACCTAAACTTAGTGGTGATACTGACTGATACAGATGTTTTGAAAAGCAAAATGGTGGTTATGAGAACAAAAAGATTTGGGTAAAATGAGTTCACATGTAACATAGTCTCTAACTTTCCAGTAAAAAAAAAAAAAGTGAACTAATTGAGCCTCAGAAAAGCTAATAGTTGCTTGAATTTCTATGATTTTTGGTCAAGCCAGCTTTATCTAATTTTGGTGTAAATAAAGAAGGGTTAAAGTGGAAATGCAACTGGGGCTTATTACCTTCATTTGTGTTTATAGAAGCAGAAGGCAATCAGGAAACAAATGAAAAATAATGCAGAGACTGAGGTAATGGGTGCCGATAGTTCAAACACAAATGGAATAAACTTTTTGATTTAAATGTAGAAGCAGGAGAGTCAGGAGATCCACAATTTAAGATGTGTTAGCTGCCATAGTGCCTGAGAATCACTGGTAGACAGCAGTTTTGAAATCTGGGAAAGAAACATCATAACAAAAAATGATTTTCTTGGAGAAGAATGGGTAATTCTGAAATTCTTGGAAAAAACAGGGAATTCTGAAGCAAGGTCCAAAGAGGGTTCATGAATGGGCTCCATTTTGTTCTTGAGTTCTTAAAAATATAGGCAAACATTCGAGTGGTTTGCAGATATGCTTTTTTTTTTTTTTTTGGTTGGGGGAGAGGAAATGGCTCACAGTTTTTATAAAATTCTCTAAAGGGGCTGATATGGTGGTTCACACCTTCAACCCCAGCATTTTGGGAGGCCAACATGGGAAGGTCACTTCAGGCCAGGAGTTCTAGACCAGCCTAGGAAAGCACATCTATCAAAAAAAAAAAAAAATTAGTTGGGCATGGTGGTGATGGTAGTGCATACCTATAGTCCCCATTACTTGGGGGGCTGAAGCGGGAGGATGGATTGAGCCCAGGAGTTCAAGGCTTCAGTGAGCTATGATCATGCTACTGCATTCCAGCAAGACTCTGACTAAAAAAAAATTCTCAAAGGGTCTATGATCCAATAAAGTTTATGAACCAAAGGTCAAAGGAAAGAGCACCATTCCACTCCAAAACTTACTCTGTATGTGAATCAGTCACTTAACCTCTATGAACCTTTGTTTCCAATATGTGTAAAGTTAACTGTCCTGCCTCCTCCACAAGTACTATCATATGGTTCAAATAAGATAATGTGTGTGAAAATATTAACCAACACTGGTATAGGGAGAACTCACTGTGTGCCCCAGGCACATTTTCAAGAACTTTATGAATTTTATCTCAATCTTTATAATAACTCTATGAAATGAGAATTACTTTTGGTATTTTACTTATAAGGCTACTGAAGTACAGAGACCAAGTGATTTGCTCAAAGTCACACAGCTAGTAAGTGATACCTCTGGAACTTGAAACTACTCAGTATGATTCCAGAATATAGGTTCTCTGTTGCAATGCTCAAATGCTTCTCTAACGTCAAACATGAACTAATTTATGAATGATGGTTGATGGAGATATGTTAAGGATAGAGAAGTTAAAATTTACCAATAATTTTTTTAAGGTGGTGATTATAGTGGGTGCTCAGGAACACCAGCTTGGGGAACCTTAGGGAGCACTAGAGAGACAATAAAATGTAAGTAGAAAGTCTGCTAGTTTTACCTGTCCTCAAACTTGCTGCTATGTACTCAGATTGTTAAGGCAAATTGGGCTCAAGCTAAACCACAGTTCTTTTCAGAACCCCTTCAGCCAGGCCAGCCTTAATATGCTTGGTAAGCTGACTGAGGAGGGCTTAATGGCCTCTCCCTTGTGCAAAAGCATTTGTTCAGTGTGGCAGCTCTGGCTGACTCCTGATGAAGGGCATATGGAGTGTGGGAATGGCCATGGCCATGGTTTCCTCCTTTGAGGATTGGAACATCAGAGAGCTATGGAAGATGTTTGCTGGAACAGTAAAGATCTATATTTGCTTTAACAAGAGTATTTTTTTCCTTTTCCCACCCAAGCAGCATGCACCATTTCAGCTGTAGCCTACAGTGTCTAGATGAGATACGGAGCAAGAAGAAAGACATTTTAGGAATTCCAACCTGATCCCAGAAGTCATAGATCATTGGAAATCTCTTATTTCTCTTATATCCACATGCTTGTGATATTTAGAACAGAGAGTTCCTTTCTCACAAGCATCTCAGAGCTCCCTGCAAAATCTCATAGTGGGAAGGAATCTTAAGATGTCGTCCTACCCAGAGGTTGTTAAAGAGCTTCAGGATCTGTGTGACTGTATGCATTTTTCTGAGATGATCTGTAGGTTTCATAAGATTCTCAAAGAGATTTATGGCCCTTGAAAACAATAAGAACTACCAGTTTAGTCCAAAGCCTAGGCTTAGAAAAAATAAAATTAACTATAATCCATGTAGAATATATAATTGCTTTAAAAAGCTCTTCAGAAGGAAATGCACTAGTCGCAACAACTGTTTTCAGCTACTCTTGCTTCTCAAAAAGATCCTCCATTTATCAACTGTAATCTCTAAGGCACTTTAAAGTCATTTATTTTAGTTATAATCTCTATGATGATGGACGGAAAATAGCTGGTCAGGAACACCTTTAAAGTAAGTCTTGCAGAAAGTCACTAAGTTTCCAAGGAGTTTTCTTGTTTCTGGGCTAATAGCTCCACCTCCTTTAGTTTCTCTATTTGTCTCGGTCCCCACTCACTGAATTTTTGATTCTTGGTGTCTATGATTAAGACATTAGAACTTGGAAGGAGTGTTATAAACGTAATAAAAGTTCACATTAATAATTAATTGAGCACATTTTCATGCAGTGACTGGATAGTTTGGACGAGGTTGGAGACACTGCGTATCTTTTTGTGCCTCTATTTCCTCACATATAAAACAAAAAATTAAATAATGCCAAAGAATGATCTTTTTTCTTTTCTTTGAGACAGGGCCTCACTCTGTCACCCAGGCTGGAGCACAGTGGCGTGATCACAACTTACTGCATCCTCGATCTCCTGGGCTCAAGTGATCCTCCTAGCTCAGCCTCCTGAGTGGCTGGGACTACAGGTGCATGCAACTACACCTGGTTAGTTTTTTGTTTGTTTGTTTGTTTAAATTTTGAGCCAGGCATGCCAGGCATGGTGGTGCGCACCTGTAATCCCAGCTACTTGTGAGGCTGAGGCAGGAGAATCCCCTGAACCTTGGAAGTGGAGGTTGTAGTGAGCCAAGATAGTGCCACTGCACTCCAGCCTTGGTGAGAGAGCTTGACCCTGTCTCAAACAAAACAAAAAATTTTGTAGAGACAGAGTCTCGCTATGTTGCCTAGGATGGTCTTTAACCCCTGGGCTCAAGCTATCTTCCTGGCTTGGCCTCCCAAAATGTTGGGATTACAAGCGTGAGCCAGGGCACCCAGCCTCGGAGAGTGATCTTAGTGGTGGCTTCAAGGAGGTTGTGGACAATTGATAGATGTCCTTATATTCTGAATGTTGTTCGAGGACTCAAAGATGAAATAAGGACTAAGGAAGTACAGTTACACACTCAACTGAAAAATCTCTGTGATCCAGCTTGTCCCGGGTGCTTCCACACAGGACAAGTGCTTCGAGTGATTCACAGAAGCACTAGCGGGCCACTAGCACTCTGCTGGATGGTTAGATGTGAAAACTGGAGCTTCTTTGCCAGGTTCCTTATAAAAGTAAAAGAGGTTGTTGTCCCCAACATAGCTTGATGGAGAAAAAATATGTTTTTCTGGGACATAGATGTACTGTAGGGCAGTCTGTTTAAACTTTTGGGCTTAAGTGATTTTGATGACATCTTCATATTGGCCAAAACAGCCTATGGTCAAATCAGCTGTTTGGCAAATCATATTAAAATGTCACTAAAATTGAGGGTTCTTTTAAGGAGTATAAATATTTAGAGTTATTACCCAGTGGGAGGCCGGGCGCAGTGGCTCACGCCTGTAATCCCAGCACTTTGGGAGGCCAAGGTGGGCAGATCACGAGGTCAGGAGATCGAGACCATCCTGGCTAACATGGTGAAAACCCATCTCTATTAAAAATACAAAAAATTACCTGGGTGTGGTGGCACGTGCCTGTAATCCCAGCTACTTGGGAGGCTGATGCAAGAGAATCGCTTGAACCCGGGAGGCCAAGGTCGCAGTGAGCCGAGATCGCGCCACTGCACTCCAGCCTGGGTGACAGAGCAAGATTCCATCTCAAAAGCATTAATAAATAAAATAAATAAATAGAGTTATTGCCCAGTGGGAATAGTTCATTACTATACATTCTTAGAATAACAAACATTTTTTTTCTTGGATCATTCACTTACTAGTCATATGACTTTGTCCAAATTACTTAAATCTCTGTGTATTTCAGTTTTCTTATCTGAAAAATGGGGTAAATAATTGTAGGTGTTTCAAAAGTTTACTAAGAGGAATAAATGAGTTGATACACATAAAACATTTAGTACAGTACTTGATCCATGTTAAAGATTCAATAAATATTGAGTATTATTATTTTTCATTATTTGGGTGGTTTTTCTACATATATGAAAGCCAGTCTTTTAATCATCATAGTTATTATAAATGACCAGTCTATTTAGGGTTAAAGTTTAGAAATATTAGATAAAACCGCATTATAACATTTACTAATGTAATCACTTTTTAATTTGTACACTTTATATAATCATCATTATATATTTATTTATACAGTGTATACTGTGAAGTATCATAGGCAATGTTTTCAGTACTGTATGCATGGAAAGGAAACATCTTCCCCCGGACTCCTTAAAATAGATTACTGAGAAGCTATCCCTGATCAGAAGGTGAAATTCACACAGGAGACACTGACTCTTTAGACTTTGTTTCACTGGCCTGGTGGAAGATGGACCTCTGTGTATGAAGAGAGGTCAACTGATTCACTGAAGGTCAGAGACAGAGCGGCTGGGCTGAGACCAACTTCTGGTCTTCCTGACTTCTAGTATGTTTCTTCTGCTTTTCTTACGAGGAACAAAGAATCTTATAACAAACAATTTAAAAAGAAGTGTTTCAAATAACCTGCTTCATACTGTTTTAAAATAACTATACCTTAAATATAAATCTCTCACAATTGCACTTTCTATTCAGAGTAAATGGGAGAAAGGAAGTTAAATAGTGAACTTACCTGCTTATGTTCAGTGATTGAGCTCATTTCTGAGTACCAAAGGCTTGAAATTATGAATTCTATAAAATTGTCTGAATTTCTGCTTGAAACTAAATACCTGGTTGCCTTTCACAGGAGAGATAATAACCCTTTACCCTGGTCTTGGTTAAGGAGCACTTTGCCCAAGCTATATATTACAAGGAAATGGAGCATCCATTACGTGGTGTTCTGAAGTTCTCCTAGTTCAGCAGGCTCCCAAAGAAGAGCTCTCAGCAAGTGTTAAAAATTCGAAATGCACAGGTGTCTGAGAGCCAAGTTGTTTTTAGCTTATTGGTTTTTTGTTTATAGCTTGTAAAATGATTTAAGTAGAAACTCTGAGCCTGTGTGGAAGTCCTATCTGGGAAGCTGCTTTCCAAAAGTGTAGGTACCTATATATGTTGCCTAATGTGATTATGCATATTGTACAACAGTTGGTCCAGTCATTTACCCAGAGGCTTTATCAAATTTGCTAAAATGGTAAGCAGACTAGCTAAATGTGGTCCCTGGGATCTGAAAGATGGAAATCTAGCTTATAACAGGATAAGGACATTCCATTGGCCATATTTCAAACTTACAGGTATCATAGCATAGAAACCTCAACCTTCATATTTGGTTATTGAGACAAATTATCAAACACACTTTAAATTCTACTGATTTCTATGAAGAAATCACATTCTTCACATCAGCCAAAAGCAGACTCCTTCATACCCAGAGTGGATCAGGCCCCGCATGAAGTGCTATATTCTTCTGAACACTATTGCTCAGTTTGTATTCACACAGCTCAACCACTCAGGTTAAATGACCTCTTTTAACCTGAGGTCATTTTGTAGTCTGTGTTTGTTTGTTGAAACAATCAGGTATTAAATAGTTACTTACTTTATGCAACATGGTTTTGTTGTGTAGGTATGGTTGACTGTCTCTGGCTCTTTACGTAGGTAGGTGATCTATTGTCTTGGTACTGTCAACGATTTAGTATTGAAAGCTTTGAGTCCTAGGAAACTCCTCCTTAGAATATGAAAAGTCCCAGTTTTCAGTGGTGAGTGAGGAAGTTTCTGGGGAGAGTACAAATTACACATAGTGGCCCCAAAAAAGGGCCTGGAAACAACACTGTTTTGAGTGTTAAATGAATATAGCATAGATTATCTACCTTTTATAGTTGCTGTCACTATTTTTTCTTCCTTCCTTTTCCCCTGATCACTGATGCTGACAGCCATGATTTGTGCTTCATAGAAATGGATGTGATGGAAATGTGCAACTTCCGTGTTGCAATCATGGTTGTGAATGTTAACAGTCAGTGACTTTGCCTGTGGATTAATCACTGTTTTTTTGTATTGAGAGAGTACTATCTTAACTTTTAAGATTGCAAACTGCTATTGCTTTTTATGCACAACCATATTTGATTTGATTCTTTTTCTCTTTCGAGACAGGGTGTTGCTCTGTTGCCCAGGCTAGAGTGCAGTGGTGCAGTTATGGCTGACTGCAGGCTTGACCTCTTGGGCTCAAGTGATCGTCCCACCTCAGCCTCCTGAGTAGCTGGAACTACAGATGTGTGACAGCACGCCTGGCTAATTTTTTGACTTTTTTTTTTGTAGGGATGGGGTCTAGTATGTTGCCCAGTCTGGTCTCAAACTCCTGGGCTCAAGCAATCCTCCCATCTCGGCCTCCCAAAGTGTTGGGATTACAAGTGATCCACAGTGCCTGGCTCACATTTTCTAATAGTTCAGAAAATGACAATGAGAAGGATTACAGTGCCAACTCCAATTACAGTGCCAATTACAGTGCCAATGACCCAAACATTATAAAAATGAAGATGAAATGAATATACTATTTTAATGATAGGTGGAAGGAAAAATAGAACTAGATTATGTGGGCAAACACCCTAAATAGGACTGTATAATATGCAGAAAAAAATTGGGGATTGGGCATGGTAGAGAAGATGATATAAAAGCATATGCAGATACTCCTTGACTGACAGTGGGATTCTGTCCCAATAACCCTAACTTGAATATGCATGGCTGACTGGGAGCTGCAGCTCACTACTGCTACCCAGCATTGCAAAAGAAGAATTGTCTGTACTGAATTGGTATTGATTTTGCACCATTGTAAAGTAGAAAAATCGTTAAGTCAAACCATCATAAGTTGGAGAACTTCCTAATGGAGAATGGGTCTCAGAAGTCAGGATGAGACAAGCAAGTAATTCTAAGTCAATCAAAAGTTGTTTTGGATAGCAAAAAGAAACCAATGCTCAACCAAAAATAGTAGCTCCGGAATTTGCTTGTACAAAGTACACGAAAGAACACACATTATTTTATTGTTCCCATGATTGTTCTGTGAAACTGAGTAAAGTTAGTTTCTGGGGTTGCCCCTAAGCTCAGAATGGCTTGTGCAACTAACCTCAGAAAAGAGAAATTTTGATAACAAATGGTTCAGCCGATTCTATCAGATTTAACATTTATTCTTTCATTCTTTCTATAGTATTAACATATCAAGTGACGCTTCAAATCAAAGTAACACAAAATATTCCTCCTAGCTCTTAAGCACTTTAATCCGAAAAATGGAGTTGCAAAACATCTTGAATTCTATGAAGATTTTAGTGAAGTCTCAGAAAACATAAAACAAAAGATGGTTGATACCTTGTCCGAGTACAAATTAGGCTTTGCTTATCTGTCTGCACATTCCGTAGACACTGCAAATAAAAATTTTGGGAAATTCCATTCCATCTATAAACTTCTTCCCCAAAATAATGAGGAAGATCTCACCAGGGAAATGTCCTGAACATTTTGTACAGAATACTGCTAAATAGGGGCATGATATGATTACCTGTAGTATTGAAATATTTATAATAAAAGTTTTTGGTTACTTTTTAGTTTTCTTAAAATGTGAAGAAGCACTTAATGAGATATTTGACTTTATAGAAATGAAAGGAGACAGCTTCCTTAAACATGTACCTACAAGATGAATGTAATTTTTGCTGCCCATAGGAAAGATTTTTAAATTCTGACTTGATATCAAATCATGTTTTCAAAGTGTGAGACAAGACGAATGAGTTTTTCTAATTTGGAATTATGTTGAGGGTGAAAATGGAGAAGAGGATTAGAGTAAAAGAGAAATTTGGATGCAGTTTTCTCAAAACTGTTTGATAATTTTTCAAGAGGACATAAGGTGCCTAGAAAAGGATGAACTAACTGCACTTCAGTTCCTGAATATCATGAACAGGGAAACCAACCAGAAATAATTTCTTCAATTTCTTTACTGGAACTAATTTATCTGGAATTCAAATTATTTTAACTTCAAAGCCTCAAGTACATATTAACCTGTTTCCCAAGAAAAAGAGGTTATAAGGTAGGATGATGTGTACTGTGCTATAAAGAGTTTAATGATGATGGGCATTTCAGACATAGATAGTCATTATAACGAATTTATAGATGCAAATAACCCGCTTGACAGATAACTACTCTATCAAAACCAGCCTGAGGATACAAGTGGTTGGAAAGTTTTGGAGCACTGGAAACTAATTCCTTCAAATCTAAAAACTTGCTCTTGCAAGTAAGCAAAATTCTAAGTATTCCATGATTAAACACTTGGGCGGAAAGGATATTTAACTTGATACTATAGCTTTGGACTGACACCAAGAGCCAGTGCAATGTGGGCTTGATATGAGAAGAGCTGCAAGTCAAAGTGAATTTTATGTTGGACTGTATTCAATTTTACTACTACATAAAAGAAAAACGGATGCCTAAAGACTGAGTCAGTTCAGAGAAGTATTATTGGAAAGCAAACTAGAAAGAGAAAAAATATCCTGGGACAAAGAAAAACATGTCAACTTTTTTTTTCAATAAATACAGGCAATATCTGTTTAGCAATGCTTACATTCTTCTTTTAAAGTCACATTTATATATTTAAGGAGTACACAGTAATAATGCCTACAAAATTTAAATATCCAATGAAGTTAAAAAGTTAAATTATTCTTTTAAAGAAACATTGTAAAAGAATTTAAAAATTCCTTTAAAGAAACATTGTAAAAATATCAATATATATTTTGCTCACATATTATTTAATTTGTCCTACTATAAGTAACTATTGTTTATTGCCTATTAACTATTTCTACTGTTGTTTTGCTTAAATTATAGCAGTTACATAAAAGAAAAATAAATAATACAGAATAATCTATAATTTTGATAAACACCTATTATTCATATTTTAATGTTAAAGTAATGGCACATATGAGTGTTATTTATTATATAGTGTTTTATTGTGGGTTATTTGGTTTGGTTTGACTGTGTCCCAGGCTGGCTTTCTAAAAAGTTGGTCACCCTACCTTCAAGCCAGGCTGTCATAATTCCTCATGTACTCTTATCTATTAATGCGGTCGAGCAACAGACACCATAAAGCTGTTGCCAGAAACTGCCACTGAACCATCACTTTTTTTGTTTTTCCTATCTGTTTTTACTCTGATAATGATTATTTCAGACTTCTGCCTCTTGGCAATTTGGATATAATTGTTATTTGGTTTCTTGGGCATTTTTACTCTCAGTTTCTACTTAACTTGTCTGGGATTTGTCCCTTTAGTCCCCAAACTGAATACAGTGACATGTTGAAATCTTATGCAGTTCCATGGAAGCAAACTGTCAGCAGGACCTCTCCCTGTTTCCTGTTCAAATCCAATCAAAATACAAACAAATGCTAACTATTCCAGTAAGTGTAAAAACTTTAAGACAGCAATTATTGGCCTTGTAATTTCACAGTGTTTAGAATCCACTTTAGGACTGAATGAAAAATCAATAAAGCAACCCTAAATGTCTGAGTTAAACAATAAGGGCCGATAGAAAGCTCTAGGTTACAATTTTTCAAGTTTGTGCAAATGTAGAATGCCTAAATATTTACAATATTATAGATATATTTGCTGTAATAATGGGGTCTTGCACATACACACGCATGCACACACAGAACAGGTGTTGGAAAAGTAAATTTCTGACTTTTTTTAAAGGTCAGAAATCTTGATGTCCCAAGACAACTGATATTACCATGTGAAAATGCTGTTCATATCTGAGTTGCTGCCTAATGTAGGCACTGTGCAATTTCAAACACATTTTAACTTATTCATTATCACTAGTAATCCTAATTCAATAGAAACTTCTGACTTTATAATAACAAATAATTAGCATTGACAATAAAAGTGCGAATGAAGACATGATTGATGAATTTGTTTATTAACCATTAATAATGTTAATTCAAAATTCTATGGGTATATTTGTCTATGTGTAGATAATGTATTTTGTTACATGTAATTTCATAAAGCTTATGAACAGATTTAGATTTGAACTAACAGAAGAATCAAGCAGACACTTCTTAACAATGTTAAAAACTTCATTTTGTTTTTTTATTAAAGTAATAGGAAGAATATACTTAACAAAAAAGGATAAAATGTAAAATAAAATTGCAGTCTCATTAGACCCAAATTATAGAGAAATAAAAATTATTACAAAACAGTTTAAGTTATAAAATCTTTGTGGTAGCTATTACCTCAGTAGAAGGAGACTTTATTCTCTCTGAAAATAAGAAGGAAAAATGAAAAAATTGCTCTAGCAATAAGCATGACCCCAAGTTACATCTTAATTTAATCAATTTTGGTGCATTTGACAGGAGGGACAATGTCTTATCTTTGGATCCCACATAATGCCTAATACTGTTTGAACAGAATAAGTGCTCATTTAAAAAGTACTTTTTCAAAAAACAATTTAGTTGTGAAATTGGTCCAAGTGGAAAACTATGAAAAAATAGTATAGGTTTTAATTTTATACCTCACCTTCAAATTTAAAGGCAATACAACAGTGTCAACTTTTAGAAATAAGAATCTTATCAGAGCTTAATATTAATTTTCAGGTAACATGCATGGCATATTTACATTCACACTGGGAAATTGTATACATTACTATATTTTAACTGGTTAATTCTAACTGGTTATCAGCTCCATTCAGTTCTTCCTGTTTCAAACCACATACACCTTCACATGTTCTTCTTTTAATTCACTACATAGGGTTAATCTACGGTATTTTAAGTACAGTATTAGGAAATTCCTTGTCAGAAATGGGCTACTAAAGCCTGATATGGAGCAAATTTCCCTTGATGCAGCTTTTTCTTCCTGCCTTTTAAACATAGGCTTTCTTTTTAAACACTGTGGTCACCAGGATGGGGATTTAACACCTCAAATGATCTAAATCCTCTCTCTAAACAATCTCAATTAGTTCCACGGCTTCAACTTATCATCTAAGTGAAGTTTGTCCAACCCACGACCTGTGGGGTGCATGCGGCCCAGGATGGCTTTGAATGCTGCCCAATACAAATTCGTAAACTTTCTTAAAACATTATAAGACTTTTTTTGTGATTTTTTTTTTTAGCTCATCAGCTATTGTTAGTGTTAGCGTAGTTTATGTGTGGTCCAAGACAATTTTTTCAAAGTGGCCCAGGGAAGTCAAAAAATTGGACACCCCTGATCTAAATGTTGATATTTCCCCATCTTTCTCTAAGGTCCCAGAATTTCATTTTTAATTTACCTAAGGGATGTTAGATTTCTCTACTTTGATGTCCCATGGGGACTTTGCATTGTCTACTTGCAATCAGCATCCATTTGTATCTCCTTTGTATGTTCCTACACTCTTCCACCATTAACATAATATTATAGGGGCTATTAGTCTAAACACTATGTTTTAAAGACATTTTGTGGCTAGGGTCCTGGATGTGATTAAGGTTGTGCCAATGAAATGCACTCACGAACTATTTGGAAAACGGAGGTGATTCTTTTTTATAGTGCTGTGGGCAGAAAAGCAGCTCCAGCAGACAAAACTTCTGGCATCAGGCGCTCTGAATGCCCCAGATGTGATGTTGGCAGCAGTGCCCTTACTGCAGGGTGGAAAGAGCAGTTCCTCATCTGTAAATTCTGTTTTCTACACTAAACCCTGATGGATACAACCCCGCAACTGTTTCTCATTGTGCAGTTTCTATCTTGGATAACATCACCACTTCTAGACAACTACCCAAGCCAGCCCGTACGCAGATGGCTACCAGGTCCAATTCTTTACCACTGACTTTTGAACTTTTCTGTATTTCCATATCTCTGCTTTCCTGTTGGATACATCAACATATCTGACTCACTGTCTGTCACCCCAAACCTGACATATCTAAAATAATTTTTGTCAAAACAAATTTAAGAAAATGATACTATTATCAACAGAAATAGACAGTCCTCTTAATTGCGCTATTCTATATCTGTTATTTATAGTCCTACATTTCTCCCAGGTACTCAGGCTTGAAATGCTAGATTCATTTCTCACTGTTCCCTCTCTCTTCTTCAATTTTCAATCATTCTCTGTTCAGAGAGCTTACCATTTTTCACTGGGATTTTGCAATGGACTGTTAACTAGTTAGTCTTCATATCTCTGTTCTTTCCTTCTTTAATTTGTCCTACTGCTGTGACCACACTGATTTTAAAACTCTCCATTGACTAATTGCTTTCCCTCTTCACAAAGCTTCAATAATTTCCTACTGACTTTTTATTTAATAAACTTCAAATATGTTTGCCTGTCATTTAAACTTCTCCATAATTTCCTTATTTGAAATAATATCTCATTATTCTTTTAACTGTTCCCTCTGTGAAATAGTCAGGATGGAATAGGTTACGCTTCTTAATAGGCAGCTCCCAAATCTCAGGGGCTTGGAGTTGAAAATGCATGTTATGTGTGCTTGAGGCTCAGCTGGGCCTCTGATCATCACTGTCCTTGTGCCAGATCCCAGGCTGATAAAACAACCACTTTATAAAACAGTGCCAGTCATTGTAGCTGAGGGAAAAGGTGGGTCTTGAAGTGGAATTCAGTGCTTTGGCCAGAGGTAGTCACATTATTTTCCCCTTCTCCTGTGAAAGCAAAGACAGACATACAATTACTATACTTTCCTACTCATTGTCTTTAAATATCTTTTGCTTCTCTGTCTTTATTATCTGCTTAAATTTTTGAACATAAATGTTTCCTTATCTATCCACATCGTACCCATTGTTTTATATCCAGCTTTCATATCTTGTTTTCCAGTAAGACTTCCTAGATTAGCCATATCTGCAACAACCTCTTCCCATTACACTCCTAAGAAAATTGTCTGATTATTGTGAGATCTTTGCTTTGATGCTTTATTATTTTAATTTTAAAAAGCAATGCTTAGATTTCTTCACTAAAGTTGTATGGCATCGTTTGTTTCTTTCTGTATCCCACCCATTCTGGTTGCCACCATACTCTTCATTTGTAGGCTTTCATATTTTAAAATTTCGATGGATATCTTGGAAATGGATAAACCCTGACCAAATTTGTAAGAATAGAAAAACATACCACTTTAAACTTCAAGAGACCCCCAAATTGGTACTACATAGACTATTTTACACTGATATTTATATGGAAAATATAAGTAAGTATCCAAGGTAGAAAATATTTTAAATGGGATTAATTTATTGGTAAAAACCTAGGAGTTACTCTATCAATACTACATTAAAATATGAAACTGAATTTTAACAAAAAGGTGCTATTCTCTCATAGATTATATGACTTTAGGTGAAAGCTTTGTGTTACCATGTGTTTAATTGCTTTAATAGTAATGAAATTATTGTGCTAACTTGATTAAAAATAAATTTCTTCTAGTGGACAGTTTCTTATTTTCACGTGTCCCAAATCTTTAAATATTGCGGGCACAAAAAAACGGGAAGCAGAAAATTTACTAGCAACATGAAATATGAGACTACTGCAATATCTTCAGGTTATTTTTTAGGATTGTATATTGATTTGAAGATGAATTTCACCATTTTATCCATATGTCCTTGGACATTTGAGGTAGAGAAAAAAAGATGAAAAATACATTGTACAGAATAAGTTGCTAAGATAGGAAGATTAGCAAAAGTGAATGAGACAGGCAGGACATTTGGAAAGGTACAAACTATTGCTTGTGCATCTTTTTCTTGCTTAACAAAGTGGTTAAGAAGCACATTGATCTTCAAAGGATGACAATAAATTGTGCATACTCTGCAGCCATCTCATCTTTATGCCTACAAATTGTGTGTTGTGCAGAACTGAATTCTTCAGGAGTCACTTGTTATGAAGAAGCATTCTGATAGTGACTTGCAATTATACCGCATTGGAGCAGGGAAAAAATTGATTCCTTTTTCTTCACTTGATGTATTTTTAATTAATTTATTAAATATTGAATATATAAAGAGAGTAAAATATTTGAATAAGGTAAAAAGAATAGCAATAAGATCAATATCTAGGTATTGTCAACCAGTTTAAGAAATAGAACACTATCAGTACACTTCAGTTTCTCTGTGTGTCCTTCTTCAATTCCATACCTCTACCTTATATGTTTGTATTTCTAAATAATATTTGGTTTTGTGTTTTTGAAATTTACATAAATAGAATTATGCTATATTCATTCTTCTGTGATTTGCTTTTTGAATGCAGCATTATGTCCCTGAGACTCTATTTTAATATATATGGCTGAAATGCATTCATTTATACTGCTGCAGAGTATTTCATGTAAGACTATACCAAAACTTTGTATTCATTCTATAATTGATGGGTATTTCAATGAGTATTATTTTATTATTTTTATTGTAAAAAAATGCTGCTATAAATATTATTTACCTCTCTTCTGGTGCAATTGTTCAAGAATTTTTCTAAGATACACGCTGGGAGTGGGAAGGTTGGCGCATCTTTTTTTTTTTTTTTTTTTTTTGTGACGGAGTCTCGCTCTGTCGCCCAGGCTGGAGTGCAGTGGCACAATCTCTGCTCACTGCAAGCTCCGCCTCCCAGGTTCACGCCATTCTCCTGCCTCAGCCTCCCAAGTAGCTGGGACTACAGGCACCCGCCACCACACCCGGCTAATTTTTTATATTTTAAGTAGAGACGGGGTTTCACCGTGTTAGCCAGGATGGTCTCGATCTCCTGATCTCGTGATCCACCCACCTCGGCCTCCCAAAGTGCTGGGATTACAGGCGTGAGCCACCGCGCCCGGCCGGTTGGTGCATCTTAACATCATGACATGATATTAAATTGCATTGCCACTTGCATCTGCGAATGCTAGGTATTGTTTCCTACACTTAATGAACATCTAGCTTTAAGTTTTCTAAAATCTAGAGGGTGTGAAATGGTTGGCTTAGTTTTACTTTCCCTGGAAAGGGCGCTGAAGCCAGGGAGCTGACTGGTCTTGCTCAGCATATCCCACCGCCACAGACTCCAACAAACTAAGATCCACTGGCTTGAAATTCTCGCTGCCAGCACAGCAGTTTAAAGTCGACCTGGGATGGGGGCAGGGGCATCCACCATTACTGAGGCTTGAGTAGGCAGTTTTCCTCTCACAGTGTAAACAAAGCCACCGGGAAGTTTTAACAGGGTGTGGAAAACACCTCAGGGTGGCAAAGCCCCTGTAGCCAGACTTCCTCTCTAGATTCCTCCCCTCTGGGCAGGGCATCTCTGAAAGAAAGGCAGCAGCCCTAGTCAGGGGCTTATAGATAAAACTCTCATCTCCTGGGAACAGAGCACCTGGGGGAAGGGGCAGCTGTGAGCGCAGCTTTAGCCAGCTTAAATGTTCCTGCCTCCCAGCTCTGAAGAGAGCAGCAGATCTCCCAGCACAGCACTTGAGCTCTGCTAAGGGACAGACTGCCTCCTCAGTTGGGTCCCGGACCCCTGTGCCTCCTGACAGGGAGACATCTCCCAGCAGGGGTCAACAGACACCTCATACAGGAGAGCTCCAGCTGGCATCTGACAGGTGCCCCTCTGGGACGAAGCTTCCAGAGGAAGGAGCAGGCAACAATCTTTGCTGTTCTGCAGCCTCCACTGGTGATACCCAGGCAAACAGGGTTTGGAGTGGACCTCCAGCAAACTCCAGCAGACCTGCAGCAGAGGGGCCTGACTGTTAGAGGGAAAACTAACAGAAAGTGATAACATCAACACCAACAAAAGGGATGCTCATGCAAAAACCCCATCTGAAGGTTATCAACATCAAAAACCAAAGGTAGATAAATCCACGAAGATGGGGAAAAACCAGCACAAAAAGGCTGAAAATTCCAAAAACCACAATGCCTCTTCTCCTCCAAAGGGTCACAAGGGATCAAAACTGGATAGAGAATGAGTTTGACAAATTGACAGAAGTAGGCTTCAGAAGGTGGGTAATAACAAATTCCTCTGAGCTAAAGGAGCATGTTCTAACCCAATGCAAGGAAGTTAAGAACATTGATAAAAAGTTACAGGAACTGCTGACTAGAATAACCAGTTTAGAGAAGAACATATGTGACCTGGTGGAGCTGAAAAAACACAGCACAAGAACTTCATGAAGCATACACAAGTATCAATAGCCAAAGTGATCAAGTAGAAGAAAGGATATCAGAGATTGAAGATCAACTTAATGAAATGAAGCATGGAGACAAGATTAGAGAAAGAAGAATGAAAAGGAATGAACAAAGCCTCCAAAAAAATGGGACTATGTGAAAAGATCAAACCTACGTTTGATTGGTGTACCTGAAAATGAGAGGGAGAATGAGACCAAGTTGGAAAACACTCTTCAGGATATTATCCAGGAGAACTTCCACAGCCTAGCAAGACAGGCCAACATTCAAACTCAGGAAATACAGTTAATGCCACAAAGATACTCCTGGAGGAGAGCAACCCCAAGACACATAATCATCAGATTCACCAAGGTTGAAATGAAGGAAAAAATGTTAAGGGCAGCCAGAGGGAAAGGTTGGGTTACCCACAAAGGGAAGCCCATCAGACTAACAGCTGATCTCTCAACAGAAACCCTACAAGCCAGAAGAGAGTGGGGGCCAATATTCAACAAACTTAAAGAAAAGAATTTTCAACCCAGAATTTCATATCCAGCCAAACTAAGCTTCATAAGTGAAGGAGAAATAAAATTCTTTACAGACAAGCAAATGCCGAGGGATTTTGTCACCACCTGGCCTGCCTTCAAGAATGCCTAAAGGAAGCACTAAATATGGAAAGGAAAAACCGGTACCAGCTACTGCAAAAACATACCAAAATGTAAAGACCGTTGACACTATGAAGAAACTGCATCAACTAATGGGCAAAATAACCAGCTAGCATCATAATAACAGGATCAAATTCACACATAACAATTTTAACCTTAAAAGTAAACAGGTTAAATGCCTCAATCAAAAGACACAGACTGGCAAATTGGATAAACAGTCAAGATCCATCAATGTGCTGTATTCAGGAGACCCATCTAACGTGCAAAGACACACATAGGCTCAAAATAAAGGGATGGAATAATATTTACCAAGCAAATGGAAAGCAATAAAAAGCAGGGGTTGCAATCCTAGTCTCTGATTTAGCAGAAAGAGGAATTTGCGTCATGATTAAAACTCAACGTTATACCTTCATCACAAATGACACTGCCCCTTATAGAAGTATAACAAACGTATTGCAAGGTCTGACTGCTATATCCAGTGAGTTAGCCAGCAACCCAGGGGTAAATGACTCCTTTACAGAATGGCTAAAAAAAGGTAGTTCAGTAAATGGAAATGAATAATAGCCTTAACTCTTATTTCCCTCACAGCCGTAATAGTTGTACTTATTCTTGTCGAGTGCTATGGCATACTTATGCATCCATAAGTAGATGCTGAGGCTCATAAAAATGGCACTTACTCCTGTAGTCCCAGCTACTTGGGAGGCTGAGGCAGGAGAATGGTGTGAACCCAGGAGGTGGAGCTTGCAGTGAGCTGAGATTGCGCCACTGCACTCCAGCCTGGGCGACAGAGCAAGACTCCGTCTCAAAAAAATATATATATGGCACTTACTAAAACCTCCGTTAATTATCCTCACCTTATCCAGAGAAGCTTCTTCTTTTGGAAAATCAAGCAAAACAACTAAGCCAAAACATGTGTAAAACAATTTAAAAGAAAGCTGTATGAAAATACAAGGGCAGGGATTGTTAGATATGAGTTATAAATTTCTTTTCAAAGAATTAATATGTCAGTATGTTCAATTCTTTACCTTCTACTTTTAAACCTAACTTCCTTGTAAAGCAACCTTTTTTGATTACCTACTCCACCCTAACTCATTCTGATCATCTGCTCCACCCTAACTCATTCTGATTACCTGCTACCTGCTCTGCCCTGACTCTTGCCAAAGCACTCACCCCGTCATTCTCTTTAAATTTGCTAATTGGAATTAGTTTAGCCTGTGTGGTCTAACCCTAGCCAATAGGAGAACGACACAGCAGCAGGGGCCACATGCGTCAGGGATAAGAACCCTTTCCCCTCCCTTGTCCAAATGTGTGCTCACCATTGTTCCATCTGTAAGGGTGCACCCTTCTATATAGAAGTAACTTGCCTTGCTGAGAATTAAAAAGAAAATTTAAAAAAATACACTTTAAACCAACAAAGAAAAAAGACAAAGAAGGGCATTATGTAATGGTAAAGGGATCAATGCAACAAGAAGAGCTAATTATCCTAAATATATATGCACCCAATACAGGAGCACCCAGATTCATAAAGCACGTTCTTAGAGACCTACAAAGAGACTTAGACTCCCACACAATAATAGTGGGAGACTTTAACACACCACTGTCAATATTAGACAGATCAACGACACAGAAAATTAACAAAGATATTCAGGACTTGAACTCAGCTCTGGACCAGGTGGACCTAATACACATCTACAGAACTCGCCACCCCAAATCTACAGAATATATATTCTTCTTAGCACCACATCACACTTACTCTAAAATTGACCACATAATTGGAAGTAAAACACTCCTCAGCAAATGCAAAAGAACAGGAATCATAACAAACAGGCTCTCAGACCACAAAGCAAACAAATTATAACTCAGGATTAACAGACTCACTCAAAACCACACAACTACAAGGAAACTGGACAACCTGCTCCTGAATGACTACTGGGTAAATAACAAAATTAAGGCAGAAATAAATAAATTCTTTGAAACCAATGAGAACAAAGACACAATGTACCAGAAACTCTGGGACACAGCAAAAGCAGTGTTTAGAGGGAAATTTATAGCAGTAAATCCCCACAGGAGAAAGCAGGAAAGATCTAAATCAACACCCTAACATCACAAAAGAACTAGAGAAGGAAGAGCAAACAAATTCAAAAGCTAGCAGAAGACAAGAAATAACTAAGATAAGAGCAGAGCTGAAGGAGATAGAGACACCAAAGAAACTCTTCAAAAAATCAATCCAGGAGCTGGTTCTTTGAAAAGATTAACAAAATAGACTGCTAGCCAGACTAATAAAGAAGGAAAGAGAAAAGAATCAAATAGACACAATAAGAAATGATAAAGGGGACACCACCACTGATCCCACAGAAATACAAACTACCATCTGAGAATACTACAAACACCTCTATGCAAATAAACTAGAAACTCTAGAAGAAATGGGTAAATTCCTGGACATATACACCCTCCCAATACTAAACCAGGAAGAAGTCGAATCTCTGAATAGACCAATAACAAATTTTGAAATTGAGGCAGTAATTAATAGCCTACTAACCAAAAAAAAGCACAGGACCAGATGGATTTACAGCCGAATTCTACCGGAGGTACAAACAGGAGCTGGTACCATTCTTTCTGAAACTATTTCAAACAACAGAAAAAGAGGGACTCCTTCCTAACTCATTTTATGAGGACAGCATCATCTTGATACCAAACGTGGCAGAGACACACACACACACACAAGAAAATTTCAGGCCAGTATCTCTGATGAACATGGATGTGAAAATCCTCAATAAAATACTGACAAACTGAATCTAGCAGCGCATCAAAAAGCTTATCCGCCATGATCAAGTCAGCTTCATACCTGGGATGCAAGGCTGGTTCAACATACACAAATCACTAAACGTAATCCATCACATAAACAGAACCAATGACAAAAACCACATGATTATCTTAATAGATGCAGAAAAGGCCTTCGATAAAATTCAACACTGCTTCATGCTAAAAACTCTCAAAAAACTAGGTACTGATAAAACGTATCTCAAAATAACAAGAGCTATTTATGACAAACCCACAGCTGATAGCACACTGAATGGGCAAAAGCTGGAAGCGTTCCCTTTGAAAACCGGCACAAGACAAGAATGCCCTATCTCACCACTCCTTTTCAACACAGTATTGGAAGTTCTGGCCAGGGCAGTCAGGCAAGAGAAAGAAATAAAGTGTATTCAAATAGGAAGAGAGGAAGTCAAATTGTCTCTGTTTGCAGATGACATGATTGTATACTTAGAAAACCCGATCTTCTCAGCCCAAAATATCCTTAAGCTGATAAGCAACTTCACCAAAGTCTTAGGATACAAAATCAATGTGCAAAAATCACAAGCATTCCTATACAGCAATAACAGACAAACAGAGAGCCAAATCATGAGTGAACTCCCATTTACAATTGCTAAAAAGAGAATAAAATACCTAGGAATACAACTTACAAGGGATGTGAAGGACTTCTTCAAGAAGAACGACAAACCACTGCTCAAGGAAATAAGAGAGGACACAAACAAATGGAAAAATATTCCATGCTCATGGATAGGAAGAATCAATGTCATGAAAATGGCCATACTGCCCAAAGTAATCTATAGATTCAATGCTATTCCCATCAAGGTACCATTGACTTTATTCACAGAATTAGAAAAAACTACTTTGAATTTCATATGAAACCAAAAAACAGCCCATATAGTCAAGACAATCCTAAGCAAAAAGAACAAAGCTGGAGGCGTCATGCTAAGTATACCACAAGGCTACAGTAACCAAAACAACATGGTACTGGTACCAAAACAGATATATAGACCAATGGAACAGAACCAAGGTCTCAGAAATATCTACATCAACAACCGTCTGATCTTTAACACACCTGACCAAAACAAGCAATGGGGAAAGGATTCCCTATTTAATAAACAGTGTTGGGAAAACTGGCTAGCCATATGCAGAAAACTGAAACTGGACCCCTTCCTTACACCTTTTACAAAAATTAACCCAAGATGGATTAAAGACTTAAACATAAGATCGAAAACCATAAAAACCCTAGAAGAAAACCTAGGCAGTACCATTCAGGACATTGGCATGGGCAAAGACTTCATGACTAAAGCACCAAAAGCAATTGTAACAAACCCAAAATTGACAAATGGGAACTAATAAAACTAAAGCGCATTGGCACAGCAAAAAAAGCTATCATCAGAGCTAACAGGCCACCTACAGAATGGGAGAAAATTTTTGCAATCTATCCATTTGGCAAAGGGCTAATATCCAGAAACTACAAGAAACTTAAACAAATTTACAAGAAAAAAACTAACAACCCTATAAAAAGTGGGCAAAGGATATGAACAGACACTTTTCAAAAGAAGAAATTTATGCGGCCAACAAATATATGAAAAAAGCTCATCATCACTGGTCATTAGAGAAATGCAAATCAAAACCACAATGAGATACCATCTCATGCCAGTTAGAATTGGATCTTTAAAAAGTCAGGAAACAAAAGATGCTGTAGAGGATGTGGAGAAATAGGAATGCTTTTTCACTGTTGGTGGGAGTGTAAATTAGTTCACCTGTTGTGGAAGACAGTGTGGCCCTTCCTCAAGGATCTAAAACCAGAAATACCATTTGACCCAGCAATCCCATTACTGGGTATATACCCAAAGGATTATAAATCATTCTACTATAAAGACACATGCACATGTATGTTTATTGCGGCACTATTCACAGTAGTAAAGACTTGGAACTAACCCAAATGCCCATTAATGATAGACTGGATAAAGAAAATGTGGCACATATGCACCATGGAATACTATGCCACCATAAAAAAGAAAGTTCATGTCCTTTGCAGGGACATGGATGAAGCTGGAAACCATCATTCTCAGCAAACTAACACAGGAACAGGAAACCAAACACCACGTGTTCTCAGTCATAAGTGGGAGTTGAACAATGAGGACATATGAGCCCAGGGAGGGGAACATCACACATCGGGCGGCCTGTCAGGAGGTAGGGACAAGGGGAGGGATAGCATTAGGAGAAATACCTAATGTAGATGACGGGTTGATGGGTGCAGTGAACCACCATGGCACATGTATACCTATGTAGCAAACCTTCATGTTCTGCACATGTATCCCAGAACTTAAAGTATAATAAATAAATAAATAAATAAATAAATAAATAAATAAATAAATGTTAACCTAAGAGTACACAACTATTGGTATTAGGACTATAGAGCACAATGGGCATGTTATATACCTAAATAATGCAATGATAGCAGTGCAAGTATATTTTGGGAGGTTAGAGAAAGTGTGAGAGTGCTAAAGCCTTCATGTTATGATATCTAAAATGAAACATGAGTATAAAAGCCATAACTGCAACCTTTTATTATTATTATTGCAATCTCATTCTCTTTTAATTTTAGAGAAATTCTTAAGAAATCATACTTTCGTAGTGAGAAAAACATTTGTTTGCAATTCAACAATCCTTTCAATTTTAGTTTTATTATTTAATTTAAATAAAATTTAATGTTAGAATTTATATATGATCTTGTTTTCATGAAAGATTTTCTCTCATTCTGTTTATCTTATTATAAATTATTTGAATATACATACTGAATGATAACTTGAACATTCACCAAATAACTGACAGTCATTTCTGTGTAATGGAATTTAGAATTACTTTAAAATTTTAACTTTTGTTCTTTTCAGCATTAATTTTTTATTGTAAACATAAATCAATTTTATACAAATAATGGAACATTTTCTCTTAAATAATAAATGCGACAAAATGTTAGTAGCTAAATGCGTTAATATATTTTTAAACTTCCAAAATTAAGAAAAAGATAATGGCTGGGTGTGCTGACTCATGCCTATAAATCCTAGCACTTTTGGAGGCTGAGGTGGGAGGATTGCTTGAGCCCAGGGAAGCCTGGGCAACAGGGCTGTCTCTACAAAAACTCAAAAAATGAGCCAAGCCTGGTGGTGTGCCTGTGCTCCCAGCTACACGGGAGGCTGAGGCAGGAGGATCACCTGAACCCAGTCATTTCAGGCTACAATGAGCCTTGTTCGCACCACTGCATTCCAGCCTGGGTGACAGAGCAACACCCTGTCTGAAAAAACAAACAAACAAAAAACTTTAAATATTTTTTTTCTATAAGTGTTTTAGTTTATTTTGTATTGCTGTAAAAAATACTTGAGACTGAGTAATTTCTTTATTTCTCTATGTTTTTTCTTTCTTTTTTTTTTTTTAGTTGAGGCAGTCTTACTATGTTGGCTGGGCTAGTCATGAACTACTGGGGTCAAGTGATCTTATTTCAAGTAGCTGGAACTACAGGCATGTGCCACTGCCTCTGGATTCAGGACTGCGTAATTTATAAGAAAAGAGACTTATCTATCTCCCAGTTCTGTGGGCTCAGAAGTTCAAGGGCATAGCCCTGGCTTCTGGCAAGGACATTCATACTGTGTCCCAACATGGAATAGTAAGTCAAAGCGGAAGCCGCTGGCATGTGCAAAGAGAAGAAATCCTGGCTTTATAACCACCCACTTTCATGGGAACGAATCTATTCTTGAGAGATGGAATCCAATCTCAGGAGAGCAAGAGCTTGCTCACTACTGTGAGAAGAGCACCAAGCCATTTATCAGGAATCTGCTCTTGTGACCTGAACAACTCCCACTAGGCTCCACCTCCCAACGCTGCCATACTGGGGATCAGACTTCCACATGAGTTTTGGTGGAGACAAACCAACCAGATCCAAACATAGCAACATGCTTTTTATTTTTATTTTTTTCAGAGGGTTTGTATAGGATAAATCTCCTAAAATTTTTATAGAAGGACTATGCAGCTATTACCTTTCCTCATTTTAAGAGTTTAAATATACTTCTGATTGATACAGGGATATTGATTCATCCTTCAGCATTCCTCTTCCTCTGGGTTACCTTCTTCCCATAAGCTCAGATCAGCGCCTACATTTCTGACATGCATTTGCAGATTCTTCTCCTGTAAGCACTTGCATCTATTTTTCTTAATTTCTCAGGTAGCTATTTTACCTGTATTTGGAAAGGTTCCCTTTTCCCTGACACCTCTACTATCTGAATCCATAAAAGCCTGAATTCTGACATGGGTGGAAGTCAGTGTGTAGGAAAATGGTATACTGGTGAGTTTCCTAATGCTTGCATCACATTTATAATTTAATAGGATGGGCCAGGTTTTGTAGTTAATAGATAGTTTTAAAAGATCTTAATCTATAAAATACAATGGTCACTCTTGAAGGTCTAATTCTTACATAAACTTTTTTGGGTTTATAATCATTATAATTTTTAAAAAATCTAGATTTTAATGTATAAGCCAATGTGGTTTGACTCCCAGTTCTACTATTTACAAAAGTGTAATCACTGGGAGATTTCTTAATCTCTTTGATTCTCAATTTTTAAAATCCATAAAGCGAGGATAATGCCTACCTCATAGTGTTGTTTTCTTGAGAATTCAATAAGCTAATATGTGGAATGTACATATTATTATGCACTTGGACCTAGAATATCTAAAAGTGAATTCAATGGTATAACTTTCTTTTAAAAATAAGTGTAATTGGGTAATTTATTTATCATTGTTAACTATTTTCAGTCATTACTCAAACAAATCTTGATTTCTAGGTCTGGGCTCAAACTCACCAAACCATCTTATCTTGGAAGTAGATAGAAAGATTGTTTACTATAGTGATGAAGAGCAGAGACTTAGAAGCAGACAGCATAGGATTGAATCTCTGTTTCTACCTTGACTTGCTCTACCTTATGAGCAAGTTGCTTAGCCTCTGTCTTGATTTTCCCATCTGAAAAATCATTATAGATAGTCCTTATGTCACAGGTTTGTTTGAAGTTTAAATAAGTTAGTCTTATAAAGTGCTTAGAATACTTTATGAGGTTATGTTGGATAGAAGAAAGATAGGTACCTCCAAGGAAGGGCCAATGTTAGCTTAGTTTGATATAAAAAGGGCCTCTAAACTTTTTTGACTTTGTGGCCATAACCCCTTCTTAAACACTATTCTCTCCTGTTTTGGCCCTTTGCTTCTCATCTTTCAGGTCATAGCTTAATCATTTTTTTTTCCCCATCAAGACTTATTGGATCTCACAGAGGAGGCTATTTGATAAAAGCATCCTTGAAGTCCATCTTCCCTTCTAACACATATATAAGCCCTGTGCAGGCAGAGATCAGAGTGTCTTGTTCACCATTGAAACTTGAGCACTTAGCACTGTGCCTGACAATATTTGTTTGAGAAAGAAGGAATACTCCTTTTCTTCACTCCCGTATGGGCTATTCATTAGGAGGCTAATAGATGCAAATAAAAGAGGGCTTGGGATTTCTCTTTCAGCCTTCTTACTCTCCAGAAAGACCTGAAATTCTCTCTGAATTCCTGCTGATTTCTCCTTGCCACAGACAGGCAAAGAGATTACAGTTTCACTTGATATCAACGGCTTTAACCCCCATGAGGGTTTCTTACCAGTTAAAGAAGTCATTTTTTTTCAGTCTCAAAAGTGAAAGAGATCTTTTATCCTAGTAGGAAAGTTACAGTTTGCTGTGTCTTCTTTGAGATTTAAGGTAGTTTACATGTAATCTCTTATCTGTTCAACTGAAGATATCCCTGGCAAGAAGCTCCCACATCTGAATCAGATTTCTGTTTTCTTACAGAGTGTCTTTCTGAAGAGCTGGAATTCCTTCAGAACAGGGATAGTAAATCAGAATTTAAGATGCTTGTTAGATGATATAGTCCCACAGTGGTTTTCTTGCAGGATTCAAATGACCTGATTATTTGTAGATATTATTGGCTTCTCATTCAGAAATGCTGCTCAGCAGGAACTTCTCTCAAACTCTTTCCTGTCATAAGGGAGGATCCTTGGAGAGGAAAGTGAAATAACTTGATGGCATTGAGATAATATGCAAATTAAGCATTCTTACACACTTGCTTTCAATCAACTATTTTATCGTCACTGAATAAGAAAGACAAATGGACATCATCATTTCAAAATATAAATGGATATAAATATGATCAAATATAACTTCATCATTATGATTCATAATCATGAGGCATCCACAGAGTAAAAGATATAGAAAAGAAATATGCCTTGGTTGTTCTGATTATTAAATCAGAACATATTGACCATAGCAACACATGCATATTCCACTTCAATAATGCTAAAATGCCTAAGGCAAGATAAATCCACAGGAAGATTCATCTCAGCTCACAAGGGTAAGGAGAGGAAAGCATCTGCAAAAGTCTCAATGTGAAGTGCCTGCCTTTGAAATTTGGAAACAAAACATCAAATATTTAACAACATTCAGATCCATCTATGGGGTCTAAATTTGGCCACATCTTATCCAGGTCAGTCCAGTGCTTACTGGCCATGACAAACTGATTTTTTAAAAGGAATGCTATTTGGGATTTGTGGAGCCACCCTAAAGATCAAAACCCTACTTAATCTGTGAATGACACAGGGTAGGTATCAACAATGTGACATGTCAAATTTATGTCTCCTTAATCCTTTTCTGTAAGAATGGTGTCAATTATTTTCCTTCTGTGTTCGTGTGTGTCAGATAGCCAGTCAGTCAACAGCATTTAATGAGCGTCCACTGTGTACTCTGGGGAGCTATAAAGGAAACAGCTCCTGTCCTTGAGGAGTTTATGATGAAATGGGAGAGATAAGGCAAACAAATGAAAAAATACGCAATGGTTGTCATAGAGTCTAGGGCTAGCCTTCTGATAAAACAACAACAACAAAAGACATTTAGGTTCTGTAATTTCTTTTGTTTGAAAGTTCAGAGGAAAATGTCACTTATTTTCAGAGGTTATTTAGAGGACTACCTAAACAAATATGAAGATTTATTTTAAGCATTTGAGAAAAACTCCTCAGATTTTTAAGTCAATATGCCTTTAGTACTATTAAGCTCTTTAGCAAGGTATCTTTAAATACCCACTCATAGATAGAAAATCCTGGCTTAGCTTTCTGAGGTTGAAACTGGAAGAAGGGGCAGTTTATCTGCTTTAAACATGTTGATATTTCTGTTTTCACAGTTTTGATGATACCAGCTAGTTTTTGATTAAATTGCATAGAAGTTACAAGTGGTAGGAGAGTGACGCTTTCCTGATTTTGTTTTCCCTGCATCAGTGAGAAAGATGAGATAAAAGTTTCTGGTTTCCTCAGTCTGATTTGTGGGCAGCTATTGCCAATAAGGGCCACCTGTAAGAGCTATGTGATTGCTCAGCATATGAATAGTTTCTACTGAAAGTATAGTCCTGACTTTTAGGAAGACTACTTTTTTTCTCATGCAAATATTTTAAACTTGTCCTCAGTGCCTTTCTGTCTGCCATCTGTCCCTTCTTCTCCTGTCTGAGGTGTTTCCTTGCCCTAGGATCAGTACTTCTAAGCTCTCCCACTGAGATGTTCTAATAATGGTCTGCCATTCTGAGGGAGTTTCTCCTTTTGAATATTCTCCCTCACTCCTCAATTCACTTATTTCTTCTATACAAATTGACAAGTTAGTGGACGCTAATTTATTAATGACTTAAATAGTGTATTATGACCTAATAGTTGCATCACAGTATGAATCTCTGAAAATGATATAAATCAGTTTCTATTATTGAAACTTTAATATTAACTGGATACCCGCGAGACATCTTTCAGTGTGAGAGGGCTTCTTTGGGGCTTGAATTATTGACCTCTGATTAGTCTTATTCCCAGAGTGGTGGGAGAACCACATCAAGATTTGGGATGGTAGAAAATTTAGGAAAACATTTTGTATATCCTCATATTTCCAGGAAAATTGTGTCACTTCCTTTGAACCCTCAATGGTTTGTTATCACAATCAGAATGAAGTCCACACTCTTCACTGTGGCCCTAAACTTTACTTCATTTGGCCTCTGCTCACTCCTCTGATCTCCTCTTCTCCAGTCTCTCCTTCCTTCACAAGGCCAAAGCCACCTTGACTTCTTCCAGTTCCTTGATTATCCTAGCTCTTTCATGCTCTGGAGACTCCAGAAATTCTCAAGGCCGAGACTTTCTAGGCATTCAGGTCATCGTGTCTAAATGAATTCCTTCTTACCTCCTCCATTATATTTTCTTTAAAGCACTTCTATCTTCTGGAATAAATGAAATTATTGTTACTCTGCTTATTTTACATTTTCGACCACTGAAATCTCTTGAAGGCTGAGACTTTATTTCATGATTGCTGTATTTTCAGGGTCCAGACTATACTAGGCAAATAGTAGATAATAAATATTTGATTAAAAATGTTGCCTAAATAATCATAGCTAGTATACAAATCATAGCTGAATTTAAGTTCAGGCTAAGAAAAGATAAAATACTTAAAATGATTGCTTCCTTATTGACAACCTGATTTTATATTATTGAAAAAAATACTTTATCACACTTCAATTCTTCTCAAAATGTTCGATATGGTGGAATATGAACACTTCTGCTCTTTGAATATCTTTAGTTCTTCATGGAAGAAACAGTGGAAGACTGACTACAAATTAGGAAATGCTAATAGCATCTGTTGGGAAGAAGAGTGTGTGGTGGATCATAGTGTAACTGGGAAGTTATTGAAAAATGACAGGAATGAAGCCAAAGAGAAGAGTCACTGCCCGGAAGCCTGTTGTAGTTAATGCACACAGCGTTCCCTTCTTTGTCCTCCAAGTCCCCTGAAACCAGCAGAGTGTGAAGTTTAGAGTTGAGGCTTGATTACACCAAACTCAAGTGTGAGCAGAAACAAAGACTGCGGGCAGAGAAGGCAGAAAGGGCAGAGGTGGCAAACACTAACTCTGGGTTGGCTGACAGTTGATTAAGACAGAGTCACAAGGGAGAAAAATTGCTTTTATTTGCTATGAGGATGACCAGTGCCCCACCTGGATGGACCCCAATCAAATATCCTAGAGTTGACTCTTACTTTTTGTCAGCTCCACAATAAACTGTGTTCTCCCTGTAATGACAGGCTAGATGGATTATTTTAAGGGTTTATGTACTCTTATGGAAATGGAAACAAAAGGACAAATGCAGGGTCTTTCTCCCTTGCTTGAACTCTTACTTGGTTACTTTTCTCCTCCCCTACCTCCACATCATTTTTTTTTTTTTTTGGTCTGTTTTGTTTGGAAGCCTTGTCTTACCAATTTCCAACCATTCTCACTTTCTTCAGCAATCTGTCTCTTTGTAGCCTTGCACTCAATGAGTGCTATAATTGGAAGAACTCTGTTAACTTGAAAGGTAAATAATGGTAACATTATTTTAATTTGTGTTTTTCTGATGACTCATGAGTTGAACATGGTTATAGTTTTGATCACTTCTTTCTTTCCTAGAGTATTACCTATTCCTATAATTGTCTTTTTTTGGAGTATTTCTATTTTTTCTTAACAGAGTTTAGTGCTTAGAATCATAGGCTCTCTAGCACCGATTTTCCGAGCATCATGCTGACTCTGTCACTTCTATGGGACACCAATGGGCAAGTTGCAGAATGACTGTGCCTCAGTTCTCATCTTTAAAATGGGTAATAGTAGATATGACTATGTCTCAGAGTAGTTGTGAGGAGTAATGAGATAAAATATATTAAGTGCTCACAACACTACCTGGCACATAGTATATGCTCCATAAATGTTATCTATTATTATTAGCTATTTAAATATTAAGGATATTATTTCCTTGTGGATCACTTTTTAAAAAATATCCTTCTTCATTTAATACTTGCCTCTTCCTTTTATCCAAGGTTTTAATCTTCAAATGTGTTAAACTTTAGGTGGCTGGATTTGTTGATCTTTAACTTTGCATTTTCCTTCAATGCTTTTGTGAGCAGAGAGTCTCCCTCAATGGCAATTTGTGAAAGAATAGATTTTCAGACGCTATTTCTATTTTTCTTTTCCTATTTATGATTTGTCAATTTCCTGCCATGTGTTTCAGTCCTCTTCATTCTTTTTTCCCTCATTTCCTTTATTTTTATTTTTGATTGTGACAGAATATATGTAACATATAATTTACCAGCTTAATCATTTTAAGTCAGGAGTGTAAAGTACATTCACACTGGTGTGCAATCAAAATCCAGAACTCATTTCATCCTGCAAAGCTGAAACTCTACCCCTCTTAAACAACAACCCCTCATTCCAACCTCCTCTCAGCCCCACTGGCAAGTGCCTTTCTACTTTCTGTCTCTACAAATTTAACTACTCTAAATACCTCTTATAAAGCGAATCATACAATATTTGTGTTTTCATGACTGGCTTATTTCACTTAGCACAGTCTCCTCAAGGTTTATACGTATGTAGCATGCATTATAATTTCATTTTTTTAAGGCTGAATAATATTTCATTGTATATGTAGATGTATAGACTACCTTTTGTTTATCCATTTTCTCATCAATTGGGCACTTGGGTTATTTTTACCTTTTGACTAATGTGATTAATGCTTCTATGAGCATATTTGTACAAACATCTCTATTAGACACTACTTTAAATTATTTTAGTTATACACCCAGAAACAGAATTGCTGGATCATATGGTAATTTTATTTTTAATTTTCTGAGAAACTGCCATACTGTTTTCCATAGTGGCTATATCATTTTACTTTCCCATCAACAGTGCACAAAAGTTCCAATTTCTCCACATCCTCACCAACACTGTTATTCAAATGTAATGGCAAAATAGAAGCATTTTTCGCACACAAAAAGAATAATACAATTTATTGTCCACATAACTGAAGTAAAAGAACTATTAAAGTTTGTGCTTTAGCAATAAGACAGTGAACTCAGGATGAAGGTGAGGGTCTAAGAATTTCTGAGTTGAACTACAGTTTTAGAACATGTATTGGTAAATTTACTTTAACATTAATCATAAAAATATAAATACCCCTTTTTAAAAGGGAAAAACTAGAACTATGAGCAATAACAAGATTTTGTGGGAAGTGTTCAATGGATAGTTAAAGCATTCTATGGAAATTCTCAGGATAACAAAAGAGATAATGAGTAGCAACAGTCCTGTTGGAAAAATTTACATTTGGTAAAATTTATAAATGTAGCATCTATCTGTAAGTCTGTTCTTTTTATAGTTGAATATATCCGTTCATATGGACATACCATATTTTGCTTCTCCATTAACAAGTTGATAGACATTTCAGTAGTCTCCAAATTTTGGCTATTATGAATGATGCTGTTACGAACATTCATGCACAAGTCTTTGTCTGGACACAGATTCTCATTTTTCTTGAGTATAGATCTAAGAGTGAAATTACTGGGTTATATAGTAAATAATAATTTTTGAGTAAACGTAGCATTTCACATTCCCACCAGCAATGCATGAGAGTTCCAGTTCTTACATTCTCGTCAGTCCTTGTTATTATTAGTCTTTGTTTAGAGTGGGTTCTAAGTATATCTCTTTGTTGTTTTAATGTTAAATACACCCTTTCGAACTAGTAAAATCTTTGAGAAACTGTGACTCCTCCCTAGCTCTCTGGACTCCCAAAGCTTTAATCCACTGTTTAGTGTTCTTTTAACAATTATGATGTGGCTATAATTTATTCATTGATCAATTCATTCATTGATTCATTAACTCAACAGTGATAACTGAACATCTGCAATAGGTCAAGCGATATTCCAGGAATAAAAAACTGAATTAAATTGATTCCTGCTCTCAAGGACTTGACTAACCTAATTGGAAACATGGACCTAGACAGTAAGAATTAAAATACAATGTGGTAGATGCAAATAAAGTACAAAATGTTATTCAAGTTCTGATCTAGTCAAATCTTAATATGTCAAGGGCTTTCAGTTGCCATTTTCCTTGTCATGAGAACATCTTTCTAACATGCTCAGGGTTGATTTCTAATGGTAAGAGAATGAGGTTGGAATGAGATAGGAGCTGACTTCCAGTCAACACTGTGGGCTCCACATATCACTTTTCTTTAGTCCATTATCAGTGCTATTATCTAGTTCAGAACTTGATATGCTCAAAACACCCTAGTTTCTGTTCTTGCATCTTAAAGTAGAAAGATCAGATGCTATTTCCATTAGTTGTCCATCTAAGGATACCATATAGCTATTCCCTTGATAGATTTAGTTTCACCACCTTACATTGAATTTTTCTTAAGAAGGAAGCAACTAAAATAAACAAGAAGTTCAATCCTGAGATTCTGAGGGCAATGGCATTTGCAAGCAATTTGTGGCAGGTAAGAGAGCAGTCCATAAAGTACTTCCTCCTAGGATGTTCTTGTGATTTCTGCTCTAATATATCTCCCACCCCCAAAATGCATGCAAGTGCCTACACACACACACACACACACACACACTGCCACCACCTTCTCCACTTCCCTAAACCCAATGAATGACTAACTTGCACAACATTCATCCACAGATTTTAAATATGAATACAAAGAAGGGATTCTAGTGATTGATACTTTTCCTGACCTTTAGATAACAGTTAACTAAACCATTTTAAGCTGATGTTGACATAGCCTATTAAATATCTCTACAGCAGAAATTCTATAATCTGCATTGTTCAGAAGTCCTGAAGTCTATGATTTAATGTAAAAATAGACCAGAAATCTGAAGAATTTATACAATTTATATTTATAACACAGTTGACTTAGTTGAATGTGTCAGAACACAATATGTGTACATATAAAATTTTTGGTGAAGTATGCCATAAAATTATAATTTGTTCATTAATTTTACCAGTTCACAAACATTTCTTAGGTATGGGTAATATGTCAGGCTATATGCTAGTTATTGTGGATACATGGATAAGAAAAAGACAATCCTCATCTTAAAGGAACAAACTCATTGGAGATAGACCTGTAAACAAAGAATTACCACACACAGTAATAAACATAGGGGAAAAAGAAAAATTAATCATCAGGATAGGAATGAAGGAGTTTTAGGGAAGACTTCCAAAGAAATAGGTTTTTGAACTGTGTCTTAAATATTTGCTACTCACAAAGTGTGGTTTTCAAACTGGGGGTATTCGCCTTTTCCAGAAGCCTGTTAGAACTTCAGAATCTCAGATCCCATTCAGGACATACCAAATCAGGATCTCTATTTTAATAAGATCTCTGGTCATTTGTATGACATTAAATTTTAAGAAGGTTTGCTTTAAAGGATGGTGAAGAATTCCCAAGTAGGTTTGAAGGAAAGGAAAAATATTCTCCAGAAGTGGGAACGATACTTGTAAAGGGACTATCTTGGACAAGATTCTCCTCAGAAGCACACTCTGAGGCAAAGAGTTGAGTACAGCAGTTTATTTGGGAGGAAACACTAGTAGGGGAGTGGGAAGTGAGATAAGGAAGGGAAGAATGACTGTAAAGAGTGTCTTTTCTGGCAGATTACTTCTGTGAGCAACTGGGTCTCTCAGTTCTTTGGGAGCACCCTGGGAAACAGTGTGGCTATGACTTGGAGCTGCTCACCAGTTCCAGTCATTCTGTGGTTGAGAGCTGCTCCCTATGGATGTTAATTCTTCTCTATTTTAGATTTTCCACAGGTGTGGGCCCCATTAGCTCTGGCCACCTGAGAAAGCCCTCAGGCAAAGAGTCGCAGGTGAAAGCCAGCAGTTAGAGGTTCACAGAAATGGTGAGTGCTGAACGGATATGGGTGGGTATCAATGATGGCTGCTATAGAGATCAAGGCATGAAACGGGACTACAAGGTATACTCAAGGAATTGCTGGTTGTCTAGCATTCTGGGAGTGTAGGGAATAAGTGTGGAAGTATCAGGATCTAAGGGTGTCTAGATACATAACAGCCAAATCATGAAGGGCCGTGTGAGGAAGACATGCTAAGGAAGTTGGAACTTATTTTGCGGGCCACTAAATATTTAAAAAATAGAGTGTCATAGTAGAAATTTCATCTTTGGAAAGATTATTTTGCAGTCTAGAGGGTGGGACTTCAGTGAGACTGAAGACAGAGAGGCCAGTTAAGAACTCTATCATCTTGGATACAGCTTTTGTAGTTACGGTATCACCATTAGCTGACTGGATTAATTAATATCTCTATTGAGCTTCTGCTGTGTTTGCAGCATTTTGCAGGTAGCTGTGTGAGGTATATCAGGTATTTTCTTTAATTAATGAAAATAATCTGTTTAAAGTCTATTCAATATATTGGTGCTATTGCTGTATGTTAGTAAGTGTTGGTGTGTTTAAATTTTACATGATGTGTATATATCACAGGTCTTGAGTACGCTAGCTGATACCTAGTATCATTCTCTAAAAAACGACCAATAGTATTTTTCTTTTTCCTGAGAGCACAGGATGAAATTTAAGCTAATAATTTTCTTTTATACCAAAAAATTACCTTTATACAAATTTTTTAATACCAAAAGTTCCCATTCATTGGGAACTATATGTAGGTCCCCAGTGAATGAATATATTAATTATTCACCTTGCCCATGGACACTAGTCACATTTTATTTGCGACCATTGCCACATCTCATAGAATAGGAATTTCTTGATTATTGCTATATTCACTCATATCAAAGTGTTGCCTTCCATTTCTCTTAGCTAAGATAGGCAGAAAACTTTTTACTAAGCCAGATAAATAATGGCTCATGTACTAATCCTTGTGAAATTAAACAAAAAAATCTGTGAAATTAAAAAAAATTATGAAATTAAAAAAAAATGGAAAGAAATTCCTGCCATGTCACTTACTATCCCTAATCTTAATTTCAGTGTTGTATAGATGTGTGCTTCTAAAATGTCGTGTTTTTCACACTTCGTTTCAATCCTTGAACTCTATTGAAAAGCTTCATTATATATTCTCCATTACTGATCTCGTTATAAAAATTTGATGTTGCTTAAAATAACCATTTGCTTTATTAAGCCAAGCTTTGTTTACTTCTGTATCTGTTGAGATTAACCTCCCATCACCATCCTTATACATGTACCCTTTGATTATTCTCAGTATTGATATCTTGGTCTTCCAAGAGCTGTAAGTTTTTAATTCACAAAAGGAAGGAGGTTCTAGGATTCAACTAATGTGATGACTAGATTTGTATATGGTATTAAAGTATTAAAGGAGAGAATTTCTTCGCCCATAGCTTATCATTTATTTGAATGCAGAGAAAATTTACTGGGGAGATTCAAAATGATAAATTTGTCTATGTGGAATTCAATAAGCAAAATGCTGAAATAGAGTCTAAATCTTCCATCATCACTAAAGCTGTTTGATAAGAAATTTATCTCCTCTTGTCTGCTTTAGCTTGATCTAAGTTAAGTACTAATGAATCATGACCCAGTCTGTGTTCCTTTGTCCTCACATTTTACTTGCTGTGGCAAGGATTCAAAAGTGATTGATTAATGTCAAATAGGTTTTCGCTCTCTATTGGAAATCTTGCTGCAGTAACACATGCTTTTTTTGTTTTAAATTTATATAAGGCAACTTTCTCTATGGTGGGTACCGTAGAAGACTAGAAGTTTCTATTATAACACATTCATCATTTTGAAAAATGAAGGTGGCTGGCTGCAGTGGCTCACGCCTGTAATCCCAGCACTTTGGGAGGCCGAGGCGGGTGGATCACCTGAGGTCAGGAGTTCGAGACCAGCCTGGACAACATGGTGAAACCCTGTCTCTACTAAAAATACAAAATTAGCTGGGTGTGGTGGCGGGTGCCTGTAATCCCAGCTACTTGGGAGGCTGAGGCAGGAGAATAGCTTGCACCCAGGAGGCGAAGGTTGCAGTGAGTCGAGATCATGCCACGGCACTCTAGCCTGGACAACAGAACGAGACTCCGTCTCAAAAAAAAAAAAAAAAAGTGTGAAGCTATCTGAAGATTGACTCAATTGACCTGATGCAATGAGGAAGTCCACTAGAGGATTTAAGCAATAGGCCAAGTTTTCAATCAAATCTTAAAATAATTAAGTGACCTTAAAATTCTTGACTAAATTTCTGAGTGATCACTTGTGTATTCTCATCAAATGAGGTAGTTAAGAGACCTGAGGAAGAGAATACTTTTGGATCTGAGTTTCTGTCTGTTAAGTAAAAATGGATTTGTTGTATAATCTGAGTAAGCTGTTTACCATCTCAAGAGTCTCCATTAAGAAAAAAAATGTTAGATAGTGGACAACAATGCTCTCTTTATGAGGATTACATGGTGTAAAGTGACTGTCATGTGTCAAAGCTTCATAAATTGGGGAAATAGATAAATAACTGTGGATAGTTTTGCCTTTTTGTAAACAGATACTGATAAAAAGACCTAGAATAAAGGCTCTCTCTTTTAATAATTTCTGAATTTCTTGTAACTTTCCACTGCCTTTCACTCAAACTCCCCATTACTCCAGTTATGCAGCATTTATGCTGGGGGCTTTATGGGCTGCCATTGCTGCTGTGCATGCTTTTCCATTTAATTTTAAAGTTCCATTGTTCTAGGGCATTAGGATTGTTATCAGATTTCTTAAGGTCAAGGTCAGTGAGTCAAATATACTGGAGCATAAAACATTTTTTTCATCCTTTTAAAAGTCACATTTATTTTGAAAAGACCAGGAAACCCACCCATCTTTACCTCTCCTTAATGTTGATCCAATCTGAGCTTTAAATTTTTTACTTTTTGCAGCATGATTTGTAACATAGATGGCTAGCCTTAAATTTGGCCAAAAAAAAAAAAAAAAAGGGTTTCTTTTTTGCTTTTGCTGAAGCGAGCCCTTCTGGTCATCTATAGGTCAGCTCTTGTTGGTGAACTGATGACAGTGGAGGCACCTGCACTTTGGAAATAAACATTATATCAAAAGAAGTCAAGCAGCAAAGGTTAAACCAGAACATGGACCCTGTTGCTCACATGAGCCCCAGGCAGGCATTCTATAGAATCTGAGAAGCTAGTCTCTAGGGAGAGGCAGAACTTTGTGTTCTCGCCCAATCACTCTCCACTGCTGCTCAGGACAATGCAGACATGCCCTAGTGAAAGTCAGCTCTACCCACGCAAAGCGAGATAGGAGAACATTTTAGGGTGAAACTAGAAAATGATACATGAAGATAATTGCAAAAAATAAAGTGATTTTAAAGTTTTCTTTGGGGCATGGTCATCTGCATGGGGATATCTAGAACTGTGGCAGCCATCTGGAGACCTTGAAGCAAGTCAGTCTAAAAGCAGACACTTTGCTATGTCTTAAATCTCACTATTGGCAAAATGGAAAGAAGAAAAGCATCTATGTTTATTACTTCCACTGGTTTACTGAATTAACCAACATAACAAGAAAGGAGAGAGTTTCAGGAATTTTTGTATGTTAAAGAAGTGATTTTTAGATGTTAGCAACTATAAACTAAAGATGGTCCTTTGAGTTAGAGATAAAATAGAGCTTTTTGGTGACCTCCTTTGTAGTTGAATAACCACTACCTACACAGGATCTTCACTGAGGCAATTGGTTTTAAATATCACCTTTGAAGCCAACATTTCTCCTGTTAATTTACAATCTTTAGAGTGATAGGTAATTAAAAGGCTATAACAGGGAATGTGCTCACAGAATAAATATGAAACACCTTTGATACTGTGGTGCTAAAGGATAGATGAGAAAGTCTTCAGTCAGCTTCAGGTTTTCTCCCATTCGAATCATGAGGTTAGCATTTAATTAGTAAAGGGGTGGGACAATGTAACAGACTAGGTATCTAAAGACTCATTCTTTCCTTCACTTAGGAGAATTACTACCAGCCAATTATCCTTTTACAAAATGCTATTTATCTCATCTTCATGTATACATCTTAGAAATAAGGGAGGATGCTATGATTCATGCCTGTGATTTTGGTCTCTTGGTTTTAAAATTGCCCGTAAGTGTAGATGCTGTTATGATGTCACACTCACAAGAAACCTGAGTTTACCATCAAGACCCATTGTGAAAGCTTGACATTGTTATTCCAGCATTATCCAAAGTTATTATTTTTGTGAGGCAGGATGAAGCTGAATTGAACTAAAGAACTAGACATACTGTACAAAACCTGATGACTTTTTCTTGAAAGCTGACCCAGACTGCTACAAGCTCTTTAACTTTTGTAATTTAAAATTAATTTGAATGAAAAAATATTAGGAGCACTTGTTTCTGGCTATTTTGAACAAAGTCATTTCTTTTTGGAACATTAATGGCTCCAAGGTAGAAGGAGAAAAATGAGAACTTGCTTATGAGCTTATGGAAGAAACATTACGTTTTCAAAATGAGAACCCAAGGTAATTACTTCACTTGAGGAAAAAAGGGAGTATGGCACTTTGGCACATTCCACAAACCAATTAAATATTAGCAAAACAAGTAGCCTTAGAAATGACATTTCTTTATGTGGAATATATAAGCTCAGATTTTAGAGATAAATCTTATCTCAACACTTCTGTCTCTGCCTCCCTACTCCACTCCTATAAGTTTCTCACCTATAAACAAGAAAATATTCTTCAGAGTATCAGCTTGGCATTAGCATAGGTCATGGAAAATCCAGTGAGCCCAGTAACAGAGTGTGATACTGTGTGTAATGCTACTTCCAGGAAGTGCAGTGCTGCTACCTGGGGAAACAGACTCAGATGAATGGGCTGACCTTGGGTGAGTTGTATAGTCATGCTTTCTTGGTTTCCTCAGCTGCAAAGGGGTAATGGTGATGCTATCTACCTTGCTGGTGTTCCACATATATTACTGAAATGGTAGTTGGTTAACACTTTGAATGAATGTGCTGTTTTAAAACTGCCCTTATTGCCGTCTCTTCAGGGCATAGAAATCTTTTACAGCCAGGAGCTAGTCTACCTGTACACCATGTCCATGAAGGTTGGAAAGGAGAAGAATGTGAATCTTAGACGAGAGCATGAGTTCAATTATTTAGATCATGACAAGGCAATGCACTTATTTGTGAGTGGAGAAAGACCATTCTGCATCTGGCAGTGGCCACCCCCAAATAAACATAAGTAAAATTAAGTTATATTTCCATCATACTCAAATTAAAAATTAAAAAACTGTCCAGAAAAGGGCAAAGATGAATATATATTGAGGGGAATTGATAATTATTTATTCTCAACATGTACTAATCATTACACTGGAAGAATGCATAAGTTATTTTCATATGGTCTGCTTATAGCAAACTCACTCTTATAGCTATCAGATACTCAAGGGTTTTCATTAAAAACCGGTACTCAAATTAATAGTCTTCCAGTTCGAATGGGAATAGGAGAAAAGGTTAGACACGGCTGTTATTTCAGCTTTGGCTGCTGTCCAAGACGCTGATGTGCTGTTACCTAGCAGTAGGCATTGGGGCCACAGAAAGCCTATGTGTCAATTCTATGACCAATCTGCCTGAAGTTCTGCAACAGTGAAAATAGTAACTTTCTTAGAATCCCATGGCTCACAACACTTCTGCTTATAGAAATAAAATTTGTCTTTTGAAGAATGTGCACTACAACTGGAAAAATAGGTCAAGACATTTTAAAGTGCATTTAGATAACAAGAAATGTTCAGTGATAGTCACAAAATCCAACCCCTATGTGCCATTAATTAGTGCACTTTCAGCTTTGAATGCCGTTGGTTGTCCACAATCCAGGCATCTTAAACCTGTAAAAGAAAAGGATGGATTTTATGGCCACCTCGCTATGGCGGTTTTAAATAGAGTAATAACCTAAGTTCTATCATTATTAAGTCTCAAAGACAGTGATGCCTAATAGTATAATTATTTGTCTGTTTATAGATTCTCAATGAACAGTATGTCTTAGTTTATTGCTGTACTTGTTTGGATGTTAATTAACTGTCAGAGCAATTAAATAACAATTCTTATCATTTGAGGGGCTTAAGGAGAGTCTGCTGGGTCAGTTTAAGATTTAAATGTAGTCCAAATTGCCCAAGATAACATTTTTTCCCCTTTCCCTTTAGAAGCATTTTTATATGCATTGTTCTTTAGAATCCTCCACAGACAGCATACTCTCCAGTTTTGGAAATTCTGTTTGGAACTCAAAAATGCTCCCTTTAAGGAATGTCTTATAATGATTTTTTTTTTATAACCAAGCCAGAGATAAAGAAGCAGTGGGTTCAGCCATTTATATCACACCCTTTGCACACATCTTTCCCACCTTAGCTTGCATGTACATATGTAAATAATGTGAGTCAAGAAACTGAGAAAAATGTGCACATCTTCTACTGAATTCCCCAAATGGGCAACTCAGGCCATTATTGGCTCTTCAGTTACCTAGCAAATATGCTTTCTGCTAGAAAGAGTGGAAAGGCAGAAGCTCCTGAAATTGCTCAGCTATCTGGGTAAACTCAAGAGCCATGGGACTGGGAATTTCAATCTGGATTCTCTAAAATCTCTTTGTGAGTATTGAGGTTGCTTGCTGGCTTAGAAAACTGTCAGTGCTCACAAGAAACTCTTCACAACTATTAACAGATGACTCAGTTTGCCTCTGTATGTTCTCCCAATAGCAGAATTGTTGGCTGGCACCTGCTCCGCTTTTTAAGCAATCCCAGAAAATGGATGTTAAAACCTTCTGGTGATTCAGCAGCGTGTGGAAATGTTACTGCTGTGCTAGAAGGATTTGTTTCTACAGGCAAAGAGCTTTTATGTATTTGCCTGGGTTATTTAATAAATTTTGGTTTATAGAGGCCATTTATTTATGCTTTTCTGTCTATAGCTGGACCACACTACTCTGTTATATAAACACTGAACCAATCCTCCATGCTACTATATTTTTGAGTTTTTTACATCAAATTAGTTTTATACATCATACTCTTCATACCACACCAAAAGACTGTTTTGAGGACTGGCCTTCACAAAAGTTGAGCTTTAACTGTATATTTAAAGAAACAACTGTCCCCTTTCCACTGTTTTTTCAGAAGTCTGAATCAGCCCCTGCCCCCAGGGTAAAATTACACTTAGCACCACCTCATGCAGCTGGCAGGACAACTCATCCAATTTACTCCACAGATATAATCCTGCATTTGAATAACTGAGGTAAACATAGTTTATTGCTACCATAAGGTACTGTCCTTGCAACTGTAGGCAGTCATTAAGTCAATGATAATTTATGGTTCTATCACCACAAAAAGGTGTATCAAACTTTTTGAACTCTGCAATCAAAAAGAACTAAAAATGCCCATAAATCTGAATGTTATCATCCTAAAACCTTTGAGGATTGAGCTGATGTCATCTTCTTTCCCAGTTATACTGCACCACATAATTATTATGTTAAAAAGAGAAAAGAAAATGTATTACAAGCCTTGTAGACATAATTTGATGTGAGAAAACCTTAAAATACATGAGTTTCATAAAGTGGAGTCCATCAACCCATGATATAGTCCGTCAGCATCTATAGGCCATGGGTCCTGTAGATGTAATTGTCCTAATGAAACAAGCCCATTTAAAGCATATATATTCTGTGCTAGGTTCTGCACACAGCAAATTCTATAAAAAAATTGATATTTGGTTTTATAAAGTCCTAAGCTGGCAGTCAAGAAGAATGGTCTCTTTTACACATTCGAAATAGCCATTCCACATCTTGGACCTGGTCCTGCTCTGTGGACGGTATTATCACCACTGTGTCTTTTAGCTCTAAGACTGTTTTGGAAAAAAATCTTATAGATACTCTAAAGCCATACATTGCAGAAGAGAATGTTTAACATTAAGATACAAAAGTAGTTTTAAATTTTAGAGCAAGACAAATAAATTTATTAAACTAATCTCATGTTATTTGTGCCCACACTGAGATAACAGACAGTTCTACAGTCATTTTAAAATGCAAATGTTTTCAGTTCAGGAATTAGGCTTATCTTTGGAAAATAGTAATCAAAACCCCAAATGTTATTTAACAGGTAAACTCCTTTTGACAGGTTGGGTTTACTTTGGTCTGGAAAATTCTAGTAGAAAAGTGGTGGGATGGAGTTAATTTCTTATTTGTTTTTCCTGCCTCATGGCTCCCTCTTGCTAACTAGTTTCTAAACACTTTGGAGTGGAGAAGTAGCAGGGAGAAGAGAGGAAGAAATAAATGGGTAGGGTCTAGGTCTTACTAGATCAAAGTAACATGGCTTCTTGCCCTCTGGGGCTGGCCCTTTCTGTTGTGAAAAACATTTTTCAGAGGCTGAAAGAGTGTACCTTCTGGGTCTCATTCTTTCTTCCCAGCAATCCTCTTGACCCAAGTAGATGCATCCTATTCTGGGTAGATTTGCAGTTTCTTCCACAGCCATTTATCCCCAGCTTGTTGCTTCTGTGCCTCTTCTGCACCTGCAAGCTATGCTATTGGAAAGAGCCCAGAGTGATCTGGAATCTGCTCTACCATGTGGCACCCCTCTCTGTTGAGGGAAGCACTGATTCCCCACTGTCCCCCAACAAATTATAGGAGTCTATTTCTCTTCTCCTGACTCCTATCTAGGTATTACTTGGCTCTCACTGTCTAAATTTCCTGGGTAGGTGTCAGATCCCGGTCTGTCCTGCCCTCCACGTTAGGCAGTCACATAGGCACTCCAAGTAGCCCCATGGACTCACTCTCACCAGACTTGGGGCATCTGCCACCTTTCTCATGAGTTAAAGGAGAGGGCTCAAAGTCGAGCTTTCTTCAGTGACATCTCAACAAATCCTCCTCACAGGATTCTCCCTCCTACACTTTTGCACACATTTAATATTTCAAAGTGCATAAAAAGGTTCAAGAGATAAGGAAGAATTTCTTGGGAATTTCCTCTGAAAATTTGCATTTAATGATTCCGCAATTCACCACGAGCCCCTCATCTTTTATAAGTTAATGTTTAGTTGAAATATCAATTTTAACACCTAGCAGCTTGGCTAGATGGTTAAGCATTTATAGAAAGGATGCGCAATGAATACATAATTGCAGAAATACTCTTTTAAAAAATCCACAATTGAGTTTTTTAAGAAACCTAACTACTTTAATGAGATTTAATTCATATACCACAAAATTCAACTTTCAAAACGTGTATGACTCACTGTTTTTTAGTGTATTCACAGAATGACGCAACCATCAGAACTAATTTTAGAGTAGTTTCATCACCCTCAAGAGACACCCTATATCTCTTAACAGTCATCCCCATTCCCTGCCCACTACCTACACCTCTGGAAACCAGAGGTTTCTTCCTGTATCTATGAATTTGCCTATTCTGAACAGTTAATAAAAGTTAAGTGGCTGGGTGCAGTGGCTCACACTTCTAATCCTAGCACTTTGGGAGGCTGAAGCGGGAGGATTGCTTGAGCCCAGGAGTTCAGGGCAGCCTGGGCAACATAGGGAGAGCCCCATCTCTACAAAAAAGCAAAAACGTTAGTCAGCATGGTGGCATGCAGCTGTGGTCACAGCTACTTGGGAAGCTGAGGTGGAAGGGTCACTTGAGCCCCAGAGGTTGAGGCTGTAGTAAGCTGTGGTTGCGCCACCACACTCTAGCCTGAGTGACAGAGTGAGACATTGTCTCAAAAAAGAAAAAGAAGAAAAGAAAAGAAAGTGAAAAATAGAGTCATACAACATATCACCTCTTGTATATGGTTTCTTTTACTCAGCATAATGTTCCCAAGATCCATCCGTGTTGTAGTTTCCACTGTTACTTCATACTTTTTACTTCCAAATAATATTTCATTGTATGGATACACCACATTTTGTTGATACATTTATTATTTGATGGACATTTGGGTTGTTGTCAATTTTTGGATATTATGAATAATGTGGCTACGAACATTTGTGTACAAATTTTTGAGTGGACATGCTTTCATTTCTCTTGGGTATAAACCTAGGACTGGATCATATACTAACTGCATATTTAACATTTTGAGGAAGTGTTTACCAAAGTGTTTACTAAAGTGTCTGCACTATTTTGCATTCCCACCAGCAATGTATGAGGGTTCCAATTTCTCCACATCCACACCAACACTTGTTATTACCTTTTGTTTTTATTTTAATTATCCTAGTGTTGGTAAACTGATTTTGATTTGCATTTCCCTAATGACAAATGATGTTGAACATATTTTCATTTGTTTTCTGGCCACTTGTGTATATATTTTGGAAAAATGTATATTCATGTGCTTTTCTCATTTATTAATTACTTTTTAATTGTTAATTAAAAGTTCTTTATTTATGATGCAAGTCCCTTATCAGATAGATGATTGCAAAATTTTCTTCCCATCTGTGGGTTGTATGTTTACTTGGTGTCCTTTGAAGCATGAAAATCTTTAATTTTGTTGAAATCCGATATATATCTTTTCTATTGTTACTTGTACATTTACTGTTATCTAAGAAACCATTGCCTATCCCAATGTTATGAAAATTTATTCTATGTTCTCTCCTAAGAGTTCTAGAGTTTAGGCCTTCAATTTATACCAACGATCCATTTTGAATTAATTTCTGTATATAATATGAGAGAAGTGTCCAACTTTATTCTTTTGCATTTGGGTAACCAGTTATTCTGGCAACATGTGTTTGAAAGGAGATTCTTGGCCTGGCATGGTGGCTCACACCTATAATGCCAGCACTTTGGGAGGCCGAGGCAGGCAGATCACTTGAGGTCAGGAGTTCAAGACCAGCCTGGCCAACGTGGTGAAACCCCATCTCTATTAAAAATATAAAAATCAGCCTAGTGTGGTGGTGGGCACCTGTAATCCCAGCTACTTGGGAGGCTGAGGCAGGAGAATTGCTTGAACCTGGGAGGCAGATGTTTCAGTGAGCCAAGATTAAGCCACTGCACCCCGGCCTGGGTGACAGAGCGAGACTCCATCTCAAAATAAATAAATAAGTAAATAAATGTTTAAAAAGTTTAAAAAATAAAAGGAAATTCTCAAGACTTAACAGCAGCTTGGGTGTTTTGGTGGCATCTGTGTCCAGGTGTAAGTGATGATAAAACACTATATATGGAAAGTTCAGTTATAAAAATAATTTATTGCTCCTTGAGGGAGTTCCTGACTCAGGACTGAACTATATGAAAATAAACATCCCACTACAATTAGTTCATGTTTCTTTATTTTTATTTTTTGGCTGCTGTACACCCAAGATAGCTGCCTTTGGGGTCAAAATGCATTCCTGCAATTCTTAAGGATTCCAATATTCCTCTCTATGTTGATGAAATAAGGCTAAGGAACAAAAAAGACTGATGTTACCTGTAACAAATTATAAAAACAAAAATTGCATTGAGGTTTTATATATATATATATATATTTATATATATATTTATATATATATTTATGTATATATATTTGTATATATATTTATATATATATTTATGTATATATATTTATATATATATTTATGTATATATATTTATGTATATATATTTATGTATATATATTTATATATATATTTATATATATATTTATATATATATATAAACACACACACACACACACACACACACACTACTCTCAGACTTTTATACAAGATTTCGTGATCTTGTATAAAAGACAAAAATTGCATTGAGGTTATATATATATACACATATATATGTGTATATACACACACACACATATATGTATATATATATATATACACATATATATGTGTGTGTGTGTATATATATATACGCACACTACTCTCAGACTTATATACAAGATTTCATGATGAGCAGCTAACAAAGAGACTGAATATCCTAACAAGGTCATTTTTAAATGATGTAACAGCAAAAAAATGGAAAGATTTTTCTTTGTTATAAGAGTATAGTAAAACCTAAATGAACAGAGTGCTAGAAAATTTTCCTACTTCAGCAACCTATTATCAGAGTAATTTATATCTGCATTGATCTGCAAACCTAAATAAAGAACCAAACTATATTATATGTCAATTCAGGGGAATATTCTCTACATGTTTGAATTGTGTGTGACCAAGAATTGTGTTTCATTACAAATTTGTAGGGACTGCATTAGCTCCACCATGAACAAATTGCCTATTATAATATGTGCTAAATTTATAAACAATTAAGTGATTTATATCTTCAACTGTGTTTCTTTTTTTAATGTTACTTCCTTGACTTTTAATTAGAGTCCTGGGAGGTAAGAGAGAGAAGAAGCAGAATTGCTTGTCCCAGTTAGTTCTGTATCATCAGTCATCATTAGGAAATTAATACGACTTTGCCATCCTCTTTTCTATCTAGATATACATGGGTATGTTAGAGTAGAAAATAACCACTTGAAACTTACAAAAGCAGGTGAGAAGGGTTAGAATACTGTTCAAGATATTGGGGTTACTAAGATCTCATGAGAACAAAGGGCTAAGGTTGTAGGTACTTCAGGGGAGGTAAAAGTAAATAAATTGCTAGAAAAGGTCAATACAGTCTCAGATTACTGTTGCTGGGAACCAAGATGGTAAGACCCCTTGTGAATAGAGATATTAAAGGACAGGAAATCTTTCTATATTCTCAGCACTCCAGGAATAAATCACTGTGCACAGTCAGATAAGACTGAACTACATTAATCTGTTAATACTAAGATCAATTATTTCATTACTCTTTAATATGCTAATAATCAGAAATCAGGGAAATTCTAGAGCTAATGATTGGCAGGAGAGAGAAGAAGCAGAGGTGTTGTGAGATCCATGTATCAAAAAATCAATCACAGAAACTTAAAAATGGATTCAAGTTTTCAATGTCAGACTAAAGACAAGTTTATCAACTCTTCCTCCCATGACCTAATTACAGAAACAGGAATGACATTAAAGAAGGCAACCAATTAAAGAATGACATAAAAGTGACATAATTTCCAACAGAAATAATGAACTGTAGAAGGGATCATCAGTGGACATAACATTTAATAAAATCTGTGGAAGTCAGAAAGCTGAGGAAGGGATGGTGACTACTGAATTGAGTGAAGGAAACCATAGCCTAGAATATCCTTGAGGGCCACTGCAGTGAAAGAGGCCTCTAATCTACCTGTAGGGTCCCATAGGTGCTATAGATTTAAAGAAGAGATCCCCAGCATAACGACTGGCTTTCTTCTCACTCAATTTAAAGCAAAGTCTGCCAGCCAGCAAGCTCAACTCACATACAGCACCCAGTCAGCCTTTCTGTTGCCTTATTCTTATATATAAACAAGCAACAAAGGATCATAGATATTTGAGGAAAGCCTGCAACACAAGAGAGACTGGATGAAAAAAATGCATCAGGAAAAACAGGAAAAATTTCAATAATGCAAAAAGAATTATATCCTTAAATTGGTGACCTCAGATATTTTTATGACTATACTACATATGCAAATGAGATAAGCATATTGTAAAAAATAAAAAATGAATTCCAATTCAAGATGGCAGATCAGCACATGCATTGATCTCTTTTTCCTATTGACTCCATGAAAACAATAGTAAAATAAAAAGGTATAAACCTACATAAGTGGAGTGAGAAACTAGAAAATGTGAGATCAGAATAAGTTTCTGAAATCTAGAAAGAAATCCAGTGAACACTGGGAAATAATGAAGCAGAGTGGCAGGCTTTCAAGCTAGAGAAACTTGACTTAATGTTACTAATGGGACCCTAATAAGGCCTATGGAAAAATGAATTTTAATATATTATTACAGAAGTCCAGGAGGAAGGCCATGAGAGCCACATGAAGACCACAAGTCTATGAAAGGCCATCCAATGTGTTGGTAGGTCCTATAAAAGAAATTAATGGAGAGGTCCTTAAAAAAGAAGCAATAATTAGGGATTTACATTTGAATAACTTGACTTTGGAAAAGAGAAGACACACTTTTCCCAAATATTAGCAAAAGAAAATAATGGAGGCTGGATAAGAAGAGATGAGATCATGGACTGAGAATCAGATGGGTTTCAGGTAAGCTAGGGATGCAAGAGGAAAGGTAAAGGTTTTAAGCAGCTATTGAGAGAAATATGTAATGGAACTGACACAAGATGAGAAATCATTGCTCAGTAGCAGTGAGGTCTCAGTTGAAGCTGGAATGAGTCATAATCAAACAAATCACCAGTGATTTTCTCTATTCATGCTCAGATGCCATAGGTATTAACACTGCAGAGAATCAAGAGGCCTGGTGATGCTTGTGTAGAATTGCTGAAACGGTTGATCGTGGAGGACAGACAGGAGAGGAATCATGCAAATACTACCAGAAAAGGTTAATGGATGGGGGAATATAAAGGAGAAAGAAGCCTGCAAAAGCAATGAAAGCAAAGAACAGGCTTAGTGGAGGTAAGGCTGTTTGAGGTGAAAGACTTGGGGGCCATGATTACAACTGAAATACAGGGTCCTAACTCATAAAGTCAGTGTATTGCATGTGAATGAGAAGATGCAAGGCATAGCTTTAAAGGTCACTAGATGGCATAGGGTATACATCTGGAGATCCATCTTAGCATTTTTTTGGTAACTAAGCATGTACTCTTTGTAGGTAATAGAGGTTTTTAAAAATTGTGTGTATGTATGTATCAAAATGAATCAAAACAATTAGGATAAAAATAGCTTATGTAAAGGTCCTTGGTAAGATGATAGCAAAATAAACATTCTGAATAAGGCATGTCAGAGTAAACTGTAGTTATTTTTGTCCCTCAAAAGCAAATTTTCTAATAGTGGTATACATGTGGCAGATCTATTTCTAGGAAAGCAATAAATTGTGTTGAAAAGAGACAAGACATATGCCTCACTCATGACTACTAGTAAGAAATAATAATTTCTGCATGACCAGTCAATGGTCAAAAGATATAAAAGGTTAGAAAGAAGGTATTTGGATAAACAATCCAAGGATGATATGTTAATGCAGATTCTTTAATCTATCATGTAGGTTAAATACATTTAATGTATACTATTTTGGCTATCTCTTGCTATATGATAAGCCACTCCAAAATTTAGCAGCTTAAAGAACAATAATGACATTATTGTGCAGAAGTCTATGGATGGATTGGGATCAGCTGTGCAGTTCCTCTCATTCGTGAAGAGTTGTTAGGGGCTGAAGACAACTGAGTACTCAAGTGGGCAGGACTGTTGAGAGCACTTGGTTAGCAGTTGGCTGGAAGTTCAGTTGGGGATCTTGACCAAGATGCCTCTCTGTTCCTCCATGTGGTTTTCCATATATCTTGGCCTTCTCACAACACCATGGCTGGGTTTGAATATTAAGAATTCCAGGTAGAAGCTGAAGATCTCTTAAGGCCCAAGTTTAAAAGTTACACCTGTCACATCTGCTGCTTTCTACTTGTCAAAACTAGTTTTGAATCTGGCCAGATTCAATTTACAGTGGTGATGTGTGGGAGTATCTTACTATATATATGTATAATCAAAGTAATATATGCATATATATTTTAAAAATCAAATAGTAAGAAGGTCTTGTGTGAAAAGTAATGAGTCCCTGACTGGCCTCCACTCTCTGCTCCACTGCAAAGATGAACACTTACTTGTTACTGTTTTCAGTTATTTTGATAGCTGTCTCAATCAGGGTCTGGGATTTGAATTTAATATTTTGTTTTATGTTTAAAACAATTTTTGTAGAGACAAGGTCTCACTGTGTTGCCCAGGCTGGTCTCAAACTCCTGGGCTCAAGCGATCCTCCCACCTCAGCCTCTGATATTTGAATGTACATTGCTGACAAGTGAATGACTTAGTCTGTTACTGTTCGAGTGATGCTCCTAGGTCTGTGAAAAATGATGCATTACTGACAGCACAGCGAGTAACATGTGCATTGTCTTGTTTGTGTTAGTTCCCTTTGTCCTCTCAAGTCCCACGGGATGACAAGGAGGGTCCAGACAAATGTCAGCCGCACATGCAGTGAATTGTGTGACAGGATCACTGAGCTTAGGGAGTCCACTGTTTCATTATAAGCAGTAAACAAGCCTGCTCTCTGACCTGTGGGAGATATTACTTCATTATTTAAGGTTGCTGACAGCAAACGCAGTCTGACATGTGGTTCAGGTCTGGGCCTTGCATTTCTAGCATACCCAGCAAGGTGTGTTTGAGCACGAGACCCCAGGAGGAGTGTCTCCCACATCTCTAAATCAGGATTTGACTTTTTTTTTCTCTAAATGGCTACATAGCAAATAGCTTAGGCTTTATGGGCCACATATAGTCTCCGTCACACATTCTTCTGTTTTGACCACTCTTTAAAGATAAATGAAAGCATTCTTAGTTCACCAGGCATACAAAAACAGGTCATGGGTTGGATTTGGCCTGCGAGCCATTGTTTGCTGACCCCTGCTCTTAACAATATATACCTTAAAAATAATTTATTAACATTGGACCTTATCTATTGATTTTTATCTGTGCTAGAGAAGAATATAATTCACTTTCACTTCACCTTTGTCCCTTTCTATGTATTTAGTTTTTAGTTCTCTATTAATGAAATTTGCAACTGTAAGTAATATACAACTATTAATAGCTCTATTTTCTGTTCTATTAATTGTGGGTAGTGCCTTTGGACTCCACAGTTTGTAAAATGAGATTATTGGTGTCTTTTCCCTTCCTGTTATCTCTCCTTCTCTAGCTTCATCTCCCAGCTTATGCAATTACTTTTACAACATTAGTGTTATTTTTATTTGTATTCAGTTCCCTAACTATAACTTTTAATACTTTTATACAGAATAATTATAAACTTTTAAAATGTAAACAATATTTGTACCATGACTATTAAATATTGTTCACTTGACTGCCAAGAATCAAACTCTGATTAAGTTTCCTTTCTGACACAACTTTTTGTTTTCCCTGGGGCTACTACTTGCCTTACATATTTTTATTTTATTTTCTATCATTATTGCATTCTTCAATTCTTAAAATTTCTCAAGGATAGTATATCTATGAAATCTCTATTTCCCAGATATCTTTCTTGGAACCTTTCATATTCTAACTCCAGTATGAATTGATTGCTCTCTTAGGCTCATTGAACCGCCAATTTTTTGGGATTTTTAAAATTAATCTGCTGCATTGGCTGATATTTCCTGGATCTTATGTCTTTTTTCTTGTTTGATTTATCTCTTTATTTGGCTGGAGCACATTTTCAAGTAATATTATAAAAGAGGATACATGAGACATAGTTTTCAGTTCTTGGTTGTTTAGAAATATTTTTTATTCTGCAGTCACATTTGGTTGATAGTTTTTTAGGTATAGAATTCTAGATTGAAAATAATTTTCCTTCAAAATTCTGGAGGCATTCTTCCATAACTTTTAACATCTCATGTTACTGATAAGTAGTCTAATTCCAGTTCCTTTGTAATTATTACCTAGAACATGTATGGAGTGGGTTGAAATTGAGGCCAGCTGATCTATCTACCTTGCAAAATTCTGTAGTTGGCTAGGACTATGACATTTCAATAATAATAGAATGTAGAAACAAGAGATAGGACTAAAAGGTCGGTGTGGTAGTCAGAGTGGCTTCTTCAAAATTATCCATACCCTAACTCCTAGGACCTGTGAATATGTTACATTACATGGCTAAAGTGACTTCACCGATATAATTAAATTTACAGACCTTAAGACAGGAAAGTTATTCTGGATTATCTGGGTGGACCCAGTCTAATCACAGGAGACCTTAAAAGCAAAGAACTTTCTCTGGATGGAGTCAGAGGGATAAGACAGAAGGAAAAGTCAGAGAGATTTGAAGCATGAGAGAGACTCAACCTGCTGTGGCTGCAGAGGACCACATGGAAAGCATGGGAAGAAATGCAGGTATCATAGAAGAGTAAAAACCTGCCTCAACTGACAGCCAGCAAGGAAATGGGGGTCTCATTCCTGCAACCACAAGAAACTGAACTCGGCCAACAGACTCCATGAAGTAGGTTGGAAGTGGATTCTCCCCAAAGTGTCCAGTAAGGAATGCAGCCCTGCCAACACCTGGATTGCAGCCTTATGAGTCCATCAGCAGAGGACCCAGCTGAGGTCCCATGGACTTCTGACCTACAGAAACTGTGAGATCATATGTCTGTGTTATTTTAAGTTACTGAGTATATCTGGTGATTTAGTATGGCAGCAACAGGTAACTAATAGAGAAGGTCATTAGTTGAAATCTATATGAAAAAAAAGTTAATGGCCCTATCCTTTTTTCTAACTTTCTTCACACATAATATTCATCATCAGGTTTGCCTACAATTGAAGTCAAAAAATAGCAAAGTCACTTTTCTGAAGAAATATAATCATCTGCACTCTGCAGAGGCAAGGCAGCTTTAAGAGCTTTGACTTGCATGTTGGTGGTTCAGAGACTCTCCAGCATGGTGGCCAGTTGCCTGCTCTCATGCCATAAAGCAAAATCTGCCAATCTGGCTTCCAAAGAACACAAATGGTTATCCCTAGACTAGTCAAATCAAGTATAAAATGTGAAAGAGTGAGGCAAATACAGAAAGAGAGAAAAAAAATAACCACAGAGGAAATAGAAAACACAACTAATAGGAAATTTCTAAAAATTAAAAGAAAATACAGGAAGGGGAACGTCACACTCTGGGGACTGTTGTGGGGTGGGGGGGAGAGGGGAGGGATAGCATTAGGAGATATACCTAATGCTAAATGACGAGTTAATGGGTGCAGCACACCAGCATGGCACATGTATACATATGTAACTAACCTGCACATTGTGCACATGTACCCTAAAACTTAAAGTATAATAATAATAATAAAAAAAAGAAAATATTTCATAATAGAACACTAATTAGTATTCTAGGGTTATTTGAGAAGGTTGCATTGATAATGCAAAAATAGGACACTAAACAAAAACAATATCTAAACAATTAGAAAACATACGAAATAACCCTTGGGAAAGCAAAAAATGATGAATGGAAGAAAAAAAACCCAAATAAATTTAAAGGTTGAAAACAAAAATCAAGGAAATTTTCTAGCAAGTAACAAAACAAAACAAAAACAATATAAAAAACCTATACCATTGGGAAATAAATGAGAAAATATTATAGACTAGAAGACCAAGCCAGGAAGCTCAATATCTAGTTAAAAAGAGTTTCAGAAAGTAACAGAGAAACAGATGACAGAAAATTTTGGAAGAAATAACACAGTCTTTTTCAAAATTTCATGAGGGATATGTGTCTCTAGTTTAAAAGGGTAAATACAGGCATATAATTTTTCCTCTTTCCGTCACTTGGATAGAAAAAAAAAATCTATCTTAGCATTTTATATGCTCATATTGCTACATAGTTCTGCTTGAGTGGGGCTGCCTTTGGGGAAAAGTTGTGAGAAAAGAAGGAGAAGAAAACAATGAGGATTCCCCTACATTAATTGGATCACAGGACCCATCTCTGTCAGTTCTTCTGGCTAGAAAGACTGGTTTAAGGTATCTGAACTATTTTTCCATTGCTTTAGTGCAGTTCTGTGGCTCAGGTTCTATTGGGTTAGAGTCAGGAGGTAAAAAATGAAAAAACCAGGAAAATCATGCCTGTTATGGTTCATTCTTCAGGTTTTGGCACACCTCTCCAATTCATCTTTTCAGAGTTCTCAGATTTTGATTTTTTAAATTTTGACCAGAATTTTTAGGTATAATCAGTCGAAAAACAAGTAAGGGTGTGCTTACTCCATTGTGGCCAACTCTGGAAATATGAAGCAGGTTTTAAATATTTAAGTATCTTAAGTATAAAATGAAAAATCCAGGAAGTTAGAAATATGAGACAAGATAAAAAGGTATATGGTTATCTATGGAAAGATTAATAAATTAAGTAATTGAATCAACAACGTCTCAGTTTCCATCTAGTGTAGGACTATGACACTTTACTTTTGGAGTAATTGAACTCACATCAAAGAACATTAATAAGGAGATATAAGGCTTGGTATTATAATGAAGGTGGAGGCAGCAAAGGTGATAAGTGGTTTGAGAAAACTCATAAAATGCGTAGACTTCTGAAACTTAGACTACAAAGTGCTAAGGAGGAGAATTGCCTGGCAGACTGCTGTTTATATATCTTTGTCTCTCTAATGGTGTTTAGTACAGTGCCTTACACATAGTAATGACATAAATGCCCAAAGAAAGGTTCAACTGATAATGACTGCAATGAAATTACTGAGCTGGTATGAAAAAGATCAAGAGTGAGTCCTGTTGTAATTGTTTTAGTCAGATGATGAACATTTTGTAGGGTATCAAGACTGGAATAGATGGAGATGAGATGGACCCATCTTGTTGAGGACATTAACTTTGAAAAAGAAGACCAGTATGGTGGCTCATGCCTATAATCTCAGCACTTTGGGAAAGCCAAGGCAGGAGGATTACTTGAGCCCAGGAATTTGAGACTAGTCAGGGCAACATGGCAAGACTCCGTCTCTACCAAAAAAAAAAAAAAAAATTAGCTGGGCATGGTGGTGAACACCTGTGATTTGTGATTCCAGCTACCCTGAGATGGGAGAATCACTTGATCCCAGGTTGAGACTGTAGTGAGCTATTTTCATGCCACTGCACTTCAATCTGGGCAACAGAGTGAGGCCCTGTCTCAACAACAACAACAAAAAAAAAAAAAAAAAGAAAAGAAAAGAAAAAAAAGAAAGAAAAATAAATCAGAAAGTGATCAGCAAGTATTTTGTCAAAAAATTTAATGGTACCAGCAGCTTGTGATATTTGTGATGTTAGGCTCTAGTTTCAGCAGTATTTGGGGAAAAAAAAAGACAAAAAAAAGACTATGAGTCATGAAGCTTGATCATTAATAGCACAATCTTTTCATGAAATTTCTACCATCATTTATCAAAATTTGCTCATCCTTTCATTATATCAAATAACAATATAAAAAAGACTTAATGGATTCTTTAAGTAGCTTAGCTTTTGGCACTGAAGAATCATTTTCAAAATTAATATATACAAGGAATTTTAAGCATAGGAAATCCATTTGAACTATCAAACTCTTATAAAAGTTTACATTATATGTTTATTAAATCTAGGCTATATGTAAAGACTTGTGTAGGAGATTTCTTAACAGGACTCCAAAAAGCACTAATCCTAAGAAAATCTGTTAAGCTGTACTACATTAAATTTAAGAACTTCTGTCTGTCAAAAGATACATTTAAGAGAAACAAAGCAAGTGGGATGGCCAACCATCCCAGTTTGCCCAGGACTAAGGGCTTTCTTGCAACATAAATTTTTAGTGCTAAAACTGGAAGAGTCCTAGACAAATCAGGATGGTCACTCTAAAGACAAGCAACAAAGGAGTGACAATATTTGCAAAATGTCTGTAGGATCTGACAACTGGGACCACCTGCATCTACAGGGCTTAGTTCTCAAGACTGGAAACAGACCACTTACAATTTGTTCTGAAAAGTTTGCCAAGAAAGATAAGACTGAAAACAATACATAACTTCACTACTTGCTTCAGGAAATTCATGAAAACTAATTTTTCCAAAGAGTAGATTGCTCATCTAGAAAAACGGCCCCCTTCTCAGGACGGTAGTTTGCTTACTTAGTGGAAAATCTCATAAAACAACTGTTTGTTTATGAAGACTCACTTTATGACCGTTGCCTTGTTGTCCCTCAATCCTATACTAATTTATTATGAATTTTTCCCAGTCCCAATCAGATGTCTGTATTGAAAGATTCATAAATCATTTGATTTTAGATTTTAAAAAATTCCACGGATATCCGCTCTTGTCTTCCCTTTTCTGAGACTGAAGAGTGTCAAACTGATGCTTTTCATCACAATAGTAGGTTAAGATATTTGGTTTTGCTTCATCATTAGGTTAATTTAATAGTCTCTGAGGGGAGTTGGCAGTTGACAAGTCTCTTTTAGAATATATAATGAATTCTTAAACATATAAGAAAATGAGAAGATCACCCAATATAAAAATTGGCAAAAGACTTGAACAAGCAGTTTACAAAAGAAAATACACACATAGCTAACAAACATAAAAAGGGCTCAACTTCATTAGACATCAAGAAAATGCACATTAATATTGTCCAGCAGAATGACTCAAATTACAAAGTGCTGGGGAAGAATATTATACATTGTTGATGGGAGTGTAAATTGGTGCGGTTACTTTGGAAAATAGTTTGGTATTATCAGTAAAAAACAAACATTTGTGTATTTTATGAATCAGAATTTCCACTCCTAGGCATAACACCCCCAAATAAACAATGAATATGTACACCAAAAGACATGCACAAGAATACTAACAGTAGTATCATTTGTTAGAATCCCAAATATTCATCAACAGTAGAACAGAGAAAGTATTGTATGTTTATACAATAGTTCATAGCAATTAAATTGAATAAACTACAGATTTTGCAACAATATGGGTTAAGTACACAAACATAATATTGAGATAAAGAAATTGGTCACAAAAGAGTACCTATTGTGTGAGTCCATTAATGTAGAATTCAAAATATTCCAAACTAATCTCTGGTATTAGAAATCAGGATATTGGTTACCTTTTGGGGGGTTACAACAGGAAGCGATCTGGACAGGCTTCTGGGATACTAGCTGCGCTTTATTTCTGGAACTAGATGATGATTACACAGGTGTGCTCATTTAGTGATGACTGAACTGTACAGTTATTAGCCACTTATTGGTATGTATGTGTTCCAGTTATCTATTGCTTTGCAACAAATCATCTCCATTGCAGTGACGTGAAACAAGAACAGTCATTTATCATTTTTATGAATCTGCAATTTGGGCTGGGCTTAGTAGGGACAGTTTGTCTCTGTTCCTTGCTTCATCAGCTGGAGTGGCTTGAAGACCAAGAAGGCTTCAAGGCTGAGGGCTGGAATCATCAGAGGACTCCTTGCTCACATATCTGCCTGTTAATGCTGACTACTGGCTGGGGCCTCATCTGAGGCTTTTGGCTAGAATGCCTACGAAGGGCTTTTCCATATGGCTGCTTGGCTTTCTCATAGCATGGTGGCTGGGTGTCAAGAGTGAGCCTACTAATAGAGCAAGGTATTTTTATAATCTAGTGACTCAGTGTTGCTTCCACCATACTCCAATGGTTAAGGGAAGTCTATTCAGGTTCAAAGGAAGGGCATAGACCTCACTGCTCAATGGCAGGAAAGTCAATGTCACCTGTAAGAATATTATGTGGGATGGTATATATTATCGTGGACTTCTTTGAAAAATACAATTTGCAGAAGTGTGGTAGAGTTTTTTAAAAAGTACGCTAAAGACATTGCAAGTTAAAAAATATAAAACAGCAACCCCTGGCGGTTATTTTAAAGCAGAGGGAGTCCACATGAAAAGCAATGCATCAAAGGGAGAAAATGGCAATCTGGAGATGTCAACTCTTACAAATTAACTCATTTATTTGTTTGTTAATAACTCGTTAAACATTCAGTGTTTGCCAAGTTCTAGGGGATATAGAAATGGGAAAATCAAGGTTCTTGCTCTTAAGAAACTCACCTAACATGGCAAATAGCTCCATCATAATTTTAGTACCATTGTTTAACTTTGGGAGCATGCCTTGTGCTAGCACAGTAAGTAATTGTTAGAAGAGATGGCCTCTGATCAGTGGCCCTTACAATATTTGCTATCACAATGTTTTCCTGGGTGTGGCCTATATGGTCAGTGTGTATAGTCTGCTTGAATCTGGTATGCAGATCTGCCAATCACTTGCACTTGGCAAGCCCCATTATTGCTATTCACACTATCATTGATTTAAATAACCGTGGTGCTTAACTTCTCAAGGATACCACTCTGGAGGGTATACAGATTTAGATAGAATTAAAGTAAACTGGGGCAGTGTATTTGGTTACAGAATATAGCAATGTGTCCTACTAAGGGCAGCATCTCTGTCAGGGGAAAGCTATATTTAACTCACTCTTTTTTAATTGCTTGGATGTAGTGCTATGAACATTAAAATTTAATCTCATTGGAAATGTCCCCTTTTTATAGATCCCAGGCCTTTCTCAGATTTAAAAAAAAATGCATTTACCTCATTTTAGCAAAGAGTAAAGACTACATCATGCAAAAGAATATTAACAGAAAATATATTGTTTTAAAATGATGCATGTTTCAATATCTAAGACATAAAATAGGTAAGTAAATAAATTTTAATAAGGTTAGCGTAGTTACACATTTATTTCCTCTTTTATAAACCCAGAAGAGAATGGGACACAAAGTATAATTGTGTAAACTTGGAGCATTAGCTAGTAGGATGCCACAAATAAAGTGGGTCATGAAGATTTTCAGGATATACAGAAAGTATTTATATTTGTGACATATAGACAATATGGATGTGATGGCTCATTTGTAAAAATTCTCTTATTTGCAGAGTGCAGAAGCATCTTCAGTTGGAGAGCCATTGCCTCTTGCTGTGAAATATTTGGGAATCTTCAGAAACCATGAAGAATAACCTGCTAAAGGTAATAATCATACAGAATTAGATTCTGATGCTTGCTTGGGAAGGTGTATGGTGGTTTCTCCCACCAAAGTAAAAATGTCTTCTTATCTGGAAAACTGCAGTGACTCTCCACCCCTCTGCCCTGGTCCTTTCCATTGTTAGACTATTTCCTGCTGTACTGAATTGAATCTTCCTTTTATCAATTATTTCCCTTTAGATTGATGAGTGAAAATCCATCTTAAGATGGATTAAAGTACTGCTTTCCAAAAGTTGAAGATAACTCTCATGTCAACTTATCCAGAGGAAAACATTTACATAGTTCTATATTCTTCAGACTCTTCTATGGCTTTTTCATAGTATCAACATAGGTAAACTCATTAGTCTGTTGTGAAAGAAACAAAAGATGCCTACTCTAGGTAATGGGCTAGGTACTTACAAACACATATTTTCATTTTATTTTTATAGTAATCTGAGGAAGATGTGATCAATCAGTAGTCCGAATGGTAAGGTTAAGTAAGTTGCTCCAACCAGACTAGTGAGTGGCTGAGCTGGTATTCCCAAGCAGAGCCTTTGACTTCATCTTCAGGTGTCTCCACTTCTCCATTGCTACCGTAAGAGTGACTGGCCACCTATGAGATACTAATTAAAGGATTGGCATTTACAGCAGCAGTGCTCAGACTTGAGTGGGTGGCCGAGTCACCTGCGGGGGGCATGTTGAAACACAGATTTCTGCATCCTACTCCAGAGTTTCAGATTCAGCATGTCTGGGATGAGGCCCAAGAATGTGCATTTCTACACATCTCCAGATGGTGCTAATGCTGATGTCTGGAGACCACATTTCGAGAATCACTGATTTAGAGTTCCTCAGCATTTGTCTGCAGGACCCTGTAATCAGATCAATACCCTTGATTAACAGGAAAACAATAGAAAGCACTGCCTTTCCCAGGAAGCCTACTCTCATGTAGTAAGGCCTCTTCTGCCCCCTACACCATCCTCCAACTTCCCTGTTTTCACACTCTCACAAGCCATCACCCTTTTAATTCTATAATCAACTGAGCCTATCTCTGTTATTGCATTTGTCACAATGTTTGCAAAATATATATTTTCTCCCTTTTCCCCAACAAGATTGTGGGGCTCTTAAGGGCAGAGGCTATTTGATTTCTTTCTGTACCCCTGACATCTAGAAAAGAGTTTAACATTCAGCAGAAACTCAATTTTAAAATGAACGAGGGAAAAAATATGGCTTGGTAATTACATTTCTGGGAACCAGAAAGCTATGAACATAACTGGTATGTCTTTGACAACATAAGAATTCAAAAAACATTTGAAAGGTGTGTGCCAAAATGAAAGAGATAAAACTCATAAAGAAAATGCAAATTTTCAAATTCAGATTCAAAAGTCACTTGATTAAATACAGAATCGAGACAAACAGTCTTTGTTGAGGTTGATGTGAAAAATTCTTAGGGGGTTTTAGTTCAATATGAATGAATAGTATGAAGTGACTGCTAGAACAATTAGTACAACTATGAGCTTTATATAGAGAGGTAGAGTATTTAGATTTAATACAGTCACGGTATTTGCTACGTTTTTAGTTTAAAGGCAATATCAGTGTTTGAAAGAAAGGAGCCTAGCAGGAGGCTGGGTTCATGTTCCCAATACCTCCTTATTATACCAAAGCCAGATTTAACTATAAAGCACATAGTCTTTCATTTGGTCTATTTTAATTTTACTTCAGAAAGATTTCATTGATTTTTTTCTTTTTTAATTTAAGAGCAGCAAACTTTTTCCTGTAGTTTCTCTTTCCTTTTTCCAGCTTGGAGGAAGCTGTAGCCAATTTCTTCTTATAGCATTTACCATTGAAAATTGACTTCCATTGTTCATGCCTCTTTCACCAACTCCTAATATTTTGAAATGGGTCTCTTTTGAACTTAAAAGTTCATAAGTTTAGTCTTAGTTCAGGTAAGAAGATTACTGAAGGAAAAAAATGGCTTAAATGAAAACCATTTATTTTTTCCTAGCTATCTACATAGACTAGCTTACTAATTTCCAATCAGAAAAAAAGTCCTGATAACTCTTTTAGGAAATATTGAATTTAAAAATAAGTGATATTTAAAACTGAAAAAACAAAATTCTTAGTTTCAGAAAAAGTAAAAACCAGAAATGGAAAAAAAAATTGTAGCTGGTCAGCGGCTCCCATTCTGAGTTTGAATTTGGCATAAAACATAGCATTTAAAAAAGGGTTCGAGAGAAGTTGGTGCTTTTTTTTCTTTTATGGCATGATTCTATTTGTATTTTCCCCATACTTCTCTGGCCTCCCATTCTCTATTTTCTTTGCTGGACAGGACATTTACTTATGGGTCCCAAATTGTCCTCCTTGTAGTTATTCCCAAAGTCTCAGTTCTTGACTCCTAGCTCTTCCCTTTCCATATTCTTCTTCAGAAAAAAATACCTTTTCCCACTGTACTTTTTAAATAGCTTTAACTCTCATCATCATATAGCTGATTTTAATGCATAACATCCAATTCTATTTTTAACCTTAGATTCAGTTCCATATTTTTAGTTGTCTACTTAATTTCATGTGAATGCCTTTAATTATCTCAAATTTATTGTTCTTTCCATTGGGATATATTACCTTTCTGCTCCAGTCAGATATTTCTCCTAAATTTTTTAGCCTTACCAAAGCACCATCATTCTCTAGATTAATTAAATTTAAACTTTTATATCAACTTCAAAATATTTTCTTTTTTCACCCTTTGTGTGTAGCTAGTCATCAACTTCTTTTATTGTTTCTTCCAAAAAATGCCTTTTTTTCCCATGCCCATTGCTGTAGTCAAAGTTCAGGCTCTCCTTGTGGATTATCTCAGTCACTCGCTCACTGTTCCCGCTTAGTGCGACTGCTCCATCCCCAAAATCAGGAACTTGCAGCGCTCCCTAGCATGTGCCTTACCACATCCTGTCCCCAACTGGAGCATGGCTGGGCAATTTATTTAAGCCAGGAATTTGGAGTTGGAGTCTCAAATGACAGGCAGATGAACAAAGGTCATGTTGGATGGGAATAACTGCTTTTTGTCTATGTGTATACTGTGTAGGTGATAGGCAAGCTAAAGGGTACTAAGAGAAGCAAGAATGTTTTGCTACCTAGCAGAGAAGGGGCTGGGCCAAGAGTCAGGTGACTTCCTGAGATATTGAGGGAGGAGCCTCACTTGCTGGCTTTCTGGTCAAGCCTCTGGGTGGCTTGACCTAGTTTCTTTCTTGTCCTGAGATACTTGTGAGTTTGCAGCTTGAATTCTTGTACTGTCTCCCTTTACTTAAGTTAACTGGATTGAGATTTTGTTTCTTGCAAAAAAACATGTCCTTACCCCAGTACCACTTTTCAGTCAATCACACATGGGTTGTAGTCATAGCTTTTTAGTTCACCGCATTAACACTAAGATGTAGGGATTTAAATCATTCTTACATTCACCTGCTAGATTAATATTCCTAAGTAAATTATCGGATTCCTGTTAAAAAGTCTAACCCTCTAGAAGTGCACCTCTAACTGCTACCAAAACTCAAGCATCTCTTCCTGGCTTTTATTAATTAGAATATACAGATTCAGCTTTACATATTTAATCAAATTTCTCCCTTCTATCAATATAAACCCTCCACTCAGTCAGGCTGGTTTATCCCAGAAATGCCATGTGCATTCCTCACTCCATGACTTGAAATGTGGCCTTCACTTGAAATGCTGCTGCATTATCTCCTCCATCTGTCCAGGTCCTACCTGTTATTTCTACACCTTTGGCCTGATATAGCTCCATGCTTCAGCAAACATACAGCTGGCAAATTATCCTTTAAAACTTAGTTCAGGCCAGGCGTGGGGGCTCACGCCTGTAATCTTGGCACTTTGGGAGGCTAAGGCTGGTGGATCACGAGGTCAGGAGTTAGAGACCAGCCTGGCCAACATGGTGAAACCCCATCTCTACTAAAAATACAAAAATTAGCTGGGTGTGGTGGTGGGCACCTGTAGTCCCAGATACTCGGGGTGCTGAGGCAGGAGAATTGCTTGAAACCGGAAGGCGGAGGTTGCAGTGAGCCGAGATCGCACCACTGCACTCCAGCCTAGGTGACAGAGTGAGACTCTATCTCAAAACAAAACAAAACAAAAAAACAGAAAACAAAAACAAAAAATTTAGTTCTGGCATTATCTGATTTAGAAAGCTTTCTCTGATCCCTGTACTTCAACAATGCTCCCCTATCTGTATAATTGCCCTAATATTGTATTGACATCACGTTTTATATATTTATGTTTCCCAGAATAACTGTGTGTACCATTAAGTCAGGGCATAAATAAACTTTATGTCCTTTGAAATTAACAGAGTGCTTGGTAGAGAGTAGTTCTTAGTGAATGAATGCCAAATGAGTGAATGAATGAATGAACAAATGTCTGCCTTTTAAGATTCAAGTTAAGTTCAACCTTCCCAATGAAGCCTTCTCCCATTATTCTCAGCATTTACTAATGTTCTTTTCTTCCACACATAGATTTTGCTACACAATTTAGTATTCAATTACATAATTTTCATGCTTTTCAAATTTTGTTTTATCTTCTAATCTTCTTTTTCTTAACCCGAATAAAATTTCTTGAATGTTAGGAAACATGCCATTGTCTCATTCTGTGTTATTTTCCACACTGTTTAGTAGGGAATATATGCCGTTGTTCATATTTGTTGAGTATAATTGCTCAAGAGCTATATCTCTGAAAGAATTAGAGTTGGTGTCTTATGTAATTTGTCTAGAATTACTTCTGCAAATATATTTATACTTCATCTGAAATAAAAGATACAGCATCCAAAAACATTGTTCCTCATTGGCACAACACAGTAATGTCACTTCCTTTCTGTATCTGATCTTTTTTTTTTCTCATTTGGCAGTGATTTTATAGTAATAAGTCCCATCCTAACAAATGCCAGTCTAGGGGGCCAACATGTTCCTTTGCTTTATGTCTCATAGTTAAGCCTCTGATTTGGTTGAAACACTGTCGAAATATAGGAGAGAATTGTTGTGATTCATCCTGATTTAGAAAGTTCACATTTGCCAAAATCCACCTTCTTTGTCAGATGCTCATTTTGAAACTTGAGAAATTTGGCTAGAAATGAGTACTAATTTGAGAATGGTGCCAAAAGGTAGGAACTAATTAAAAAATGAAAAGAAAATACAAAAACCCAAAACCAAACAGAGCTCCTTTACTTTAATCAATGTTCTTCAAAAGGTAATTTTTTGCTGTTAGTTAGAGGGCCATGAAAAATAAGGAGTTCTTTTTTAAAAAGACAATAAAAATTGATGTGATTTCTATTAAGTCAAGATTAAGTATGTTAATCAGTTTCTTTGAAAAAACAAAAGATTGACTTCATAATTTTAAATCAGAAATATATTAAAAGTCAAGAAAAACATCCCTTGTATAATTACCTACTGTAATTGCATCTAATTTTTAATAAAAAATTTAGTTAAAAACTATCCATATGGGAAAGAGTAATTCATCCTAATTCATATGAGATATTGTGGGCACTAGAGTGAGACTTGAGAAAAGTTCAGACCATTTTAATAATCTTCTTTCCCCTACCCAGTATTAATAAATTTAAAGGCAACTGGACACTTGGAAATAATCTTTCTCTGGTCTTTCTAAATGAAAAGCTGTCAAGGCATCACTATTTGGGTTGCTGTTGCAGTGATACCGTAACTGTAGCAACCGTATGCTGATGAACCAGCTTCTATCAGGAATGTGTTTTATAAATTCCCATGAGGCTTCAGCAGCTTGGTAAGCCAAAGGGGAACATATTTCAAATTAATTGTTCCCATTTTATGTGATAAAAAAAATCAGCCAGGCTCCTCTGTGACAAACCTGCTTTATTGTGTCAGTAATGGAACCACACATTTAATTGACAAGTGACAGTTTCTTGCTGTTCTATTTCCTTTGTTATTTATTATATTATGAGCGGGTGTCTGTGGTGCTGAGAATGCCTATGGTGGTAGGAAGGCAGTGTAAATATGGTCAGTTCTGTTAGTGTACCAAACAGGAGTCCCTTACCTTACCCTATAATATTGTTTTTCACTGTTTGTTTATACCTTGAATTTTAGTAAACTGAATTATATTTTTCATCCACAAGGGGGTGAAAAATATAATTTTACTTTACTTTTTCTAAAGTAAAAGGTCCCTTTGTATTATAATACAAACAATTGGTCAAGAGAAAAGGAGAACTCAGATTCAGTAGGGTTATACTTGAGAAGAACTAGGAAATCTAGCCAGAACTCCATGACCATTAAGCTTTATCACCTAGGGAAAGCACAATTTGAATTCGAATCTCTAAGAGTCTTGCTTTTAATCTCTGTGGAAGAGACGTTAACTTTAAAAGCTGATATTTTTAGCATAATCTATTATACCATATTTTTAAGAAATATGTTTACTTATTGTTTGAGCTTGGACTGTTAAAACATAAATATAATAGATTGGGTGGCTTAAACACCACATTTATTTCTCGCCATTTTGGAGGCTGAAAGGACCTCCAAAGGTCAAGGTGCCAGCAAATCTGGTGTCTATTAAGGGCTGGAGTACTAGCGTCCAGACTACTGTCTTCTCATTGTATCCTCACATGATGGAGAGAAATGAGAGAAACAGAGCATTCTCTCCAGTTTCTTCTTATAAAATAACTAATCCCATCTGAGAGCTCCACCCTCATGACCTAATTACTTCCCAAGGGCCTCATCTCCAAATACCAACATACTGAGTTTCAATATGTGAATTTTAGGGGGACACAAACATTCAGTTCATGAGACATATAATAGACTATGTAATAAAAATAAAAATAAGTTTTTGCATAGAATGTAATAGAAAGAATGTTGCTCCCTCACTAATAATGAGGAAAATACATATAAACTACAAATATGACTTTTTTAAATCTGTCAGTGGGCTGAGGTCCTAGATAAATCAAGTCACCTCAAATCCCGGGAGGGCAGATCCCCCACCCCCCAACCTCCTGCAAGGAGAGATGGAACACATGTACTACCTCCACTGTGGGAGTTATGGTAGGAGGAAAGGGCCACCCCATAAGAGGGAAGAAAGAATTAGCTAAAATTGTATGAATTGTCAAAGGTTGAGATTCAGCTAGTGTGACAGTATAGACTTTCTGGGAGCCTCAGACCCAAGGGGCATTTGCAGCACCCTCACAGACTATATACCATTTCCACTGAGTGTTCATGAAAAACAATTAGGGGTTGAACATGAGGAAAGGTCTGTCACACTCAGGGCAAAGAATCAGGGTTGCTGGAGAAAGAGACAAAAAAACTCCCTTACTCCTGGGCAGGAAAGAGGGCTGAACCAATACTAATACCATTAGAGGTCTCCTGCTTCTATGGAAGGGACAGAAAACATATGCTCTCACAAAGCACCACCACAGACACAGGCAGAGTTTGACTGCTGTGGGGAAGAGGGAAAGGAATATGATAAAACTCCACCTGAAGGCTCAGGCTCACAGGGCTTCCTTAGGATTGATGCTCAACCAGGACAACAGGGCCCTCTCTCTGCTAGCCTAGCAAGCAGTGACAGCCTATTTCAGCCTACCCCTGAAGGAAGGGCAAGAGGCTGGGGAGAGGCCTCTCCCTCTCACCCCTGTGGCAAAGGTATAAAGGAGTGATTGTAAGATGAGGATGAATCACAAATACTGAGAAAAACCTCATAGCAATCTCACTTCCCAGCCTAAACTCAGGGCATTCTTAGAACAATTAGATGCTTTATAGAGCACTGAAGATATTCATACCAACAAGGAAATCTAAACTCAACTAAATAACTAAATTCTGACTAGATTGATACAATCCCTCTTACTAAGTGCCTGAAAAGATCTGTGCCCATTTATAGGCACATATACTATTTACCTCAGTCTTTTCCAAACAATACCATAGACTGGTCTAAAATATGTGTAATTACAATCCAAGATGAGTAAGAGTGAAGACAAAACAGAAGAAATATTTAAAGAAATAATAGTGTAGTTTTTTTCCCAAAATAAAGACATTAAGCCATGTGTTCAAGAGATACCAAGAATCACAAACAAGAATTAAAATACGCATACACAAACACACACAAACACACATATAAACTAGACACATCATATTCAAACTGCTGAAAACCAAAGATAAAATGAAAATCTTGAAGGCAACCAGAGGGGGTTAAACACATTACATATGGAATAACAAAGATAAAAATGACTGTATACATCTCATCCAAAACTATGCAAGCTAGAAGAAAATTGAATAACATCTTTAAAGTTTTGAAAGAAAAAACAAACCCTCTGTCAATTCTTAATTCTATGACAGTGATAATTTATTTCAGATGCAAACATGAACTAAAGCATTTTTAAGACAATCTAAAGTTTAGAGAAGTGATTTCCATCAGATTCATGCTAGAAGAAATATTAAAGAATGTCTTTCAGGCAGATGTGAATCAGAAACATGTACCTACAAAAAGAAATGAAGAGTTCCAGATATTGTAAAAAGTTAAGGTAAATATTTAAAAGTTTTCTTATTTTTATTTACTGAAAAAGATAAGAGATTAAAGAAAAATTGTAAAATATTGTGGTATTTATAACATAAAATTAAAATGTATGACAACAATAACACAAAGATGGGAGAAAGGTTTGCAAACACACTGCTATAAGGTTTGCACAGTCTACTTGAAGTGCTGTGATATTATTTGAAGGTAGGTTGTGATAAGTTAAAGATGTATATTGCCTAGGGAAACCACAAAGCAATTAGAAATAGATGTATAAATAAGTCAGTAGTGAAGATAAAGGAATCATTTAAAAAGTACCCAATCCAATAGTAGGCAGACAAAGGGGAGAAAGAGGACAAAGAACAAATGAAAAAATAGAAAACAAAATCTAGCAAGGTGGTAGCTAGGGAAAGCACAAAGCAATTAGAAATAGATGGATAAATAAGTCAATAGTGAAGATAAACAAATCATTTAAAAGGTACCCAATCCAATAGTAGGCAGAAAAAGCAGAGAAAGAGGACAAAGGACAGATGAAAACATAGAAAACAAAATCTAGCAAGATGGTAGATTTAAATCTAACTATGTCAATGATTGTATTACATGATCCTAAGCACTCAAATTAAAAGACAAGTTTGCCAAAGTTGAGGAAGGCAGCAGGCAGGACTTACTTCAACGAATTAATTTCAAATATAAAGACATAGCTAGGCTAAAAGTAAAATGATTAAGAAAGATATACAATAAAAATGAATCAAAACAATTCAAGAGAGACTGTGTTGATATTAAATAAAGTAGATTTCAGAAAAAGGAATATCTCCACAGAAGAAAGGGACAGTTCATAATGATAAAATGATTAATTTACCAAAAATGCATAAAATCTTAAATGTATATATGGTTACCAAAGAGCTTTAAAATACATGAAGCAAAAACTGATAGACTGAAGGAGAAATAAAGAAAAGCATAATTATTATTTAAGATTTCAACACTCTTCTTTCAATAGTTGATTGAGCAAATAGACAAAATATCAGTAATGACAAGGAAGATCTGAACAACCAATTTTACCAAATTGGCATTTATAGAACATTTAATCCAACAACAGAGAATGCACATTCTTTTCAAGTAAAAACAGAATATTCAACAGGATAGGCCATACCCTGAACTGTGAAGAAACCTCAACAAATTCAAAAGAATTAAAACCGTACAAAACATGTTCTCTATCCATATTACAATTAAATTAAAAATCAATGAGAAATCTACCTGGATAATTCCCAGATATTTGGAAATTAAACAACATACTTCTAATTGAGTCTTTGGTCAAAGTTGAAGCCGCGAGGAAAATTGGAAAGTATTTTAAATTGAATGAGAATGAATATGTATATTTATTTGATTTGAGCATACTGGAATTTGAGAGAGACATTGACAATGTTGCTTCAAGAGAAATTAACAGCTTTAAATGTTAATGCTTGTATTAAATAAAGAAAAGTCTCAAATCAATGATTTAAGCTTCCTTATTAAGAAGTAGAAAAATAAGGGCAAATTAACTCCCCCCAAATCAGAAGTAATTTGTTACAGAAATTAATAAAATTGAAGAATGAAAAAGAAAAGCAATAAAGTCACTGAAATCAAAAGCTAGTGCTTTGAGAAAATTAATAAAATTGATAAATCTTTACACTAGAATTTTTAAACCTTGACACAACTGAAATTTCAAGCTAGGTAATATTTTCTTTTTCAAGGGCTGCCCTATACAGGATATTTGACAGCATCTCTGACCTCTACCCACTACATGCCTGTAGCATCCCACCAAACTTGTGGGATGATGAAACATGTTTCCAGACATTGTCAAATGTTCTTTGGAAGGCAGTATTGCCCCCAGTTTAGAACCACTTCTCTAGACAGATTGATTAAAAAAAAAAAAAGCATGCTTAAATGACCAATATCAGAAATGAAAGATGGGTCCTCACTAAAGATCATACTAATATTAAAAAGATAATAAAGGAAATATATGAACTATTTTATGACAGTACAACATCTTACATGAAATGAACAAATTATTTGAAAGACACTACCAAAAATCACTAAATAAGAAATAGAGAATCTGTGTAGTCCTATTTCTATTCAAGAAAACTGCTGGTCCAGATTACTTTGCTGAAAAGTTCTACCAAACATTTAAAGAAGAAATTATTCTTCTACACATACGCTTCCAGAAAATAGGAGAGTAGAAAACACTTCCCAATGCAATTTTCTGTTATCTTTGTAGAAAAGCCAGCTAAAGACATTGCAGTTAAACTACAAACTATATCGATCATAAAGAGAGGACACAAAAATTCTCAATAAAATATTAGCCAACTGAAACCAGCAGTATATTAAACAGATATACATCATGAAAAAGTAGGGGTTATTCTCAGGATGTAAAGTTGATTTGACATTTGAAAGTTTAACAATGCAATTTACTGTGTTGATAAAAATGAAGAAAAATTATATGACTAATCTCAATAGATGAAAAAAAACTTTTAACAAATTCAACATCCATTCATGAATTTAAAAAAGCATCTCAGAAAACTAGAAATGGAAGAGAACATTCTCAAGATAATAAAAGGCATCTATAGAAGTCCTATAGCTAACATTATACTCAATGGTGAAAGATTGAATGCATTCTTCGTAAGATTGGGAATATTGCAAAGATGTCTGCTTTTACCTCTCCTACTCAATCTCATTATTTCTATCAGTCCAACAAAACAAGACAAATGAATGTAATATTTGCAGACTGGAAAAGAACTAAATTGTCTCTATTAACAGATATTATGATTGTCTAAGTAGGAAATCTTGAAAATGTATGAAAAAAGCTAGTAGAACTAATAAGTAAGTTTAGCAGAGTTTAGGATGTAAAATTAACTGTATTATTATATACCAGCAATAAAAATCTGAAATTATTTTACAATACTACCATTTATAATAGTATCAAAAACACAAAATATTTTGTAAATATAGCAAAATATGTACAAGATTGAATACTGAAAACTTTAAAACATTGAGCAGGAAATCAAAGGGGATTGAAATGAATGGAGATATTTACTATAATCAGGTTTAGAAATATTGAGTTTGGAATACTCAGTATTGTTAAAATGTCAATTCTCCACATGTTGATCTATATTCAGGTTTTTTTGTAGAAGTTTACAAGTAAATATTAAAATGTATGTGGAAAAGCAAAGGAATTAGAATAGCCAAAAATCTTTGAAAAAGAAGAACAAGTTGGAACATTCAAACTATCTGATTTCAAGACTCACTCTAAATCTATAGTAATCAGAACAGTGTGATGTCAGTGAAAGAACAAACACACAGATAAATGGAACAGAATAGAACACTGAGAAATAGAATCATGCAATTGATTTTCAACAAAGGGATCAATATTTTAAGGTAGAAAAATCATCTTTCCAACAAATGATGCCAACATAACTGAACATCCAATTGGAAAAAAGAAAAAATTACTTAGATTTCTATTTCACCCTGTGTACAAAAATGAACCCATAATGAATCACAGAAAAAAAAATGTAAAGCCTAACTCTATAAAACTTTTATAAAAAGCAAAGAAGAGCTGGATGCAGTGGCTCATGCCTATAATCCTGGCACTTTGGGAGGCCAAAGCAGAAGGATCTCTTGAGGCCAGGAGTTCAAGACCAGCCTATTAAAAAAAATTATCTGGGCATGGTGGTGCATACCTGTAATCCTAGATACTCAAGAGGCTGAGGTGGGAAGATCCCTGGATCCCAGGAGTTCAATGCTGCAGTGAGCTATAATTGTGTCACTGCACTCCAGCCCAGGTGACAAAGAGAGATCCTTTCTCTGAAAAAACAGCAACAACTACAAAACAAAACAAAACAAAACAAAAAACAAAGAAAAAAATCTGTGGGACTTTGTATTAGGCCAGGATTTATTTATTAGGTAGGACACAAAAAGCATGAATCATTAGAGAAAAAATATGTTAAGAAAATGAAAAAAAAAACCCAAGACTGAACTGGGAAGGAATTGAATCCCTCAATAGACCAACAACGAGCTCTGAAATTGAGTCAGTAATAAATAGCCTACCAACCAACAAAAGCCCGGGACCAGAGAGATTGACAGCTGAATTCTACCAGATGTAAAAAGAAGAAATTGTACCATTCCTGCTGAAACAATTCCAAAAAATTGAGGAGGAGGGATTCCTCCCTAACTCATTCTATGAGACCAGCATCATTCTGATACCAAAACCCAGCAAAGACACAACAACAAAACAAAGAAAACTTCAGGCCAATATCTTTGATAAACATCGACACAAAAATCCTCAAAAAATACTGGCAAACCAAATCCAGCAGCACATCAAAAAGCTTATCCACCACAATTAAGTAGGCTTTGTCCCTAGGATGCAAGGTTGGTTCACCATACACAAATCAATAAATGTGACTTGTCACATAAATAGAACTAAAGACAAAAACCACATGATTATCTTAATATTTGCAAAAAAGTCTTTTGATAAAATTCAACACCCCTTCCTTCATGTTAAAAACTCAATAAACTAGATGTTGAAGGAACATACCTCAAAATAGTAAGAGCCATCTCTGACAAACTCACAGCCAGCATCATACTGAATGGGCAGAAGCCGGAAGCATTCCCCTTGAAAACTGAAATAAGACAAGAATACCCTCTCTCACCACTCCTATTCAACACAGTATTGGAAGTCTTGACCAGGGCAATCAGGCAAGAGAAAGAAATAAAAGGCATCCAAATAGAAAGAGAGGAAGTCAAACTATCCCTGTTTGCAGATGACATGATCCTATATTTAGAAAACCCCACAGTATTGGTCTAAAAGTCTTTAAGCTGATAAACAACTTCAGCAAAGCCTCAGGATACAAAATCAATGTGCAAAAATCACCAGCACTCCTATACACCAACTACAGTCAAGCCAAGAGCCAAATCAGGAACACAATCCCTTTCACAGTTGCCACAAAAAGAATACAATACCTAGGAATACAGCTAATGAGGGAGGTGAAACATCTCTGCAAGGAGAACTACAAAACACTGCTCAAAGAAATCAGAAATGACACAATCAAATGGAAAGACCTTCCATGTTCATTGATGAGAAGAATCAATATTGTTAAAATGACCATACTGCCCAAAGCAATTTGTAGATTCAATGCTATTTCTATTAAACTACCAATATCATTCTTCACAGAACTAAAAGAAACTATTTAAAAATTCATATGGAACCAAAAAGAGCCCTAATAGCCAAGGCAATCCTAAACAAAAGGAACAAAGCTGGAGGCATCACGCTACCTGACTTCAAACTATACTACAGGTATACAGTAACCAAAATAGCATGGTACTGGTACAAAAACAGACACATAGACCAATGGGACAGAATACAGAACTGAGAAATAAGGCCACACACCTACAACTGTCTGATCTTTGACAAAAATGACAAAACAAGCAATGGGGAAAAGACTCCTTATTCAATAAATGGTGCTGGGATAGCTGGCTAGCCATCTGCAGAATACTGAAACTCGGTTCCTTCCTCACACCATATACAAAAATTAACTCAAGATGGATTAGAGACTTAAATGTAAAACCCAAAACTATAAAAACCCTGGAAGACAACCTAGGCAGTACCATTCTAGACATAGGAATGGGCAAAGATTTCATGATGAAGATCACAAGCAATTGCAACAAAAGCAAAAATTGACAAATGGGATCTAGTTAAACTGAAGAGCTTCTGCATAGTAAAGGAAACTATCAACAGAGTGAACAGACAACCTACAGGGTGGGAGAAAATTTTTGCAAACTGTGCATCTGACAAAGGTCTAATATCCAGCATCTATAAGGAACTTAAACACATTGACAAGAGAAAAACAAACAAAGTGGGCAAAGGACATGAACACTTTTCAAAAGAAGACACACATATGGCCAACAATCATATGAAAAAAAGCTCAACATCACTCATCATTAGAGAAATGCAAATCAAAACCATAATGAAATACCATCTCACACTAGGCAGAACGGCTACTATGAAAAAGTCAAAAAATAACAGATGCTGGCAAGGTTGTGAAGAAAAAGGAACACTTACACACAGTTTGTGGGAGTGTAAAGTAGTTCAATCATTGTGGAAGATAGTATGGTGATTCCTCAGAAACCTAAAGACAGAAATGCTATTTGACTTAGCAATCCCATTACTGGGTATATACCAAAGGAATATAAATTGTTGTATCATAAAGACACGTGCATGCATATATTCATTGCAGCACCATTCACAATAGCAAAGACATTGAATCAACCTAAATACTCATCAATGACAGACTGGATAAAGAAAAATGTGATACATATATACCATGGAAAACTATGCAGCCGAAAAAATGAATGAGGTCATGTCCTTTGCAGGAACATGAATGGAGCTGGAAGCTATAATCCTTAGCAAACTAACACAGGAACAGAAAACCAAATATCCCATGTTCTCACTTATAAGTGGGAGCTAAATGATGAGAAAACATGGACACATAGAGGAGAACAGCACACACTGGGGCCTACTGGAGGATGGAAGGTGGAAGCAGGGATAGGACCAGGAAAAATAACCAACGGGTGCTAGGCTTAATACCTGGGTGACAAAATAATCTGTACAACAAACCCCTGTGACACAAGTTTACCTATATAATGAGCCTACACATGTACCCCTGAACTTAAAAGTTAAAAAAAACCTAAAAAAAAAAAAAAGAAAAACAAGTCACATGTGGGAAGAATATGTTGGTTAAACACTTACCTGATAAATCACTTGTATGCAGAATATATAAATAACTCTCACAACTCAATAATTAGAAAACAAATGCACTGTATCTTAAAATCGGCAAAAGCATTGAACCTATACTTCACCAAAGAAGATATACAGATGGTGAAAAAAAAAATCATGAAAAGATTCCCATTGTTGTTAGTCACCAGGGAAATTTAAATTATAATCACACCCATCTATTCAAATGGCTAAAATTTTAAAAATTGAATGATCCTAAGTGCTTATAGTAATGTTGAGCAAGTGGAACTATCATACGTTGCCAATGCCAATGCAAATTTTTACTACCAGTTTGGAAAAACATTTTGGCAGTTACTTTTAAACTTATACATACATTTACCTTATGACTCCAAAATCTCACTCATAGAAATTTAATCAAAAGAAATGAAAACCCTTGTCTGTATAAATACTTGAACATAAATGTTTATATTGTCATTATTCATAATTGCCAAAATTTGAAAACAACAAAAATGTCTATCAAGTGGTGCATGTATAAACCAAATTGTAGTAAACCTATTCAATGGAATACTATTTAGCAATAAAAGGAATGAAGTACAGATGCATGCAACAACACTGATGAATCTCAAATATGTTAAGAGAAAGATGCCCATCTCAAATGGCTACGTACTATAGGATTCCATTGAGATGTCCTTCTGGTGTTCTATTTCTTGTTTGTGGTGTTGTAAACACAACTGTGTGCATTTGTCAGAATTTATAAAACTGTACACTGAAAAATGTCAATTTCACAATATATCTAATATATCTCAACATCTTGATTTTTAAAAAGCTAAATGTGGCTTATAGAGTGTAATATAACTTGAGATTGAGTTTCTTGTTTCTAAACATAAATTGTTAATGTGTTGGCAAGTATAACTTCTATCCTTACTAAAACTTTCCTGAAGTTTTTATGGATTACCTCAATGATGCACACTTAAATACAGACTAAAAGTAAATATTTATCTTACTAGATTTATCTTCATTTTTCTTATCTTCCTGTCCTTGGCTTTTAAAGATCAATTCACTAGAAAGAAATCTAAAAGTTATTAGTTGTTATCTCTGGAGGTGGAATCACAGGATTAAATAATTTTGTTCTTTGTATATTTTTGTATTTTCCAATGTTATGATTACCATGTATTATTTTTATAATCAGAAAAACTTACTAAAATAAGACAGTACCCCAAATTACCTTAAGATTACCATTTGAAGATATCTGACTTTCTGGAGCTACACACACAGAGTCACTCTCTTTCTTGCAGCCACCTGTCTAATTTAGGTTGCTTCCTAAGGGACTAACAGATGTTGGTCACCAAGAAGCTCTGCAACAGAGACAGTTACCTCAGGCGAGTTGTGGTGAAAGTGATGCCTCTTTCTGACTTGCACAAAATATGTCTTCACTCATAATGTACACAATCTGCATGAAACATGGCCTGTCTTATGTTCGAATACATACACCTACTTAAGCACAAATTAAAAAATTCCCATAAGTTCTAGATTACATTTTGTGTAATATGTGTGGGCCATTCATAGCTCAAGCTATTTTTCTCTATCTCACACCAAGTTTAAATAGAATTCACAGAGATGATAGGCACATTTTAAAAATAACATCACTAATGAAAGAAAAAATGCATGGAATATTTTAAAGCTGTCTTTTCTATTATGAAAGTATCACAATGAGAATCTAGAAAAACCAGAAATGCTATATATCTACATATCTCTATCTCCTTAGGTCTATCTATTTATCTATCTATCTATCTATCTATCTATCTATCTATCTATCTATTATCTATCTTTCCATCATCTATCTAATCTATCACCACACATATCCCTACTACTCAGAAATAAGGTGCTATTAACATTTCAGAGCATTTCTTTTAGGTATTTCTACATATGTATGTATGAATGTATGTATGTATCTATCGTTCTATCACCACACATATCTCTATTACTCAGGAATAAGCTGCTATTAACATTTCAGAGTATTTCTTTCAAGTCTATTATCTATCTATCTGTCTATCTCTCTATCTATCTATCTACCATCTATCTATCTAATCTATCACTGTTCATATTCCTGCTACTCAGGAATAAGCTGCTGTTAACATTTCAGAGTATTTCTTTCAGGTATTTTTCTCTATGCATAAACACTACCACATGTATTTAAAGCTGTCCTATATTTATATCATCACTTTAGTACTTCCATTGGTAAAATAAAACTGCAGCTGTGTTGCACTGTATACCCTGCTACTCAGGGTATTTGGAAGCTGAAAATTTCTTCTTATCACATTCTTTTATTACTAGAATTAGCCAATAAATTATTAGACACAATTCAGTAAGGCCATGTGCCTTTTCCTTTTATTTATTTTGTTTTCCCAGCAATTTGCTAATTTCCCCATATTTCCTGAGCTCCTTTTCAGTTTCTCTCAGGTAGTTATTATATCTATGATTGAAAATAAGAGGGCATTAATATTAACAATCTTCCTGCCTCAATGTGACTAATCCCATCCGTAAGTGAAGTGTTTTCTATTTAAACACAATTTGAGCGGGTGGAGCCAAGATGGCCAAATAGGAACAGCTCCAGTCTACATCTCCCAGCGTGAGTGATGCAGAAGATGGGTGATTTCTGCATTTCCAACTGAGGTATCGGGTTCATCTCACTGGGGAGTGTCAGAGAGTCAGTGCAGGACAGTGAGTGCAGCGCACCGAGTGTGAGCCAAAGCAGGGCCAGGCATCGCCTCACCCAGGAAGTGCAAGGGGTCAGGGAATTCCCTTTCCTAGTCAAAGAAAGGGGTGAGAGTTTGCACCTGGAAAATCAGGTCACTCCCACCCTAATACTGCGCTTTTCCAACAGTCTTAGTAAACGGCACACCAGGAGATTATATCCCACACATGGCTCAGAGAGGCCTACGCCCACAGACCCTCACTCATTGCTAGCACAAGAGTCTGAGATCAAACTGCAAGGCGGCAGTGAGGCTGGGGGATGGGGCGCCCGCCATTGCTGAGGCTTGAGTACGTAAACAAAGCAGCTGGGAAGCTCTAACAGGGTGGAGCCCACCGCAGCTCAAGGAGGCCTGCCTGCCTCTGTAGACACCACTTCTGGGGGCAGGGGATAGCCAAACAAAAGGCAGCAGAAACCTCTGCAGACTTAAATGTCCCTGTCTGACATCTTTGAAGAGAGTAGTGTTTCTCCCAGCATGCAGCTGGAGGTCTGAGAATGGACAGACTGCCTCTTCAAGTGGGTCCCTGACCACCGAGTAGCCTAACTGGGAGGCACCCCCCAGTAGGGGCAGACTGACACCTCACACGGCCGGGTACTACTCTGAGACAAAACTTCCAGAGGAACGATCAGGCAGCAACATTTGCTGTTCACCAATATCCACTATCCACTGTTCTGCAGCCTCCGCTGCTGATACCAAGGCAAACAGGATCTGGAGTGGACCTCCAGCAAACTCCAACAGACCTGCAGCTGAGGGTCCTCACTGTTAGAAGGAAAACTAACAAACAGAAAGGACATCCACACCAAAACTCCATCTGTACGTCACCATCATCAAAGACCAAAGGTAGATAGAACCACAAAGATGGGGAAATAAAAGAGCAGAAAAACTGGAAACTCTAAAAATCAGAGTGCCTCTCCTCCTCCAAAGGAATGCAGCTCCTCACCAGCAATGGAACAAAGCTGGACGGAGAATGACTTTGATGAGTTGAGAGAAGAAGGCTTCAGATGATCAAACTACTCCGAGCTACAGGAGGAAGTTTGGACCCATAGCAAAGAAGTTAAAAACCTTGAAAAAAAATTAGACGAATGGCTAACTAGAATAACCAATGCAGAGTAGTCCTTAAAGGACCTGATGGAGCTGAAAACCAGGGCATGAGAACTATGTGACGAATGCACAAGCCTCAGTAGCCGATTTGATCAACTGGAAGAAAGGGTATCAGTGATGGAAGATCAAATGAATGAAATGAAGTGAGAAGAGAAAGTTTAGAGAAAAAAGAACAAAAAGAAACAAAGCCTCCAAGAAATATGGGACTATGTGAAAAGACCAAATCTATGTCTGATTGGTGTACCTGAAAGTGACAGGGAGAATGGAACCAAGTTGGAAAACACTCTGCAGGATATTATCCAGGAGAACTTCCCCAGTCTAGCAAGGCAGGCCAACATTCAAATTCAGGAAATACAGAGAATGCCACAAAGATACTCCTCGAGAAGAGCAACTCCAAGACACATAATTGTCAGATTCACCAAAGTTGAAATGAAGGAAAAAATGTTAAGGGCAGCCAGAGAGAAAGTTTGGGTTACCAACAAAGGGAAGCCCATCAGACTAACAGCTGATCTCTCAGCAGAAACTCTACAAGCCCGAAGAGAGTGGGGCCAATATTTAACATTCTTAAAGAAAAGAATTTTCAACCCAGAATTTCATATTCAGCCAAACTAAGCTTCATAAGAGAAGGAGAAATAAAATACTTTACAGACAAGCAAATGCTGAGAGATTTTGTCACCACCAGGCCTGCCCTACAAGAGCTCCTGAAGGAAGCACTAAACATGGAAACGAACAACTGGTAACAGCCACTGCAAAAACATGCCAAATTGTAAAGACCATCGAGGCTAGGAAGAAAATGCATCAACTAATGAGCAAAATAACCAGCTAACATCATAATGACAGGATCAAATTAACACATAACAATATTAACCTTAAATGTAAATAGGCTAAATGCTCCAATTAAAAGACAAAGACTGGCAAATTGGATAAAGAGTCAAGACCCATCAGTGTGCTGTATTCAGGAAACCCATCTCACATGCAGAGACACACATAGACTCAAAATAAAGGGATCGAGGAAGATCTACTAGGAAATGGAAAACAAAAAAAGGCAGGGGTTGCAATCCTAGTCTCCGATAAAACAGACTTTAAACCAACAAAGATCAAAAGAGACAAAGAAGGCCACTACATAATGGTAAAGGGATCAATTCAACAAGAAGAGCTAACTATCCTAAATATATATACACCCAATACAGGAGCACCCAGATTCATAAAGCAAGTCCTTAGAGACCTACAAAGAGACTTAGACTCCCATACAATAATAGTGGGAGACTTTAACACCCCACTGTCAACATTAGACAGTTCAAAGAGACAGAAGGTTGACAAGGATATCCAGGAATTGAACTCAGCTCTGTACCAAGCAGACCTAACAGACATCTACAGAACTCTCCACCCCAAATCAACAGAATATACATTTTTTTCAGCACCACACCACACCTATTCCAAAATTGACCACATAGTTGGAAGTAAAGCACTCCTCAGCAAATGTAACAGAACAGAAATTATAACAAACTGTCTCTCAGACCACAGTGCAATCAGACTAGAACTCAGGATTAAGAAACTCACTGAAAACCGCTCAACTACATGGAAACTGAACAACCTGCTCCTGAAAGACTACTGGGTACATAACGAAATGAAGGCAGAAATAAAGATGTTCTTTGAAACCAATGAGAACAAAGACACAACATACCAGAATCTCTGGGACACAGGCAAAGCTGCGTGTAGAGGGATATTTATAGCAATAAATGCCCACAAGAGAAACCAGAAAAGATCTAAAATGGACACCCTAACATCACAATTAAAAGAATTAGAGAAGCAAGAGCAAAGACATTCAAAAGCTAGCAGAAGGTAAGAAGTAACTAAGATCAGAGCAGGACTGAAGGAAATAGACACACAAAAAACCCTTCAAAAAATCAATGATTCCAGGAGCTGGTTTTTTGAAAAGATCAACAAATTGATAGACCGCTAGCAAGACTAATAAAGAAGATAAGAGAGAAGAAACAAATAGACGCAATAAAAAATGTAAAGGGGATATCACCACCAATCCCACAGAAATACAAACTACCATCAGAGAATACTATAAACATCTCTACGCAAATAAACTAGAAAATCTAGAAGAAATGGATAAATTCCTCGACACATACACCCTCCCAAGACTAAACCAGGAAGAAGTTGAATCTCTGAATAAACCAAGAACAGGCTCTGAAATTGAGGCAATAATTAACAGCTTACCAACCAAAAAAAGTCCAGGAGCAGATGGATTCACAGCCGAATTCTACCAGAGGTACAAGGAGGAGCTGGGACCATTCCTTCTGAAACTATTCCAATCAATAGAAAAAGAGGGAATACTCCCTAACTCATTTTATGAGGCCAGCATCATCCTGATACCAAAGCCTGACAGAGACACAACAAAAAAAGAGAATTTTAGGCCAATATGCCTGATGAACATCCATGCAAAAATCATCAATAAAATACTGGCAAACCAAATCCAGCAGCACATCAAAAAGCTTATCCACCATGATCAAGTGGGCTTCATCCCTAGGATGCAAGGCTAGTTCAACGTGTGCAAATCAATAAACATAATCCAGCATATAAACAGAACCAAAGACAAAAACCACATGATTATCTCAATAGATGCAGAAAAGGCCTTTGACAAAATTCAGCAACCTTCATGCTAAAAACTCTCAATAAATTAGGTATTGATGGGATGTATCTCAAAATAATAAGAGCTATTTATGACAAACCCACAGCCAATATCTTACTGAATGGACAAAAACTGGAAGCATTCCCTTTGAAAACTGGCACAAGACAGGGATGCCCTGTCTCATCACTCCTATTCAACATAGTGTTGGAAGTTCTGGCCAGGGCAATCAGGCAGGTGAAGGAAATAAAGCGTATTCAATTAGGAAAAGAGGAAGTCAAATTGTCCCTGTTTGCAGATGACATGATTGTATATCTAGAAAACCCCATTGTCTCAGCCTAAAATCTCCTTAAGCTGATAAGCAACTTCAGCAAAGTCTCAGGATACAAAATCAATGTGCAAAAATCACAAGCATTCTTATACAACAATAACAGACAAACAGAGAGCCAAATCATGAGTGAACTCCCATTCACAATTGCTTCAAAGAGAATAAAATACTTAGGAAGCCAACTCACAAGGGATGTGAAGGACCTCTTCAAGGAGAACTACAAACCACTGCTCAATGAAATAAAAGAGGATACAAACTAATGGAAGAACATTCCATGCTCATGGGTAGGAAGAATCAATAGCATGAAAATGGCCATATTGCCCAAGGTAATTTATAGATTCAATGCCATCCCCATCACGTTACCAATGACTTTCTTCACAGAATTGAAAAAAATTACTTTAAAGTTCATATGGAACCAAAAAAGAGCCCACATGGCCAAGACAATCCTAAGCCAAAAGAACAAAGCGGGAGGCATCACGCTACCTGACTTCAAACTATACTACAAGGCTACAGTAACCAAAACAGCACGGTACTGGTACCAAAACAGAGATATAGATCAATGGAACAGAACAGAGCCCTCAGAAATAATGCCACACATCTACAACCATCTGATCTTTGACAAACCTGACAAAAACAAGAAATGGGGAAAGGATTCCCTATTTAACAAATGGTGCTGGGAAAACTGGCTAGCCATATGGAGAAAGCTGGAACTGGATTCCTTCCTTACACCTTATACAAAAAGTAATTCAAGATGGAATAAAGACTTAAATGTTAGACCTAAAACCATACAAACCCTAGAAGAAAACCTAGGCAATACCATTCAGGACATAGGCATGGGCAAGGACTTCATGTCTAAAACACAAAAAGCAATGTCAACAAAAGCCAAAATTGACAAATGGGATCTAATTAAACTAAAGAGCTTCTGCACAGCAAAAGAAACTACCATGAGAGTGAACAGGCAACCTACAGAATGGGAGAAAATTTTTGCAATGTACTCATCTGACAAAGGGCTAATATCCAGAATCTACAATGAACTCAAACAAATTTACAAGAAGAAAACAACCCCATCAAAATGTGGGTGAAGGATATGAACAGACACTTCTCAAAAGAAGACATTTAGGCAGCCAAAAGACACATGAAAAAATGCTCATCATCACTGGCCGTCAGAGAAATGCAAATCAAAACCACAGTGAGATACCATCTCACACCAGTTAGAATGGTGATCATTAAAAAGTCAGGAAACAACAGGTGCTGGAGAGGATGTGGAGAAATAGGAACACTTTTACACTGTTGGTTAGACTGTAAACTAGTTCAACCATTGTGGAAGTCAGTGTGGCGATTCCTCAGGGATGTAGAACTAGAAATACCATTTGACCCGGCCATCCCATTACTGGGTATACACCCAAAGGATTATAAATCATGCTGCTATAAATACACAGGCACACGTAGGTTTATTGTGGCACTATTCACAATAGCAAAGACTTGAAACCAACCCAAATGTCCAACAATGATGGACTGGATTAAGAAAATGTGGCACATATACACCATGGAATACTATGCAGCCATAAAAAATGATGAGTTCATGTCCTTTGTAGGGACATGGATGAAGCTGGAAACCATCATTCTCAGCAAACTATCGAAAGGACAGAAAACCAAACACCACATGTTCTCACTCATAGGTGGGAATTGAACAATGAGAACACATGGACACAGGAAGGGGAACATCACACACCGGGGCCTGTTGTGGGTGGGGGGAGTGGGGAGGGACAGCATTAGTATATATACCTAATGTTAAATGTCGAGTTAATGGGTGCAGCACACCAACATGGCACGTGTATACATATGTAACAAAGCTGCATGTTGTGCACATGTACCCTAAAACTTAAAGTATAATAAAAAAAATAAATAAATAAACAGAATTCATGAGACATCTTGTTTCTAATGAAATTTTGAATTTCTTTTGAATTTCATTTTATTTTTGAAACAGACCTCCTTCTTGTTATTTTTTCTCTTTTTGTCTTTCTATTCATTGATATCTCTTGATTCTCTTTTCCTTACCAATTTCATATCTATAGAAATTGCTCTGAAGTTTTAGAACCACTCTGTAGAATAATTTAAAACTCCACTATTTCCTGTAATAAAATATTAACACCACACAAAAAGGGAGATTTGTAGATGAACACAATCTGGACATGAGTATTGAGAGATATAAAAAATTTTCCTTATTAACATATACTTCCTAAATTAGCTCTCTTGAGAAAAGATGCATTGAAAATGGAAATCACTACATTCTGTTTAAAAGAATTCCATTTCACTTCTAAATAAAAGCAACATTTACCTTTACTATTGAGGACAGACAAAGACCTATACAATGATTCATTTCATGACCTTCAAAAAGAAAAAGTCAAGTGTGCCACCTTGTAATAAAATGGGAGAGCAACGAGACAGGTCTTATTACTAGCTTGAAGGTCAGCAACCACAATAAAATAAACATTATTATTCGTGATTTAAACTTTTTACAGGAACCAAATCGACATTGAAAGAGCATAGAACACAAATTGTATATTAAAGTGAAAAGAAATGCATGTCTCATTTTAAAACTAGAATTTTGCTGCATATGGGAGCATCTGTCAAGTGGGGGCTACGTGGGATCCACAGTGTTGGAAATTCCCTCCTTTAGTGATTATGTTTTAGTCAGGGTTAAACAACAGAGAAGCCAATTAAGGATATCTCGTACTTCTCTGAATTGTTAGGTAAGGTTTCCCAAACCAATATATATGGAGAATTAATGTATTTAAACAGATTTTTTAAATACCCCATTTTAATTTAAATTCAGACCTTCTAGTATAGTAATCTTTCCCAGAAGTAACACTGGGAATCTGTTTTTGGGAGGTTTGTCATTTCAACTCCCAACTGCTATATATTTTAAAAAATTGTATGAAACAATACTTTGGTACTATTATTGCCAAATCAGCTTGAGCTCTATCTGTTTACCCACATCTGACCTGGATTCTACTTGCACAGGAGAGTCTAGACTCCCTTGGGTAAATGAGGATTACTTGAGGACTGATAGTTCCTCAGATGCGGAATTAATACTCTTTTTGAACATGGAGAAATCTGAAGTTTCTTCCACCTGGGGCATAGGTGTATTCCAGAGGAACAGGAGCTTTGCTGGATGCGGAAGAGAGTCAAAAGCTAAGTGTCCTTTAACAGCGTTCAGAATTATTGTCAGTGAAGAAGGGTGGGGCAATGTGTGTCAGTCAAGGTCCAATGAGGAACAGGTGGCCCCAAAAAGCAATTTAGTGTGCTTTTATTAAATTTTCCAACAGAGGAAATAGAGGAAGGTGAGGGGACTCAGACATTACAAACTACAGGAAGCCACTGCTTTCTCTGTCTGGAGAGCCAAAAGGGAAGGAAAGTGGATTCACTTGAGCCCTGAAGCTGGGGCCACCCACCAGAGCGGAGACCACCAGGCAGCCACCAAGAAGGAGTTGGGTCCTAGAGGGTAGGTCTGCCTGGTGGGAGCTGGAACCACAGAGAAGAATTGAGCTCTCACAAAGATGCTGACTGAAGCAAAGAGAGGGGAAAATTATCCTGGATTCTCCTACCTGTCCACACTTGTCTTTTGCCAGAGCCTCCTACTGCCCAGTCTCACAGAAAAGAAGCTCCTAAGAGAGCCTGGGTAATGTAAAATGCAGTGGTCAGAACAGGAGAGGGCCACGAAAGGGACCTTAACTGAAGGAAAACAGACATATGACCAACTCATCCTAGCTGAGAGGGCTCTCACCCAAACTGTTCCCAGGCCAGACTTTAGATACTGTCTAAAGTTTATCCATGAGGAAGACTTAAAACTGAAAGACCAAGAGTAACTTCTGCATTATTAGAAGGTATGAGCCACAAGACTCAGGTTGTTTAAAGGAGTGGTGATCAATAAAGGGAAATAATTTTTCCACTTGGGGCAAAAAGAAATATGGTTCTTTAAGGAGAAGTTTTGAAGTCAGTGGCCTAGCAGGAGCAGCAGGAGAGAACCGTCTTGGGAACAAGTGGTGATGAGGAGTGAAAGATGAAGGTGGAAGAGAGGTCAGAGGCTCCTGTTAGGGAAAGGTTCAGCCTTAGCCGAAGGGGTGGTCTCAAGGCTGACACAGAAAAAGCAGCCGTGTACAGACCCTGAAATCTGCAGGCAAGGAAGTTTGACAGGATTTCTTGGACCTGTTGACATAAAATGGCAGAGATAGAACCAGCCTTTAGAAAGTAGAGGACAGTCACTGAAACCTAGAAATAAAGGCTCTATTATTAGGACACACATTATATATATATATGGTGATAATAAAGATAGTTGGTAGTGTCTATGGCCTTGGGCATGGTGTTAAATGAGTAAAGCATCTCACTTAATTCTCACAAAAATCTTGTAGAGTAGGCTCTCTTCTTATCACTTTATAGACCAAGAGAGTAAGGACTGAAGTCAGGGCTGGTAAGAGGTAGAATAGAATCTGACCTTGTGCCATCTGACTTCAGAGGCTTCTTGTTCAACCATCATGCTGTGCTCTCCCATTACATAATCTTTGTGGTATGATGATATAATTTCATCATTCTTAAGACTAGCCATACTTTCTGTTCTTCTTTATAGGGATAAATTTATAAGATTTTCTAGGTCATGCCCATTACAGAAAGCAAGTTAAGTTTCTCAAGAAGCATGTATTCCTCCCAAAGGACAAAACAAACGTGTATCCACTGACACCCCCAGAAAGGGTATTTTGGCCCCCATTCAAGCTGGCCAGGTGCCATCCATCTGGCTGTGCATCCTGTTTGACTTAATTCAGTAATTTGACTCATTGAAGCCGTGTGCATCACAGCTTACTACTTGGGAGCCCTCTTAAAACAGAAATAAAAACTCTCTGCAGATGTGACCAAGCTGATGAAAAGCAAGGAAGTTTCTAGTTAGAAAGTACCATCATTCCATTCTCATACCATCTGAATTGATAATGCCAGGAAGGAAAACTTTCATGTTACTTAATAGGATGAGCACTTCTTCCTGAGGAATCCAGTCTTCTGTAAAATGACAGAGATCCTGGAGGTAAGCCTGCATGGCCCAAACTTCATCTCTTGCTTATCTTAAGGTAGCTGCAATTTAGAATTTCTGTTTCTGAAGCAAGGAAAAATAAAACAGCAGCCAAATTTCAGCCGGTTATAGGATGTTCTGGAACTGCTCTTTTATTTGGGGAAAAACACAGAAAGAGTTTTACTGTGCTTTATACCAAAGGCATGTATGATAAATTACATGCCACTTTAGTTCCTTGTAAGTGAAGTGGAACCAAAGCACTCATTTTTCTTAACCTTGATCTTTCCAGCTAACCATAAGGATTTATTAGCCAAGATACAAAAATATAAATCACAAAAGAAAAAAACTGGTAAATTGGGATCCACAACATCTTTTGCTTGTAAAAAGACATTTTTAGGAAAATAAAAAGCAAGCCACACATCAAAAGAAATATTTGATAACTACCCACCAAATAAAGGTCTAGTACAAAGAATATGTAAAGAACTCTCACAACCTCATTTAAAAAAATAGGCAAATGATTTGAATAGACTCTTCACCTAAAGAGATATATAGATGACTGTCAAACAAACAAACATATAGTGTTTCAAATTAGTAGTCACTGAGAAAATGCAAATTATAATCACAACAAGAGATCATTAGAATGACAAATATTAAAAATCTGATGATCCTAAGTGCTTGCAATAACATGGAGCAAGTGAAACATTCATATGTTGCTCATAGGAATGCAGGATTTTGCTGCCACTTTGGAAAACAATCTGGAAGTTTCTTTTAAAGTAATATGTACATTTACCATATGATATGGTTTGTGTGTGTCTCCACTCAAACCTCATCTTGAATTGTAGCTCCCACAATTCCTACATGTTGTGGGAGGAACCCAGTGGGAAGTAATTGAATCATGGGGTTGGGTCTTTCCCATGCTATTCTTGTGATAGTGACTAAGTCTCTTGAGATCTGATGGTTTTATAAAGCGGAGTTTTCCTGCGCAAATCTCAGGTATTGCCCAGACTTTCCACTGCCCAGTATCGGGTATGTCTTTATCAGCAGCATGAAAACAGACTAACACAGTAAATTGGTACCAGTAGAGTAGGGCGCTGCTGAAAATATACCTGAGAATGTGGAAGTGACTTTGGAACTGGGTAACAGGCAGAGGTTGGAACACTTTAGAGGGCTTAGAAAAAGACAGGAAAATGTGGGAAAGTTTGGAACTCCCTAGAGACCTGTTGAATGTCTTTGACCAAAATACTGATAATGATATGGAAAATGAAAGCCAGGCTGAGGTGGTCTCAGATGGAGATGAGGAACTTATTGGTAACTAGAGCAAAAGTGACTCTTGTTATGTTTTAGCAAAGAGACTGGTGGCATTTTGCCTTTGCCCTAGAGATTTGTGGGACTTTGAACTTGAGAGAGATGATTTAGGGTATCTAGTGGAGGAAATTTTTAAGCAGCAGAGCATTCAAGAGGTGACTTGGGTGCTGTTAAAGGCATTCAGTTTTAAAAGGGAAACAGAACATAAAAGTTTAGAAAATTTACAGCCTGACAATGTGATAGAAAGGAAAATCCCATTTTCTGAGGAGAAATTCAAGCTGGCTGCAAAAATTTGCATGAGTAACAAGGAGCCAACGTTAATCCCCAAGACAATGGGGAAAATGTCTCCAGAGCATGTCAGAGACCTTTTGGCAGCCCATCCCATCACAGGTCTGGAGGCCTAGAAGGAAAAAATGGTTTTGTGGGCTGGGCCCAAGTCCCTCTGCTGTGTGCAGTCTAGTGACTTGGTGCCCTGCATCCCAGCACCTCCAGCCTTGACTAAAAGGGTTCAAGGTACAGCTTGGGCCATGGCTTCAGAAGGTGCAAGCCCAAGCCTTGGCAGCTTCCACGTGGTGTTGAACCTATGGGTGCACAGAAGTTATGAATTGAGGTTTGGGAATCTCCACCTAGGTTTCAAAAGCTGTATGGAAATGCCTGGATGCCTAGGCAGAAGTTTGCTGAAGGGGTGGGGTGCTCATGGAGAACCTCTACTAGGACAGTGTGGAAGGGAAATGTGGGGTAGGCACTACCACACAGAGCCCCCACTGGCGTGCTGCCTAGTACACCTGTGAGAAGAAGGACACCATCCTCCAGACCCCAGAATGTTAGATCCACTGACAGCTTGCACCATGAGCCTGGAAAAGCTGCAGACACTCAATGTCAGCCCATGAAAGCACCCAGCAGGGAGGCTGTACCCTGCTAAGTCACAGGGGCAGAGCTTCCCAAGACCATGTGAACACACCTCTTGCATCAGCATGAACCAGATGTGAGGCATGGAGTCAAAGGAGATCATTTTAGAGCTTTAAGATTTGACTGCCCTGCGGATTTTGGACTTGCATAGGGCCTGTAGTCCCTTTGTTTTGGCCAATTTCTCCCATTTGGAATTGTTTTGTCTATCCAATGCCTGCATACCCATTTTATCTAGTAATTAACTAACTTGCTTTTGATTTTACTGCTTCATAGGTAGAAGAAACTTGCCTTGTCTCAGATAAGACTTTGGACTGTGGACTTTTGAGTTAATGCTGAAATAAATTAAGACTTTGGGGGACTGTTGGGAAGGCATGATTGGTTTTGAAATGTGATGGCATGAGATTTGGGAGAAGCCAGGGTGGAATGATATGGTTTGGCTGTGTCTCCACCGAAATCTCATCTTGAATTGTAGCTCCCACAATTCCATCGTGTTGTGGGAGGGACCCAGTGGGAGGTAATTGAATCATAGGGGTGGGTCTTTCCTGTGCTATTCTTGTGATACTGAATAAATCTCACAAGATCTGATGGTTTTATAAAGGGGAGTTTCCCTGCACAAGTTCTCCTCGTCTGCTGCCATGTGAGTTGTGCCTTTCACCTTCCGCCATGATTGTGAGGCCTCCCCAGCCATGTGGAACTGTGAGTCCATTAAGTCTTTCTTTTGTAAATTGCCCAGTCTTGGGTATGTCTTTATCAGCAGCGTGAAAACAGACTAATACACCATACGAGTGGCATATTCAGAGTACAATGGGGCTTTTGATCAATGTAACTTAGGGTAGGGGGTGGTATAGCAGAGGAGTGGGAAGTGTTAATGCTTCACCACCATGGAAAAACTAAAAGCTTGTCACTTATCAACAGAGAATCTGTGCCTGCCATTCTTTTTCTATCCTTATGTGACACTATTGACCAAGAATGACAGGGAAGTACAGTTTTTATTTTAAAGTATTCAACTAATTCATTAGGTCACCTCCTTGCTATGGCAGCCCTATATTATAATTTGTATTGGAGTTTGACATATTTAATAAGTCCTTATTGAGCACTCTTAGTGTGCAGATCACTGTAATGAGTACTACAGGGAAGGAAATAAAAGACAACTTTAGATTTCTCTGGAATTATACTACATTGCATGCTGACTCTGCACTATGAAATAGTGCTGAGGGCTGTTTTTAGAGCATCTCATTTATTCTTGACAATAGTACCATCATCTCCATTTAATATACAAGGAAACTGAGGTTCAGCACAGATGAGTAACTTGTCCAGAGTCACAGTCAATAAGTGGCAAAGAGGAGTTTAAAAACAAGGTCTGTCCATTTTTAATTCTAAAACCTTTGCTATTAGTCACAGAGTTGTTGGGACCCAGCTGGCTGCTCTTCCAGTCTTACTGCTCATGGCTTCCATAACAAGCTGTTTAGTTTTCCATTTGCTTAACTGTTTGTCTGAGTGCTAACATCTAAAACCAGGAAGAAAAGGAAACACTGAACTATCCACAAAGATATGTGAGTCCCAAAGAAGAATCATTTTTTTAACATAGAGAATAAGAAAACCATATTTAAAAGATGTAATGATAGGAAAATAAAATGTTTGCTTAGGTTGTTTCTTATACAGTCATATCTAGCTCATAAAATGTCAACATTAGAACAAAGACTGACATTAGTTTATAGTTCATGAAATAATGATACAAAATAATATAGATTGGGCTATTAGCCACTAATGAAACCTCAGGACTAGTAAGCCTTATAGTTCCTCTTATCATTCTGATCTAAATTTGAATACCTCAAAGAAAAATAAAAATTGGGAAAACTTTTAATTGTGATTCATTACATTAATACCCAATAGAGCATCTGGCAAAAAAATTAAATGATGAAAATAAAAATAATTTTAATTTTAAAATCAAAATAATTTAAATCAGCTTAGTAAAACCTTTCTCACCTTCCACCTACCTATTTCATCAGTGAGAAAAATCTTGGTCTAGTGAAGTTGGGGCAGGGGCAATGTATAAGCCCTCTTACATCCCCAGGACACAGCATAAGTCTGGAATAGATGGTTCAGGAAGCAGTTTCTTAAACTGCATCATAATGATGAAGTCCTACATTAAGTAAGATCCCAGGGTTAGTTAACAGCAGGCAGGGTAAGAGTTGAAACCTCTAGTCTTTTCCTTATGAAATATTGCTTCCAGTTTAATTGATTTTATTTAGATGGGTTTATACTTCAGCACAGATATTCAGGCAGCACTTGTATTTCCCTAGGGACTCTGTTTATAAACATTCAGAGTTAGTTACAGGTAAAGTTAGAATATCTTTCCCTCTTTTGTTTAATATTTATTAAGGACTTACTATGTGTTATATTCTGTGCTATGTGTTTTGCATAAAATATATCATCACAATGAACTTCTTTTGCAGATGAAGAAACAAAAGTTCTGAGAGGTCTTCAGGAACTTGTACATAATTACAGAAGTAATAAGTATTGGTTGGAAATGAAACCAAGGGCTACCTCTTGTCCCCAAATCTCATGCTGTTAACTCCTTCACCATGAGTTTCTGGTTCTATTCCTAGACTCCAGGCATCATATACTCCTGTTAATACTTTCTGTCTTCAAGCAAGTCCATTTACATTATAAAAGGTTAAATTGTTCATGAATATAACTTCTAGATTCAGACCACCTGGATTCAAATTTAAACTCTACATATACTAGCTGTGAGTTATTGCCCAGTGTGCATAATCTTACCAAGGCTTCAATTTCCTCACTTATAGGATAAGGAAGACAGTATGGCCTACCTAGTGACAATGGACGGTTGTGAGGATTAAATGAGATAAATCATGTAAAGCATTTGCCTGACTCTTATTAAGTGTTCAATAATACTATCATAAACTCCTTTGAAATTAGGCATAAGACTTTAGGTGTACAAAGAACCTGAACAGAGATGTATTTGAATTCATGTCTTTATAAAACACAAAAATTATTGCAACAATCTTCAAATAGTCTTCAAGCCTTCTCCACACATTGTTGTAATCTATGTAAAGGAAAATTTAAAAAATCTCATCCAGGTGCAGTGGCTGAAGCCTGTAATCCCAGCACTTTGGGAGGCCGAGCTGGGCAGATCACCTGAGGTCAGGAGTTCAAGACCAGCCTGGGCAACATGGTGAAACCCCGTCTCTACTAAAAACACAAAAAAATTAGCCAGGCATGGTGGCATACACCTGTAATCCCAGCTACTCTGAAGGCTGAGACAGAAGAATCACTTGAACCCAGGAGGCAAGGGTTGCAGTGAGCCGAGATCGCACCACTGCATGACAGCCTGGGTGACAGAATGAGATGCTATCTCAAAAAAAAAAAAATCTCAGGACCCCATTCTCCTTATGCCTGGAGACTGAGTCATGCAACACCCCTTCCAAATGAATAGCTGTTACTAGCATCGTGAATAGCCAGATCCCCATGAAAAAGTAAAAGGCCTCAGGTATCTACAAAAGACTGGCCTCACAGAACATTCATATGAAAATTCTTTGCTGGCCCCACATAAATAAGGGCATGCCAATTATAATTTTAGGTCTGTAATCTAAGTCTAGCTTCTAAAACTAAAGTCTGTCTGATTCTACACTGATAATGTCCATTGCAAGCTTATCTTCCCAGGTGCAGAACAAAGACAAGGCCAGATCAATCATTCCTCCACTTATTCAGAGACGTCTGCATAATTGATTCTTCCTTTATTCCCTTTTTCTCTTCAAACATTCACCTTATTCTGTGTACACAAGAATGTAACCTTGTGAGACTTTAGTTAGTGCCCAGTAAATCTATAAATTTATAAGGAGACTTATGTTCACCTTACTGCCTGCCTGTCTCTCTTTCTACATGTCTTCCCTCATTTAAGGAAGTGTACAAATACTAAATCTCCTGAAAACTTTTTCAGAAAAGCAGCCACATATGCATCTGTGGCTTGAGTTTTTCCTAGACATAACCTAATGCTGGCTTAATCAACCTCAATTGATTGATATCTTTGCTTCAATCACTCATTTTTATTTTCATCTACATATTGTATCCATTGTATACCACTATAAACTGAAATGTACTTACTGTTGCTAATGTGAACAAAAATGTATCTGAGACAAATCTCAATCAGTTTAGAGGCTTATTTTACCAAGCTTAAGGACATGCCTGTGACGCAGCCTCAGGAGGTCCTGAAGACATGTGCCCAAGGTGGTTGGGCTACAGTATAGTTTTATACATTTTAGAGAGACATAAGACATCAATCAATACATGTAAGATATACATTGGTTCTGTCTAGAAAGGCAGATGGGACAACTCGAAGCCAGAGGGGGTAAGTGGGGTGGGTGGGACAGCTTCCAGGTCATAGGTGAATACAAAGATTTCCTGATTGGTAATTGGTTGGAATCAGCAGAAGAAAATGTGTGGGTTAAGATAAGGGATTTTGGAGACCAGGATTCTTGTTGTATGGATAAAGCCTCTGAGTAGCAGGCTTCAGAGAGAATAAATTTTAAATGTTGCTTATCAGACTTAAAAAGTTGCCAGACTCTTAGGATCAGGGAAAAGACCTAGAAAGGTAAGGGGATTCTCTACAGAATGTAGATTTTCCCCACAAAAGACAGCTTTTCAGGGCCATTTCAAAATATCAAAGAAATATACTTTAGGGTAAAATACTTGGACTTCTTCCAGGGCCTGCTACCTATCATGTGATGCTATACTAGAGTCAGGCTGGAATTTGATGTCTCATTGCTACAAAAGGTCTGTTTCGTCAGTCTTAAGATCTCTGTTTTTTTCTTTTCTTTCTTTCTTTCTTTTTTTTTTTTTTTTTGAGACATTGTCTCACTCTGTCGCCCAGCGTGGAGTGCAGTGGTGTGATCTTGGCTCACTGTAATCTCTGCTTCCTGGGTTCAAGTGATTCTTGTGCTTCAGCCTCCCAAGTAGCTGGGATTACAACTGTCCCACCATGCCCAGCTAATTTTTTTTTCCATATTTTTAGTAGAGACGACATTATGCTGTGTTGGCCAGGCTGGTCTCGAACTCCTGGCCTCAAGTGATCTGCCTGTCTTGGCCTTCCAAAGTGCTGGGATTACAGGCATGAGCCACTGCACCTGGCCAGATCTCTGTTTTAATGTTAATGCTGGTTAGTTGTGCCTGAATTCCAAAGGGAGGAGAATATTATGAAGCACATCCAACCCTCTTTTCTCCTCGTGGTCTGAACTAGTTTTTCAGGTTAACTTTGGAACGCCCTTGGCTGAGAGGAAGGGTCCATTCAAATGGTTGGGGGCTTCGAATTTTCTTTTTAATTTACACTAAACTAATCTGATCATGAGGCTTCCTTGTCTAAAAATCTTCCATTTTTCTGCAGAAGACTAAGACAAGACAGGTCCAAACTGAATCGTCTTAGTGTGACAATCAGATCTACAATTTAACCTTCACTTTATATAATCAATGTTTGAGCCACAGTGAATCACTTGTTACTCTCGTTATAAATTATTTGCTTCGCTCATATCTGCATGTCCAAATCACACTTATTCCTAGACTTGGGTCAAATGCTGCCCCTTCCACGTCTTTCTGGATCCCCTCAGCTTTAAGTGTGTTTTCTTATAGAAATACTTCTCAGTCTTTAGTGTGCATTATAGTCACCTGGAAAGCTTGTTACAACACACATTGCAGCAGTCAACCCCAGAGTTTCTGATGCAGTAGAAATAGGATGGGACCTGGGAATTTGCATTTCTAAGAATTACCTCGTGGTGTTGATGCTGTGAGTACAAGAATTGCACTTTGAAACCACTGTCCTACAGCATGTTAGCTCAAGGCATTTACTACCATTTGCTTTGCATTTCAGTGGTGTATGTTCATGTCATTCATCTTACTAGAGAGCAAACCTCTTGAGAGCAAGATCTGAGGCTAATTAGCTTTTGTCTCTCTATCTTATAATATTAGTGAATGGTGGGGCTTTTAATTATGTTGCTTGGCTAAGTGAATGCTAATGGTATGGAAAGACTTCTCTAGTGGTGGGGTCTAAAGAAATTGAAACACTTTGAACCCATATATGTGGCCATTTGCAGGCTAAAAGAGAATGCATATTTAACAAAGACTTGCAATTTGCAAGCTCCTGATTGAATATGCTAGAGTCAGGCTGGAATTTGGTGTCTTATTGCAACAAAAAGTCTGTTTTGTAGCTGTGCCCACCCTGCAAAAAACTGATATTAAGCAAGGCAATATTTTACACATATTATCTTGCTAAATTCTCATCACAGCTTTTTGCTGGGTGGGCACTATTATTATTCTTACTTTATAGATGAGCAGTGACAATTATATAAGTAATTCTCCCAAAGTCAGCTGGTGAGCAATGGGGAGAACTGGGGTTTAAACCAGGCTCTCTTTCCAAATCCTAGCTCTAAAAGGCTATGCTATGCTCTACTGTCTCACACTGAATGATGACATCTTGACAAAGTCATAGGTTTTCATTCTCATCATCAGTATTCTCATCATCAGCAGGTAGCAGTGGTCTCCTTTAATGTCAATAGTAGGAGGTCAATTAACCTGATATATTTACAGGATTGGCTTCCTGTTATTTTTGTCTATTATATCCTAAACTTAAAAATATATAGGGCTTACTTTGGAATTATAGGCAGAAACTCAAATTGTCAGACTACGCATCTACGAACTGGTAAACTTAAACATCTTAGGGTTATTAATCAACACTAGGACTGTCACATACACTTCCATCCATAAAAAATGATGATGAATTTAAATAACATGAAAGTTGGATTTGTCTGGCACAAATACATTGATTGACAGAGAGAAAAAAAGACAAAGAAGAAAGCCTGAGCAACTAGTGTTAGGAGAACCAGTTTTATATTTAATATTCATAATTAAAACTATTTGCTTCAAAATTACTTTAAGACTCTTGATTGCTTTTTAAAAAACTAAAATTTTAGTACTTAGATTAAAAAAAACAGAAATGGCCAGGTTTAAAATGATACATAAGGAGTATCTGTAATAAAATACAAAAATTTCCAGGTAAAGCTATTTTGTAGTAATAGTGGTTATAGTTTTCTAGTGTGTTTTTTTTTTTGTTGTTGTTGTTGAGTGGATTTGAAACACTGAGTTATCTGGCCACTAAAGTTTTTGGCCATATTATTAACAAAAAAATATATATTTCAAAGAAAGAAAGGGATGGACAGTTTCTGCTGTGAGTTTGCTGAATCTGGGGGGCTATAGACAGCATCTTTCATGGAGATGCACCCATGAAGGCAGAAGTAGCAGAAGGAAAGGTGGAGAAAAGTCCTGCAATCTGCAGTGTGGTCTGAATATTCCTTAGTTAACTCCCTGAGCTGAAGATTAATTTACTTGATTATAATTTGCAAAATACCCTGCTGTTATGCTATTTCAAACAACTGTGAGTTTGCACTCTATTAAGAAGTAGATAAAAATTAGTATACTACTTGGAGCTATATTTGATTATCCCTCAGAGTTTTTGCACCCAAGTTTCCAGAAAATTGAATGAAGTTCAGGGGCCATGCCATTAAACCCCAAATAAACCACTGGTAATCCTGGCAGCTTGAATTTACTCAACAGTTTTGTGAATACAATCAGAGAATTTACTGTGGTAAGTATGAGCTAATTAATATTTTTATGGCTTATAGTTTTTTTAAAAAAGATAAAAAGCTGCAGGGAATAAGCCCAAATAAAACATACGTTTATTGAAATATCAATCTATAAAGGGAAATAATCATCTTTCTTAGAGTTATAAGAAAAGAATAATAAGAAACATTAAAATAGTATCTGATTTATGACAAAAAATTAGATTATATCAAGATGATAGGGACAGAAGGCAGGGAAATTCTGGGCAGAAATTCCCTGGTGAGGGCCCTACCCTCAAGTCCAAAAGCCTGATACCACGGCCCAAAGTGAGAACTTACATCCCTGTTTTCTCGCTCAAATGTTGCCTTTTCCAAAACCACCCATGGCCTGCCCTGCCTCCCATCCTGTGCCCATAAAAACCCCAGGCTCCACTGGCAAAGAGAGGAGAAGCAGCTGGATGTCAGCCTATGGTTGGATGTTGGAGAGATTCAGCTTGACTTCAGAGGGACAGCTTAACTGTGTAGCTTCACTTAATCTTCCAGGGAAGATTACCTTCCTGATCTGTCCCTTTTTCAGCTCCCCTTCCTGCCGAGAGCCATTTTCATTGGCAATAAAAATCCCTCACATTTACCACCTTCAATTTGTTCATGTGATCTCATTCCTCCTGGACGCTGAGCAAAAACTCAGGTGCCATTAGTGTGGGTGCAAAAGGCTGTCACGCTGACCCTCCACTGAGCTGTTAACACTGAAGTTGTCCACAGATGGCAAAGCTAAAAGGGCACTGTAACACTTCCTCTGGGGCTTCGGGGTCATGGGCACCCTTCCCTGGATGCTGCTGTGGGGCCAGTATGGAGTTTGCTCTTGCCAGCATCCAAAAGCACTCACCCTAGCTCCTGCACCCACTCACCTGAGCTCCCTATCCCATGAAGGGTGGAGCAGCAAGGGAGTGGAGTTTGCCCCTGCTGGTGCCTGGGCACTCCAGTTCCCACACATGAAGGGGTCAGGGAAATATCCTGCTTCAAAGATGTACTGAAGGATGTCACTGCTTACTAGATAGAGACCATTATTGTCTTAAAGAGGACTGGGCTTCAGGGATATAATCCCCATAAGCAGCACACTCTAGTCCTGTTTGCCTCCATGATAACTTGCAACACAAAATCTTCTCCAGTAGGAATTATGTGTTTTCTAATAGCCAATTTGATGCAAAACAAAAAAAATATTTTCAATTGATAGTTGTAAGAATCTGAACTTTTGCCCCCAAAACTCACGGATAAGGTAACTGGACATATTTTCTATAAAAATTTATGGATTCCCATAGATATTTTTCTTCAATAGACATGGGAATCTTTTCCTTGCAACCTTGGATGAGTAATAGCCAAGTACACATTGTTAGTTGATCAAAGGAAATAGCATTTGGTAAGGAAAACAAAAGCAAGATGAATGAGGATGCCTTCAAGGAAGGTAGGGAAATGGCCTGAGCTTTTGAGAATATTTTCTTCAGCTCAAAGGCTGAACTTTCCACATTTTGTGTTTTTGCTTGAGAACACTGAAGGTTAAGTTCCTTTCCCTCTATCTTCACAGTCTTACTCTGTGACCTCAATTTTCCATCAGCTTCAGGGCTCCTAGGGAGCATCAATGTGTCACTTCCCAAGAAAGATAAATGTGAAGTAAATCCAAAATGCATCTGGGCATTTGAACCCCCAAACCTCTCGAACTTTTATTTGCCAGTGAAAAACTGTTTAAAGTTCAAGCTGGGAAAGAAGATACATTAAAACCTTTCTCTCTCTCTCAAGCATCCACAAATGCCTTGTCACTTATTCCCCCTTAGTCCTCCTGAAGTTTTAAGGCCCTATTCCTCACATTATGGGTGAAAAAAAGGCCATACTCATCGATTCACTGATTGGCATTCTGTGCTGAGAGCAGCAGGACAAAACCCTGGCATTTCAGTAACAATGGCTCAGATCTGCATGAGGCTTTTATCTAGTCCCTGGTGAAGCACGATAATTTCCCTCATCCCTTCATGGGTAGGAATTGGAGTGCACCAGCACTGGCCGGGGATGAACTCCACTCACTCACTCAAACCTGCTGTGCTCAACTCCTTGTGGGAGGGAGCATGCAGGTGAGTGGGTGCAGGACCCATGGTGAGTGCTTCTGGGAGCCAGCAGGAATGAACTCCATACCAGCCTGGCAGCAGCATCTAGAGGGTTGCCCATGACCCCTGAAGCCCCAGAAGGAGTGTTACAGTCAGTGCTCTTTTAGCGTTGCCATCAGTGGACAGCTTAAGTGTTAACAGTTCAGTGGAGGGTCAGTGTGACAGCCTTTTGCACCTGCACCAGAGTTCTTGTCTAGCATCCAGGAGGAATGAGGTCACACGAATGAATTGCAGATGGTAAACACAGGGGATTTTATTGCCAACGAAAGTCACTCTCCATGGGATGGGGAGCTGAAAAGGGGATGGAGTGGGAAGATATTCTTCCTCTGGAGTCTGACTGGGGACTACAGGTAATCTTCCCCTGGAGTCCATCCAAAGCTACACTCTCAAGCCAACCCTCTGAAGTCAAGCTGCTTCTGTCTGATGTCCAACCATAGTCTCCAACATCCAGCTGCTTCTCCTTTTCTCCTCTCTCTGCTAGTGGTGCCTGGGGTTTTTATGGGCACAGGATGGGGGCAGGGCAGGCCATAGGTGGTTTTGGAAAAGGCAACATTCGAGCAGGAAAATAGGGTTGTATATGCTCACTTTGGGCCATGGTTCCAGGCTTGAGGGTGGGGCCCTTACCAGGGACCTGGCCTCTTCTGCCCAGAGTTTCTCTGCCTCTTGTCCCTGTCACTGTCTAGGGTAGGAACCTTTGGCTGGAGGGTCACTTTCTATGCACCCCTCCAATCCCCTCTGTCAAATATCCCAGTGAGACCCTAGTGATTTCTGTAAGCCACTGGAGCTGCTTGGAAAATCCAGTGATCCTTCTGACCTACAAGGGAAAACTGGGTGGGCTGGGAGAGCTGCCAAAACTCATGTGATGCCGCTTGTCAAACTCTAGAGCCCACCCCAGGCTACTGTAGAGACACCTTGTGAAGAGTATCCTTCCAGCAACCCCAAAGCCTCCTCTGATTTGAACTCCTCCCTCCAACTCCACCCAGACATCTTTTCTCTCAAGGCTAGAACAGTGCAGCCATTGGTCTAAAATTTGCCTCCCTCCCTTTTTTCCTGGTGTAGGAATCAGGGTCAAGTGTCATTGGGAGGTAGAGATGGTAGAAGTGAGGTTCCTACCTGCCCTCTTGCTTTTATGGAACTTGCAGTCATTATACCATCCTCTTTCATGAGATGGCATCCATCTTCCCCATTACATTTGGCTAGAATGGCAGAACAGCTCAGGTGAGCTTAATTTATAGCAGAAAAAAAATTCACACTGGTTTAATAGTTTTCAACACCAGCCAATTTCTATGTGTGCACAGAGCTGTACATAAGAAACAGTGGCTATGGTGCTGAAATGCACTAAGCTATGTCATAGTAAAATTGATTCTGAAGGAATAAACAAAGATTCCCATTCCTAGAAGAATCTCTATAATATTATCAAGTTTACTTACTGCTTAAGAGAAAGAAACCCAGTATCTTAAAACATTGTCAAGATTCTGGGCAGTCTGATTCTGAAATCTCCCATCAATTTTGCCTTTCAATTAGCAGGTTTTGAACAATATCATGCCCTCGCCTATTGCTTTACTGATCTAATAACTCCTATGCATATTTCGCTGTTCTTTATATATTAAACAGTGATGTGAAACAATCATTTTTAGAATATATGTTTTCAGGTTTTGTTGTTTATCTATGGCTGGTCTCCTTAGAGCCTTTAATTTGTTACTATGCACCAGAAGCTTCCAACAAAGGACTACAGTGTCAAATACTATTTTAAAAACATGGCTGACTACATAGTCATTTTCTTTTTTGACAAGAATTAGAGGGAGGAAAACTAGGTCCCATAAGGAAGTATCAAAGTAATTAGTTTTTCACTTATTTATGTTGTTTTGCCTATTTTATTTTGCTTTTCAAAGGGAGGAAAAAGGTGAGAGATTACTTTTAATTTATAAATATTTTAATTAAAAAAATTAAAACAGCTTTCCTTGTCAGCAGCAACTAAAATAAGGACGAACAGACTTTAAAGAGTAGATGATTTCACTAAGAAATTATCTAGGTTTCCTGATCACCAAGAGGAAAATTGTATCATAATGGACCTCTTATGAAGATTATGGAGTTTGAGTCCCTAAAGATCTTCCAGATTTTCAGTAGGTTTGGACATTTACTTTGCCAAATGTAGGGTGTTATATCAGGTTGTGACTGGAATGACCTCATCTCTGCTCAGAACTTTGCAGTTGCTCCTTATCCTTCAGAGTTACTAGAGGAAACCTAGCACCCATCAGAATCAGTGAGGACTGCAGAAACATTATGATGATCTGACTGGGCTTTGGTGTGGGAATTCTCCCTTCTATTCAAGACCTTGATTCTTCAAAGAGGTCATTGAAGTTGAGCTAGACCTGAACATCTAGGAATTTGCTCAGTGATCTGCGGGCTAACCATCCTACAAATGGTACCCTGGGTGGTTTACATAGGAGGGTGACTGTAGCTCTTGACCTGGAGGTTTCAGGCTCTCTGAGATTTTGTCCTGGTTGCATTATGGAGATCATCCAATGCTGCACAATGCGCTTCAGTCACATGTTTTCCCAACAATGTGGGAAAACATTTTGATTGTCCTGCTACTTTGACATTGGGGAGTTCACCTTGCTGCACTGTCAACATATTTCACTTAGGGAAAGTTTTTAGGCTACAGAAAAGTTCATCTAGGAGTCTGAAGGGAAATAATGTTGGCTTACTCAGAAAGAGGGAATGTGGTGATAATGGTGCACAATATCTGGATTGCTGGCTTGGGAGTATGCTTCCAGAACATAGAGTAACTTTTTCACAGACACAAAATGACTCTCATGGCCTATTAAATTCAAGTAGTTTCTGAGATGCCTGAACGTTTAGTCTATTGACATATTCCAGTCTTGCTTTTCAGTTTTCAACTTTTCCTAGTTAAATGGGCTGAAGAAAATGGAACTTCCCTTTATCTTTTATCTTGTGATTATAGGAGATGGCAGCTCTAACCTAGCTCTTGCCTATGACCTCAGGATATGAATGAACTTTTCTGGAAAATGAAATGTATTTAAAATCAAAAGATGGAACATTTTTAAATGTGAATTTAAATAAAAAACAAAAATTACATTAAAATTATGTTATATTTGCTTAAATGAATGTTCTGAAAATATATTCCATTTACAATAGAATTGTAACAAGCAGACACTTTTATCTAGTTTTATATCATTTCTTAAACAGGTATGCAGTGTAGCTTAATTCTTGGATTTTGCAAGTTTGCTTCTGTATACTTAAAAATTTTTTTCCAGTGGCAGGATAAATGATTTAAAATAGCACTAAACGATAGTAATATCTTATTTGCTTATAGTGCTTTTTAGCTTTTAAAACATTTTTGTATAGTTTATTTATTTGATTACTCAACAGACATATTGAAATATTATTCTTAAGCTTCTCTTAATGCACAAAATTAAACAAAATGTATTATCTCATTGACCAAAGGCAATTGTTACCCCTAGAAAATAGAGAGCTTCTTGGCGCTTTACACAAGATAAAGATTAACTGCTAAATGATTGCAATCTTTTAGGTAACTATAACTCAATTTGCAATAATAATTAACTTTATTCATTCCTTGAATTCATGTAGCATACTTCCTGAGAAAAGCCTTAGGTTTGTAAGTTTATATTAACGTGTTTATTCACACAATGTTCTCCACCACACAGGTCAGGCAGATTTTACCACTTCCATTTTATGGATGGAAAAACAGTTCATGATAAGGTCAGATAAGATGCCCAGAGTTGATTGGTTGGCCAGGGTCACCCTAGTTAACCTAGCAGAGTAGGGACATGATCCTCTGACAGGTATCCCGTGCAGTCTGATACATCTCCCCATGGGCTTAGAACCACCCTCAGGGCTCTTCACCCAGGTATGTCCTCCCAGATTTTGCCCTGCCTTAGAACCACTCCCTCTCAGTCTATTCCTTCACCCTGGAGTCCACCATTGAAAGTCTGCTCATTTTAAGTGCTTTCCAGGCCGTTCTAGTCTCCAGTTTCAATCTCTGGAGCTAAGAGTTGTTAGTGGTTTTATGTCTGACACCACCATAAGGCTCACTTGCAGTTGCCCTCAGTAACCTCCAGGCCAGTGAGGAAAGGAGGCGTTGGAGGCACAAGGGGACTTTTAGAACTCCTGTTTCATAGCTGTCTTTGTGTTCAGATGTGACTGATTCCTATACCGGTCTTCCAGCTCTTGAATGATGCCACTTCTGTGTTATCATATACTCAGTTTATTGACAAGCATAATTTTTTTTTTAAAAAGTCTCTAAAAATGTGTAGCTTTCACCGTCAACCAGGGACTTGCTGAAAACCCCTTTATAGCATTTTATGACTGAGGTTTCCAAATTGACTTAGAGAGGCCTTTTCAATGGCAACATTTTTTTTTCATCCCAGAGGGTTTTATTTTTAGCTCACATATCTGGCTCATGAAGAAATATAAGTAAACGAACACTTTAGATACACTTTAATGCCCAGTAGCCTCAAGAGAGTCTCACAATTAAAAAGTTCAATTTCCTTTATTCATTAAATGTCAATAAGTACCAGAGAGACAGGCATGTTGTAATATTCATGCAAAACATCTCCCATTAATGGATTCAGATGTTAAAAATAGGTCATTTTAATAATTCTGACTTCTGATACACAGTCCAGAGTTCCATTTTCCTGTATTGAAATTTGTTCCATACTATGAGGGTTTGAATATTAAATGTTGCAGAATTGTATATATATTTAAACATTTAGAAAGCAACATCATAATCTAAAGAAAATACCCAACTTGTATTTTTAAGAGCTCTAAGTGTAAACTTATCAGATTATTAAAGCTGGCCGGGTGCTGTGGCTCACGCCTATGATCCCAGCACTTTGAAAGGCCGAGGTGGGCAGATCATCTGAGGTCAGGAGTTCGAGACCAACCTGGCCAACATGGAAAAACCCCATCTCTACTAAAAATAGATGATGGTGCATGCCTATAGTCCTAGCTACTTGGGAGGCCAAGACATGAGAATTGCTTGAACCCAGGAGGCGGAGGTTACAGTGAGCTGAGATCACGCCACTGCACTCCAGCCTGGGCGAGAGTAAGAGACTCAGTCTCAAAAACAAACAAACAAACAAACAAACAAGATTACTAAAGCCTACCTTTCCGAAGCATCCCACGCTTCAAGGAAGCTGCCTGTTTGCTCAGAAGAGGAGCATTTAAAGAGTATTTCTTATTAGACACATTTTGGTTCCCTGAAAGGGGGTCTGTTCATGGGTGCTAGTCACAGATTAATTTATGTCTGCACTGTGGATTCCAGACCTTTTCTCATCCTGCTCTGAAAATCAGCACTTGTTATTTTCCTTGATTGTTCTTTCCATCTCCTTTAATCATCTTCTTCTGCAAAACTCCATATCCTGTGCCAAGACTCACCTCAAATGTTATCTCATTTGTACAAACCTTTCCACCTTATCTAGGAAAACTGATGGTGTTATTTTATATTCCCCCGAATCTTGTCTGTATCTTGGTTATTATCATATTTTCCAATGCTTATTAAGAACTCATGACATGCCATGTAATTTACTGTTCGTCATATAGACTACCTTATTCAACTCTCACACATCCCCTGTAAGATAGATATTGTCTTATTATGTCACATGAAGCTAAAAACTTATCCAAGGTTTTACAGGTAGGAGGGAGCCAGGACTTGAACTTGGATGCTTTGACTCTAAGGCCACTGGAAAGCACCACACTCCGTGGGGAAATCGCAGATACTAACTTCTTTTATAGTAATTTTATGTGAGCTGATCCAGTCTCATGGCTTCAAATACTATCTTATTGTATGTTGATTATGCTGAAATTTACAACTTTTCTCTGAAAACCAGATTTGTATCATCACTGGGGTTTCCAGTAGATATCTCAAAATGAATGTGTCCAAAATAAAACTCCTGACCATCTTCCCCAAACTTGGCCCTTCCATAATCTTCCTCATCTTGGATGACAGCAACTACAGTCATTCACTTTCAAAGTCGTAAATGAGATCTTGTCATTACCAATAACTGCAATCCTCCATAATTTCAACTTCCTGCACCCCAGTGTCTCTGACCACATCTCCAACTTGTATAGTTCATTCCATGGTTTTCTCAACATAACAATCCTTCAGTCCAAAATTGATTAACCACTTTTGACTGTGCTCGTCCCTTTGCTGTGTTCCACTATTCCTTACAGGCTTAATTCTTCAAACACTTCTCATGTATATCCTTTCTTACACTTCTCTTGCTTTATCTCACTTGTTAAAACAACGACCCTGAATAATTCAACTGTCCACCATACCACCATGTTGACTCACTATACATTCATGAATGAACCCTAAGTGAGACTGAAGTTCTGATAGGTAACCATACACTCACATACTCTCCTAGATGACTTATTTCTCTCTCCTCATATTCCCAAAATTTCCTCTCCCAGCCCCATTCTCGGTTGGGAAACTTTGCTTCACTAAGAAAATTGAAACAATTAGAAAAGAACTTCTATAGACTTCCGTTGCCATCTCTGGCCAACTATCAGCATTTATACCAAGATCCTTTGCTTTCATGCCAGTTACATGAAATGGATTATCTATACTCCTCTAAAGCAAATATTTCCACTTGTGACCAGATCCTATCCTTCATGACCAATTAAGAGCATTGTTCCAGCAATTCTCCCTTTTCTCTCTTACATTAGCAATGTTTCACTGTCCACTGGATCAATCATCCACATTAACATATAAATGTTATGGCATTCTTCCCATCTTAAAAAATAAAAACGAAACATTGTATTTTGATTCCATTTCTATTCCTCAATACCACATTAATTTCTTGGCCCCATTTTGCAGCAAATTCCTCCAATTCAGATTGTATCTGATTCTTCTCTTCTCATTGCCTTTTAAACTCTTTCCCACTAGGTTTTCACCTCTACCATTCCACAAAAAATTTCTCTTGTCAAAGTCACAGATAAATCTAATGTTCAACTCTCAGTCTCCATATCACTACTCTCTCTATAACTGGCTCGATGATAGCACACCCTTATGGTTTTCCTCTTGCCTTCATCATTTCTTCTCTGTCTCTCTTGTGGCCAAATCCTCTCCTCTTCAACCTCATAGTGTTGAATATCCCAGGATGTTGCAGTTTAAGATTCCCTTTTCTTTTCTATATAAAATCATTCCCTTGATGATCTCATTTAGTCTCATGGATTTAAATTACCTCTATAAAAATGACTCTCAAATTAGTAATTACATCTCTAGTATCTCTTTCCACATACCCAGACTTACATAGCCAACTGCCTGCTAAACGTCTTCACTAGATGTTTAACAGGCATCTTAAACTTAGTATCTCAATGCGCAGCCTCCATCTCAGGTGATAACTTCATTCTTCCAACGTTCAGGCCAAAATTAAATCAACAAAAAACTTGCGAGTTATTTTTTTCTTATATCACATTTACCTTCAAAATAGATCCATAATCTAATTATTTCCCACTGACTCCACTGCTCACATTCTTGGCTGAGCCACTACTACTATCTAACTGCTTTTAATTGTTTACCTACAGTCTGAGTTCAATACAGCAACCAGAGTGATTCTATTGAATCCTAAACCAGATCATCTGAAACCTCTCTTAAAAACATAGCAATAGTCCCCATTTCAACCTCAGTGAAAACCAAAGCCCTTTCCATGGCCCACGTGGCCCTACATTATCCTGATCCACATCGCCTTTAATATCCATCTCCATATTCCCCCCATTCTCTTCGCTCCTTTCACACTGGCTTCCTAACTATTCCCTGAACACACCAAACATCCTCCTGCCTTGAGTCCTTTGCACCTGCTCTTCCCTCTGCTTGGAATACTCTTTCTCAAGATATCCACATGGATAATATTTCTGTACTTCAAGTTTTTGTTCATACATGAAGTGTTCTGTCTCCAACTTGCCTCCTTTAATCTATTCTTAATACAGAAGCCAGAGTGGACACCTTAAAATGCAGATCAAATCAAGTTGCATTTCTAATCAAACACTTGCAATGAACGACAGTTACCATTTCAGCTTCCAGAGCCCAGCCTTTTTCCCTCCTTGACACCATCTGCTTTGCTCCACTCCTTACTCTGTCCATCCACATTGGTCTCTCTGCTGTTTTTTGAAAATGAAGCCAGTTTCCTGTTTTAGAGACTTTGCATTTTCTTTGCCAGGAATGTCTGAATAAGGATTAAACCTATGGGAATTGAGCCCCAGAGTAAGCACATGAATGAAAAGGTATCAGGACATGAAGAGAAAGAGTATTAATAAATATAAACTTCCTTATTTTGTGTCATTCTTCTTTGTCTTCTACCTTCTCCTGTTTTTCCTTCTTCTTCTTCTGGTGGGGATTTTCTGATGTGTTTTAGAAAAGCAAAATTTTCTCAATTATCAGTTTATTTTTGCCAATGTATCCTGAACCTTTTCCCTAAACTTTTCCAGTAATAGTAGAGTCCTCCATCCTTCATGTGTCAGAAGCTATCATGGGGGTGAACTCTGGTTATTAAATTGAGCTGCCATTGGTGTATAAGTCATAGTTTCTCTTAAGTTACTCACCTTCCTTCTTAACTCTATTTGTGTTTTTGTGAGAGACACTTCCCTTCTCTCTATACCCCTCTCCTCCCTTTCCTCTAAGTCTAAATGTAACTGTTCCATAGAAAATAAAAAAAATTGAAAGATTAGAAGCATAATAATACAAAATTAAATTGTGAAGCTCTGTATACTGGATTAAAACATACATATTGATTTGTTATTTGTGATAAAAGAAAAATATACATATGCAGTGATTAAAATATACAATGCAGATCTTCTAAAAACTTTAATGAAGCTGAAATTGATGATAATGCCAGTTAAGACAATAGTGACTACGGAAGAAGACCCTCTCTAGTCAGTCAATTATGACTGGTGTCTAAAGTTTCATAAATCAGATGAAGAAATTCTTACAGCAACAATGAGCAAACTCAACCTTCCTCTTTTTTCTTCTACCTGTATGCAGCAGCCTTTTATTTTGTCTTCAAGCAGGAATTCTAAAGAGATGGTGGTGCATGGCTGGGAATGAAAACTAGGCCCGCATGTGCCTCCTTCAAGTACTACTTGTGCTTTCTGGGCTGCCTGTTCTCAGTTAGACTTTCAGCTGTACAGCTGAGAAAGAGAAAAAAGTACAAAGCACAATTAAGAATTGAGGCTTTACCTTCAACATTTCAAAAAGAAGGCAATGAAGACCCTTGGTGTTAAAAATTGATCTATTTCTATTGGAAAAAGAGGACTTTTTTTTTCCTATTCAGTTTATGCAATGAGAGGCTCAACTTTGGGCTAAGAGACTAATTTCATATTTGCTATAATTAACCACTAACACAGATGTAAATTAAAGATTTTCCTGATTTTTTGAACAATTGGCTGTAAGAAACATTGAAAAGAATCATAGTCTATCTACAGATCTCCTCAGTCAAGTTCATTCTCTAGAGCTGGCAGTTAAAAATAGTGCACACATGATCAGGAATGATTTAATCCATATAAAGCTATGTTTATTGATTTTTAAAAAAAAATTTATTGGTAAGAGGCTACTGGAAATACTGTGTTTCATCTAAATTAAACTCACAGTTAAATTAAAGTCACAATTAAAAAAGAAAAGAACCACCAGCGTACCTGTCAATAAAGAGCTACTGTATTAACAGTGTTGAAAAAAAAGTGTTTTCAGACAGTCTAGTGAAAGTAAGAATGCCAGAGGTTATCATAGCTGTCAGTTTTAAAGTCAATCTCCAGCTCCTGCTAGGAGGAAATTTCCCCCAGTGCAAGATTAGGGTTGTTTTTATTGGCTCCCATCTACTGTGTCTTAGGGATGTGTTAGGCACCAGGGAAAATGGGGAGAGATGGTCTGTCCAGTGTACTCATACTTGAAATCTACAATTGAGTCATCAAGGAAAAGTAACTGACAAAAGAGAGAAAGGTAGTTGATGATGAGGGGTGAGAGATTTTGCAATTTGTAGTTGGTGTCTGTCTTCATTCACTGGCTCCCTGAACAGGGTGGATGGTGTTTTAAGGCTATCTTTTTCTCTTCACACTTACTGGACTGTTGGAGGGCATCTTGGATTATCACATTGCTTTACCTACTTTCATATTCTCCTATAAAAAGTCATTTCTAAGAGAATGTGATTTATTTTCTTCCTTCAAACTTCAGGACTTCATGGCTGAACTTCTTTTCTTCCCAGGAGGATATAAATCTGGACAGAAAAATTTGAAATTTGTGAATTACATAAAGTCAAGATTGAATTTAAGTTCTCCTTAACACTTAAGTTTGGGCAAGTTCTTAACTTCTGGAATTAAGTTCCTCATTTAAAAATTTAGTGGATATTATCTTTCTTATAGGATGTTATAATTAAATAAACTACACAAAAGATTGACATATTATATATATTTAATACATGTTGGTTCCTCCAAGAAACTAAAAGCATGTCACATATCTAAATCTGTCACAATGAGTTCATAAAGACTTTCTAGAGGTTTTTGGAGGAGGAGTTCTGTATTTAGGCAGAGGGGGTGGTTACCTGTAGGATTATTTAATAAGCTTTCAGAATGTTCCCATATTGAACAAGGTTTTCATGGTTCTAAAGTTCTTACGCTTAAGATCATTTCCTTGGATTAAAATATTGTAAATATTAAAGGTAAGGGTTAAGAATGCAAAATGTTAAGTGAAAAGGAAACGTAACTGTGGAGCTTATGAAACAGATAACTTCAAGTTTTCTTGGGGAAGGAAGCAGGTATGAAATATGGTCCAGGGCCAGTCAATTTGAGAGATGTTCTTTTCACTGCAGATGTAAAAAGTGTCTATGTGTGTGGGGTATCTGTTAGAACTCTTCAGGCCACCACACTGTAGCAGAGAGAGAGAGAATCGATACCCATCCATTCATACACACATGCAATGTTTACTGAGCATCGGCTATGAGGCAGCTCTGGGAGAACCAAATCAACACCTTCCCTGCCCAAATGAAGCTTACAGTTATTTAAAATTAATCAAATGATCAAGCAAGCATAAAATTATACTACAAATGGAGAAGTGATGGAGTTACAACTGGATGTTACCACCAACAGCCATTTCAGTTCTGAAAGAGGTGATAAAAGGAGTCAAAAACACCTCCATAAGTTCTAGGGAAAATGTTTTTGGCCCTGCCCTGGGAAGGTGGACATCCATGTCATCTCTGACATAAAAGAAAATAATTATTACCCACATACAGCTGACACCCATGTGTTAACCCTTGAAAGTGTTTCGAAATGGAACTTTTAAAGTGTCAGAATAACTCATTGAACTCCAGATCTCTTGATGTCTAGATATTTCCACCTTATTTATATTTTAAAAGATCCCCAAAGCAGGCTGAGACCAGAAGAGGGAATCTCTCTCAGTTGGCAGATTAGAGAAGAAATCTGTACCGTGGTATGTGTGTTAGACTTGTTTGTATTAGTCCATTCTCATGCTGCTATGAAGAAATATCCAAGACAGGGTAATTTATAAAGAAATGAGGTTTAATTGACTCACAGATCTGCATGGCTGGGGAGGCCTCAGGAAACTTACAATCATGGTGGAAGGCACCTCTTCACAGGGCAGCAGGAGAGAAAATGAGTGCCAGCAGGGAAGATGCCAGACACTTATAAAACCAACAGATCTCGTGAGAACTCACTCACTATCACGAGAATAGCCTGAGGGTAACAGCCCCCATGATTCGATTACCTCCCACCAGGTCCCTCCCAGGACATGTGGGGATTATGGAAACTACAACTCAAGATGAGATCTGGGTGGGGACACAGCCAATGCAGATCACTGTTCTTCCTTGGATGTGCCATATATCAAGAGAGGAAAGCCAGCTACGAAATGACTCCCCTTAATTACACATAAGGATTGAACTATATTTGCTGTCTTGTCACTATGCAGAGTCTTCATAAGGCTCTACTTTTGTTAGGATGAATATGCTTGTTAGATACCATTCTGAGGACAGTTTTTGACAGCAGCAGAAGAGAATTGTAAAAGGCCATGTAGTGAAGAGATCCCATATCTTCAAAAAGGAGAAATGCCTTGAATATCCTAATGTGCTTTGGTGTCACATCATTTACTCAAAGCACTGAGCAAGTTTCTTTGGTTCTCAGTAGTCACCTGCAGAAATGTTCACAAAACAACTTCTCCACTGGAGTTCCCCACTGCAGGCAGTGGCACAATGGCCCTTCAAGTGGCCCAAGACAGCAACCTGGGCATCTTCCCTCGTTTCTCATTATTCCTTAGTTTGCCCCACAATAATCACTGCACCCAATCCATCACTCTGTTTTGTTGATTCTGCCTCCTATTTCCCAAGAACGTTCATTTATCTACCATTACCTTCACTATGACCTCTCAATTAGGCTAGTGGATTTCTAGTTTCTCCCAACTCCATTTTATTATGTGCTTTGTACCCAAAGAGATCCCTAAAGATCTAATTTTATTACATTCTTACTTAAAACATTTTAGTATCTAACTCCCTGGCATGACATACAAGGCCCTTTAGGATCTAGCCCCTGAGGACCTCTTCAGTGCCATATCTAACTCCTGACCCCTTGCCCCATTCCTCCTGCCCCAGCCCCACTGAACTGGGTGCAGACCACAAAGGCTCCAGCTTTTCTGTCACCTTTGGGTGTTTACACAAGCCACACCGTCTATCTAGAATGCGGTTCTCCCTTCTCCTGTTTCTCTCCCACTTGTCCTTTGGGTCTAGTTTAGATATTGACCCCTATGCAGAGCCTCACCTGACCCTGGAGACTGGATCAGATGCCCTACAATGTACACCACAAAAATGTGCTGCCATTTCAGTTTTCGCACTATATTTTAGTTGCTTATTTACTCGACAGTCCCTCTTTGCTAGAGATGTAAATTTATTGAGAGCAAAGATGACTCAGATGTACTCTATTGTATCCAAAGCACCCAGGGACATTGTAGGACCTCAGTCAATGTTTGTTGTGTAGATGAATTTGCATTCCCACTAGATGCAAGCCTAGGGCATTACTTCCCCCTGCAGCCTCCAGGAGAGGGAGAAGAAACACAGGCTCAGAGGACTTTCCAGCCTTGGGATTCCAGGAGTTTATGAGGACACTGATGGCCTTAAGCAAAGGAAGAATATCATTGAATTCAGAAAAAGGGAGAAAGCAGAATTGGCAAGATACAAAGAAGAAAATTCTGTTCACTTCTCATTTTGCCTCAAACCAACTTTTCATGTAATTTAAGTTCACTTTCTTTTATGCTGTTGACACTTTATGCTGACTTAGTGGGGTACAAGTATCACTAATCCCCGTCTCAGATCTTTAATAAATTCTTTTTAAAAACTGCATCTTGGCTATCCTCACCTGTCCACAGTTTCAATCTGAAATTCTCTGACAGAAGGAGGAAACGGAAATAATTTTTGAATTCACCCAGGATAAGACCATGTTCATGTCTCCCAAGATAACTTTCACTCTTAAAGATTATATAATATTTCTGTCCATTCAGTTAATAAGATTTGCTTTGCTATTTAATGTGTAAGAGACAACCCCATAAATATAGATGAATATTAGATTTCTAGGTATTATTTGGTAATGTTTTATTGTATTAAGAATTATTTACATATACATCTGGAAGATGATTGCTTGTTTATTTCCCATAATTGTGATGTCTTTTTAAAGGACTATTCAGTTAAGGGATCTATATTTCTCTCGATTTTGATGGTGGTGGTGTTTAAGTGCATGATTTGTACACCTTAAAAGTAGAGACATAAAAGCTCAATACTTAGAAAGGAATTTGAAATTCACGGAAACACTGTGGAAACTCAGGCCTGTGTGTTTCTGACTTCATTAGGTAAATCTTTGGGAAAATTTGAACAAAAAGTAAGTCAAAAAATAATGGTTGTAAGTTTCATCACCATTTTTAGCAAAAAAAAAAAAAAAAAAAAAAAGTCAGATGTGGTTTTTCTCAGAACTGCCCTTAATGAAAGAAGTCTGTAAAGTATAGTTCAGTTACTGACCAGAGGAAGCTTTTGTATGAAAGATTTCAAGAGCAAGATCCCTCTTGAAATCTCTCATATAAAACTGCATTTTTGTGGAGAAGCACCAGAAGATTAGAATACGTGTCAAAAATGAGAATGAAATGTAGGATTTAGGACCTCTTTGTTGTTATTTGAACTCTTCTCATAGAAACAACTCCACATCAGCTGACATCAAGGACATGAAACTCTCAAAGATGGCACCTCTGATTTGTACACATATAAATCCCAGGAAACTCAGGCTATATTCTGACAGACAAGAAGTGCAGGTTACAGTAAGAAAGGCTGGAGGTATTAGAGCCTGCTGTGAGCCTGCTTACTCTGGGTTTGAATCTTAACCCCACCATTTACAATTCTGTGACTCTGGACTCATCTTTTTGCTTTTGGAGCCTTAGACTCTTGGTAAAATGAGTCCCCAGATACCAGCCTCAAAGGATTGTGATGAGGGTTAAACAGGGCTGGCTACATAATTTTCGGGGCCCAACATAAAATAAAAATATAGAATCTTTTGTTCTATATTTAGTGATGTATAGACACTAATCAAGAAAAAAGTGCTATGGAAGGTACTAAAAGTAAAAAAGATTTTCCTTTCTTCCTTGATCTCTCTCTACACTGGTTGCAGTGTTTTTATTTGCTATGTTGTGCTCTCCCACAGGGAGAGCCACCCCTCCTGCAGAACTCCCCTTCCATGGGCCTCCTGTTCCAACTGAAGATAGACTGGCAACTGCCAAAGGATTGTGACCAGGTTGCCAAGATGTGCTCAGTACCTGGGGCAAGCAAAGGCTCAGGAGTCATCCAGTGAATGGGCCCATAGCACTTTCAGTCTGGCACTCCAAGCACCACAAGTGGGGGAGTGTAAGGCGAGAACCTATCCCAGGGAGGGAGGAAGTTGGCCAGAGGAGGGACCCATGCGACCTGAGGCTCCAAGGCTCTCATGCTCCATTTTTCCATAGACTTCACTTACAAAATATTAAGTTCAGAAATAAAATTATTAAGCATTTCAAGAAGGCTGCTGTAGAGGATTAAACCCTGAGCCCAGGGCTCTTTCAGTACAGGGGACTATGGGACTGCACTGGTTGCACATCCATGAATCCCACCTTGGGAATAAATAACAATGTTCTAAACCCCCTGGTGCACAGGAAACCCCACAGTTATACATGATGGCTATGGGGCAATTCAGGTCGAGATGACACATGGTATTTTTAATTAAATATTTTGCAGAGGTAAATATACATTTTAAAAATAAAAATGTTTTAAGAGTCATCTTCATCCAAGACCCTTCAGTGATAGTGCAGCCTTCTGAGTGAAATCTTAGCTAAGAGACAGCATGAAATACAAGCACTCATTGGCCAGTGTGCACAGCAGGAAAAGCATCCCCCAGTAAGGTTTTAGGACTCTAAGTGTGCAGGTGGCACCTGTAATGGTAGAACTGTGCTCAAATAACAATTTTTACATATCAGTCAGCATAATGGCAGAGTAAAAAGTGCTTGATTTTGGTGTTGGAATAAGAATGAGCCATAATTGGAAGTTTAATTGAGGGGAGGGAGAGGCATGTGGGGCTGGGTTATAAAGTCTATCTAGGGTTTATGGAGACTGTAAAGAAGTGATTCGCGTGAATGCTTAAGCATCTTATCAAAACTTCTGTAGAGACAGGGACACTCGTCTAGTGAAATCGCCATTCATACAAATCTGCTTTAGCAGGGTGAAGGGTACAGATTAACAGCTGACTCTGGAATAATACATATATGTTCAGAACCGTCAGAGGGACAGCGATCAATGTCAAAGCTGATGAAGCTCTTGGGTACTATTTGGATTACTACAAAGCCTCCCACTGCAGGCAGGCTGACCTTTTTCAAACATATATATCATGATGTCACTATACTGTTTGAAATATATTGGCTTCCAGTTGCCTGAGAATAGCCTAAACCCTTACATTGCTGACAAAGCCCTTCACAATTCGGGTTTGTCTACTTCCTCACTCTGCTCCACACTCTTATTCCTCCACTGAATTCCTCTCACCTCTTGACTCCTGCTTCTTTTCTCAGAAACATTCCATCTTCCACCATCCTCTCCTTTTTCAATAAAGTCTTGTAAGCCCATTAGTCCATAACCTAAACATCAAATCTTCAGGGATGAAGGTCTTCCCTTATATGAGGTAGAGTGTATGCTTCCATTTGGCTCCAACAGCACCCTGTAAGGCTATCAGAGTAGTTTTGATATTGTTTCATATTTGCTACAGGATAGCAGGTATCATATCCATCATGACCATCTTCGTATCTTGACACATGAATGTATGACACATAGTAGGCACTCAACAACTATGAGTAGACTAAAGAAGTGATAAATGCACTTTTCCTATAGCCTAAGGAGTATAAAGAAGCTCAGTGTCTATACATCACTAAAGCAGATTATCTACATGTTTACACTGTGTTGGGGTAAAGTATTAGTGAAATACGTGATGCAGATGTAGAGACAGTCCTTTCCTAGAGCTGGGCTGCCACTCAGGCTATAGATGTTGGACCATTCTAGGTGTCAGATGTTGGGATTAGAGTCACAGGTGTGTTTAAAAAGATCTGCATAAGTCGAACTCCAAATAAACAGTATGTCATACAAAGCATGAGTCAAAAGCCAGAGCAAGAGATAGCTTTGGATGTGCTTGATATGTTTCTTGAAGCAGTGTCTTTTTTCGTGTCTCTTCAAGCTTGTGACAATTTGAGGGGTCTGCCCAGGTCTCCTGAGACAAATATTTTGGGAGATGATTATCGATGTGGCTTTCACATTGACACGCCTAACTGGAATGTCATACCTGCGGAGGAATATTGATAAAAGATTGAAGAGGTTAGGTTGTCTCTGATTAGGCTAAGAGTTTCAACTGATATGACTGGCTCTCAAAGGCTTTATAGGGCCTGGAACAAGGCAGTAATGAGATGAAAGTTTTCTCACAGTGTCAGACAGTTTTAACTCTTAGCGTCTGTGTAAAGAATCAACAGTAGGGGTGACATGGAAAACTGCTATGATGAGATGAGACTATGTATCAGCATCCAGGACTGTGCACATTCCACTTCAGAAACCCTGGTACATGTTTGAAGAGATATGCACTCACATTATATCACTGCCTATTTGGAGAAGTTCTGGATACCTTCATCAAAGTTCCATTACAAAGAAATGCTATTGAGTTTCTATGTAAAGACTGCTGATAGACAGCTCATATAATAATCTGATGTTTTTTCCTTTATTCATTCAATAAATATTTGGTGATCACTCACATGTGCCAGACCCAGTTCTTAATACTAGAGATTTAGCTGTGAACAAGAGATACATTTATGTACTGTCTAGAACAGCATTGGCCAATGGAATTCTGCAATGATGGAAATGTTGTTATCTGTACTAATACAATAGCCAGTAGCCACATGCGGTTATTGCACATTTGAAATGTGTCTGGTATGACTGAGAACCTAAATTCAAAATCTCTCTTATTCAAAACCCTGTACTCTACTTGATGTCCAACAGAGGCCACCTTTCTCACACCTCATCCATTGCATTGTCAGTGCAAAATCTTACAAAAATATTTGTAGTTTCCTATAAAACTTGACTTTATTTCTCTTCTGTGTTTTTGTTTGTTAAGTTCCCTTGGCCTAGAATAAGCAAATGCCTACCACTACCCCCACCACAAGACCCTACCTGACCACTTCTATTCCCAGTAGGAGCCACAGCCTTCATGAAGCCTTGCCCACATGCCTCAGTCAGTTCCCATAGATCCCCATGCATCTCTTCATCATAACACTTACCACATATTACAAATAGTCACTTTTATACTTTAGAGGTAGTGGAGCATGACGGGTATGAGTACAAGCTCCAAGGCCAGATTCCCTAGGTTCAGGCACACAAGGATTTACTATAAGCAATATATTTTCGAATTTTATAAATACTAATTATCAAAGGCATGCATAATTGCCAATTACAACATTAACTCTAGACAAAAAATATAGAAATATAACACATTTAATATCCATGATCGCCTCATCAAGCATGAGTGAGTTTTCAGTGAGAACTTTTGAATTATTGGTTATAATTGATTAAGAACCCCATCACTGCTCTTGGGGAAACTGAGCTAATGTAAAGGAAAAAAAGGGTCATCAGTTAAATTTGCATTTATTCTAAACTTGTGTGCTAAACTTGTGTGCTAACAATTTCTAGCTGCAGATAAGTTCAGAGGAAACATTCAAAAAATAAGTAACACAAACAAAGGCATTCATGAGTAAATCAACCAACCAGACAATTTACTCTAGGGAGGGTACATGAGTAGCTTTTTCCTTGTTCATTGTAGACCAAATGGAACTCTTGATGCTGTCAGAAATTTGTCAAGATGCACACTCAGATAGCTCTTGAAAGGATGGAAAGTAAATGTTGTTCTCTATCATTTTTGCCATAAAGGTATGGCATTTAAGTTATAGGGTCTGAAGATAAGACGGACTGTGAGAGTCCATTATAATCCAGCTCCCTTCTGCTGCAGTTACAATGCCATTTCCATTACTGCACACAGATAAGAAGAGCTCTTATTTCAAAAGATTTCCAAGCACAGAAATACAGTCCTCTGATACCCTCCCCATTGAAATATGGTCTTTCCTACTCAATTTAAACCAATCTTTTTTTTTTTTTTTTTTTTGGCTGGAAATTGTTAAACCCATTAACTTTCATTCTATCTTGCGGGGAGACAGGGAAACACTTCCATCTTCTGAAAAATAACTCTCCACATTGCTAAGCATGTTATAAACTGCCTAATACCAAGAAGACAGGTTTGGGACATGAGCAGGAGTTTCTGATGCTTTTTCAATGTGCTCGTTGATACACTGATTGACTGGGCATTAGTTTTCCAATCTGTAAAATGTGTACACTAAGACTTTTCACTTGCTTTTCTCATTGGTGTTTTGTGAAAAAATCATTCTCTCTGGGACGTCGTGCTGTATCAGCCAGCTACATTTTTCATCAAAGAATGCTAGGAAATTTGGCTAAACTCTTTTGGGCTTCCAAATGCCTTTTAGGTTGAGGAGAGCCATACTACAAATCTTAAACTTATGAGTTATTTGAATCTCTATTGGTGGAGACCTAAGAAAATTTTCTCACATGTACTAAGAAGCTGTAACTTGATAGAGAACAAAGAAAAAAAACTCCAGAATGGGAGCTACTCTGAAAGTTCTGAGATGAAAGGACTTAGTTTCTCCTACTAAGCTGATAGGTTATTCTATTGTCAGAGTATGGGAGTTAAGCTGGCGGTCCTCATTTTGATCCAGAAGCTGAGAGCTGAGGTATAGATTTCCTGAGTTAGAAAATTGTAACATAGCTCTTCTGCTTCTGTCTCCTTTTATTTGTGACATTTGGTCTTTTACTTTGTATTTTGGATTTAATTGTACTAGTGCTGTTATTGGAGTAGTCTCACAATGTACTTTGTAAATAACTGGAGTCTAGGTACATAAATATGAAATATGTAACTCCTACTCAAACTTATTCCATTTCACTTTTGCTAAACTTCACTTGTTTATTTTGAAGACACGTGAAGCACACATATTTTATTGTTTGTGTAATTACCAAATACAGGAAAAGTTCTTCACTCTTTAACCTGAGTTTTTCAGGCTATGTCTTCAAATCACACCTCCATATTGCCACTACCGTTTCAGCTTTGCTGTCATAATTTCATGGTTTAAACACTTAGATATTTTATTATTTTATCTCAACCTTTTGTGAAGAGTCAAGGAAATTATCATGAAAATGACAAACAAGCCTCAGAATAGGAGAAAATGTTTACAAATTGTATATCTAATAAGGGACTTGTATCTAGAGTATACAAATAACATTTATAACTCAATAATAAAAAGACAACCTAATTAAAAATAGGCAAATGATGTAGATATTTCCCTAAAGAAGACATACAAATGTCTGATAAGCATATAAAAAAGTACACAGCATCATTAGACATCAGGGAAATGCAAATCAAAACCATGCGATGCAACTTCACATCCACTTGTATGGCAATAATAAAAAAGACAAACAATAAGTGATGTCTGGAATGTAGAGAATTCCTCATAGATTGCTGGTGGAAAATTAAATGGAGCAGTCAAATAGTCTGGCAGTTCCTCAAGCAATTGAACATAGACTTACCATATGACCCAGAAATTCCACTCCTAAGAGAAATAAAAACATGTCCACACAAAAATGGTGCACATGAGATATTCATAGCAGCATTATTCATAGTAGCCAAAAGCTTGGATAATCCAAGTGTTCATCAACTGATAAATGGTTGAGTAAAATGTGGTATATAATGCAAAGAAATAGTATTCAGTGATAAAAAGGAATGAAATATATACTACAACCTGGATGAACTCAGAAAAGTTTATGCTAAGTGGAAAATTCCAGTAACAAAAGATCACATATTGGATGGTCCCATATAGCTGAAATGTCCAGAATAGGCAAATACATAGAAACAGAAAGTAGATTAGTGATTGCTTAGGGCTTGTGGAGGAAACTGGGGAGAAATGGAGGGTAACTGCTAAAGGGTAGAGGATTTCTTTTTGGAGTGATGAAATGTTCTTAAATGGACTGTGGTGATGGTTGCATAACTCTGTGAGTATACTAGAAACCACTGATTTGTACATGCTTCATGGATGAATGGTATGGCGTGTGAATTACATCTTGATAGAATAGTACTAAGTAAAGTAACTATAGAGCCCAGACAAGGGTGAGGAAAGAATATGGGATGATTGTAGTTAAATAAGAGATAATAAAGACCATAGAAATGGTGATGAAGGGTCAGATGAAAGAAAGACTTAAAAAGCAAAATAAGCAGTAAGCAATTGAAATTAAAAGATAAGGAAGCAGGAAAAGTTGAGGATGAGTTTGATTTTCTATTTTTAGTTGGTGATACCATCTCTGGACTCCAGCTTGAGTTGTTGAAAAAAAAATCCTTATTTTCAATTAACAGTTTCCTTTCCCAAGTCTTCTCCATGTAATGTAAATTGCATTCCACTGAATTTAGCCTAAAAAACAAAAATTGGAAGTTTTCTCCTGGGATAAATATGCATTAGAGAGGTTGACATTAAAAAATTATGGTGACATATTCCATAGGAATATCAAAATGGTAAAATTGTTGAACAATCTCTCCCACAGCATCACCCAAATACAACTATTGTATTTATGATGTGATTTGAAATTTCATTCACATATTTTTCCTTCACTCATTTGTACAGTAGATGCCTGTGGGGAAAAGTTTCTGATCATAGATTTTCTTGAGAATCCAAAGAAATGAACAATTTTAAATTATTGGATGGCTGAAATGTAAACGATACCTCTGAGCAACAGAAACCCACTAGGTTTATGAAGCAACCTCTTGACATAAACTATCACTGATGGATTTATATTAGTGATTGCTCATACTTGAGCTCAATGTCATTTAGTAGACCTTTCATTCTTATGCCATTCATTTGAAGCCCTGTTACCCTTTCTCCTTCATATAAACGAGGAACAAGAAATCCTACTGAAATTTGCCCTCTGTAATCACTAGTCTGAAGTAATGAGAACTTTTATTAATTTTACCTTTTAATATATATTCACTGATGGGAAACTTCTCATCAATGAATATACATTAAAATCTTCAATGACAAGATTTTTAAAAATCATATGGAGTAACAGTTACTCTGCCATGACGTTGGCATCCCTCAATTGGCAGATGCCATCTTGCAGCCCAGCCAGAATGGAGAAAAAGGTTAATGCATACAGGGCATCCCCACTCTGTGACTGAAATCCAGGGACACCCAAATGTTTCAAGGGTGAAGACCTCAGATCTGAGGTTGTTTCCAGTAGTTAAGAAAGTCCTTGTCAAATACATACTTGTTCATTTTTCCTAATTTTTCTCATGAGTTTCTTTAAAACAAAAAACATAAAGGTGCTTAGAATAGAGAATTCAATAACTGATTGAGGCAATCTTTTTTTAAAAAATCTATAGTTAGTTGAGTTGTTGAATGATCACATGACACTACAAGTGGGAGTTCAAATTTATTTTTGTGTTCTTGTAATAGTGATGTCCACATCTCTTTGCCTCCAGCTCTGTGTACCACATCTGACCCCAAGATCATAGGTATTAAAGTTTTCACTACATGACTGGTAAGGCAGCACTTTCCAATCAACCACCTTTTAACCACTTGTCTCTATTACACATTCAGTGAGGTCTATTATTTGTGAGGTTTAAGGGTGTTTATGAAATTGTCCTTTATAAACTGATAAGGACTTGTGGGTAGGCATTCAGTGCACATGAATGCTAATGAGGGCCAGAATCTATCAGTCAGTGATAGTTTGCCCAGGAAAGGCAGTCATCCACTGGGATCCCACAGCCTCCACTTTTAAATCATAGAAAACAAAATATTGACTGTAGCCCATTTTCTGGACAATCAAAGTTGACTGTTTTCAGTGGGAAGCAGTCATTTCATATGCTGAAGTTCTGTGTATAGGTTGTCTTCAGGAGCCCATACCTTCCACACATTAAAAAAAAAAAAAAAAACAAAAAAAAACTTGTTCCCTGCATAAAAGTGAAATATTTTCCATGTCATAGCAATGTCACTCTTATCAAAAGTGAGATAAAAATCACGTTCAATTTCCAACAGGGTGCACTGTCACACCTGAGAAAATCTTTCCTCACAGAAACTGAATTATAGAGAATTGGCTTGGTTTCATGCTTGGCTAACAAAATCCATGAAATCTATAAGACAGTTGAGAAGCCTAACCAATAGTCTTGTAGAATATAACCAGCAGTCATTGAATTTAACCACTAAGCATATAATATTTCTATGGAAAAGTATGCTCAGAATTCCAATTTGGGATTCCAAAGATAATTTTCTCCTTCAAAATTGCATTGGCTCTTGATGTCTAGGAGATAAAAAGCAATATAAAGGGCCATTTGGTTCCTAGTGTTATGCATTGCTTAAATACTGGCCCTTAATTTCTGCAGTTAGCTCTCTTCACATATCACTCAGGGATCATGTGTGCTCATACTGCTCATGTATCAGTGTCTCTCAAAGTGGCCCACCTGATGCAGTATCACCTTGACAGAGCCCTACCTACTGAATTTGAATTTAATAGTGTCTGTGTGCATCCAGGATTTTAATGTTTTATCTTTTACTAAACTCTTGTGGTGATTTTTAGGAATATTGAAATTTGTGAACCACTTTCTTAGAAGCAGAAAAAAGAGTGCATGCCTTGTTGTCTGTCACCAACAGTAACTGCAAACAGCAATAATGGGTAATGATTGCCCTTATCATACTGCATTGCCATGATATGTTTACCTTTCTTCCTCACTTGCCTGTAAGCCCTTTGAAGGCAGAAATTGAGCCATATTTATCTTCATACTTTATGTGTTTAATACAATATTTGCTATGAAGAAATATTCAATAAATATCTGCTGAATAAATGAATGAAACAATGGAATTATTAAATATACCTAGAGATAAGGTAATCCTCGTGTTTACATTTAAAGCAGGAGTAGGTTTCAGATGGAAATGTTACTTTAAAGATGTCCATTGAAAATTTTTAAAAATATTTTCATATACTGCTATGTTTTTCAAGTTTTGTTTATTTGTATTCTTAATGCTGTTTATTGGTAGGTCATAGACTTTCAATTTCTTCTGTCCTACATATTAATGATTCTGTTCCAGATATTATTTAAAAAGTGAAAACTAGATTATACCTGCAGATAAGTAACAAGGTAAAAAAGATATGTTTGTATGGCCAAAATGAATGGAGAATGAAATAACCAGCATCTCGAATTTTGCAGTTCTCAGTTAGGTCTGTCCCTAAATTATGTCTGACCTTTGTTCTGGCATGTCTATTCTCTATGTTTCGTTTTAGTTTGCTTTTCTGTAACATCAAAATGACCACAGTGACTTAACTCATAGATACACACACACACACACAGAGAAATGGGTGGTCTGCAGTACCCTGAGAATTAGAATTGCAAGGTGCTAAGATGTTGTGCTACTGTATCTTTATTTTCAAAAGTCTTATTTTGTTTTAATGCTATTTTATCTCATTTAAAGAAATCTTGCCCTTTGAAGTATATGGCTTTGTCTGAGCCTCTGTAAGCATAGCTGGCCTTTCTTCTGTTTCTTCTGTTCCTCCTTCTGTTCATTTAATTAGAGAAAACACATTTGCTGCCCACAAAGGCTTCCTTCCCACCCAAATCAGTAATCACAGAGGACTGACTGGTTTGCATTTGTTGTTGTTAGGACTCTTCTTTTTTTCCACCTTCTTCTGTGTATTTTTCTAAAAAGAGATTCATTTAAAGAGTTGTTTTAACCTTTATTTCTTTCTTCAAAAACCTAAAAACAGTGTCGGGATTCATCATAAAAATAAAATGAGTGTTTGGTGGAGAAAGAACCATAATAATGTTTCTTGGGATCTTTGTCATTTTTCTGTTCTTGCAAGTTCAGTGTTTTACTTACTTATTTTTGCTACTTCCAGTGCATGTTTTGGCTTCTTTGTGTGTATGCCATCACAAGTCTTGCCAAAATATGTTGGAGAAACTGGGTGACAGCCAGTTTGCAACAATAGAATTCCCCTGTTTTGACTTACAAATGGTCTTCCAACATCAACATAAACAGTGTGCCCTCCCCACATGAAAGAGATTGGATTAAATAACACACATAGGAAATGTATACCTTCTCAAGTATTTATTTTTGTAGGTATCTCACCAAAAGAATTTTTGAATTTGCTTTGATTCTGATAAGATCATGAGCAATTAATTTATACTGTGAAAATATTGTTTAAAACTTCTGAATTTCCAAATAGTTCATTTTGCTCTATCCACATGATCCCCTTCTTTTCTTCTCTCTTCTAACATGTCAACTGTAAGACATAATTTCTTGTTCCATAATTCCTCAAATGATCACTGTGAAAATCCTGTCAAGTCTCTTCGTACCACAAGTGAATATTTATAGATGATTTATAAACTGTTGAAAACTAGAATTTATAATGAAGAACCTGGCAGGGCCTGAGATGTTTCTGCATTGGGAGGTGTTAATAGAACAGAAGAGCAGACATTACTAGAGAGAGCTTCAGCTTTCCAAAGCACACCCACAAAAAGGAAGATAATATACAGCCTGCTCGGAATGGACTGAAATCATTGAAATAATTATGGACTTCTCAAGAACTATAGTGTGCTTGTCTGTAAAGCCCTTACACATAAATGGATTTGAAAAAGCATTATAACAGCTTCCCTTTCAAGAGGATGACTTCTGCTTAAAGTCTCCAGGGTCTGGAGGTTTTATTGTGTTGTATGGATAGACACAGAGTGGTTTCTTTCAGACTCATACAACTAAGAGTTTCAGAATCTCTCAGGAACATGATGTTGTGAATGTCTAGGTTTTATGTCATTGAATAGGAAAAAATATAGGAATCTCAAATTTGAATTCTCTCTTATACTTTAAGGACAAGAAAAATACAAAAATATTAAATTCATAGATAATTGCAAGACTTTCTGATGGCCAACAGTTTTAAGCTTCAAACAAATTGATTCAGTAGAAACCCAAAAAGACTGATTTGGGTTTCTCTTCCTATTACCTTCCTTCTGCCCACTCTGGATTACAGCTGATTGTAGGGGTTCAGTCACGATGGTGGGAAAAATTGTAAAATAAGCCTTATTGGAAGGCCAGAAGGTTTTTGCAAAAGCCTCAGAATAGAGTTATGGCTGAAGGCAGCCTAATCCTCTTTGAGCTATAGCAAGGGTAATTAACAGGAATGTAGAAGAGTCTATCTAAATAGCTTGTTTACTCATGTGGTCCTAAGACTAACCTTTAACCATCTGTGGGTGTGTGATTGCTCTCTACTTGGGGGGTCAGCAGTGGTAATTACCTTCTAGTGATGTTTACTTGAGACTTTTATCATTTAATGTGTGCTGAATAAATGCTGGGAAGGCCAGTGAGTCAGGGTCGTAGTTGCAACTTTTTACAGCACTCTCCTGGGAGTCTGTAAGCGGCCGGCCCCAACTCTCAGCTGGACTGACAAGCATAATATCTATGTCAGAGTACATTATTCATCCGTCATTGGGTCAGGGTCTGCGGGAAGGACCCCCACAGCTGATAATAGCAAAGCATTGCCCCAAAGTCAGGCAGTAGTAGTAAAAAGGAGTAGGAACAGGGCCAAATAATTCACAAGTAGAAATTGCAAATCTGTGTGTAATTTTAAATTGCAAAAAAATGGTCAATATTTTTCTAATCCAAAGAGAAAATCCTCATGTCTTTTTTTCATAAATGGCTATTATTAAAAAGCTGTGGAAAAGATAAGTGTAAGATGAAGCCTCAAGAATACATATGACTGGATTTATGGGCCCACTGTCCAGCAATACTTATCAAGTGCCTACTATGTGCTAGCCACTCTTATCAAGACTGTGAGAGTTTTACTTGTATTTCTTATATCCTCATAAAACCCCTAAGTTGTGACTATTATTAACACTATTTCATAGCTAAGAAAATGGAGGCATAAGTAGACCATGATCATGCAACTAACTAGAAAAAAAAACTTTGACTTGAACCCGGGCAGTCTGGTGGGAAAGACCACCCACTTAACCACTTGCAATGCTGCTCATATGCTCCTGACCTATCTAAAACACATGTATGTGAATTGTCAGACCTTTAGTCTCTCAAAACCTCCCATATCATTCATTAATCTATATTTAATTATTGGCATTTTTTGAGTATCTATAGAGTATACTTTGTGTACTAGAAGAACTTGATTACTAATTGGGAGAGAAGAAATGAATGTGTGAGGCAGATTTAGATTTAATGATGTGATTATAAAGCAACCTGATATGGTTTGACTCTATGTCCCCATCCAAATCTCATCTCGAATTGTAATTCCCACACACTGAGGGAAGGATCTGGTAGGAGGTGACTGGATCATGGTGGCAGTTTTCCCCATGCTGTTCTTGCAATAGTGAGTGAGTTCTCATGAGATCTGATGGTTTAAAAGTGTGTGGCAGTTCCCCCTTCACTCTCTCTCTCCTGCCACCATGTAAGACGTGCTTTGCTTTCCCTTCACCTTCTGCCATGATTGTAAGTTTCCGGAGGCTTCCCAAGCCATGCAAAACTGTGAGTCAATTAAATCTCATTGCTTTATAAATTACCAATTCTCAGGTAGTATTTTTATAGCAGTGTGAAAATCGACTAATATACAATCTGTGAACAAATAGATGATTATATGGATCAATCCATATACATAAATACTTATAAGAAAGAATCTCGGTGGAGAAGAGAGAAATTATTGGGGAAAGTTTAATCATTTCAGACTTGATTTAATAAGAACAATATGAAGTATGGTAAGGTGAATAATGAGCCCCCAAAAGATATTCAGCTTCTAATCCCAGGAGCTCTGAATATGTTACCTTACATGCCAAAAGGGACTCTGCAGATATTATCAAAGTTAAGGAATTTGAAATGGGGAGATTATCCTGGAGTTTCATGCTGGGCCCAAACTAATTATATGAGGCTTTAAAAGCAGAACACTTTACCTAGGTGTCAGAGAAAGATTTGTGATGACTGAAGAAGGGTCAGAGAAAAACTCAATGTTGCTGACTTCGAAGATGGAAGAAATGGCTGTGAGCTAAGGAATGCTAGCAGCCTCTAGAATGTGGAAAAGGCAAGAAACCCAATTCCTCCCTAAGTCTCCAGAAAGAAACACCATCCTTGCATTGTTTATAGCCCAGATTGACTTGTGTCAGACTTTTGACCTTCAGAACTGTAAGAAAATAAATGTGTATTGTTTAAGCTTCTAATTTGCAGTAATTTGTTACCACAGCAATAGAACATTAATACAACTGGTATACATTTGTTTGACAGGTCATAGAACTCTCACAGTCACTAACTCATTTGGTCCCAAAGCAATCTTAAGGGTTAGGCTGGGCAAAAGAAGACACAGAAGCTCAGGGAGGTTGAGTGGCTTATCTCAGGTTTCACAGCCAGTGGATGCCAGGCCAGCCTCAAAATTTAGAACTGACTCTGCACCCTGTTTTCAAGTATTCATGAATAGTAACACTCAAATGGTAGAGTGGTCTGACAGGTCAGAAAATCCCTTTACTGATCCTTATATTACTTAACTGATGCTTAATGAAGGTGATCCAGTGGTACACCACAGAGGTTGTGGAAAAAATAATTTAAGATAGTTTACAGGCCCTCAGTCCTTCTTGACTATACAGCTATAAATGAGAAATATTCATCCTCATGGTGCCAGCATAGAGCATCTGCATCTGCTTAAAGAGCCCTGACTTTTATAAACTATAAAATCATTTATACTGTAAAATCAAAAATTATTTTCTTCAAGATTCATCCTGTCAAAATGTACTGTGGTTATGATTCTATAATAAGCCTGTTTGATAAAATATCTCTGTGATTTGAGTATGCTTAATAATTAGGGTAACTTGTTTAATAATTGATCCTCACATTGTGAACCTTCTAGTAAATCCATCATACATTTAGAAATCCAGGCATTAATGCAAAAAGAGGGAATGCCTGTTCAATTTAATCTACATTACAGAGACCACAGTGCCCTTGTTACACAGCTACCAAGCCAGGAATTTCAATAATTTATTATCTGTAATATACAAATAATCAGATGGAAGTTGAAGACTTGAATGTTGAAAATTATTATTTGCCTGAAGAAATGGGAGCTTGGAAGAAAGGATGACTCATATGTTCAATAAACGTTTGCAATTATCAAGACATCTAATAAAAATGGATAAGAATGGAAAGTTAATATGAACTAAATTTCATTGAATCAGAATGTATCCTTTACAAAAATAAGCTTTAATGAAATCACATTAATTAATATATTCAGTGCTAACTAGATAAATTTACATGCTGTGTTTGTTTTAGATGTGATTACTTGAGTACTGCTAGGCTGTAACTAGCACAACAGTATAATTGCCATAAATGTTCCCATACTATGCATCTAATAGGTTTTAACTATTTTATTTATTTTATTTTTGCATCTGGCCACAGGGAATAAATAGTCCTCTTCTCTAATGTCATTAATAAGTAATGACTTTTACATTTACCAGCCATTTTCATTTTCTCTTCCTTTTCTGTAATTGAATCCACAAAACATCTAAAGTCTCTAAAATTTATCTAAAGGAGAAATTGAATAAGATATCTTCTTAAAATGTCTAAAATGTTGAGGTTTTAATAGGTACAAGTCATTCTGGTAGTTTTGGCATAATACTAGAAACTGATGGTGGGAGGATAGAATAAATTCATGCTTTTTAAGTGCTTATGACCTTGTTGGGGATGCAGAACATAAACGTATGAAAAAATAAATAGTATTTTCTCAGAAAATCTCATGGTATTATCAATAGCTTTGTGTCATAGAGTGTAACTACTATGTGGATGCCACTTCTTGCTCGACCTGCTCTTCCTCCCATATTTGGAATTCTCTTACATTCCTTTTAGTACCTGATTTGTAGAATTTTTTTTTAACTCTCAGAAATAAGTCTATTGGTGTACTATATCTGGTCAAGGTTTCCTTCGAGGGAGTCCTCGGGTATGAAGGATACCAAAAAATCATGTGAGGAGAGAAGATCTTGGACAAAGAAGATCCTGAGAAAGGAAGCCAGATACATACACTCAGTGCAGCGGAAGGAGACCACAGCCACACAAAAGACCATTGTCTAGGCCACATGTATATCCTCCCCCATCTTCCATGATTAAAGAGGCAGGATGGATTTTCCAATTTCGTTAAATCTGAGGTTGGTAAAACATAGCAGATCTATTTCCAGGTTATTCCCAGAGAACTGACAGCTTAACAAGGTGTGGTAAAAGATAAAAGGAGATGGACAATGAGCTACTAGAGGCTGTCAAGCAGATATCCTATGATTAGAACTCTGATTTAAGAAGACTGTAGGGTCCATCCATTGAGGCAAACTGGGACGAATTGCTAAACTAGCCATAAGCATACATAAGCATTATCTTATGTCCTCTGTGTAAAGGATGTTGCTTAAATAACAGCAAAAGGTTTTTGAAAATGGACTATGTTATAGTTATAGTAAATTATATTCCAAACATAATTGTTATTTTTGCCTTTCCAAACCTAGAGTAGCTCAGCTGGTGGGTTATACAGCTATACATAGCTATACTTAGATTGTTTATTAATTATTTATAATTCTATTGCTTATGTGTTGATTTACTTTACAATAGTTTTATATAAACAGGTGTGTGTGTATGTGTGTGAGTGTGTAAATGAACTCTAACCACTTTAGGTGTGGTTATTAGCATTTGAAGTCCATTTAACCAGGAATCAACATTTTCAAAATGGTTACTTAACATGTGACATATATTTATTGAAATATATCCCACAGTGTTTGTTAATCATAATTGGTAAAATGACAATTTTCAAGATAGATGCATGGTTAAAATACATTATAGAAGCCTCACCACCTTGAATAAGTGAAATACAAAAGTTCAACAAGCCCAGCAGTTTAATGTCATTGGTGGAATAACCAAAGTCTACAGTCTCATTGGTCCTGTTTCCCTACTTCCTGGAGAAATCAGATGAAGGATTCTACTCTAAGCCTGACTTGATACGCTGTCAGAACATCAGTGCATTCACTTCAGTAAGCCTCTCATACAAGGTGGTAAAATCAATGTATCTAGGCAGAAATTGGATTTCCTCCAAGCTGTGTAACTGTTGCATAACCACTTAGGAGCCATTTTGGTAACAAATGATCATAAGTTTGATGGAACTTGGTCTGAAATTTGGTTTTATTGTAAGATAGCATCTATTAGTAAGTTTGTGAGACAAGGGATATATATAAAATTGCCACTTAACTATTTACAGAGTCTACTAACATTTACTAAAAGAATCTAACATTTGCTGAGTAACCTAATTGGTTTGAATCGTTTTGTAATCTATCTAAATATATCTAAGCAAATCCAAGTCCAAATAGAATTAATCTTCATATCCATATATCTAGATACATATCCATATTTATATTCACACTCATGTCCCTATCTATTTTTGTTTAAGAAGCAGCATTCAGAGAGACAGTAAGGGAGAGATGAGGCAGTGACCTGCTGGAAACCCAAGTGAAAGATTGATTTAAGGAGGAAAAGGGCTAAGTTAGAACTATACTTTCCAGAATCCCATTTCCTGTATGGCCAGTTTTGTCCTAAAAAGAAATATGGCAGGGTTTGGAAGGCAGCCCTATGCAGGCAGCCATTGCTCTGTTAAGGTCCTAGTGGGTAAATGTGCTGAGAAAGCATACAGAAGTCCCAGCAAGGTCCAGCTGTCTTTGCCCTCCTTGCTCTGCAACCACCTCTTCTTTCCGACTGCCAGCTTTGTAGTGACCATACCACTAATCTCATATCCACTGCCAGGCACAGCGACAACAGCCTTTCATTGACTTATTGACCAGCTCTCCCTTTCTCAACTCTTAATCCAGCAGCCAGATGGTTATCCATCCTTCAGATTCTCAAATGATGCTGTCTTTTGTTCTTTCCCTGGTTTATAGGACCTGAGGTATCAAATAAGGAATAAAAGATGGTCTTGTGGAGAAAGCTCTGGATGAGGAGTTAAAACTTGAGCATCACAAACTCTTCATCAGTGTGTTTATATATAAACTGCCAATTTTATAAATTGTTCCAAATTTTATAGGCATAGGAAGAGACTTCTACAATATAGTGTGTGGGGAAAATACATATTTTAAGATGCTCATGTAAAAGATAATACCTCAATGCAAGAAATTCTTACTAACATGACTGCTCATATTTTGTCCAGTTTGTGAATTTCTACCTAGTAAGCATACATTTAGATTTGTGTACCTATAGACCAATATGTTGATTTTTGCCCCATAAACAAAATAACTTCAGAAAAAGAAAAGCCTGAAATATTAAGGGTTTAGATTTTCAGTTTTTAGCTCATTTCATGATAATGGAGCTTCATAATGATGTTGTAAGGAATTCTATGTATGTCCTTTACTAACTTAAAATGTGATCATTCTCTATTTCACTTAAAGCTTAGGAATATGATACTTGATGTTGTGGAGAATACCAATCAGCATAATATATAGTCTCTTCCACTCAAAAACTGAAATAAGGCTTGGCAAGGAAGACACATATACATTTACAGTTGAAATACAAAAACTGGCAAGACATGAATAAATGTTTTAGATATTGAAGTGTTAGTGTAAGTATACATACATAGGTCAGAGACTGGATCATTAATGGCTGATATAATACACGGATGCTTCTAGACTTGGTAATATGTAGCTAAGCACAAAAAAAAGAAGGGAGGAAATAACAGGTTGGGTGAACAGCATGGGCAAATGCAAAGTTAAATTTAATAAATACTGAATACCAACTCAGCCAAGGCATTCACAGAAAGCAATATCACAGATAAAAGCATTCATCTTGGGTGTAGAAGAAGAAATTATCAAGCATTTCATAAACTGTCTGAAGGGCATTTTAAACATATGATTCTGTCCATGCTCACAAAAAAACAAGTCCTGGTTTTTGTGAAGGAGTTTATAAAATATTTCATCCTCAACTAAGTTGTTTTTCCTTCCTGTTCAGTTGGTGGTAGATATCCAAGCATGATAAACCTCTTCACAAGTGGTATGTTGTTTCAACTGGCTTCCAAATGTTTGGGTGTTAAAATGGTTCAGTTATTCTCTTCTGGAAGGCAGTTGTCAAGGCTGATTACAAAATATTCTTTAAAATACGACTAGCAGCACATTGAAAGAGGCCGTTTCAGTGAACGAAATTCATGGCTGCCTCGTACGTTTGGCATCTTCCTCCCAACGGAACAGGAAGTAGGGAACATATTTGTTTAGTCAGGAAGCTTTCACCCATTGTTTGTGCTGGCTACGCGGGAGGGTGAGTGGGTATTTATATTCCTGTTCTGATTGCAGGGCACTTTTGATTCCTCATTAATGGTGTTTGGAGAGTTGTGAAAAGAAATATAACAGCACACAATTATTTTCATAGACTTCCTTTAAAGTACTATAATTCCTACAAATATTGCCCGAGTCTCCTACTGAGACAATCAGAACCTAATTTCAGATAGAATAGAGTACAAATAAAATAAGATGAAAGGCTTAAGCCAGCTAATATTTCTATCAAATGATAGGATTTTAAAATACATGTCTATTAGAACTATAACTTTCAAGTGATAATTTCCATCTAGTTGTGAATTAAGGAATGTATGGAAAGAAGTATTTTTTATGTCATGCTTTCTTTTTGTTAGTTTCTGGTCTATGTGTGTATAGAGATCCTTTTTGCTACCTCATTTTTGTTCATACTTGGAATATACACAAAAATGATGTAAACTCTCCAGTTTTCTTCCTGTGTGCAAGGGCTTCTAGGAGACCTTATCTTTCTTCTATAACTTCTTCACTCCTTCATTCATCTGCAGAGCCATGAATGCTTAAAACAAATCTGGTAGGACTAAGATATCAAATGCTGCCTTGCAGTGGAAATTTTCAATATTAATTAAATAGATAATTATGTTAAAACTATGTGCATGTGGTTCGTGTTTTTTATAATTTTTTGAAAGTTCTTTCTGATTAGAAGAACTATGTATATTTTTGCACACAATAGTCATCTGATGTGCACAAATTTACTTTGAGCTCTCTAACAATGAGGCTTGTTTATTTGCATTTTTGGTTCAAGATTCAAAAACTCTCTTACCCAGAGATGCCAAGAGGTAAGTGAATGCATGAGGAAGGCCATGGGGAAAACTAAGAGGCGTTACAGCAAAGATGGTAAACTGAAGAGCATAGCTATTCCCAAACTGATTGTCTCCTATAAAAATGGGAGCTACTACTGCCAAATACTCAATTTTGTGAGAAGCTAAAATGCTGAAATTTGATACAGAATTTCCCAATGAAAGAAACTCTTGTATGCTACAAAGCAAGGCTATGAGGGGATCTAGGCTTCAGGATCAACATTGATATCCCTTGTAAACTTTTATATCTTATAAATGTGACAAATGTTTGGCCTCTTGAACAGTGAAAACCAATGAGCTATATCCAAGATCCATTTTGACAAGGACTATTTCATTTAACACTAAAAATGTTAGTTATAGATTATTTATATAATTTTATATCATTTATTAGTACATAAAAATTTTATATAATTATCTCAAATTATCTATCCACCCGCCCACCCATTCATTCATCCACCTATCCACCCATTTATCCATCCATCCATCCGTCCATCCATCCGTCCATCTGTCTGTCCATCTGTCCATCTGTCCGTCCACCCAGCCCCCCCACCCATCCATCCATCCATCAATACACATATGTCTCTGAGGTATGTGGCATGGTTATTAAAGAATCTGAGCTTGAGTGTCAGACTGCTGATGTCCAAACCTTGACTCATAGCTATTAATGAAGCATCCTTGGGCATTTACTTAACCTTTCACTGCCTCAGTTTCCTCATCTGTAAAATGTGGCTAATGGCAGTTGGCATGGCATAGAACTGTTCTGAATACTGAGATTAATTTTGTCCTGCATCTCCAGTAATGTTCTTAACTTTCTGGGCATTTTCATGCCTGCTGCGAGGGAACAAAAAAGTGATCTCATTGATTCCTTTCCATTCACCAATGTGAGATACTCAAATAAAAGCAGAAATGAGAACAAGAGCCCTCTGGACATGTACTGTAGTGTAAAGATTTCTTTACAGGATTTGGGGAATACAATTTTGTCACAAAACTGTTAGTCATTATAGTTTCTGTGACCCCAGTGCTAGGCTGCTTTAAAAATAAGTCATAAACCTATATACTTTTTCAAATCGTCTCCTATGACCAATTACATAGGCATGTCTTTAAATAAAGCTGTTCTCTCTGTCTCGTATCCATTTCACAAGATGAATTCTTCATGTTACAAGAAGATTTAGAGTACGGTTTCTTTAAATAGCAAGACTTCAATGCAGTCAAAGTATGAATCAATTTATAAAAAATTGATTTATATACAACTTTACAGGAACAAATCTATTGCATAAAAGCTGTTACAGGACTCAATCCAGCAAGCTTTAACAAATGTGGAATGAATTGCTTGTCTAAAAGCAAAATAACTATTCATAACTCCCTGCCCCCACCTCAGTTCTTTCAATACCCACAGCTTTGTTTAGTTTTTTTAGCTGGTGTCCAAACTGAGTAAACCTTGCAAGAAAATTTCATAATAATGAATATACACCCCAGATGCTGAATTAAACATTTTTGAAGAGAGGTTGTTGTTCTACATATTGGCTGTCTGTAAAAAATTAATTGATGATTTTCCAAAGCAAAAAGCAAAAATAAAATTCCAAATTAGGGTAATTGCTTTACTCTATGTGAGCTGCATAGCTCTTTTTTGTTGCTGTTTTTGCTAGTTATTTGTTGGTCCTAAAGGAAAACAAAACTCAAGCCTAGAAGCATTCATCAGTGGGAAATTCTGACTGACCTTCCTGGCAGGCTGTCAAAGTGCCATTTAGCACACTAGCTATAAACGTGCAAATAATAACCCTTGTTGCCAGGTAAATACAAAAATCAAAACCAAAAAAATCACTGAGCTCCCCTCCCTGAGGTGGACCCTTATTTCCATCTGCCTGGTCATGCAAGTCCCATTGTGCCATTAACTACCCCCTTGGGCTTCTGGTCCAGTGTAAAAGTGTTTGGCTTACTTGCATTGACATGTAATTAATGCATGTAACTGGATGATTAATGGTACCTTGCCTGTTCTCTTAGAGTTTAGCTGAGGACTCCAGAGTTGACGATAATAGGTGTTAAATGCCAATAAATTCCAAAGAGAGACGTTAGATCCATCAGTGTCTAGCCTTAGTGAGACATGAACTGCTTCTGTGGTGCTTTCTTCATCCTATGTAAGAAATGGAAGTTTAAAAAATAATTGATAAGATAAATGAAAGAGAATTGGAGCTACCTTGAAATTCATGGGAGAACTAGCACTGTGTCCACTGGAATATGTCCCAGAAATTGTGGTGTTTGACTTTCCCTGGAAAGACCTGAAGATAAAGGGCTGGGTGGGGACAATATGAGGGAGAGTGAGCAGCAAGACCACAGGAAAGACTCTGCACATGCAAGGTGGGGGAGGGTACAGATGGGCTTTGCTTCCCAGGGACCAGAATGTACAAGTAGCTGGGCGGGAGAACACTGTAGGGGAGGACTGCCTGTCAGAGAAAAGTAGATTGTGCCTTGGGAGCAATTGCTGAGACCTTGCCAAAAAGACAGAGGGAGAGGCAATTGCTTGGAGCGGGAAACATGGCCAACTCCAGGGTTTCCACGCAGTCCCAGAACTCACAGAAAAGCCCCATCTACTACCCAGACAGATTCTCCACGCAGCAACACTGAGTAATTCCCCAAATAGTTTTTTCCTTTCTGTGAAAGCATTTCTGTTCCTCGAATACCCTTTTCCTGCCTTGTCTGATCTGCCTGGAAGCCCTTTACCTTCAGGCCTTTCCAGAGAGAGTCAAACACCACAGTTTCCGGGACACATCGTTGCGTATTCCAGTGGACACAGCGCTAGTTCTCCCAAGAATTTCAAGGTAGTACCAATTCTCTTCCAGACAAAGACGCCAGAGAACAACAGTCCCAACCAAGTGAGATCTTTCATCTCAGTCCCCTCCTTTATTCTGGACCAGCCAGAGGCAGTGGAGTCAGTGGGCAGGAGGTGGGAAGGGGCGGAAAGCAGTACGTTACCTCCCCTACCACTACTGCAGGGAGAAAATCTTGACACTGCAAGGGAGTTGGAGTGCTTATATACATCTGACTTGTTATGTTAACACCTGGAAAGGAGATTGCTGTATTGCTTAAAATTGGGATCTGTCAGAGATATTATTAGAGGCAGGGAGGAGAGATTAGAAGGGAGATTAGCTAGAGTGGGTTTGAAGGACTTTCAGGAGAAGAAAAATAAAGATTTTTCTGATCGGCATAGCTGCGTTCGCCCATTCAATAAACATTATTTATACAATGAAATGAACTAAAAATAGCCCTTATTAATTAGGAAATGGCAAGGCAGCAGGATTCGTACAGTTCTCTGAAATAAAATGCCAGGAGTATAATGATAAATAGAAATGCTGAATATCTTTTTAAATATTTCATTGTAAAAGAAGTCTGCCAAAGTTCAGGATAATGGGCTCATTATTGCTACTAAAGATGTCATCCAAGCCTCACCTGAGAATCACCTAGACTTCTCTTCCTCATTTTCCACTTAATCAGTCACTAAATTATGTCTCATGAAAGTAGCTGTCAAATCAGTTTCCTCTTTTCCAATTTATTCCTACAGCCCTAGTTCAAGTACTCACCGTCTGTCACGTGGGCTATTGCAATAGCTTCTTCTGTAGTCTCCCTGCCTCTGATCATATCCCCTTCTGTCCATCCTTCATATTATAGCCAGAATAATCTAAAATGCAAATTATACCACTCCCTTTCCTGGAATACACCAGTAGCTTCCCATTGATGACAGCACAGCTTCTCAAGCTTTGATCTGGCCCCTGCCCACCTCCCTACTTAATTTTCTACCATTCTTCTCCACCCAGCAACACTGATTAATTTCCCAGAGTTTTTTCCTTCCTGTGAAAGTGTTTCTGTTCCTGGAATACCTTTTTCCTGCCTTGTCTGATTTGCCAACACCTTTGGTTCCCTTTTGCTATGCCCATCAAAGGATCCTCTAAGGCTCTATTAAACACACAGGCTCACAAGGCTAGACTAGGCCACAGTTGGCATCAACTTATCAGAAGGTGCCACATAGGAAGCACAGCTTGCCAGCAGGGTATAACCAAGTGAAATCTCAGGGAAAAAGCCCATACGACTATCATGTCCCCAGGGACAGCTCAAGGGCAAGGAGATGAAATCCACATCTGGGCAGTTCAGTTTCTGCCCTGGCATAGAAGAAGATACCTGCCTCACAGGGCCAATAGATCTTGTAAAAAGTCCATAGTCACTGCTTCCACAGGTCACTATACTCAGAGAAGCTTGAAGCTATGGCTCCCCATCTGATATTTGTAGTTCACTTATTGTTCTCCCATTCTAAATGCAACTTACCAATCAGGGGTCATTCTACCACCGGTAAGGTAGCCTGGCAATATGGTTAATACATACCATCTTATCTGGCTTCCAGGCAGCATTGTTAGCCAGTGACCATAGGTTGGATTCTCATTTGTGCGGCAAGAAAAGAGTTTATTAATCCTTCCATCTGTTCCTTTCTCCTCTATGGGACTTCCTTATCACTACACCTTCACCTTCAGTTATTTATTCTGTTTTCTTTACAGCCTGTGGATCTTGCACATACTTATATCATTGGCTTCATCCTTGCAAATGGCAATTGTTTGCTATATTAAAGTACTTTCCAGGACTAGTGTAACGGTGTGGCTTTTTGCAGGATGGGGTGGGAAGATCATAAATAGATGCTCCCCAACTCTGAGGATTTTTGACCATATTTGGTTGTAACAAAATAACAAGAGTAGATAAAGTCCCCAGACATATTTTGTGGACTTTGTCTTTTCTCATCCACTGGATGTAGACTAACCTATTAGATTTGGTAATACAGGTATTTTTTTAAAAAAAAATTAGATCTTTCAGAGACTACTAGATAAAATGAAAACATGAGCTAAGTTAAATTAATGCTTTAATAACACTTTTAATTGAGAAAATGTGACTTTTAAAAATCAGTCCAGCTCATGAATTAAAGATCCTCATTAAACTATAGACCATGGAGGACTTGTAACAGCTCTACATCCAAGTTCAAGTGATGTCCTCCATCTAGAGCAAATGATGACCTCTGGATTTAATGCATACGTTATTAGCAGTTTGATCCCTTAGATTCAGTCCATGAATTTTAATCCTCTTTACAAGATGTTCAAAATGATTGGAAAAGTGGAGCTGAAGGTAAACAGGAGCAGCTGTTCACCAGAAAACCTCTCTACCTGACCCCTGCTGGGTTAACACAATGGATTCTGAGAGAACATCGTGACTCATTCCCCTCCTGGTATTTATCACAGACTCATACATTTTGCTCTTTCTTATATACTGCTTTAATCCTGTCCTGATCATGGAACATCATTATCCCCACTTGGAAACTGACTCAGAGGTCAGTGCGATGCAGCGTGGCCGTCCTATTCAGCCTTGTTTGCTTCCTCCCACTCCCTATAACTCTGGGGAAGGTTGAATGTCCTGGGAATTTGACAGAAGTGTGAGGCCTGGGCTCTAGTGATATCAGAGTTTCATATTAAAAAGAAAGGAACTGGAATATAACCTCATTGTTGGAGCGAGGAGAGATAAAGAGGAGATAAAAGATACACAAAAGAAAAGGAAGTGGCAGGTGCTGGCAGAAGGCTGAAATGGTGAGTTTCCACTGCAGAGAGAGTGTGAGGAAATATACAAATTGCTAATAGGAAACGGGATTCTCTCACCACTCCATAACACACTGGGCTGAAATGCTCAAGTGGGAAGAATGACAGCCAAGGCCAACCTGAGCTCCAGTCCTGCCCTGCTGTGCCTAGATTTCACTCATTTCCAGCCCTGGGTGCTCTTGTCTCACATATGTGAAAGTGGAGAAAACACAGGAACACTTTGTTTTCTCTGAACTGTCTGGGGAAGAAAATGCTGTACAGTAAATCAGAGAACCAAACCCTGTGTAAACTGTGAAGAAGGCTGTACTAAATCTAGAAATGGAAGGTACCCGAGGTGCTGCACTGAAACCACTGTTTCCTTACGGATTTTGACTCTTAAGTGCTTATTGTATATGAGTGAAAGTCCAAGCAAAAATACTTATTCTACTCTGAGTATGCTGTGGGCAGCAATAATTGATGTATGACAAGAACATGTCATGGTAATGTAAACCCAAGTTTGCTTAATGGTAGCATGTCTTCAGAGATGAAGCCATTGAGGTTGTCTAGCCAGATACCTGGAAGAGTCTCCTTGCTTATAATTATGAGGAGGTATGGAGTTAGGAATTTGTGTATTTGAATATTCTGCTTCAAGTTTTTTATTTAGTTGTTTCCCTACACTGGCTCAAGTGGCAGCAACATAATAGATGATGCTGAGTAAAACTCCTGGGCATATTTCTTTCTAGAAAAGACTTAAAATTGAAAGGAATAAGTGCATTTATTCACTTGCACATTAGTTCAGTGGATTCTCTCTGGGGTCCCATGGCAAGACCTGCTTTAAGTTGCAACCATCTTACAACATGGTACCTTTGCTCCATATTAATGACAACTAACACTTATTGAGTGTTAATCCTTACACATATAGTTTCCCATTTTTTAAATGACCAAACCCCATGATACAGGTACTTTAATTTCATGAGTTATTTTCATAAATCATTTCATAATTTCATAAAATCATTTCATACTTTCATAATTTATGAAATTTCAAAAAAATTTCATAAAATCATTTCATAAATTACTTTCATTTCATAAATGAGAAAACTGAAGGAAGAGGTTCTGTAATTAGTCCAAGGTCATATACCTGGTAAGTAATAGAGATGGATATTGAAATTCAGTAGTCTGGCTCCAGAGCCTATGTGGTTTAACCACTACCCAAACTGTATCAGGAGCCTGAAAAAAAATAGGATTTGCACATGTCTTGGAGTGGAGAATGAAGGACAATAAGGTACAGTCAAGCATGCGGTGACCTTGCCTCTTCTGATGAGTGTCAGCTGTGCTTTTCCTACTGCCCTTCCTGATTAGCCTTCATTTGGGCACCATTCGCCTTCTCTTCTCTGTCCTCATGTTGCCCACTGCCTTTGTCTCATTCTAGATAGCAATACCCACAGCTGTCTTTTCTTCTCACTCTATTTCCTCCTCCTGGTTGGTATCAATTCCAGGATTAGTAATCAAAAACTAATATATTTCCAAATACATATCTCTACCTTAACTACCAAACCCATTTCTAGCTGACTTTTGTCTATCAGCACCTGACTGTTCCACAGGCTCCTGAAACTCAACATGTCTAAAAATGGCTCTACATTTTTGAGTTACATGTTGCTATGGTATAAATGTTTATATCTCCCTAAAATTCATTTGTTGAAATCTTTACCTCTCAGGTAGTGGTATTAGGAGGTGGGGACTCATGGGGTTGAAGCCCTCATAAATGGGATTGGTACTCTTATAAAAGAGGTCCAAGAGAGGCTCCTTGCCCCTATGCCATGTGAGATTAGAATGAGAAGACCACTGTCTATGAGGGAACAGGGCTTCATCAGACACCAGCTTTACCAGCACCTTGATCTTAGACTCCCCAGACTCTGGAACTGTAAGAAATGCATTTCTGTTGTTATGTCTATGGTATTTTGTTATAGCAGCTTAAATGGACCAAGACACACCTGTAGGCTTTAAATGTTTATATTTGAAAATAAACGAGAGGAAAATAAATAAATAAATAAATAAATAAATAAATAAATAAATAAAAGACTCCACAGCCTAGTGGATAGGCTCTGTTCCCGGACTTGCTTCTCTTCCTGTATTCTGAGTCTTAGTTAATGACATCATTTCTGACTTGTAATTCACAATCAGCAATTGCTACTTTGCACTCACCCAAACCCTGCCCACTTGAGATTAGGGATCATTTTTCTAATCCAGCTGTTTCTTCTACCTCTGCAGCCTTTACTTTATCTTAGGTGTGTGTCACCTGCCTTGTTTGCCTGCCCTGCCATTAGTTTTTCTCTCTTCTGTTTATTTCTTCCTCTTTATTTACAAGATTATAATTCTCCAAACTTTGACCATCTTAATGCGGTATCTAGAAATATAGATCAGCTTTCTATCATTCATAATATAAAATCCAAACTCAAGATGGCTGGCAAGCTCTTTCAAACAGAGCTCTTGTCTATCCATACCAATATAATATTTTAAAAAATAATAGTAAAATGGTTGTGGCCAACTTGCTTTACCTGCCTTCCATTTCTCACACTGAAGCAGTCTGAGAGCCAAATTTGCAGAGTCAAGATGAGAACAGTAGCTTTGAAAGTGCAAATTGAGGCTGAGAAGGAAAGATACAGCTCTTGTTTGGGACATCTTGCTTCTTACCCTCTCCGTGGTCCCTCGGTCTATCTAATTCCTTACCTCTCTACCAACCTACTCCTCCATCTACTCTCCTCTTGTATTCAGCCTCAAGGGGGTAGTATAGCCACTGATGCTAGAGGAGAGGCTTACTGGAAGAAAGAATCATCAAGACCTAAATTTAGGGTAGATTATTAAAAACAAAACAAATATAACCAAACCAAACCCAACCAAATTAAAGCAGCAGGGCACAAATGGTACATGCCTGCCTATAATCCCAGCTACTCAGGAGGCTGAGGTGGGAGAATCACTTGAGTCCAAGAGTTTGAGACCAGGCTGGGCAACATAGTGAGACCCCATCTCTACAAAAAGTAAAGATTAAACCTTTCTCACTGCCAAGATACACAGCCTGCTAGTATCTCTGATATATTTGTTATGAGTTGAAATATGTTTCTCAGAATGTGACTGTATTTGGAGATAGAGTCTTGAAAGAGGTGATTACAATAAAATAAGGTAATTAAGGTGGGCTGTAACCTAAAATCACTGGTATGTTGTAAGAAGAGGAAATCAGGATATAGACATGTAGAGATGGAAGATCACATGAAGACACAGGGAAGAGACAGCCATCTACAAGCCTCAGAAAAAAAGAAGCCTCAGAATAAGCCAACCATGCCAACACCTTGATCTTTGACTTCTAGAACAGTGAGAAAATAAGCTTCTGTTGTTTAAACCACCCAGTCTGTGGTACTTTGTTATGGTAGCCCTAGCAAACTAACACAATGCTACTATAAGAAATAATAATAGGCTGGGCGCAGTGCTCATGCCTGTAATCCCAATACTTGGGGAGGGTGAGGTGGGAGAATTGTTTGAACCCAGGGGTTTAAGACCAGCCTGGGCAATGTAGTGAGACCTCACCTCTACAGAAAAAAAAAAAAGAAAGAAAATTAAAAACTAAAACTTAGCTGGCTGTGGTGGTGCACACCTATGGTCCTGACTACTCAGGAGGCTGAGGAGAAAGGACGATGTGAGCCCAGGAGTTTGAGGCTGCAGTGAGCCGTGATCGTGCCACTGCACTCCAGCCTGGGCCACAGAGCAAGACCCTGTCTCAAAAAAAAAAAAAAAAAAAAAAGAGAGAAATAATAATAGCTAGTATGGTTTTTGAGTGTTTAGTGTGTGCCATGTTTTGTTTGATATGGTCTATGTTTTTAAACTTATTTAGTACTCACAACAACTGTAAGACAGTATTACTTTTATTTCTTGTATGTGGATGGGGAAGCTGCAGTAGAGAGGTTTAATGTTGTGTTAAATAGCTAGAAAGAACGCAAAAGTAGAAACTAGGTAATCAGAGAAGTTATGTGTAGTCTTGCCCTGAAAATATTAAATATCAACTGTTTCCACAAATCAATAAAGGAAACAAAGACAACTCAATACAAAAATAGGCAAAATACTTGAAGTTTCACAAAAGGTGTATCTACATATCTACGTGACCCATAAATATATGAATGGCTGCTAAGCCTCTGGTGGGTATGTAGTGCTACTGCATTTTATTTTTTACTTTACTAAGAAATGCAAATTTAAAAGGAATTGAGATTGAATGTACTCTGTGCTGCCTGCCACACCCCTTTTTATGTTCTAAGCTTGAGACACCTCTGACTTCCTGCATTGCTGCAGGGAGAGTACCATGATCCTGGAGTTTTTTAAGACTTTGAAGATGATACTCTCCCTCCTCTGCCTTTTTTTTTTTTTTGAGACAGCGTTTTGCTCTTGTCACCCAGGCTGGAGTGCAGTGGCATAATCTTGGCTCACTGCAACCTCTGCCTTGGGGTTCAAGTGATTCTTCGGCCTCTGTCTCCCGAGTAGCTGGGATTACAGGCACCCGTCACCATGCCTGGCTAATTTTTGTATTTTTGATAGAGATGGGGTTTCACCATGTTGGCCAGGCTGGTCTCGAACTCGTGACCTCAGGTGATCCACCCGCCTCAGCTTCCGAAAATGCTGGGATTACAGGTGTAAGCCACCGTGCTCGGCCTTCCTCTGCTCTTGCTGCTCTTGACCAAAATAAAATTGCACCATCACTGTGACTCAGATGAAACCTCTCTGTTTTCCTCTGGGTTCCTATTGTACTGCATATGCCCCTTATCATAGTACCCACATTGATTGTAATTGATACATCTGTCCCTCTCATTGGGCAATTAGCAATGTGGGGTCAAGGACTGACCGAATTAACATTATAGTTTCCTGAAGCATTGAGCATGTGGCTATAATATATTCTGTGGTTGACACATATTTGTTGAAATAATCCTAACGCCTTATTATGCTCTTTTGTCAGATTACTTTTCAGGTTTATGCTGGGCTATGGCTATGATTTCAATGAATAGCTGAAAATTAAGAGTTTGATGTTTTGTAAATAAGTACCTTAATGGATTTATTTGGCATTGTCTACCAACAGTGCTTATTGATTCTGCTTTCAGGAGTTTTGTTCTCCACTTATGAACTAACCTAAGTTGGTTTGGCCTTTATAATTGTCCAGTTGTTTTTAGAAGATATCTACAAGGCCGGGCACATGGCTCATGACTGTAATTCCAGCACTTTGGAAGGGCGAGGTGGCGGATCATTTGAGATCAGGAATTTGAGACCAGTTTGGCCAACATGGCAAAACCAAGTCTCTACTAAAAATACAAAAATTAGCTGGGCCTGGTAGTGCATGCCTGTAATCCCAGCTACTTGGGAGGCTAAGGCAGGAAAATTGCTTGAAGTTGGGAGGGGAAGGTTGCAGTGAGCCGAGACTGCACCACTGCACTTCAGCCTGGGCAACAGAGCAAGACTCCATCTCAAAAAAAAAAAAAAAAAAGAAAAAAAAAGGTATCTACAATCTGAAAGGACTAGAGGTGGATAAGGACAAAAAGCCTGGGCTGCCACAACCTTGCCACATATGGGTGTTATATTACAATGAAAGTGGGTCTCAGATGAGAGTGTGCCACACATTTGAACACTTCTCAGCAAGCGACACAGTGATGTAACCTGTTCTGCTGGCTCCTGACGTCCCTTTTCTCTGTCATTTTGGGTATGCCACAAGCACCTTGAATGAAAAGTACATGATGATGGCAGGAAAAGTTAACCTTCCAGCTGAATTAGATATTAAATTCTCCATAAGGAAGATAACTAGAAGCTGAGTTTTGATTCTAAGACATAACTTGAAGATGTTAAGTTGCTGGGCTCACCAGGTTATTTTACTGTACACCTGGAAAGGTGAAGATACCTGCAGAACATATTTAAGCAACCGCATTTCCTGAACACCACTCATTTTACCAACGAAAAATCATTTCTGATACTGTCTTTGCCAGTTAGAAATGCTTTAGAAAGCACTTTCATTTTTGACGTGCTTGCAAGCCCTAAGAAGACTCTTGATTAGGATCTTTCAAATGTTAACTAGCTGCTATTACAGTGTGAGCTTCTAGTTAAAATCTTCCAAATGTTAATTAACTGCATCTAGGATATAGATTAACTACACATACACATAACTATTTATACTAAAGTACTTAAAAGAAAATTATAGTTGTACACAATATTGCCATGGAATTTTCCAGAGTTGTACCAATTTACACTCCCAGAAGAAAATGAGAGTTCTAGTTGCTCCACATCCTCACCATCATCACTGCATTCTTTAAAATTTTTAATTTAGCCAATCTGATGGGTACATACTGCTACTATATTGTATTTTTAACTTGCATTTCTCTGGTAGTTAACAAAGCTTAGCAGCTTTTCATATATTTATGGGTCATGTAGATACGTAGATGTGCTTTTTGTGAAACCTTTCAAGCCTTTTGCCTATTTTCCTATTGAGTTATCTTTATTGATTTGTGGAAACAGCATATATTTAATATTTTCAGTGCAAGAATATAAATATTTTCTCTGATTACCTAGTTTCTACTTTCACAGTTCTCCTTCATGTTAACGTGGTTGTTTATCAGTAAGAATTTTATCTAGAGTTGGATTATGCACCAGTCACATTATATGATCTTAGTGGAAAGCTAGGGGAAATGAGAAAACATTTCATGTTTTAAAATGAATGTACGTTAAATTCATTTTGTTTTATCAAATGTTTGGTAATTAGAAATTTTTATTAATACTAATCTAAAATATTAAACAATAGAAATCCCACAGAGGGGAAAATAAAAGGAAGATGTATGGAAGGACAAAAGTATCTGCAACTTACTAATCTTAGATATTATGACTTACTCATACAACCATGTTTTGTAGAACCATAATTAGAATGCTTCTTTCTGACACACTGGTGTTGTTAAATTGCTATCAGATCCTTCTTTTAAGATATTTGGCCATCAAAATTCACTATGAATCCCCACAGCTTTTCCTTCAAGTATATCTTCCAAATGAATCAGTCTTCTGAGTGCTTTCTACTTGGCAATTCCTTTTAAGTTCCAAAGGTTTCAACATCACTAGAGCCCTTATTTTTCTTCTATGCATCAGAGAAAGGGTAGCGAACATTAAAGTGGCATCATGATGCTGATGAAAATATAACTAGTTTTTGCAATCGGAAAAAGGGAAATTTCTAGAACAAGCTTCCTCCAACAGAGTTTTCAAGCAGCAACTGCTGTCTAGGCATTCCCTGAAATGTTTCTAGAAGGAGGTGAGTTGATGTTACTAGCAATGACTTGAGTTCACCAAAGTTTTATAGCTTCCTGGGGAACAAAAGATTTAGATAATTATTCAGTGTTTCAATACAGTAAGAGTCTTTCAGATTGCTAAAAGATCATTAGCCTACCTTATGAAATATTTTATCATCAAATTTGAGCAATAATAATAAGATTTCATCCTGTTTAATGAAAAATGAGATCCAAGAGTGACCTTTATCTTAAATTTTATTCCTGTAACCACGAGTATTATTCAAGGTTTGTTCTTAGATTACTGACTTTTAAAAATTTTTCAAATGTTGGGTTGTGAATAGATACAGAGGTCTGTTTATGCATCAGGTATTTGAAACAGTGGATATTGTCTAATTTTCCTGAAAGGTTAGGAAGATTCCCCAAGGAGATAGACCTTGAGAAGAGTTTGAAAGAGTAGATGACTTGACAGAGGCAAAATTAGAGTGTAGGTGAGAAATGGAGTGTAGTAAAGGGCATACACAGGTAAGTTTAGCAAGTCAACTTGCTGAGGGCAAGCTTAAAATGACAGCTTTGAAATCATATTCAAAGTACCCTGAAGGAACTGTAAATCAGTTCTGTGGATGATAGGTTTTACAAGGCATATCACTGAAACTTGCTAAAATAACTGCATTTTAGGTATGCTATGAGAGCTGAGCTGTGCTTTAATGAGCTCTATACTTAAGCTATCACTGTTCCTTTTGTGTGCCATAGTCACATTTTCTTCATCTCAATAGACACTGTACATTATTTTAATTATATCTTATTTCTTTTTTCTCAATTGTGATATTATTTCTAACTACAGCATCATATTTTATGAATCTCAGTTTTTTTAAGTTTACATTTCTTTAATTACTCCATTGTAGACAATTTTTTTGGCCATAAAATTTGCACAGACATCTTTTTTTTTTCTTATTTTACCTTTCTCCACAAACTTGTTAGGTTAGCTCAAGGAATTTTATCATCTCTATCTATAATCTCTTCTAATATTATAATACCCATTGGAAAGTCCTCCTTTATATCCATCCAAAATCTCTCACGTTGCCTTGCCTTCTTTTATATATTAAGTAGACACTAAGAACAGGTTATTGTCTTTGAAATAGCCATTGTGGGGTGGAGCCAAGATGGATGAATAGGAACAGCTCCAGTCTACAGCTCCCAGCGTGAGCGACCCAGAAGACAGGTGATTTCTGCATTTCCAACTGAGGTACCAGGTTCATCTCACTGGGGAGTGCCAGACAGTAGGTGCAGGACAGTGGGTACAGTGCACTGCACGTGACCCGAAGCAGGGAGAGGCATCGCCTCACCCAGGAAGCACAAGGGGTCAGGGAATTCCCTTTCCTAGTCAAAGAAAGGGGTGACAGATGGCACCTGGAAAATCGGGTCACTCCTACCCTAATACTGCGCTCTTCCAATGGGCTTAACAAATGGCACAGCAGGAGATTATATCCCGCACATGACTCGGAGGGTCCTACACCCACGGAGCCTCGGTCATTGCTAGCACAGCAGTCTGAGATCAAACTGCAAGGTGGCAGCCAGGATGGGGGAGGGGCGCCTGCCATTGCCCAGGCTTGAGCAGGTAAACAAAGCAGCCGGGAAGGTCGAACTGGGTGGAGCCCACCACAGCTCAAGGAGGCCTGCCTGCCTCTGCAGGCCCCACCTCTAGGGGCAGGGCACAGACAAACAAAAGATAGCAATAATCTCTGCAGACTTAAATATCCCTGTCTGACAGCTTTGAAGAGAGTAGTGGTTCTCCCAGCACGCAGCTTGAGATCTGAGAATGGGCAGACTGCCTCCTCAAGTTGGTCCCTAACCCATGAGTAGCCTAACTGGGAGGCACCCCCCAGTAGGGGCGGACTGACACCTCACATGGCCCGGTACTACTCTGAGACAAAACTTCCAGAGGAACAATCAGGCAACAGCATTTGCGGTTCACCAATATCTGCTGTTCTGCAGCCACTGCTGCTGATACCCAGGCAAACAGGGTCTGAAGTGGACCTCCAGTAAACTCCAACAGACCGGCAGCTGAGGGTCCTGACTCTTAGAAGGAAAACTAACAAACAGAAAGGACATCCACACCAAAAACCCATCTGTACATCACCATCATCAAAGACCAAAGGTAGATAAAACCACAAAGATGGGGAAAAAGCAGAGCAGAAAAACTGGAAACTCTAAAAATCAGAGCGCCTCTCCTCCTCCAAAGGAACGCAGCTCCTCACCAGCAATGGAACAAAGCTGGACGAGGAATGACTTTGACGAGTTGAGAGAAGAAGGCTTCAGAAGATCAAACTACTCCGAGCTAAAGGAGGAAGTTCGAACCAATGGCAAAGAAGTTAAAAATTTTGAGCTGAAAACCATGGCACAAGAACTACGTGGTGAATGCAAAAGCCTCAGTAACCGATGCGATCAACTGGAAGAAAGGATATCAGTGATGGAAGATGAAATGAATGAAATGAAGTGTGAAGAGAAGTTTAGAAAAAAGAGAATAAAAAGAAACAAACAAAGCCTCCGAGAAATATGGGACTATGTGAAAACACCAAAACTACATCTGCTTGGTGTACCTGAAAGTGACGGGGAGAATGGAACCAAGTTGGAGAACACTCTGCAGGATATTATCCAGGAGAACTTCCCCAATCTAGAAAGGCAGGCCAACATTCAAATTCAGGAAATACAGAGAACACCACAAAGATACTCCTCGAGAAGAGCAACTCTAAGACACATAATTCTCAGATTCGCCAAAGTTGAAATGAAAGAAAAAATGTTAAGAGCAGCCAGAGAGAAAGGTCGGGTTACCCACAAAGGGAAGCCCATCAGACTAACAGCTGATCTCTCGGCAGAAACTCTACAAGCCCAAAGAGAGTGGAAGCCAAGATTCAACATTCATAAAGAAAAGAATTTTCAACCCAGAATTTCATATCCAGCCAAACTAAACTTCATAAGTGAAGGAGAAATAAAATACTTTGCAGACAAGCAAATTGCTGAGAGATTTTGTCACCACCAGGCCTGCCCTAAAAGACCTCCTGAAGGAAGCACTAAACATGGAAAGGAACAACAGGTACCAGCCACTGCAAAAACATGCCAAATTGTAAAGACCATCGATGCTACGAAGAAACTGCATCAACTAACGAGCAAAATAACCAGCTAACATCATAATGACAGGATCAAATTCACATATAACAATACTAACCTTAAATGTAAATGGGCTACATGCTCCAATTAAAAGGCACAGACTAGCAAATTGGATAAAGAGTCAAGACCCATCAGTGTGCTGTATTCAGGAACCCATTTCACATGCAGAGACACATACAGGCTCAAAATAAAGGGATGGAAGAAAATCTACCAAGCAAATGGAAAACAAAAAAAGGCAAGGGTTGCAATCCTAGTCTCAGATAAAACAGACTTTCAACCAATAAAGCTCAAAAGAGACAAAGAAGGCCATTACATAATGGTAAAAGGATCAATTCAACAAGAAGAATTAACTATCCTAAATATATATGCACCCAATACAGGAGCACTCAGATTTATAAAGCAAGTCCTTAGTGACATACAAAGAGACTTAGACTCCCACACAATAATAACGGGAGACTTTAACACCCCACTGTCAACATTAGACAGATCAACGAGACACAAAGTTAACAAGGATATCCAGGAATTGAACTCAGCTCTGCACCAAGCAGACCTAATAGACATCTACAGAACTCTCCACCCCAAATCAACAGAATATACATTCTTCTTAGCACCACACCACACCTATTCCAAAATTGACCACATACTTGGAAGTAAAGCTCTCCTCAGCAAATGTAAAAGAACAGAAATTATAACAAACTGTCCGGCCACAGTGCAACCAAACTAGAACTCAGGATTAAGAAACTCTCTCAAAACTGCTCAACTACATGGAAACTGAACAACCTGCTCCTGAATGACTACTGGGTACATAACGAAAAGAAGGCAGAAATAAAGATGTTCTTTGAAACCAATGAGAACAAAGACACAACATACCAGAATCTCTGGGACACATTCAAAGCAGCGTGTAGAGGGAAATTTATAGCACTAAATGCCCAGGAGAGAAAGCAGGAAAGATCTAAAATTGACATCCTAACAGCACAGTTAAAAGAACTAGAGAAGCAAGTGCAAACACATTCAAAAGCGGCTTTGAGGGGAGGGGTAGTATGCACTCCTTGGACTTCTTCCACTTCAGGCTCCCACACTGTGATCAACAATCATTGTCTTTGTGGTCTGCACTCATGGTGCAGATGATACCTAGTGGTGGCTTTGCTGGGTGGCATGTTTGGTTCCAGTGTAACCATACAGTGCAGGAGACAGAAAATCCCACAGTGATGCAGCTTCTCTTCTTCCCCCATCCCTTGTAAGTGATCCAGCTGCTTCTGCCTGCCCTTGCAGCACACCTTTCTGGAACTAGAAAGTTCCCTCCTTATTCTGGAGGCCCAGCAAGCTTATGAATGAGTCCTCCCCACACTCCTCTTGAGTCCTCAGTCACTACAGAAAGGATGAATCCTATTATCTTAGAGCTGACTTAGCAAATTAGCACACACTTGGTGGCTTAAAATAACAGAAATATATTCCCTCACAGTTTGGGAGGCTGGAGATCCCAGATCAACCTGCCCACAGGGCCTCTCCAGGGCTCTAGGGGAGAATTCTCCCTTGCCTCTCCCAGCTCCTGGTGTCTCCTGGTGTTCCTTGACTTGTGGCTGCATAACTTTACCTCATGCTTGATATGGCCTCTCTTCTCCCTGTGTCCATGTCTTCTGTCTCTTATAAGGACACTTGTTCTTGTGATTTAGGGCTCATCCAGATAATATAGGATGATCTCATCTTGAAATCCTTAACTTAGTTACATCTGTAAAGACCCTTTTTCCAAATAAGCTCCCTTTCACAGGTTGCAGAGCTTAAGATGTGAACCTATGTTTTGAGGGCCACCATTCACCAAGAGACAGTAGGGGAGAGTCTGAGGTCGATGGTATAACTATTCATGCCATGCTGCCATATCTCTGGCTTCCTCCAACTCATTTGGGTGAGACCAATTTGTAGGTTTGTCACTCTAAAGGCGTAGACAGGAAATAATTCTAACCCCTGTTCTTTTAAATGCCCTCTAAACTTCATGAGGAGCTTACTTGTGTTTTGTTCCCTCCGTCCCAACCTCTCTCACCCCTACTCCCTTAAAATTCTGCTCTAAGAGGTCAAGGGGAACAAAATCCATCAGTTTTCTCACTGTTTGTACTTACACTGTTTTGTGCTTGCAATGGTCACTACTCCCTTTCTTACCATCCCCCTCTACACCCCCCTTTCCCCACACCAACCCGATCAATTTTTTTTTCTATGCACAAAACTATCTCCAATCTTTTGGTTTTACATTAAGAATAGAGCTTCTCTAGATGTAGCAATTTAGGGTCAGGATCTCTGCTGTTGGGGTGAGCCCTCTACAATACACTGGAAACCAGTAGGTTTCGCCTCCAGATGGGAGAACCCACAGTAACGGGAAGGACTCCACCCCACTGACACTTGGCAACTCATCCTGTCCCACTTACAAATTGAGAAAGCTCACTCATCTCCACTTAAAAAATGCTCTACTTTTAGTTGTTTTAAGTGCCTAGCGGTTGCTTGAAAACCTTAAATCATTTCAGTTCTTTTTCATTTGAGAAGCATTATCACCCACAAAAAAAACATTTTAATACAGTTCTTTCAAATGGAAAATAAAGTGATTTGGGGCTGATGACAACTCAGGAACCATTTCTAATCTTTCGAAATAAATGAACCCTTATCTGTCCTTTTTGAGTATTTTAATGGGTTTGTGCAAACTGCTACAAGATTGATTTGGCTGCAGTTTCGCAGAGTTGGTTAGAATGAATCTATCAGACATAGAGTTGGTGCCTTAGCAAGGAAAGTGCAATTGGGATTTTGTTCCCACGGCCCCCAAATTTAGAATTTATAAACATTGTAAAAATGTATTTTAAAAGATTTCTCCTTTCTGCAGCTCAGAAAATGTCTCTTCTCAGCAATAGAAATGGGTGGAGGAAGAACATCTAGGAGGCCAAAGATTTCCAGCATCTGAAAAAAGAGATGCTTTGGGGGTGTGAAAGGAGTCATCCCAGGAAGCTGGGAGAAGTGGAAATTTGGAGGTGGAGGGACAGACAAAGAGGACTGAAAGGGCTGAGCACATGATAGAGAGTAGGGAGAGTGTGAAGACAACAGAGGGTTCTGGCATAATGTTGTGTCAGCCGAGGGAATGTGCCTACAGAGATCCCCCAAAGGCTGTCAGCACACCCATCCACTTGCCAAATTATCACAAACTTAGCAGCTTAAACAACACAAATTTATTATCTTACAGTTCTGCAGTTCAGAATTCCAACATGAGTCTCGCTTGGCCAAAACCGAGGCATTAGCAGAACCACATTGCTTCTGGAGACTCTAGGGCTGAATCCATTTCCTTGCCTTTCCCAACTTCTAGAAGCCGCCCACATTCCTTGGTTCACTGCCTCTTCCTCCATCTTCAAAGCCTGCAACGTTCCTTCTCTATGACCCTACTGTGTTTGCCAAATCTCCCTCTGACCAAATCCAGGGAAGATTTTCTGCTTTAAGGACTCCTGTGATTAGATTGGGCCCACCTGGACAATACCAGGATACTCTTCCCCATCTCAATGTCCTTAATTGCATGACATTTGCAAAGCCCCCTTTGCCATATAAGCTAACCTTTTCATAGATTATGAGGGTTAGGAAAAAGACACTTCAGGGAGCCATTATTCTGCCCACCACAGATGGCATGAGTTACCCGGTCCGGGGCAGCTACAAGGGAAACTTCACCGACATCCTAGCTCCCCACCATCTATCATGTGAGATATTTCTTGTGAACATAAAGTGGATGTTTCCCACTTTATGTTCCTGTGATATTTTCTGTGAACATAAAGTGGGTGTTTCCCACTGTGTCTGGGTGTTTCTACTTGCCTGTCAAAAAAAGAATCATGGAACTTCTGTCCCCATCTCCTAGAGACACCTGTGGCACGTTCAGGGAGGTGAAGCAAAACCGCTTGTTAAGAGGAAGCTTTCCTTGCCTGCCTGGCTTCCCATACTGAGGCTCAGCTGGAGGATTTGAGGCTAGCTTTCCTGGTGCCTATTGTGGTCTGTGTGCAATAACCTTGCTTGCTTACTAACTGTATCAATTTCTTAGGGCTGCCGTAATAAAGTACCACAAACTGGGTGGCTTAAACAACAGAACAGTACTCTCTCACAGTTCTGGAGGCTGGAAGTCTGAGATCATAGTGTCAGCTAGGCAGTGCTCTCTCCGAAGCCTCTAGGGGGTGGGGCCTTCCTTGCCTCTTTCAGCTTCTATTGTCCCAGGTGTTCCTAGTTCGTGACAGCGTAACTCTAATCTCTGCCTCCATCTTCACGTCGTGTTCTCCCTGTATTTTTGTGTCTTCACATGGCTGTATTCTTATAAGGACACTGGTAATGTGGGATCAGAAGCCCATCTTACTCCGGCATGACCTCATCTTAACTAATTACATTTGCAAAGACCCCATTTCCACATAAGGTCATATTCTGAGGTACCAGAGGTTAGGATATCAACATTTCTTTTTTGAGGGGGAAACAATTCAACCCATAACACTGACCAAGTTTATGTATCATATGTGTGTTATATTCCTGTAGTTATTTTTATATATTCTAGCTTTTATTTTTACTCCATTTCCATGGTCAGTCCAGATTGGTGCCTGATATTGTTTGGCTGTGTCCCCACCCAAATCTCAACTTGAATTGTACCTTCCAGAATTCCCATGTGTTATGGGAGGGACCCAGGGGAAGGTAATTGAATCATGGGGGCTGGTCTTTCCCATGTTATTCTCATGATAGTGAATAAGTCTCACAAGATCTGAGGGGTTTATCAGAGGTTTCGCCTTTGCTTCTTCCTCATTTTCTCTTGCTGCCACCATGTAAGAAGTGCCTTTTGCCTCCTACCATGATTCTGAGGCCTCCCCAGCCATGTGGAATGGTAAGTCCAGTTAAACTTCTTTTTCTTCCCAGTCTTGGGTATGTGCCTACAGAGAACTAATATAGAAAACTGGAACTAGTAGAGTGGGCACTGCTGAAAAGATACCTGAAAATGTGGAAGCAGCTTTGGAACTGAGTAACAGGCAGAGATTGGATCAGTTTGAAGGGTTCAGAAGAGAGAGGAAAATGTGGGAAAGTTTGGAACTCCCTAGAGACTTGTTGAATAGCTTTGCCCAAAGTGCTGATAGCAATATGGACAATAAAATCCAGGCTAGGGTGGTCTCAGATGGAGATGAGGAACTTGTTGGGAACTGGAGCAAATGTGACTCTTGTTACATTTTGGCAAAGAGACTGGTGGCATTTTGCCCCTGCCCTAGAGATTTGTGGAACTTTGAACTTGAGAGAGATGATTTAGGGTATCTGGCAAAAGAAATTTCTAAGCAGAAAAGAATTCAAGAGGTAATTTGGGTACTGTTAAAGGCATTCAATTTTATAAGGGAAGCAGAGCATAAAAGTTTGGAAAATTTGCAGCCTGACTATTCAATAGAAAAGAAAAAAACATTTTCTGGGGACAAATTCAAGCCAGATGCAGAAATTTGTATAAGTAGCAAGGAGCCTCATGTTTATCCCCAAGATCATGGGGAAAATGTCTCCAGGCCATGTCAGAGAACTTCATGGCAACCCCTCCCATCAAAGGCCCAGAAGTCCAGGAGGAAAAAATGGTTTTGTGGGCTGGGCCCAGGGTCCTCATTCTGTGTGCAGCCTTGGGATTTGGTGCCCTGTGTCCCAGCTGCTCTAGCAATGGCTGAAAGGGTCCAATGTACAGCTTGGGCTATGGCTTCAGAGGGTGGAAGCCCTAAGCCTTGGCAGCTTCCACATGGTGTTGAGCCTGTGGGTGCACAGAAGTCAAGAACTGAGGTTTAGCAAGCTCCGCCTAGATTTCAGATGTATGGAAACACCTGGATGCCCAGGGAAAAGTTTACTGCAGGGGTGGGGCCCTCACAGAGAACCTCTGCTAGGGCAGTGCAGAAGGGAGATGTGGGGTCGGTGCCCCCACAAAGAGTCCCTACTGGGGCACTGCTTAGTAGAGCTGTGAGAAGAGGGACACCATCCTCCAGACTCCAGAATGGTAGATCCACCGACAGCTTGCACCATGCACCTGGAAAAGCCACAGACACTCAATGCCAGCCCGTGAAAGCAGCCAACTGTACCCTGCAAAGCCACAGGGGCAGAGTTGCCTAAGACCAGGGGAACCCACCTCTTGCATCAGCGTGACCTGGATTTGAGACATAGTCAAAGGAGATCATTTTGGAGCTTTAAAATTTGACTGCCCCACTGGATTGTGGAGTTGCATGGGCCCTGTAACCCCTTTGTTTTGGCCAATTTCTCCCATTTGGAACAGCTGTATTTACCCAATACCTGTATCCCATTGTATCTAGGAAGTAACTAGATTGTTTTTGATTTTACAGGCTCATGGGTAGAAGGGACTTGCCTTGTCTCAGATGAGACATTGGACTGTGGACTTTTGAGTTAATGCTGAAATGAGTTTAGACTTTGGGGGACTGTTGGGAAGCCATGATTGATTTTGGAATGTGAGGACATGAGATTTTGAGGGGCTAGGAGTAGAATGATATGGTGAGGGACTTGGGGGAGGTAATTGAGTCATGTGGGGGCTGGTCTTTCCCATGCTATTCTCATGATAGTGAATAAGTCTCACAAGATCTGATGGGTTTGTCAGGGATTTCTGCTTTTGTTTCTTCCTCGTTTTCTCTTGCTGCCACCATGTAAGAAGTACCTTTCACCTCCCACCATGATTCTGAGGCCTCCTCAGTCATGTGGAATGTAAGTCCAATTAAACCTTTTTCTTTCCTGTCTCGGGTATGTCTTTATCAGCAATGTGAAAACGGACTAATACAGTGGCTTCCACAATATGTTCCTTGCCCAAATTCACAACCACATTTCCAATTAAAATGTAGTAGATGGCTGCTACTGCCATATTTACTTCAAAGACTATCTTACCTTTCAAATAATCTTTTCTAGTTTCTCTGATTTTAGTTCTATTTCCTGATACCTGGATCCTCACTCCCAGCAAAGTGGGTCTATTCTGATGATTGGCAGTGGATACTAAAGTTTTGTGTTGAAAAGCACTGGGAGGCCTTCAGGGCTCAGTGGAGAAGGACATCATGCTTATTTAATGATGTCTGCCACAGTCTTAGTGGTATTGTAGGGGCATGTGAGCAACATGCCAAGTATTTCCTGATTCTGAGCCTCTAGGGCCTTGCTGGTCTTGAATTTGGTTTCCATCAAAATCTGTACACCTCACATTACTCCTTTCAACATCATGCATTGGAGCCCTTTGGAAGTAATAATAATAAATAGCTATTACTTAATGAAAATTTACTTTGTGCTGGAAACCGTGATGAACCTAATATATGTTACATAATTTAATTCCTAATTTAATTAACTATGCAGTTCTATTGGTAGGTAATATTATTTCACCTTCACAGACAAGAAAAACTAAGAATTAAAATTATTTCCCAGCTGGGCACGGTGGCTCACACCTATAATCCCAGCACTTTGGGAGGCTGAGGCAGGTGGATCACCTGAGGTCAGGAGTTTGAAGCCAGCCTGGCCTACATGGCAAAACCCCATCTCTACTAAAATTACAAAAATTAGCTGGGCATGGTGGCACGTGCCTGTGGTCCCAGCTACTCGGGACGCTGAGGCATGATAATCTCTTGAACCCAGGAGGTAGAGGTTGCGGTGAGCCAAGATCACACAACCACACTCCGTTGCAGCCTGGGTGACACAGCGAGACTCTGTCTCGAAAAAAATTATTTCCCAAAGTCATAGAGATAATTGTTGTAAAACTGGGATTTATAGCAGTTTCTGTCTGACGCCAAAGATTTTTCAAATCTGAGGTTCTGGACCATATCCCTTAGCCCTGTCTGACCCTCTGGAGTCTCTTACTTCCCAGCTGGCATCCTTCACACTGAACTGTGCTTTGGTTGCACCTTTTACAAAATGTAAACTTAGCATGTGTTATTATGTGCAGAGTGGGACAAAGGATAGTTTGTTCCAGCCTGTATGTTTCCATGCATAATGCTTCTTAAAAGGGATACTTATGAATAGCATTGCTGACTGAATAGTAACAACATTCCATTTTTGTTTATAATGTATTCTTGTAAGAAGATCATCTATTAGTAACATTAATTGAAGCTGAATTTTTCATAAGGATTACACTTAAGTCTTGTTGGCAAGACTATGAGCTGTTTCATAGGCTGCAGAGAATGATGTTATATTCTGGGATGTTTTTCAGACTTCCATGAACTATGACCCTACTAAGAAGTTCTTTTGTTAGAAGTGTATTATAAGTCACATGTTTACAAGTTAACTCTCACCTCTTCTTTCACTATGAACATGCCTAGCAAAGCTCAAGCAATCTGCACAGGAGATATAACATTTTAGGGATTTTGAACACAAAATGATTTCATTTTGAGTTGACCTATAACAGTTTCTTCCTGTCTTAGGATTTGATAATCAAATAAATCAGCCATTAGCCTATCATAGGAATTGAATTTGCCTAAAATATATCATAACAAGGCCAGTGGAAAACTATGTAAGGGTATTCAAGTATTTAGTAAGGAGAATACAGATCTGTCCCAAACTATGGCCATTTAGAGTGAGGGAACTAAGGCAGAACCAGATAAAGGAAGTTAGGTTTCAAACTTAGCAAGTGAAATTTTATGCTTGGTGGATTACATGCTTCACTACAGGGATGTCTGAAGGCAGTGGCAGTGGGAGCTCTTGGTATATCCTTTTAGGTTACAGTGTACAATCCTCAGAAGGGAGATTTAGGTCCTGTGCAAAAGCACCAACACATATTGAAAACATTCACAAAGCTAAATTTCTTCCAAGTGGACTGTTAACTGCTAGACAACAACGTGCTCATTTACAATATAAAAATAAATGGGTCATTTAAACTAGGTTACCATCAGATCAAAATGAGAATAGGGAGGCTTACATGAAAGAAGAAAAGGACAAAGGGAACAGTGAACCTGTAAACTCTGGTGTCTACAAATGTCTGCAGGGCAGGGAGGGTGAAGACACCTTAGACTGGGCACTTCTGAGCAGACCTTACATTTGTGGGTTTGCATCTCTCTGGAGGTGTTCTATGTGTCTGTGGGAGCATGTGACTTGGTCAATATGACAAATGGCCACTAAGGAAATAAATAAAATTCACATTGAAGGAAAGAGCTAGCCAGGGAAAATCTGGGGCATAATCTTTTGAATAAACAGCAGTAAGGAAGGCAGAATGATATTTTAAGTACACAAGAAGTGGCACAGAGGACAGCTTTCACACTTCAAGAGAGCTGTAAGAAAACTTGTGATGTATGATGTTATTTGTGAGTACAAGAAGGAAGACCTCAGGAGTTTATGAAATACTTCTAAGAAATCAGATACATATATATGTGAAAGGAAGCATTTCATTATATTAAGAGTGTCATTTGTACTATTTTATTATTAATAAAGGTCTAAATCTATTAGATGCCTTAAAAATACCATGCTGAAAGATTAAAACAGAAATAATAACCTGCACATAGAAACTTTGATCTATAGCAATTCATAGTTATGCTTACGTATCTTTCAGTTGCTTATAGCTCATCCTACTTAAATAAAATAAAGGAAAAGATCATCTAAAGAGCATAAAGTTTTCTACTGCTTTTTGTGAAAGGAAGAGATATGTTTCTTAAGTAGGAAAATAGCCTTATTAATATGTTAATGACAGTGAATATACAAAACAAAACAAAAACAAAACTGTTGTGGAAGCCAGAGACAGACAGGCTTTAAAAGAATATACATGGAAAATAACACTTTGGGATAAATACATCACTAATCAAAGCCCCAGCCCTAATAATTGGAAGTTTGATGAATAAGATGTATATGAAGGACAATATTCATGCCACTGAGATGGAGAGCATGTGGATTCCTGAAACACCATGTTCTTGCATGGAACAAGCATTTTATAAAACCCAAAAAGTCAATTTTTCATCTTGTTCTGCCCCTTTCACCCTCACCAAAATGGATCCAAATACAGAACACCTATTAATTCTGCTATTCTAAAATAAGCATTGAGTCATCCTTTTTCTTCTGGTTCAATCAACTCAGCTTCTTAGACTTCTCTTGAGCCAGGAAGCTTTACAGGCATTCATCATTTCTGATTCATTCATTCTTTTGTTCTGCATCTTAAAAGCTCTGCAGGTTTGGAATTGATAATAGAGTTGCAATCGCTTTCAAAAACAGTCAACAAATTATTCTTGAACACCAGAGTGGTGCACACAGCATGCCAAGAGTATAATGACCACAGGTGGGCTTACGTGGCTACTAAGTACAAAGCCCTTATAGGAAATGGAAAAAAAAAAATGGAAAACATGGCTCTGCCACTGAGGCTCTTCGAATTTGATTCTAATAGAAATGACTGTGTAGGACTGCACAGACCAGCCCTAGGAAGTGAAGGCAAGCACAAATGCTCATCCTACTGGTCACTATTCATCTGCCTGTTCTGAAGCTGTGAACTATTCTCCTCTCCCAAGTTCACTGGATTTCAAAATTCCAAACCCCCAAAACGTCTTTGGGCAATCCCAATGTTAATGGAATGGGTCCTGATAGGCTACCTTTTGTTTAATTGGAAAGGCAATACACACGTTTTGTTTTAAAAATTTAAATAGTAAAAAGGAGTTTTTAGTGAAAAGTATATTCCTGTCCTCCCCACCCTAGATTTCCAGGCTCCCCCTCCAGGGATAATCATTACTTTCACATTCTTGTAACTAGAAAAATTCTACTGCAGTATAAAAATAGATAAATAGCTCCACCCCCCACTTAAAAATAATTTTTATTTTTTAGTACAGTTCAAGATTTACAGAATAATTACACAGACAGTACATAGAGTTCCATATGCTCAACCCCACCCCCTGCTCTTGTACCCAGCTTTCCCTATTATTAACGGCTTGTATTAGTGTAGTATGTTTATTAAAATTAATAAATATTGATACATTAATTTTAACTATAGTCCATAGTTTACATTAAGTTCCACTCTGTGTTTTATGGTTCTAGGGGTTTTGACAAATGTATTACATAATGACATGTACCTACTATTATAGTTTTTTTTTTCTTATACAGAATATTTTTATTGCCCTGTCCTTTCCCCATTCATTCCTCCCTTACTTATACTCTGCTTCTTATCCGAACCCCTGGCAACCACCGATATTTTTACTGTTTGTATAGTTTTGCCTTTTCTAAAATGTCATACAGCTGGAATCGTATAGTACATGGTCTCTTCAGACTGACTTCTTTCTTTAGCAATATGCATTTAGCGTTCTTCCATATCAAAACCGACTTTTTTCTTTAGCAATGTGCATTTAATGTTCCCCTATGTCTTTCTGTGGCTTGATAGTTAGTTCATTTCCTTTTATTTTATTTTATTTATTTTTTTGAGACAGAGTCTTGCTCTGTCGCCCAGGCTGGAGTACAGTGGCACGATCTCCGCTAACTGCAAGCTCCGCTTCCCGGGTTAACGCCATTCTCCTGCCTCAGCCTCCCGAGTAGCTGGGACTACAGGCGCCAGCCACCATGCCACCACGCCCGGCTAATTTTTTTCTTTGTACTTTTTAGTAGCGATGGGGTTTCACCGTGTTAGCCAGGATGGTCTCGATCTCCTGACCTCATGATCCGTCCGCCTCGGCCTCCCAAAGTGCTGGGATTACAGGCGTGAGCCACCACGCCTGGCCTTCCTTTTATTATTGAATAAAATTTCATTGTATGTATGTATCACAGTGTATCCATTTATCTATTGAAAAACATCTTGGTTGCTTCCTATTTCTGCAGATTATAAGTAAAGCTACTATAAACATTTGTGTGCAGGTCTTTATGTGGGCCTAAGTTTTCAAATCGTTTGGGTAAATATCTAGGATCATGGTTGTTGGATAGTGTGGTAAGACTATGTTTATCTTTATAAGGAACTGCCAAACAGCCAAAGTGGCTACACCATTTTACATTTCTACCAGCAACGAATGGGTATTCCTGTTTTTCCACATCCTTACCATCACTTGATGTTATCTGCTTTTCCGATTTTGGACATTCTAATAGGTATTTAGGGTATCTTGTTTTAATTTGCAATTCCCTAATGACATATGATTATCATCTTTTCATATGCTCATTTGCAGCTGTGTACCTTCTTTGGCGAGGGATCTGCTCAGATTATTTGTGCAATTTTTAATTGGGTTGCTTATTTTCTTACTGTTGAGTTCTAAGTGTTCTTTGTAATTTTAAACAAAAGTCCTTTATCAGATATATGTTCGCAAACATTTTTTTTCCCAAAATGTTTCTTCATTCTCTAACAAAGCAGAAGCTTTAAATTTTAAGAGTCCAACCTATCCATTTTTTTCTTTGTGAATTGCCCTTTTCATATTGTATCTAAAAACTCATCACCAAACCCAAGATTACCTTGATGTTCTTCTGTTCTATTCCATAGGTTTTACAGCTTTGCCTTAAATTTAAGGCTAAAATCCATTTTGAATTTTTTGTATGTAAAAGGCATAAAGATTGTGTCTACTGGATTCACATTTTTTTGCATATGGGCATCCAATTTTCACAGCACCATTTGTTGAAAAGATTATCCTTTTTTCTATCGAATTACCTTTACTCCTTTGTCAAAGATCAGTTCGTGTAAATCTATTTTTGGTCTACCAATCTGTTCCACTGATCAATTTGTCTATTCTTTCACCAACACCATGCTGTCAGCATTACTGTAGCTTTACAGTAAGTCTTAAAGTCAAGTAGTGCCAATCCTTCTAATGTGTTCTTCTTGGGTATTGTGCTAGCTATTCTAGATCCTTTGCCTTTTCATACACATTTTAGATTCAGTTATTTGACAGCTACAAACTAACTTACTGCAGTTTTGATCAGGATTGTGTTGAATCTATAGATCACCAGCTGTCTTCTGATTAGTACTAATACTGCCTATTTTTTTGTTTATTTTAGCCTATTTGTGTCTTTATATCTTAAGTGCATTTCTTATAGGTAGTTTATTGTTGGATCTTGCTTTTTCATCTACTTTGACAAGCTCTGCTTTTTAAATGGGAGTATCTAAACCACTTATATTTAATTTATTTATATCATTAGTTCTAAATTTACCATATTTCTGTTTGTTTTCTGTTTGTCCAATTCATTCTTTCTTCCCTTTTTCCTCTTTTCTGTATTTTGTATTTATTGTAAATGTATTATGATTCAATTTTATCGCCTTTTTAATATAACACTTAAAAAATTTTACAGGTTGCTTTAAGGGTCATAATGTAGTTAAATGGTGAGCCAAATATGACATGCACACTGTATTGTATCACCCATGAGCTGAGAATGAGTCTTACGGTTTTTAAAGGGTTGTAAAACGAAACAAAGGAATTATGCAACAGACTCTATTTGACACACGAAGCATAAAATATTTGCTATATGGACTTTTATAAAAAACATTGCCAACTCCTATTGTAGAAATAAGTGTACCCAATTTTTAAAATCTTTTCATTTTTATGATGATACCCACAATTCTTTCCTAATATTCTATATTTGTGGGTTTTTTTATTTTAATTAAATAGGCTTGCAAGAATTTGAGTAACTTTATTAGTTTTTCTGAAGAACTGGCTCTTATTTTTATTATTTCATTTTATCTTCTTTGTTGGCTTGTTAATTATAACTCTTTGTTTTCTTATCTTATGGTTAATTTAGGGTTTTATGATGTACATATTTAACTTATCAAATTCTACCTTCAAATGATAGTATACCACTTCACATATAGTATATGAACCTTACAACAACATACTTTGATTTCTGCTGATCTATTTATTTTTTAAAAATTCACTTCTCTCTCTGTACTTAATTTTGGATAGTTTCTATTGCTATCTCTTCAAGTTCGCTATTTTTTTTTTTCTTCTGCACTGTCTAAATTGAGGCTAAACTATTCTAGTGATTTCTTCATTTTAAATCTCGTACATTGTGGTTTTCATCTACAGAAGTTTGATTTGGAATTTTAAAATATTTTCTGTGTCCATGCTCTACTTTTATCTTTTGAACACATGGAATATAGTTATATATACCCTTTTTATATTTTTGTGTACTAATTCTAATATCTGTGTTAGATCTGGGTTAATTCCAAGTGATTGGTTTATCTACTCATTATGGGTCATATTTTCTAGTTTGTTTGCATACCTGGTAATTATTGATTATGAGATTCCAGACATTGTAAATTTTACCTTGTTGGGTGCTATATGTATTTTTTGTTCCTATAAATACTTTTGAACTTTTCTGTGATGTAGTTAAGTTAGTTGAAAACAATTTATCATTTCAATTGTTGCTTTTAAGATTTGTTAAGTGTGAGCAGAACATTGCTAAGTCCAAGGCAAATGGTTCTGCATTTCTGATATAAGATGCTCCTGTGTTCTCTATCCAACATCCTGTGACTCTTGAGACCTTACAGTTTGACTGGTGGGAAGAGGGCACTATTTTCAGCTCTATATGAGCAGAAGGCACTGCTGCCTTTAATCCTTTGATATGACTCTTTCTTTGGCCACAGGTACATGCACTAACCATGACTCATCTGAATACTTGAAGACCCCTTTTGAAGACTTTCAGACTTCTCTCTCTGTGAACTCTCTCTACTCTAGTGCTTTGTTCTGTGAGCTTTCACTGTCTAGGTTTTCCCAGACTCTCATCTCCATCTTTTTAAGGAGTCCACCAGGTTTTGCTTGAGTTCCCCTGGCCACTCCCGTGGACTGTGGCCTGGAAATGCTCTCAAGGCAAGAAGCTGAAGCAATAGTTGGGCTCATCTCATCTGTTCTCTTCTCCCAGTGGTTGCTATTCTTCACTGCCTGGTTTGAATGTCTTTTGGTTGTTTCAGGTAGGAGAATAAATCCAGTCACTTTCAATGTATCTTGGCCAGAAGTGTAAGTTTACACTGTTCTTTTTAACTTTTACAAAGTATTTCATTTTATGAATGTGCTGAATTTTTTTTAACCAATTTTGATTTAATTGATGATGTTTGGGCTAATTTTTTTGTATGTTATTATTGCAGAAAAATGCTATAGTGAAAACCATTGCCTCATTGTGAATACAGCTATATCATATTTTAGAAGCTAAATTCCTCCAACAAAATGTGTATGAATTTTAAATTTTGATTAACATTAAAAAATTGCCCATCAAAAGTTTATACCAATTTTCATCCCAATAAAAACGTCTGCGAAAATGTATTTCTCTAGAGATCATCTCTCAGATTCCCATTTTCTGTCCCATCTAAATGCTTGGTAAATACGAAAGAATGTATGGAGAAAAGTTTTAAAATTTCAAAGAATCTTAGTATTTGAGTTTTTTCTCTTATACCTGTTATAAATGATTCTAAATTTGCCCCTCACTTGCCCATACACATATACACATTCTGTTAACAACACATAATTTATATATTATTTAATTCTCATAGCATTATCAGACAGAGATTATTACTATTTCAAACTTACAGATGAGAAAATTAAGGCACATAGACATCTAGTAACATCTAAGTTCATGTAGTTTTATCCAGAGGTTCTTGGACTTCCTGTCTGATTGCCACCCCTGCAAAATCTGCAGCTGGTCTTGTCTTGTTCTCAGTTTTGGCTGCCCTTCCTCTATCCTTCAGTGACTCATGGGAGCCTATGACTCTGCCTTAGCCTGGAAAGAGGAGGATCTAATTAGAACTCTAACTCCACTCCTGGTGTCCTACCCTTGCCTTGTCTATACCCGTCAGGGTGTCTGGAGGGGTCCCAGGATTTTCCGTGCATCAGAACTTGCTGCTTGTACTCTGTCCACCAGTTCTGCCCTCTTGAGATACACTGTTTCCTGAAACCTTGTGAATAAAAGAAAGTTTTTCTCTTGCCTGTGCTACTGGCTTCCTGCCATCCCACCCTGACCTTGCAGAGAGACCTCCATCACCTCTTGCTGACTCTTCCACTGTTTCTGGCACCAGGAGAGTCTATTCTTTCTTCTCTTTGTGTTTTTCACTACTATAAATCTTGCATTTTTTCCCCTGAGCAAATCCTGACTTTTCTCTTCTGATGGAACTTCCTAATGATGTAGTTATTGCCAGAATACTAAGTCAGTATCTATCTTTACATGAGGCCAGTTTCTCTGATGCATCAGTCCTACCTGGAACATTGACTCCATGCCCTTCTAGTGCATTTTGGGTCAAGCACATCATTTTATTCGTCTTTCCCACACCATCAGCATTTTTATTCCCTCACACAGCATCAGCTCCTATTATCATCAGAAAGAGGATCACCATCCTTGCAGTTTAAAATCCAATTCTGTTTATCTTTTCTCTTTCTTGGCAGCTGAGCTGGGACTCTGCCTGGATATAACTTATGGCCTATTCTATATGGAAAGTTGGTTTTCTCACAGTTCCACTCCCTTTCCAGATATCAGCAAATGGCCCTCCTAGCCCAGAAGTCTCCAGAGAGGTATTTATAATAGTCAAATTAGTGCAAATTTATAATTCTTTATCTTTAAACATTTGGAAATTGAAATAAAAATAGTTTCCCAGAGCCTTTTGCTGCAATGAAATTGGTAATCTTATTCCAAAGGTTTTTATGCAGAGTTAACATGACCAGGCAATTTTACATGCAGTAGAAATAGAAAAAGAATTGAAGTTGTTAACCAATAACAGAAAGTGTTTAATTTAGATTTAAGGAAGAAGACTTTATGTATGGAAATTTTTGAAGAATGGGATTAAACCTATTTTAGTTTCCTGCCTTGGGCATCATGAGCAATTGCACTGTGGAGTAGGAAGAGTTGAGATAGTTGGCCATCCTAGCTTCCCTGAAAGTCATGCTCCTTAGGACAGGGATGGGTGCCTGCAGGAGAGTTTGTTCTCACTGTTCCTGGCCATAGTAGATTGGTCATAGGAAGACAACTGGCTAAAACAAGAACAATAAATTTAATTCTTAGAAATGTGCCATTGGAATTTAGAGAGCACAGCCTGTTACCTGGGACACCGGGTTTGGAAGCAGTACAAACCTAGGGGTGATGGCATTGCCCATCATGTGCCCCAAGGAATAGCCAAAGTTAATTCTGGAGTATGAAAAAATCAGCCTATACAAACAGAAATACAAGAGCGAATGACGATGGTGCCGAGGAGAGCAGAGACTGACCAGTTCCTGTGAAACCTGGCTGTCCTTCCTGATTGTAGGTTACAGGCAAATCCCTGGTGTCCTCCCAATACATTGCACATACTGTATTGTTATGCTGAATGTGTTCTGTAGCTTGCAATTAAACGACATTTAATGCAGAGAGAGGTAAATTATAACATTTTGGATCATTTAGGAGAAACCACCCTGAAAGCAGAAGGAATTAATAACATTGGAAGTTTTCTTCTCTTGATATAATTGAGTGAAAAGTACTGTTCTTAGCTAAAGGTTAACTTGCATAGGTACAGCTATCTTATGCAGGACTCCTATCTTGAAAATGGGTAAAAATAACATTTTAAGTAAAAAGTATATGATAATAGTGTTACATTCTGCTACTAAAAATCCCAATAATAATTTTAATCCTATATTTATTGAATACTTAGTATTTATCAAGTATGTAAACACTTTGCATGCATTTGCTCTACTACTGTCATGGGTCACTTAAGGACGAGGATATCTTATGGGAAATGTGTCATTAGGCGATTTTGTCATACGAACATTGTAGAGTGAACTTACACAAACCTAGACGGTATAGCCTACTACACACCTAGGCTATTTGGTATAGCCTATTGCTCCTAGGCTACAAACCTGTACAGCATGTTACTGTATTGAATACTGCAGGCAATTGTAACACAGTGGTAAGTATGTATCTAAACATATATAAACGTAGAAAAATTACAGTAAAAATATGGTATAAGATAAAAAAATGGTGCCACTATATAGGGAACTTACCATAAATGGAATTTGCAGGACTGGAATTTCCTCTGGATGGTCAATGAGTGAGTGGTATGTGAATGTAAAAACCTAAGACATTACTGTGCACTGCTATAAATTTTATAAATACTGTACACTTAGGCTACATTAAATTTATAAAAAAGTTTCTTCAATAATAAAGTAACCTTAGTTTACTGTAACTTTTTCAATTTATAAGCTTTTAAGTTTTTAAAAACTTTTTGATTGTTTTGTAATAACACTTAGCTTAAAACACACATTGTACAGTTGTGCAAAAATGTTTTCTTTTTTGATAGCCTTATCCTATAAGGTTTTATTCTATTTTTAAACAAACATTTTTATTTTTATTTCACTTTTTAAACTTTTTTGTTAAAAACTAAGACACAGACACATACATTAAACTAGGCCTACACAGGGTCAGGATCATCAATATCACACTGTCTTTTGCCTCCACATTGTCCCACCCGAAGGTCTTCAGGGGCAATAACACATATGGGAGCTGTCATCTCCCATGATAACAATGCCTTCTTCTAGAATACCTCCTGAAGGATCTGCCTAAGGCTGTTTTACAGTTAACATTTTTTATATTAATAAGTGGAGCATACTCACAAATAATAAATAGTATAATAAATTCATAAACCAGTAACACAATCATTTATTATCAAGTATTGGGTACTATATATAATTGTGTGTGCTATACTTTTATATGACAGTCATCACAGTAGGTTTGTTTATACCAGCATCATCACAAAAACATGAATAATGCATTGTCCTACAATGTTACGGGGCTACAATATCACTAGGGGATACAAATTCTTCAGCTCCATTAAAATCTTATGAGACCACCATGGTATATATAGTCCTTCTTTGACTGGAATGTCATTATGTGCTGCATAGCTGTATTTCAACTTCATAGCATGAGGACTATTTTTGCCTTGATATTGTTATATGATTAGAAATATGAGGTAACCTCAGAATAAATTATCTTATTCCTATTTCAGAAGAAAGACCAATAGAAGGACCAAATATGATATGGTCTCTATGCCATGTGTCATCTTCTGGTTATAATATAGTTTGTGGATTTCTTAAAATGGCCAAGTCAAGCAAAATACACATAGCCTGACCAATGTAGTGATATCATTAGCTTCTATATTCTAGACAATACATTTCAATTAATTAATTAATGCACTCATAAGTCAACAAAGATTTAGTTGAAATCTAATGGAATTAGATTGGATGAAATCTATATGGAAGATATTCTACTGAGTGCTAGGGGAGTAAAAATAAATTAGAAATAGTGGTGGAAGGATACATACAAACAGGCAAGTGTTATTGCAAAAGTTAGAGCAAAGAACTGTGGCTGCACATTTTCTAGGAGGAAATCAGAAGTAGATGCTTGGGAGGTGTCAGGAAAGCTGAATATGGGTGTATCAAGAGTGGCAGAGGAGGAGAAGCACTTCAGGCAGAGGGAATACACAAGCACAAAAGCACAAAGCCTTGTGGTATTTTCAGAACAGCAGTTCTTTGTTGCTGGAGTAAAGACGTGTATGTACTAGAAGTCAAGTCCTACATGGACATGAGACTGGCATGTGTCTTTTATACTAAATAATGAGTCCGCCCTTAGTCCTAAATACCACCATGAGAACAGAGTTTATAAAGTTAGGACTGACAAATGCCCATTTGTTTATCTGAAGGTAACTGACAGCTGTAGGGAGACTGGACTGAAGTCACGAAAATGAGAAAGCTGGTATAGAAGTCTAGAGACTGGAAACAGTGGGGCTTGAAAAAGGCAAGGACAATGGAGTACAGAAATAAAATTGGGTATTCAGGTGATGTCTTGAGATAGAATCAGCATGATTTAGTGATGCATTAAACATGGGACGGGAAGGAGAAATGTGATAATTCCAAGGCTCCTAGCTGAGATCCCTGTGGGCAGTATACCGATAACCAAAGAAAGAACAGAGGAGTTCAAACAGTTTCACAGGGAGATTGGGAAGGTAACAGGATTAGGCTTTGGCAAACTGCATTTGAGGAACATGTGGAATAGGCAGCTGGAGATGTCTAGCAGCCAATGAAAGTGCAACCTCAAATTACATTTGCTTTGTAAGCAATCATGACCCATCATCAACTGACATTCACATCTTTTAGGATGTGTATTGTTATCAAGCACTTTTCCCACCCCTCCCATTGTCCTGAAAAAAAGCTTTTTATTATCCTAACTGGGAAACTTATCTAATTTTCTTATAAACTTTTATTTTGTAGATTTCTATCTGTCAAGATAATTTTGCATCTTGATAGACAGAAAACTTCTTGGTTAATCACAGATTTCAGCTTTTTGCTATTCACAGTCTGATATTCTGGCACTATTTCTTTACCCAAGTGGTTAAAAATGTTGAGCAGGACCAAAAGCAAACACTAGGGCTCACCAGCAGTGAGGAGTTGTGATTATTCCACATTTCGTGCCACGCCTTTACCCCTAATCTGCTTACCCTTTTCTACCTTGCTTTTGCTCCAGAAATTTACTCTTACTGACTACATAAATGGAGCACTTTTTCCCTTTGGCTTCTGGTTGGATCTGCCAGTGGTAAGACACAGGAAGGGGATCTGAGAGTGGAAGCAGGGAGAGGTCAAGATACTGTTTTCTCTACTCTCTCTCTTCCTCAACTTTGGGGGCTCTGTCAGTGGTTGCTTTTGTCATGCTCTCCTCCTTTCTTGACTCTGTCACTGGGCTCTAGTGACATCATCATCTCTCTTTAGCCTCTCATGCCCATGGGCAGTAATGGGTTCTGAGTCCCTGGGTACCTCAACATACTTGTTGGTTCCCTTGGATCCACTCACATCTATGCACAAAGACCATTACATTCTATTCAAAATCTCAGTGGAGCATCTTGTTTTACTGCCCTGGTCTGATGAGTACACTGCCACTGAATACGACATTTCAGATGTCTCTATTATGTGACTTTTCAAAATGATACGGTGAAGTTATTATTATAGAGAACTTATAATGTTTCACTTAAATAATTCTTCATCATCCCAACACCATTTGTTACTACAAAATGATATAGTATAATAGCTTCAAACAATTTAAGGGGAAAAACCCCAGCTGTGATCAGAGAGTGCACAGTGCATACACACTCCAAACCCTCACCTCCATTAGTTCGTTATTTAGTTGTTATTTCTCCATTGTGAAAATCATGATATAAGTTAAGAGCAGCTGTTTGAAGTAGAAATAATATACCAACTTATAAATGTCTCATCAAGGGTTACCATTTGCAATTTAGTCATAAGAGGTCACTCCACAGCCCCAGGGTGCCCTGGGCACTGTTTACTACATAATGAGCAACTAGGTTACTCTGATCATAGCTACTACCTATCAAATGTGATCCAGCTAAAAGAGATTCAGGTGTTTACAATCTCAATCTTATTGTTTGCACTAATGTTAGTAGAAAGACAAATGTATTTGGCATCAAAAGCTTAGGAGTAAGGGTCTCTTCCTTGCCCTACTAAGGGTGGGCAAGGGCTTAGCTGCTCAGACCATAGAAGCAATGTTCAAATAGTCAGGGTTCTTGGAAGATTCTCTATTTGCTATTTAAATCACATCAGTCCCTTGACTGATGTATCAAATGTAGTGAAATTAGGGATGATGGGTAGGGAGTTGGGGCTAGAGGGGAGGAAGGACATAATTACTTTAAACTCTTCTGGTGTAGAAATTTTCATCATGGTCCATTCTTTTCTTCCACCATAGGATATTCCTATTCCAGTTTTCTGAGAACATAAATGGCTGTTTGGTCACATCAAAAATTCCCAATCCCAAAGCCAAAGGCATTATTAATAGCCAGTATGATTCTAGAAAGCTGAAAAACAGAAAAAAAAAAAAAAAAAAAAAAAAAACTGAAGCCACTTCTGCCAGGATCAAATAGTAGCTTGTCAATAGTGGAGCAACATTTAGAAACGTGGCTATGTCTGTTACTCAGACAGTGACATGATAGGGAAATTCCAAGTGGCAATAATCTTCATTTATTCTCAGAGTTGTGAAAACAATACATAGCTTTAAGTGCTTTAACAATGCTTTCTTAAAAGGTTATGTTATGTAGATGATGTTCAATGAAATTAGAACGGCTTTCCTTGTATAATTAGATGTCATATTACTCAAAATGGAAATTTAGGGCTTTCTCTGTTGGAAATTTTAAAAAAAGCCTTCAGGAAGTCTTATGTGTCCATCTTTTATGTATCAGTTGAAATACTTTTATTACTCATATTGAGATTGCTTAGTTCCCATGATGAAATTTGGGTATTACATTATTAATAAATTAACTGTCTTTTTCTTAAAACTTTGAAAGCATCAATATTATGTTTCTATAAAAATCATATTTTTCCTGTTACTTTCTGTATTTTTCTACAATCTCTTAGAGTAAAATTACCTTGATCTTTTCCTTTAATGCTGTCTTCTTCATTTTTTTGCTTTCTTCTATTGAATTTTGCTTTCATTGGCTAAAATAGAAAATAAATAGAAATTTTAAAAAGATTGCAATTTACACTCATCGAGCACTTGCTATAAGGCATGCACTATGCCGACCCCTTTGCATACATAGTCTGCCACAACTTGGTTATTCCAAGATTCTATGGAAGAGTGTCCTACTTTACATTAAACATTTTTTAGGACTTAGAGAGTTAACTAACGCATATAAAGTAATACAGTAAGTGTTAGAGTTGAGATTACACCTCAAACTCATCTGAGAGCAATGTTTTCCAGTCTTATAAAAAATTTGTTACTACTTGTAATTATTTCATGGCACTTTGTGTCTCTTGCTCAAAGTAAAACCAAAAAAGAAATAACTGCATAAAAATAAATCTTGTGGAACGTTTCATATTTTGCTTCTTAAAGCAAAAGTTAATTTACATTTTATGTTTGTGACTACTGATGGACCATTTTCTCCTCTGAAGCTCAAAGGTTTAAATTTCTCTTTAAAATAGCTTAAACCCTTCAAAGATGAAGAAATAATTTCTAAATCCATGTTTCTGATTTTTCACTTAAAACATTCTGTATTCTACATATGCCTCCTAATTTTTTTAATTGAGGAAAATCACCTTTTTCCCCAATTGCAAAACCATCTTAAAATATGACATATTTTTATTCATTGATTATCAGTAGAGCAATCTATTCCATGAATTATACAATTTGTATAAGTTTATCTTTGAAATTGAGATTTTTTTGCTTTTGTCGGGTATTCACTATAAACCAAAATTTGATGGATTCAATAAATTAGCTTTCAGCAAGCAACCTGCTTGTGAGGAATAAAGGACCCAATTGGTCAGCTCACTGAAGCAGTAGTGGATGTAATGGTGCCCTCATGGCCATTCAGTAAATCAATTTCCTGATAAATCTTTGCTTACAGAAAATACTTTAAGTATCAAGACAATATACCATATATTGGCCTAGATTCTCTCTGGCCATCTCTCAAGAGGACGTTTGACCTGAAGCTTTGAGAGTTTGTTTGAAACTTTGAGATATTTCTTGGTCAAGGATAGTATAACATAGCCCTTGTATAGCAGTCATCTTATTCCTGATTATTACAGGGCTAGACTACATTATAGATTACAGGCTAAAATTTAGGTATACCATTAGTGAAGGACACAGTTTAGTGTAGAGGTTAAAAATGATGGCTTTATAGTAAAGCTGGATTCGAATCCTGGGCTTACTACTTATTCTCATTGTCACCTTAGACAAATTACCTAATCCTTTTAAGTATTCATCTTCTCACTCTAAATAGATTAAGACTACCAATCTTACTGAGTTGTAGAGCATAGAAAATAGTCTATGTCTGGTACTTAGCACAGTGTCTGTTCTGCTTTGTAAAGGTCAGCTTTGACTTGGACATTAAACACAACATCTGTAACCATTAATGCAGCAAATTAGCCCATGGTGCTAACAACTGTATGGTATGTGGTCAATGCTCTATGGAGGCCAATCAGCCTTACTCTGATTCATGGCCTCAGCTTTACTCGGCAAGGGCATAAGTATGCCAGAATAAATCTATATCCATTACTGGAGAAAAAAATCAAAATGTCTGCCCCAAGGCTGGTCAGTCAGTAAGGTCAGCCTCATACATGAAGAGCAATATTAATGTTAAGTCCGTCTGCTCAAAAATAAAATGTTCACTTGCAGTTAACTTTGAGGATTGGGAGAAGTCAATGAATTAGCAGAATCTTAAGAAAGAGCAAAGTTAGATTGGAAAGGAAGTTCACAGTGAGTAGATTTCAAGCAGGAGCTTGGTGAGGCTACTGCCACAGAACTAGTTATAAGAAGGACTAAATATGACTGGAATAATTTGGATCTATGATGTCAATTAAACCATACTGTCATATGAAATTCCTTACAAAATTGGAGATGTGTAAATTGGTTCCCTTTCCAATAAAGAAGCACTCTTGAGTAGAAATTTAAAACAAAGCCAAAAGATAAACACTCTTTACTGGTGATTATTCCACTCTCGCCAAATGTTGTATAAATAATAAAATGATATTAGTTTCAGATTATCAGCTTGCCAGAGGCACAGAAGAGCAAAAGCAAACATCTCCTGGTAATGTGGTTTCCTTGATGATGTATGAATATAATAGCGAGGTGCTAATAGGAAGAGAACCTATGAATAAAAGGATTTGATTTTTTTCTGGTTTCTGCCATTGGCGAATCCTTTGGCACAGGCAGTGTAAGACGTACCTTGATAAGTAGTGGGGATGATGCTTTACTGAATTAGTCTGGTGAAAAACAGACCATAATATCATAATTTACTTATCATTTGGGGCTTACCTCAATTTAAGAGCTCTTGACAGCTACAAAAACTCATCAGGTTAACTCAAAAATCAAATTATCATCTTGCTTGCCTGGAGAAGGAGAACAAGCATATTCATCATCATTTAGAATTTTTTTAACAACACAGATTAACAATAAAGTAGTATCTCACATCTTTAAAGTATTTTACACTCTCTTGGGTGCTTTCACTTGCAGTAGCTCTCCGACACGCAGAAGTCAGGAGAACCAAGAAGATTACCTTCCTAACTATGCAGCTTTATGGAGACCAGGATGAGCTAACAGGAGACATGGTGAAGGGTGCATTCATGAAAAGCACACGTCACAGTGTCAAGTGTACTCGGGAAGGACTCACAGAATTAAAACACATTTTCTGTTTTTTTTTTTTACATTTAAAACTTTTTATTTTATTTTATTATTATTATACTTTAAGTTTTAGGGTACATGTGCACAATGTGCAGGTTAGTTACATATGTATACATGTGCCATGCTGGTGTGCTGCACCCATTAAATTGTCATTTAGCATTAACTATATCTCCTAAAGCTATCCCTCCCCCCCCCCACCCCACAACAGTCCCCAGAGTGTGATGTTCCCCTTCCTGTGTCCATGTGTTCTCATTGTTCAATTCCCACCTATGAGTGAGAATATGTGGTGTTTGGTTTTTTGTTCTTGTGATAGTTCACTGAGAATGATGATTTCCAATTTCATCCATGTCCCTAAAAAGGACATGAACTCATCGTTTTTTATGGCTGCATAGTATTCCATGGTGTATATGTGCCACATTTTCTTAATCCAGTCTATCATTGTTGGACATTTGGGTTGGTTCCAAGTCTTTGCTATTGTGAATAGTACCGCAATAAACATACGTGTGCATGTGTCTGCCTGACAAAAAAAAGGCCAAAACTATTTGGCCCACCTCTGCAACTGAAACCACAGTTCCTTCCCATTCACAAAGGCTGTATTTCCCTTTATTTTTCTTGCTCTCCATTGTGCTCCTTTTTTCAAAAAAAAAACTCATCTGAGGGCAAGATCAGGAGCCTCTTGCGGCCACAGAAACACCCAAAGTGCCTGCACCAATACAGACTTTCACAAACATCAAATATGAGAGGAATTAAAAAAATGAGATTTTTTTCCATTTGGTCTTTACTGAATCTTCAGTCATTTTAGGCACATGACATTACTTATTTGTGTCAATTCTTACCTCCTTTCCCTCAACCTTTTCCTTCCATAAGTTCTTCAAGTATTTGCTCAAATCTTACCTTCTCAGGGAGGTTTATCTTTTGAAACTTGCACACATCCCTTAACATTGGGTGTCTGTGTGTGTGTGTATGGTGGGGGGTGATGATCCCCTGTCTCACTCTAAATTTTTTCATCACCTTCTAAGGTAGTATATAATTTTTGTATTTATGTTTGTTGTTCACAATCCATCTCTCCTCACTAGAACGCAAACTCCAGGAGGGCAGGGATCTTTGTTTAGTTCACTGATGAACACGCAAAGAAATATATGTTGAGTGGAAGAACAAACCAATGGTTTTCTTTTGTCCTTCTTATAGGTAACTCAATACTAACAAGCATCCCAACCAACTCTCATTTTAAACTTCTAGAAGATGGCCAGGGAAAAATGTTAACATGCATTTGCTGAACACATCTTATTTTGCAGAGAGGAATAGAAGCATATTTCAATAGAGATGTGAAAAAGCTGCTGAAGGTCTAGCACAGAACTTACTAATAGTGTGTAACAAATTATTGGGTTTTAGAAATTCAATTTAGTTCTCAACATGTGCCGCTTCACCACCTGCATACACATGAGTCACACCCACACCCGCTCTCTCTGCCAGCTCCACCTTTTATCCTCCCCCTCATTAGCCAACACCTAATTACATACTAATTGGCTCAGAGAACACAAGCTTGTTATTGCACTAAAAACACTCAGAGCTCCCCCACAGACAGATTCTCATGAAAACCAAATATAAAAGGAGTTGGCCCACTGCCTGGTTTTCTTCTAGGTCCCGGACACACAGATTAGTGTTTGTTTTCAGGCTTCTCCTAAGTCATATTTTTCAGGGGCACATTTCAATACTCGGTACCAGCCAATGGGACCAACCAGATTTGAGTTTCTCATGCGGGCAGCAATTTCAGACAGAAAGGACCTTTATAGATGACCTTAATTGTTATGTGAATGGTTCATTAGACAGAGACACCTGCAGATCACCGGGAACATTTCTTCATTAAGCTTACTATTGTTCCCCTTATGTGATCCCTGAACATCAAAGTGTTCAAACTGCAACTCTCTAGGATTAGATAAACTGATTTTATAAATACATTAGGAACAAGAACATGTAGCTCTCTTTGCTGAAATTCATTTTTCTTCCAATGGAAAACACACCAAACCATTCCCACCATCAAAACACAACTAAATGAACTGCGACTAATGACAGAATATTAGGAGTCTGAGTGGAGATGGAGTTTTGTGAAACTGTGGGTTTCTTTTTTTTTTTTTCCAACTAGAATCTGGTACTGTAATTACCAGTAAGGATAGGTTCAGACACCTGGAGGAGGAGACAAAAATATAGAACAGAGTGTCCACATTGGCTGCATACTGCTCTCCCACACTCCCCTAGTGTGGGCGAGGTGGGGGCGGCACCAGGGGGAAGATGCTTGCCATGTTCGGAAATGGAATGCCGTATCAGGGCAGGAAGAATTAAGAACAAGGAGGGAAGAAACCCTTCAAGCTACATCTGTCTCCCAAAAGGAGCCACAGACCAGCTCCAATTGCACATATAAAGGAGATGAAGAATTTTGGAGACAGTCCACTGCAAATTGTTGTTGCTTTGCTTTGTATGATTTTTTTTTTTTTTAGACGGAGTCTCGCTCTCACCCAGGCGAGAGTGCAGTGGCGCGATCTCGGCTCACTGCAAGCTCCGCCCCCGAGTTCCCGCCATTCTCCTGCCTCAGCCTCCTGGTAGCTGGGACTACAGGCGCCCGCCACCACGCCCGGCTAATTTTTTTTTTTTTTTTTTGGATTTTCAGTAGAGACGGGGTTTCACTGTGTTAGCCAGGATGATCTCGATCTCCTGATCTCGTGATCCGCCCGCCTCTGCCTCCTAAAGTGCTGGGATTATAGGCGTGAGCTACCGCGCCCGACCTGTTGTTGCTTTGCTTTGATGGTGTGAAGCAGGGGCTGAAAGATGGATTCCCTACTTGGATAAGCCGAGATTCTCAGAGTATTATTTAATCAAACTTCACTACAATGCAGAGATCTCTTACACAATATCTGTGTCAGATTATTATTCTATCTCTGAACAACTTTAGTAGTGGGAAACCTACTTGATAATCCAGTCCTTTTGAGGAAAGGTTGCATTTATATATACACCTTTAAGTATCACAGATACCACAACGAACAATTGTATGGGTTTATGTTCTTTTTCATTTAAACCTCATGCTATAAATTCCACATTCTAAGTATTGTTAATATTGTTATTATTATTAAATGAATAAACAAATAATTAATGTACAAAGGGTGGTACACAGTATCCAACACATGGTAAGGCCTCAGTAACTATTAGTTGAGTCAATAAATCTTTTTAAAGCACAGTGCCAGTTTCATATGTGCTAGAAACTTATTTGGTGAATGTATTGGCCCGGGTTCTTAGTTACAGACAATAAAACTCACTTTAGCATGTTTAAACGGAGATAAGAGTCATAAACAGCATAGAATCATTGAGTAGCCTGAAGAAACAGACTCTTTGTTTCCAGGAAAGCCCCAAACCGCACCACACAACTGGGCTTTTACTTGTGCTGCTGCTGGATCCAATGGTTCAGGGTGAGAGAGTTCCTGCTGCCTGCTCTGGAACCATACCAAGTCTACCAGGGTGTGCATGGCTGACTGAATGCCTTTCAGCTGTTTCTCTCCACTCTTAACTACATTTCAAATTAAAACCCTGCATGAGTGTGTCTGATTGGTGGACTCTAACAAATCAGGAACCTCCTCCACTGGAACCTTAGAAATAGACTTTTTAACGTTTCATTTGTCTAAACACATCAAGTGAGTTGACCATTCACAACATCTGCCACAGTGGGGTGGGAGCTGTGAGCAGGGACCTGAGCAATAGCTCATGAGGACAACGGACTTGGGCAAACTGACTTCTTCCCAGGCCATCAGCAGTATCTGAGCAATCTGGGATGAATCCCACAAATTCATAAGATTTGCAAACAGTATGAACTATTCCACCAACCTCTTCACCCTCTTGTTCTCCCAACATGATGAATGTGTGATTCATCATGATCTGGTCCTGACATTCACTTCTGCCTATCCTTACCTAAAAATTAATATCAACACCTGCTTGGAGTCCACTGAGCAAATACATTGCCATTTCTTGCCTTTGCATCTTTATGTTTATTGTCTCTTTGCTTTATTTCCTTTTCTTTCTGTGGGTTTTCCTGATTCAAGGTCAAGTTTGGGCATTACCTCTACTAGAAAGCCTTCCTTAATTCTCCAATACTGGGTCAGTTGTCTCTGCCATAGTATCAAGTGAATTATCTTTGTACTTGTAATATTTAATTATCATCATCACTTTGTGGGTGCGTGTCTCTCTCATTGTATTGTGAGTTCCTTGAAGGACAGGTCTACAAATTATTCATCCTCCTTTTGCATTGTGAGCTCGTTGAAGGACAGGTCCACAAATTATTCATCCTCATGTTGAAATATAGTGTCTAACAGTATTCATCAGGGATGGATAACTCCTTTAACAAACAATATGAACATTGCAATGGCTTGACTCAGTAAATATTTATTGAATAAACATCTATTGCTTACTCACATTATCGTTCAATTTGGGTCAGTGGAGGCTATGCTCCACCCAGTCATTCAGGAACCCAGGCTATTTTTATGATTCAACTCTGCCATATTTTAGACTTCTATTTTCTTCTCCTTTATAAAGGAAATAGAAAAAGAAAAAAATAAATAATTGTGGCAGAGGTATACTACTTTTTAGATGGTAGACCTGGAAGAGGTATATATGACTTCCGTGTGTGTTCCTTTGACTAGAACTTAGTCTCTTGTCCCCACTAGAACTTAGTCTCTTGTCCCCACCTAACTGCCAGGGAGTTGGAAAATGAAGTCTAACTGTGAGGTCAGGAAGAAGAAGAAATGTCATTTAGTTAACGCAAAGGATTACTTATACCACAATACACATTTCTGGCCACCAAATATCATTCTTTCTCTCACAGGAGAGACAACTCAAAGTCCCATTCAATCATGGTGTACAGCTCAAAGTTCAGAATCTCTTGGTGATGCTCAGTTCTCTCCACCATGATCCTGTAAGTTAAGAATTAGAAAGACAAGTTTTCTGCAAGTGCCACCCCATTCTAATCTTATGCACCCAATGTACAGTGGTACAACAAGAACAAAATAACTGCAATAATATCTCCCATTCAGAAAAGTGAAAAATAAAAGATGCAGCAGTAACTTATTCATAGCATATAAAAATCCTTTAGGCCAGGCGTCAGCAAATATTTTCCCCTCCCTCCCTCACTTCTTTCCTTCCTTCTTCCTTCCTTTTTTTTCTTTCTTTCTTCCTTCCTCTCTCTTTTTCTTCTCTCTCTCTGTCTCTGTTTCTCCTTTTGAGATGGGATCTTGCCATGTTGCCCAGGCTGGTCTTGAACTTCTGGACTCAAGCCATCCTCTCACCTCAGCCTCCCAAACAAATGCTTTCCTAAAGAACATTCAGTTCCTATTTCCTAAAATGGCCAATATTTTAGGTTTGCAGGCTATATACTGCCCACTGCAATTACTCAACTATGCCATTGTAGTTCAAAAGAAGCTATGGAGAATATATAAAGCCCCGCTATATTTCAATGAAGCTTTATTTATAAAAACAGTACACATGCACCTGGCCTGTAGTCTACAGATCTATGCTTGAGACAAACATTCTGAAGTCTGCCTAACTTAGAGATGGGGAGAGTTGCTTGATTAGGGCCTGATCTCCCTTTTTGGGAAGAATTCCAGTGTCCATTTTTCCTCCACAGCATCTGGCTCAACAGTAAGAGATTTTTTTTTGGTTTATTATTCTACTGGACCATATCTGAAATGGGAATTGAGGAATATGCACAACTTTCTCAACTGCTTCTAGCCAGAGCAAGTGGAAAACATAAAGTTTGTTTTATAGTTCGGACCATCAAAGACTCGTGGTGTCTTTGGCAATATGATTGTCTCAACAAATCAGTAGGCTTCTGATTTATTTGGTCCCAGTCAGTTCCACATGTAAATGACTATACAGAACTTTTCTAATCATAGCTGTAAAATATGCCTTATTTTAAAGTTTATTTTCCTCATGTCTTTCTCAGTTTAATAAATTACCATAATATCATCCAAAACAATGATTAGGAAGACCACACTAGTGCTGTGCAGTTGGGTTTACTGTAGGGTTGATCAACTGAGAATGTTTCCTGCTGCCTTGTTGGTCAAGATCTTTTAATTTTTTATCTTACTAACTGGGATCTGAAGCAATCAGCTGTTCTCTCTAGGAAGCTTCATATTTCTGGACTCTGTATTCCCTTTCATTTCTGCTTAAAAATAAGATACTGAAAACCAATGATAATAAAAATATAGTGATACTCTAATGCTAATCACTTCCCCTAGAGCAACAGATTCAATAGGTATATGGATTATTAATAAATTCCTAGGGCTGCCATAACAGTATCACAAATTGGGTGACTTACAACAATAGAAATGTATTGTCTCACAGGTATGGGGGCTAGAAGTCTGAAATCAAGGTGTTGGCAGGGTTGGTTTCTACTGCAAGGGTCTGAGGGAAAGTCTGTCCCATGCTTCTCTCCTAGCTACTGGTGGTAATCGGCAATCCTTGATGTCACTTTGGCTGTTGATGCATTGCTCCAACCTTTACTTATGTCTTCGCGTGGTGTCTTCCCTATGTGTGTTCACATCATCCTCCCTCTGTGTATATGTATCTCTGTCTGTGTCCAAATTTCCCTCTTCTTATTAGGACGCCAGTCATGTTGGAATAGGGCCTACTCAAATAATCCCTTCTTAACTTGAGTACAGCTACAAAGATCCTAGTTCAAAATAAGGTCACATTCACATGTACTAGGGATTAAGACTTCAACATATTGGCCCAGCGCGGTGGCTCACGCCTGTAATCCCAGCACTTTGGGAGGCCGAGGTGGGTGGATCACAAGGTCAGGAGATCAAGACCATCCTGGCCAACATGGTGAAACCCTGTCTCTACTAAAAATACAAAAAAAATTAGCTAGGTGCAGTGGCAGGCGCCTGTAGTACCAGCTACTCAGGAGGCTGAGGCAGGAGAATCACTTGAACCTGGGAGGCAGAGGTTGCAGTGAGCTGAGATCGTGCCACTGCACTCCAGCCTGGCAACAGAGCGAGATTCTATCTTGGGAAAAAAAAAAGAAAAATACTTCAACATATTTATTTTGGGAGACACAATTCAACCCATAATAGCATATCATCTGTCTTCCAAGTTATTGCAGGTGACATTTTTTTTTGTTTTTGTTTCTTGTGAGACAGAGTCTCACTCTTTTGCCCAGGCAATAGTGCAGTGGCATGATCTCAGCTCACTGCAACCTCTACCTCCCAGGTTCAAGCGATTCTCTCATGCCTTAGCCTCATGAGTAGCTGGGACTACAGGCATGCACCACCACACCAAGATAATTTTTGTATTTTTTTTGTAGCAGTGGGGTTTCACCATGTTGGCCAGGCTGGTCTTGAACTCCTGGCCTCCAGTGATCTGCCTGCCTTGGCCTCCCAAAGTGCCAGGACTACAGGTGTAAGCCACTGTGCCCAGCTGCAGGTGACAGCTTTACCAAATGTTTTTGACACTGCATGAATTATCAATATTCCAACCTCCAGTATCATTTTCCTTACCATGTACTATCTGACTGCTAAGCCAATTTCACACATTTTAGGTTTTGTTTTGGCAGCACCCTTTTATTTTCTTTCTTTTTTTTGAGATGGAGTCTCACTCTGTTGCCCAGACTGGAGTTGCAGTGGCACCACCTTGGCTCACTGCAACCTCCGCCCTCCGAGTTCAAGCAATTCTCCTGCCTCAGCCTCACGAGTAGCTGGGATTACAGGTGCCTGCCACCGCACCCGGCTAATTTTTTTGTATTTTTAGTAGAGACGGGGTTTTACCATCTTGGCCAGGCTAGCTTTGAACTCTTGACCTCGTGATCCACCTGCCTTGGCCTCCCAAAGTGCTGGGATTACAGGCATGAGCCACCTTGCCTGGCCGGCAGCACTCTTTTCAAGCAATGAATACCTGTCTTATCAAGCAAGATAGGTTGACTGCATAACAATGCCAAAATTTCTGTGGTTAACCCAGTAAAAGTTTATTTCTCACACTATATCCAATGAGGACCAGTGGGATGCTCTGCTCCACACAGTCATTAGGGAATCCAGGATCCACACATCATGTAGCTCTGTCATCCTCTGTTCATGCTCCTCTGCTTTCAGAGGGTGGAAAGAGAAAAGTATGGAGGAATGAAGGTTGGAAAGTAAAGCATGCCACTCCCACTGATACTCAAGTAGACAAAATGAGTTACACATCCCAAACTAGCTGCAGGCAAGACTCAGAAATGTGAATAAATTGTGTGCCCAGGAGGGAAAGAAAGAGAGCCTGGTAAACACACAGTCTTGCATTTGCCACAAATACTTTGAAAATATCTGAAATATGCTTTTGAACAAATTATTTTAAACAAATGAGTTTCAACAGGCTCAAGTCAGTTCCTAACATTTGTTAATATTTGTGGCATCTCATCTGAAGGGACAAGGTGGTATATGCTATCCAGACTTCCGGCTAGCCCTGGCACCTTGTTTGTATCTTGAGTCCAGCTGTGAATCTGGGAGAGGCCTGACAGTCTTTTCTGACCCCATAGTTAAGCAATAGCTGGGAATGAGAATTCCTCATATCTTAGCTGAAGTTTGAGGCAAAATTCTAAACAAATGAAGATGGGTATGAAGAAATGTAAAAGACATGAATAAACCAAGGCCAGAAAGAAGTTAGGAAAAGAGATTAGATATTAGATAGAAAGCTTCAGTTCAATTCTAGAATTCTACTTATCTACATCTATTCACCCATCCATCAAAGAATGACTTTCAGATCCTTCTGATAATAGCCCACTTCCAACCTAAATTTTCATTGGTTTTAAGTCTGATTAGAGACAAAAATGTAAGTTAATAACTATTTTCCAGCTGAGCTGGAATGGTCAACTATTTTCATCATTATGGTTGCTAGATATTTTCCCCTAAGTATCTTATCTTTTGTTAGTCTACCTTTCATGGGGCCAAATTTCAGATAGGTATCTTGTTATCTTGTCTCATTAAGCCTTATTTCCAAGCCTCCCATGATAAGATGTCTGTCAGAATTCCTCATATGACATGGTATCTGTACCCTTCTTCCTGTCACTCTCCTAGGAATATGCTTTAATTTTCAAACTTCCTACTAAAATTTAGAATCTGGAAATAAATTCAGGTCCCTGTATGTGGCTGGACTATGGCAGAATATTATAGGAGTGTTGTTTTTCTTTGTATACAGCACCACTTTTCATTGTTTTGACCCCACCCTCAGTATACAATTTCTAAAAAAATTAGTTGCTTGGGACTCAAAACCACAGTGGTCATCAAAAACTTGGAGATTTAAAGCCTTCCCTCAGTGCTGGTATCATAATGGACACTAGGAAAACATCATTCCTATGCTTTGCCTGTCCAAAGTGAAGGCTACAAAATTTGTAGTACATACCACAAAGAATGTCTGGTTCTCCTTTTATCTTAACTCAATATTGCTCAATTTGCACTTTCTCAGCATCTTGTCCTACAAATGCATTAGTTAACATGCAATATTGTTTTCTACTATTACAGCTGATTCTTTTGAAAAGGAAAATTTCTATTGTTCTATTTCAAGAATGAGATATCCCCTCAAATCTCTCATTAATAACTATTTGTTTATATTTTCTTGGGATGTTAAAAGTTTCAGTGTTTTACTTATCTATATATCTATATATTATCTATCTATATCTTGCACATTGCTTTCTCTGTTTTTCTAGAAATTAGTTTTGATTTATTACTATTTCCTTAGAATGATTGGGCTTATTTTTCTAGTATATCTTTAGTCTTCCATGCTGCTGTTTTGTGTTTTTTCATAGACATTTTTTAACCACTATAGAAATATGTGAAGTTTGAAATCCTCTTGATTAAAACCAGTGATTAAAATACTAAACCTGACATTTTCAAGTTGTACTACATCCTTCCCTTGACTGGAAAAAGTAATGAAAACCTTTTCTGTACTTGAGTGGCAATTTCTTTAGTTGAGGGTTTCAACATTACAGAAATGACACTTTGTCTTTATATATGTATCATCCAGTCAGTGATCACTAAGACCTGGCAGTGGGTTTGATGGATTTCAACAGACTACCCAGGGAGTCAGAAACACTTCTTGTTACACTTCACATCACCACCACGGTATCCAGATAGTCGCCTGTTGCTGGAACTGATAAAAGCATTCTTCTAGCTTCACTGTAAATATACTTTAGCTTTGTGAAATATGAAACACATTTTTTTTTTTGCAAAGTCCAAAGCCACTTTCTATGAAAAGAACCTTGGCTTCTTTTTAAAAATATATATATTTCTGGAGATACAATTTACATACCATTAAAATATCCATGTAAGCATATAATTCAGTGGTTTTTAGTATATTCACAGAGTTATACAACCATCAGCACACTCTGATTTTAGAAAATTTTCATAAGCCTGAAAAGTCACCCAGGAAGAAAGGAATTATAGTCTGGAAAACGTTGTTATGGATACATTACTCTCTGCTCCTTCCTGATAAATATAACAATAAATCTGGAAAACAGAACAAGGGGCAACCAAGGGAAAACTTTGAAAAGTGGTAAGAGAATGACAAACTATTTAGAAACCCTAGGACTGGAAGAACAACACAGCAGTATGGTGAACTATTCCTTCTACCTTCACTCAGCTGCAGAATGTGACCGAGACCAGGCAATTTCCACAAAAGGCAGCCCAGGGAAGCTTATTCCTCTCCCTAGATAGAATGCTTATACCTCCAACAATACCATGTGAGCCCAGCACCACTGGTAAGTAGAATCAACTGCCCTGCAAATAGTAAGGGGCCAAGGGAAGTGCCCTCCTTTCACACCTGACCTGAGACTACTCCCCTGCTGAGAGAAACTGAGATGTCCTTGTGGCACCAACAAAAGAGACCCTGCCACAACAAGCAGCCTGACTTTGTACTTGTGAACCTGAGATTCCTCTTCCCTACCCAGAGACACCTGGGATGGCAGGGCCCTATCATGCTACTACAACAAGCCCCTGTCCTGGGAGGCATCTTCATCACCACAGTCCCAGTAGTCCTCCTTCAACACCCACATTGCCTCCCCATTCTACAACGAAGCACATCTAGCAGCCTGACCTAGGGAAACACTTTCCATCCTCTCAGAGAGCATTAGCAGGCACAAATAGGAACAATGGCAACAGATAAAGCAGACCAAAATAACATTGCAATGGCTCTGAAAATTAAACTGTTATTGGAACTACAGTCCATGAAGTAGGCCAGGATCTGCTTGCTAAACCTAAATGTGCTGATTTCTTGCTAAAATAGAACATTTCAGTAGAACCTAGAGTTTACTAGAGTAAGAGACAAAATATCCAGAATGCAATTGACAACCAAACATGATAATCAAGAATCAAGGAAATCAAAACTTGAGAGCAGAGAGATAATGAATGCCAGCACTTAAGTAAATCACACGTTGAAATTATCTGGCAAGGATTCTAAAACAATCATAATAAAAATGTTTCAACAATCAATTATAAATTCTCTTGAAACAAATGAAAAAATAGAAAATTGTAGCAAAGAAAGAGAAGGTATAAAAAAGAAACAAGGTAAATACAGAACTAAAAAATACAACAGAAAATTTAAAACTTACTAGATGGACTTAATAGTAGAATAGTGATAACAAAACATAGAATAAGTGAACTTAAAGTTAGAATGATAAAATTTACCCAGTCTGAACAACAGAGAGAAAATATACTACACCAAAACAATAAAATAGAAAATAGAACATCAGGAACCTATTAACACAATAACCAAAGATCCAACATTTGTATCATTGGAACCCTAGAAGGAAAGGCAAGGGAGGGAGCTAGACTGAAAGAAACTTTGAATAAATGATGCCTAAAAGTTTTCCAAATTGGTGAAAGACATGAATCCACAGATTCAAGAAGTTGAGTGAACCATAAATAATATAAATCCAAATAAATTATACCAATATATACCATAATTAAACTTCTGAAAACTTAAAACAAAGATAAATCTTGAAAGCAGGCACAGAGAAATGACACATTACTTACATGGGAATACCAATTTGAATGAATTTATTTTTGATATCATGGTGGTCAGAGGAAGTGGCACAACATTTTTCCTGTGTTGAAAGAAAGAACTGTCAACTGCAAAGTCTAAACTCAGTGAAATTATTCTTCAGGAATAAAAAGGAATTGAAGACATTCCCAGAGAAAGTAAAGTTAAAAGAATTTGTTACTAGCAAACATTCTCTTAAAAAGCTGAGCGTGGTAGCTCATGCGTGTAATCCCAGCATTTTGGGAGGCTGAGGCAGGCAGATCAGTGAGGTCAGGAGTTTGAGAGCAGTCTAGGCAACACGGTGAAACTCTGTCTCTAAAAAAAATTTAAAATTAGCTGGGTGTGGTGGTGCACACCTGTAGTCCCAGCTACTCAGGAGGATAAAGTTGGGGGATCACTTGAGCCTGGGAATTTGAGACTACAGTGAGCTGTGATCATGCCACTGCACTCCAGGCTAGGCAACAGAGTGAGACCCTGTCTCAAAAAAAAAAAAAAAAAAAAAAAAAGATTGGCAAATGAAAGTTACTCAAACAAAAAGGAAATCATAAAAGAAACAAACTTGGAGCATCAGAAAGGAAGAAAAACAACAGACAGCAGACATATGGGTATATTTTCCTAATGAACTTTCTAAACCATGTTTGAGGATAGAAGCAAAAATTATAGCAACTTCTAATACTCAAAACAATGATATTTAAAGTAGAAATGGTAAATAAACCTAAATGTACATAAAATTTCCACATTTCACTTGAAGTAATAAAATGTTGATACCAGTAGATTGTAAGTCAGTCACTGTTACAGGCTGAATTGTGCTTCCCCAAAATTTATGTGTTGAAGTCCTAACCCCCAATAATTCAAAATGTGGCTGTGTTGGGAGATAGGGCTCTTAAAGAGGGAATTAGAGGAAAATGAGGTCATATGTATGGGCTGTAATCCAATATGACCAGTGTCTTTATAAGAAGACGAGATTAAGACAGAGATGTGTGTGCACATGGAGAAAAGACCAGGTGAGACACAGCAAGAAGGCAACCAGCTGCAAGTCAAAGAGGCCTCAGAAGAAAACAAACCTGTTGACACCTTGATCATAGACTTCCAGCCTCCAGAACTGTGAGAAAATAAATTTCGGTTGTTTAAGTTACCCAGTCTGTAATATGTTGTTATGGAAGCCCTAGCTTGCTAATCCAGCCACATATGCATTTAAAAAAATATTCAGAGCAACCACTAAGAAAACTATAGAAGGAGATACACTCAAAGCCACTATAAAGAAATAAAAATTCTTTTTTCAAAAAGTTCAATTAATATTCAGGTAGACAAGAAAAAAGAAATACAGGAATAAGACTTAGAGGAAATAAACAGAAAATAAGTAATAAAATGGCAAATGTGGGCACTAAGTATCAGTAATTGCTGTAAGGTAAATGGTATAATTTACCATCAAAAGGCAGATATATGTAGAGTGGACATAATGAAAAAGCCAACAATATGGTGTTTATAAGAAACTAACTTCAAATTCAACAACATAGATAGATAGGATGGAAAAATATATTTAATGCAACCATTATTTTGAAAAGGGACATGCAGCCATATTGATATCAGATAAATTAAATTTCACAGCAAAGGAAATTACTAAATAAAAGTGGGACACCATGTAACGATAAAAGAAAGAGTCTACCAAGAAGACATAATGGTTTAAGTGTTTATGTACCAAGAAACAGTATGTCAGCATGTATGAAGCAAAAGCTGATAGAGCTGAAAGGAGAAATAGACAAATCAACAGTCTTAAATAAGGACTTCAACATTTCTTTTTCAGCAACAGATAGAACTATCAGAAAGAAAATCCACAAGAATATAGAAAATCTAATGCATGCAGCCAACCAACAGGATCTATTTGATATACAAAGCACACTTTACCCACCAATAGCAGAATCACACATTTTAATATGCCCATGGAATATTTACTAACATAGATTATATCCAGGACCATAAAGCAAACCTCGATGAATTTAAAAGAATTGAAATTATAGAGTACACTCTTTGATCATAATATAATTAAGCTAGAAAGACAATAGGAAAATCTCTCAACACGTGGAACTTAACAACATATTCTGAACAATTGATGGATCAAAGAAAAAGTCTCAAAGAAAATTAAAAACCAATAGAAGTGAATGAAAATGAAATGCAATATATCAAAACGTGGCATATAGCTAAAGCTGTGCTTAGGGTGGGTGGGATTTAAGGCACTAAAACTTGCACTGGAAATGAGGAAAGGTCTCAAATCATTAATCTAGGCTCTTACCTATGAAAATAGAAAAGATAGAATAAAATGAACCGAAAGCAATTTGGAAGTAAATAATAAGGATTAAAAAAAAACAACCAGAAATCAATAATTAGCACCCTCTGAAACCATGGCCCGAGCTGTGCCTTGGCCGCTTTTAGCCATTGGTAGAGCAGCTGGGATGCAGGGCACCAAGTCCCTAGTCTGCACACAGCAGGGGGTGCCCTGGGCCCAGACCAGGAAACAATTTTGTTCTCCTAGACTCTGGGCCTGTGATGAGAGGGACTGCCACAAACGTCTCTGGTATGCCCTGGAGACATTTTCCCTATTGTTTTGGCAATTAATATTTGGCTCCTTATTACTTATGCAAACTTCTGCAACCAGTATGAGTTTCTCCTCAGAAAATGGGTTTTTCTTTTCTATCGCATTGCAAGGCTGCACATTTTTCAAACTTTTATGCTGTTTCCCTTTTAAAACTGAGTACTTTTAACAGCACCCAAGTCACCTCTTGAATATTTTGCTGCTTAGAAATTTCTTCTGCCAGATACCCTAAATCATCTCCCTCAAGTTCAAAGTTCCACAAATCTCTAGGGTGGAGCAAAATGCCACTAGTCTCTTTGCTAAAACATAGCAAGAGTCACCTTTACCCCAGCTCCCAACAAGTTCCTCATCTCCATCTAAGACCACGTCAGCCTAGATTTCATTGTCCATATTATTATCAGCATTATTGGTCAAAGCCATTCAACAAGTCTCTAGGAAGTTCCAAACTTTCCCACATTTTCCTGTCTTGTTCTGAGCCCTTCAAACTGTTTCAACCTCTGCCTTTTACCCAGTTCCAAAGTTGCACCCACATTTTTGGGTATCTTCACAGCAGCACCCCACTCTACTGGTACCAATTTACTGCATTAGTCTATTTTTATACTGATGAAAAAGACATACCTGAGACTGGGTAATTTATAAAGAAAAAGAGGTTTAATGGACTCACCATTCCACATGGCTGGGGAGGCCTCACAATCATGGTGGAAGGTGAAAAGCACGGTCTTACATGGTGGCACGCACCAGATTATAAAGAAAAAGAGGTTTAATGGACTCACCATTCCACATGGCTGGGGAGGCCTCACAATCATGGTGGAAGGTGAAAGGCACGGTCTTACATGGTGGCACGCACCAGAGAATGAACCAAGCAAAAGGAGAAATGCCTTATAAAATCATCATTGCTAGCGCAGCAGTCTGAGATCGAACGGCAAGGCGGCAGTGAGGCTGGGGGAGGGGTGCCCGCCACTACTGAGGCTTGAGTAGGTAAACAAAGCAGCTGAGAAGCTCAAACTGGGTGGAGCCCACCACAGCGCAAGGAAGCCTGCCTGCCTCTGTAGACTCCACCTCTCGGGGCAGGGCATAGCTGAACAAAAGGCAGCAGAAACCTCTGCAGACTTAAATGTCCCAGTCTGACAGCTTTGAAGAGAGTAGTGGTTCTCCCAGCACAGAGTTTGAGATCTGAGAACGGACAGACTGCCTCCTCAAGTGGGTGCCTGACCCCCGAATAGCCTAACTGGGAGGCACCCCCCAGTAGGGGCAGGTTGACACCTCACACGGCAGGGTACCCCTCTGAGATGAAGCTTCCAGAGGAAGGATCAGGCAGCAACATTTGTGTTCAGCAATATTCGCTGTTCTGCAGCCTCTGCTGCTGACACCTAGGCAAACAGGGTCTGGAGTGGATCTCCAGCAAAATCCAACAGACCTGCAGCTGAGGGTCCTGACTGTTAGAAGGAAAACTAACAAACAGAAAGGACATCCACACCAAAACCCCATCTGTACATCACCATCATCAAAGACCAAAGGTAGATAAAACCACAAAGATGGGGAAAAAACAGAGCAGAAAAGCTGAAAATTCTGAAAATTAGGGCACTTCTCTCCCTCCAAAGGAATGCAGCTCCTCACCAGCAATGCAACAAAGCTGGATGGAGAATGACTTGACGAGTTGAGAGAAGAAGGCTTCAGATGATCAAACTTCTCCGAGCTAAAGAAGGAAGTTTGAACCCATCGCAAAGAAGCTAAAAACCTTGAAAAAAGATTGGACAAATGGCTAACTAGAATAACCAATGTAGAGAAGTCCTTAAATGACCTGATGGAGCTGAAAACCATGGCACAAGAACTACGTGATGAATGCACAAGCTTCAGTAGCTGATTTGATCAACTGTAAGAAAGGGTATCAGTGATTAAAGATCAAATGAATGAAATGAAGTGAGAAGAGAAGTTTAGAGAAAAAAGAGTAAAAAGAAATGAACAAAGCCTCCAAGAAATATGGGACTATGTGAATAGACCAAATCTACGTCTTATTGGTGTACATGAAAGTGACAGGGAGAATGGAACCAAGCTGGAAAACACTCTGCAGGATATTATCCAGGAGAACTTCCCCAACCTAGCAAGGTAGGCCAACATTCAAATTCAGGAAATACAGAGAACGCCACAAAGATACTCCTCGAGAAAAGCAACTCAAAGACATATAATTGTCAGATACACCAAAGTTGAAATGAAGGAAAAAATGTTAAGGGCAGCCAGAGAGAAAGGTCGGGTTACCCACAAAGGGAAGCCCATCAGACTAACAGCTGATCTCTTGGCAGAAACTCTACAAGCCCGAAGAGAGTGGGGGCCAATATTCAACATTCTCAAAGAAAAGAATTTTCAACCCAGAATTCCATATCCAGCCAAACTAAGCTTCAAAAGTGAAGGAGAAATAAAATCCTTTACAGACAAGCAAATGCTGAGATTTTGTCACCACCAGGCCTGCCCTACAAGAGCTCCTGAAGGAAGCACTAAACATGGAAAGGAACAACAGGTACCAGCCACTGCCAGCCACTGCAAAACCATGCCAAATTGTGAAGACCATCGATGCTAGGAAGAAACTGCATCAACTAACAAGCAAAATAACCAGGTAACATCATAATGACAGGACCAGATTCACACATAACACTACTAACCTTAAATGTAAATGGGCTAAATGCTCCAATTAAAAGACACACACTGGCAAATTGGATAAAGAGTCAAGACCCATCAGTGTGCTGTATTCAGGAGACCCATCTCATGGGCAGAGACACACTTAGGCTCAAAATGAAGGGATGGAGGAAGACCTACCAAGCAAATGGAAAACAAAAAAAGGCAGGGGTTGCAATCCTAGTCTCGGATAAAACAGACTTTAAACCAACAAAGATCAACAGACAAAGAAGGCCATTACATAATGGTAAAGGGATCAATTCAACAAGAAGAGCTAACTATCCTAAATATATATGCACCCAATACAGGAGCACCCAGATTCATAAAGTGAGTCCTTAGGGATCTACAAAGAGACTTAGAGTCCCAGACAATAACAGTGGGAGACTTTAACACCCCACTGTCAACATTAGACAGATCAATGAGACAGAAAGTTAACAAGGATACCCAGGAATTGAACTCAGCTCTGCACCAAGTGGACCTAATAGACATCTACAGAAATCTCCACCCCAAATCAACAGAATATACATTCTTCTCAGCACCACATCTCACATATTCCAAAATTGACCACATAGTTGGAAGTAAAGCTCTCCTCAGCAAATGTAAAAGAACAGAAATTATAACAAACTGTCTCTCAGACCACTGTGCAAAGAACTAGAACTCAGGATTAAGAAACTCACTCAAAACCGCTCAACTACATGGAAACTGAACAACCTGCTCCTGAATGACTACTGGGTACATAACGAAATGCAGGCAGAAATAAAGATGTTCTTTGAAACCAATGAGAACACAGACACAACATAGCAGAATCTCTGGGACACATTTAAAGCAGTGTGTAGAGGGAAATTTATAGTACTAAACGCCCACAAGAGAAAGCACGAAAGATCTAAAATTGAAACCCTAATATCACAATTAAAAGAACTAGGGAAGCAAGAGCAAACACATTCAAAAGCTAGCAGAAAGCAAGAAATAACTAAGATCAGAGCAGAACTGAAGGAAATAGAGACATAAAAAACCGTGAAAAAATCAATGATTCCAGGAGCTGGTTTTTTGAAAAGATCAACAAAATTGATAGACTGCTAGCAAGACTAATAAAGAAAAGAGAGAAGATCAAATAGATGCAATAAAATATGACAACGGGGATATCACCACTGATCCCACAGAAATACAAACTACCATCAGAGAATACTATAAACACCTTAACGCAAATTAACTAGAAAATCTAGAAGCCATGGATAAATTCCTCGACAGATAAACTCTCCCAAGACTGAACCAGGAAGAGGTTGAATCCCTGAATACAACAATAGCAGGCTCTGAAATTGAGGCAATAATTAATAGCCTAACAACCAAAAAACATCCAGGACCAGACAGATTCACAGCCAAATTCTACCAGAGGTACAAGGAAGAGCTGGTACCATTCCTTCTGAAACTATTCCAATCAATAAAAAAGAGGGAATCCTCCCTAACTCATTTTATGAGGCCAGCATCATCCTGATACTAAAGCCTGACAGAGACACAACAAAAAAAGAGAATTTTAGACCAATATCCTTGATGAACATTAATGCAAAAATCCTCAATAAAATACTGGCAAACCGAATCCAGCAGCACATCAAAAAGCTGATCCACCATGATCAAGTGGGCTTCATCCCTGGGATGCAAGGCTGGTTCAACATATGCAAATCAATAAACGTAATCCAGCATATAAACAGAACCAAAGACAAAAACCACATGATTATCTCAATAGATGCAGAAAAGGCCTTTGACAAAATTCAACAGGACTTCATGCTAAAAACTCTCAATAAATTAGGTATTGATGGGATGTATCTCAAAATAATAAGAGCTATTTATGACACACCCACAGCCAATATCATACTGAATGGGCAAAAACTGAAAGCATTCCCTTTGAAAACTGGCACAAGACAGGGATGCCCTGTCTCATCACTCCTATTCAACATAGTGTTGGAAGTTCTGGCCAGGGCAATCAGGCAGGAGAAAGAAATAAAGGGTATTCAGTTTGGAAAAGAGGAAGTCAAATTGTCCCCGTTTGCAGATGACATGATTGTATATTTAGAAAACGCCATCGTCTCAGCCCAAAATCTCTTTAAGCTGATAAGCAACTTCAGCAAAGTCTCAGGATACAAAATCAATGTGCAAAAATCACAAGCATTCCTACACACCAATAACAGACAAACAGAGAGCCAAATCATGAGTGAACTCCCATTCACAATTGCTTCAAAGAGAATAAAATACCTAGGAATCCAACTTACAAGGGATGTGAAGGACCTCTTCAAGGAGAACTACAAACCACTGCTCAATGAAATAAAAGAGGACACAAGCAAATGGAAGAACATTCCATGCTCAAGGATAGGAAGAACCAATATCGTGAAAATGACCATACTGCCCAAAGTAATGTATAGATTCAATGCCATCCCCATCAAGCTACCAATGAGCTTCTTCACAGAATTGGAAAAAACTACTTTAAAGTTCATATAGAACCACAAAAGAGCCCACATTGCCAAGACAATCCTAAGCCAAAAGAACAAAGCAGGAGGCATCACACTACCTGACTTCAAACTATACAAGGCTACAGTAACCAAAACAGCATGGTACTGGTACGAAAACAGAGATATAGACGATGGAACAGAACAGAGCCCTCAGAAATAATGCCACACATCTACAACCATCTGATCTTTGACAAACCTAACAAAAACAAGAAATGGGGGAAGGATTCCCTATTTAATAAATGGTGTTGGGAAAACTGGCTAGCCATATGTAGAAAGCTGAAACTGGACCCCTTCCTTACTCCTTATACAAAAATTAATCCAAGATGGATTGAAGACTTAAATGTTAGACCTAAAACCATAAAAACCCTAGAAGAAAACCTAGGCAATACCATTCAAGACATAGGCATGGTCAAGGACTTCATGTCTAAAACACCGAAAGCAATGGCAACAAAAGACAAAATTGACAAATGGGATCTAATTAAACTAAAGAGCTTCTGCACAGCAAAAGAAACTACCATCAGAGTGTACAGGCAACCTACAGAATGAGAGAAGATTTTTGCAATCTACCCATCTGACAAAGGGCTAATATCCAGAATCTTCAAAGAACTCAAACAAATTTACAAGAAAAAAACAAACAACCCCATCAAAAAGTGCACAAAGGATATGAACAGACACTTCTCAAAAGAAGACATTTATGTAGCCAACAGACACATGAAAAAAATGCTTATCATCACCGGCCATCAGAGAAATGCAAATCAAAACCACAATGAGATACCATCTCACACCAATTAGAATGGCGATCATTAAAAAGTCAGGAAACAACAGGTGCTGGAGAGGATGTGGAGAAATAGGAACACTTTTACACTGTTGGTGGCACTGTAAACTATTTCAACCATTGTGGAAGTCGGTGTGGCGATTCTTCAGGGATCTAGAACTAGAAATACCATTTGACCCAGCCATCCCATTACTGGGTATATAAGCAACATATTATAAATCATGCTGCTATAAAGACACATGCACACGTATGTTTATTGTGGCACTATTCACAATAGCAAAGACTTGAAACCAACACAAATGTCCGTCAATGATAGACTGGACTAAGAAAATTTGGCACATATAAACCATGGAATACTATGCAGCCATAAAAAATGATGAGTGCATGTCCTTTGTGGGGACATGGATGAAGCTGGAAACCATCATTCTCAGCAAACTATCGCAAGGAAAAAAACCAAACACCTCATGTTCTCACTCATAGGTGGGATTTGAACAATGAGAACACTTGGACACAGGAAGGGGAACATCACAGGAAGGGACACAGGATGGGCCTGTCATGGGGTGGGGGCAGGGGGGAGGGAAAGCATTAGGAGATATACCTAATGTAAATTATGAGTTAATGGTTGCAGCACACCAACATGGCACATGTATACATATGTAACAAACCTGCACGTTGTGCACATGTACCCTAGAACTTAAAGTATAATAATAAAAAAACCTCATAGTTAATATAATAATTGTGAGTAATATTTTTCTCATAACATCAGGATGAGAAGATGTCTGCTTCCATCACTAGTATTCAACATTTTAATGAAGTTTCTAGCCAGGACAATTACAAAAAAAAAAAGAAACAAAGGACATCAAGTTTAGAAGTGATGTAGTAAAAATTATGTCTATCTGAAGATGGTATGATTTTGTGTATAGAAAATCCTAAAGAATTCACTAAAATCTACTAGAGCTAATAAATGAATTCAGAAATGTTGCAGGACATACCAATCAACCTACAAAATTCAATTGTTTTTCTATACCTCAGCAGTTAATAATCCAAAAATGAAACTGAGAAAATAATTATATTCGCAATAGCATCTAAAATAATAAAACACTTTGCATGAATTTAGTGATATAAGTACAACATTTGTACACTGAATACCACAAAAATTCATGGAAAGAAATCAAAGCAAATCTAAATAAATGGAAATCCATAAATGGGTCCATGATATGGATCATATCACTTATTACTGTAAAGATGGCAATACTCTTCAAATTGATCTGCAGATTTGACAAAAACCTTATCAAAATATCAGCTGGTATTTTTGCAAAAATGGACAGGCTGATCCTAAAGTTCATATGGAAATGCAAACCATCTTGAAAGAGATGCCAAACCATTTTGAAAAAGAAACTCAAAGTGGGAGAACTCAAAATTATTATTATTAATTGTTGCATAACATTCTGTTACTTCAATGCACAATGTATTTCAAAACAAATTTTGAATTGTTGAATATTTAGGAGGTCTTCACTTTTTTGCATAATGCAATAATATTTTTATACATTTTTATGCAGATCTTTGATACCTTAGAATAAGTTTTGGGGAGCTGAATTACCAGGGGAAAATGTATGAATTACTTGCAGGTTTTGAGACATAAGTCCAAAAGGCTTTTAGTAAAGTTCTGAAAATATAATAGCCTTACCAGCATGCTTGAAAATTTCCTGAATTTAAGAACACGTTAGATATTATAATGCTGTAATGTTTCCTAAAATGTAGTTGATTGTTACCTATTGTTTTTAACTTGCTGTTTTTGTTAATCAGTTGAAAGTACCATTTTCCATTATTTGCTGACCTTTTGTATTTCTTTTTTAAATGTTTGGTCCTATTATTTACCCATTCTGTTTGAGAATTTACCATTGTTAACAAAATATTGTCATTAAATTATTATAATTTATACCATAAAATTTCTCTTTTGTGAATTTTTAAATACAACCAGTTTAGGGAGTAATAGATTTTATTTCATGGAGTTGAAATGATAAAGTAGATAAAACATTTAAAGTGTTTAGTTCAGTGCTCGGCACATAGAAAGTCCTTAATTAATGTTAATTATTCTTATTCTCATTATTGATAGTAATATTAACAATCATCCTCAAATGAGAAGAAATTTCTCCAAATTGTGCCATTTTTTTAGGTGAGGAGTGTGCGTTGCTAGTGACCTCGCTCTGTGACTAACTGGATGCTTGGACCCTTATATACTTGATTGGAAGTCTCGTTGTGATAGCTCCCACTAAACACTCTAGAGACTGGGAGTCCTGTATCTCATACAACTTTGCATAACCAAGTTGGGACTTTCTCCTATGGAAGTGATAGAATATATTGAAAAACAAAACAAAACAAAAAAACAAAAACTCTCCACAGCATACAGCAAACTTTGGGAAGCACAGGGCTCTTTTTTATGCTTCAGTTGTTTTAATAGAATCTATAGCCCTGGGAGTGTACAGTTCCTCTTCCATTCCTCTTTCTCCTCCATCCTTACACCTCCATCCCTCACTCCCATAATATTCTGCCCTTTCTTCCCTCTCTCTGTTTAGCTATACAAAGATGAGTGTTGTGGGGACACTTCTCTGGCAAACCTAAAATGTAGCACCTAACCAGTAAAGAAATGTCAACCTAGGTTTTCAGGGTGAGTAGTTTCTAGGTCTCTAAACTGAACAAGACAACAAAGAATGTTTATGTTGTTTCCTACTTTCTCTAAGATAATTGTTCCTCTTTTCACTGTGTTTTAATTTATTTTTGAATGGGAAGGCAGTTGTGAGAGGCTGCATCAGAACTTGCTAACAAGATAAGTATTTTTAGAGACTCATGCCAATGGTTGATTTTTGTAATTCTCAGAATACTGAGATACTACTAGAGTGCTTTGCATAAAGTAGGGCTCAATAAATATTCATTGAATGAGTCCATGAATGAATCTCCTTCTTTCCTTTAGTCTCTGTCTTGTCCTTCATCTAAAATGGTTGTCACACATTTAGATTCTTTCATTTCTAGGGAAAGTTCTCCCTCTGGAATTTTTATTAAAATTATGTCTTGGGACGTCTAATCTCTAATGTGCAGGGGTACAGGAAGGCATTGCTGAAGTCTTTTCACATTCCACTCTGGAGAGGGTAACAGACTGCTTTTGTAACATGCAAAATTGATGACTCTCTAGGACATGAAGATAAATACAGTTTATATACTTCAGGTCACTGTTACTCATTGCTGTTTCCATGCCTCATATGTTAGATTTGATTCCTTGCCCCCTTGGTGACCCAGCCATCTCGGGATGAATTGATTCTCTCTCTTTGTGACAACACTCTGCTTTTATAAACCACAAGCACGGCTCTTATCTTCCACTGAGACTATTTTATATCCCTGATCCCTCAGCTGAAGGTGATCCAGGACAGAGATTTTGTCCAACTCATTTTTCTATGGAATCTACTATGAAGTTAGTGCGTGATAAATGTTTTTAAACAAATATTAATAGCTAATGAATAAACTGCTGGAAGAAACTGAAAACTGTTTTTCATGTCTCTTTGTTGCTGGGCTTTTGTTGGCTAGACCCCTGGGTAATGCTGTGTTTATCCAGCCTGACTTCTCCACAGTTGTGATTACATTCTAACATAGGTATCAAGGTTAGCCTGTAGTAGAGAGTTGGCAAGGTTTGCTTCAAGACTCACATGGTGGGGAAGAAAATTAGGCCTTGGAGAATTAGCTGAAGTCCCTCAGAGGATAAGACAATAATCTCCCTACCAAGTTCAAACGGTCAAAAAATCTGAGAAAAACAAGCAAAGTACTAGAGGCTTCGGGAAGCTGTTGCAGAGTAAGGACTAGTGTCCACGTTGATACACAAGGAAAAGATGACACAAATAAGCAGGAATCAAGTCAATCTCCAGCTTAAAACCCACCAACTTCTCCAATACTATGGTATGGGGCCAAAAAAGTAGTAAGCCTACTTTTCAAGATGGCACCTGTCCACCTTTTCTGCAACATTTTCAAAACTCTGCCTTTCAAGCAGATGCACCAGCAGTGTCCAAGAAGTTTAGAACACTTCACATGCTATATTGATTTTAAAAAACCTGTTGGGGAAAAATAACTGTAGACTCATGGGAAGTTGCAAAAATAATACAGAGAGGTCCTGTGTACCCATTACCCAGTTTCCCCCAGCAATGACATCCTATATAACTATAATGCATCATTGAAACCAGAATGTTAACTCTGCTGTTTGTTACCTCAGTAGCCTTGCTCAAGCTGATCCTTCTGTTTGCAATAATGCTCATTACCTAGTCTCAGTCAGACATCACCTCCTTTAGTAATTCTTTGTTAGCCTTAAATTCTATTCACATAGCACCCTGTGTATATTTGTATCACAACATATCTTATAATAATAATCTGTTTTCTCCTGCACGGACTGTGAGCTCCTTAATGGCAAAATCTAAGTTTGCTTCATCTATATATCCTTACTCAGTGATAATTTATAATGTTGGCACATTATAGATAATGCATACTTGTTGAAGAAATGAACTAATGAAATGTTTCAAGGTAACATATCGATGTTATAATATCGATGGAAAGAAAGGGATTATTTAAGAAGTAGTCTGCAATACTTGGTGATTGATTATATGAGACAAGGGTTGAGTGATGAGAGATAGAGAGAGGACACTGGGATCCTGTAATTTAGTAGGTTTAGTGGATAGGGTTGCTTGGTGCCCCAGAATCTACTCCAACTGTTTTTTTTTTTCCTGGCACTAGAATTGACTTTTAATTTGTCCTAAAGCTGCTGAAGCAAAAACCATGATAAAACATCCTGCTTTCTTTTCTTTTACAACCCCCCGAATGCAAAAAAAAACAAAAACAAAAACAAAAAAAACAATGAAAACCCAAACAATTTGTAGGAAAAAATGATTTGGTCCATGGGATGAAACAGTATAAATTCAAAACTTACAGATAAGAGTTACCTCTATCACTCAACTCTTTAAAAATCTTATATGAATATCCAGTCAAAACCAACAAGGTATTGCCCTTGAAATGTTATCTATACAGATTTCCAAGGAGAACCCAGGACTGTATACTGTCTTGGAATGTCCTCAGAAGGCTCTGTCAGGCCTACACTCTTGATTCCAGTGGTGGAGCATTTGACAAAGGTCTAGACAATCAAAATGCTTTCCAAGGAATGTTGACCATTTTAGAGTTTGTCACCTGACCTAAGCTACTTCATGTTCCTTTTAGGGGGCCTACCCCTGCAAAAAAGGCTTTTGATCTTTTCTTCTGCACTTGCAGTGGGGAGGTTATGAATCAGAGGCTGCTGTAGCTCTTCTGATCCCCCACGGATGAATCTGGCTGTGTTGGAAGTCATCAAGTGAGAGAATTGAGAGAAAGCAAGTCTGGATGATACTTTATGGAACCCAAATTGAGCCATGCCTGACGAAAACTCTTTACCTTGGATCAAAGGAGATGACACTTTGAGTGAATGAATTACCTCTTTCACTAGAGCTATTTTGAATTGGTAATTTTTTAAAGAAAGGGTCCTAACTGACATCTAAAAATTCTGTTCGAGAGTATCAGAACTTTCTGGATTTTTCTTTCCTCATTCAGAATGTTTTCTAGTAGATTTATAGTTAAAAGGTCCAACCAGCGTAAAAGCTTCTCTTTTTAAAAAATAAAACTTGGCAAAGATACTCATTTCAAATGGTGCCTCAGGTCACTCAACTTTTTAGGAGGTCTCATTTCACAGCAGTTACAAATATCCATGCATTTGAAACTGCAGGCAAACTTTTTTTTTCTTTTCTCTTTTCTCTTTTGAGATGGGAGATGGGGTCTCTCTTTGTTGCCAAGGCTGGAGTTCAGCCATGTGATCATAGCTCTCTGCAGCCTCAAAGCCTTGGGCTCAAGCAATCCTCCCAGCTTCCCAAGTAGTTAGGACAACAGGCATGCCTTGCCTGTTTTTTGTTTTTTTTTTTTTTCCTGTGGAGACAGGGTCTCACTGTGTTGCCCAGGCTGGTCTCAAACTCCTGGCCACAAGCGATCTTCCCGCTTTGGCCTCCCAAAATGCTGGGATTACAGGCATGGGCCACCATGTCCGGCCCAAACCTGGTTTATAATCGTGACTTTTCCAAGTACTATCTGCATGACTTGTACATGTTTTTCACTTCTTGAAGCCTCAATTCTAGCATCTGGTGAATGGGAATAAAAATATCTACCTAACTGCTGTGAAAATTAAATGAGATAATGTTTGTAAAACATTGTATCCAGCATTTAGCAAGTGCTAGTTATTTGATGGAGAAGAAAAGAACAAAAACAAGAACAAGAAGCAGAAGAAAAAGAATAATAATAAGAAGAGGAATAGGGAGAAAAATTAAGAGAAAAGAAAGAGGAGGAGAAAAAGGAAATTAAGGAAAGGAAAAGAAATAAGGCTTTATACACTCTATCAAGTAGATCAAAATCTTGATCATGAATGAAGAATCTACAACACTGAGCATGAATCTCACTGCCCTGCCAATAGTCTGTCTTCCACTTCTACAACATCTCAGGATACTGTTGGTCTCACTGGTAGCGATAGGTAAATTATTCTCCTGCTTTCACAATAGGAATCTCAATGCTGAATAAGTTTACTGAAAAGTTTTAAGTCTCTTTCTGTTTTATTGAAACTTTTACTTTTTTTTTTTTTTGATACAGGGTTTTATTTTGTCAGTCAAGCTGGAATGCAGTGGCGTGAACATTGCTTACTGCAGCTTCAATCTCCTGAGGTCAAACAATCTTCTCACCTCAGCCTCGCAAGCAGCTAGGACTACAGGCATGTGCCACCACGCCCCACTAATTTTTTAATTTTTCTTTTGTGGAGACGCAGTCTTGTTATCTTGAACAGGCTGGTCTTGAACTCTTGGAGTCAAGCAATCCTTCTGCCTCAGACTCTCAAAGTGCTGGGATTACAGGCATGAGCCACCACATTCAGCCAGGAAAAGTTTTTGTACATTTAAAAAATTATAGGATATTTGTGTATATAGCTTTGCTGGTTTGACTTCCTAGAATAGCTCCCAGGAACACAAAGTACTTAATTGATTAGTATAAAATGATTATGTCATACTCACATGTTGGTTTTCTAAATGCACTTAATTTTTCTGATTAAGAACTGAAAACTATGCTGACCAGGGACACTGTAGACCTGTGGCTCATTTTTGCATAAAGGTTATGTGTTTATTGTCTGATTTGGTCATGCCTATAGGCCAATAGTGTTTTATTTTGAAATGTTTCAAACTTACAATAAGGCACAAAAATAATATAATAGACACCATGGTCTCAGCATCCAGATTTAAGAGATGTTAAGATGTTACTACGTTTGCTTCAGACTTTTCTAACACACACACAAAATACTAGAGATGCAGCCAAAACCCCATCTATCAATCCCTTCCTCTTCTCTCCAGAGGTAGCTATTACATTGAAGTCGGTATGTAATATTTCCATGTTTGGCTTTGTACATGTTCTACTTATGTATGTATTCATTAACTTCGTACTACTTTTTAATGTTCTTATATAGTTTCATTAGTAACATCCCAGAGGGCATATCATTTGTGAGTTTGATTTTCTCACTCTTCATTTCTTTTTTGGGGATAATTTATTCTTGGTACATGTAGATCTCCTCACTCCACTACAATTGCTTTATGGTACTTAATATATGAATAAACTATGGTATATTTATTTCCTACTGATGGACAGTTAGGCTGTTTCTTCTTTTTGCTATAACACTGGTGTAATGAATATCCTTGTACAATTCTTAAAATTTTCTTTGCTTTCTAGTTGTCTAGAAATCTAGGCATAGACTTTTTGAATCATTAACACTAACATCTTTAGCTTTTTAGGGTATTGCCAAGTTGCATTTCAAAGTAGTTTTACCAGTATATATTCACATAAACAGTATGCTGGTTTCTACTTTTTCATATTCTTGCCAATACTTGGTGTTTGTAACACTTAAAATGTTCCCATCCTGCAAATTCACACATGACAATATTAACCTGAAATGTAAATGGGCTAAATGCTCCAATTCAAAGGCACAGACTGGCAAATTGGATAAAGAATCAAGACCCATAGGTATGCTGTATTCAGGTGACCCATCTCATGTGCAAAAACACACATAGGCTCAAAATAAACGGATGGAGGAATATTTACCAGGCAAATAGAAAGCAAAAACAAAAACAAAAAAAAGCAGGGCTTGCAATTCTAGTCTCTGATAAAAACAGACCTTAAACCAACAAAGATCAAAAAAGACAAAGAAGGGCATTACATAATGGTAAAGGGATCAATGCAACAAGAAGAGCTAATTATTCTAAATATATATGAACCCAATACAGGAGCACTCAGATTCATAAAGCAAGTTCTTAGAGATCTACAAAGAGACTTAGACTCCCACACAATAATAGTGGGAGACTTTAACACTCCACTGTCAATATTAGATCAACGAGACAGAAAATTAACAAGGATATTCAGGAGTTGAACTCAGCTCTGAACCAGGCAGACCTAACAGACATCTACATAACTCTCCACCCCAAATCAACAGAATATACATTCTTCTCAGCACAACATCACACTTATTCTAAAATTGACCACATAATTGGAAGTAAAACACTCCTCAGCAAAAGCAAAAGAATGCAAATCATAACAGTCTCTCAGACCACAGTGCAATCAAATTAGAACTCAGGATTAAGAAATTCACTGAAAATTGCACAACTGCATGGAAACTGAACAACCTGTTCCTGAATGACTACTGGGTAAATAATGAAATGAAGGCAGAAATAAATAAGTTCTTTGAAACCAATGGAACAAAGACACAATGTACCAGAATCTCTGGGACACAGCTAAAGCAGTATTTAGAGGAAAATTTATAGCACTAAATGCCCACAAGGGAAAGCAGGAAAGATCTAAAATCAACACCCTAACATCACAATTAAAAGAACTAGAGAAGCAAGAGCAAACACATTCAAAAACTAGCAGAAGACAAAACATAACTAAGATCAGAGCAGAATTGAAGGAGACAGAGACACAAAAAAACCTTCAAAAAAATCAATGAATCCAGGAGCTGGCTTTTTGAAAAGATCAACAAAATTGATAGACCACTAGCCAGACTAATAAAGTAGAAAAGAGAGAATAATCAAATAGACACAATAAAAAATGATAAAGGGGATATCACCACTGATCCCACAGAAATACAAACTACCATCAGAGAATATTATAAACACCTCTACGCAAATAAACTAGAAAATCTAGAAGAAATAGATAAAATTCCTGGACACATACACCCTCCCAAGACTAAACCAGAAAGAAGTTGAATCCATGAACAGACCAATAACAAGTTCTGAAACTGAGGCAGTAGTTAATACCTACCAACCAAAAAAAGACCAGGACCACATGGATTCACAGCCGAATTCTACCAGATGTATAAAGAAAAGCTGGTACCACTCCTTCTGAAACTATTCCAATCAATAGAAAAAGAGGGACTCCTCCTGAACTCATTTTATGAGGCAAGCATCATCCTGATATCCAAACCTGGCAGAGACACAACAAAAAAAGAAAATCTTAGGCTAATATCCCTGATGAGCACTGATGCAAAAATCCTCAATAAAATACTGGCAAACTGAATCCAGCAGCACATCAAAAAGCTTATCCACCATGATCAAGTTGGCTTCATCCCTGGGATGCAAGGCTGGTTCAATATACACAAATTAATAAACATAATCTATCACATAAACAGAAACAATGACAAAAACCATATGATTATTTCAATAGATGCAGAAAAGGCCTTTGATAAAATTCAACACCCCTTCATGCTAAAAACTCTCAATAAACTAGGTATTGGTGGAATGTATCTCAAAATAATAAGAGCTATTTATGAAAAACCCACAGCCAATATCATACTGAATGGGCAAAAGCTGGAAGCATTCCCTTTGAAAACTGACACGAGACAAGAATGCCCTCTCTCACCACTCCAATTCAACAGAGTACTGGAAGTTCTGGCCAGGGCAATCAGGCAACAGAAAGAAATAAAGTGTATTCAAATAGGAAGAAAGGAAGTCAAACTGTCTCTGTTTGCAGATGATATAATTGTATTTTTACAAAATCCCATCGTCTCAGCCCAAAATCTCCTTAAGCTGATAAGCAACTTCAGGAAAGTCTCTCTCAGGATACAAAATCAATGTGTAAAAATCACAAGCATTAATATACACCAATGATAAACAAACAGAGAGCTAAATCATGAGTGAACTCCCATTCACAATTGCTACAAAGAGAATAAAATACCTAGGAATCCAACTTACAAGGGATGTGAAGGACCTCTTCAAAGAGAACTACAAACCACTGCTCAAGGAAATAAGAGAGGACACAAAGAAATGGAAAAACATTTCATGCTCACGGATAGGAAGAATCAATAACCTGAAAATGGCCATACTGGCCAAAGTAATTCGTAGATTCAATGCTATACCCATGAAGCTACCATTGGCTTTCTTCACAGAATTAGGAAAAACTTTAAATTTCATATGGAACCAAAAAAGAGCACATATAGCCAAGACAATCCTAAGCAAAAAGAACAAAGCTAGAGGCATCACGCTACCTGTTTTCAAACTATATTACAAGGCTACAGTAACCAATACAGCATGGTACTGGCACCAAAACAGATACATAGACCAATGTAACAGAACAGAGGCCTCAGAAATAACACCACACATCTACAACCACCTGATCTTTGACAAACATGTCACAAACAAGCAATAGGGAAAGGAATCCCTATTTAATAAATGGTGTTGGGAAAACTGGCTAGCCATATGCAGAAAACTGAAACTGGACCCCTTCCTTACACCTTATACAAAAATTAACTCAAGATGGATTAAAGACCTAAACGTAAGACATAAAACCATAAAAACCCTAGAAGAAAACCTGGTAATACCATTCAGGACATAGGCATGGGCAAAGACTTCATGACTAAAACACCAAAAGCAATGGTAACAGAAGCCAAAATTGACAAATTGGTTCTAATTAAACTAAAGAGCTTCTGCACTGCAAAAGAAACTACCATCAGAGTGAACAGGTAACCTAATAGAATGGGAGAAAAGTTTTGCAATCTACTCATCTGACAAAGGGCTAATATCCAGAATCTACAAGGAACTTAAACAAACTTACAAGAAAAAAATAAAACCCCCCTTCAAAAAGTGGGTGAAGGATATGAACATACACTTTTCAAAAGAAGACATTTATGCAGCCAACAAACATGAAAAAAAGCTCATCATAACTGGTCATTAGAGAAATGCAAATCAAAATCACAATGAGATACCATCTCATGCCAGTTAGAATGGCGATCATTGAAAAGTCAGGAAACAACAGATGCTGGAGAGCATGTGGAGAAATAGGAACACTTTTACACTGTTGGTGGGAGTGTAAGTTAGTTCAACCATTGTGGAAGACAGTGTGGCAATTCCTGAAGGATCTAGGACTTGGAATACCATTTGACCCAGCAATCCCATTACTGGGTATATCCCCAAAGGATTATAAATTATTCTATAAAGACACATGCACATGTATGTTTATTGCAGCACTATTCACAATAGCAAAGACTTGGAACCAACCCAAATTTCCACTAATGATAGACTGGATAAAGAAAATGTGGCACATATACACCATGGAACACTAGGCAGCCATAAAAAAGGATGATTTCATGTCCTTTGCAGGGACATGGATGAAGCTGGAAACCATCATTCTCAGCAAACTAACATAAAAACAGAAAACCAAACATTATATGTTCTCACTCATAAGTGGGAGTTGAACAATGAGAACACATGGACACAAGGAGGGGAACATGACACACTGGGGCTTGCCGGGGGCTGGAGAGCAAGGGGAGGGATAGCATTAGAAGAAATACCTAATGTAGATGTTGGGTTGATTGGTGCAGCAAAGCACCATGGCAGGTATATACCTATGTAACAAACCTTCACGTTCTGCACATGTAAACAGAACTTAAAGTATAATAATAAAAAAAAAAGTCCCCACCCTGATAGGCAGAAGATAATGCCTTAATGATATTTTAACTTCTGTTCCCCTTCTTTTGGGAGAAAACAAATAGTCACATGGTCATAAAAGACTGGGAAATGAAGTCCGGCCTTGGACAGCCACCCCACAGTGCCAACTCCACATTGTGGAAGGAGCACACATTTCTGGTGGACAGCTAGCTGACTAATTAATGAGACTAGTGACTAGTCTCAGCCACTGACTAATTTTTTAAAAATGCTTCCACTGACTTAGCTCTCATTATCAATTACTGAAAGACACAGGTTAAAATTCTCCATTATCACTGCATATTTGTCAAATTTTCTTTGTAACTCATTTTTTGCTTATATGAATTTTTATGCTGTGTTGTTAGGAGTCTACAGGCTCAACGTTATTTTGTTTTCCTAGTGAGTTGTTTATTTTCACATTATGTAATGGCGCTCTTTATCTGTGTGGTTTTTTTAAATTAAATTTTATTATTATTATACTTTAAGTTTTAAGGTACATGTGCACAATGTACAGGTTAGTTACATATGTATACATATGCCATGGTGGTGCGCTGCACCCATTAACTCATCATTTAGCATTAGGTGTATCTCCTAATGCTATCCCTCCTCCCTCCCCCCACCCCCCAACAGTCCCCAGAGTGTGATGTTCCCCTTCCTGTGTCCATGTGTTCTCATTGTTCAATTCCCACCTATGAGTGAGAACATGCGGTGTTTGGTTTTTTGTCCTTGCAATAGTTCACTGAGAATGATGATTTCCAAGTTCATCCATGTCCCTACAAGGGACATGAACTCATCCTTTTTTATGGCTGCATAGTATTCCATGGTGTATATGTGCCACATTTTCTTAATCCAGTCTATAATTGTTGGACATTTGGGTTGGTTCCAAGTCTTTGCTATTGTGAATAGTGCCGCAATAAACATACGTGTGCATGTGTCTTTATAGCAGCATGATTTATAGTCCTTTGGGTACATACTCAGTAATGGGATGACTAGGTCAAATGGTATTTCTAGTCTTAGATCCCTGAGGAATCGCCACACTGACTTCCACAATGGTGGAACTAGTTTACAGTCCCAACAACAGTGTAAAAATGTTCCTATTTCTCCACATCGTCTCCAGCACCTGTTGTTTCCCGACTTTTTAATGATTGCCATTCCAACTGGTGTGAGATGGTATCTCATTGTGGTTTTGATTTGCATTTCTCTGATGGCCAGTGATGATGAGCATTTTTTCATGTGTCTTTTGGCTGCATAAATGTCTTCTTTTGAGAAGTGTCTGTTCATATCCTTTGCCCACTTTTTGATGGGGTTATTTGCTTTCTTCTTGTAAATTTGTTTGAGTTCATTGTAGATTCTGGATATTTGCCCTTTGTCAGATGAGTAGGTTGCGAAAATTTTCTCCCATTTTGTAGGTTGCTTGTTCACTCTGATGGTAGTTTCTTTTGCTGTGCAGAAGCTCTTCAGTTTAATTAGATCACATTTGTCAATTTTGGCTTTTGTTGCCATTGCTTTTTGTGTTTTAGACATGAAGTCCTTGCCCATGCCTATGTCCTGAATGGTAATGCCTAGGTTTTCTTCTAGGTTTTTTATGGTTTTAGGTCTAATGTTTAAGTCCTTAATCCATCTTGAATTAATTTTTGTATAAGGTGTAAGGAAGGGATCCAGTTTCAGCTTTCTACATATGGCTAGCCAGTTTTCCCAGCACCATTTATTAAATAGGGAATCTTTCCCCATTGCTTGTTTTTGTCAGGTTTGTCAAAGATCAGATAGTTGTAGATAAGAGGCGTTATTTCTGAGGGCTCCGTTCTGCTCCATTGGTCTATATCTCTGTTTTGGTACCAGTACCATGCTGTTTTGGTTACTGTAGCCTTGTAGTATAGTTTGAAGTCAGGTAGCGTGATGCCTCCAGCTTTGTTCTTTTGGCTTAGGATTGACTTGGTGATGCAGGCTCTTTTTTGGTTCTATATGAACTTTAAAGTAGTTTTTTCCAATTCTGTGAAGAAAGTCATTGGTAGCTTGATGGGGATGGCACTGAATCTATAAATTACCTTGGGCAGTATGTCCATTTTCACGATATTGATTCTTCCTACCCATGAGCATGGAATGTTCTTCCGTTTCTTTGTATCCTCTTTTATTTCATTGAGCAGTGGCTTGTAGTTCTCCTTGAAGATGTCCTTCATGTCCCTTGTAAGGTGGATTCCTAGGTATTTTATTCTCTTTGAAGCAATTGTGACTGGGAGTTCACTCATGATTTGGCTCTCTGTTTGTCTGTTGTTCGTGTATAGAAAGGCTTGTGATTTTTGTACATTGATTTTGTATGTTGAGACTTTGCTGAAGTTGCTTATCAGCTTAAGGAGATTTTGGGCTGAGACAATGGGGTTTTCTAGATATACAATCATGTCATCTGCAAACAGGGACAATTTGACTTCCTCTTTTCCTAATTGAATACCCTTTATTTCCTTCTACTGCCTAATTGCCCTGGCCAGAACTTCCAATACTATGTTGAATAGGAGTGGTGAGAGAGGGCATCCCTGTCTTGTGCCAGTTTTCAAAGGGAATGCTTCCAGTTTTTGCCCATTCAGTATGATATTGGCTGTGTGTCTGTCATAGATAGCTCTTATTATTTTGAGATACGTCCCATCAATACCTAATTTATTGAGAGTTTTTAGCCTGAAGCGTTGTTGAATTTTGTCAAAGGCCTTTTCTGCATCTATTGAGATAATCACGTGGCTTTTGTCTTTGGTTCTGTTTATATGCTGGATACATTTATTGATTTGCATATATTGAACCAGCCTTGCATCCCAGGGATGAAGCCCACTTGACCGTAGTGGATAAGCTTTTTGATGTGCTGCTGGACTCAGTTTGCCAGTATTTTATTGAGGATTTTTGCATCAATGTTCATCAAGGATATTGGTCTAAAATTCTCTTTTTTGGTTGTGTCTCTGGAAGGCTTTGGTATCAGGATGATGCTGGCCTCATAAAATGAGTTAGGGAGGATTCCCTCTTTTTCTATTGATTGGAATAGTTTCAGAAGGAATGGTACCAGTTCCTCCTTGTACCTCTGGTAGAATTCGGCTGTGAATCCATCTGGTCCTGGACTCTCTTTGGTTGGTAAGCTGTTGATTATTGCCACAATTTCAGATCCTGTTATTGGTCTATTCAGAGATTCAGCTTCTTCCTGGTTTAGTCTTGGGAGAGTGTATGTGTCCAGGAATTTATCCATTTCTTCCAGATTTTCTAGTTTATTTGCATAGAGTTGTTTGTAGTATTCTCTGATGGGGAGTTTTTATTTCAGTGGGATCGGTGGTGATATCCCCTTTATCATTTTTTATTGTGTCTATTTGATTCTTCTCTCTTTTTTTATTAGTCTTGCTAGCAGTCTATCAATTTTGTTGATCCTTTCAAAAAACCAGATCCTGGATTCATTAATTTTTTGGAGCGTTTTTGTGTCTGTATTTCCTTCAGTTCTGCTCTGATTTTAGTTATTTCTTGCCTTCTGCTAGCTTTTGAATGTGTTTGCTCTTGCATTTCTAGTTCTTTTAATTGTGATGTTAGGGTGTCAATTTTGGATCTTTCCTGCTTTCTCTTGCGGGCATTTAGTACTATAAATTTCCCTCTACACGCTGCTTTGAATGTGTCCCAGAGATTCTGGTATGTTGTGTCTTTGTTCTCATTGGTTTCAAAGAACATCTTTATTTCTGCCTTCATTTCGTTATGTACCCAGTAGTCATTCAGGAGCAGGTTGTTCAGTTTCCATGTAGTTGAGCGGTTTTGAGTGAGTTTCTTAATCCTGAGTTCTAGTTTGATTGCACTGTGGTCTGAGGGACAGTTTGTTATAATTTCTGTTCTTTTACATTTGCTGAGGAGAGCTTTACTTCCAACTATGTGGTCAGTTTTGGAATAGGTGTGGTGTGTTGCTCAAAAGAATATATATTCTGTTGATTTGGGGTAGAGAGTTCCGTAGATGTCTATTAAGTCCGGTTGGTGCAGAGCTGAGTTCAATTCCTGGGTATCCTTGTTGACTTTCTGTCTTGTTGATCTGTCTAATGTTGACAGTGGGGTGTTAAAGTCTCCCGTTATTATTGTGTGGGAGTCTAAGTCTCTTTGTAGGTCACTCAGGACTTGCTTTATGAATCTGGGTGCTCCTGTATTGGGTGCATATATATTTAGGATAGTTAGCTCTTCTTGTTGAATTGATCCCTTTACCATTATGTAATGGCCTTCTTTGTCTCTTTTGATCTTTGTTGGTTGAAAGTCTGTTTTATCAGAGACTAGGATTGCAACCCCTGCCTTTTTCTGTTTTCCATTTGCTTGGTAGATCTTCCTCCATCCTTTTTTTGAGCCTATGTGTGTCTCTGCACGTGAGATGGGTTTCCTGAATACAGCACACTGATGGGTCTTGACTCTTTATCCAATTTGCCAGTCTTTGTCTTTTAATTGGAGCATTTAGTCCATTTATATTTAAAGTTAATATTGTTATGTGTGAATTTGATCCTGTCATTATGATGTTAGCTGGTTATTTTGCTTGTTAGTTGATGCAGTTTCTTCCTAGCATCGATGGTCTTTACATTTTGGCATGATTTTGCAGCGGCTGGTACCAGTTGTTCCTTTCCATGTTTAGTGCTTCCTTCAGGAGCTCTTTTAGGGCATGCCTGGTGGTGACAAAATCTGTCAGCATTTGCTTGTCTGTAAAGGATTTTCTTTCTCCTTCACTTATGGAGCTTAGTTTGGCTGGATATGAAATTCTGGGTTGAAAATTCTTTTCTTTAAGAATGTTGAATATTGGCCCCCACTCTCTTCTGGCTTGTAGAGTTTCTGCTGAGAGATCCGCTGTTAGTCTGATGGGCTTCCCTTTGTGGGTAACCCGACCTTTCTCTCTGGCTGCCCTTAACTTTTTTTCCTTCATTTCAACTTTGGTGAATCTGACAATTATGTGTCTTGGAGTTGCTCTTCTCGAGGAGTATCTTTGTGGTGTTCTCTGTATTTCCTGAATCTGAATGTTGGCCTGCCTTGCTAGATTGGGAAAGTTTTCCTGGATAATATCCTGCAGAGTGTTTTCCAACTTGGTTCCATTCTCCCTGTCACTTTCAGGTACACCAATCAGACGTAGATTTGGTCTTTTCACATAGTCCCATATTTCTTGGAGGCTCTGTTCGTTTCCTTTTATTCTTTTTTCTCTAAACTTCCCTTCTCGCTTCATTTCATTCATTTCATCTTCCATCACTGATACCCTTTCTCCAGTTGATCGCATCAGCTCCTGAGGCTTCTGCATTCTTCACATAGTTCTCGAGCCTTGGCTTTCACTGCCATCAGCTCCTTTAAGCACTTCTCTGTATTGGTTATTCTAGTTATACATTCATCTAAATTTTCTTCAAAGTTTTTAACTTCTTTGCCTTTGGTTTGAATTTCCTCCTGTAGCTTGGAGTAGTTTGATTGTCTGAAGCCTTCTTCTCTCAACTCGTCAAAGTCATTCTCCATCCAGCTTTGTTCCATTGCTGGTGAGGAACTGCGTTCCTTTGGAGGAGGAGAGGCTCTCTGCTTTTTAGAGTTTCCAGTTTTCCTACTCTGTTTTTTCCCCATCTTTGTGATTTTATCTACTTCTGGTCTTTGATGATGGTGATGTACAGATGGGTTTTTGGTGTGGATGTCCTTTCTGTTTGTTAGTTTTCCTTCTAACAGACAGGACCCTCAGCTGCAGGTGTGTTGGAGTTTGTTAGAGGTCCACTTCGGACCCTGTTTGCCTGGGTATTAGCAGTGGTGGCTGCAGAACAGCGGGTTTTCGTGAACCGCAAATGCTGCTGTCTGATCGTTCCTCTGGAAGTTTTGTCTCAGAGGAGTACCCAGCCCTGTGAGGTGTCAGTCTGCCCCTACTTGGGGGTGCCTCCCAGTTAGGCTGCTCGGGGGTCGGGGGTCAGGGACCCACTTGAGGAGGCAGTCTGCCAGCTCTCAGATTTCCAGCTGCATGCTGGGAGAACCACTGCTCTCTTCAAAGCTGTCAGACAGGGACATTTAAGTCTGCAGAGGTTACTGCTTTTTGTTTGTCTGTGCCCTGCCCCCAGAGGTGGAGCCTACAGAGGCAGGCAGGCCTCCTTGAGCTGTGGAGGGCTCCACCCAGTTAGAGCTTCCCAGCTGCTTTGTTTACCTAAGCAAGCCTGGACAATGGCGGGCACCCCTCCCCCAGCCTCGCTGCCGCCTTGCAGTTTGATCTCAGACTGCTGTGCTAGCAATCAGCGAGACTCTGTGGGCGTAGGACCCTCCAAGCCGGGTGCAGGATACAATCTCCTGGTGCGCCGTTTTTTAAGCCCGTCGGAAAAGCACAGTATTAGAGTGGGAGTGACCTGATTTTCCAGGTGCCGTTTGTCACCCCTTTCTTTGACTAGGAAACGGAACTCCCTGACCCCTTGCGCTTCCCGAGTGAGGCAATGCCTCGCCCTGCTTCGGCTCGTGCATGGTGCGCTGCACCCACTGTCCTGCACTCACTGTCTGGCACTCCCTAGTGAGATGAACCTGGTAAGTCAGATGGAAATACAGAAATCACCTGTCTTCTGCATCGCTCATGCTGGGAGCTGTAGACCGGAGCTGTTCCTATTCGGCCATCTTGGCTCCCCCCATCTGTGTGGTTTGTTAATATCATTTTCCACTCACTTACCTTCAAGCTTTCTTGTTTGTTCTAGATGCATTTTTTATATAGAGCCTACGGCTGGCCTTTTTTTTTTTTGAGAAGCTATTTCTTTTAACACTGTTTTTAGTCTGTTTACGTTAGTAGGACTTATTCATATTCTTGGATTTAGTTTAGCATATTCTTCTGTTTTATTTAAGATTAGCTTTATTTTTCATTCTTCTTACCTTCTATTGGATAGAACACATTTTCTTTTTATAATTTGCATCATTTTTAAATTTTTATTTCTATAGATTTAGGGGTACAAGTGCAGTTTTGTTGCATGGACATATTGCATACTGGTAAAGTCTGGGCTAAAATGTAACCATTACTCAAATAATATACATTGTACCCATTAGATAATCTCTCATCCCTCACTCTCCTCCTACTCTTCCATCTTTGCAAGGGTCCACTGTCTATAATTTCATATTCTCTGTCCATGTGTACACATTATTTAGCTCTCACTTACAAGTTACAACATGGGGTAGTTGACTTTCTGTTTATGAGTTATTTCACTTAACATAATGTCCTCCAGTTACATCCATGTTGATACAAAATACATGATTTTATTCTGTTTTATGGTACAGTAGTATTCCATGGTGTGTATATATGGATAGACTGATAGATGTCATGATAGAGATATTTACAGATTATATATATATATATAGCATCTATTCCATATTTTCTCTCTTCATTCATTCATTGATGGGCACTTAGGTTGATTCCATATCTTTGCTATTGTGAATAGTGCTATGATAAGCATACAAGTGGAGGTATCTTTTTGATATAATGATTCCTTCCCTTTAGGAAGATACACAGGAAGTGGGATTGCTGGATCCAATGGTAGTTGAATATTTAGTTTTTTTGAGAACTTTCCATATTTTTTGTTTGTTTGTTTTGAGACGGAGTCTCACTCTGTCCCCCAGGCTGGAATGCTGTGGCATCATCTGGCTCACTGCAAGCTCTGCCTCCCAGGTTCTGCCATTCTCCTGCCTCAGCCTCCTGAGTAGCTGGGACTACAGGCACCCACCACCATGCCTGGCTAGTTTTTTTTGGGTTTTTAATAGAGACGGGGTTTCACTGTGTTACCCAGGATGGTCTTGATCTCCTGACCTCGTGATCTGCCTGCCTCAGCCTCCCAAAGTGCTGGGATTACAGGCGTGAGCCACCGTGCCTGGCCTCCATATTGTTTTACACAGAGGTTACACTAATTTACATTCCCACTGACAATGTATAAGCATTCCTTTTTCTCCACACTTTTGCCAACATCTGCTATTTTTTAACATTTTAGTAATAGCTATTTTGACTGATGTGAGGCTGTATTGTTGTGGTTTTAATTTGTATTTCTCTGATGATTGGGGATGTGGAGCATTTTATTCATATGCTCTTCATCCATTTATATATCTTCTTTTGCAAAATGTCTCTACACACCCTTTGCCCACTTTTTAGCAAGGTTATTTGGGTTTTGTTGTTGTTGAGTGGTTCGAGCACCTTGTAGATTCTGGATATTTCATCCTTTGCCAGATGCGTAGTGTGCAAATATTTTCTCCCATTCTGTATGTAGGTTGTCTTTTTTGTTTATTTCTTGCTGTGCAGAGTTTTTTAGTTTAATTAAATCCCATTTGTCTATTTTCATTTTTGTTGCATTTGCTTTTGATGTCTTAGTCATGAATTCTTTGCCTAGGCCAATGTCCAGAAGAGTTTTTCCTGGGTTTTCTTCTGGAACCTTTACAGTTTCCGGTCTTACATTTAAGTCTTTAATCCATGTTGAGTTAATATTTGCATACGGCTAGAGATAGGATTCAGTTTCATTCTTCTGCATGTGGCTATCCAATTTTCCCAGCACAATTTATTGAGCAAGATGTCCTTTCCCTAGTGTATGTTTTTTGTCAGCTTTGTCAAAGATTAGTTGGCTGTATGTATGTGGCTTTATTTCTGAGTTCTCTATTCTGTTCTATTGATCTATATGTCTATTTTTTTACACAAGTACCATGCTGTTTCTGGGTACTATAGCCTTGTAGTATAATTTGAAGTCAGTTAATGAGATGTTTCCAGGTTTGTTCTTTTGCTTCAGATTGCTGTCATTCTTTGGGATCTTTTTTCGGTTCCATATAGATTTTAGGATTGTGTTTTCTAATTCTGTAAAAAATGACATCGGCATTTTGATAGAAGTTGCATTGAATCTGTAAATTACCTTGGGCAGTATGATCATTTTAAAGATATTGATTCTTCCAATCCATGAACTTGGGCTGTCTTTTCATTTGTTTGTGTCATCTACAATCTCTTTCATTCATGTTTTGCAGTGTTTCTTGTGGACACCTTTCACCTAAGTTAAATGTATACCTAGGTTTGGGTTTTGTTTTGTTTTGTTTTTTATAGCTATTGTAAATGGAATTGACTTCTTGATTTGATTCTCAGCCTTATTGGTGTATAGAAATAGTACTGATTATTGTATTTTGGGCTTATATCCTGTAACTTTAGTGAATTAATTTTCAAATCTAGGAATCTTTTGGCAGAGTCTTTAGGATTTTCTAGATATAAGATCACATCATCAGCAAACAGAGATAATTTGACTTCCTCTTTTCCAATTTGGATGCCTTCTTTTGTTTCTCTTGTCTGATTGTTCTGGCTAGGTCTTTTAGTCCCACGTTGAATGGGCATCCTTGAAATAGGATAAGCTTTTATTGTTTCCTTTTTGCCCTTTATTAGTTTAAAAGTTATACGATCTATTTCTATTTTCTTTTTACTATTTATTCTTAAATACTTAACATGAATATTTGACTTTCAATGTCTGAAATTTATTAAAAAAACTCCATCCTTCTCCCAAATAATACAATGATTCTGTATTTTTATTTTTATTTTTTTTTGAGACAGAGTCTTGCTCTGTCGTCCAGGCTGGAGTGCAGTGGCGCGATCTGGGCTCACTGCAAGCTCCGCCTCCTGGGTTCACGCCATTCTCCTGCCTCAGCCTCCTGAGTAGCTGGGACTACATGCGCCCGCCACCATGCCTGGCTAATTTTTGTATTTTTAGTAGAGACGGGGTTTCACTGTGTTAGCCAGGATGGTCTCGATCTCCTGACCTCGTGATCCGCCCGCCTCAGCCTCCCAAAGTGCTGGGACTATAGGCGTGAGCCACTGTGCCCGGCCTATTTATTTTAAATATTAGTGTTCTCTCCTCACAGAACAAATGTTATATAAATATTGACCTGGTTTTTTTTTGTATTCTCAGAGCCATTTTTTTATTTATTGATTTCGCTGTAGCTATTGCCACTATGTTATTTAAATAATCATCAAGTCTTAAATTTCAACTAATTATTTATTTTAAATTCCTACTTGGTTTTATTCTGTAAGATGTTTATTTTTTAAAATTCATTAATCATTTTCAAGTCACTTATTTTAAAATTTTCTTTATGACTACCTTTCTATTGTTTCAAGTCTTTAAGTGCTTAATGTCATATTCATTTCATCTGATTTTTCATTCATGACTGATTGTTGCTCATATATTTTGTAAATTTTTACTGTGATCTAATCTTCACTGGGACTGTTCTTTACCTGTGGAAATCTTTATGTTTTGAAATTTGTAAGTATTCCTCCTCGGTGGTTTTGTTTTCTTCTGCCACTCACCTCATAATCTTTTGTTAGTTTTTTGTCTTGGGAACCATAAAATTACATGAATAATGTAAAATGAGACTCCAAACCCATAAGACTCACAGGCCAGAGCATCAGTTTTTTATGACAGACTTTTTTCCACAAAGGCCTGATGGGAACAAGATTCCTACTCCCTTCTAAGTTAGTGAGTTACTGGAGCTCCTGCTTTATGCAAGGCCTGAGCTCTAATTTTCAGCCTCATATAGGCCCACATGTCTGGGTGTTACTCTCCACCTTCCATAGTTGAAGAAATACCAGATTGCTCATTTACTTAAACTTCTTCTTTTATCTTTCTATCTGACAACTGTGGGTTTCCGTTAACTATCCAGCAAACTCAGCTGTAGATTAAGATTTATTAAATTTTTTATTTTAAATCTATCATTTATAGTTTAAATATTAGAAGTATTACTATTTTTATTTGAGGATTATGTTATCAGAACTCCAAGTGCTCAGTTGTTATTTAGCCCAATTCTCAAGATAAGAAGATTGAGAGAACCACTGTGATCTAGATGGACCAAAATATTTTTCACCACTCACTGAAGCCTACTGGCTTGGCTTTAATAGTATGCAGCAGTTAGAATCCTGCTTCTAAAGTTTGCATCTACAGTATAGACCAATGCTTCTTAAACTATGGGCCCTACATCATTCTGTCTCAGAATTACCAGAGTCTGTGTTTAAAATGCAGATTTCTAGTCTGAGACCTAGATCTACTAAATCAAAAGTTTTGCAGATAAGAGCGTGGACACTTTATACATTTTCCATGCAATTTCTGTAAAACCAACATTTGATAAATATTGGCTTATAAGTATCATTCAACTGGATCAAGATTCCTCTAAGTGGTAGGGAACACATCTTTTTATTTTCCTTTGTTCTCCACAGCATTTAATACAATGCCTTACACATATTATGTGACTGACAAATTTTTTTTGATGATCAGATAGATAAATCAGGGTTGGAATCATCTTAAGAGTTAAATGGGCTTGAAGCCTGCTACATATAATTGGTGGTTACAACAAGACCCCCCACCCCAATAGTGGGCTGAGCCCTGATCAAGATTTAAATTAGAAAAGTGAGGTATTCACTTATTTATCCAACTAGAAGCATATCCGCAAAGAATGTATGCTATATTGTGTCATAACATATATACAATTTGCTATATATATTCATTAAATCAATATCATCAACTCATGATGAGCTACTAAGTGACAGCAAAATTATACCCGCCATAAGACCCAGTTTCCTCCCTAAAGGAATTCACTTTGTTAGCCTGTTGAATGAACCACATATAAAAGTACTTGGTTCTTAAGTTAGAGCTGAAGTGAATACAATGGCTGTAGGACAGAATTGTGGGCATGGCAAGCTACGAAGCTCTCCTTTGTGTTTTACCAAAGCTCAAGAACAGTAATGAGAAATTAGAAATATAATAATCTCAAAGACAGCTAGGATTGTGCCTTTTCATTATCTAAAAAATGAAATCAAGACCTTAAACTTAACATATAATGTCACTGACAGCCAAGATGAAGAGAGGGAAAACCAACTGGATATGGTAACTGTCATTGGCAGACATGCTGCTACTTTGGCGATTATCTTTATATCTCTGATTGTTTTTCTCCAGCTGAGTCAGGAGAAACCACTGGAATTAAGGTAACAAGTTCATATGTATTCATGTTGAAGGCAGGCATCTAGGTAATCATCTAGTCAAATAATAATAACCAAAACTCTCATGCTGGAAGCTAAAAAATGACAAAGAGAGTCTATGAGATTGTGCATTAGGAAAGGCACATTCTGGCAAATGCCAAATATAGTTCTTACTACGTGTCAGGCACTCTTCTAAGCACTTTAAGTATATCAAGGTATTTAAATCTTATAACAACCCCGAGTTAGGAGCTACTATTATCTCAGAAAATTGAGGCATATAGAGGTTAAATAATGTGTTCAAGCTACGCTTCAGTGAGTGAACTGTTGGGATTCAAATTCTGGCTATTTGGCTCCAGAGTCTAAGCTTTTCGTGGAGATAATGCTCTCTTAAACGGGACACAAAAAGCACCAACTATATGAGAAAATATTTATATATTGGGTTAGATTAAAATTAGAAACTTTATTCATTGAAAGACAGTACTAAAGAGAGAAAAAGCTCATATTCAAAAAATATAAAGAACTTTTACAAATCAGTAAGAAAAGACAGATGATCTAAGAAAACAATGAGAAAAACACCTGATAGGAACTCCACAAAAGAGGATATCTAAATAGCCAATAAACATATAAAAAATGCTGAATGTCTTTAAGCATCTGGAAAATTCAAACAAAAATTGTAATGGTAGCTGAAGCCATCACACTACCTGACTTCAAACTATACTGCAATCCTATAGTAATCAAAACAGCATGGTACTAATACAAAAGTAGACACATAGATCAATAAAACAGAATAGGGAACCCAGAATAAAGCCACACACCTACAACTAACTGGTCTTCAACAAAGATACAAAAAGAAACCATGGGGAAAGGACACTCTATTCAATAAATGTTGCTGGAAAAACTGGTAAGCCATATGCAGAAGAATGAAGCTGGAACCCTATCTCCAATCATATAAAAAATTAACTCAAAATGGATTAAAGGCTTCAGTATGAGACCTCAAACTATAAAAATTCTAGAAGAAAACTTAGGAAAAACTTCTGGACATTGGCCTAGGCAATGAATTCTTAACTAAGACCTCAAAAGCAAATGCAACAAAAGCAAAAATAGACAAATGAGACTAAATGAAGCTAAAAAGCTTCTGCACTGCAGAAAAAAAATCAACAGAAGAAACAGACAACATACAGAGTGGGAGAAATATTTGTAAGTGATGCATCTGGCAAATGGCTAATATTCAGAATCTACAAGGAACATAATCAATTCAACATGCAAAAATCAAATAACCTCAATAAAAAGTGAGTGAAGGACAGGAACAGACACTTCTCAAAGGAAAACATACAATTGGCCAATAAGGATGAATAAAATGCTCAACATTTCTAATCATGAGAGAGATGCAAATTAAAACCACAATGAGATACCATGTCACACCAGTCAGAATGGCTATTATTAAAAAGCCAAAAAACTAACAGATGTTGATGGGGATGTGAAAAAAATGTAATGCTTATAAACTGTTGATGGGAATGTAAATTAGCACAGCCTCTATGGAAAACAGTATGGAAACATCTCAAAAAAAATAAAAATGGAACTACCATTTGATCCAGCAATCCCATTTATTGGAAAAGGAAAAGAAATCATTTTATCAAAAAGACATATGTTGATTGCAACACTATTCACAATACCAAAGTCAAGGAATCAACCTAAGTGTCCAGCAGCGGTTGACTGGATAAAGAAAACATGGTATATATACATCATGGAATACTACACAGCCATAGCGAATAATGAAATCACATTCTTCACAGAAATATGAATGGAACTGGAGGCCATTATTCTAAATGAAATAACTCAGAAACAGAAAATCAAATACTGCATGGTCTCACTTATAAGTGGGAGCTAAACAATGGCTACACATAGGAATAAAGATAGAAATAATATATACTAAGAACTCCAAAAGGGAGGAGGGTAGGTGGGAGGGTTGACGGTTAAAGAACTACCTATTGGATATTATGTTCACTGTTTGGGTGATAGATTCACTAGAAGCCCAAACCTCAGCATTACATAATATACCCATGTAACAAACCTGTACATGTACCCCCGAAACTAAATTTAAAAAAACTGTTTATGCATAGTACAGCTCACAAAATAATATAGATTCAAAAAGAAAGGTGCAGTCACTATAATATAATATATAATTATTAATAATTATAATGTGGTATATACTATTAATATTACATATGTACTATTGAATGCCTACAATGGGTCAGGTACTCCTATAAGCACTTTACTTTCATTATCTCCCAATAATTCTCTCTGAGGTCAGTTTTAGTATCTTTAATTTAGAGGCTAATTTATGAAAGATATATATAGAGAGAGTTATGAAATACATACATATATATATAGGTCAGTTTTAGTATCTTTAATTTAGAGGCTAATTTGTGAAATACATATAGTTGAATAAGAAATTATCTAAAACATTCATAGAAGGCTTTCAAAAATATAATGTTGAATGAAAAATGAAAATTACAGAAGTATGTATAGCATGTACCTTTATAGAAAGTTTTAAAACTTACAAAGTTAAACAACGTATTATTTAGAGATACCTACATATGAAGTGTAATTAAAATGAAAATCAAAGGAATTATAATTTTTCAAAACTTAAGATGAATGATGGGAAGGCAAAGAGTTGTATTTGGGAAAGACCATACTGCCAACTTCAAAAGTAATGGCAAAATTTTAATAAGCAAATAACAGATACAGGGTGTTGATTTTATTTTTCTGCACACACACACACACACACACACACACACACACACACACAGCACCAGCCTTCAATATCTATGGGTTCCACACCTGTGGATTCAAACAAACTATGAATCAAATATGTAGTTAGGCCTATGATGGTTTTATCTGTACTGAACATGTACAGATATTTTGTTATCAATATCCCCTAAACAACTATTGATAACAAGTGTTATCCTCTAAACAAACCATATAGTATCCTCTAAACAATGTCCTCTAAACAAACAGTAGTTTAATAACTAATTACATAACATTTACATTGTATTATAAGTAATGCAGAGCTTATTTAAAGTGAGATATGTTATATGCAAGTAATACTCCATTTTATATAAAGGACCTGAGCATCTAGGATTTTTTTATCTGTGGGAGGTTTTGGAACCAATTTTGTATAGATACTGAAGGACAGCTGTATGTGTGTCTATTTGTATGTATAAAATTGTTCATAATATTTTGTTTTTACTTTTAAATTAAAAAGTTTATTGAGATGCAATTTACATACAATTCGCTTTTTCATGTTTATCATAACAATCATGTGTATGTGCAAGCAACACTATAGTCAACTTTAGAACATTTCTATCATCTCTAAAAGAAACTCCACAACCTTTAGCTATTACCCTCCTATTCCTCCCAGCCTCCTCCACTAGCCTGAAGCAACAACTAATTTACTTTTTTTTTTTTTTAGATTTTCTTGTATTGGACAATTAATATAATTCATATACGGTACGGGGGAAATTTTTGGCTCCCAAGTGAATGGGAATGAGGAAGAGAAAGAGAGTGGAAGAACATTTGTTTTACTGAGGGAAGTTGGGGAAAAGCCAATGAAATAGAGACAGCAAGAGAGAGAAAAGAAGGGAGGAAGGAAGGAGAATTGCTTGAAGTGGATAACAGAACTGTGAGCAAAGAAAGAATAGGAAGTGTGAGTACAGCCTGGAGACAGACTGAGGAGACCATAGACATCTTCCATTTGTTTGTATCTTTTTAAATTCTTTCAGAAACGTTTTGTGGTTTGCAGTGTCTGAGTGTTTTGTCTTCTTGGTTAATTTCTTGGTGGTTTTATATATATGTATATATATATATATTTGTTGATGATTGTTTTCTTAATCTCTTGGTTAATTTCTTAGTGGTTTTATATATATATATATAGTTGTTAATGTTATTGTTTTCTTAATCTCAATCACATTGTTGGTGTGTTGAAATACAATTTTTTCATGTTGATTTTGTATCTTGCAACTTTGCTAAATTCATGTATTAGTTCAAACAGTTTGTGTATGTGTAATCTTTGGAATTTTCTGCACATGAGATCCTGTTGTCTGTGAACTGAGATAGTTTTGTTTCTTTCTTGTCCATTTGGATGCCTTTTGTTTATTTTCCTTGCCTGGTTCCTCTGGCTGGATCTTTCAATGCTATGTCAAGCTACTTCAAGCTTTTCAAATTTCACCATTGAGTATAATGGTGCTGTGGATTATTCATATATGGCCTTTATTATGTTCAGATTGTTTCCTTCTATTCCTGGTTTGTCATGGGTTTTTGTCATGAATTGATCTTGAATTTTGTCTAATGCTTTTTCTGCATCAAATAATACGATTGTGGTTTTTCCATCATTCTACAAGTGTGATGTATTACACTGTTTGTTGTAATATGTTGTTTATTTCACATTGTTTGTGTTACACTAATTGTTGTAATCAACAAATGTTGACTCATATGTTGAATTCTCTTTGCCTTTCATGGATAGATCTCACTTGATTCTGGTGGATAAACCTTTTGATGTGCTGGTGAGTGTAGTTTACTAGAATTTATTTGAGGATTTTTGCATCAATGTTCATAAGGGTTATCTGCCTGCAAAAAAGTTAAAAAATAAAAATTATAATGGGAAACCCTGTACAACTTTTAGAATGCCTAATGTTAAAAAGACTGACAGCTCCAAGTGTTGGCAAGATTACGCAAGTAGAAATATTATATATACCCTGTTGCATTTCATTCAGTGCATTACCTCTGATTTTCCCGTTCACTTATAAGGGAATATATTAGTCAAGGTTATTGAAAGGGACAAAACTAATAGGATAGATAAATATATGAAGGGGAGTTTATTAGGAAAATTGACTCACATGATCAAAAGGTAAAGTCCCACAATAGGCCATCTGCAAGCTGAGGAGCCAGGAAGCCAGTCTGAGTCCCAAAACCTCAAAAGTAGGGAAGCTGATAGTGCAACCTTCAGTCTGTGGCCAAAGGCCCAAGAGCCCCTGGCAAATCATTGGTGTAGGTCCAAGAGTCCAAGAGCTGAAGAACTTGGAGTCTGATGTTTGAGGGCAGGAAGCATCTAGCATGAGAGAAAGATGGAGGCCAGAAGACCTAGCCAGTCTAGTCCTTTCACGTTCCTCTGCCTGTTTTTATCCTAGCCACGCTGGCAGCTGATTAGATGGTGCCCATCCAGATTGAGGGTGGGTCTGCCTCTCCCAGTTCACTGACTTAAATGTTAATCTCCTTTGGCAACACCCTCACAGACACACCCAGAAATAATACTTTGCATCCTTCAATCCAATCAAGTTGACACTCAATATCAACCATCGTAAGTCCAACCCTTGTCAACTTGAACCCATACAGATCTCCTGAAATCATACAAAATCTTCAAATAAAGACAATAATAGGTCATAATTATGCCTAATATAATACAACTATCCTTCATACAACTGGAAGCACACCAATCCCTAACCCAAATGCTATTACATAAGGTTAACATGTTTTCAACAAAAGGAGGAAATACTCATGACAATTACACTTCTCATTTCCTGCAACTTGTCACATGGTTGTAGCTGATATTGATGATTACATTCTTCTAATACCTATCCTGTATTCCCTTTGCCTTCAGCAAGCACCTCAGCAGGTTGTGGTTTTTTACCTGGTGGAGTGACCCAAACATTCATTCCTGAAGGGTCTGGGCCATTTGCAGTCCTGTCTGGTTTGGGCTGTCGTAGTTTCCCATTGATCTTAATCACAGGGCATGGTAATCCCCTAATGGATCTCCTGTATTCCATGCGTACTCTTCCTTACCTCCATTGCTGAGTGGTAGACTGATTTCATCCTGATAGTCCAGGTCAATCACCCCAGCCAACACTGTAACTCCCTTCTTATCCTGTTGATTTAGAGGTAGGTGGAGCCCAAGGTGTCCAGGTAGCAATCTTAACTTTCAGTTTAATGAAACTGTTGTTGTGTCTCCTGGTGTCAGCATTCCTCCCCCTGGAACTAAGACCTCTAGGCCAGCAGAACATAATGTTGTGGGAACAGGAAGCAAAAATTTTGCTAGTGGTTCTCTAGGGGTGATGGTGAATGGTGCCACTTCCACTTCTACCCCTTGATTCCTGGACCTGTGAATCCTGACTATGAGAGGAACAGTTCCATATATTTGATGCTGATTCAGAGCATGCACAGCCTTCTGAAGAACTTTGCCCTACCCCTGCAAAGTATGGTCTCCTAGCTGGCATTGTAATTATGACTTCAAAAGGCCATTCCACCATTCTATCAATCCAGCTGCTTCAGGATGATGGGGAAGATGGTAAGACCAGTGAATTCCATGAGCATGAGCCCACTGCTGCACTTCTTTAGCTGTAAAGTGGGCACCTTAGTCAGAGGCAATACTATGTGGAATACCATGATGGTGGATAAGGCATTCTATGAATCCATGGATGGTAAGTCTTGGCAGAAGCACTGTGTGCAGGATAAGCAAACCCATATCTGGAGTAGGTGTCTATTCCAGTGAGGACAAACCTCTGCCTTTTCCATGATGGAAGAGGTCCAATATAATCAACCTGTAACCAAGTAGTTGGCTGATCACCCTGAGGAATGGTGCCATATCGAGGGCTCAGTGTTGGTCTCTGCTGCTGGAAAATTGGGCACTCGGCGGTGGCTGTAGCCAGGTCAGCCTTGATGAGCAAAAGTCCACGTTGCTGAGCCCATGCGTAATCTCCATCCCTGCCACCATGGCCACTTTGTTCATGGGCCCATTGGGCAATGACAGGAATGTCTGGGGAAAGAGGCTGAGTGGTGTCCACAGAACGAGTCATCCTATCCACTTGATTATCAAAATCCTCCTCTACTGATGTCACCCATTGGTGAGCACTCACATGGGATACGAATATCTTCACAGTTTTTTACCATTTACAGAGGTCCATCCTCATACCTCTTCCCCAAATTTCTTTGTCACCAATTTTCCAATCATGCTTCTTCCAAGTCCCTGACCATCCAGCCAAACCACTGGCTACAGCCCATGAATCAGTATATAATTGCATATCTGACCATTTCTTCTTCCAACCAAAGTGCAGAATGAGGTACACTGCTCAAAGTTCTGCCCACTGGGAAGATTTTCCCTCACCACTGTCCTTCAGAGATGTCCTAGAAAGGGGCTGTAGTGCTGCAGCTGTCCACTTTCTGGAGGTGTCTGCATATTGTGCAGAACCATCTGTGAACCAGGCCCTAGTCTTCTCTTCCTCTGTCAACTGATCATAGGGAACTCCCCATGAGGCCATCAGTGCAGGCTAGGGGAGAGAAGGCAGGGTGTCAGGAGTGGAGACCATGGGCATTTCAGCCACTTCCCCATGTAACTTACTTGTGCCTTCACGACCTGCTCAAGCCCAATCACATATATACCACTTCCATTTGACAAAGAAGTGCTTCTGTGCATGCCCCACTTTATGGCTAGATGGGTCAGAGAGCACCCAGTTTATGATAGGCAGTTCAGGTTGCATGGTGACTTGATGATCCATAGTCAACATTCAGTTTCTACCAAAACCCAGTAGCAGAACAAGAGCTGTCTCTCAAAATGAGAGTAGTTATCTGCAGAAGATGGTAGGGCTTTGCTCCAAAATCCTAGAGGCCTCTGCTGTGATTCACCTATAGGGGCCTGTAAAAGGCTCCAAACAGCATCCCTATCTGTCACTGACACCTCAAGCACCATTGGAACTGCTGGATCATATGGCTCAAGTGGCAGAGCAGCTTGCACAGCAGCCTGGACCTGTTGCAGAGCCTTCTCCTGTTCTGGACCCCACTCAAAACTGGCAGTCTTTTGGATCACTTGATAAATGCGCTGGAGTAACATAACCAAATGAGGAATGTGTTGCTTCAAAAATCCAAATAGGCCCGCTAGGTGTCGTGCCTCTTTCTTGCTTTTAGGAGGAACCAAATGCAGCAACTTATCCTTCAACTTAGAAGGAATATCTTGAGAGAACCCACACCACAATACCCCTAGAAGTTTTACTGAGGTAGAAGGTCCCTGAATTTTAGTTGGATTTATTTCCCATCCTCTGGTAAGCAAATGTCTCAGCAATAAGTCCAGTGTGTTTGCTACTTCTCACTCACTGGATCCAGTCAGCATAATGTCATCCATGTAATGGACCAATGTGATATTTTATGGAAGGAAAAAGTGCTCAAGATCTCTCTGAACAAGATTATGACACAAAGCCAGAGTGTTGATATACCCCTGAGGTAGGACAGTAAAAGTATATTGCTAGTCTTGCCAGCTGAAGGCAAATTGCTTCTGGTGGACCTTATGGACAGGAATGGAGAAAAAGGCATTTGCCAAATAAATGGCTGCATACCAGGTACCAGGAGATGTGTTAATTTGCTCAAGCAATGAAACCACATCTGGTACAGCAGCTGCAATTGGAGTCACCACTTTGTTAAGTTTACAATAATCCACTGTCATTCTCCAAGATCCATCTGCCTTCTGCACAGGCTGAATAGGAGAGTTGATGAAGGATGTGATGGGAATCACCACCCTTGCGTCTTTCAAGTCCTTGATGGTGGCAATAATCTCTGCAATCCCTGCAGGGATTCCTTATTGTTTTTGATTTACTATTTTTATAGATAGAGGCAGCTCTAATGGCTTCCATTTGGCCTTTCCCTCCATAATAGCCCTCACCCTACCAGTCAGGGAGCCAATGGGGGGGTTCTGCCAGCTACTAAATATGTCTATGCCAATTATGCATTCTGGTACTGGGGAAATGATGACAGGATGAGTCTGGGGACCCACTGGGCCCACTGAAAGTTGGACCTCAGCTAAAACTCCATTAATTACCTGACCTTCATAAGCCCCTGCTTTAACTGGAGACCACAATGACGTTTTGGGTCCCCTGGAATCAACCTCAGCTCAAAGCCAGTGTCCAGTAGTCCCCAAAACGTCTGATCATTTCCCTTTCCCCAATGCACAGTTACCTTGGTAAAAGGCCGGAAGTCTCCTTGAGGAAGGATGGAAGAAAGATTAACAGCATAAATTGTCAGTAGTGTAGTGGGGTCCTTCCTCAAGGGGACCTGGTCTCCCCTTCATTCAAGGGGTTCTGGGTCTGTGAACTGGTTGAAGTCTGGAAATTGATTGAGGGGCTATGATTCTCTGTTTTTATAATTCAAACTGTCTTTTCTCCAGTCGACCTGGAAGTTTTCTGCTTATATAAATTAAGTAAGAATGCAGTAGGCTTCCTATCAACTTCACTTCTAGAACACCGTGATTAATTAGCCAATGCCAGAGCTCTACATGAGTCAGACTATTTTAATTGCTGCTTTGCCTCTGCTGTCCATTATGGTAACTATGCCCACCTTGCCTTTGATGGTTGAGTGCCACCACTTGTCCCCTGCCACTTTGGGATCCAATTATTCCCACTGCATTTAAATTTTGTAGTTGAGTGACTGTGGTTCCTGCTGTTAGATCTGGCATACAGAGAAGAGCAATCACAGAGCTCTTCAAGGAGGCAGGTGCTGCCCTCACAAATCTATTTCACAAAGTGTTGGTAAAGGGTATGTCTTCTGGACCCTCCCAGCTGGGATGAGTAGGTCTAAAGTGACTAATCCACTCTAGCATCCCAATCTCCCTAAGCCTTTGGATTCTTTCCTCTACATTAAACCAAGGGAGATCAGGCATTTTCAGCTTGCTCACAGTGGGCCATCTTTTGATCCATATTTAGCTAAAGAAGCAAATGAACTATTACAGCCTCTTTATAACTCCCTGAGCTGCAACATTAAATGCAGAATCCCTGCTTGTTGGTCCCAAATTAATAAATTCAGCCTGATCCAACATTATGTTCCTTCCACAATTATCCCATACCCTTAATATCCATTCCTATGCCTGTTCTCCAGATTTCTGCTTATATCAATTAGAAAACTCAGGCAATTCTTTTGGAGTGTAGCACACCTCCTCGTGGGTCACACTCTGAACCTCCCCTCTAGGGGCTTTCTGGGATTTTAGCTATAGGTCTAGAAGCAAACAGGGGTGGTGGGGGTGGGTCCTGAGGAGAATCAACATTGTCTTGCCAGGCAACTGCCCACTTGCCTGGCGGGCGCCTGTAATACCAGCTACTAGGGAGACAGAGGCAGGAGAATCGCTGGAACACAGGAGGCAGAGGTTACAGTGAGCTGAGATCATACCACTGCATTCCAGTCTGGGTGACAGAGTGAGACCTTGTCTCAAAAAAAAAAAAAAAAAAAAAACCCAAAAAACAAAAAACAAAAAACAAACAAACAAAAAACACATAGAGTCCTTAGCATTTTTGGGTCGAATCAGATTAAGCAGATTAAGCAGCCATCACTGTTGCCGCAGGCAGTGCATGGTTAATCTCATCAGACAAAGGTGGAAAGGCTGATGGCAGTGTGAGTCAGGGAGGGGATGTTGCCACTACTGGGGGTGGGGAGGCTGTTTCCTCTGGCAAAAAAGGCTCATCAGAGCTTACAAGCTCAGTGTCCCCAGCTGCACCAGGGTCCTCCCACACATCCCCATTTTAAGTTGCAGGGTCCCAATTTTTTTCCAGTCAATGCCCCCACTTTAACAGTAGACATCTGGTGAGGCTGTGCATGCACTTTTCATTGCAGGTCAGCCACTCGCATGATGAGTTCATGATTTTCCACAATTTCAGCTCTTTCTCTACAGGAGATAAAATTCTCACCCAGGGCAATCTTAGAAGATTTGAGGCTCAGTATGGGCTTCTGGAGCTAGGAGTTAGAATCTCTGAGTTCATCCTTTTCTTTCATCACATTGTGCAGTGAATTTAGGAGCAACCAACCAACTTCATTATATTCCTTGGTCCTCTATGTATGGTCAAAGGTATTATGTATAGAGTCACCAAACTCCTTGCCTCTCACAAGCAGTGAAACAGGAGTATCGAATACATTTATTTTGCATAACTCTCTAAATGGTTCACACCAATGACTATCAGTGTTCTCCATACTATTAGAAGTAAAGTCTCTGGCCGGGTGTGGTGGCTCATGCCTGTAACCCCAGCACTTTAGGAGGCCGAGGCAGGCAGATCACCTGAGGTCAGAAGTTTGACACCAGCCTGGCCAACATGGTGAAACCCTGTCTCTACTAAAAATACAAAAATTATCCGGGCGTGGTGGCGGGCGCCTGTAATACCAGCTACTAGGGAGACAGAAGCAGGAGAATCACTGGAACCCAGGAGGCAGAGGTTACAGTGAGCTGAGATCATACCACTGCATTCCAGTCTGGGTGACAGAGTGAGACCTTGTCTCAAAAAAAAAAAAAAAAAAAAAAACCCAAAAATGAAAAACAAACAAAAAACACATAGAGTCCTTAGCATTTTTGGGTTGAATCAGGTTAAGCGGATTAAGCAGCCAACTCCAGAAAACCCAAAACCAACTAAAGAACTCCATCCTCAAAATTCTTTTCCTCTAGAACCACTCCTGGTACCAAAATCGGTATCAGTCAGGGTCCTCTAAAGGGACAGATCTAATAGGATAGATGAATATATGAAGGGGAGTTTATTAGGGAAATTGACCCACATGATCACAAGGTGAAGTCCCACAATAGGCCGTCTGCAAGCTGAGGAGCCAGGAAGCCAGTCTGAGTCCCAAAACTCAAAAGTAGAGAAGCCAACAGTGCAGCCTTTAGTCAGAGGCTGAAGTACTGAGAGCCCCTGGCAAATCACCGTTGTAAGTCCAAGAGTCCTAAAGCAGAACTTGGAATCTGATGTTCGAGGGCAGGAAGCATCTAGCACAGAAGAAAGATGGAGGCCAGAAGGCTTAGCCAGTCTAGTCCTTCCACGTTCCTCTGCCTGCTTTCATCCTAGCCTCACTGACAGCTGATAGATGGTGCCCACCCAGATTGAGGGTGGGTCTGCCTCTCCCACTCCACTGACTCAAATGTTAATCTCCTTTGGCAACACCCTCACAGACACACTCAGGATCAATACTTTGCATCCTTCAATCCAATCAAGTTGCCACTCAGTATTAACCATTACAGGGAACTACAAAGAGTGATTAATATATTTTAAAATTTGTTTCAACTATGGTGGGTTGAAACAAAAAAGGTTCTCCAGAGCACATAAAAACTATTGCAAGACACCCTCCTGGCTATATCCAGCCAACTGGTCAGCTTCAATAACACATCAACTCATTGCTATTATTTACTGTAAGTGTGGCTGAATCTAAGTTCAACTTTCTACATATATATTTTTTTTACTAGGCTAAGGAGTCAGCATTTCTGAGATCTATTCCTAGAATAAGATATATTTACATTCGTTATTCTAGATACTTAACCTTAAATATACTTTATCTGAGAGAAGGGAAACTGTTCTTGTCATAAGGATCTTTAATCTTAGAAAATGACAGAAAAATAACTGCATATAGTCATTTCTACTGGTTTTCTTCTTGTTTTTGGTGACATGGTATAGTTTAATGGTTCTTCACTCTGCAACCCATCAGAGTCGCCTGAGGCACTCTGTAAAGGTGAGGTCTTCTGGGAGTTTAGATTTAGGAGGTGTGGAGTGAGACCGAAGCATCTCCATTTTGAAAGTGCCCCCAGGAAGTCCTGATATTCATCCCTGGTTTGTGGAAGATCTCAGAGCTCTGTTTACAGATTTCAGGCTTCAAAAGCTTAAAATCAAGAAAAAATTAATAATGTAAATTAAATTTAAAAATACAGAGTAAATCTTGTCATCATGAATCTCTAACTGAGTAACTTAGCTAAGATGCTTACTTAAGTCTCAGAGCCTGTGGAAGTGTTTTCTGTATTTCTGTTTCTCATCTGCTTTGTTTTATAAGGTTGTTAAAAAAAAAGGTGGATAAAAGACAGAAAAGCACTTTCTTACACTCATGAAATCCCCTAATAATGTGCTTTGGTACACATTCTCTCGCCAATTCTCTTTACTGCCTGCCTCAAAGCTTTTCATCAGTCTCCCACAAAGTGGAGAATCATACTCAGCTTCAAATTTCTTAGAAAGTGTTCAGCAAATGAAGAATGCAGTCCATTAGAAATTACAAGACAAGAAGAGGTTCTCCGAGTTGAGTTTTGGGGCTCTGTCTCTGGGTATACTCTATTCATATACTTTCATCCAGCATTGCACTCAAATACCCTGTCCTCATACAACAGGGCTTTTCAATGCCAAGATTGTGCCTGAGGGTCAGTCCTAGTTTAAAGACCTACCTGGCTGGAGCAATACATGACTCAGCACAGAATTAAATGAAAGATTCAATAAATAACCATGTCACTGGAAGGGATGAAGTTCCTTCACCAAGTATCAATTTTAAGTATCCTCACATACTGTTGCAAAGATAACAGACATTCACTTTTGATGCTCTGCTATATAAAATAGATAGGGTTAGGCCTGGAGGGGACAGAGATGGAGCCTGAATCTCTGAGGCTTTGACAGGCCAAGGCTGTGGATTCCATAGATGCCAGGAGGTGGACAGGATGAACCTCTGTGACTTCGTTAACAAAGTTAGTGTGAATTACACAAAACCAAGCACATGCCAAAGGACTGGAATAGTATGAGGGAAAAAAATAAATGTCTTAGATATCTGTGCCCTCATCCAAGTGAGAAATAAATTATTGAGCAGAGTGCAGGACCACACACTATGTGACATATTGCAACTTACAGTATCTATTTGCCTTTGATTCATGTTTAATCATTTCTGCATCACCTTCTGTGTCAACCTGGTATAGATCTTCAGCCTGTTTTCATATCCTGAACTGTTTTCTCCTATTATGAATACAATTTCCCTAACCTTGCCTTTTAACCCAATCCATCCTTTGCTTTTATTGTTCTGGTTTTCCATGACCTCCCCACAGTGCAAATTCTTGATTGAATGCCTCTGGAAGAAGCCAACATTGCAGACAAATTATCGGTAGGCTCAGGTAGTCCAAATGAGCTGTCAGAACCACTCAAGGTGGTGCCTCTGAATGGCCAACATGGAAACAGGTATAGGGCTACTAAACAAACAAACAAACAAACAAACAAACAAACAGAAAACCTCTTTTAACTTTTAAAGTTATGTTAAACTGCTGTTTATTCTTAAACTTTTTAGCGCCCTGTTAGGTACTGACTGGGACATTTCCAAATCCAAGCAGAGCATCACAGAATATGAGGAGAAAATATTTGCTCACTCTGGAAAATACATGCTGGCTCTAGGACAGATAATATCATTGAGGCCTAAAACATCATCCAACATATCTTAAATCCAGTGGAATGGGTGGGGGTTTTTCCTGGTTCACCTGTGTTTCTTGCTCCCTTTGCAATCTTTTCTGGTGTTCTCTTCTAAATCTGATCTCAATTTTCCCACACATTCTCAACTTCCCAGAAGCCATTAGAAAGTAGAATTATTATACTGGAACGACAAGTATAAACCAATAGCAGCTTGGAATAATCAGGATGATGTTCATTACAGCATGTCTGAATGTCTAAGGCCTCATAAATCCAGCAGACCTGACCCAAACTGAAGCAGGATATTTCCCTGACCCCTTTGCTGGTGGGAACTGGAGTGCACAGGCACTGTCAGGGGTGAACTCCACTCACTCCACTCACTCACTGGTCTACCCCTTGTGGGAGGGGGAGCGTAGGTGAGCAGGTGCAAGAGCTAGGGTGAGCATTTTTGGGTGCCGGCAAGAACAAACTCTGTAGTGGTCCCTCAGCAGCATCTAGGAGCATCTAGAAGAGGGTGCCTGCGACCCCTGAAGCCCCAGAGGAAGTGTAGAAGTGCCTGTTTAGTTTTGCTGTCTGTGGATGGCTTAAGTGTTAATAGCTCAGTGGAGGGTCAGTGTGACAGCCTCTTGCACCCACACAGGTGACACCCAAGTTCTTGTCCGGCATCCAGGAGGAATGAAGGTGGTAAAAGCGGAGGATTTTATTGCCAATGAAAGTGACTCTCAGTGAAAAGGTGGGGGCTGAAAAAGGGATGGAGTGGGAAAGCAATCTTCTCCTGAAGTCCGGCTGGGAACTGTCCCTCTGATGTCAAGCCGCTTCTCTCTGACATCCAACCACAGTCTCCAATGTCCAGCTGCTTCTCCTCTATCAGCTGAGCCTGGGGTTTTTATGGGCACAGGATGCGGGGAAGGGCAGGCCATGGGTGGTTTTGGAAAAGGCAACATTCGAGCAAGAAAACAGGGATGTAAGTCTTCACTTTGGGCCACAGTGTCAGGCTTTTCAGTTTGAGGGTGGGGACCATGTCGGGGACCCACACTCTTCTGCCCAGAATTTCTCTGCCTCCTGTCCCTATCAAAATCACAGAGCTGGCATCACAAAAACATGGTCCCCGATGCCCCCAAAATGTTTTCAGGGTCTGCCTTGACCAGAGCTCATCTTGTGTTTGTTTTCAAATTTATTTCTGACACCAGTTCCGGCTCTCAGACGGTTTTTCCATGTATAGATTTGCCTTGGTCTTTGTCCTTATGCTTTAGGCAGCTTCCATGTATGTTAGCCCTGGCTGCCATCTTTGACATTGGTCAGCACTGCTTTGTAAATTACCTATTGCCTCAGGATAAATTTTCTAGTCCAGCTGGCTTAGTTCCACCCCACTGTTCCTTACATTTCCGAAAACATTCCATGATATCCACATGTTTTCTTCCTCATCCATCCATAACCATAACATATAAAAATCATAAAGAGAATAACCTACCTCTGGATGAGAAGGATTTTCATAAACATATTTCATTTGATACTCATAGCAAACTTGTGAAAAACATTCATTTTACAGAGGAGAAGCAGAGGCTCTAGGAAAAATAATGTTAATAACTTTGTCCTCCAGTGTGATCCAAATGTTCCCAATAGGGTGCCACAAATTTATGTTAGTATTTCCAGCTGGGGCCAGACATGATGGTTCATGCCTGTAATCCCAGCATTTTGGGAGACCAAGGTGGGTGGATCACTTGAGGTCAGGAGTTCGAGACCAGCCTGGCCAACATGGTGAAACCCTGTCTCTACTAAAAAAATATAAAAATTAGCCAGATGTGGTGGTGGGCACCTGTAGTCCCAGATGCTTGGAAGGCTGAGGCAGGAGAATTGCTTGAACCAGGGATGCATAGGTTGCAGTGAATGGAGATTGCACCACTGCATTACAGCCTAGGAGACAGAGCAAGACTCTATCTCAAAAAAAAAAAAAAAATCCAATTGGGATTATGTATAAAGCTGACCATGTTAAATCCTCAGTCAGTTGAATGGATTTGCATTCCTGTGCTTGTCTTTATAGGTCTTACTTTTCAGTAGTTATTAGAAAAGGGCTGCTTCTTGTAGACTAAACCTTCCTATGTGGATCCCTCAAATTTCAAATTGGGTTTTACCCAAAGCTCCACTCTGGGACCAGAGGGTATGAAGCATCCCATCTCACCTGCCTGCTGCCATGCCAACTTGGGACTTCCTACCTGTGGGTCACTGAGCTTATTCTCACCTTTGTTACCCTGAGTTCTACTCACTGTGACACTTCCATCCTTGGGATCCTTAAGACAACACCACTTATATCTGATTCTACATCTGTCTGACACTATATGTTTTGATCCCAGCAATTACTATCAAGAACCAGGCCACTCTGGCCTTGGAGACACCCTGGCTTTGACATCAGCTTGGTCTTTTAGCTAATGATACTGGCATCTTGCTGCCCCCTTTCCCCATAAGCTGACTTTGCTCTTTTGAGTCTTTATTCCAACTCACATTTCTCCATAATCATCCCTCAAATAGAGGCACTATCCTTTGGGGTAGAACTCAGATACACAACTGCTTTTAATCAGAGTTCCTAGTTTGCTTAAATCCCCTGGTTCTGCTTTCCTCATTCTAACTCATTTCACTTGAGGTCGGGTTCTGACGTTGTATCTTTGTCAATAACCCTAAGCATTCCCTTGGTAAGCAAAACATGTCATACTCAGCTGGATTCAGCCAGAAAGACTATGGGATCCCAGGAGTTTGTTCTAGCATGAAAGGGGAAGAAGCCAGAAACATGTAGAATTAGGGTTGGGGAAACTGACCTTGCTGTTGAGCAGATGCTCTGGGGAAGGTTGCCTGAGAACCAGAGAACATATTGGTGATCTTGCTCCTGATATGAGCCTGTGGCTGTGTCAACATCCAAAGGTTTCAACTGCAAACCAGGAGTTTTCAGGCCCCAGTGATACATTAGATCAAGTAACACTATAGCTACAATAGTCAACATCTTCAATTCAGAACCCCAGTTAGAATCTGGATACTCAGAGGGACAGGTCATGTGAATTGGCCAACATGATTGGGGGTGGTCAAAGGAAGATTGTGAGCAGAGAGGATACCAGGCCTTTGGCAACAGAACTAATACAAATCTATACCATGTGGTGAATGGAAACTCCTGCTACACTTGCTCCCCAGTCAGAGCTGGAGTGGAACCAGCCAGGATAGATGAAGTGTCTCAGGGATTGCTGAGAAGAAATGAAATTTAAAATGCTACTTTTCTTTTTTTTTTTTTTTGGCTTTTTATATAAAGAATTTTTATTTTCTTTTGTTTAAAACACCCATTTATTCTCTCTCAATTTTCATGGATCAGGCCGGGCGCAGTGGCTCACGCCTGTAATCCCAGCACTTTGGGAGGCCGAGGTTAGCGGATCATGAGGTCAGGAGATGGAGACCATCCTGGCTAACACAGTGAAACCCCATCTCTACTAAAAATACAAAAAAATTAGCCAGGCGTGGTGGCGGGCGCCTGTAGTCCCAGCTACTTGGGAGGCTGAGGCAGGAGAATGGCATGAACCTGGGAGGCAGAGCTTGCAGTGAGCTGAGATTGCGCCACTGCACTCCAGCCTGGGCAACAGAGCGAGACTCCGTCTCAAAAAAAGAAAAAAAGAAAAGAAAAAGATATTGGCAGAATTCAGCTGTATGCAATGGAAGGACGGAAGTCCCTGTTTCCTTGCTGGCTATTGCCTGGGGGTCATTCCCAGCTACTAGAGTCTGCCTGCATAGAAATGGTAGGTAGAGTTCTTCTAACACTTCTCTCTGCTCTGCTCTCCTTTTCTACCTTATCTCTCCTGCTTCACCTTCTCCTCCACATACTTCTGAAGGGCTCTTCTGCCTTCCTCTTCTGCTTTTTTCTAATTTTAATTTTTATTGATACATAATCATTGTATCTATTTAGGGATATATGTGATATTTTGACACATTTTCATACAATGTGTAATGATGAAATCAGGGTAATTAGGATATCATCATCTCAAACATTTATCATTTCTTTGTGTTGGAAACATTCTAAATCATTTATTCTAGCTATTTTGAAATATACAAATAAATTATTGTTGACTATAGTTACCCTACTGTGCTATCAAATGGTAGAATTTATTTCTTCTGTGTGACTATATTTTTGTTTCCATTAACCAACCTCTATTCATCCCTCCCTTCTCCCTACCCTTCTCAGCCTCTAGTAAACATCATTCTACTCTCTACCTCCTTGAGATCAACTTAGCTCCCCTATTTGGGTGAGAACGTGTGATACTTGTCTTTCTGTGCCTGAATTATTTCACTTAACATAATGACTCTATTTCCATTCATGTTGCTGCAAATTACAGATTTTATTCCTTTTTTGTGGAGGAATGATATTCCACTGTGTATACATATCACATTTTCTTTAACAGTCATCCATTGACAAATATTTAGATTGACTCCATATCTTGACCATTGTGAATACTGCTGTTATAAACATGAGAATGCAAATCTCTTTGATGTACTGACTTATTTTCTTATGGGTATATACCCAGCAGTGGAATTGCTGGATCATATGGTAGGCGTGTTTTCAGATTTTTGGGAAACCTCCATACTATTTTCCATAGTGGCTATACTAATTTATATTCCCAGCAACGGTGTATGAGTGGTCCCCTTTCTCCACATCCTTGCCAACATTTATTACTTTTTGTGTTTTTGAAAGTAGCCATTTAACAGGTGAGATAATATCTCATTGAGGTTTTGGTTTTCGTTTCCCTGACGATTAATGATGTTGAACATTTTTTCCTACACTTGTTGGCCATTTGTATGTCTTCTCTTGTGAAATGTCTATTCAGATCATTTTCCCTGTTTTAAATCAAATTATTTGTGGCTTTTTGCTATTGAGTTGTTAGATGTCTTTATGTAATCTGGTTATTAATCCCTTATGAAATGGATAGTTTGCATATTCCTCCCCCTCCCCAATTCTGTAGGTTGTCTCTTCACTCTGCTGATTGTTTTCTTTGCTGTGCAAAAGCTTTTTAGCTCAATGTAATCCCATTTGTCTATGTTTGATTTTGTTGCCTGTGCTTTTGAGGTCTTATTTTTTTAAAAATTCTTTGCCTAGACCAATGTCCCGGAATGTTTCTCCAGTGTTTTCTTCTAGTAGTTTCATAGTTTTAGGTCTTACCTTTAAGTCTTAATCCATTTTGATTTATTTTGTTTTTTTCAGAGGTAGATTCTCACTCTGTCACCCAGGATGGAGTACAGGGGTGCTATCACAGCTCACTGCAAGTTTGACCTCCTGGAGTCATACAATCCTCCCACCTCAGCCTCCTGAGTAGCTGGGACTACAGGAATGTGCCATCGCTCCTGCTTAATGATTTTTTAAAAATATTTTAATTTTTCTTGAGACAGGGTCTTGCTATGTTGCCCAGGCTGGTTTTCCAAATTCCTGGGCTCAAATAATCCTCTCCCACCTCGGCCTCCCAAAGTGTTGGGATTACACGTATGAACCACCATGCCTAACCTGATTTTTGCATGTGGTAAGAGATGGAAGCACTATTTACTGAAAAGGGTGTCCTTTCCCTAATACATGTTTTTGGTACCTTTGTCAAAAATGAGTTGGCTGAAAATGCATGGATTTATTTCTGAGTTTTAAAAATTGTGTTCCATTGGTCTGTGTGTCTGTCTGTTTTTATGCCAGCACCATGCTGTTTTGGTTACTATAACTTTGTAGTATATTTTGAAGTCAGGTAGTGTGATGGCTCTAGCTTTGTTCTTTCTGCTCAGAATTGCTTTGATTACTCAAGGACTTTTGCAGTTCCATGTAAATTTTAGCATTTTTTTCTTTTTTCTTGAAGAATGTCATTGGTATTTTGATGGTGATTACAGTGAATCTATAGATTGCTTTGGGTAGTAAGGACATTTTAACAATACTAATCCATGAGCATAGGATATCTTTCCATTTATTTGATGTGTTCTCTTCAATTACTTTCACCAGTGTTTTATAGGTTTAATTGTAGGGATTTTTTTTCACTTCTTTGGTTAAATGTATGTCCAGTTTTTTAAACTTTTTATAGCTATCATAAATGAGATTGCTTTCTCAATTTCTTTTTCAGGTCATTTGCTGTTGGTGTATAGAAATGCTACTGATTTTTTTTAAATTTTTTAAATTTTTTTTTTTTTGAGACAGGGTCTCACTCCAATGCTCAGGCTGGAATGCAGTAGTGTGATCTCATCTCACTGCAGCCTTGAACTCCCAGGCTTGGGTCATCCTCCCACTTCAGCCTTTCAAGTGTCTGGAACCACAGGGGTGTGGCAACATGCCTGGCTAATTTTTGAAATTTTTTGTAGAGGTGGCATTTCACCATGTTGCCCAACCTGGCCTCCAATTCCTGGGCTCAAGTGAGCTGCCTACCTTGGCCTCTCAAAGTGCTGGGATTACAGGCGTGAGCCATCAGGCCCATGCTGATTTTTGTATGTTGATTTTGTATCTCACAAATTTACTAAATACTTTATCAGTGCTAACAGTTTTTGTGTGTGGAATCTTTAGGGTTTTCTAAATATAGAATCATGTCATCTGTGACTAGGAATAATTTGATTTCTTCCTTTCCAATTTGGATGCCTTTTGTTGTTTTCTCTTGCCTAATTGCTCTGACTAGGACTTCCAGTAAATACTATGTTGAATAAAAGTGGAAAAAGTGGGCATCCTTATCTTATTCCAGATCTTAGAAGAAAGGCTATCAATTTTTCCCCATTCAGTGTGATGTTAGCTGTGGGTTCGTCATATATGACCTTTATTATTTTGAGGTATGTTCCTCCTATACCCAATTTGTGGAGACCTCTTAATCATGAAGGTATGTCAAACTTTATCAAATGCTTTTTCAGCATCTATTTAAATAGAAGTTTTTTTGTTAACTTGGTTCTAGCTGTATGTTCTTAAATGATCTCATCTTAATTTTATGCTTATCTAAATGTAATATTTGACACAAATAAGCATGTAATGCTTGGTATCTGTTTTTCCAGAGGGTTATACAGATTTAGTTGAGTTCAGGCTCAAGTCTTCATTTCTTAGTGAGGAAATCAAAAGCACCCTGAGAAACTTTTGCTTCAGATAACTCATGCCTGTAGCACTGTGACCCTGTTTAGCCACATTGTCTGAAGAGTGAGTAATCAAAACTTGATAAGACTTTATATATCATTCTCAAATATTAACATGCATAATAAAAACTGGGAAAACTTATTGCATACAGATTCCTAGGCTCCACTCCTTCAGAGCCCCCCCATTCAGTAGATCTGGGAGAAATGGGAATATGAAATTTTTAAAGCACAACAGGTGATCCTGATAGAGGTTGTTCTGGAAACCCATACTGGGAAAACTAACTTTGAGATGGGTCAGGAATGGTAAAAATTAATTTTAGAAATTTGCCATGCCAGTGAGGCCTCCCAAAGTGTTGGGATTACAAGTATGAATCACCATGCCTGGCCTGGTTTTTGCATATGGTAAGAGATGGAAGTCTAGTTTTTATTCTTTTTGCATGTGGATATCCAGTTTTTCCAGCACTATTTACTGAAAAGGGTGTCCTTTCCCTACTATATGTTTTTGGTACCTTTGTCAAAAATGAGTTGGCTGAAAATACATGGATTTATTTCTTAGCTTTAAAAATTGTGCTCCATTGGTCTGTGTGCCTGTTTACTTCTATGCCAGTACCATGCTGTTTTGGTTATTATAACTTTGTAGTATATTCTGAAGTCAGGTAGTGTGATGGCTCCAGCTTTGTTCTTTCTGCTCAGGATTGCTTTGATTATTCAAGGACTTTTGTGTTTCCATGTAAAATTGCTTCTCATCATGCAATGCTGAATCCCACTTGTTATATTTTTATTCATTCATTGATGCCTGAATTAAAGAATGTATTCATTAATTATTATTTGAGCACTCATCATATGTTCCAGGTTATATATAGTAGGTTCTGGGACATAGCAGTGAACAAAACAGGCAAAAGTCCCCACCCTCCAGGAGCTATATTCTAGAGAAGTAGGATATTCTCTAGACATTAAATAATATAAATAAACCATACATAGTCTCAGAAGGTGACAGGTGATATGGAGAAAAATAGACCAGGGAAGGATTATAGGCAGCACCAGGGGAGAGAAAACAATTACCATTATCATTTTAAATAGGGGTAGTTCGATGTCATTTGAAAGACCACCAGGATGGCTAAATAGTAAAAAAGAGAGCTTCATTTGTGATATCAGCTTGCAAACCAGGAAAAGAAATTCTCCAAAATGTACTCAAGGTGCTTTCTGTTTGAAGAGGGGAAACACAGATTGGGTTTTATGCCTCAGAAGCTCTGTATTAGACAATAGAGTCATACATATTCAGTACGTTTGGGCTAAAAGCGATACAAATTTATAAAGGTAGCTGAGCACATGTGCAATGGATAAAGATATATGTAACATACATCCCAGGTTCATTTTGGGATTTAGCATTAAAGTGAAGTGGACTTTGGTTCTTTACATCAAAAGGTGAAATATAGGACACAAAGACAGTTTGTGTGTAGCCTTTATAAACTGGCCAAAACTGTCTAGAGGTCAGTTGCTTATCAGAAAAACATATAAGGCTAGTCCTCTGTCCAGTAAGAGTTGGAGTGATCTGGGTTGTAAATCAGTTCTGACAATTTGTTAGATACCTGATAGCTCCGATTGTTAGGGAGTTTAACAAGAGTGTGGTTTTTCTTGTAGGGATTTAGAAATTTGCCATGTCAGCAAGGCCCTAAACCCCTGACCCATAGGTAGCATTTTGTTTCTTTAACCTTAAAGTCCATCTTAGTTTGTAAAGGGGCATCTATTTTGGTCTCTCAGATCAGGTGGGGAAGGCCTTACTGAGAAGGTGCTGCTGCAAGACCTGAAGGAGGTGAAGGAGGAAGTTGAGTGCAGAAGTATGACTGGTGGGATGTGCTGTGAACAGCGAGCTAGCCCATGTAGCTGGAACAGAGTCAGCAAGGGTGGGAGAAGTAGGAGATGAAGGGTAGCTGATGGTTATGGAACTTCCTGGACCAGTGTAATGACTTTGGCTTTTATTCTGGAGTGAGAGCTCATCTTTAAAATAGAGAAGCGCATAGATCTGATTTACAGTTTAAAAGAATCGCTCTGGCTGATGTATTGAAAGTAGATTCTAAAACACCAAAATCTTTGTGTGTTTGTTAGGATTAGTCTAGGTTGCAGTCATAAGAGGTCCTAAACAGCAATGGCTTAGAAAAGACAGATTATTATTTCCCAAAGCAGTTTAGGTTGTGATCAGGACTGGTAAAATGATAACACAGCGTCAGGACTCTGTTATTTGCATGGTACTTCCTACCTTTCCAGAGTCAAAAATGGCTCAGCCCCATGGCTGCAGGAAGACAGAAAGGGAAAGAGAGGGCATGCTGCCTTGCCTTTAATTGTGACCTAGATGTTGAGAGAACATCTGTTTCACTCACAATGCGTTGGCTGGGACTCAGGTACATGGCATACCCAGTTGCAAGAGACACTGGGAAAGGAAGTCTTTCATGGTTGTATACCCAAATAAAACTGCTATTACTTAAGAACAGTAGCTCTCAATGTGTGGATCCTAAGCCAGCAGCATCAGGACTACCTAGCAGCTTCTTAGAAATGCAAATTCTTAGGCCCCACCCTAAATCCACTGATCAAAAACTCTGGGGATGGAATCCAGTGATCTTCATTTTAAGGAGCTCTCTAGGTGATTCTGGTTTATGCTACAAGGAGGATAGAAGGAAGGAGACTTGTCAGGAAGAAAAGGAAGCACAGCTTTAAACTATTAATTCTTTCTTCCCTAATATATTATCTAAAGGTGTGTGGATTTTCAGTGTAAATTATTAATTAAAAGAAGTTGAGTCTTAAGGATAAGATGCAACATTATTAGTCTCATTTTAGACTGCAATAAGTATTTTTTTAAAATTTCTTTAGTATTGTGAAGGCTCCACCTGCAAAAGACTATGAAAGAAAAGTGAATGACAAAACATTGCTTCTATTTTCTTCTTAGGCTATATTTATTTTCCTGCTTTGTTTTCTTTGGTTTCCATTCCATCTTGTCAGAAAACTACTGTGTGTTGCCAGAGTTAATTCATATTTCTAAGATGTCTTAAATATCAACACACCATAATGAACAAATGAAAATTGCCATATCTGCCTGGAGAGAAAAAAAAAATGTTTCCTGGGAAAGTCATTCAACTTTCCCCTATTTATAAATAGAGGACTGTCTTGTGCAGAGAACTCAGGAATTAAAGTTAAAAGAATGGAGTTGAAAGTCCAACAACAGGTCCACCTCTGAGACTTTGGACAAGTTACCGGAGATTTGGACCAGAATTTGATTACCAGATAATCTTTAGTGCATGAAGCACTTTATGAACCAAAGAAGGATATCTCGTATTGACAAAAGGGTATAATTTATCAAGAATATTATTAAAATCATGATGATAGTTTCAAAATATGTAACATAAAAACTGATATGGTTAAAATAAAAAATCCACATATTGACAATCATCTAATGTGTCTTTAACATATGTTCTTCAGAAATCAACAGATCAAGTTGATATAAAACAAATTAAGTAGCACAAATGATTGCTCTGTGTTGAGATACCACAAATCAGAGGATACACACTATTTTCAGTCAATCCACATTCACAAACCTGAATATATAGTAAACACAAAATTTGGTATAACCCCCATTCAGAGAATACACATTATTTTTGCTCAGTCAACATTTAAAATTGACTATATTACCTACAAAAAATTTCTCAATAAGTCCCAAGCAGTTATATTCTTTGGGCACAGTGTAATAAAAGTAAAAATTAAAATAAAATAATACTAATAAATTACCCCATTAGTAACTTATATTAAAGAAGAAGTTAACAGCAGAAATTAAAAACTTTTAGAAATGCAGCCATACCTCATTTTCGGGGGGACTTGTTTTATTGTGCTTCACAGATATTGCATTTTTTAGCATATTAAAGTTTTGTGGCAACCCTGCATCGAGCAAGTCTATCAGTGCCATTTATCCAACATCATGTGCCCATTTCATGTCTCTGTGTCACATTTTGGTAATTTTCATAATATTTCAAACTTTTTGTTATTATTATATTTGTAGTGGTGATCTATGATCAGTAATCTTTAATGTGACTCTTGTAATTGTTTTGGGGCACCACAAAGTGGTCCCATATACATGGCAAACTTTATATATGTTGGGTGTGTTCTGACTACTCCACTCACTGGTCATTTCCCATCTCTCTCTCTCTCTTTTTAGGCATCTCTATTTTCCACAAAGCAATATTGAAGTTAGGCCAATTAATAACCCTACAATGGCTTCTAAGTGTTTGAGGGAAAGGAAGAGTTTCATGTCTCTCACTTGGAATCAAAAGCTAGAAATGATGAAGCTTAGAGAGAAAGGCATGTCAAAAGCCACCATGAGCTGAAACCTGGGTCTTTTGTGCCTAACAGCCAAGTTGTGAATGCAAAGGAAAGGTTCTTGGGAGAAATTGAAAATGTTATTTGTGTGTTCACAAATGATAAGAATGAGAGCAAAACAACCTTATTTCTGATATGGAGAAAGTCCACGTGATCAGGATAGAAGGTCAAACCAGCCATAACATTCACTTAAGCCAAAGTCTAATCCAGGGCAAGAACCTAACTCTTTAAGTCTGTGAAGAGTGAGAGAGGTGAGGAAGCTGCAAAGAAAAGTTTAAAGCTAGCAGAGCTTGGTTCATGAGGTTTAAGGAAAAAAGCCATCTCCATAACATAAAAGTGCAAGGTTAGGCCATAAGTGCTGATAGGGAAGTTGCAGTAAGTTATCCAGAAGATCTACCTACAATCATTAATGAACATGACTATGCTAAACAATAGATTTTTTATGTAGATGAAACAGCCTTATCCTGTATTAGAAGAAGAAGCCATATAAAACTCCCATAGCGAGTCAGGTGCGTTGGATCACACCTATAATCCCAGCACTTTGGGAGGCTAAGGCAGGAGGATCACTTGAGCCCAGGAGTTGAGGACCAGTCTGGGCAACATGGCAAAACCCAGTCTCTACCAAAAATATAAAAATTAGCCAGGTGTAGGGGCATGTGCCTGTAATCCCAGCTACTTGAGACTTGCGAGGCTGAGGTAGGAGACTCGCTTGAACCCAGGAGATCAAGGCTACAGTGAGCCATGATCATGCCACTGCTTTCCAGCCTGGGTGGAAGAGCAAGACTGTCTCAAAAAAAGAACAACAACAACAACAAACCCCCCCAAAACAAAAAGCTCTCATAGCTAAAGAGGAAAAGTCAATGACTGTCTTGTGAGGGGCTAATCCAGCTGGTGACTAAGTTGAAACCAGTGCTCCTTTACCATTCCAAAAATCCTAGGTCCGTTAAGAATTATGCCAAATCTACTCTCCCTTGTGCACAAATGGATGACAGCACATCTGTTTAGAGCATCGTTGGGTGAATATTTTAAGCCCACTATTGATATCCACTACTCAGAAGAACAGATTCCTTTAAAAATATTAATGCTCATTGACATTGCACCTGGTCACTCAAGAGCCCTGATGGAGACGTACAAGGAGATTAACAATGTTTTCATGCCTGCTAACACAACACCTATTCTGCAGCCCATGGATTAAGGAGTAATCTTGACATTCAAGTATTGTTATTTAAGAAATACATTTTGTAAGGCTATAGCTGCTACATACCATGGTTCCTCTGATGGACCTGAACAAAGTAAATTGAAATGACCTTCTGGAAAGGATTTACCATTCTAGATGCTATTAAAAACATTCATGGTTCATGGTAAAAGGTCAAAATATCCACATTAATTGAAGTTTAGAAGAAGCTGACTCTAACCCTCATGGATTACTTTGAAAGATTCAAGACTTCAGCAGAGGAAGTAACTGCAGAGACGTCTGGTGAACAACAAAAGAACTAGAATTAAAAGTGGAACTTAAAGATGTGACTGAATTGCTGCAATCTCAGAATTGAACTATAATAGATGAGGAGTTGCTTCTTATGGATGAGCAAAGAAGGTGTTTTTTGAGATGGATTCAGCCTGGTGAAGAGGCTGTAAACATTGTTGAAGTGACAACAAAAGACTTAGAAGCTTACGTAAATGTATCTGATAAGGTGGTAGGGTTTGAGAGAGTTGACTTCAATTTTGAAAGACATGCTACTGTGGGTAATATACTATCAAATGGCATTGCATCCTACAGAGAACTCTTTCAGAAAATAAACAACCAATACAACAAACTTTATTGTTATTTTGTTTTAAGAAACTGACACAGCCACCCCAATTTTCAACAACTATGACCCAGTCAGCAGCCATCAACATGCAGCCAATAACATGGAGTCAAGACTCTCTACCAGCAAAAATATTAGGACTCACTGAAGGATTAGATGATTGTTAGCATTTTTTAGCAATTAAGTATTTTTAATTAAGGCATGTACATTATTTTTTACACGTAATGCTATTGCATACTTAACAGACTACGGCATAGTATATTATAACTTTTATATGCACTGGAAAACCAAAAAACGTGTGTGACTTACTTAATTGCAATATTTGCTTTATTGCAGTGATCTGGAATTGACCCCAAAATATCTCTGATATTGCTTATAATCTGCAATATCAAAACTTGTTTGAAACAGCCAAAACAGAGAAATATTTACAGCCTTGGTGCTTAAGATAATATTAAAAACATTGTTGCACTGCTTATATGATACGGAGAAAGATGAGGAATAAACTAAACATTTAAGTAAAGAAGCCAAACATGATTAATAAAGAAAATCCTTTAAAGAACAGTAATTAAAAATCTAAATGCAACAACAAGCAGAAAACAAAACAGTAGACTTAATAAAATCAGAAGATTCTATGCAACATAGACAAAATGTTTGGTTAAGGACAAAAGAGGTGATGCAAACAAACTATATTAGGAATGAGAAAGATGACATAAATGGAATCATGAAAGGAATTTTAAAATAAAATAGTATAATAGTTTAAAACAATTGATTGGAATATAGATTGGACAGACAATTTTCTAGGAAAATGTGAATTGCTAAATTTGAATCACAAAGGAAAAGAAAATTAAAACATACTAGTGACAATTATGGTAATTAAAAATCGGTAAAAGATCTGCTCCCAAAAGAAGGCAAAGGATCTGGGTAGATTTCAAGGAATGATAAATTTTGATACTTTATACACTATCCCAAAGCATAGAGAGCTTTAGGAAAAAAGGATAATTTTTTAATTCACTCAAAAGGGTTAGCATCATACTAATATTTAAGCCATACAAGAATAGCACTAAAAAAAAGCCCATATGTTATAACTCATTTATAAAAGGAGGTGAAAAGTCTTAAATAAATTGTTAGTAAATAGAATACAAAGGTATCAAAAATATAAAACATAAAGACGTGAACTGATTCCAAGAATGAAATAATTATTTAACATTTGAAAAAATTATAAGTGCAATTCTTCAGAAAAGGTTTAAATATAATTACCTAGAAACATTCTAAGGACAATCCCCTAGACTCATTAATGCTACTATAACTTAATGAAATTTATACTCATGCCTTAATTTTTAAAAATCTATTTTAGCAAACAAAGGAAAAAAACACTTTCTTAGCTTGAAAAGGCTATTGACTATAAATCTACAGTAAGCATCATAATGTTGCAACATTGGAAACATTCCTAATACAATCAGGAATAAGACAAGAATTTATGCTATTACCACTACTATTCAAGCAGGGCTCCTAATAATGCAATATAATAAGAAAATTAAATAAAGGCAAAAAATATCATTATTAGCAGCCATAATGATTGCCTACTTAGAAATCAAAAGAGAATCAACTGAGAAGCTTTCACACCTAATAAGAGAGTTCAACAAGAAAAGCAGATATAGATAAGAATGGTTAAATTTCACCAGCAACGGTCAAAATATTTATAATAACAATGAATTCAAAATAAGTACAGATAAACTTAATAAGAAATTTTCAAAACCTTTATGAATAAAGCTATAAAACTTTACTGAACAAAGATAATACCTGAATAAATGGAGAAATATCCTGTGTTTATAAAAGGTAAGATTTACTACTTTAAAATTATACATTAGCACCTATATATTTATAGATTATATATTTAATAAGTTGTAATAAAAATTGCAAGAGGATTTATCAATAGAACTTTAGATAATTCTAAAGGTCATCTGAGAAAAATACACAGAAATAGAAAACTTTTTGGGATAAAATAAGGAATGATTTCTACTCAATATGAAAACATATTATAAAGCTAGAAAGATTAAATCATTAAAGTATTATTTTAGAAACAGACAGATTAGTAGAACACAAGAGAGTCATAAAAATATTCATTTGTATGTGATATTTAGTTTATGGTAAAGAAAATTTGTTCTATCAGTGAGCAAAAGATAGAGCTTTCAACAAATGGCACAGAGATGATTGGCAACCAAAGCAAGGGAAAAAATGGTTTTTAAATAACATCATGTACAAAAATAAATTGCAGACACATTAAAAGGTTAAATATTAGAAAGAAATACAGGGGACAAGTTTTGTAATTTTGGTGGTTGGAAAGTCCTTACTATATAAGATTTACAACCTAAAGACATAAAGGAAAAGACTGAGCTTTTACTACATTAAAATTAAAAGCTGCTGATCTATGAGTGATACCATAAACAAAGTAAAAAATAAAGCAACACACGGAGCAAAACAGCAACATAGCTGTATTTATTGTTATCTATTTAAAAGGTGAAGATACATATTCACAGTGTATAATGTTTTATAAGCGTTTAGGAAAAAGACAAATAATATAATTGAAAAAATTGACAAAGACTGAACAAAAATTATATGCAGAAGAAATATAAATGTACATAAAAAAAGTGAAAAATGATCAGTTTCATTAGTGTTCAAGAAAGGGCAAATTAATATACAAACAATTTTTTCTCATTAGATTGACAAAAATAATATTAAAAGTCAACAGATAACATTCAAAATTGAAGTATGGGCAAATTTCATATTCTCTGTGGTTATATAAATTGGGCTGACACTTTTAGAACACAAATTCCCAATATTTTGATTAGAGAAAATTTACAAATTTAGGTAGGTCTCACACCAGTTTTACTTCTGGAGGAGATGGAGGGTAAGATTGGAGAAGGGAGGAGAAAAAATACTCACTTTGTATACTTCTATATCACTGAATATTTTAGAGTAAGAATATCTTCATTACTTAATACTTATGTATTACTTAATGTATTTACTTTAAAAAATAATTGCATTGAGTTAGAACTGTCTACACAAATAGAAAATGCACCCAACTTGAAGCACAAATGTATTAATGAGAGTTCACTTTTGTGTCAAGTGAGGACACGTCCCTCTAGAATGTATAGCTTAGATTACAAATTACCAAAATGTCATCTCATTTGTAAGAAAACACAAGACATGGTTTGCTCACAGTCTCTCTACTGCTACTGAAACTTTTGTAAACATTCTTTTTCCCTTTTAATGAACATAAATTCAACTTCTCTGTTGATTCCCAGAGACTCCTTAGTTGTTTCCACTGCATATGCCTCACTAAATCAGACTTCAGTTAATTAAATTCGCTTTACAGCTGCTACAATTCTTTTGGGCCATTAGGCTTAAGGGGATCTATTAAAAATATAATTTTATGATGTCAAATTCAAGAGAAAAATGGAAGATATTGGACTTGGGCAGAAAGGTGAACTATTTCTAAGCAAATAAAGAAAGCCACTCTACCCATTATTCTTTTTTTTTTTTAATAAACAAGTTGAGAAAACTCTTCTGCTCATCCATTATACTTTCTTAGCAAAACTCCAAACTAGGCTCAACCTTAGCAAAACTCCAAACTAGGCTCAAGCCTGCTCTTTGTCTAAATCTGTATTGCCAAGTCCTGCTAAAGAAAATTATAGAACCACTGAGATGAGTATGATTAAAACTACAGTCAGTGACCCAAACTGGGCCCTCAACGCTCAGGATTTATTTATTCTCCCAAAGCTCCATTCTCCTCAATCCTAGACCCATGTGTGCTGCTTTGCGTTCTACTTCACTGAGAAACTAGATGCTGCTGCAATGGATATCCCTCTATTTCCCACTGAGGAGCCTATAAAACCACCCTCCCTCCTTCATTCTGTACTGTAAGAGACATTACTCTTTCAGTCTAAGATTATTGGACTCCACAGTGATCTGGGTCCCAGCACCTATAACTCTCACAGGGACCTCGCTCTATTGATAAATCTCTCCTTCTTGCTATTTCTACTTCTCTCTTTCTATTGGCCTCTTCCCACTATTATTTCAATATGCTTAAGTCGTTTTCTTCTTACAAAATGAAACCCCCACTTAAACCCACATCTGCCTCCAGCTTCCATGCTCCTTTCTTTTATAGTCATGCTTCTGGAAAAAATATTGTCCTTATATGAATGGAAGTATGTTTAAGTTATTAATACCAAATAATTACTCACAATATTTCACACATCTCTTTCTCCCTATTTAAGCAGGTAATTGCCTTTTTGATCATTTTCTCAAGAGAATGATTGACCGGGGAGAAATTAGAATGTGACTTTGAGTCTTCTCTTTAATTCCATTGTGAAAAAAGATGTTCAGACTGTAGATAAAATATTTGGGGAAGGAGAGAAAAGAATTGCTGTGCTTGCCCTGTCATTCCCTCTCCCTGTTGAAGGATGCATTTGGGTTGAGGGTAGGAAAGAAGAAGGGCAAGTAGCCTCATAGATGTGGCACTTCCCAGTGAGGGCAGTAGATTGAGAGGACAAAGGTAGAAGGCCTCGCTCTTTAGGAGGCCCCAGAAAGAAATGTCTTCCTTGTGTATCTAGCCATTGGGACCATGAATGCTTGTTTCCAAAGTGTGGCATAGAAGTTGAGTGGGAGCCTCAGAACTTAAGAGGCCCTGAAAGCGCAAACAGGGGATGTCTAAGTTAGAAGCATCCTGTATGTATCAATGGGTGAAAAACACCCTCTCGCAACATTCCCGAGTGCCAAACCTCCTCCGAAACTTGATTAGATCCCAAAGATGGGAGAAGCCTCCAAAAGAGGTGATAGTTTGTGTCTCTCTAACATGTGCAATTGAAACAGCATAACCAAATATCTAGGCTGAAATTTATGTCAAGGTAAGCAACAACTGTCATTCGTGCTAGATCTAATGGATGTGTTTTAGACATTTTCATATTTGACCTATAACAGGTGACTTCGTTGACCATTCCTTCCTTTAAACCCTCTCTTTTGGTGGAATCTCATGACACTAAAAAATTCTGATACTTTTACTATTATTTTTTTTTTTTGCAATTCAATCTCTCTTATGAATTCTTCTACTGCTTGCTCTGTAACTGATGCTACTTATTCTTTCATTTAACAAATGTTTGTTCAGTATCCACCATGTAGCTGGCACCGTTCTCAGCACTGGGCATACAACAATCAACAAGGCAAATTTGGCCCCTTCCCTTATAGAGTTTACAGTCTAGTGTAACTGAGAAACTGAATGTGAACAAGGACCTGATGAGTGAGACCCAACATGAACCAAGACCAGGTTTGAATCACACACTTCCATCCCACTCCATGATTTTGCCAGAAATAATTAATTCAAATTCCTCTGTAGTAAGGACTTAGACATCTCTAAAGCAAGCCAGATATCTGTTTAGAAGCTCTGGCCACCTTTCATCCATCTGCCTCGTGGATCTTATCTCTTGAAATCTTTTAGCACTTCAAACTCAAGATCTCAAAAATTGGTCTGTTTTCTTATTCTGTGAATGGCATCCTATTATCAGGCAAAGCACTTGCCTCTTGTTCTTTTTTTCTCTCTTACCTTCATCCTAAGTTCCTAAGTTCTATTATGATATATCCTATCACTTGAATTTACCCCCTATTAACTCTTGCCTAGATTACTAAAAAAGGTGCCTAACTGCTCTCTATTGGTTTTAATCAAATCCCACTCAAACCATTCTTCACAGTACAGTCAGAGCCACCTTTTTAAAAATATATAATTTGGGAGTGGGATTTTTAAGAAAAATAATACAAAAGAATACAGCTTTTATCAGGACTCTCTCTGCTTAAAACTCTTCAGTGATTTCCCCAATATTCTTGAAGGAAAGCCCACCCATTCATATGGCCCATAAGTTACTGCCTGATGTTATACCTATAACCCTTCCTACTCTCATCTCCTCCCCAAAACCTATGCCCTTGAATACCATTCCTGCATCTCATAGCACAATTTAGTAATCTAATTTTTTTTCCAATTTTTTAGTCATGCCATGAACTCTGTTACATCCAGTTCTTTCTATCAGGAGTTTTACATTATTGCCATTTCCTTCCCACCTTCATTGGGAAACTCCTAATTCATCCTTCAAGTCTTGGCTTTGACTTTGTGGAGGAGTTGTATCCCTCCAGCAGGTTGCCATGCGGTACTTTTCTTGTAATATCCCTTAATCACTTTGTATTGTGATATTTACTTATTTGTAACCTTCCATCAACAGTAAGCCTTTGAGGGCTAAGATTCTCTATTATTTTCACCATTGTCTCACATGTATGAATGCTTGATATATATATATATTTATATATAAATATATATATTTATATATAAGTATATATATAAAATATATATATACTTATATATAAATATATATATGTACACACTTTACATGTACTTATTGGCATTTTAAATAAATAAATGTATGCATACTGTAGAACTTCTAAATGGAACTAAAGCTAGCAATATTTATAGTAGACCAAGAAGGCTTTTGAGTTTTTCATTTGACTAAATGCTATATGAGATGCTGAGAGATCTTAGGTAGTGACCCCTGTTATTAGGCAGATGAAAAACTGTCACCTGGATTTCCCTTTAAGGAAGACTTACTGTGAAGCTGGTGGAGCTGAAATTTCAGAGCCCCTCAGATGCACAGTATCTTCCAAAGTCCCAGAAGGGACCTACCAGTGTAATCACAGTCCTGTGATATTGTAAATTTTAAAAAAGCACAGTATTTTAACCACAGTGGTCTCTTTCACTCCAGCTTCTCTTCTGTCATTATTTTTCCTGTTATCCTGTCATGCTGGATTAGCTGGAGGCATTTCTGAAAACTGGCTAAGGGGAAACTGAATCCTGGATACATTTAGTTTGGATTTCGTGGGATATACTAGTTGAATTGGCAGTTATTTCTGTTCAAGTAAGTTGTCATTAACTAATTAAAATATTACATTATTTTTCTGGATGTTCTGATGTTTGTTGTTTTAGTCAGTTTTTTAAAGTTTGTAATTTTAATGAGTTCTTTTTTATAATTAATAGATAATAACTTTTATACTTAATTTTGTATATATAATTTTGTATTTTTTTCCTTAAAGGGCCTACTCCCAAATTACATAAGTTTCTGGCCCCACATTTACCTGGATGTTTCTTCAGTTTTTCTGAATATAAACAAAAGGAATGGACTGTGGGGCAGGAGGAAACAGACTGTGGGTTCTCTCCCAATCTGTTTTCTACTTATCTTCCTGGCAAGGTCCTGTTAAGATGTCAAGAGTCACAGAGTCACACCGATGGCAGGGAATGCGGAGCCTGGAGAGAAGACACTTCATTTCCAGGTCCCAATGTGCACTAAGACTGTCCTTAGAATGGTTCCTCTTCATTCCACTGACCACATTCTCTGAATTTGTCCCTTTACCACGGTCTACCCTATCCAACCCACTAAGAATGCTAAAATCATACGACACCTCCAGAAAACAATGCAGATGAAAAATGCCATAGATATTATGATACGTTTTTGTTTCCAACAGTTTTTTAATCTGCCTTCTATCTGTACTAATACTGGAGATGGTCCCCTCCATCAAGAAGATCTTGATCTAATAAAGGTGGAGACAGGAAAATAGGCAACCGCACATAATCCCAAGCACACACAGCTGATGACCCAGATGTCTATCTTTAGGATGGTCTTGCATTTTTGTACTTACTCAACAAATACAAATTGAACCCAAACTCTATGCATAGAGTTATATATCTAAATGGGAGGCAGACAAAGAAAGTACTCAACTGTGACCTTTGTCAAAATAGTGTCTGATTTTAACTGGAACCAAGAGATACCAGTGAACTGTCAGTTGACAGTCTCAGGAAAATCTCACCATGGTTAATTGAAAGCAGAGAAACAAATTTCAGTTTCTGCCAAAAAGCCTTAGTGGTGTTTAAATAAGTTAACATGTGTAAAATGATCTAATGTTGAAAATATTCTGCTTCTGCTTCATAATCAAAATGAAAAAAACCCTCAGAGGAAATGTAAAATTATGAGCTTGTCTGCCAGCTTCACTAAGGCATACATCTCTTAGCTTCCAACTAGACAATTGGCTATTTCATGTTATTACATAGCAACACGACCGTTCTCAACAGTAAATGACTAATCAGCAAGGGATAGGGAATAATGTCATTTGTTTTCAGGAAATCTCAGGAAAGTAAAGAAAATATGCTGTATCTAAGCTGCAATTAGCATGCATGCTATGCTAAACTTTCTTCTCTCTCTTGTGTGATTCTCACCCTGATGGAGTGTAATGTTTTATAAGGTCAAGGAAAGAAAATTAAGCCTCTGCAGCAGAGGTATCATTTATTGAGAATCTGTTATTTCCATGTATTATCACGCTGAATTCTCACAAGAACCCTGCAAGATAAATATTTTCATTTTACAAATGAGAACCCGGCTTCAAACAAGTTACATAACATACCCAACGCAGCTAGTAAGTAGTTGAGTCAGAATTTAGACTCAAGTCTTTCTGCACCAAGTTATATTCTGTGGCACAATGCAAGGTATTTAGTTCCTCTATATATGACTCCGGCTTGTTTAGACTTTTCAAAAGGCCACTCCTTGGGCTTAGAAAGGATGTGAACAGAGCTGGCCACCACAGATACCTAGCTGACTCTGATCACCATGGGGCATAGAGTATACACACTGCATAGAGTTGGCCCCTGTAATACTTCTGTCGAAAAGCAGTGTCTAGAAGGGATGGCCTTGGAGGTGTTAGTTGATTGCTCTAGAAAATATGGGTGAATTTGGGAAGACTGGTCCTTTTTCCTTCTACATCTCAGATATCAACTGAGAGAACTAACTCTTCCCCTAAAGTCATCACATAAATATGCCTAATACCATGCAAGAAATCTGCCTAGATAGATAAAATCCATCCAGTCCTTCATAGCATTAAAGGCATGCCCTTCCATGTTTCAATGTTTGGCTCTCTTTTGATCACAGGATAAATCCAAACTCTCAAGAATAGCAAATCTTTAAATAACTACTCCTTACCCTAACCCATGTGTCCTCTAACACAGGGAACAATTCAATATTTTCCAACCTTCTTTTTACTTTCACATTTCTGTATGCCTTGGCTCACTGTATTCCATCTCCTGGAAATGCCTCCTGCACCTGCTTCTCTGGTAAAACTCTTGGTTCTCCAATATGTAGCTCAGTTAAAGTATTTCTGAAGAATCTCTTGATCCCTTCAAGCAAAATTAACTTTTACAGCCTCTGAGCTCCTGAAATAATTTGTGTAGGCCTTTATGAGAGCATTAATAATATTATAGCATGATTACGTAACTGTCTACCTGTCTTAGTCGTCTACTGGATTACATTATTTCCTATTTCCTATTCATATCTCTAACTAGGTTCAATAAATAAATGGGTAATGTCCTCATTTATCAGGCTTCACTCTTTCTTCTATTTTATTTAAGTTAAAGTCTTATACTATATTTGTCTTCTTTTCTCTTTTGGTAGTATGAACTCAGAGTATTTGATTTGAGGGAAATGTATAGTTATATTCCAGAAGCCAAAAGAGAAGAAGAAGGAACAGAAGTAGAAGGGGTGGTTATAGAACTAGTAAAAGGAGGCAGAGCTGGGGACATTTTTTACCAGGCTTTCTGCAATGAGAATAATCTGTTTTTGAATGAGTCTTTTTTTTTTCTTGCCCTCTCTGTTAGAATGCAGTTACACATGTCACATTTGAAATGTTCCTAGGAGAGGATGAATACAAAGCATGACAAAAAGGTCTTTTTCTAAACTGTCCAATATTCTTTAGAGATACCTTAGTTCAACTGAGGTCATGGGTAAACAGATAGATGTATTGCTCATTGAACTGAGTGCAGCATGGTACAGTTGAAAAAACATGCAGATTGCAGCTAGAAGTCCTGAGGTTGCTCACCAGCTTTGCCATTTATACACAGTGTGTCCCTGGACAGGTTATATAACTTCTCCATGCCTCACCCCACTAGCCCCCAACATTAGAATTACAACAGCTCCAAATAGCATAAAATATCTCAATGTCTGGTTCAGAGTAAGTGCTCATTAATGCTATTTATCTTCCTTTGAAAAAAAAAGACATTTTTACATTAAGAATTAAGTATATTCAGCAATTTCCTCAAAATTACAATGGATATAATGGGAAATTTTTCTAATTCCTCCAGTCCTTAGTTTGAGAAATGCTATAGAATGCTGGTTGTAACATAAGTGAGACAGAATTAGTTATCCCAGATGGGAAAGTAAGGACAGTACTGAGCTTGAATTCCTTTTAATGAACTCCCCTGCTCCAGATAATGAAAAGAAAGTTCTATTTCTTGGATCTTGGAAAGAAATGTTTTTAGAGAGAAAACCATACATATTATTCATGCTGACAATATGGATATGCTCAACCTATGAACCAAAACAGTCTTAGTTAATGACAAGCTGTAATATGCATTTTTGCTAAAATGTACCTAATTGGAAGCTTTCATAAATTGTTTGTGTGGTTTTCCCTTTTTCCTTTCAAAATAAATAAGTACATACATAAATAAAACTGGGGTGTTTGTGGTAAAATACCCCAGATTGTTAGTGAACAGGTTTATCCTGAACTTTTCTATTTCCATATAGTAAATATCACTGCTGAGTGTCAATAATGTTAGAATTTACTTCAGAAAAATGCTACTAATGGTATAATTTGAGCACCATCTATATGTATATAGTATTTTATTAAGGTAACATGAGCACAGTATGACACTACTTGTGCAATTTTGAAAGGTTAATTGAATTGTTGAACAATATTTTAATTTATTCTAATTTGCTTCATTGGAATTCTTCCTTCTAATAGTTTTGAATATCTTTGCATGCATTAAAGTCTACTAAATTCCTTTTTACCCAAATATACATTTGTGGCCACATTTGAAATTTGAACCCCATTGTTAGCTAAATGTCAAACCCTTTAAAAATCTTTTCATTAAAGCTCTTTTTTTTTTTCCTGAGAGTTGAAGTCATCTTATTCACATTATTTCCTGAAAAAGAAAGTGCTTGGTTATCCAAAAGTCTTATTTCTATCTTTTATATAGGGTACAGATAAAGACTATAGTGCTTTTATAGGTGTGGCAATGTTGCCAAATAAATTTCTAGAATTTCATTTTTATAAGTACAAGTCAGAAAATTTGATAAATTGCAAGTGTGGAATCAGAGGCCTGTATGTTAAAATAGATCATTACTATACAAGCAAGTGGCACACTGCTACCACCATAAGACATTTTCATTATTTCCCATTCACAACAGACACCATGATTTTCCCACCAGTCATAAAGATCATCTTAAGTAAAGAGAGAGAGCAACAATTTCAGAATGAGATGTTTTAAGAATATTTTATGAACTTATTCCAAAAATCAGTGAGTAAAACAGAGAAAATAAATTCACTCTTGAGTTCTAGATTCTACAGTCAAATCCACACCAACAGTCAGAGGGTGTCCTTTTTCTGTCTTTTAGAATTACAGATGTGAGAAAACTGCCACCAAAATATATTTTCAAAGTGTTAAAGTATACGTATCGGAAGATAAAAATCATGACTCTAAAAAACTTTATTTAACTCTTCAATTTATGAGGGACTCAATAAGTGTTATGACTGCCTCAAAAATATTCAAAATGCTAGGATATTTATAGGAGATTTAGCAAAGAAATGTTAGGATAAGATTGCTGATTTTGATTAAAAAGAAAAACGAAAGGGGCTGGGCACGGTGGCTCAAGCCTGTAATCCAAGCACTTTGGGAGGCCAAGGTGGACAGATTATGAGGTCAGGAGTTCGAGACCAGACTGGACAATGTGGTGAAACCCGTCTCTATTAAAAATACAAAAATTAGCCAGGCATGGTGGCATGCACCTGTAATCCCAGCTACTAGGGAGGCTGAGGCAGGAGAATTGCTTGAAAGTGGGAGGTGGAGGTTGCAGTGAACTGAGATCATGCCACTGCACTCCAGCCTGGGCAAAAGAGAGAGACTCTGTCTCAAAAAAAAAAAAAAACGGGCTCCATTATAGTCCAACAGATCATAAGTCTTTGGCACCATTTATTTCACTAAACAAAAATTATTTTCATCGTTACTGGACAAAAATCTATCAGTAAGGTAACTTCATTAAGTCTGGGACCTTTTGTCAATAACTAACAATAAGATGAACTAAGAACATTCTTCTAGCCAGTCCTTGAGTGGCCTTTCCCCCAATATTATATGAAAAAAGCATACCACAATTTTATGCCTTTTTTCCAGTTTTTGATAATTTTTCTGACAAAAATAGTAAATTGTGCAGGCGATGCTTCTCAAAAGTTTTAAAGTACCACCAGTAAATATCTATATTTCACTAAAACACTGTTATGAGTATTGATTCTTTGGTTTGTTTTCTTGTATGTAAAGAATTGTAGAAAGCTCACTCCGTACTCTATTAGCAGATATGAAAATTGAGTTGCAAATCTGTAGTGAGTACTAAGGTTACACTTGAAATACACATTGTACTGTTTCATATTTTAAAGCCATTACCTTTTTTTCATGACACATGAATTTCTATAGCTTTTGAAAGGGCAGAGTACACAGATACTCTCTATCATGGTTGTCAGATAAAATGACCTTGCTCTGACCGATGTGGACCTACCCAGAATTACATTTCCACAAGGTTGATGAATTGTTTTTGCAATATCCATGTCTATATGCCTCTGCCTAAATACCAAGGTCTTTCATGTTTCTCCCAAAATAGTTCTCTGCAATTTCCCAACATACAGGCTTGATTTGGGCACATATCAAGGTCACTTAGAGTCTCTGCATGAGGACAAAGGCTCTGAAGCCAGATTCATTGCTTTGAGTCCTGATTAAGAGGCTCCAGGCAAGTTGCTCAACCCCTCTAAGAACCTCTTCTCATTTTTAAAATGGGCCAATAACATTACCCTCTATGGAGGGCTCCTGTGAAGATTAATGAATACATTTTAGTCATTTAGGGCATTAATTGTGGCACAGTGAGTGCACAATAATTGCATAATACATAGGTTATATACAAATAAATATCATTGTATTTATAATAATAATAAAGTGTCAGCTTTTTTTGGTAACTTCAGCCTTCTCATTCTCTATTCTGTGTTTCTTAGATTTTTTTTTCTTTTCACTTTTGTCTCTCCTCCCACCTGGAAAATGCTCTCAATCTGTGCCATCTTTCAATGCTGTACCACAATCTCCAGTTTCTCTAACTCCTAATGATCTCTTCTTCTAAACAGCCATTGCATTTAATTGTATATTACCTTACAACATTTGCTGCTATTTCACATATGCAGCTATTTCTGCTGTTAGACATAAGCATCTTGAGGACGGTGTGACTTCAAGTGTGTACTAATTTTTATAAGGTATCCTTCTACCTAGGAAAACAGGCTCCAGCCTAAATGCTCCAGGCTTAAAATAAATTAGAATAAGGGTAATAAAAAGCAGGTACAGTGCCATTAAGCCAAACCTCTCCTCCCAACTACTCTGCACCCACCAATCTGTGGGTGTGATGTCAGTTGGCTTCCACGGGAATCTATGCTTATGGGGCTGCTCTCTGCATTTGATTTTGCTGCTCTAGTGTCCCGGAGAGCAGTCTAAGAAAACACAGATGTATAAAAGCCTGGGAAGACATCATGAAACAGTTCGTATTTTGTTTCCATCTTCAAGAAAATCTTTGGACTGTCTGTTGTGCACTAAACTAAACTGAGTACCAGTGGTCTACAGGACATTGTTCTTTCTCTCAAACTGCTCACAGTTTTATGAGTACAACAAGAGTTTTACTAATTTATATTTTTGTAGATCCATAATAATTTTAATAATCTGTATCAATTTTAAATATGAGACCAGAAAGATTTACAATCAATCTCAATTATGGATCATTTATTTGGTTCTCCACCTCTCCACTTATTTCTGCTCCCTAGATCTTTCTGTAACATGGTAGAGCTCTACGGGGAAAGAAGAGTTCACAAAAACTTTTTGCAGCCACCTTCAGCACAGCTCACACCACCAACTACTTGAGCCCAAGCAGCACTTGTTCTGTGTACTGTGGCTCATCCCCAAATCGGTTCCATTGCTGCTGCTGCTGGTGGTATCAGAACTGAAGCTGTGTCTGCCCCCTGCATTTTTGCCATGATCCTCTGTGAAAAGTGTCCTTGTGTGTAGGCTCACCAGCTGTCCTGGTTGCCTGTGACTGTCTAGGTTTGAAGCACTGGAAGTCCAATGTCTCAGAAAATCCTGAACGCCCAAGCAAACTGGAATAGTTGGTCACTGGGACATATATGCACAGCTGAACCTTCTTCCAGGCAGTGTGTTAGAGACTCTGCATCCACCAACTCCTACACCAGGCACTAAGTCTACTTCCTGATTCTTTCTTTAAAGCATTTTAGGTCAATTTCTCCTGCTAGAATTCTGTATCACTCAACACCACTCTCCTGAAGGGATGAAATAGGTTACCAACAAGCATCATGCAGTGTTTTTCTGTTCCTCTCCTCTATGACAGCATTGGATTCTATTATCCTTCCTCCCTACTATTGCCCTCAGCAGCTTTAGCCCCTCTTTCCTTCTCCTCTCCCTCCCTCCACCCAATCCCCAGAGGTTCTGCCTTTTGAGAAGAATCAACCATTAGCTCTCCAAAAGGTTGCATATTTGTCTGATTACTTTTTGAGACAGAGTCTTGCTCTATCACCCAGGCTGGAGTGTAGTGTCATGATCATGGCTTACTGCAGCTTCAACCTCCCAGGTTTAAGTGATCCTCCTGCCCCAGCCTCCCTAGTAGCTGGGACTATAGGCATGCACCACCATACCTGGATAATTTTTTTATTATTTTATTTTTTAATTTTTTGTGGAAACGGGGTCTCACCATGTTGCCCAGCTGGTCTCAAACTCCTGGGCTCAAGCGATCCTTCCACCTTGTTCTCCCAAAATGCTGGGATTACAGGCATGAACCACTGTGCCTAGCCAAGTTGCATATTTAAACATAACTCTTTAGTATTTCCTTATCATCTCTGAGCCAAGATTCTTACCTCAATGTCTACTTCTATCTACAGAAGAAAAATACATCCACCAACGATGATTTATTTAAATATCTGAGGCTGGAATCAAGGCCAATTTTCCTTTGGCCAGAGTATGTGTTCTGTATTTGGTTTTACCAAATGCTAAGTCCAAATGTAAAAAAATATACACCACTTTAAGAGTCTTAGGAATAAAATGGTAAAAGAAGTTGAAGAGCATCTCTAGCTAAATAAGGGTTGTCATTTGATTAATGCAAGAAAAATCAAATAGTCACAAAGCTCTCCAAACATCTCTCTTTCAGAATTAGAGCCATAATATACATTTGATTCCCCAAAAAACACATTTCTGAAAGTTCTAAGCTAGTGAAGATATGAATTGCTAATGAACCCTGCAGGATTCATAATTATAACTTTGCAATCATGACACAACAATATGCTCAAAAGCAATGTTTGGGTACTCTTTGAACATAATTGATAGCTAAGCATATGCATTTTAGTGGTAGGTGATAAGAATCACACATAAAAGTTTTTATCTTGGTATAGCTGGAGGGGGCTATGTGAGGAGGTAAAATGATTATTTTACAGGAAAAAGAAGATGTCCTTATCTTGTGTGCCATAGATCTATCACATTCTCTGACAGGATTCTACTGAAATCCTTCAGGAGTTTCCTAGTGCTCTGCCTATAAAGGCCCCAATCCGTATATGGCCTAAAGAGCTCTGCATGATCAAAAACAGTGACTCTTACCTGGGGGCGATGATTTCACCCTTGCCCCCACCAGGGAACATGTGGCAATATCTGGAAATATTTTCAGTTGTTATAACTGAAGGGAAGGGATGTGAATGGCATCTAGTGTGTAGAGGCCAGAGGGTGCTGCTAAAATTGTGCAAAGGGCCACTCCCCACAACAGAGAATCATCCAGCCCCAAATGTTAATCAACAGTGCCAAGGTAGAGAACCTCGATATTAGCCCCTTTCTTTCTCTGGTTTCTTCTCATATCCCTCACTCCTTCCTGTACTGTGTTCCTATTTTATTTTCCTTTCCATTCTTTAAATGGGCCCCTATCCTTCCCACAACTTGGACTTTGCCATTCTATTCCTGCTGCCAGAAGCTCCTCCTCCAGATTCCTCTCCCTTTCCTGGTTAACTATTATTTCTCCAGCTCTCAGCAATTAAAGCAATTTTTTCAGACTGTCTCGCCCCATTAGACCAGATATCTCTGTTACACAGTCTCCTGACATGTTGCACTTTTCCTTCATAGCCTGTATCACAGTTTATAATTATGGGAATGCTCAATTACAGGCATACCTCAGAGATATTGGGGGCTTAGTTCCAGACCACTGCAATAAAGTGAATATCACAATAGAATACATGATATGAATTTTTTAGTTTCTCACTGCATATAAAAGTTGTGTTCACCCTATGCCATGGTCTATTAAGTATGTAACAGCATAATGTTTAAAACAGCAGTGTAAAAGCTTTAATTTAAAAATACGTTAGAGCTGAAAAATACTAACAACCATTCAAGCCTTCAGTGAGACCTAATCTTTCTCCTGGTGGGGGGGTCTTCCTGATGTTGATGGCTCCTGGCTGATGGGGCAGCAGTTGCTGAAGGTTAAGGTGCTTTTGACAATTTCTTAAAATAAGAAACCATGAAGTTGATCACATCAGTTGATTCTTTTATGAAAGATTTCTCTGCACCATGTGATGCTCTTTGACATCATTTTACCCACTTTCAAAATTGGAGTCAGTCCTCTCAAACTCTGCCACTGCTTTGCCAAACTAAGTTGATGTAATCTTCTGAATCCTTTGTTGCCATTTCAGCAATGTTCACGTCATCTTCACCAGAAGTAGAATCCACCTCAAAAAAAGAACAACAACAAAAAAAAAGTTTCTTTACTCATCCATAAGAAGCAACTCCTCATCCATTACAGTTTAATCATAAGATTGAAGCAATTCAGTAATGTCTTCAGGTTCCACATCTAATTCTAGTTATTTTGCTATTTCCACCATCTCTGCAGTTACTCCTCTACTGAAGTCTTAAACTCCTCAAAGTCATTCATGAGAACTAGAATCAGTGTCTTCCAACCCCCAATTAATGTGGATATTTTTACCTTTTCCCATAAATCACAAATGTTCACAATGTCATCTAGATGGTAAATTCCTTCCAGAAGGTTTTCAATTTACTTTGCCCAGATCCTTCAGAAAAATCGCTATCGATGGCAACTATAGCCTTGTAAAAGGTCATTCTTGAATAATAAGACTTGAAGTCCAGATTACTCCTTGATCCATGGGCTGCAGAATAGATTTTGTGTTAGCAGACATGAAAACAATGTTAATCTCCTTGCACGTCTCCATCAGACGCATCCTGGGTGACCAGGTGCATTGTCAATAAGCAGTAATATTTTTGAAAGGAATCTGTTTTTCTGAGCAGTAGGTATCACTAATGGGCTTAAAATATTCAGTAAACCATACTATAAACAGATGTGCTGTCATCCATGCTTTGTTCCATTTATAGAGCACAGACAGATTAGATTCAGCATAATTCTTAAGTACTCTAGGGATTTTGGAATGGGAAATTAAGGTTGGTTTCAACTTAAAGTCACCAGCTGCATTAGTCTCTAATTAGAGAGTCAGCCTGTCCTTCCAAAGCTTTGAAGCCAGGCACTGACTTCTCTAGCTGTAAGAGTTCTAGATAGCATCTTCTTCCAATATAATATAAGGCTATTTTATGCACTTTGAAAATCTGTTGTATCGTGTAGCCATCTTCATCAATTATCTTAGCTAGATCTTCTGGATAATTTGCTGCAGCCTCTACATCAGCAATTGCTGCTTCACCTTGCACTTTTAGTAAAAGGAGAAAGATGCATATGATCTGAAGAGAAATCACCAGAGTATCATCTTGCACTTTTATGTTATGGACATGACTTCTTAAATCTCATGAACCAACCTCTGCTAGTTTCAAACTTTTCTTCTGCAGCTTCCTCACATCTCTCAGCCTTCATAGAATTGAAGAGAGTTAGGACATTGCTCCGGGTTAGGCTTTGGCTTAAGATACTGTTGTAGCTGGTTTTATCCTCTATTGAGACCACAAAAATTTTCTCCATATCAGTAATAAGGCTATTTTGCTTTCTTATCATTTGTGTGTTCATTAGAGTAGAACTTTCAATTTCCTTCAAGAACCTTTCCTTCGCATTCACAACTTAGCCAACTGTTTGATGCAAGACACCTAGCTTTCATCCCATCTCAGCTTTCAACATGCCTTCTTCTTACTCAGCATAATCATTTCTAGCTTTTGATTAAAGTGAGAGATGTATGAAATTTCCTTTCACTTGAACACTTAGATGACATTGTAAGATTATTTTTTTCTAATTTAACCGAGTTTAATTCAAAAAAGGGTAATTCAAGATTGGGCTGTCTCCCAGGCCAGAATGCTTTCAGAGACATTGTGGCACTTCCACGTGGTTAGAGAAGATTTCTGGGAAGAACAAGGAAAGTGAATGCAAAAACTGAAGTGAGGTACAGAAACAGCTGGACTGGTTACAGCTTGGGGTGTTTGCCTTATTTGAACAGCTGGCTGACTGTGATTGGCTGAAACTCCATGATTGGCATAAGAGTAGGTTACAGTCTGTTTAGATGTCCAGTTAGGATACAGTTTATTATGTATGAGAAACCTTTAGGCCAAAATTACATGGAGGCAGCTTTAGGCTAAACTTAATGTAACAACCATTGCAGGGTTACTAATTGGACTGATTTCAATGTTGTTGTTTCTCAGGGAACAGGGAGGCTTCAGGAGAGGGAGCGAGATGAGGGAAGGGCCAATAAGTGGAAGGACCAGGACATAAACATTTAGGGATTAAGTTCCCTATCTTACGTGAGCATGGTTTTTGGTGCCCCAAAACCATTAAAATAGCACCCAAGTTCACTGATCACAGATTACAATAACAGACATAATCATGAGGAAATGTTTGAAATATTGTGAGAATTACCAAAATGTGACATAGAGACATGAAGTGAGCACGCAGTGTTGGAAAAATGGCATGGACAGACTTTGCATAGACTTGCTCAATGCAGGGTTGCTGCAAACCTTCCACTTTTTTCTTTTCCTTTTTTTTTTTTTTTTAACAAAAAGGCAGTATCTATGAACCACAATAAAATGAGATATGCCTGTAAATCACTGTCTTTTAGTTGGAATAATGCATGGTTCTCAGGGGACCTAAAAACAGTTTCTGGGCTAGAAATTTGGCTGAGATAGTAAGGAAAACCTGAAATAATATTTTAGAGTAAAGCAAGATCAATAAACAGAGTTAGAATTCAAATCTGGCACAATTCGATGTGGAACCAGGTCCTCCTTATAGCACCCAGCCATCCCTCTTTCATGGTGCCTGTTTCAGCCTGAGACACAATACGGATGTTCACTAAGGAAGGGACTATAACGTAGGCTCCTTGTGTTTCCATTAGATGAATCAGTAACACGCAGAGTTGCTGGTACATTCTGTAGTTCTTTGCACTGAAAATTTTCACTACCCTTAAGATTTAAAATACACCACTATCAGAAGGTTTTCACCTGGACATAGTAACTCCTAATAATTGCCCTGACAAATTTCAAAAGAAGATCAATTCTCTAACATATAGGAGAGAAGAAAAGCTTACATCAACCTGGGAAGGGTAGCAACCTCTTTCTTTACTTCTTCATTCCTTCAATGTGTATTTACAGGGCATCTATTATATACCTAATACTTTGATAAACTGTAGGAATAAACCAGTGAATAAGTCAGATGTGTTTCAACATATGAGGCTTACATCTGATAAAGAAGACAAAAACCAGTAGCAATATTAAAAGGAATATTCATAATTGATCCAATGGATCTACTCAAAAATGGCTGTGGGTTTTTCTAGGGAGTGTTTGTCCTCTGTAATAGGAAGACACAGTGACACAGCCATTCCTTCTTTTAACAAAATTTATTCACCATCTACTGAGCACCAGGCACTGTGTTTTTTTCGAGATATTTGGACATCAGTGAAATGCAGTAGTCCTGCCTTTTTAAAAGGAAGCCAAATGAATGCTAACCCTCCCTGAATTAGCCACACGTTGTGTAATTGAAGACTATGTTGTCCTTCAATTTCAATAAGAACTGCAATGGGTCATTGCAGAGCATGACATTTCTCCCTATGAGATATTATCATAAAAACCATGACAGGAACATGAAATGCCAGTGGCCTTAATTTCTCCCATGCACACTATATCCACACATAAAACGCTTTGGGTAGAAGTCATACAGATGTGAACCCACAGCAGGATGATTTTGAAGTTTCTGTCAAAGGAAAAGAAAGGGAGATAATTGTTTTCCCATTTACGGGCAGCCTGTCCTTGGGTGGTCTCAAATCCAGCCTCTGAGCTACAGCTGGGCAGGGCAGGGCCAACCCATGTCCACTGCAGGAACAAAGCCCATTGTGCTGGCCTTCATGCATCCTTCACAGTAAGGCTGGAAGTAGAAAAAATTTAGACGTGGATACCCTGCAATCCAGAGAAATGATTTCTTTTGAAAGTGCCTTGGTCTAGTTCAAGCAGACAATGCAGGAATTGATTTCCTGTCTCTCCAGTCCCTCTTGTCCTTCCGTTAGCTCCTGCTGAGCTAATGGCTCCTCTTCTGTGGTGCCCATGAACATCTTTCCTATTGTGGTGACAGTTTCTGTTTAAGTGTTGGTCTCATGCACAAAACTGTAATATCCAAAATCTATATAATAGGTACCACCTGCCAGGCACTTTTGTAAGTGCTTTATGTCCTTTAATCCTGACAAAAACTCTATGAGAAAAATATAATTTCTATCTTAATTTTATAGATGTGGAAACTGAGGCATAAAGAGGTTAAATAGCTTGCCCAAGTAGCACATCTAGTGACAGAGCTAGGATTTGAAACCACATGCAACTACACAGCCCCTCAGTAGCATATAGAAGCCACACAATAAATATTTATTAGCACTCATTTGGTCATTTCACTCCACTAGTTCCTGCAGGGTTTTTTTTTGTTTGTTTGTTTGTTTGTTTTTGAGATGGAGTCTTGCTCTGTCACCTAGGCTGGAATGCAGTGGCGCGATCTCGGCTCGCTGCAAGCTCCACCTCCCAGGTTCACGCCATTCTCCTGCCTCAGCCTCCCAAGTAGCTGGGACTACAGGCGCCTGCCACCACGCCCAGCTAATTTTTTTTTTTTGCATTTTTAGTAGAGACGGGGTTTTGCCATGTTAGCCAGGATGGTCTCGATCTCCTGACCTCACGATTCGCCTGCCTCGGCCTCCCAAAGTGCTGGGATTACAGGCGTGAGCCACTGCTCCTGGCCGTTCCTGCAGGTTTTTACTCTCCAAGGGGTGATCTCAGTAAGTGGTTTCCTATGTGACTGTGTATCAGAATGACCAGAGGAGACTTTTAAAACTGTAGTTCTCTGAGAATGGCATTTGACATTTTATGTTTTTTTAATGTTCAGAAGATGATGATTTGGCCGCATGGGAAACAATGGTACTAGACATGATGAAAACAGTGGAGTTGGCACTGGCCCTCTCTACCTTCCCTTTCCAAATCCCTCTTATATTGACAATGCCTCTGCCTACTCCTAAATATCCCTGCTCAGGCTCACTCTCCTAGAACCTTAATCTTAGCCTAAATAATCTTTCCTAAAGTGTTGGAAGGTAAGGAACATACTTCCTAGGACTCCAGTCTAGGAATCAAGATGTTATCTTTCATTACTAGCCACATAATTTTAAGGTATTTCAGAGCATTTCAGAGTTTGTCTCTTCATTCGTAAAATACAATGAGATAAGACAATGACTTATACTTATATTGTCTAATATGGTAGCCACTAGCCACATGTAGCTATTTACATTTAAATTAATTAAAAATTAAATAAAATTTAAAATGTAGTTCCTCTATTACACTAGTCACATTTCAGGAACTTGATGGCTACATGAGGCTACAGGCTAACATAATGGATAGACTAATATAGAACTTTTTCATCAGGCCACCAAGTTCTATTGAACATCATGAATCCTATGCTCAAGTGAGATCAGCTCAAGTGAGACCAGATATCTGAAGACCTTTTCATTTTCGCCACCCTCAAATGAAGGCATGCAAGGTATGTAGCCATCTTTATTTTTCTATTATTTAACTTCATTTTTCCTTTGTGCCCTCATCAGCCTTTCATTTTAGGCAAATAAAACCCTTTAAATTTGGAACACAGGCACTTTGGAATTTTCCCCTTGAAATGCTTCTCCTTCAGATAGCACATAAGTTTTAGGCATCATAACAATTTGGGCTTGCACCCAGGCCTCAACACCTTCTAGGCTGGAGCCCCTCCAAGAACTAATCTGTGTTAGTGGTACCCTTTAATTAAAGCTTGTGTGTATGTATATATGTGCATACATGCTTATGGGGTAATGGGATGGAATGACAGAAAAGGGAGAGGGTATAAGAATCCGGAGAAAATTGTTTCATCTGCTTTGCACTTTTTGAACGATACTCCATAGATAGTCACCTACAAAGCATCAGGGAACGTGTATCTGGGTTCTATGGGAGTGAGTTCTCAAAGTCATAAAAAATGTCTCCCACCTATCAGTTTTCATTAATGAAAATGTCAGGACAGCTGAATAATTTTCATAAACCATTCATTCAAGGTATTTATTAGCAAGAAACAAATTGCTGTCTTTTTATTTTTTGTAATCATTTATTCATAATGCTAGCCTTTGGTCAGACAATGGCCTCTTTTAAAACACAAATAATCAACATGTTCTGAATCCTGGACATATTCTGTTTAGGGAGTTGCTTCTTATGATTGGCACTATCACAGCCTTGCTTCAGTTTATTACACTGTTAGTAAGTGGAATCACTAAAGCTGTCACATCAAAAGCCTTCTGGATTTTCAGAATCCTTCACTAGCATTCTTCTCTGACAAGAAATGAATTGTTCTTTTGTTGTTGCATAATCTGATTGACAAGACTAACATGAATAGGGTCTATTGCATGGAGGAAATTAGGAACCATTTCTCTTGTCAAAATTTCTGTCTTTGCTTTTGTCTTTCCTGTCTAAGCACAGATATGGTCACAGTAAGTAGTGGGCAGCCTACAAAGGCAGTGGTGCAGCTTAAAGAGCACACGTCATCACCTTGTTTTCCTGGGGAGCCATAACCTGAAAAAGAAGGGCAGGGTCCATGCTATAACTATGAAGCTGCCAGGTACCCTTCAAGATGACAATTTCTGTTTCTACCATTCTTTTCTCACTTTCCATCATTTCATGTTAAATAACAAAGGAGTTCTTGTGGAGTGTTATATAAAATTCTGCGTGTTAAAGAGACAGATTATAAGCCTTTTGTATTTTTCTCTCACCAGTATTAGCAATAAGTAAGACATTTCTAGGAAACAAATTTAGGAACTATATGTCACTAAGAAACAGTAACCCACACTATGGGCAAATCATGTAACCTCTTCAGGCAACAGTGTTTTCATTGGCAAAGGAGTTTTGAAACAGCTATTTTGCAGAGGTCTTATAAGTAATAAGTGACAAAAATGGGAGTGAGGATTGCATAGTAGGAAGAACTCAGAATCTGGTTTCACACAGCACTGGATCTGAGTGCTAGCTATACTACTTACTAGTTTCATGATCTTGGAAAAATTACATGAATCCTGCGAATTTAATGAGGAAATGCTTACAAAGCATGAAGCACAGTGCCTGGCAAAAAACAAATTCCCTGTGTTTGGTAGCTGTTTATTATAATTATTATTACAAAAAGTATGTGAAAATATCTGACACAACATATGTTACATAGAAACACAAAAATAGTGTTTTCTTCCTTTTCTAGTTTTTTTCCCTCCTTTTTTCCTAATGTATATTAAGGTTTTGACATTGGAAAATGTGTCATGGCAAATGTTCTAACTAGTACCCTCAGTGTCTCCTGGTGCAGGAAGCAAAAATCAGATTATCAGTTCTATCTTGACAAGGACAATATACTATTTTCTCATTAAAATCTTATGAGAACAGATAGACCAGCAAAATGTGTATTTCAAGTAATATTAGTTTGTTTGTAATTCTTTCTCATTGGCTGGTCCTGGTTTTATTAACAAATATATTTTCTATTTTTTTAATGGAAATATTTCAGGCCTTTTAAAACTGAGGATTTTTTCTCTGGAAATGGTTAATTAAATCAGTGAGGAGAGAAAATATTAACAGGATCTACTCAAAATATATGAAAACATATGTCCACAAACAATCAACCAACCAACAAACAAAAACTTGAAGAATAATAATCTTCAAAACATTCTTCATAGTGGCCCCTAAATGGAAAAAATCCAAATGGTCATCAAAAGAAAAATGAGTAAGAAACTGTACTATATTCATACAATGGACTACTACTCGGCACACAAAGGGGAATGAACTACTGATGAAGGCATTAACATGGATGAACCTCAATATATTTATGTTGAGTAAAAAATACAGGAAGAAGGAAGTACATATTATATGGTTCCATTTACAGAAAGTTCTAGAACAGGCAAAACCATCCATGGTGATATAAATCAGGATGAGATTGCCTCTGGGAAGGGAGAGGGAAATAATCGACTTGAAAGGTCATAACCCAGAGAGTAACACAATAAAATATAACACAATAAAATATAAGTGCTCTCATAGGAGACACTGTGATATTTTAAATGATTGCTGAAAGAACTAATATTCTTAAGAATAAAATACTATGAAATCCAGGCCCTCTGGGCTTTTAATGATGAAAAAAATATTCTGTCTTCTGGGGAACCCAAAAACTAACTTTAGTCTACTAAGTGTCAACAAAGTTGTAAATGTCAATTAATGAACTGTCAATCTTGACTCATAGCCTCAATATTTTTTTAGTTGTTCTTTGGGACCAGCATTGATCAAATGAAGAAGCAATTTCCCAATTCCTTCTCTTGAACTTTTATTCTCTCTGGTTTATTTTGTAATTGACTTTTATTTTATACATGTTAAACCACCCTTTTCCTTATAACTTAAAGACAAGAATATAAATTTGAATTATAATTTACATTTTCTTGAGATGTTGGCTAGATAGACAGCTTTAATTTTTCTTTCATTAATGAATACTTAAATTTAGTTTATACCTTTTACACAAAGACACAGGTAGGATTTAGGAATGGATTTTATTCTACTTTCAAATATTGGCTTTGTCATTGTAATTCTGTATTTGTCAGGTTCAGAAGTAGTTATGTGACTTTTGAGCCACCTGGTACCACTGCTTTAGTTTGGGAGGAGCTGCAGAAATAGAATCCAGCGTTTTCAGACCAATCATTCCTGATTCTGACTTTTAGTTCAATCTTAGACATCTGTCATGTGAGTTTACAGTGAGAAGATGGCCATCTATGAACCAAGAAGTAGGCATTGTCCAGACACCAAATCTGCTGGCACCTTGATCTTGGGACTTCCCAGCCTCCAGAACTGTGAGAAATAAATTTATGTTGTTTATAAGCCACTCAGTTGGCTGGGCGCAGTGGTTCACGCCTGTAATCCCAGCACTTTGGGAGGCCAAGGCGGGCGGATCACAAGGCCAGGAGATCGAGACCATCCTGGCTAACATGGTGAAATCCCGTCTCTACTAAAAATACAAAAAAATTAGCCGGGCATGGTGGCGGGCACCTGTAGTCCCAGCTACTCGGGAGGCTGAGGCAGGAGAATGGCGTGAACCTGGGAGGCAGAGCTTGCAGTGAGCCGAGATCACACCACTGCACTCCAGCCTGGGCGACAGAGGGAGACTCCATCTCAAAAAAAAAAAAAAAAAAAGCCACTCAGTTTATAGTATTTTGTTAGAACAACCCAAATAGACTAAGACAGACATTTGTGTATAATTTCTGACATATTAAAATGGATGCAACATCAAAGACTAAATTTAATTACACTAGAAGTAAGCCAGCCATGTATTCAAAAATTGCATGTGTTTCATCAAATGTTGAGTTTTAGAAGGAGCTATGGACCAAAAGCAAGACTTGTAACACAAGTCTGAATTTCACCCCTTGTTGGCTGTGTGAACTTACACACTTCCTATAAATTCTCTAGGCCAAGTTTCATAAACTTTCTTTCTTCCCAGTAAGTTAGGGTTGAGGTTGAAAATTTGGGCATTAGGTCAGGTAGTCTGATTATGGATAAGTTATGAAAGCTTAATAAGTGATAATGGTGACATAATATATTACAAAACACTTAGCATACTGGTCAATAAAAAAGTGGTAGCTATAATTATTGTTCATAGCCATTTAATTATTATTCATAACAAAACAATATAGAATTACATAATTGGTACTTTATCATTATTGCAGAAATGTGTTGACTGGAATAATAAAATCACTAATAGCATGGATGTAAAGCTTGGCCAAACACCAGGCCTGCAGTGACAACTAAAGAGAACTTGTCAAAAAGATACTCAAGAGGCTGCTATTCAGGGAACCCATAGGGGCACAGCAGGATTCACTGTTGCAAGGATACCACGTTAAGTACAGGCAGGTATTATTTGCCAGCCCAATTTGCAGCAATCAGGACTCAGCGATGGTCTCCTAGGGCCAGTCATCACTGAGATGTCTAGGCCCTGAGGCACTTGGTGCTGTTGCTACCACATGTAACAAGAAATAAAGATACTTGGTGGAGACTTTGCAACATAATGTACCCAATATTTTAAATCTTTTATTTTGCAACATAAAATACATCACATTTTACCTACCTAAATCAATAGAGAATGTTATTTGCTGTATCATATATCACAGCCACCAAGGTTGGATGATGAGCTACAGCCAAGAATTCCTACCCAGGGTGGGAGATTGGACCAGTTGGAATGTAAAGATTTCCTCAGACTCGAGATTCTGTGATTATATAATCATTGAAAGTTCAAAATTATTTTCAACTAAAGCAGTTATCATGAAACCTGTCACCAATTACTAAGTTCTACAGTCACTACATATATATACGCACATATATTAATTAATTAAATATATATGTACTTAATTCTGGAAAGAAAAAGGATGCAGCTGACTCTAATTGTGGCTGCTTGGATGAGAGTCACACGTGAGTTAGTAAACATGATGCATGGTTTGAAAAAGCGGATTAAGCTCTGTTAGAATTAAATGATTATTTTCTTGGAAAATATGTTAGTGACAGGTAAATCAAAATTAGGTTGCTGAGTAAGGCCCCAGACTACACTAAAGGGCTTTGACAATACTAATCAATATTTATTACACTATATTGACTTTAAAAAATTAAATTTTAAAAAATTAACCACAATGAAGTTAGGATACATCTTAAAAGCAATGACAACTCAAAATTACCATCAGTCATGGGATAGACATGATACAGTTGTGTGAAAACCTTTTGGTAAGATAAAGAAAACTCCAGCATCAATATGTATGAAATTTGATGAAATACAGGTCAGTGCCCAGGGGTATAATGTGGCAGTAATGGGAGCACTATGCAGAATGTTCCAGTCTGCTTGTTCTTTCCTGAACTGGATGGGCTTTTTGGGCAGTAAAAGAGGTCATGAAAAGTTTGTTGTAGACAAAACACAGACGAGCACAGTGGGTAAAGTTGTGGGCTTTGGATATAGAGAGCTCACTCCAAGTGCCTCTCCTGCCATTCACTAGCACTATGTATTTGCCATGCTCTTTAATCTCTGCACATCAGTTTTTTTTTTTAAGTGGAAATGCTAAAAATAGTACTTAACTCATTGATATGTAAGAATTAAATAAGATTATCCATTTCAGAGTTTAGCTTAGTGGGACACAGTAAGAATTCAATAAATATAAGCTCATTGAGCTTTCTAATGCTTTTGTGCAAAAGCCATATTTAGGAAACAAGGCTCAAGGGCTGCGTCAGCTCCTGCCTACGGAGTTGACATTTGTTGACTCTGGACACAAGAATGGAAATGTGAAAGTACAATTTACGCAAAGATCTGATTGAGTTTGTGGACAAGCAACCCATGACATAATTTTGATAGCTGATTATTGCTCAGTAAGTGATTTGACTCTTGAAAAAGAATGCTTTTATTAATCCACTGTTAAACTGCAATTATTAGCTAGTATTGAAATTTATATTCTTCCTGTTAAGTAACCCCCAAACCTAAAAATTTAGACCAGAACCAAATATTTCAATTTTTACAGCACACCAGTGCTGTAAAATACTTTGTCTCATTTAGCTTTAGGTCAGAATAGCTACATATTGCTAAGGCAATGAATGATGGTTACCAAGTGTTTATAAAGTCCTTGTACAAGTTTAAAATCAAATAACTTTGAATGGACACAATGGAGACAACTGTAAGCACCATATGGAAGCATATGATTAACATGCTAATATTCTGAATGCACATTTTAATGTTTTATTTTATTCACAAATCATACACAATGGCTGTGAATACTTTTTTGAGAGCGCACCAGTTGGTGAATATTCTTTCATAATGTTGCAGTATTTCTTTATTATGAACCATGAAAATGGGGCCTTTCCAACAGCAACTTCCTCAAGCAGCAATGTGCTTACTTACAGGATGCTTCAAATATGCAACAAAAGAATGATAATGACTTTTCAAGAGGAGCGAATTTGTAGGAGGACAGAATTGCTTATCCATATACTTTCACCCAAGCTTTCCCATTTGGATAATTTCTATTTCAAGGAGTTATCTTAACCCTATGAAATGCATCATAGCCATAAAAAAATCAAATGCTTGAGATCAGTAACTCAAATTTAATTCAGGACATAGCATCAACTGGAGAGTACTTGAGCAAGTTGGAAAATCAGAATTCAAGGTGTTTTATTACAGATCTCACAGTGTGCAGTTCTCACTAGTTATTCACCTCCAGAAGGAAGTCCATCCTCTAGGAGGCTCTTCTAAACATGCATAGGCATAGTGTGGAAGCCATCACACTCTTAATACCACACTATATATTTGAGGCTTTGATCAGATTTAAATAAAGACAGTATTAGAATGAAAACCTTACTAGATTTTATTGTTTGTTACCCATCAGAAAGCAGAGCAATTATACACAAAGCTACATATTTGAGCCATGGTCTTAAAAAAATCTGTAAAGTATATGTTCAAGTGACATTCACAACTTTTTTTTTATCAGGAGTACATAGGTGTTTCTGAAACTCAATTTCACATATTCAATACACTACAACCTGAAAGGACACGGATTTTTCTGCTTGAACATAGCAATGAAATTTCTTAGCTAAATCTTTTAGGCACATGTTTTCCTTCTAATTATAGGTGTTCTAATATGTACATTGTTATTTTACTGCTAAAAAATTACCATTTGTTGAGCTATTACTATGGGTCAAATGCTGAGTTAAGTGCTTAATGAATATATTTGCTCGAAAAATATCCACAATGTCTCTATGAGGTGGTTATTTCTTTTATCAGATGAAGAAGAGTAAAGACTGTTTAAGCAGCCTGTTAAAGGCCAGCCATGAGGCTATAACTGACAGAATGGAGAGTCAAACCCAAGACTGAGATGGCCATGTATACTGTGAAAAAGAATTTGGGTTTTTTAAAAAATGCCGTGAATATTAAGCAGGTTACTGAAGGTGTTTTGGCAAGAGAGAAAGAGAAGAGAGTCTGTATCTTGAATATACCCAAAACCCCACCTGCAGGAATGATAAAATCCTTGGGCTAGAAAAAACATGAAGCTCATTGGCACAAAATGTCATGATGTTCATCTTTCCAGGTCCCATGTCACTCTCTGCTACAGAATACTAGCAATATGTACTCCTTGCTTTCCTAGAAGAACATGATAATAAGATCTTTCTGCCTCCCTTTGCAGTATTGTTTGCAGCCACTCATCACCCCACTGGCTGCTCCCCAGACACCTGAGTAGCTTTCTGTTCCACACACTCGCCAGTATCTTGTGTATGTATTGCAGGATCTGTATACACAGTTCCCTGTGCCTAGACTTGTTAGCACCTCTTCGTCCTTCAGATCTGGGTTGTCCTTCCCCAGCATTCTATTTTCTCTCACAAGGTCTTAGTTTGAGTTCCCCTGAGTTCCTCACTAACCTATGAGCCCTGAAACAATGAGAACCCAGATTTTTGTGCATCATTGTTTCCTTAGCAGCCTGACCATGTTTCCTGGCCTGTAATCAGAACACAATAAATGTTGCTGACTGAAAAAATGTAATTGATTTAAGCTTCCCTACAAATCTTTCAATTTATGTTAATTGTGAGAAGCTCAGCATCTTCTCAAGGGCTTTTTCTCATCCCCGCAGTGGAAGCCTCTTTAAGCAAGTCTCTCTTCTCTGCATATGTAGGCTTTAGCTCTGGGGAACCTCAGCCTTCTCTGTCTTCAAGTTAGGGGTGATCAACCTACAAAGTACCTTGTGTCTTCTCTGAGAATCACATTCCTTTTCTGCTGGGATTCTCTTTACCAGAAGAGGTGGATTCACTCCCCAGTTATCGAGGATCACTTGTGCAGGAGTCAGAATTGTCATTCTCATAGTGGCATCTTTGATCATTCAATAGCTTACTCTTGGACCCATCGTACAAAATTAAGGAACAAAATAATCCAAAAATAGTCATGGTTTGCACTGTCTTCTAAGTTTCAAGCACAATAATTAGGTATGGGAGACTCGTGCATTCATCAAACCTCACTAGACATTAGGCTCTTGGAATGCTAGGATGACTTGTCATTCTCATCCTCCTCCTCATCATCATCACTGTCATCACCAAAAATAACAGTTATCATTTTTAAACACCTACTATGTACAAAGGACTGTACTAGAACTTTTATCTATTTTGTCCTTACAACAGCTTTATAGAATGGGCATCAGCCCTCTTTGAAAATGAAGACATTTCTGCTGAGAGTGAATTATCTAGCCCAGGTCACTGAGCTAGTACATGAAAGGGCTGTACTGCCTTTCATCTTTTAATACCCAGCAGCTAGCACAATGCCTGGCATGTAGCAGGCACTCACCCAGTAGAAACTGAGTGCCAGGGCTTCACCACATGCTGGGATACAGTGAAACTCAAAATAAAGTAAATGACCCCAACCTCTGCCTGTCATGGGCTACTTTACCTGTGCCTACAGCCACCCTATGCTATGCTAGACCTGGTTAACCAGATAGAGAGATAACTTAGAACCTATATTATGGCCACCATAATATAGGTGGACATAGGGCATATGACATTGGTGGAATAACATAGCCAGAAAGTATTGGAGGAGAGAAGAGATGCACAGAAAGAAATGATTGGAGACAGAGACACTTAACCTCTGCTCTCTCATGACTCTCCAGAAAGGCCTCCACACACTCACATCACACAGAGAATACAGATCATTTACCTACAATGTTACCAGAACCTTATGTCCCCCAAAACAGGGTTCAAGACTGAAGAGAACATATACAAAACAGGAAGAAAAGATTATGGAAGGCAGTGGGAAATAGAGTTAGAAAAAGTCAGCCTCGCTTAGCACATTCCTTTGTAAGAAAGTTAAAAAGTGCAGAATGGGGCAATGGTACACTTGATCATGTCCATTGTTGTTTTTAATTGGATTTTTTGAAAACAAGTTCTAATTTCATTGAAATTTCTGACTATTCTTGTGAGGTTTTCAATCTTTTCTCCTGGTCACTTCTTTTATGTGGTTTTTCAGAAGATGTAGTTTTATGAAATAACTAGCTTCACAGTAGAGTTACGTCTTTTTTTTCTTTAAGAAATTGCCTTTGATCTTGATTTCATAATAGTTAGGTGAAGTGCTAAAAGAAGTTTAAAAGTTCATACAAATTGGAAATGAAAAAAAAATCAGAAGTTGTAATCATTTTCTTCACCTTTGGAAAGACCCCAGAGAGCTCCCAGTATAAACTTAACTGGAGGCTATTATTATGAGCACTCTAGGAGAATGAGTTTTTACCCAATTCTATCATTTTTCTGGCAGGTACTTTTTTTCCAAAGCCCTCCACAAAATGAAGTGGGTATTTTAAAGATAATCCTCAGTTCTATGAGAGTAGATAATAAATACTTGTTGAATGAATGGGTCAGTTATTAATAATAAAGGGTAGAAGACGAGACAATAAAAAGGGGATAATTGAAAAAGCATTATATTTGTTATTTCATCATCCTTTAATTTTTACAACAGAGTTGTGTGCATCCCCTACTATGAGTCAGACACTGGAAATGCTGCAGCCAGAATGACAGCTCACACAAATATAAGTGCGAAGCATGTTCTGAGCATTTACATATGTTAATTTACTTGATCCTCACAATGCTATAAGGTAAATACTCTTATTATTCCCATTTTACATATGAGGACACTGGGGCACAGAAGGGTTAGGTAACTTTCACTGAATCACACGGCCAAGAAGTGGCAGCACTGATATTTGAACCCAAGCACTCTGGCCGCAGTGTCTGTGCACATAGCTACTAGTCGGTACTGCCTCCAATAAAACCAACAAGGTAGTCATGAAAACAGAAACTATATTATCCCTGCCCTTGGGGAAATTATATTTTATTAAGAGAGCAAAGCAAAGTGTATAATGACAATAGAGCATGGTAGTATGCTCTATGAGTGTAGTGAGCAGAGGATCTTACAGAAATATCAAGGAGGATGTCAGATTCCATCATGAGAAGGGGGTGAACAGTGAGCAGGAGTTAAATATGCAGAGAGGGGAGAAGAGTTGGGGTTTCAAGTGTGGAAGAAGCATTTGCAAAGGCACTGAAGTAATAAAGCTAGAAGACTAAGGTAAGAAAAACAATTCAGAAAAGCTTCAGTGAAGGGTCTGACAGTGCTGAGAGATGAGACTGCAGAATTAAGCAAGTTCCACGTCGGGAAAAGCCTTATAAACCATGCTGTTAGGCAGGCTGCTGCTACCAGCACCAGTCTTTGAAGGACTTTATACAAGGATGTATGATTCAGTCAGATTTTCATGGAGACCTTGTAAGATTCATCTAGAAAAGTGTGGAGAACAGGTTGGAACAGGGCTGGATGGGGAAATGTAGGAAGATATTAAGAGGATTTTGCAATAAATACCTGCAAAATGATGAGGGCATTTTACATGGTTTGGCTATGACCCCACCCAAATGTCATCTTGAATTGTAGCTCCCATAATTCCCACATGTTGTGGGAGGGGCCTAGTGGGAGATAATTTAATCATTGGGGCAGTTTCTGCCATCTTGTTCTTGTGGTAGTGAATAAGTCACAAGATCTGATGGTTTTATAAGGGGCAACCCCTTTCACTTGGTTCTCATTCTCTCTTGCCTGCTGCCATATAAGACGTGACTTTCGCCTTCTGCCATGATTATGAGGCCTCCCCATCCACGAGGAACTGTGCGTCCATTAAACCGCTTTTTCTTTATAAATTACCCAGTCTCCAGTATGTCTTTGTCAGCAGTGTAAAAGCAGGCTAATATAACATTAAGTCTTAAAAGTCTTATATACTTTTCAGTGAGGCTGTAGGCTGTAGAGAAGTGACCCCTTCATGGTAAAAGCCCATATTTCCCATGTATTCTTTCAATTACTTTTGATAAGAATTTTCTTAATAATGACATTTATCACACATCAGATTTTTCTTACAAATAAGTCTGTGCTTATGCATAGATGGTAATATGAATACCCAAATCTAGACTCTATTTGTATACTATGATACCACACTTTTCTTTAAGTAAGTGGAAGCCTTCTTGGAGGTCTTTTGTCAAATTAATATTTTAAATTGTAATGGGAATTCAAAGGTAAAACAAAAGAGATAAAGGATGATAATATTTAGAAACAATGATCAAATTCCCAACTTTTGGGGATTGAAATGGAAAAAAAATCATGTTTGGGGGAAAGTGGATTATGTTAACACAATTTTAGGTTAATTTATCCATCCTTTCCTTTTGATTGCTCTGGGTTTATAATGTGCTTCCATCACTTTATACTTATATCAAGGGCAGGAACACACCCTTTCTTGGCTACATTTAGCACATCCCAGGCAAGCTGTATGCATTCTACCCCTCATGCTGTGCTGCTCTCTGAGAAGCGGGAGAGCAGTTATGACTATTACATGCAGAGAAGAATTTCTTAAACTTTCCAAAATAGCAGTGTAAAAATGTGGAAATGTTAACAGGAAAGAAAAAGAGTTGTATTCTGACAGTAGGCGTAATTTGGAAAGACGTATTTAAGTAATATCATCTATTTTTATAAAAGAAATAAAATAATGATGCCTGTTTGCTGAAAGAGACATCATGTCTTCAAAACAACAAACATATAACCCAAGCATACCTGGGTAGAATCTGACTTTGAAGCTCAGGGTTCTGTCTATTTTTTGCTACTCTCCCTGTAACCTAGCTAATCAAGTCCTTATTGCCATAGTGAGTATAGTCATTTGTTTTTCATAGTTATTCTGAAACAGTAGTATCTAATTTTTTCAATAGATGTTACTAAAGGCTGCTTACCTAAAATAAACTTGTACTCTGAAATTATTTATGGCCCCAGATTGTAAATAAATAGATAGATGGATAGATAGATATAAATATAGATATATAGATATAGATGTTGTCTGATATATATTATCCACTTTAAATAGGTTCATTAATGGAAAATAAATTATCTAGGGAAAGCTCCATATGATGCTTTTTCTGTGTTAAGCCATTTGTTATCTGCTCCAATTTGATATTTCTAGTGTCATTAACATACCCATTTTAAAGGATGACTGGCTTTGACGTTTTTTGGTGAAGTGTTTCATAATAGAGATTTCAGCCTTGCCCATCATCAGTACTAATTTAAGAGTTCTGATTCAGAGAAATATGTGTTCATTACAAATCTAGGCTAGAAATGCTTTCACTTCAGTTTTCTCATCACAGGAAACAAAGCGATGGTTTTCATCAACTTGTTTTCAATATATTTGAATACTTTCATAATTTTCTAAGAAGACATATTCAAATATCTTGGCATTTGTGAATGAGACCCTTCACTATGTGTTCTAAATATACTGTCATTCCTTTTGTTCCAATCTTTTGGATCTTTTATATTACCACAGAGCTAGTTATAAACACAAAACAAGGTCATTTCTTACGAAATCTGAGTTCAGTGGCCAGCCTGCCTATTAAGAAATCAGGTGAAGGTGAGGGAGATTCTGATTATTAGCATGTAAATAACAATTAAACCACCAGAGAGAGCATAAGAAATATTGGTACATTTCTTATAAAGAGTATCATGTAGGCCACTGAGAGGTGTAAGCTAAGCTCATATTCATAAATGAGAGCACTGAGCTATCTCTATACTGATTAATACATTAAATTGAGTCATAATCAGAGGGTTTCATAAGACTTTCTCCTTGAAATCCTGAAAGAAATGCTGCTAGGACCCACATCATGAACTTCTCCTTGTGTAAAAGAGCCAGAAGATCTGTAATTAGTCAGACACGATGCCTGCTTTTTACAAAACATGCATTTCCAATGACGTCAAACCAAGTGAGATTGCACAAGGGGCTCTCACTTCCTGTGCTTGTGAGCATGGCTTTCAGCGTGTGCTAACCACAGCTCCTAAGTACATGGCCCACATTGAGTTTCATCTGTGTCTAGATTCAAGAGTAGATTTTAGCAAGGGGGCAAATTGAGCCATCAATTAGCAAATCCATCCCATTCAAATGGCAGTGCCCATTGCTTCCACCAATGTCCAGGGGTCAACTGTGTGTCTATGCTAGGGCTGTGGCACCCGATGCAGCCACACCTCAAAATGCCTTCTCCTTGACAGTTCACTGTGGCACTTTTCCAGAGTAATCTGAGATATGCTAAGGGAGGCACTGACCTCCTTTTGAAATCCCATAAAGGGCTAATTCACTTTTTTTTTCTCTCTCTCTCAGACCAATTTCTGAGCAGCAAGCATTCAGTGTAAACAGAAGTCTGGAAATAAAGACCAATCCTAATTCTTCATGATTAAAAATTTACTCACTCACTAATTTTTGCTGCTTCTTATCTTCAAAATATCTAGTCAAATTTTCAAGTTTTAGAGACAAACTCCAACTTTATATCATTTAAAAAAATTTTAGGATAGCCTAGTTTTTGTATCTTAATTAGGTTACCAGATCTCTATTCTTTGCTACATAAATCCTACTTCATATATTTAACAGTACTTTAAACATAGTAACAATACCTTATATTTGTGCTACGTCTGATTTTTTTTAAAGTACCTTCATATACATTGTCTCAAATAATCCTTACCTCTCAAAACCAAAACATTAAGCATTAATTTAATTAATGAGACAACCCCTTTCATTTTGCAGACATGTATACAGACATGTAGAAAGATACATGACATGCTACATAGCTGTAAATGGCAGAGCCAGGTGCAGATTTTAGTCACACATACTCTTCCCACTAATTTAAACATTGTACATTTCAACATTTTCATCTTTGATGTATTCTTAAATATGAATTGGGTGCAGAGATAGACCTATTTGTTGTAGCAGCATCTTTCTTCTGTTAAAAGATAGTTAAATTCTAGAAATGTTATTATTTATTTTATTAGTGTCTTAAATCTGCAAACTTCTTGAGACATTTATCTGGAAATTCTGAGTACATGTTTAGATTTTCTTTTTATTTTCTATTGAAATTTCCTTAGTTTGCTATAAATATCTCAGTACTTTTCATAAAATGTATTGGTTGATTCAAGCCATAAAAACAAAAATAGAGTCAAGTGAGATAAGTTTATTTTTGTTTGTTTTGTTTTTGAGACAGAGTCTCACTCTGTCACCCAGGCTGGAGTACAGTGGCATGATCTTGGCTCACTACAACCTCCAACTCCCCAGCTCAAGCAATCCTCCCGCCTCAATCTCCCAAGAAACTGAGACTACAAGTGCATGCCACCATGCCCGGCTAATTTTTTTTTTGTATTTTTTGTAAAGATGGGCTTTTGCCATGTTGCCCAGGCTGCTCTCGAACTCCTGAGCTCAAACAATCCACCCGTGTTGGCCTCCCAAAGTGTTGGAATTACAGGTGTAAGCCCCCGCATGTTGTCATGCTATGCTACTTGTACCAAGAGGTATTGGGACTACCAATGTTTGTTTAGAAATTTATGCTGGCTATTTAGTATCTAATGGCTATCACTCAGTTTCTATTTATTACATTTCTAAACTGAGCTTCCTTTCTTTGTTGCAATGGTTGACACGTCAAAGGCTCAAATTCTTCCTCTTTACCATTCTAAGGTATTTTCTTTAAGCATTTAAGCTGTTCCTATATTTGACCAACTACTAGCTCTGTACTTGTATTTACCTTTTTAATAGTTGATAAGATACATTTTAATAGAGTTAACTCAAGTTACCATAATTTGCAGTATTCTCATCTATTCTGCTTAATTCATTTTTTATTGATAAAGGTAGGATTTTTAATAGCGTGGCATTAGCTACAAGAGCATGATTTTAAGTCAACGTAATGGTTTCTAATTTAAGAAAAGTATGAAAAAAGAGGTTTAGAAATAAAGGTTAGTTTTGTTTTAGGCCAGAATTTTTCACTGATTTAATAGTAATGCAGTCTCTTCCCAGTGGAAAGGGAGATTAGGAATCTAGTAGAAAGAAATGTAAATATACCATTTGGATTTTATAATGTTAATGTCATATTTAAAGGATGGCTACTCCAAAATGTTACATACCCTTATTCAAATATAGGAATAAATCTTCATAAAAATAAAATAGTAACAACAGTATTCAGAAATTGGCAATGACTTTTGATAGCTTTACCTATGATCCTTCCAATTGATGAATAACTTGACTCAGATACAATTTTATAATCTCTACTGTCAATTTATCATAGTAATAATTTTTTAACTTTTTCTTAAAGTTGTAATAATTATTCTTTTTGAAGTTTCATTTATATTTACATGTACATTTATGTATTACATTTAAATTTCAGAATTAGAATATTCTTGACATAAGTTATTTTATACATGGTGAAACTCTTAAAAAATAATTCTCAAGCCTTAGTATTTCATATAATCTTTCGATAGGGTTTTATATGGCCTGTAATTTCTTATCTTTCAATTATTTGCTTATGAACTATGAATTTAATTTTTAATTCTTTACATCCAAGGACTTGTTTATATAGGAATGGCTATTTCAACTCAATACCACCTCTTTATTTTGAAACAAACATTAACCAATGCACAGTAAATTACCAATGCACAGTAAATTAGGAAATAAATATGATAGTAAAGCAATCATATGATGAAAGTCACATGGGATTCTCCAAATCATTTTTCTTCCTCCTTTAGCTTAGAAGCCTAGAAGGTTGATGATTCTTCTTAGAATGAAACTATCCTCCGAAGGTTACATTTCTAGGATTCAATTTCTGCTCTTGTGAAAATAATGCATTCTTGAGTACTATGAACTACATAAACTGACAGTGTCTTATCTACTTGTATTTATTAGTTTTTAATATGTAAGAGCTTTGCTGTGGTTTATTGTTATATGATTGGTTTTGTCATCTATATATCACCAAATACCTTTCCATTCAGAGACAACTTGGAGAACAGTGGTGGGGAGGCCATATTTTATGATACTTTTATGCTTCTCCAATCTGTATTAGTAATAGACTGCTTCTGAACTCAAATTAATAAAAAGTCCTTGCTCAAGCAAATTTTTAATTATCACTAAGCTTATTAGTTTGTACTTTTCCTGAGGAAGACAGACCACTGTTTTGACTTACAGACCATAATGTCCTAGGTCTTGCAAACTAAATAAGGATTCTAATTTTATCATAAAATATTGACTCAAATTGACTGGGAGATATTATATATCACTTATAGAAACCTATGAATTAGCTATTTCAATTTAACAAAAATATTTCTTGTCAATCATTGATAAAAGAATCAATATAACTGTGGCAATATTTTTTAGATCTCAGTTCTCTTATTTTCTCATTGAGCAGAGATCCTCAGAGGCTATTTTTCTAAGACAGAGACATGGGAGTGTGGAGGCCTACAACACCACAGGGATGATTCAGTGCTCAGGAGAGCACGATCCACAGAGGATAGACAGTATGTGTTGCTTTTGGTCATAATCTGAGTAAAGAGGTTCAATCATCGTTGTCTTTGGCCAGGAGAGCATATGCGTTTCTACTCACTTATTCCATAAGGAAAGATCAAGGTCAAGGACAAGGACATTTTATTTAACTCCAGTTTTGGGAACAGTGCTTTCATTCTGATGAGCAAGTCAATCAGTTAAGTTCAGAGTGCATGTAGGGTATCCTGTGCTCTATTTCTTTAGATTTTCTCTTTTATATGTAGCTGGTGACAAGGTGCAGTGCTCTTCACACTTGTTTGCAAAAGGAGTGAACCAAAAGCTTCTCTTCCCAGGATGTGTGTATGGTGCTCCTGTGCGCATACACACACACACACACACACACATCAAATGTGAGGTGCAAAGAGTAGAGATTTGGGGAGCAGGTGAGAAGAGGAAAAGAGGGCTCTGTTCCTCCTTTGTTTTAGGTTCCTTAAATAGAACTCTAGTCTATGCACAAAAAGCCCTTTTCAAGGTCCTTTTCAAGGTCTCTTCTCACATCTCCTGGGACCCGGAGGAGCTTATGTGTCCTGAGGCTGACAAAACATCAGTTTCATCTCTCTGGAATCTTGTATTCCACACTTCCTGTGATTCACTTTATTCTACAATGATGTAGTCAACTTTACAGTGCCATACCTCACAGTGGAAACTCCTTGGTTAACAGCTCTCTTCCCTATGACACTGTAAGTGCCATAAATGAGGAGCCATGTCTGTTTTGTCCTATGAGGGACCCTCCTGCACACAACACAGTGACTTACAGGTAGCAGATACCCGGTGTAATATTCATTGAATTAATAAGAGTTTAAATAAAAGATGCAGGATTTAAACTTCAAACTTCTCATTCTTTCACTTCCAACAGTCTGCCTATAGCATATAAGCCCTTTGGATCCCTCTGAAATGTCACTTCTTCACATGGACTTTTCCTGACCTCCCTATCTACAGTAGCTGTCTCTCCTACCTTCCACTGCCACCCATCATTCTGTACCTCAGCATCCTGTCTTCTTTCCTTCGTGACACTTATCAACTCGTTTTCTCATCCACCCTCCCTCCCTTCCTTTCTCCCATCCTTCCTTTCTCCCAACTCCTTCCTTCCTTCCTTCTTTCCTTCCCTCCTTCCTTCCTTCTTTCCTTCCCTCCGTCCCTCCCTCCCTTCCTTCCTTCTCTCTCTTTCCTTTTGCGATTTATCTCATCCACTCCTACTGTGGAAGCACCATCAGCATGAGGGAAGCGGCTTATTCCCTCCTGTTCTTGATAGCGCACCCATCATCTAACTCAATGCAGAAGCACAATTAGAATAATACTCCTAGTGCTTACTTTTAGGTTAAAATACTGCGATGAGAATGCAACATTTCTGGAAGCAAAAGATACGTCTGATTTTGGAAAATGCATGGTTCTTAGCCCCAGTGGAAAACAAATACATCACTCTTGCCCATAGATTAGGGCAGTTGTGAGATACGATCTCAACAATATCTCACTCTGTCTTTCCCTTTTCCTGGTCAGTCTGAAATATACTAGCTAAAGGTAGCCATCTATCTGCCTTCAGGAAGAATGCAGTTATGTGAAACCATATGCTATTAAAGCACAAATAACTTTCTCCTACATGATTCACAAGCTTGGTAATCTTATATAAAAATAATGTAAATCACCCTAGTGCTAATGAAAGAGTAAATTATTAAGTATTATAGGTGTCAGTATGCCTAAGTGGGTTCATTTTATTTTCTGGAACACCAAACATTATTTCTTTCTCTCCAACTGAGAATTTATATGCCTCAGAGTAGAAATTACTATTTTAGGAGCTCTCAGAGGATGAGCATTTGTTTACCAAATACACAACCACTCTCTTGCACATCCAACTAACATTGAATTGGGTTGTCTCTTTTTCTCCTTTTTGACATGACTTGACACATTAGAATGTGACAAAAGAATTTATATTTGGCAGAAATTCTTGCTCCATATTTAATTACCCTGTCCATACTAATGCCACATTTGAATAAACAACCAATAGCCCAAAACCCTGGAGAAGATTTTAACATAATGTATGAAGATTCTGTCAAGTCCACCTTTGAAGTTGTCTCCTCTAATTATTAGAAACTTACCACTGGTTTCAGTATAATCACTATGGGAGTTAGAATGTATTACACAGCAATTTCAGTTCATGGTCAGTAGTCATGGCAACACAGGAGGATAAATCTTAAAATAAGAAATAATCTCCAAGGGCAAGAGTTTGCATCTTGCTTCCAGATGTTTGCAATTTCATTTTTGGAAATAAATAAGCTATTTGGGTTTTTAAAAGCCTTAAAAATCTATTTTGAAGGTACAATGTTTAATTTTTTTTTCAAAGTGAAAAACTGCACCATGTTTTCTAAATAGCACCGTATGCTAAATTTTCTTTATAGCTTTTTGGATACTTTAAAAATTTTCTCATTTAAGAATTACACCAATTTTTTTCTCTAATTCACTCAGTCAATAAAAATTTATTGAGCACTTGATTTGTGCCAGACACCTTGCTAGACATTGAGAATTCAGAGATTATTTTCTTTTGCTGACTTTGAATATGAACAAGGGATGGTTCTATGTATGTAGATTTAGGAAACATTAATATTTGCTATATTTGTGACACAAATCCTCAAGAATCAGAAGTATTTAGTTGAAGAAAAAATAAAGAGACAGAATTATTCTTTATCTGTAATATGCATAGAATAGGATATACCATATATAATTATATTTTTAGTTTACAAGCAAATTTAAGTAACAATTTTAATTATTTATTGCCTGGTACTATTCTCATCCACTGGTACCTTTGTCCTGGAAGGAAAAACCCTGTGTCATGCTTACGGAATAACATCAAGCATTGTGAAGACATCGAGTTAGTAAAATGTGGGTACTTTTAGAAATGTAGTGGAACTTAGGTGATTCTGCCCTTCTGCTTCTCTCCTTGTACCCTCTCTCGGGTATCCCAAGAATACTCAAGATGTTCCTGAACAACAAAACAAATCTATAACATTGTTAAACAATTCGAACAACTCATTCTACATGCTCTCCAATGTTTTCCAATTTCCTGCTGAGTATGTCCATTTGAAATGTTGCCAGCACCCCAAGCCCAATTCACTTGAATATCAAAATAATGGTCTCTCCTTCCTCCTCTGTTTCCTGAGAACGGCCATATTATTTGCTCACAGCATATTCAACTTCTTTCTTACTCATATTTGCAATCACTCGCCACTCCACACACTCTTCCCATTCATCTTTTCTCCCATGTGATCTTGACAACCACAGTCCTATTAGACCTTTATTATCAACTTATTCCTACATTATAAACTTTGAAATGAATCCTCTTGCCTCCATGTTTATTTTTCTTTCCTCCATCTGCACACTACTGTCAGATCAATCTTTCTTAGTAGAATCTCTTAAATAAGCCAATTGGGAGGTGGGTGTGTGGAACTTGTAGACCCATGACCCATTTCTCTGACTAGGAATATGTCTGTATAATGATGATTTTGTTTAGGACAGGGGTTGACTGCAAAAAAGAGAGATAATGCTTGAGGCATGAGTGGATACCTGAAGTGGAATAATAGCTGAAGGAGAGAAATCTAGGGTGAGCAGGAGAGATGGAGAGGGCTCACTTCTTAGAGAGTCTGAACCACCAGGTCTGCCCCTTGTATAAGAAAGAGGGAAGCAAGAACCTGTTGGAACCTGTGGAATTTAGGCTCTTGAGTTGCTTCTCTCCAGTACTTTGTGAGCAGCAAACCTATACAAAAGGCTAGAGGAAAAGAATATGAACAAGTTTGTTGCTAAGCATATGCAGTTTACTCCCTGGGACCTCCACAATTAATTAGCCTTGGAGGGTGGTTCTGGAGTTCCTGAAGAAGTGATGGTAGAGACCATATACTAAAAAATCAGCTGTTAATGTACACATTTTGATCAAAGGCTGGTGACGCCTGGGAGAATATGCTTACAAATAATTTTTGAGGCCACTTTTCAATTTAACAAAATAAAATCGATTGTCTGTAGTACGAAGTTCAAAATTTTTATATTTGTGTTTTTAAAGTCTTTCTCAAACTCATTCCAATTTGCTATTCCATACTTGTCATCTCAATTTTCCCACAGAGTTCTATTGGCTCATTTCAAGGTTAAGTTATTAAATGCGTCTTCAATGTGCCGGGGACCATGGAGGGACTAGAAATACAAAGGTAGATCAGAATTCCTGTTTTCAGGGAATACTCAGTGAAGTAGGGGAAACAACTGTCTAATCAGTAATTACATTGCAACGTGATACATACAACAAAATGTGAATGTGCAAAAGACATAGATGGACCAGAAGTGAGAATGGCTTGGAGAAGCCTTCACAGAGGATGGGACTTCCGGCCTAGCATTTACACACCTGTTTGTTTTTCCTCATGCTTCCTTCTGCCCATGACCTCCTGCCTCCTGATTAACTATGCAAAGCCCTCCCAAAGTTCAGTACCAACTTTAATTGCACCTCTCCCATACATCGTTTCTGTCCCCAGCTGAGGTGAGCATTTCTTTAGTTAGCATCTGAAGGATATTTTCAGCAATTAATAATCTGCCTTGTGGAACTTCATGGTCTTGAAATGTGATTCAAATCTTTTATTTTGTTCACATTACTTCACCAAGAAGCTTTTAAATTACTGTAGAGCTGGAATCAGTTCATAATGCCTTCTTTGTAGTAACTGCAGTGCCTTGATTAAAAAATGTATACATTATATAATTATATTATATATAAATATATATATAAACATGTAAAATCTAGTGAAGTGTTGGTTTCTTGATATTAGTGGAGGTTAACTTTTTAGGACCTAGTTCTATTCATGACTTACAGTTTCCATTAATTATTTTATAAATTAATATGACATTCAAATTACTCTTTTCCCCTCACAGCACATTATTTATTCATTTCTTTGAATTAGAGCCTCTCTTTCATTGAGGATTTTTATATGCTTTTGTCTCTCAGTGGACTCTGAACATCTCATGGTCAATATACAAGTTTTATTTACATTTTATTTCCTATCATATCTTGTCAAGTGTTTTCTATGCTAGTCAGGTGAATAACATTTGTTTAATTAAGTGATATATATTCTGAATAAAAATTTTATATCCAGGAACAGTAATATTGAATTCAGAGTGAAAATTCCATGATCACGTAACAAACTTGATGAAGATTATAAGTTTTTATAATCAATGACCTATTTTTCTTTCAGTCCTGTTTGTCTCTGCCACTCCTCTAGCTGATATGTGCTCCAGATTTGAAAATTAATTTAAGAAGCCAAATTGTTTCCTGCTTTTCAAAGTTATACATATCGTTACATATGTTTATATTTATGTGTACACACAAATGTAAAGCAATGATGCCTCTATTAAAATGATGTTCAGTTAATATTGTCTGTGAGAACTGTAAATTATCTATCCTTTATTTCTACTTTGCACTAGATACACCTAAGAGTTTGTGACACATGCCTTGTAAGTACCTCTCATTTCATCTGACGGGTTTCTAGGGAGAAGTAAGCCACAGACACCAAATGTTCCCATCCTTAAGCTAAAAAGTTAGCAAGAATGGGACATTAAACATATGCTTAAAGGGAAATGGTTACAGAAAAGAGGAAAAATATAATATTTTAAAAAGGGTGTGAGATTGAAGACAAATTTTACCTACTGTATATTTGTGTATGATGCACTTAGCTGAATGCTATGTTCACGTAAAATACATTTCAGTAGGAACTTCATCTTCATTACAGCTAGCTCATACTTACATATGCCTAACAGTCTGTGAAGCACTTTCAAGTACATCAGCTCTTTTGACATTTACAACAGTTTCTAAATGAGAAAGTAAAGCCTTTTGTATATCTGTGCCTTGTCCAATGTCAGGCAGCTATTGCCAGAGTCAAGAACTTCTGATAGTTTTCAAGTCAACAAAGAATTTCAATTTCCCAATGAATGATGAAAAAATCAATTGTCTCATTATTGTAAGTCCTGAATTAGTTTTCTAATTAACATGGAAAGTTTATGAAAGCAGTTTATAAAAGCAATCTCCCAATTTTTAGTGGGATCTGTGCAAAAGCACTTCCCTTTGCTTGGGTCTTTGGTGCTTTTCTTTCTTCTGTCTTAACGTGCACTGGTTATATTAGACCCCCAAGTCTCTTCCTTTTGGGAGAGATAAAAGGACTAATAGTATCTTTAATCCAAATATACAAAGTACTAACCTTTAAAGGTCCACTCCATAAAATGCTTGTTTTCCTGTATGACCTTTTATGCTTCCACACTAAGTCAACTTATAGAGCAAGACATTCAACTTGTTAATGTTGCAAATATCTGCTCTTCCAAAAGAATGCCAGTATTTAAGGGAACACCACTGAAAAACCCTTTCCATGCTGGCCATTCAGAGTGGTCTGAGCAGCTTGGGCATTTTTATGTCATGCAGACATACTCTCTGAGTGCCAGGAACACTTTATGTGCTTGCCATTAAATTTCATTCAACATATAACATTTATTTTTGCTTTAATTGAGCTTACCTATTGTTTCAGTAGCATTCTATCAAGTGAAGTGTTGACTCCACTGCATATTGCAAGCAGTAGAATTAGGCTCACTATGAGTTAAGAGACATAGCAAAATGTCAAGTCAGGGCCAAAATAAGCTCTAGGGTAGAATGAAACATATAAGGAAGAACAGCTCAGGAAGGGAATAATTAGATTCAGTATAACACAGTGCTGAAGGGTCAACCAAGGAATTGTTGTCATTATTGTGCAGCTTTTATAGTCACTGGAAGACACTGTAACTCTGTAATAGTGATTTCATCACCATTATTGCTGACTTGTTCAGTGTTATTATGAGTGCTATATTCCTTCTTATGCACCACTGAAATGCTAGTATTTAAATGTGTAGTGTATGGCTACAATGTTCAATATTTAGATGACAGGTACACTAGAAGCTTAAACCCCACTATTATGTATGTAATACCCATGTAATAAACAAGCACATGTATCCCTTGAATCTAAAATAAATAAATAAATAATAAAATAGATATGTAGTATATACAAAAAAGCTTAAAGACTTGTTTTAGGCGAGTGCTAACATGGCTAGAGGAATGGGGCACTGGAATCTTTGTAACTTTAGAATTGCAATAACATATGGTATTTCATTTATAAGGCTAAAACTACAGACTTGGAATAACGGATAAGCTTTGAAATTTCTCTCCAATGACAATACTGCTTCAATCCATTTATTAATTGCCATCAATTCATCAATGATGGCATTCATGCTATGGCTTTTGTGGCATGACTTTCTGAATACAAGTTGTGTCAAAAAACTGTGAATTATGCCCCAATATTTGTTTTCTCGTCTTTCTTTCCTATAGTAGACCTCCTTGAGTTTTAGCTGGGAAATGGATGCCTAAGCTAGACATCACATTTTCCAACCTTGCTTGCAGCTTAGAGTGGATATATGAAAAAGTTAAGCCAATAGGATATAAGTGGTGATAGGTGCAACTTCTGCTTACCCTGATTTCCTCATTTCCCACTGGCTAGAGAATTGCAATGACTGAAGAAAACCCAAAAGCCACATGGTAAGGTTCAAAGATCCTCTGTACTGGCCTTGAACCACTCACTTCTGAACTATCTATGAAAGAAAAATAAACTTCTATTTTAAGTCAACAAATAGCTGTTGCAGCAGGTTTGTTTGTAGCCTAAATAATGCAGAAATGTGAAGTCTCCATTTATGAGGCTGAATGAATTTCATTAGTCTAGAGAAATTTAAAATCTATGACATTGTCCTCACTGACATTATGTCCTAACCAACAAACTCCCAACAGAATCATAGCTTCCAAAGGCTAAAAGAAACTCAATGAAATGCCATAATTCCCAAACTAGAATTTGTTTGAAGAGAAGTAACTTTTCTGAGAGTGCTAATCTTCTACTAAAATAATTGATCCTTTGTTTTGAATAGGTCTGTAAAGCAAAAGTGAAACCTTTTTAGGGTAAAAAAAAAAAAATCCAAGTAAGTCATTATGACATGTGCCATTCTTTTCTACTTTTGAGTTTTTAAGAAACTATTGACTCATAATAAAGCTTAGATTAAGCTACTCCCAACTGAATATTGAAATCTGGATTGTGGCTTGCCATTCTAAACAACCAGACCCACTGTAGATCAGCTTAATAGAAATGCATGGAGTAACATGTTTTTCATTCAATTATTCTTCTCCTTACAATTAGACCTCTTATATTAAAGTATCCAGTTATGTACTCACCAAAAGCAAAAGAGTTGAGCACAATACTTAAAATACAAGTACTTTTTAAAAGGCAAAATCCTACATATCTTTATACATGAACCTTAAGAATTATGGATCATTGTCCATGTCTTCTTTTCTCCTTTGTAATGTTAGTGAGAAGGATTTTTTAATTCCCCTCCTTTGATAATAGAAGTGTCAATGACCCCTTGGCTCTTAGAGTTGATATTCCTTTTGGAGTTTATAAACCTTACGGTTTTCCAGGAGATAAAATAGGTTTTGAGTGTGACTCACAGTTCCACCACTTATTTACCGTGTGTCTTTCTGGAGGTTGATTTACTAAGCCTTGCTTTTTTCCCATATTTCATTTCTCTTTTCAATTGATACATAGTATTTGTAAATATTTAGGGTGTATGTGTGATATTTTGACACATGCATACAATGTGTAATAATCAAATTAGAGTAATTGGGACATCCATCACCTCAAACAGTTATCATTTCTTTGTGTTGGGGAAATTCCAAATCTTCTCTTATGGCTGTTTTGAAATATAAAATAAATTATTGTTAACTATAGTCCCCCAACCATTTTTCTGCACTCATTACCAAGCTCTCTTCATCCCATCCTGTCCCATACCCTTTCTAGCTCCTGGCAACCATTCCACTCTCCATCTGTTTGAGACCAACTCTTTCTAGCTCCCACATGTGAGAGAGTACATGTGATATTTGTCTTTCTGCGCCTGGCTTGTTTCACTTTTGTCCTCCAGACTCATCCATTTTGCTGCCAATGACAGGATTTCATTCTTGTGTATGGCTGAATAATATCCTTTTGTGTATATATACCACATTTTCTTTATTCATTCATGCATTGTTGGATATTTAGGTTGATTCCATATCTTTGCTATTGTGATTATGCTGTGATAAATATGGGGGTACAAATATCTCCTCAAGCATATCTCATACTGCTTTTCTTTCTTTTGCATATATATCCAGCAGTGGGATTGCTGATCATATGGTAGTTCTATTTTTAATTTTTTGAGGAAACTCCATCCTGTTTTTCATAGTGGCTGCACTAGTTTACATTCCCCCAATAGTATAGGAGAGTTCCCCTTTCTCTGCATCCTTGCCAGCAATTGTTACTTTTTTGTTTTTTTTAATAATAGCCATTGTAACTGGAGTGAGATTATATCTTATTGTGGTTTTGATTTGCATTTCCCTCTTGGTTAGTGATTTTGAGCATTTTTTCATATACCTGTTGGCCATTTGTATGTCTTTTGGTCTCATCAATAAATGGTGCTGGAAAAACTGAGTATCCATATGCAGCAGAATGAACCTACACCTCCATCTCTTACCACATACAAAAATCAAATCAAACTGATGTAAAGATGTAAATATAAGACCTCAAACTATGAAACTACTAAAAGAAAATATGCTGGAAACACTTCAGGACATTGGTGTGAACAAAGATTTTTTGAGGTAAGACCTCAAAAACACAGCCAAAAAACAGATCTTATGTCAGGTGGTGATAAGAGTCATAGAGAGGATTAAAGAAAGTTAAAGGAAATAGTAAATAATTGGTGTGGGTAGGGTATTGCTGTTTTTTAAGATGGTCATGGAAAAGCTCTTTGAAACACTGACAGTGGAGGAGAGACCCAAAACCTTGACTGAGAATCTTTCAGTGAAAGAGCATTTCTGGTAGGGAAGTAGCAAGTATAAAAATTTTGAAGCAAGAATATTCTTGACATATTCAAAGGAAAGCAAGGTGGTTATGATGGCAGAAGTGGGCCAGGCAAAAGAGAGAGTGGTAGAAAATGGGGTAGGACAGGGAGACTAAAGATCCTCCAGAACCTTTAGCACTATTGTCAGGAAAGCTTTACTCTGAATGAGACAAGAAGCCAGTAGAGGCATTTGTGCAAAGAGAGACCATCTGATTTAATGTTTAGAAGGAACCCTCTGTGGAGGATAGAATAATGGAGCAAGACCAGAGACCCCACGTCTGCTCAACCCCCACCACTTTTTTGGTTTACTGCCGTATCTCCAGCATTTAGAACAATATCTGCAGCATTGTAAGCACATAATAAATATTTGTTGAATGAATGTGTGGATTAAATGAAAGCATATGAATTACTTATTTGAGACATGGAACAATCAAAGGGCTCAATAAATGGTAGCCGCTATTTTTTTATCTCTATCAAAATAACAGCCACTCACTTCCCTGGATTTCTTCCTTGCTTAACTATTAGAATAATTTCACAAAGATTTAAAATTATTTTTTACAGCTCAGTTTTCTCCTATATGTAAATTAGTAATAAAAAAGCATAACATAAATACAATTACATTGTAATATATCTTTATGATAATTTTTTCCAAACAGAAAACAATATTTTTAAATTTCAAGGTAACATCCTGCCCATACGCTCAAGAAAGAATATATATATATATATATATATAATATTTTAATTTTCTGATTCAAGACAAAGTGTTCTAACTTCCCTACACTAGTAATACAAATATTATGCAAAATCCTTGTCACTTAAAGCTACTGTTAAATATTAGAGCATAAGTATTCATATGTAAAGAATGAAACTGGACAACTAATTGTCATCATATACAAAAATTAACTCAAGATGGATTCAAGACTTAAATGTAAGGCCTCCAACTATAAAAATTCTAGAAAAAAACCTAGGAAATAACCTTCTAGACATCAGCCTTGGCAACGAATTTATTACTAAGTCCTCAAAAGTAATCGCAATACAAACAAAAATTGACAAGTGTGACCTAATTAAACTAAAGATCTGCGCAACAAAAGAAACTATCAACAGAATAAACAGACAACCTACAGAATGGGAGAAAATATTCACAAACTAGGTATTCAAGAATTGTCTAATATCTAGAATCTATAATGAACTTAAATCAATGAGAGAAAAAAACAAATAACCCCATTAAAAAGTAGTCAAAGAAGCCAGGTACAGTGGCTTACACCTGTAATCTCCGCACTTTGGGAGGCTAACAGAGGTGGATCGCTTCAACCCAGGAGTTCAAGAACAGCCTGTTCAACATGGCAAAACCTCATCTCTACAAAAAAATTTTAAAAATTGCCAGACATGGTGGTGTGCACCTGTAGACTCAGCTACTCAGGAGGCTTGGGTGGGAGAATCATCTGAGCCCAGGGTGATTAAGGCTGCAGTGAGCCATGATTGTGCCACTACACTCCAGGCTGGGTGACAGAGTGATGAGAACCTGTCTCAAAAAAAAAAAAGGAAAAGAAAAGAAAAAAAGAAAGAAAGAAAAAAAGCAAAGGGCATGAACTGACACATCTCAAAAGAAGACATACAAGTGGCCAACAAACATATGAAAAAATGCTCACCATCACTAACTATCAGATAAATGCTAATCAAAACCACAATAAGATACCATCTAATCAACCTGTCATCTACATTAGGTATTTCTCCTAATGCTAACCATCCCCCAGCCCCCCATCCCCTAAAAGGCCCCAGTGTGTGATCTTCCCCTCCCTGTGTCCATGTGATCTCATTGTTCAACTCCCACTTGTGAGTGAGAACACGCAGTGTTCGGTTTAATGTTCCTGTGTTAGTTTGCTGAGACAAGAACTCATGTTTAATGTTCCTGTGTTAGTTTGCTGCAAAAGACATGAAATCATTTTTTATGGCTGCATAGTATTCCATGGTGTATATGTGCCACATTTTCTTAATCCAGTCTATCACTGATGGGCATTTCGGTTGGTTCCAAGTCTTTATTATTGTGAACAGTGCTGCAATAAACATACGTGTGCATGTGTCTTTATAGTAGAATGATTTATAATCCTTTGGGTATATACCCAGTAATGGGATTGCCGGGTCAAATGGTATTTCTGGTTCTAGATCCTTGAGGAATTGCCACATTGTCTTCCACATTGGTTGAACTAATTTACACTGCCACCAACAGTGTAAAAGTGTTCCTATTTCTCTACATCCTCTCCAGCATCGGTTGTTACCTGACTTTTTAACGATCACCATTCTAACTGGCATGAGATGATATCTCATTGTGTTTTTGATTTACAATTATCAGCCAAGAATTTTGGATCTGGAAAAACTAGGCTTCATAAATGAAGGAAAGACAGTCTTTTTCTGACCAACAAATGCTGAGAGAATTTGCCACTACCAAGCCAGCACCACAAGTACTGCTGAAAGGAACTATAAATCTTAAAACAAAGCTTTGAAATACAACAAAATAGAATCTCCCTAGAGCGTAAATCTCACAGGCCCTATAAAACAACAACACAATGAAAAAAAGCCAAGGTAGTCAGGCAACAAATAGTATGATTAATAGAATAATAGTACCTCACATCTCAATACTAACATTGAATATAAATGGTCTGCATGTTCCACTTAAAAGATACAGAATGGCAGAATGGATAAGAATTAACCAACCAAGTATATGCTGTCTTCAAGAGACTCACTTAATACATAAGGACTCACATAAACTTAAGGTAAAGTGGTGGAAAAGATATTTCATGCGAATGGACACCAAAAGCAGGCAGGAGTCGCTATTCTTATATCAGATAAAACAAACTTTAAGGCAAAAGCAGTTTAAAAAGACAAAGAGGAATATTATATAATGATAAAAGAACTCATCCAACAGGAAAATATCACAATTCTAAATACAGATGTACCTAACACTGGAGCTCACAAATTTATAAAAAAATTACTACTAGACCTAAGAAATGAGATAGACAGCAACACAATAATAGTGGGGAACTTCAATACTCCACTGACAGCACTAGACAGGTCATCAAGAGAGAAAAAGTCAACAAGAAAACAATGGACTTAAATTACACCCTACAACAAATGGACTTAACAGATATAAACAGAACATTCTACCCAACGACTGCAGAATATGCGTTCTATTCAACAGCACATGAAACATTTTCCAAGATAGACCATGTTATAGGCTACAAAACAAGTCTCAACAAATTTAAGAAAATCGAAATTATAGCAAGTACTCTCAGACCTCAGTGGAATAAAATTGGAAATCAACTCCAAAAGGCACCCTCAAAACCAAGCAAATACATGGAAATTAAATAACCTGCTCCTGAATGATCACTGGGTCAACAATGAAATCAAGATGAAAATTAAAAAATTCTTTGAGCTGAATGATAATAGTGACACAACTTATCAAAACCTCTGGGATACAGCAAGGCAGTGCTAAGAGGAAAGTTCATAGCATATTTCATGCCTACATCAAAAAGTCTGAAAGATCACAAATAGACAATCTAATGTCACACCTCAAGGAACTAGAGAAACAAGAACAAACCAAACCCAAGCACAGCAGAAGAAAAGAAATAACCAAGATCAGAGCAGAACTAAATGAAATTGAAACAAAAACAAATACAAAAGATAAATGAAACAAAAAAGCTGGTCCTTGGAAAAGATAAATAAAACTGATAGACCACTAGCTAAATTAACCAAGAAAAGAAGAGAGAAGATCCAAATAAGCTCAATTAGAAAAAAAAGGGAGATATTACAGCTGCTACCACAGAAATACCAAAGATCATTCAAAGCTACTATGAACAGCTTTATGTGCATAAACTAGAAAACCTAGAGGAGATGGATAAATTCCTGGAAATGCACAACTCTCCTAAATTAAGCCAGGAAGAAATAGACACTCTGAACAGACCAATAACAAGCAGTGAGATTGAAATGGTAATTAAAAAGTTACCAACAGAAAATAGTCCAGGACCAGACGGATTCACAGCTAAATTCCATCAGACATCCAGAGAAGAATTGGTACCAATCCTATTGCCACTCTTCCAAAAGATATAGAAAGAGGGATTCCTCCCTAAATTATTTGATGAAACCAGTATCACCCTAACACCAAAACCGGGAAAGGACATAAGAGAAAAAGAAAACTACAGACAAATATCCCTGGTGAACATAGGTGCAAAAATCCTCAACAAATTACTAGCTAAGTGAATTGAACAGCATATCAAAAAGATAATCCATCATGATCAAGTACGTTTCAAACCAGGGATGCAGGGATGGTTTAACATATGCAAGTCAATAAGATACACCACATAAACAGAATTAAAAACAAAAATCAGATGATCATCTTAATAGATGCAGAAAAAGCATTTGACAAAATCCAGCATCCTTCTATGATTAAAACCATCAGCAGAATCAGCATAGAAAGGACATAACTTAAGGTAATAAATGCCATCTATAACAAACCCACAGCCAACATTATACTAAACGGGGAAAAGATGAAAGCATTCCCCTTGAGAACTGTAACAAGACAAAGATGCCCACTTTCTTTATTATTATTATTATCATACTTTAAGTTTTAGGGTACATGTACACAACATGCAAGTTTGATACATAGGTATACATGTGCCATGTTGGTTTGCTGCACCTAGCAACTGGTCACTTACATTAGGTATCTATCCTAATGCTATCCCTCCCCCAGCTCCCCACCCCCCAACAGGCCCTGGTGTGTGATGTTCCTCGCCCTGTGTCAAGGATTCTCATTGTTCAATTCCCACGTATAAGGGAGAACATGCGGTGTTTGGTTTTCAGTCCTTATGATAGTTTGCTGAGAATGATGGTTCCCAGCTTCATCCATGTCCCTGCAAAGGAGATGAACGCATCCTTTTTTATGGCTGCATAGTATTCCATGGTGTTATATGTGCCACATTTTCTTAATCCGGTCTATCACTGATGGACATTTGGGTTGGTTCCAAGTCTTTGCTATCGTGAATAGGGCTGCAATAAACATACGTGTGCATGTGTCTTTATAGTAGCATGATTTATAATCCTTGGGTATATACCCAGTAATGGGATTGCTGAGTCAAGTAGTATTTCTAGTTCTAGATCCTTGAGGAATTGCCACACTGTCTTCCACAATGGTTGAACTAATTTACACTCCCACCAACAGCGTAAAAGTGTTCCTATTTCTCCACATCCTCTCCAGCATCTGTTGTTTCCTGACTTTTTAATGATTGTCAATCTAACTGGTGTGAGATGGTATCTCATAGTGGTTTTGATTTGCATTTCTCTGATGACCAGTAATGAGCATTTTTTCACGTGTCTGTTGGCTGTACAAATGTCTTCTTTTGAGAAGTGTCTGTTCATGTCCTTTGCCCACTTTTTGATGGGGTTATTTTTTTCTTGTAAATTTGTTTGAGCTCTTTGTAGATTCTGGATATTAGCCCTTTGTCAGATGGGTAGATTGCAAAAATTTTCTCCCATTTTTTAGGTTGCCAGTTCACTCTGATGGTAGGTTCTTTTGCTGTGCAGTAGCTCTTTAGTTTAATTAGATCCCATTTGTCTATTTTGGCTTTTGTTGCCATTGCTTTTGGTATTTTAGTCATGAAGTCCTTGCCCATGCCTATGTCCTGAATGGTATTGTCTATGTTTTCTTCTAGAGTTTTTATGGTTTTAGGTCTAATATTTAATTTAGGTCTAATACTATCTAATACCATACCATTTAATTTAGGTCTAATATTTAATTTAGGTCTAATACCATCTTGAATTAATTTTTGTATAAGGTATAAGGAAGGGATCCAGATTCAGCTTTCTACATATGGCTAGCCAGTTTTCCCAGCACCATTGATTAAATAGGGATTCCTTTTCCCATTTCTTGTTTTTGTCAGGTTTGTGAAAGATCAGATGGTTGTAGATGTGTGGTGTTATTTCTGGGACCACTGATCTGTTCCATTGGTCTACATATCTGTTTTGGTACCAGTACCATGCTGTTTTGGTTACTGTAGCCTTGTAGTATAGTTTGAAGTCAGGTAGCATGATGCATCCAGCTTTGTTCTTTTTGCTTAGGATTGTCTTGGCAATGCAGGCTCTTTTTTGGTTCCATATGAACTTTAAAGTAGTTTTTTCCAATTCTGTGAAGAAAGTCATTGGTAGCTTGATGGGGATGGCATTAAATCTATAAATTACCTTGAGCAGTATGACCATTTTCATGATATTGATTCTTCCTATCCATTAGCATGGAATGTTCTTCCATTTGTTTGTGTCCTCTTTTATTTCGTTGAGCAGTAGTTTGTAGCTCTCCTTGAAGAGGTCCTTCCCATCCCTTGTAAGTTGCATTCCTAGGTATTTTATTCTCTTTGTAGCAATTGTAAATGGGAGTTCACTCATGATTTGGCTCTTTGTTTGTCTGTTACTGGTGTATAGGAATACTTGTGAATTTTGCACATTGATTTTGTATCCTGAGACTTTGCTGAAGTTGCTTATCAGCTTAAGGAGATTTTGGGCTGAGACAATGGGGTTTTCTTAATATACAATCATGTCATCTGCAAACAGGGACAATTTGACTTCCTCTTTTCCTAATTGAATACCGTTTATTTCTTTCTCTTGCCTGATTGTCCAGGCCAGAACTTCCAACACTATGTTGAATAGGAGTGGTGAAAGAGGGCATCGTTGCCTTGTGCCAGTTTTCAAAGGGAGTGCTTCCTGCTTGTACCCATTCAGTATGATATTGGCTGTGGGTTTGTCATGAATAGCTCTTATTATTTTGAGATAAGTTCCATGAATACCTAGTTTATTGAGAGTTTTTAGCATGAAGGGCTGTTGAATTTTATCAAAGGCCTTTTCTGCATCTATTGAGATAATCATGTGGTTTTTGTCATTGGTTCTGTTTATGTGATGGATTATGTTTTTTGATTTGTGTTAAGTTGAAACAGCTTTGCATCCCAAAGATGAAGTCGACTTGATCTTGGTGGATAAGCTTTTTGATGTGCTCTGGATTCAGTTTGCCAGTATTTTATTGAGGATTTTTGCATCGATGTTCCTCAGAGATATTGGTCTAAAATTATCTTTTTTTTGTTGTGTCTCTGTCAGGCTTTGGTATCAGGATGATGCTGGCCTCATAAAATGAGTTAGGGAGGATTCCTTCTTTTTCTATGGATTGGAATAGTTTCAGAAGGAATAGTACGAGCTCCTCTTTGTACCTCTGGTAGAATTCAGCTGTGAATGCTTCTGGTCCTGGACTTGTTTTGGTTGGTAGGCTATTAATTGCTGCCTAAATTTCAGAGCCTGTTATTGGTCTACTCAGAGATTCAGCTTCTTCCTGGTTTAGTCTTGGGAGGGTATATGTGACCAGGAATTTATCCATTTCTTCTAGATTTTCTAGTTTATTTGCATAGAGGTGTTTATAGTATTCTCTGATGGTAGTTTATATTTCTGTGGGATCAGTGGTGATATCCCCTTTATTATTTTTTATTGCATCTGTTTGATTCTTCTCTCTTTTCTTCTTTATTAGTCTTGCTAGTGGTCTATCAATTTTGTTGATCTTTTCAAAAAAACAGCTCCTGGATTCACTGATTTTTTTGAAGTGTTTTTTGTGTCTCTATCTCTTTCAGTTCTGCTCTGATCTTAGTTATTTCTTGCCTTCTGCTAGCTTTTGAATTTGTTTGCTTTTGCTTCTCTAGTTCTTTTAACTGTGATGTTAGGGTGTGGATTTTAGATCTCTCCTGCTTTCTCTTGTGGGCATTTAGTGCTATAAATTTTCCTCTACACACTGCTTTGAATGTGTCCCAGAGATTGTGCTATGTTGTGTCTTTGTTCTCATTAGTTTCAAAGAACATCTTTATTTCTGACTTCATTTCGTTATTTACCCAGTAGTCATTCAGGAGCAGATTGTTCAGTTCCCATGTAGTTGTGTGGTTTTGAGTAAGTTTCTTAATCCTGAGTTCTAATTTGATTGCACTGTGGTCTGAGAGACAATTTGTTGTGATTTCTGTTCTTTTATATTTGCTGAGGAGTGTTTTACTTCCAATTATATGGTCAATTTTAGAGTAAGTGCAATGTGGTGCCGAGAACAATGTATATTCTGTTGACTTAGGGTGGAGATTTCTGTAGATGTCTCTTAGGTCTGCTTGGTGCAGAGCTGAGTTCAAGTCCTAGATATCTTTGCTAACCTTTTGTCTCATTGATAAACCTAATATTGACAGTGGGGTGTTAAAATCTCCCATTATTATTGTGTGGGTGTCTAAGTCGCTTTGTAGGTCTCTAAGGAGTTGCTTTATGAATCTGGGTGCTCCTGTAATGGGTGCATATATATTTAGGATAGTTAGCTCTTCTTGTTGAATTGATCCCTTTACCATTATGTAATGGCCTTCTTTGTCTCTTTTGATCTTTGTTGGTTTAAAAGTCTGTTTTACCAAAGACTAGGATTGCAACCCCTGCTTTTTTTTGTTTTCCATTTGCTTGGTAGATCTTCCTTCATCCCTTTATTTTGAGCCCATGTGTGTCTCTGCACATGAGATGGTTCTCCTCAATACAGCACACTGATGGGTCTTGACTGTTCATCCAATTTGCCAGTCTGTGTCTTTTAATTGGGCCATTTAGCCCATTTACATTTAAGGTTAATATTGTTATGTGTCAATCTGGTCCTGTCATTATGATGTTAGCTGGTTATTTTGCCCATTAATTGATGCAGTTTCTTCATAGCATCGACGATTTTTACAATTTGGCATTTTTTGAAGTGGCTGGTACTGGCTGTTTCTTTCCATGTTTAGTGCTTCCTTCAGGAGCTCTTGTAAGGCAGACCTGGTGGTGACAAAATCTCTCAGCATTTGCTTGTCTGTAAAGGATTTTGTTTCTCCTTCACTTATGAAGCTTAGTTTGGCTGGATATGAAATTCTGGGTTGAAAATTCTTTTCTTTAAGAATGTTGAATATTGGCCCCCACTCTCTTTTGGCTTCTAGGGTTTCTGCTGAGAGATCCATTGTTAGTCTTATGGGCTTCCCTTTGTGGGTAACCTGACCTTACTCTCTGGCTGCCCTTACCATTTTTCCTTCATTTCAACTTTGATGAATCTGACAATTATGTGTCTTAGGGTTGCTCTTCTTGAGGAGTATCTTTGTGGTGTTCTCTGTATTTCCTGAATTTGAATGTTGGCCTGTCTTGCTAGGTTGGGGAAGTTCTCCTGGATAATGTCCTGCAGAGTGTTTTCCAATTTGTTTCCATTCTCCTCATCACTTTCAGTAAACCAATCAAACGTAGATTTGGTTTTTTCACATAGTCCCATATTTCTTGGAGGCTTTGTTCATTTCTTTTTACTCTTTTCTCTAAACTTGTCTTCTCACTTTATTTCATTAATTTGATCTTCAATCACTGATACCCTTTCTTCCACTTGATCGAATCGGCTATTGAAGCTTGTGCATGTGTCACGAAGTTCTCATGCCATGGTTTTCAGCTCCATCAGGTCATTTAAGGTCTTCTCTACACTGTTTATTCTAGTTAGCCATTCATCTAACCTTTTTTCAAGGTTTGTAGCTCCCTTGCAATGAGTTCGAACACGCTCCTTTAGCTCAGAGAAGTTTGTTATTACCAACCTTCTGAAGCTTACTTCTGTCAACTCATTAATGTCATTCTCCATCCAGTTTTGTTCCATTGCTGGCAAGGAGCTGTGATCCTTTGGAGGAGAAGAGGTGCTCTGGTTTTGAGAATTTTCAGCTTTTCTGTTCTGGTTTCTCCCCATCTTTGTGGTTTTTATCTAACTTTGATCTTTGATGATGGTGACCTACAGATGGTGTTTTGGCGTAGATGTCCTTTTGGTTGATGTTGATGCTATTCCTTTCTGTTTGTTAGTTTTCATTCTAACAGTCAGGTCCCTCAGCTGCAGGTCTGTTGGAGTTTGCTGGAGGTCCACTCCAGATCCTGTTTGCTTGGGTATCACCAGCAGAGGCTGCAGAACAGCAAATATTGCAGAACATCAAATATTGCTTCCTGATCCTTCCTCTGGCAGCTTTGTCTCAGAGGGGTACCTGGCCATGTGAGGTGTCAGTCTGCCCCTACTGGGGGGTGCCTCCCAGTTAGGCTACTCAGGGTTCAGGGACTCACTTGAGTAGGCAGTCTGTCTGTTCTCAGAGCTCAAACACCACGCTAGGAGAACCACAGCTCTCTTTGGAGCTGTCAGACAGGGACGTTTAAGTCTGCAGAAGTTGTCTGCTGCCTTTTGTTCGTCTATGCTCTGCCCACAGAGGTGGAGTCTATATAGGCAGTAGGCCTTGCTGAGCTGCAGTGAGCTCCGCCATGTTCGAGCTTCCTGGCCACTTTGTTTACCTACTCAAGCCTCAGCAATGGTGGATGGCCCTCCCCCAGCCAGGCTGCCACCTCGAAGTTCGATCTCAGACTGCTCTGCTAGCAGTGAGCAAGGATCCGTGGGCGTGGGACCTGCTAAGCCAGGCACAGGAGAGAATCTCCTTGTCTGTCAGTTGCTAAGACCTTGGGAAAAGCACAGTGTTTGGCAGAAGTGTCCCATTTTTCCAGGTACAGTCTGTTACAGCTTCCCTTGGCTAGGAAAAGGAAATCCCTGATCCCTTGCACTTCCTGGGTAAGGCAACACCCTGCCCTGCTTCAACTCACCCTCCATGGGCTGCACCCACTGTCCAACCAGTCCCAGTGAAATGAACCAGGTACCTCAGTTGCAAATGCAGAAATCACCCATCTTCTGTGTTGATCACGCTGCGAGCTGCAGACCAGAGCTTTTCCTATTCAGCCATCTTGGAACAGAGCCAAAGATGCCCACTTTCATCACTTCTATGCAACACAGTACTAGAAGTCCTAGCCAGAGCAATTGGACAAGAGAAAGAAATCAAGAGCATCCAGATCTGTAAAGAGGAATTCAAACTGTTGCCATTTGCTAATGATATAATTGTATAACTAGAAAACCCTAAAGAGTCATTCAAAAAGCTCCTAGAACTGATAAATGATTCAGCAAAGTTTCAGGATACAAAATTAATGTACACAAATCAGTAGCCCTGCTATACACCAACAGTGACCAAGCTGAGAATCAAATCAAGAACTCAATCCGTTTTACAATAGCTGCAGAAAACCAAACCAAACCAAAACAAAACTTAGAAATAGACCTAACCAGGGAGGTGAATGACTTCTACAAGGAAAACTACAAAACACTGCTGAAATAAATCATAGATGACACAAATGAAAACACATCCCATGCTCAGAGATGGGGAGGATGAATATTGTGAAAATGACCATACTTTCAAAAGCAGTCTACAAATTCAATGCAATTCCCATCAAAATACCACCATCATTGTTCACAAAACTAGAAAAAAAAATCCTAAAATTCATATGAAACCAAAAAAGTTCCTGCATAGCCAAAGTAAGCCTAAGCAAAAAGAACAAATCTGGAGGCGTTATATTACCCTACTTTAAACTATTCTACAAGGCCGTAGTGACCAAAACAGCACGGTATTGGTATAAAAACAGGCATATAGACCAACGAAACAGAATAGAGAACCCAGAAGTAAAGCCAAATACTTATAGTAAACTGTTCTTCGACAAAGCAAACAGAAACATAAAGTGGGGAAAGGACACCCTATTCAACAAATGGTGCTGGGATAATAGGCAAGCCACATGTAAAAGAATTTAACTGGATCCTCATCTCTCACCTTATTCAAAAATAAACTCAAGATGGATCAAAAAATTAAATCTAAGACATGAAACCATAACAATTCTAGAAAATAACATTGGAAAAACCCTTCTAGACATTGGCTTAGGCAAAGACTTCATGACCAAGAATCCAAAAGCAAATGCAACAAAAACAAAGATAAATAGATGGAACCTGATTAAACTTAAAAGCTTTTGTACAGCCAAAGAAATAATCAGCAGAGTAAACAGACAACCACCGAGTGGGATAAGATCTTCACAATCTACACATCCAACAAAGGACGAATATCCAGAATCTACAAGGAACACAAACAAATTAGCAAGATAAAAACAAACAATCCTGTCAAAAAGTGGGCTAAGGACATGAATGACAGTTCTCAAAAGAAGATACACAGATTGCTAGCAAACCTGAAAAAAATGCTCAACATCACTAATTATCAGGGAAATCCAAATCAAAACCACATTGCAATACTACCTTACTCCTGCAAGAATGGCCATAATAAAAAAATTTAAAAATAATAGATGTAGGCATGGATGTGGTGAAAAAGGAACAATTTTACACTGTAGGTGGGAATGTAAACTAGTATAACCACTATGGAAAACAGTGTGGAGGTTCCTTAAATAACTAAAAGTAGATCTACCATTTCATCTACTTTTCCCAATCCTACTCCTGGGTATCTACCCAGAGGAAAAGGGGTCATTATACAAAAAAGATACCTGCACACACATGTTTATAGCAGCAAAATTTGCAATTGCAAAATATAGAACCAGCCCAAACGCCTATCAGTCATCAAGTACATAAAGAAAATGTGGTATATATACATACCATGGAATACTACTCATCCATAAAAAGGAGTGAAATAATGGCATTTGGAGCAACCTGGATGGAATTGGAGACCATTATTCTAAGTAACTCAGGAATGGAAAACCAAAAATCATATGTTCTCACTAAAAAGTGGGAGCTAAGTTGTGAGGATGCAAAGGCAAACAAATGATAAACTTGGGGACTTGAGGAAAGGGTAGGAGGGGAGTAAGGGATAAAAGACTACATACTGGGTACAGTGTATACTGCTCAGATAATGGGTGCACCAAAATCTCAGAAATCACCACTAAAGAATTTATTTATGTAACCAAACACCACCTGATCCTCAAAAACCTATTGAAATTTTCTGGGGTAAAAATATCCCAGAAAAGTCCAGCATTCTCTAGGCAAGGAAATACTTGTCCTTCCAGTTAACCAATTGTCCTGGTACGAAGGTCATTGCCCTCTCCATTGTGACCTCTCCAACAGGAACATATCTTTCTTTCTGGAGACTTGACCAAATTTCCCAGGAATCTTAGTGTACAGACAATAATGTCTTTTATGCCTTGCACATAGTTTCACACTGATAAATAACAAATTCTTAATATAAATCATTATCATTCTTTTTTCCTCAGCTTTATTAAAGTATAATTGACAAATTAAATTGTATAGATTTAAGTCATAAAATGTAATATTTTGATATATCCATATACGATTAAATGAGTACCATAATTAACATATCGATCACCTCATTTTGTTACCGTATGTGGTGTGTGTATGTGTGTGTGTGTGGTGAGAATATTTAAGATCTACTGTCTTAGAAGAATAAAACTGGATCCCTGTCTCTCACCATATAGAAAAATTAACTCCAGATGGATTAAAGACTTACATTTAAGATGTGAAACCACAAAATTTGTAGAAAAAAAACCTAGGAAAAACTCTTCTGGACATTGGCTTAGGCAAAGAATTAATGAGTTAGACCCTAAAGGCAAATGCAAGACAAACAAAAATAAAGAACTAGTTCTTAATCAAACTAAAAAGCTCCTCCACAGCAAAAGAAATAATCAACAGAGTAAATAAACTACCTGCAGAATGGGAACAATTATTCCCAAACTATGCATCTGACAAACAACTAACATCCAGAATCTACAAGGTACTCAAATAAATCAGCAAGAAAAAAAAAGAATAATCCCATTAAGAAGTGGGCAAATGACATGAACAGACATTTTTCAAAAGAAGATATACAAATGGCCAATAAATATATGAAAAAAATGTTCAACATCACTCATCACCAGGGGAATGCAAATTAAAAACACAATGAGGTAGGGTGCAGTGGCTCATACCTGTAATCCCAGTACTTAGGGAGGCCGAGATGGGTAGATTGCTAGAGATCAGGAGTTTGAGACCAGTCTCGTCAACATGGGGAAACCCCATCTCTACTAAAAACATAAAAAATTAGCTGGGAGGCAACAGCATAAAGATGTAAACTTTAGTAGATATCCCATTCTTTGGTAGAAAATTCCCAAATCTGTACTCAAGAAGTGCCTAAAAATGGATTTGTTGATTTTAAGCCCATCTAATAAATTATATGTATTTTCTATGGTATTGTATGGCTTGTCTTAACTGATGACACAGCCTAGAGGGTTTCTGTCACAATTTGTGCTTTATTTGAATAAAAAGTCTTTTTTGTTGTTGTTGTTGTTGTTTTTTAGACAGAGTCTCACTTTGTCGCCCAGGCTGGAGTGAAGTGGCGCAATCTCAGCTCACTGCAACCTCTGCCTCCTGGGTTCACGCCATTGTCCTGCCTCAGCCTCCCAAGTAGCTGGGACTGCAGGCGCCTGCCACCACGCCCGGCTAATTTTTTGTATTTTTAGTAGACACGGGGTTTCACCATGTTAGCCAGGATGGTCTCAATCTCCTGACTTCGTAATCCTCCCACCTCGGCCTCCCAAAGTGCTGGGATTACAGGTGTGAGCTACTGCACCTGGCCTGAATAAAAAGTCTTGAAATTGAAGATATCCACCTAATCCTCAACAAACCATGATGTAATGAAGCATGAGTCACACCATTTTGTCTCTTTTCTAATACAAATATGTCCCTGGCATTAGTTCATGCCGAGACTAGAAAACTGAACCCTACTACTGTTTTTTTAAAACAGTTTTAACAGAAAATTAAACTGTATGCTTGAAATCATAAGTAAAAGTTTGTTGCTTGCATAAGAGTAGCCTCTTGATTCTCATAGTTAGTGGTAATTTTGTGTCATATCATTTAGATGTTGAGCCATTTCATTTGTGCATGTGTATATGTGCCCAAATTCCTCCTCTTTGTTAGATTCTGCTTACAAATCAAACTAATAGAATCTGAATACATTTATCATATATTCTCCAGGGTTTCTGTTAACAGACTGTAGAGTGGGGCAAAGCTTGATTGTATTTTCAGTGATGTATAATTACATTGTTTCGTGTTAAAATCATCGTGCATGGAAAGTGAAATGTGCATATGATTTTAAATTATTGTAATATGTACTATACCCTTCCCCTAAACTTCTTTCATTGATGATACACAGAATTCCTCTATTTTTGCTTGAAAATAGTCCTTTAGATTGGAGTAGCCTTTTCTTACATCCCTCTATGTTTCCATGAGATGAGGTGATACCTGCAAAGCACTTTTAAAGATTTTTTTTAGGCTAATGTCCAAGATACATCATTGAGGAGGCAGCTATGTCTAATGAGGGCTCTCTTGGTTGCTAGAGATGAGTGAAATGTATACTAACCATTTTAATTTGCACTTAAAATACATTTTACTTATTGATTTTAAATGACAAATTCTTCTTGTAGATATTAATCTTTCTTGTTTATCATATTGTCCTAGAGAAGCCTAGATAAAAATGGGTTCCACCTAGTCTCTTTGTGTAACACCTTCCCCCGTCCCCTCCCCATCCATTGGACTCTATGCATACTGACAAGCAAATAAGAAAACCTTAGGTTTCTTGTATTTGAATTTCCAAAACAATAGGTTTTGACTCAAGATTTGCATTCAAGGAGAGGCAGAAATTTTGTCTCATCTTTTTATCATTTTGTGAACTTGTGTTTCTCTGTGTGCTAAGAAAATTTTACACACAAGGAATGTTTGAAAAAGTGAGAATTTTAGAGTGCTTGGGTGGTTTTTATTTGGTCAGTGCTGATGTGTTAGGTGTCTAGGGAAATAATGCTTCAGGACCTTTTTGACAACACAGATTCATAAATGACTGGGGGATATTTATGTTTGTGCTGAGAAAAGGGAGGGAGTGGGCAGGTTGGACTGGGGATCTTTCCTTTGAAAGCAGTGCAGTCAGCTGTTTTGTAGATGTGTTTTTTCATTATACTTGTAACAATGTTCTTGTGTCCATAATTGACTGAAATGTCAAGCTCCAGGAATGCAAGGCGTTCTACAGTTGACCACAAGTAGAACCTTGTTGATTATGAAATGGAAGAATAATGTCAAGGTAGTTGGGGTAAAATGACAAATAAGGTTTTACTGGTGAATTTCCATGCTTAATATGTACATTAACCTCTTTTTAAGTTGCATGTTAATCTGGTATAACATATTGTCTCCGGTTTATGCTTTTGAGTAAAAATGAAAAAAAAAAGACTTGAGTTACAATTGTTACTCTATTATGTACTATTACATTTACCTTTTCTTTTAGAAAGGGTTAATTATAATTACTATTCACACCAAAAAAAAAAAAATTAGCTGGGAATGGTGGCACAAGCCTATAATCCCAGCTACTTGGGAGGCTGAGGGAGGAGAATCGCTTGAACATTGCTTGGACCTGATTCAAGCAATTCTCCATAGCCCCACTGCACTCCAGCTTGGGTAACAAAGTGAGACTCCATCTCAAAAACAAACAAACAAAAAACACAATGAGGTACCACCGTACCCCAATCAGAATAGTCATTATTAAAAAGTCAAAAAACAATAGATGGTGCAGATGTGGTAGAAAGAGAACACTTACACACTGTTGGTAAGAATGTGTATTAATACCACCTCTGTGGAAAAGAGGAGATGTCTCAAATAACTAATAGTAGATATACCATTTGACCCAGCAATCCTACTAGTGGGTATCTACCCACAGGAAAATAAGTCATTATATCAAAAAGACTGGACAATTCATACATGTAACCAAAAAACACTTGTAACCCTAAAGCTATTGAAATTTAAAAAATTATTTTGCTACAAACTAGCATTTAATCTCCAAAATTAAAATAAAAAATACAATTTAAAAATCTGCTCACTTAACAAATTTCAAGTATATAATACAGTATTATTAACTGTCGTCACCATGCTGTACATTAGATCTGCAGAATGTGTTCCTCCTGTCTAACTTAAACTTTGTACCCTCTCCCAACATCTTTCCAACAACCCATCTGCAGCCCCTAGTAACCACCATTCTACTTTCTGCTTCTGTGAGTTCATCTTTTTTAGATTTTACATAAAATGAGATCACGCAGTATTTGTCTTTTCATGCTTGGCTTATTTCACTAAATGTTCCTCAGGTTCCTCCATGACAGGATTTCCTTTTTTAAGGAAAATTAAAAAATTCCATGACAAATGACAGGATTTCCTTTTTTAAGGCTGAGCAATGTTCCATCGTGTATATATATACACACACACACCACATTTTCCTTTTCCATTCATTCATCGATGGACACCTGGGTTATTTCCATATCTTGGCTATTGTGAATACAACATAAGTCCCAGAACTTAAGTCTAAAACTAGAAGAAAACATAGGGAAAAAATCTATTGACATTGATCTGGGCAACGATTTCTTGGCTGTAACACCGAAAGCACGGACAACAAAAGCAAACAGACAAATGAGACTGCGTCAAACTAAAAAGCTCCTCAAGGCAAAGGAAACAATCAGCAGAAGGCAGAGACAATCTACAGAATGGGAGAAATATATCTGCAAATAATGTACCTGATAAAGGGTCAATATCCCAAATATATAAGGAACGCAAACAACTCAATAGCAAGAAAGAGAATCACCTGATTCGAAAATCAAAGGACAAAAATAGACATTTCCCAAAAGAAGTACAAATGGCCAGCAGGTGTATGAAAAAATGTTGTAACATTTATGTCAGAAAAATGCAAATCAAAACCACAATGAGATATCACTTCACACCTATTAGAATGGCTGCTATAAAAAAGACAAAAGGTAACAACTGTTGGCAAGGATATGGAAAAAAGAACCCTTTTACACTGTTGGTAGAAATGTTCATTGGTAAAGCCATTAGAGAAAACTGGGTAGAGATTCCCCGAAAATAAAAATATATATATACCTACCATATAATTTAGCAACCCTACTTCTGGGTATATATCCAAAGGAATTGAAATCAGCATGTTGAAAATATACCTGTATTTTCATTCTCATTCTTTAAGTTGTAAGGCTTACAATATATTAAGAAAATGATCATGCAATTGTGCAAATAATTGGATGAAAAAATGTTTCACTACAATTATTTGCATAATACTATTACCTATTTCTAAACCATTTGGTTGGATTATAGATGTTTACCCTCATGATTTTTTTAAGTCATTAGAAAATCAACAGAATAAAATAGGCCTTTTATTTATGAAATAAAATGGTAAAAACAGGCTTTATGGAGAAACCTAAAGGGACAGAATTTCCTTCCCACTTACTTTATCTCGCATGCATTCAAACTAAACACCCCTTCATCTACAAATAGATTGTTTTCATGGGACTAATGTGATCAGTAGGTTTTCTTTAAAAATATTTTCATTCTTTGAAGCTAGAAAATAAAGATAAAACTGACCATAAAACGCAAATTAAGAAAATTATATTTCCCATCATCCTATTTAAGATTTCTCCATTAAAAAAAATGAGAATGTGCCCGGGCATGGTGGCTTACACCTGTAATCCCTGGACTTTGGGAGGCCGAGGCAGGTAGATCACCTGAGGTCAGGAGTTCGAGACCAGCCTGGCCAACATGATGAAACCCCATCTCTACTAAAAATACAAAAAAATAGCTGGGTGTGGTGGTGAGTGCGCCTATAATCCCAGCTACTCAGGAGGCCAAGGCAGGAGAATCGCTTGAACCCAGGAGGCGGAGATTGCAGTGAGCCAAGATCACACCACTGCTGGGCAACAAGAGCAAAACTCCATCTCAAAAAAAAAAAAAAAAAGATAAAAGAAAAAAATTGAGAATGTAGAGAGAAAATTGTCTCTCTTTTCTCCTTCCAGAGGGCATGTTTCCCCAGGAGTTTTGGAGAAGGGGATCAAGCCATGAGTTTGCCTTTGCAATGGTATGCTTGAAAAGAAAGGAAAGGCGCAGTGGCTCATGCCTATAATCTCAAAACTTTGAGAGGCCGAGGAGGGTGGATCACCTGAGGTCAGGAGATTGAGACCAGCCTGGCCAACATGGTGAAACCCCGTCTCTACTGAAAATACAAAAATTAGCTGGGCATGGTGGTGCAGGCCTGTAATCCCAGCTACTCAAGAGGCTAGGGAAGGAGAATCGCTTGAACCCAGGAGGCGGAGGTTGCAGTGAGCCAAGACAGTGCTACTGCACTCCAGCCTGGGTGACAGAGCGAGACTCTATCTCAAAAAAATAATAATAATAAAAAGAAAGGAAAGGATAAAAGATGAAGAAAAATTAGTGTAATAGTAAATTAATATAATAATTTTTGTTTCCTTTGAATGAAGAAAATATAATTTAATATGTAAGGAAGTATATAATGGAATCAAATGATTTTGGGGAAAAGTGCATGTGTGTGTGTGTGTGTGTGTGTATTTAATATCTGATATTTAACAATCAGCAAATATTAAACAGGCAGCTGGCAGAATTCTCTCCACATTAGTACCAGCACACATCTGAATAACTGCCTTGTAGTCTGTTGGCTAGCTCCCAGCCTTCTCTGTATAGCCAGCTGGGTTTTCTTGAAGAAAATCTTCCTTGCTTTTTTCAGATGATTTACCTCCTTACGTGGGTCCTCCAATTAGACAGGAAAAAAATGGAAGCCTTCATGCATCATTGCCAAAAAACTAGAAGCTTTAGTAAAGTTTCTATGTTCTAACTTTTTATGAAACATAAATTGTGTAACTCAGTGTAGGAGATGATTTTTAACAGACAGGTTTGAATAAATAGTGTAAGCAACAGCATGAATATTTAAATGCATGAATATTTTGTTGTTGTGGTTACTTTTTTTTTTTTTGAACAGTAAAACATTCCACGAAGTTTCAAGAAACAACCACATCAGATTTTCAGACAGCAATTTTTCTTAGCTGCTAAGATTTTCACCTATTTCTAAGCTCTTTTCAAGTTTTTTGTCAATATTTATTTCAAGATTATTTGCATAGTCTTTTCAACCTTTCCTTAGCTGTATGAACCTTTTTAAACCTGTTCATAAGTGTGTTTCGTTTTCCTTCTGTAATTAATGAGACATTTATTGTGTTATTTCCTGACTGGCTCTGTTGAAAATAGCTGATATCTGTTATCTGATCTTGGGAGAGACTCATTTTTTTTCTTTTTAAATATCAGCATTGTCAGCAAGCACTGCAAAACCAGCCCTGTTTATTCATTATTCTATTTAATGGAAATGTCTATTTCACAGAATAGAAGTGACCATGGCAACATGAAGTTGTAAAAACAATCTCCAGGAGGTGGCAGCAATTTTCAGCATTTTAGTACATTTCCATCCATTAAAATATACTTTATATATGCCCTGTCTACTATTTAACCAGCTCATCAGTTTAATATTTCTTTAATGTATCTTTTACCGCCTGCTACTTCCCATTTTTCCCTTCTTATTTTCACTGGAGGCAAAGAAACCCACTAGAGTCCCCTTGGGGGGCTCATCATCATCTCCTCAACTAACAGGTAGCTCCCAGTCCAAACGCTCACTGTGGGGGCTTGCTGGATCTTTCGGCTATTTGTTCTCATTTTCACTTATTTCCTCTCCAGCCCTGTGACAAATGATTTTGATTTTTACTCTACTGAGTGGTCAACATTCTTTTTACAGTGGAAATTTTAGTAATCCTAAGGGTTTTTTTTTTCTTAGCTGCTGCTGTTTTTCTTCAGAACTAACAATTTCTACTCTTATTGAGTGTTTTTTTATCTTTTGTTGCATGAACACTTTTACTACTTTCTGCTATACAAATATACATATATTTATACATATAATCAACCAGTGTTAATACTTTCTGGTGTGTGTGTTTGTGTGTGTGTGTGTATCCATCCACAGATATATATATATATATTTATTTATTTTCTTCTAGAAGATATTAGTGGTCATCTTTCTAATAAAGAAAAGGCTTGGACAATTATTTGCTAGCATACTTATACCAAAGAAGGGTTTCTCTTTTTCCTATCTACCACCAGCTCAAGAGTTAGTACGTTAAATATTTGAGTCTTTGAAGAGACAAGTAAATACCAGCTATTGGAGAGCATGACTTTATTGACCTATTACAATTATTCTAAAACCATATGTGTTAGTTCAGGCCGCTATAAGAAATTACAATAGACTTGGTGACTTAAATAACGAGCATTTATTTCTCACGGTTCTGGAGGCGGGGAAGTCCAAGGTAAAGGTGCCTACAGACCCGGTGTCTGGTGAGGTCCCACTTCCTGGTTTTCAGATAGCCATCTCCTCATTGCATCTTCACATAGCAGAGAAGAGAAAGAAAGAGCAAAAGAGAGCTCCTCTCTCTTCTATGATGCACTAATCCCATTTACACGACCTCTACCCTCATAACCTCATCACCTCCCAAAGGTATCATTTCCTAATATTATCACATTGGAGGTTGGAATTTCAACATAAGGATTTTAGGGGTACACAAACATTTGTTTTATAACACCATGTTTTTAAATATTTTCTGCAGTTTCAAGGCCTCCTTTTTTCCAAAGGAAAGAATCTATCTACCTACCTACCTACCTATCACACATAAACACACGCACAAGTATAGAGCCCAGCTGCTCTGGTTGAAGTGGAGGGGACCCACAGACTTCCTGCTATCCTACCCAATCCCTAAAATGATCCCTGAGACACCACCAGGAGTTCCAGGGTTCCACAGAACACAGTTTGAAAACTCCCATTGTAAGGTAATTTTTAAGAATGCTAAAGTAAATTTAAATTGTATGACTATCAGACAAAAGCTGGGGAAATAACTAATGGATCAATTCAAATGGTTTCAAAATACAATCATGTCAAGATAACCTCTTTATTTCCTGTCAGACAGGCATCATGCTAGTCCTCATATCTTTGTAATCCCAGGAACATCAGACTCTAAGGAGCGGCCATCCCATATGTCACCTCATGCTTGAGATACGGTGTTGGGGGTCAGGAGATCGAGACCATCCTGGCTAACAAGGTGAAACCCCGTCTCTACTAAAAATACAAAAAATTAGCCGGGCGTGGTGGCGGGCGCCTGTAGTCCCAGCTACTCGGGAGGCTGAGGCAGGAGAATGGCGTGAACCCGGGAGGCGGAGCTTGCAGTGAGCCGAGATTGCGCCACTGCAGTCCGCAGTCCTCCGGCCTGGGCGACAGAGCGAGACTCCGTCTCAAAAAAAAAAAAAAAAAAAAAAAAAAAAGAGATACGGTGTTGGGGAGCTAACTGTTCAGTTACTTCACTTCCTCTAGCTCCATAGTTCTCAACCCTTGCTACACATAAAGTAATTGATGAACTTTAAAAATATATATACACATATACAGGTCACACCCACGAACAAATGATTCAGTCAGACTCTGGGGACTGAGCCTGCCTGGCCCTGTTTCGAGAACCCATCCTCAGGTGATATTTATGTGAAACCAGAGTACAGAGCCACCAAGAAGAACTCCTAATTTCCTTTTTCTGTTTTCAAAAGAATATATATCTAGTTGAATTTTGACTCCTCAAAGTTGTTTTCCTCTAACCATGCATTACACAGGGACCCACAGCCTATCAGACATTATGCCACACCTAAAATGAATTAACTCCTATAAAGTAAAAACATGGATATCAAAAATAGAAATTATTTGCTAAAGCCACCTACACTATATTTAAGTTGTGGAGGATTCATTGCCTCAAAAAATGCAGCTTTAGTCCTAGAACAGAAGAAAAAATATTCTAGGTAGTTAAATATGTTCTGTAATATGTTTTATTTAAGGGGCCAAATTGAATTATGAAATTCTAGAATTTAATTATGTTTGTTTACTGTGTTTTTTAAAGTTCACTTTTTAAAAATTACTAAAATTTAAAGGGTATATTTTAATAGACTTATCTTTTCCTTAAAATTCTAAAATATGCTGTTAAAAGACTATTAGAAATGGGAAGGACAGTAAAAGCATCTCTCTCTCTGTCAGAGTCAAAAAAATGCCTTAGTTCAGATATTTGAAAGAACTCACCACACTGCACAGAGCATAGTCATGTACAGTTTTTATTCAAAGGCAATGGATACAATGCCTCAAGAGAAAGAAAGGGCAGGAATCATTAGGGGTCCGACTGGCATCCCATGAGCAAGTTCCCAGTGTCATTAGTCACAAAAGGATCTGATCACGCTCTGTCTCCAGACTGAATCATCAAGATCTCTGTAAAGAATCCAGGCTTCAGGAGAGCTCAAAGCAGGAGTTCCCATTGGTGGTTCTATGCTCCTATGGGCATATGAACAGATCAGGTTATGCCAATTGTAAGCCACTGGTAAATATTCTGACCCCGAGGGTCAACCAAGGGAGCTTAGAATTTTAAACAGCATATACCTTAAACAGCACTGTTTTTATCTTGGCCAAGAGTCATAAATCAAGTACCCAGGATTCCCCTCAGGTAAAGGTAGAGTATTTCCAGTACAGCTATAAACCAACTCTATATTCCACAGGTTCATAGTTCAGAAAAATAAAAATGAAACCCAATTTACTATATTTTAAGTGAAGTAGATTCTGCAAATTTTCGTCTATGAAAAATCTAAACACTTTGTGTTTCTCCTTTCTATTCTAACCATTTTTTCTAACCAGTATCCTTGCCATTCCTCCTCTAATTTCAGATTTTAGACTTTCCATATCTGGCTTATATAATGTTCCTTTATTTGTATGTTACATAAAAATATAAATGAAGTGGTCTTTCTAGAGCTCACTTGCTTAAAACTCTTCATTGCCTTTGGGAAACAGCCTAAAGCTGGGCTTGACCTGATCTTGCCCACCCAGCACCTTCCATTCCAGTCTCCCTAGACCACTTGTGGTTTCTCTTAACACTGAGCTATTTCATCTTTGTTTACTTCCCACACCTCAAATGTCTTACAGTTTTGTGAACCTACCTGGATATTTAAAACCCTAAGCCTTTATGCATGCTGCTTCCTTTCTGTGATAAAACTATTTCCCCAGATAGGGGGAATTTTATCTTTGCCTAAGCAATTATTGGTCATCTTTGAAGACGGCTCAGGCTGTATCTCTTCTCTGTGCATTTCTGAATATGCTGTTACTCAAAGCTCAGGTAGAATTGTACACTCTTTCCTATCACATTGCTTTAATTATATACTTATAAATATATTGGCTTAATGTTTCTTTACCTTGTTATATTGCAAGCTCCTTGAAGGCAAAATTCCTGTCATTTTATTCATAATATCCCAGCACATACCACAGTGCCAAGCTCACAGAAGACTCATCCATCCACTCACGTATCAAAAGTTTTTGAGTGTCTAATTTGTACCAGATACTGTTCTAGGCACTGATGACATAAAAGTGAACAAAAGAGACAAACCATCTGATTTTATGAGCCTTATATTTTAGTGGGAGATTAAAAAATATGTATATTATATATATTAGATAGGCATAAATGATGCTTAATAAATACACGTTGAACACGTAGCCACTGTTAGCCTATAATTATTTCTAATTGGACCATAAGCTCCTTGAGGGCAGATTTAATGTTATTAATTCCCATGAACCACACACAGAGCTTGATAATTTTTACTTATTTTTCATCAAAGCCAATAAAGAAATGTTCTGACAGTAATTTTTTTGTAAAAAGAATCAATTACTGTCTTTGGAAATGTAATTGACAGAAGCCTAATAATAACAGCTATTCTCGTCATGTCTTCATTTAGAACAATAGTATTATCTTCCTTCTAAATAGCATTTGATTTAGAAAGTTTACAGTGAACTTTTATATTTTCTACTTTATCTTGTTGCATTTTATATGGATAATGCTTTCTAAGGTGTTCTTACAGTCCTCTTTCTCTGTAAATTGTTCTCCCCTTCCTTGCTCCTCAGCTTGCAGACTATTGTGGGATTTCACCTTGTGATTGTCCGAGTCCATACTCCTTAATAAACTCCCCTTTATATATACCAGCTCCTTGGAGGTTAAAATCCAGAAGCTGTGTACATGCTGAGTGATCTTGTCCCTCGGAAAATAGGGATGAGACTGACCAGTGGTGGATAACTGTCCCATGTTGAGTCAAACAGATTCTCTCTCCAGTGAATTTAGACTTGGGTCTGAGAGGCAGCACACTGTTCTCCATATGTGTCTGCAACTATCATAAATAAACTGGGAGCTGTGGGATGAGGGAAGAGAATTGAGAAGTTTGAGATGATTTAAGAGATTTACCAGGAACAGAGCACAGAGAAATTAAAGAAAGAGAAACAAATGCATCTGGAAGGCAAGAGGGAAAGGGTAGGATTTAGCAAGGACAGGCAAATGCTTATTTGGGGGTTCTGGTGGTTAATATCGAGTGTCAACTGGATTGGATTGAAGGATGCAAAGTATTGTTCCTGGGTGTATCTGTGAGGGTGTTCCCAAAAAGATTAACATTTGAGTCAGTGGACTGGGAAAGGTATTCCCACCCTCAACCTGGGTGGGCACAATCTGATTAGCTGCCAGCATGGCCAGAATACAAGCAGACAGAAGAACATGGAAAGACTGGACTGGTTTAGTCTTCTGGACTACATCTTTCTCCCCGGCTGAATGCTTCCTGCCCTGGAACATTGGACTCCAAGTTCTTCAGCTTTGGGACTCAGACTGGCTTCCTTGCTCCTCAGCTTGCAGACTATTGTGGGATTTCACCTTGTGATTGTCCGAGTCAATACTCTTTAATAAACTCCCCTTTATATATACATCTATCCTATTAGTTCGGTCCCCCTAGAGAACCCTGACTAATACAGCAGTATTTAGAAGAAGGGAGAGCATGGTTTCACAACATTGCAAGTTGTGTGGAGTGCCTCTATCATTGGGTGACCATTTGTGTCCATATATGGATAAAAATATCATTTTCGCTTTTTTGATGCTTTCTCTAATAACTTTTTTCTCCCCATCTAAATAAAGGAAAATTTTATTTTATTACTTTGTTCTAGATAGTTCCAGCAAATTGAATAGAATTTTGAGCTAGCTTTGTTAGTGTAAAAAGCTATCAAATATTAATGTTTGAGGCAATTCCCTTGTCATTTGGGAACAATATAGGCCGGCTCTATCCTTCAAGGTTAATTGCAGTTAAAATATATGTTTATAATTTTTCTGGAAGAAGTGCTTGTAAACTTGGGTAACAAATCTAAAAATAGCATTGTAAGTCTTAATTGTAGTAATAATTATGTATTATTTACATGATGTAGTTACTTAAGGCTATTAAAACATCTTAACTCTACTAACTCATTTGTAATCTTAATGTGCAAAGTTACTACAAAGGAAGAATTATAGTAAGAATAACCCAACACAAGATGTAACAGTGACAGTGCTTCATATTTATCAAGTCACTGGGTCATATATATTGTATTATTTTTTTCTTTATATTAATCTTCTGAGGCAGAAAATCTACTCCCATTTCATAGGTGGAAATAACTTATTGATCTCGTATTTATGGTACTCTTTTTAAATTCTCCTTGATTGGAATTCTGTAATTATAGAGAATCTTAGAAATTAATCTGGCCAGTCATGTTAAATAAAATTAAAGCCCAGAGAAAAGTGACATATTTAGGCCACAGAACTTTTGTTTGTTTGCTTGATTAATGTTTTAATGATTTATTTTGGTCCAAAATATAAATAGTGATGAGGTTAAGAAGCTCTGCTTTAAGCCACCTCTTTCATATCCTAATTTATTTCATTCTGTGTTCTTCCTTAATACCATTACCCCAGGAAAATGCATGTGTTGTCCTTTGTCTCCGCTACATGAAGTCTGCCCTCATAGCTGGTAGCTAGGCAGTGATTAAAGATGCAGTAGATGTGGAGTAATAGGTAACAGCACTTTTTTTCTTTTTCTTTTTTTAAAGAAAATACTGTTTGTTAAAAAAAGAAAAGAAAAGAAAACTCCAAAGTGGTCTTTGTTCATATTTAAAACTAAATTCTATTTATTTATGTATGCTTAAAAAGATTGTTAACAATGGTTTATTTTGGAGAATGAAAATGAAGAAGACAGGGATATGAAAGATGACTTTTTAAAAAATACTTTTCTATATATGTGAGTATTTAATAACAGGAACACTATATTCTTGCATTAAAAACATGATATAAAATCTTTATTAAAAAGTTGAAGTTTTCTAAATGGAACCTAGAAATGAACACTGGTAGAGTTCAGATATATGCTTTTTCTTAGAATACAATTTTGCAATATTTCGAAATCAAGCCATATGGGAATAATCTAACCATTCAGCAAACAAGTAGGTATTGAGTGCTTATCCACACAAGGATACAGTCATGAAGGATGCAATTCTTATATTCAATTTGCTAACTATCTTAGGATAATTATTATGTGAACACAGAAGAAGGGTGCCTAACGTAATCTGGAAATACCACAGAAGACTTCCTGAAAGAAGTGTCTTGGCCTGAGTCTCGAAGAATGAGCAGTTATTAATTAAATGAGGTTAGTAGGGAAGAATGCTCAAAGGAAAAACAACCTGAAGATAAGGACGCTATGTTTCAGCGCTGAAGGGCCTGGTCATTAGGGAAATGGAGACCTTCTGTTCCTGCTCCTTGCCGTTTCCACCCACTTCACTTCCTCTCATTTTCCTCCCTTTGTTTGAAAAATAGTTAAGACAAACATTTCACCTGTCCAATAAGCCAGTAAAGAGAGAAATGGTAAAAATAAAAGAGAGGAAAGGAATACATTATGGACAGATGTCTACTGAGAGGTGAGAGAGGCTCAGAAGCAGGGCAGGCACCAGAAGTTTAATTAGCCATGGATAGGAAGATGGTAGCCGTTCAGAAAGCAGATCAGAAAAGACTTACATGAAAGTATATTTAATAGAGTGGTTTAGGTCAGGAAATATAAATTGCTACCTGATGCTATTTTTCTATTGTTTCCTGAGAATGTAGAACTTACTGAGTAAACTGGGTACTTAAGGGCTTACAGAAAGGTATGCAAGATAAAGTTCCTATCTTTGTGTAATCTAACAGAAGAGAGAAGACACATATTCCAATAATGATTATAAAAGAGAATGAGTGATAAGTATGATGAGATAATGAAAAATAAAGTGTTAGGGAGTTCAGAGATGGGGATATTCTTTCAGGCAAGGATGTTATTGCTTATTGATTTATAACTGCCAGATAATAAAGGTAATTGCACATTGGTAAAAATTGGAGTCTAATCTAAAAATCAGATGAGTGGATAAATAAGTCAAACCAAATTAATCACCAAAGTGAAAATTAAATATTCACCACCAGTATGTTCTCCAATACACAGGGGCTATTGCTTTTCTATTAGTTATAATAATGGGCTAAATTGTCTACTCTAAATAATCTCTTTCTCTTTCATCTTCTCTCCCTTCATCACTCCCTTCTTCCTCCTCTCCTCTTTTTTCTTCTCTGCCCTTTTCTTATCCTCACATATTTGAGAATCTATTAAAGTTCTCTGAGATTCACAGAACTGATCTTACTCTAGTGACAAGCACCAGAGATCTCACTAGAGGAATTCTAACAGGTAAGTTTGCAAGAACTAAAGAAGAAAAAGAAGAAGGAGTAACAAATAGCATTGAATATAGGAGAGAGAAAGGTATTAAGATTAAATTAAGAAGGAGGAAGAGACAGAATAAACCAAACTCTGGCTCTCCCAGGAGACTAGGGAGACTGAGATATAAGATTATTATGATACACGAGAACCAGGAAGTAATCTTTCTATTAATAAAAAAGAAAACACATTACTACATTCTATTTGTTTTTTCTTCTTCTTCAGATGATGGAGACATTGAAGGAGGCTCAGAAAATACTTAGTCAACAAGCATTTATTATCCCTCTACCCCAGAGGATATTTGGCAATGTCTGGGGACATTTTTGATCTTCACAACTGGGGAAGGAATGCTACTGGCATCTAGTGGGTAGGGCCAGAGATGCAGCTAAGCATCCAACAATGCACACAGCATAGCCCCCACAGCAAAGAAATAGCCCCAAATGTCAATAGTGCCAAAGTTGAGAAACTCTGCCCAGAACGCTCTTCCTCCAGTCACCCATTTCCTTTAAGTCTCTACTCAAATATCATCTTAATGAGGCTTAGCCCGACTGCCTTCTGTGTAAAATTGTTACCCGTCTCGGCACTTCCTCAGCTCCTTCTCTGATTTTGTTTTATTGTAGTACTTCTCACTGTTGGCTCTACTGAACCATTTACTTATTATTTTATTATCAGCATCTCTCCACTGAAATATAAATTCTCTGAGGGTGGAAAATTATTATTGGATTGGCTGTTTCTGTTTTGTTCATGGTTGCAGCTTTCCCAGTTCTCAGTAAATATTTGATATCCGGGGGAAGAAAAGAATGGGCTCTGGGGTTAAGAACACACTTTGGGGGTGAGGCATGGGGTTATCTAAAGTATCAGTGGAAATACAGTCTAGAGGTTGGGAGAAGAGTTTTTACAGAGCAAATACTACTTTTGGACAAGGGAGCCTGATTAGAAGTTAGGGTAGGCAGAACCCCAAAAGACTCTACAAAGGATTTAGCTTCCTGAGTGTGAGGCAAGGTTATATCTCAAAGTATGAACCTGGTTGTATGTGATGTTTCTGACCCCTTTCTCTCTATCTTTCTCTCTATCTTTCTCTCTCACTCATAACCAGAGGGCATTTTTCCCTCTCTCCAGCTTTTTACCGCATTACTAACAAAGATTCAAAAAATGGCTGCACCAAATTCAAGACAAAGATTCTTTTCTTGGAGACATCTGTACAGGGTCTTTTAAAAAACAAAAAGCTTTCAAGCTATTAGATAATATCAGCCTAAAGGGAAGAAGTGAAGTAAAATTAAAATGAATGAAAGGAGGAGGAATTTGGAGGGAGGAAGATGAGAAGATGCAGTCACTCTAGGGCAGAATCTCAGAAGATAAAGAAGTCTCGAACACCCTGAACAGGCCTGATCTTGTCTGAATGTGGAAGCTAAGCAGGGTCATGCCTGGTTAGTACTTTGATGGGAGACCACCTGGGAATACCGGGTGCTATAGGCTTGGCCAGGCATGGTGGCTCGTGCCTGTAATCCCAGCACTGTGGGAGGCCCAGGCAGGCAGATCACTTGAGGCCAGGAGCTCAAGATCAGCCTGGCCAACATGGTGAAACCCTGTCTCTACTATTAAAAATACAAAAATTAGCCTGGCATGGTGGTTCACACTGGTAGTTCCAACTAACTACTTGGGAGGCTGAGGTATGAAGATCACTTGAGCCCAGGAAGCAGAGGTTAGAGTGAGCTGAGATGGTGCCACTGAACTATGGCCTGGATGACAAAGCGAGACTCTGTCTCAAAAAAACCACACCCACACCCACACCCACACCCTAACAGAGTCACTGCTTGGAAATGACTACTGATCAACAGTCGCAGTCCCTGAACCCAGTCACAAGCCTCCTGAGCAGCAGGTAGGAAGGGAGCTTGCGTGATGGCAAACAGCCAAGACAGCCCTAAGGTTCCCTGCAGTTTGGCTGAACTTTAGACAGGCTTCTCCCTAACTCTAGACCCTGACCTCTCTTTTCTTAGAGCATTTGCTTTAGAAAACTTATATTTATAAATGCTTTATCTACCCCTTTGAGATATAAATCTTTTAAAAAGCCTCTTGCCACCAGTAAATGCAAGAATGTCTTTCTCGAGGACCTAGAAACCAACTCTTTGAAATGGAGTCATCAAAGAAGATGGCACCTCTATTTTCCAGTCTCTTTGTGAGGGTAGGAGCCTAACTTTAGTGGACACCTTGTTCTTCTTGTCATGAAGATACAAAGTTAGCCACATAGTGAGAAAGACAAATATTAATTAAATTCATAGTAATATATAATTGCAATAAGAAAAGTACCCCAATGGAATAGAACACAGATCTCTGAATGCACATATCAAAGGAAACTAGCCTAGATATTTGGGTGTGGAAGAACGTTTGGGCTGAGAAGTGAAAGTTGTGAAATGCTAGGAGTCAACAAGGTGAAGGGAGTGTAAAGGGACGAGGTGCTAGTGAATGTTCTAGGAAGAGGGATGAACACTAGCAAAGGCCCTGTAACCAAAGAAGGCATGGTAATAAGAGCTCAAAGAAGACTGTGATGGACCCAGGAAAAAGGGGAAAAGCTAGCACTGAATAAAACTAGAGAAGAAGACATAATAGAGAGCTTTTTCTTAATCCTAAGGACAATAGATGAACTCTGAAAGGCTTTAAGCTTGAGCAGGGGGAGGGGATATAATATTTTCGTTAAATTGAGACCAGATATAATTTTAGGAATCAGGAGGTTCTTGAAATAGTTCAGGGGATCACTGATGATGGTTTAGCTAGAGATAAGTAAAGTTGATGAATCCAAGATGCTGAGAAAGCAATATGACAGGTCTTGGTGAAGGATTGTTACAGAGATTGAGAGAAAGGAATGTCTTGTAGCTGAAGAGGTGTTTTGATTGTGCACAGGATACAGAGGGGCCACCCACTGAGCAGTCTGAGAAGACACTCTTTGCAAAAAAGCCTTAATATTGAATTTTGCTTGGGTTTATAATTGACTGTTCCCATTTTTATTAATATTATTATTTAATATAGACCAAAATCTCAATACTCTTATTAGAGAAAAATTCTCAAAAAAAGTTCCAAAAATCAGTATGCAGAAAATTGATACTGAACCCCTTCTTTACACCATATACAAAAATCAACTCAAGATGGATTAAACACTTAAATGTAAAACCCAAAGCTATAAAAAACCTAGAAGAAAATCTTGGCAATACCATTTAGGACATAGGCACAGGCAAAGATTTCATAACAAAAATGCCAAAAGCAATTGCAACGAAAGCAAAAATTGACAAATGAGATCTAATTAAACTAAAGAGCTTCTGTGCAGTAAAAGAAACTATCATCAGAGTGAACAGACAACCCACAGAAAGGGAGAAAATTTTTGCAATCTATTCATCTGACAAAAGTCTAATATCCATAACCCACAAGGAACTTAATCAAACTTTACTTCTCTTTAGCTAAACAAAGGATATGAACAGACACTTCTCAAAAGAAGACTTACATGAGGCCAACAGACATATAAAAAAAAGCTCAACATCACTGATCATTAGAGAAATGCAAATCAAAAGCACAAGATACCATCTCACACCAGTCAGAATGGCTATTATTATAAAGTGAAAAAACAGCAGATACTGACAAGGTTGTGGAGAAAACGGAAAGCTTTTACACTGCTGGTGGGAGTGTAAATTAGTTCAATTATTGTGGAAGACAGTGTGGTGATTCCTCAAAGACCTAGAGGCAGATATACCATTTGACACAGTAATCCCATTACTGGGTATGTACCCAAAGGAAGATAAGTCTTTCTTTTATGAAGATACAGGCACATGTATGTCCACTGCAGCACTATTCACAACAGCAAATACATGGAATCAACCCAAATGCCCATCAGTGATAGACTGGGTAAAGAAAATGTGGTACATATACACCATGGAATGCTATGCACCCATAAAAAAGAATGAGATTATGTCCTTTGTGGGGACATAGATGAAGCTGGAAGACATTATCCTCAGCATACTAACACAGGAACAGAAAACCAAATACTGCATGCTCTCACAAGTGGGAGCTGAATTATGAGAACACAAGAACACATGGTGGGGAACAACGCACACTGGGGCCTGTCAGAGTGTGGGGTGGGAGGAGGGAGAGCATCAGAAAGAATAGCTAATGGATGTTGGGCTTAATACCTAGGTGATAAGATGATCTGTGCAGCAAACCACAATGGCACACATTTACTTATGTAACAAACCTGCACATCCTGCACATGTACTCCTGAACTTAAAAGTTAGAAATAAAAAAAAGAAAAGCAATCAGACTCTAATAGATAAATGGACAAAGAATATGAAAAAAGAATTCTTTAAAAAGCAACTATAGTTAATAAATATTTGAATACATGCTCAACCTAATTAGTAATAAAATAAATGCATATTAATGTAATAAAATAACTTTTATAATAATAATTTTTTTTAGATGAAGTCTCTGTGTCACCCAGTGCAGTGGCATGATCATAGTTCACTGCACCCTCAAACTCCTAGTCAAGTCATCTCACCTCAGCCTCCCAGAGTAGCTGGGCTTACTGGTGCGCACCACAATGCCTTGCTAATGTTTTTTCCCAAATGGGGTCTCACTATGTTGACTAGGCTTAGTCTTAAACTGACTAGGCTGGGTCTTAAACTCCCAGCCTCAAGCAATCCTCCTGCATCCACTTACTTGTAAGTAAAACAAGATGAAAACCTTGCTGGTGAAGATAAATGAAACAGGACCTCTGAAAAAATGCCAATAAGCATATAAATTAATACAGTATTGTAGGGAAAAGTTAGCAATAAGTCTCAGGAGGTTTTTTTAAAATATTGATGGTCCCATGCCTAATAATTCTATGTGTGGGAAAACATCTAATGTAACTGACCAAAACTTTAGATACAGACTTATGTGCAAAGATGTTCATCACAGACACATGTAATTGCATAATTGCAAAGAAAGAAAAGAAAAAGGAAATGAAATAGTTAAATAGTTCTAATTCCCCAAATTATAAGTACATAAGTAAATCATGGTATATGTATATGTTGGCATATTATGTGATTGTATTAAGTAATAATTGTGAAGATTTCTTAACAACATAAAAAATTATGATATATGAGCTGGATTAACCAAAGAATACAAAGTTGTAAGTACCATACGTCAATTCCATTGAAATGCATAGATTAAAAACTGAAAGACTGTATGTGAAGTATTAATATTGGTTAATTCTGGGGGCTTTACAGTTAACTTATTTTCCATATAATTTTCTGTATTTCCCAAAGATGCAATAATGAATACATATTACATTTTAACTAAGCAAATACATCATGTAAGTCTGGTGTGATATACAGTTCAGATGAGCTCTCAGAAAATTTCCAGTCTGTGATCACAGTAGTATCACTTTAGCAATCATTAAGAACAATTAATCTATACTCATTGGAGAATAAATTAAAATACAAAAGAATGTAGTAGATATAAAGAAGTCATTGCTTTTCATATGATAAAATACAGTTTATAATTAGCATCTTTGTTATTTTTCCTTTGATTTTGTTTCATGTGTAAATTGGGTTATAAATTGGATCTTGAGTTATAAATTAGATCTTATCAGGTTTTTCTAGCCCACATGACACGTAGTATAAAGTAGATATGGGGGCAATAGAGCAATCTCCTTTCTTTACATCAGTGAGAAAATAGAAATCTGTTGTCTTTTGTTTAGACATATGACTGATTTTATGTGAAGACTGGGATCAAATATGACCTTCAGTTTCATTCAGACACAATTATGATAATAGTGTAGAATACTGCTACAAAATAATTTGAATATATTGCTACCTCTATGTGATTATTTGTTATGCTTATGTTGTCATCTTCATGTTTACATTACTCTCCAGAGCGGGTCTCAAACTTTATCAGGTGTCAGAATCACCAGGCTAGAGGGCCTGTCAAATCAGATTATTATAGTGCACCCTCACAGTGTCTGATTTGGTAAGTCTGGGGCCACTTATGAATTCCCACTTCTAACAAGGTCTCAGGTGATTCTGATGCTGCTGGTCTGAAAGCCACTGCTCCACACTGATCATTTCAACTGGTATTGTAAGCTTACTTAAAGCAGAAGATCATCTGTTTTCATCAATAATATTTACTCTAGTCACTTATTTTTTGGAGGTAGGGGGATGGGAGTACTTCTCATTCCCTTCAATGGAAATTTTTGATAACAGATACTAATGGCATAAGCACGCCTCCACCTCCAAACAGAAATAAGGCCACAGATCAGTTATATGAAATACAACACTGGTGCCTTTAATTCCTGTTACCATGACTGCAGTATGCCCAAGGAATAGTGGCACATCTCACATAAACATTGGGATTATGTGCTCCTTCCTCAATGGCACACATTAATGAATGAACATGAAGTTTTTTTGTAATAAAACTCTCAGAAGGCGATATCAGGGGATTATCTGTAAAATGTGTAAAAGTTGTCATCAAAGAAAAGATTAAGTATTATATTCTGAGAACTTTCAGTCTATACTCCAAGCCTCTCTAGCAGAGTCAGAGCTCTTTACTCTCAGCCTGATTTTAAATGAGTTTTATAAAAAGTATAAAGTCAGCCGGGTGCAGTGGCTCATGCCTGTAATCGCAGCACTTTGGGAAGCTGACACAGGTGGATCATCTGAGGCCAGGAGTTCGAGATCAGCCTGGCCAACATGGTGAAACCCCATCTCTACTAAAAATACAAAAAAATAAATAAAATAAAATAGCTGGGCATGGTGGCGCATGCCTGTGATCCCAGCTTCTTGGGAGGCTGAGACAGGAGAATCGCTTGAACCCAGGAGGTGGAGGTTACACTGAGCTGAGGTGGTACCACTGCAAGACTCCATCTCAAAAAAAAAAAAAAAAAGAAAGAAAAAGAAAAGAGTGTAAAGTCACTGACCTGAGATCCTACAGGAATAGAGATGAAAACATAATTTTGGATAAATCCATCTAACATTCAATTTAGCTACATTATCTTTCATTTAATTTATATAGATATGAATTTTATTACATTTGCTTAGTGTTACATATTAAATTCCCATCATTTACATTTGAATCAAGTGAAGCAATATATGTGAAGGAGCTCAGAAAGAGAGTTCAATACAAATGTAAAAGTGTGATGGTAGTTACTTTTTTTCCATCATCTGAATGAGAGAACTGGACAAAAAGGGTTTAACAAATACCTCTCTAGGCTCACTGGTACAATCAAGAACATGATGAAAACTCACTATTTCTAAGTGAGTGAGTAAGTGGGACTTAAGAAGTGATTAAGTGAATGAATAAGAGGGAAAATCTTGGACTTTGGAGACAGACTTTTGTTCAAATACAGAACCCATCCTTCCTACATGTGAGGTTTTGGGCAAGCCTCTTAGTCTCTTTGAGCCTGATCCAGTATGGTGGTGGTAATGATAGCTACTGATACAGATACAGTTTGGTTCTGTGTCCCCACCCACATCTCAGGTTGAATTGTAATCCCCAATGTTGGGGGAGAGTCCTGGTGGGAGGTGATTGGATCTTGGAGGCAGACTTCCCCCTTGCTGTTCTCATGATAATGAGTGTGTTCTCATGAGATCTGATGATTTAAAAGTGTATAGCACCTCCCTCTTTGCTCTCTCTCTATCTCTTTTGCTCCAATATGGTATGATGTGCTTGCTTCCTCTTCACCTTCTGCCATGATTGCAAGTTTCCTGAGGCCTCCCAGCCATGCTTACTGTTAAGCCTGTGGAACTTTGAGTCACTTAAACCTCTTTTGTTCATAAATTACCCAGTCTCAGGTGGTTCTTTTTTTTTTTTTTTTTTTTTTTTTTTGAGATGGAGTCTCGCTTTGTCGCCAGGCTGGAGTGCACTAGCACAATCTCAGCTCACTGCAACCTCCCGACTCCCTGGTTCAAGCAATTCTCTTGCCTCAGCCTTCCGAGTAGCTGGAATTATAGGCACACACCATCATGTTCAGCTAATTTTTGTATTTTTAGTAGAGACTGGTTTCACTATGTTGGCCAGGATGGTCTTGATATCCTGACCTTGTGAACCTCCCGCCTTGGCCTCCCAAAGTGCTGGGATTACAGGCATGAGCCACAGCGCCCGGCCTTCAGGTGGTTCTTTAGAGCAGTGTGAGAACAGACTAATACATAAATTGGTACCAGGGAAATGGGTCATTGCTATAAAGATCCCAGAAAATGTGGAAGCAACTTTGGAACTGGGTAATGGGCAGAGGTTGGAACTCTTTGGAGGGATCAGAAGACAGGAAGATGAGGGAAACTTTGCAACTTCCTAGAGACTTGTTGAATGGTTGTGACCCAAATGCTGATAGTGACATAGACAGTGAAGCCCAGGCTGATGTGGCCACTGATAGAGATGAGGAACTTATTGGGGATTGAAGCAAAGGTCACTCTTGCTGTGCTTTAGCAAAAAGACTGGTGTTATTGTGCCCTTGCTCTAGGGATCTGTGGAATTTTGAACTTGACAGAGATAACTTGGAGTATCAGGTGGAAGAAATTTCTAAGCAGCAAAGCATTCAAGATGTGGCCTGGCTGTTTCTAAAAGCCTATATTCATTTGCATAAACAAAGATAACATATTTAAAAGAAAAGTAAAGTATACAAGTTTGGAAAATTTGCAGCCCTTCTATTTTCTGGGGAGGAATTCAAGCTGGTTGCATAAGTTTGCATAAGTAAAGAAGAGCCAGACTTTAATAGCCAAGAAAATGGGTAAAATGCCTCCAGGTCATTTCAGAGACCTTTGTGGCAGCCTCTCCCATCACAGGCCCAGAGGCCTACGAAGGAAAAAGTTTTGTGGTCCAGGCCCAGGGCCCTGCTGCTCTGTGCAGCCTCAGCACATGGCTTCTGTGTCCCAGCCACTCTGTTTCCAGCTGTGGCTAAAAGGGGCCAAGGTAAAGCTTGGGCCATTGCTTCACAGGGTGAAAGCCCCAAGCCTTCGCAGCTTATACATGGCATTGGGCCTGTGAGTACACAGAAGAGAAGAGCTGAGGTTTGGAAACCTTCACCTAGATTTCAGAGGATGTACGGGAATGCCTGGATGTCCAGGCAGCTGTAGGGGTGGAACCCTTATGGAGAACCTCTACTAGGGCAGTGCAGAGGGGAAATGTGGGGTTGGAGCTTCCACACAGAGTCCCCACTGGGGCACTGCCTAGTCGAGCTATGAGAAGAGAGCCACTGTCCTCCAGACCCCAGAATGGTAGATTCACCAACAGTTTGCACTGTGCAGTGGGGTTGGAGCTCCCACACAGAGTCCCCACTGGGGCATGGCCTAGTCGAGCTATGAGAAGAGGGCCACTGTCCTCCAGACCCAAGAATGATAGATTCATAAGTTTGCACTGTGCACGTGGAAAAGCTGCAGGCACTCAACACCAACCCTTGAAAGCAGCCAAGGGGGCTGTACCCTGCAGAACCAAAGGGGCAGAGCTGCCCACCCTTAGGAGCCCACCCCTTGAATTAGGGTGCCTTGGATGTGCAACATGAAGTCAAACGAGATTATTTTGAAGTCTTAAGATTTCATGATTGCCCTGCTGGGTTTCAGACTTGCATGGGTCCTGTAGCCCCTTTGTTTTGCCCAATTTATCCCTTTTGGAACAGAAGTATTTACCAAATGCCTGTACCCTCATTGTATCTTGGAAATAACTACCTTTTTTTATTATTTTATTTTACAGGCTCATAGGCAGAAGGGACTTGTCTTGTCTCAGATGAGACTTTGGACTTGGACTTTTGAGTTAATGCTGAAATGAATGAAAACTTTGGGGGACTGTTGGGAAGGCATGATTGTGTTTTGAAATATGAAAAGGACATTAGATTTGGGAAGGACCAGGGGAGTAACGATATGGCTTGGGTCTGTGTCCCCACCAAAAACTCATGTTGAATTATAATTCTTAGTGTTGGGAAAGGGACCTGGTGGAAGGTGATTGTATCATGTGGGCAGATTTCCCCCTTGTTCTCATGACAGTAAATGACTTCTCACAGGATCTGTTGATTTAAAAGTGTGTGGCACTTCTCCCTTCACCCTCTGTCTCTCCTGCTGCCATGTAGAGAAGGTGCTGGCTTCCCCTTCACCTTATGCCATGATTGCAACTTTCCTGAGGCCTTCTATTAATGCTTCTTGTTAAGATTGAAGAACTGTGAGTCACTTAAACCTCTTTTCTTCATAAAGTCCCCAGTCTCAAGTAGTTATAGCAGCATGAGAACAGATTAATACAGCTACTGTTAAGATTGACAGAATTAAATGAAATGAAGTCTGTAGAAAGCACATAGCAAGTTGCACAAATATGTGGCTATATTAGAAATCACTAAATTTTATGCATTATACTTACATTTTTAAAATTTAAAAGTGTGAATTTTATGCTATAGGAATGTCAGTGAGAAATAAATTCTATAACAAATTGCCTCCCATGGAGTGTCACTTAACATAACTTTTTTCTTTCTGCCGTGTAGCCTAATAATTAGGGAATAGTAACTATAGTAAACACATAGCTGGATGGCATAAAATGCATTGGGGTTCTGACTTTGTTGAAGATTGCCAGAAGCTTTAAGTCAAGTTACACTAAGAAGAGCATGCATTTTTGAGGGATATCTGGTTAAAAGTGTAAGATTGAACAGAGTTATCACCATTTCTTTATCAAATAACAATAGTAAAGCAGTAAGAAAATAAAAATGCTATAAAACCACAAAGAAAAAGAGAACAAGAGAGGAAATAACAACAAACAAGAAATGTCAATAGCTTTTTGAAAGACAGAATGCTGAAATGCCTTGCAGGAGAAGATACCTGGCTTTTCAGGTGCCAAGGGATTTCAGATTTGGAGGATTAGGGTGGAATTAAGTATAAGAAAACTGAAAGTCTGTATATCTAAAAGTTAGAACCTGTCTAACTCCTATCCCTTATCCCATGCTCCCAGATAACAAACCTTTTTCCAATCCTAGTAAGAGAGAGGAGGTTAATTCTCTGGAAAGAAATAGCAAGATTCTAACTTGGGATACAGAAAAGGGTGAGAAATTGGGCAGAAAACATGGAATGTTAAGGGGAAGTATACTGACTCCAGAGTGAGAACTCCAAATTTCCTCCTCTGGGTTTTCAGAAAGCTCGAGTCCAGATTTATACTTCTCATCTCCTTTTCACCACCAAGTAGAATGTTGGAGAATTCCTCTGGAAATACCAGCCAACCACAGGCTCAAGGAATGCACAGCAGCCACATCCCTGTGTAGTCAGCCTGGTGAAAAGCCTGCCCACAGCCACTAAGTATGTATCAGCTTTTCAAGCCTCACTGTCAAATCCGAAAGAATGGCCAAGGATCACTAGGTATTTGAGAAATTTATATAGTCTGAAAACTAAGACCAAAACAAAACAAAGTGAAATCCCTGTCTTAATTATTAAATATAGGCAAGTTTATGCTACACAACAACCTCGACATTTCAGCAGTATAAAATTATGACAACTGGTTTTTCTTCTCTGTATGTGCTCTCATGGGTTGCCAGGCAGGCTCTGCACATTATAGTAACTCAGTGACCTAGATGGGTAGAGAAACCATTCTCTTGACCCTGGCCAATCACCATGCCAGGTACAGGGAAAAACTGGAGAGGCTGGAATGAGCAGTTAAATTCTCTGGACTGGAAGTGACACGTGTTCTTTCTGCTCATTACAATTGTCCTGAAGTGGTCATATGGTTCCATTCAACAACACAGGAATCCAAAGCAGCATATTACCATGTATGAAGAAGGCAGAAATGTGAAAATATTAGTGAATAGCACCTACAAAAAGGAAACAGGTAATTCATGGAAAGTTTTATTTTAAGCTATAACGAACATACTTGAATACATTTTAAAATATTGTATCCATTAGACAAGAAGAGAATGTCATAAAAAATAGACGAAGAACATAAATTGCCTTTGAAAATTAAATTATAGATAATTATATTAAGTTGTATTTAATAAACAGAATTTATATATTATATATAACATATATATTAGATTTATATACATATAATATATAAACTTGAAAATTCAATAGAGTGAAAACTCAAGAAATTCAATAGAAGTACCTTTAAAAAATAAAATATAAAGAAAAAAATGGGAAAGAAGAGAGTATGCCTATAAAAATGAAGAACTCCAGTTTTCAACAATTGATTGATACGATTTCCTAAAAAATATAGCCAAGAAAAAATAAGTTAGGAGCTTATCAAATAAGGAAGTCAGTAAAACTTCCTATGGCCTGGGTTTCCAGATTAGAAAGCTCACCAAGTGCAAGCAGAATAAATAAAGGACTGAATCAAGGCAACTTGTGCAAAGGGTCATCCCTGCCTTTCTAAGTTCTTTCTTCCACCATGGGCATAGAGCCTGGAAACTATATTTTTCCCATGTTTCCTTACCTCAGGATTTTGGTTAAATTTTACCAGTGAGAAGCGCTCATGAGAGATTTGGAAGGCAGAAGAGAAGGGAAAACTATTATTCCTGGGCAGCGGCTGTGGAGTGGCTCACAGGTATTGGCAAAAGTGGAGTTTTCCCCACAGTTTTAGATTCTTCTTGAGGACCATCCACTTTGGTGTTGCAGAAAGCTGAGATTCATAATTGCCACCTTCCTGAGGGACCTATACTTATTCACTTTCACTCCTCAGTTTTCCAAAGTTTTGTAAACTTATAACCCAATTTATTAAACCCCTTCCTCCTTGAAATACTCTAGAAATATCTAGATGATACAGAATACTTGATTCTACATTCCTGAACAAACCTGATGATTATAGTACATTAGCATGAAATTCCCAAACACCAATGATAAAAGAAGAAATCCTAAAAGCTTGTCAGAGATGAGATGAGAGGAAAACATTCAAAACTTTACTATCACAATGACCTCAGGTGCTCAACCCTGAACACTAAAAGTAAATGAAGTAATGCCTTCAAAACAGGCAAAATTATTTCTAGCCTAGAATTTACAATTCTTACATAATATTTTTAGGTAACATGAATTATAAATCTAGAAGTATGATTAATCATGTATGAAGATAGAGATATTAACAAAAATCAAAGGTCCTCTAAAATGTACTGCTGTGGAGGAATTTTTTTTCTCAGAAAGCAACTGGAGGATGTGATCCCCCAAGTCTAGAGAGGACACCAAGAAGGTGAAAGACTAGCAGCTAGGGGATCAAGTGCAGGAAAGAGAGAAAGAAAATACCCAGGATGTGTTAGGATGACATATGAGTAGCAGGACTAGAAGTCAAGAGCCCACATTGGAGGCCAGATGCTCCAGGAAGGATGTCTCCAGAAGAAAATTACCTGCTGTGTTTAATCCTGTTGAAAAGTGTGGTGTCATAGTGTGAGAAAGTTTGGGAAAGAAGTGGTGATACTGTGGTAGACAGTGTTATTTGTTCGAAAATATTGCTGCATCTCCCTAATACTCTACTCTAGGGGAAAAGCACATTTTCTGAATTATCGATGTCAGGAATGGCCAATGCAATGCAAGCAAAAGTAGCACAGCCACTTCTGTATGGAAGTTTGAAAAGCCATGACAGAATTTTCCGTTCATTCTTTTCTTCCTGCCAGGAGTCCAGCAGGTCCTAGATAAAGACTGCTTCTTCATCCCAGGTCCTAGAAAAGGGAAACCTGGAGGATATCAGCAGCCATTTTGACATGGAAAATAACCCAGCAAGAAATGAGCCTTCACTGTTATAAGTTTCTGGGAATTGGGGGTTATTTGTTACCTCAGCATAATTTAGCCCAAAGTGACTAAATATTTAGAAAACCAAACAATCTAACAAACGAAAGTGGTATTAACACCAAGGCAGTGAAACAGTTGCATAAGAAATGAATAGTAGTATACTATATGACTCAAGTATCAGCAACTTATTCACTCAACAGATATGTAATCAGCACTTATTAGAGTGTGTGGATACAGACAATAAATAAATATCAAGTAACTATATCAAGTAAATCAGAGAAAAATAAAGCAAGAGGGAAAAAGGCTTGCCATGGGAAGCAGCTATTTTTTACATAAAATGTACATTTGTACTGAGCTTTAAAGGATGTGAGGGATTGAGCTATGAGGCATCTGAAAGAGGAGTCTTCAAGGAAAGAAAGTAAATCCTCGAGGGGGCAACAGAGTTGGAATTTTTTAGGACCATTATGGGGACCAGTGTGGCTGAAAAAGATTAGTAAGAGTGACAGAAGATGATGTGATATTGGAGAGGTGGGTGGGGGCAGGTGGTGCTCCATCTGGGAACTTAACTGCCATTGCAAGGCCCCTGCTCTTACTTAGAATGAATGGGAAGCCATTGAAGGGTTTTGAGCAGGACTGCCCGGATCTGATGTAAGAGTTTTGAAGCTCACTCTGACTGGTGTGCTGCAAATTTTCAGCAGGTAGAAAAGGGCAGAAGCAGACAGACCAGTTAATAGGCTACTGCAAAAATTTGGAAAATGAGGGTATCTTGGACTGATGATATAAGAGGATGAGAAGTAGATAGATTTTTGGATGTATTTGGAATGGACAGCCATATTATGACAATAAAACAATATAACTTATAAAATAATGTAAACTCTGAATGTTGATTTAAAACAAAATAGTAATAGAAATACATTGAGGAGATAAAAAGAAAGATGTCTCTATGTGTTGGGTGTGTTTCTGTGTGTGTGTGTGTGTCGTGAGTGTTATAAAAGAACTAAATCCTACCTTTCAACTGAAGAATCAAAAAATAGCAGTGTAAGCACATTATTTGAAACATAGAGACAAAAGTCAGAGAAAAACAATATGAACAATTAGAAGGGTTTGGCTTTGGAAATGGGGAATGCAATTGGGAGCAGGTTGGTGACGAGGCAGAAGACAGCTGTTTTATGATAAGCCTTATAGCATTGTTAAATCTATGTACATATATGACTTTGACAAAAATAGAAATCGATGTTTTGAAAGTATACTTTTAAATGTACTTTTTAAAAAAAGTAACACCTACAATGTAAAGAACAGTATATGATAATTGTGGATGGTAAAGGAGAGTTATACAAAATGGAAGCTTTGTTCTCAAGTATTAGAGCTCTGTATCGTTTAGAATTTAGATTCAGCCCCTGTTATAGAGACCTCCAAAATAAGGCAGAAGTTTATTTTTTTTTCCCATGCAACATTCAGCTCAAGGCTAGTAAACAAGACTCATGCTTAGGAATTTAGAATCCTTTCATCCTTCTCCTGCCATCAATACACAGATCAATACCCAAGTCATTCTTGGTTTCCTTGGATACTTTGTCTCTGTAGGATTCCTTATGTAGAAGAAACAGCATTGTGGTGAAATGAGTGTGGGCTTTAGAGCCAGACAGCCCTGGGCTTGAATCCCAGCTCAATCAGTTATTAGCAGAGACAAATTGTTTATTAAACCCCTTGTTCTTCTATTTTCCCATCTTTAAGGCTAGACTATCTCCTAATAGGGTTGTTGCAAAGATGAAAGAAAATAATACGTAAAACTAAACAATGGCGGCCATGAAGGAATTGGTCAATAAATTGGAGCTATACTATTATTAGCTAAAGTGGGGGTCTTAAGTGAAATAGTTAAAATGTAAATCTGGTCATGTGACTTTTAGAATCAGGTCTAAATTCCTTACCACAGCCTGCAAGACCTCATGTGATCTGATTCTTGGCCACCATGCTTCACTCCACTCCACCAAAGCAAACTCACATCTTAGGCTTAGGCTCTTGCTGTTTCCCCTGCCTGGAATTCCCCTCTCCTCAATTTACACATGACTTTCTATTTCATTTTATTCATATTTATGTAAAACATTACCTCCTCAGAAAGATATTTCCTAGCCATGCAGCTAAAATAATAACCACCATCACATTGTCCCCTAAGTCTGGTTTCTATTTGATGCAAAGCACTCACCAATCTATAGAATTATACACTGTCTGTCTCTCCCAAGAGAATGCGAGCCCCTTGAGGGTAAGGACCTTGTGATGTTCCACAGTTGTATCCTCAGCATCTAAAAATATGCCTGGCATATTGTAGGCCCTCAATCAAGGTATGTTGCAGATGCAGTACTCAGCCTCATTTAGACATGTATACATTGCACCCATTCCTACTCCGGATCATTACGGTGAAAATGAATTTCAGCAGAAAAGAGAAGCAGGTGAGGCAGGAAGTGAGGAATGAAGAGAAGCAGTGACTGAGGTTTGTATTTGTGTTCTATGAAAGGAAAGCATCAACCTTGGAATGAGGCCCATTAGCTCTGAGGCAATAACCCCTTCATCTGGTGTTTGCTTTGAGTGCCCTATTTCTTGGCTTTGTGGGAATGATTTCTACAGTACCAAACAGAGCTTTGAATCCATGCTCTCAACACTAAAAAGTGGCGAAACATTGTTCCTCTGGGGTGAGATGTTCTGGTCCAGCTGTCTATATGGATCAAATAAATTATTTACTGACCAAGATATCTTTCGTTTTATACTGGACAGTTTGTACTTAACAAAGACTTATGAAACAGAAGAGAGATATGGAAAGTTAAAAAATATCCCTTTAGAACAGAAACAGCTTTAGTGTTTGGACATAGTTAATTTAAACACACGTGTTTGATATAAACAAATGAAAGATTTTCTTTACTCTTACCAAATGTTGTTAACCTGGAACCATGAACAGAGACTGAGAAAACTGTAACCTTGCACTTCAAAATTATCCAAAAAGACAAAAAGGTAAAATATAAAGTATAAAATTCAGAGCAAAAATTAAATAAATGGTTCCCACAAATTCCCTAATGTAAACATTTTCCCTGTTAATAAACATAATTTTAAAAGCAAGAATTGAGATGGTTTGCCTTTTGGCCAACTGAAATGTCAGCTTTTTCATATAAGTTTGAAAATCATACTTAACACAATCAGTGCTTTACATAAACAGGAGACACTTATGAAATAATATTGATTAATTGACCCAACAGATGTTCACTTTAACTTTCTAGATTAAATTAGACACATATGGATGAAAAAAATCTAATGCTTTCCTATACTGGCTAATATGACTTAAATTTATCTCATGTTACTCCACAATCCATTTATGCTTTACCTCTTGATTTTGCCTGGTAGCTTTTTTATTTTAAAAATCCTAAGGTGTTACCAACTAATGAACACAAAGCTTTATTCCTCTGATAGATATAGCATCAGCTCAAACATGCTTAAAATCCTATGTCATATGATATTTCACTCTCCTCTTAGCACCCCTCTACCCAGGTTCCCTGCTTGGCCAACTCCACACATAGAGGGTGATAAACCACTTCTTTGGTTTTTAGTGCTTGACATCAACTGACCCAGCAGTCATCAGGCTTCCTCTCCATGAAAACCTAAAAGCTGCTATTGAGCAGAATTTGAAGAGGGAGTAAACCTTGTATTACTTCTCTAATTCCAACTATGATGCAGAAGAGTTTCCTCACCTAAGTCATATTTTTTTCTATAATGTGTATTTGAAGCATCTAGCAGTATAATATTCAAGTCTCCTCAGTAATTTCTAGAAAACATTTGTTTGTAAAGTACTGTCAGAAAAATTACAGTTGGCCCTCCATATCCATGGGCTCCACATCCACAGATTCAACCAACCATAAATGAAAATACAGCAGGGCAGACTTTTCCTATCTTCAGGATCCGCAGACCACAGCACTTGGGCATTCTTGGATTTTTGTTTCTGTGGTGGATCTTGGAAACAATTCTTTTTTGTTTTTGTTTATTTTTATTTTTGTTTTTGTTTTTTTGAGACAGTGTCTCACTCTGTCACCCAGGCTGGAGTACAGTGGTCCGATCTTGGCTCACTGCAACCTCTGCCTCCCAGGTTCAAGCAATTCTCCTGTCTCAGCCTCCCAAGTAGCTGGGATTACAGGCGCCTGCCACCATGCCCGGCTAATTTATTTTTAATAGAGATGGGCTCTCAACATGTTGGTCAGGCTGGTCTCGAACTCCTGATCTCAGATGATCTACCTGCCTCCGCCTCCCAAAGTGCTGGGATTATAGACGTGAGCCACCACGCCCGGCCAGAAACAATTCTTTGTGGATACCAAGGGATGACTGTACTACAGATTCAATTTGTATTTAATTTAAAAATGTTATGTTATCTTATGTCATGAGTGGTCTACATACAAATGAATCTCCCAGTGATGCACACCTGCCCGCATTCATGCCCTGGTAGATTAACTTGTACATTATTGACTCTGAGTTTAGCCATGTGAATTGCTTTGGCAAATGAGATATAAGCAAATGCAATGCAAGCAGAGGCTCGAAAGGTGCCTGTGTGGAGGGTCTTGTCCCTTCTTGCTGCCCTGAAACCACAAATGTGAAGAAATCCAGGCCAGCCTATTAGAAGATGAGACACATGGAGCAGAAAGCAAACATCACAGCTCAGGATTCCTAGAACACTTGCGCTCGGCCTACCTGACAGCTACTGCAGTTGCAAGAAGTGACCCCCAACAAGGTCAGCAGAACAACTCAGCTGGGACCAGCCCAGTGTGTTAACCCGCAGAATCATGAGCAAATAAGATGGGTTTTATTTTAAGCCACGAGGTTTGTCATCGTTTGTTACACAGCAACACATAACTAATACACATCTGCTCATGTGATTTCTACTACAAGAATCCTACTAACAGAAGAATCCTGGGATGAACTCATATTTTAATAAGGGATGGTTTCAAATGCCTTCTTTTCTCTAGAACAGTTTTTCTCAAATGTGATCTATGAAGCCTCTGCATCAGAATCACCTGAGGAGTATCTCAAAATTACAGATTCCTGGCCCCATCTTGTCTCCACTGAAGACAGTGTCTGAGAGAAAACCTGGAAATTTGCACTTTCACAAAGAGCATCTGCTGATTATTATGTGTGTGTGTATGTGTGTGTTTCCAATTTATTTTTTTTAGCTTGAGGTATAATTGACAAATAAAAATTATACATATCCAAGGTACACAGTGTGTTGTTTGGATATAGGTATACATTATGAAATGATTACCACAATGGAGCTCACAGAATTACCCTTTTTAAATTTCAGAACCACCTGCTTTAGGTCAGTGGTCTCCCAAGTGGAGTGCACATGACAATGGGGTGGGGGAAGAAAATACAAGAAAATTCTATTTCTATCAATTTTTATGTCATTCTTTTATAATTGAGTTTGGGGGTCAAGCCTATCAGTGAGAACATTGTGAGAAAAAGAAAAGAAAAATTGTAATGTGTTCTGGAAATTACAAATAGTATGGTGCTCTTGTAAGACAAAGAAGCAGATGGGATGTGGCAAGAAATGAAGATAGAAACAGACATGAAGTGGTGAGTCGAAGCATATACACAAGCTGAGCAAATGCCCCAAGCATGGCACAGCAAGACAAGCTGGCCTCTGGTCCATAAGGTATCCTGAAAAGAGCCTGACCTTTGTTTTCCCAGGATTGGGCTCAGTTCCTGGTTTGACCATAGAACAGCTGATGCCATGCAGGAAACTCTTAGTGTTTCTGAGTCCCACTTGTTAGAAAAAATATGTTTAATATCAATTCCTGCAGCCACTGTCTAACAAATTCTCATAAGCATTGAGTATGAGGGTCTTTAGGTTACGTATTAGCACTGATTCCTAAAAGTGTGTCTTCATGTCATGTAAGTCTGTGATTGTATATGTCTCAACACACCACAATGCTAAGATAGGAAATATAATTTTTTAACAAAAACATTATTACATAAACACACAATTTTCATCTGTTTATCAAAATTGACTCTTTACCTAAAGCAAAGTCTATGGTATGATTTAATCAAGCTTTCTCCTGGTCATGTTATTATTCAGATCCATATTTCTTGTAAACTGACTTTAACGGAGAGGCTAGTGACAGCTCATATGCCCTACCCCCTCTTCTTTTTTTTTTTTTTGAGACGGAGTCTCGCTCTGTTGCCCAGGCCGGACTGCAGTGGCGCTGTCTTGGCTCACCGCAAGCTCCGCCTCCTGGGTTCACGCCATTCTCCTGCCTCAGCCTCCTGAGTAGCTGGGATTACAGGCGCCTGCCAACACGTCCGGCTAATTTTTTGTATTTTTAGTAGAGACGGGGTTTCACCGTGTTAGCCAAGATGGTCTCGACCTCCTGACCTCGTGATCCGCCCCCCTCGGCTTCCCAAAGTGCTGGGATTACAGGCGTGAGCCACCGCGCCCGGCCGTCCCTCTTCTTAATAAGAGTTGATGGTATTAAGTCTTACTGTAAAGAGCTAATTTGGAAACATAATGATTAAATGAGAGTAGCTGAATGTACCCCTTCAGCTGGTCAAATTAAAAGTACTCAATGTTTGAGGAGAGTGAGATGCACGGTCCAGAGGCTATCTTATTCTCTAGGAATAATTTTATAATCAGTGTAACCTAATAGCAGGATAAAATCTTCAGTGTGATTTTAACTGTTAGAAAATCATCCCCCCTCCTTTCAAACCCTTCTTCCTACCCCAATCCCTACGCTACTTGAAATTCATCAAAACTTTAACACAGTGTGTGAGATTATAACTTTATTTCTGTTAATATGCTCTTATTTCAAAATATTATTTCTTTGGGAACCTTTCAGGTAATCTACCTTTTGGGGTTAACTAGATAACTAGCTATATTTCATTCTAGCACATGGTTGAGATGTGAGTCACACCAAGGGATTTAGGAGTATTGTTGATGGACAGAAAGTGGAAGTAATTAAGGAGCAAGAGGAAGTTGGGGAGGACAGCCAACTTTGAGACTTTGAGTAGCCAAAGACAGTATTGAAGATTCTGGGATATTTTGGAAGCAGATTGAGGGCTTGAGGAAAATAAGATCTGTGCTTATATAGAATATCCTTTACCTATACACTAATATCATCAAATACCCTTTTCCAGATATACCTAACTTGGTTATCCCTTTGGAATAGTGAGAGCTCTTTCCCAAATTAGTGACTGGTGCTTCAGTTTGAGTGCAGAATTCTCTAATTTCCAAGTAACAGCAGCAACAACAATAACAGCAATGACACCAATAATAGTAACTATCATTCATTGAGAAGGCATCACGACAGAGTGTTAAGATCATAGATGTTAGCCAGATTGCCTCGCTTTGTCACTGTTGCCCTGGGCAAGGTTCTGAACATTTTCTGCCTCAATTTCCTAATCTGTGAAGTAGCACCTCTTCATAGGATCATAATGAGGATTCAGTGTGTATGTAAAGTACATAGTGTTCTGTCTGGCATACTGTAAGTACTCAGTAAATGTTAGCCATTCCTGTTGAGTGTTAATCAGATCCTAGATCCTATACTAAGTCCTTTTCCAACATTAATATGATCCACAGGGTGAGCCTATTACATTATTTTAGATGGAGACAATTAAATTCAAAGAGCCTGGGTTATTGATCAACATTACACAAACAGAGATGGAGGAAAGATTCCAGCCCAACTCTGACTGATGCAGAGTCCAAGATCTGAGCAAGTATGCTCTCCTGCAGTGTTGTGTGAGGTGCTGATAATGACATAGAGAAATCACCAAGTTCCCCATATGTTAAGTAAGAAGTATTAGGTTGGTGCGAAAGTAATTGTGGTTTTTGCCATTAAAAGCAATGGCAAATTACTATAGAATAACTCTGTGCTACTGGATCTATTATATTCCCCCACTGCCTTGAGGTGGGGTTCACAGGGTAATGCTAGGTAGCTTCAGCCAGTTTCTTCTGGAAAACAAATTGATCCCTTACTTACTCTTTGCTTACCGACTTAACCCAAAATTCTCTGAAAAAAAATAGAAATTTCTTTCTCTGTGTCTAGAATATTTATGCCATAACCACTACATATATTTGGCTATACTTCAGATAAAGATACAGATTCGTGCACTGCAATTTTTCTTGATGAGTGGAAACAAAATATTTTCCTCCCAATATTTAAATGTATCAAAACATAGGATCCAGGTAGATACAACCCAGCCAGTTTCTTCCCTGCAGCCTTCAACTTTTAGCACAAATGCCAAAGAGCAAGCTAGAAAATTAGAGAAAATCCAATTCACCCTACAGAAATTGGTTCTGGAAAGAGATGACCAATAATCAGATGGTGCTTAACTACCAAGCATTTTGTACAACTAAGAAGTGGATAAGCTGCTTTCTCTCAAAAAATCCGGGTCTGAAGCAAAATATCCAATATTTATAATGCCCACATGCAGTAGCTACTTCAGAGCTATCACCTGAATGAAAGCTAGAAATTCTGATTCTTCACCTAGAAATGATTGCTACAGGCAAAACACTAGGAAATGGGAAATGGATATTTCACTGTGGACAACTTTAGACTGTGTACTCAGTTAACTGTGTATCTCCCTCTGGAAGCTTCCTTCAATCCCCAGGTCTGGCCTCAACAGCCACATTTATACCCTGTGACCCTATGTCTCTGGAAATGGTAGTTTGATCCAACAGTGGACCAATAAAACTGGGTCAATCAGAGCCATACACGTAGGAACTGGTCTACAAATGCAACTGGACCATTGACATGCAAATACAGGAATTGTGGGATGGCCAGATGTGGTTAGGGGGCATCTTCTATTTCTATTTCCTGGAACTTGGTTTCTATTCCTTGAAACAAAGAAGGCTGGCTCTTAGACAGATGGGTGATGAAAGCAGTGATTGAAGGTTAGAGAAGAGACACAAGGAGATCAAGCTACCTCTTGGGGACCTCTTTCCAGCAGAATGCCCATTCATGGACCAAACAGGAAAAATGCAAGACAGATCCATTGATGGACCTGTTAAGAGTTAAAGTATAAAAGCCAGTCATTAAATCCATTGATCATGCCCTGTAACTTACATATATGTTAAATGTATTCTTTGGTATATATCAAATATTTGTTAGTTTATTTAAAAAATTAAAAATTAAATATTCCACTTCTTCTAGTAAATAGTCTTTTTTGCTCTTACAAACGTGACCCACTATTTAAAATGATATTCTTGAGGTATGAGCTGTGTAGTATATATATGGGCTTTAGAAACTGAATCTTATTTTATATGCACAGGAAATACTTCATTGAATGAATCCAGGCATAAAAAATTTAGCCCAATTACCACAATTCAGTATTGTTAAGCTATCAAAGCAAGTCATGTAATTTTCATCAGTTTTATGCATATTCAAGAATATACAATAACAGTAGGAAATACCCATTTCTACAGTGAACTAATTAGAGAGAAAAATTCTGTTTGAATTCATCAACTGGGAATTTTTTTTAGATTAATTATTGATGAATTGTTCATCAGGTGCACATAAGACCACAGTGATAAGATTTATCTTAAATTTCAAAAGTGCTTTATTTACAGTAGCTCTAAATGATGAATCATATTACAAGTAAGATTCTGTTGGGGATAGTTTTTTCTTAACTATACTCGAAATATTGATCCATAGTAAACTTGGTGACATTATTTATCCCTCATGAATTTGTTCAGAAAATTATACAGCACTTACTAGTTATCCAAGCAAAGAAAAATATAGAATAAAACCTCCTGAGAAAACACTGGAGGAAGGGAGATGGAAAGAGGTAAATTAATTAAAGAATCTATTTCAATTCTTCATTTTATGTTGAGTATTAATGTAGATATAACTCAATATTAAGTACCATTCTTATGTATATCTGAAGTTTATAGCTAGGTATATTTCATTATTTTATAAGCAGTATGTATCACTATTTTAAATTTATTGCAACAAACAGCAATTCCTTCTTTACTTATTGTTTTCTTTTTTCTTCTTTTCAATTTCTCCAAATTTCCTTTACTCATAAGTTTAGAAAGTAGATAAGGCATTGAAGATATTTACAGGAAAATTGTGTCCACCCCTACTTCAGATTATAATATACTTGAGAAAACAACTGGGTCCCTTGAAGGACTGAATAAGCACTAGGGATGGAATGAACTCATTAGAAGTCAGAGACAGCCTACAAGATTACAGCCACAGGGTCCCAGGCTGGGAACCTTGGATAACTTCAGCTAACATGAAACTAACTTTCTATTCCCTGGAAGTTGCTGAAAGCTTAGATGTTTTGTACGTTGTTTTGGCTTTTTCAAAAGAGTAGTTGAGCTTACAAACCTTAAATAATGCCACGAAGTGTGAATCTTCAAATGCTAGAAATGATGAAATACAGTCATGTGTCACTTAATAACTGGTACACATTCTGAGAAATGCATCCTGAGGCGATTTCATTGGTATATAAATATCATACAGTGCACTTACACAAACCTAGATGGTGCAGCCTACAATACACTGAGACTATACAGTTATAGCCCATGATTTCTAGGCAACAAATTCATGCAGCATGTTACTCTATTGAATACCATAAGGCAGTGGCAACACAATGAAAGTATTTGTGTAACTAAACATGTGTAAGCAGAAAAGGGACAATAAAAATGCAGTGTTATAATCTTACAGGACTGCCGTCATGTATGCAGTCTGCCATTAATGGAAATGTCATTATGTGGAACACAACTGTAAAAACAAACCATCTGAAAAATGTTGAGTGAATTCCAATGGAATCGCTCATAGCCTGCTCCCACATGTATTACATCAAATTGTTTTAGGTATTTACCTTAAAACTATTGAAGATCTGTTAGAACATGGAGAATTTGTTTGCTATTATATCATTTCCTTTTCTTCTCTTCTTCGGTATGTATTAGAGTGACAGAAAAGAAGTATAATCATCGAGAAAACTTGGAACATGCATGAACTATTGTTTTGACCATTTTACCATGGGTGAGGTATGGTGGCTATGGTGAGGCCAGATGCAGGTCAAGAGAGAAAAAGCACGGTTTTTATAGTTTTGTTATACTCACAGTTTCCTAGGGAGAACACTATACAGGGCCACTCAGGGGTTGGTCAAGAAGCAGAGGCAGGAAGAACAACTTTTAATTGTGGTTTCTGCAGGAAGAAACAGACAAGGCATGGTAAACAGGTTTAGAATTGGCTACTTTGAATACTATCAGCAGGTTCTGGGGCACAGGGGCTGTCCCTGGTTATCTGGTACCTGGCCCTGGGGTGATTGGAGCTCATTGATAGTGACCCAAATTAGAAAAGACCAAGAAGGGAGGTGGTTGGAGTTTTGGATTTAATCAGCTTCTCTAGAAGAAAAACTGACTAGCCTCAAGCCAGGATCTCCAAACTGAGTTAGGACAGTGCTTATAAAAACCGTACTGCACCTATACAACACATACACATAGAAGTAAATAGAAAAGCCTCAGGCTGCTACAATCAGAGAAGATGTCTCTTAAGAAAGACCGTGAGGCTGTTATTCCACCAATGTCAGAGTAAATGCAGGCAGGTTTTAATGTACAAGTTCCTTATGGATCAAATAGAGGGTGTAATGTTATTCTCCTGAAACATTGCTGCAAATTGGTAGAGATACAAAGGGCGAAAAAGGGGTTATCAACCAGAATTTCCAAAAATACAATTTTGTACAGTATATAAGCAAAAGCAAGTGCTTTTAGTGATTCACTTCACAAGCAATTTCTTTAAAATCTAACCATTGAGCAACTGCAGGAAGAGAAACTGAGGAATCCTCTACAAGAGATATTTAGAAATTTAATCCATAGAAACAAGCATTGCAGCACGGACTGGCATGGGAGAAGGTCAGTGAGACAGAGGGAAAAAAGTGGATCAATGAACAAAGACAGCTGAAGACCCAGTTACAGACCCAATTACTAAAACCACCCCATAGTCCCACCTGCTGAGGGGTTTTACCACTCCCATAGGAGGACGTCAGGAAGTTTATGACAGAATTCCACTAAATTCATTTGCAATCCCTTGCTTAGATCTTCATTTTGTTGTTGTTTCCTGCATAGCAACTTCATACAATTCTTATCCCAGAGGGTGGTTTGATTATTCTTGACTTTTTATTTTGTTGTAATCATAAGTAATTTTTATTTTGTTAAAGATAAAAGTCTACTCAGAATTTCAGTACCCAGAATAAGCAGACCAACTGACATGCAATCCCTTAAATTAAGGAAACTGACTTTCGTAGTCAGGGCATTCCTCCTGTTTCCCATGGATCACTCATAGACCCAATGCTCAGTTGTTAGGAATGTACATGGTACCAGTAACTGTGAGAAATACTTGTGTGAAAGTAAGATGCAATAGATTCATTCTGCCTTATACTGTTTTCATTACTCTTAACAAAATCTTAAGCTGCTCCAGAATGATCTTCAATTCATCAAGGTCAAAGATAACTTACTTTTTTCAGGCCCTTGGCCATAGGATCGAGGTAATGACACCCAATCCCAAGGGCAGCATGTCTGAAAATGTAGAAAAGCTGATGTAGCTGGTCCCCAACCCAGACCAATTCAGAATACCTGTGGATAAGCATGGGGCTCTGCCTTATAACAAGCTCATCTGGCGACATATTGCATTTGCAAAGAGAGCTCCTGCCCTCCAGCCTGAAGAAATGTTATGGCTCTTTTTGTTGTTTCTGAGCTGTCCCCTCCCAACACAGACTCAGGCTTTTTAGTATAAAAGGAAAAGGAAAAGGAAAGAAAGGAGGGGTTCAACTCTGTCACTACCCATTAGTGGCAAGTGTAACAAGAGTTAAGACTTCGCAGTAATTTACTCAATGACACAGAACATGGTAGCCTGATGGGTAAAAACTTTTACCAAAATATACTCCTGAAATAAGGATCTGTCCAATATGCATTTGTTTCAAAGAGTCTCATGCCTGAACGTTTCTTTTAGATTTGAGTCTTCTTTATCCAGATGGTATTTGATTGACTTGAAGTTCTTCTCATCTTTCACTGTGTCACTTTTTCTGGAGGATCACTCACTTACACATATTAAGTGTGTTCTTTATTCCATCAACATAATAGTTTTCTTTTCTCAAATTTGATGTGATATAACAGAAAATGAACTGGGCTAAGGAGACCCAGAATCTAGGCTTGCTTCTGTTCTTGAGTGCCTATGTCCAGTTAATTGAGTGAATTAACCTCAATTCTTTCTACTACTCAGTTTTCCCATACACAAAATAGGGGAATTGGACTTGAAGTACCTTACAACTCTGAGATTTAGCAAGTGAGTAAATGTCTAGTAGTCCTTAGAAAGTACAACACTGACTTCCTGAACTTTCCCTTCTGGGTGAGGAAAATTTGGGCATAAATTCAAAAAATGTGTTTTATGTCCCGATGGATGATTAAATCAACCCTGCCTGCATTTCTAGGATGACTCAGTTCCGCCTTACCTCCAGTACTGTTTTGTTCTCATGTGCTCCAAAGAAGTCAGTAAACCCAGAATATCAGGTCTCATAAGCCAAAGACAACCTATAAATGAAGGCCAGAATTATCCCCTCTCTACTCTTGCAGCCAATCCAGGTGAAACCAGAGATTTTGTGTCTGATAGCCCAGCAAATATTAGAATGTCTCCTTGGCTATGAAATCACAAACTAAAAAATACTTAATTTCTGCGGCCTCATCAGCCATACCAGCTAACTGGAGTCCCCTGAGGCTTTCCTCCCCAACCCGTCTCTTTCATTATACAGAAAGAGAAGGCAGGTGAGAAGTGACAGATGTCACCCTGCAAATATTCAGAATCTCCTGCTTTTAAATTTGGAGGACAGTACTAAGCAGTGTTTAGGACTATTTTACCATAATCTGTGAACCATTTAAAATATATAACTGAATTATTATTATTATTGTTAATTAAATTCATATACCTAGATGCCAGAAAAGCCTCCACAATTTTTCATTTGATACTTATTAGAATTATATGATCTAGATGGAAAGGGCCTCAGGTGCTAGGGTGAGAAGAGCTCAGCCCAGGGGTCAGAAGACATGGTCTGCTACTCTTCAATCAACTGCTGGGACGTTGGGCAGGACATAAGTTTTTTGAGCTTCCTCATGAGCAAAGCAAGAGGGTTGACTAGATGACCCCTAAGATCATTCTGGAGCTGAAGTTCCACGAAACTATGAGATCTACTAGTTTACAAAGGCGGGAATTGAAGCCTAACAGGGTTGATTGAATTGCCTAAGGTCAACACAAAGCTGGACTTCAAGTGTCCTGACCTTTGGTCCATTTTTTTTTCAATTAATCCAACTAATCCAATTCCATGATTATATAAGAGTCCAGCAAACAAGGGGATTAAGGCTTGAAGAACAATTTATTTCTATATTATATGACTAACTGGTGGTAGGGTAAAGGTAGGAACAGAACTATTTTGCTTTTCAGTCCACAGATGTTGCCTCTAATGAATAGAGGTCAGCATTGACTAGAGAGAAAAAAGCTCATAAGTAGGATAGATGTAAGAGCACAACTGATAGAGGAATGACCAATAAATTAGTTAGGAAAACAAGTGGAAACAATTTTTCTATAATTGGCTAGTGGTCATACAAAGAGTGAATACAGGAGATGGATTAAAAAAGATCAATGTCATTAAACAGCATAGATACTAAACTGAGGTAACTTTTAGTTTATTATAAACTCTCCTTTAATCCAATTTCCCATTATAAGCATGCTTGTGAACTTGTTCAGTTCATAGAAACATTAATGCTAGAGATAAGACTAAAATAAATATAATCCCTAATTTCTATTTCAGTGTCTGACGGAGTCTTCAGATAGATGGTACACTACTACACACCATTATATTCATTACATAAATGGATTTCACAATGATTTATTCTCGGCTCCATCCTCTTACCTGCAAGTCATTTAGATATTGAAATGATACAATTGCTACCTCCAGTTTATTTCTTTTTTTAAGATTTTTATTGTTTCTCCAAAGAAAGCATTGTAAATTTGAATAATAATTAATTCTAGTAGTTCTAGGCATAGCTTAGGATTCCCTCTTCCTGTCTACAGACTCTTCCTATAACTCATTTTCTAACATTTTTGGTGGCTGAGGGAAAAGATAGTTTATGCTTTGGAAGGAGTAAGAGAAAGGTAAAGAAAGAGAAGCAGTAATTATTGCATACACTGCCTATCAGGCAATAAAGTGTGTTTATGTACATTTCTCATTTAATCCTCAGGATATCCCAGTGAGATTGGTGCTATTATTTCTACTTCACAGATGAAGAAAGATGAATTAAGATGTCAAATCACATAGTCATAAGGTCACATACTTTGTAAGTGACTTGGGAGACCAGAATTAAAGTTTGTATCTTTCTTTAGTTCTCATCCCATTACATTTTTATATTTGGAAGATCTAAAAAGGCTTCGAAATAAAAGGCATCCCTAAAACCAATCACTAATAAAGAAATGCCTCAAATTAAGATTGAAATCAATAAGCACACAAATAATTGCAATTTATTTCAAGCTATGGTCTGATCCATGCACTATATGGCCTTCTATTCAGAGCAAGCTGATTCTGCAGGTGTCTAATAAGCAGACAGTAGTGCAGATGTTGTCTTAGAAATGATTATTTACTTGCTTATAAATAACACTGTAATTTGCATAAATACAGACAGAATAGGCAACTAAGAATCATACCCATATAAAAAGTTTAGTACAGAAGCTAAGGAACTTCCAGCTGTGCTAGCTCAAAACCAGCAGATGTGGTTCACTTTGTAGATTTGTCAAGTAATCATGACAGCATCTTATAAATATATGAACATGAGCCAAGAGCAAGTCAAGAAATCACTTTTTTTTTTTTTTTCAGATTGTTCCTGTAGAGACAATAGATGCTGTAATGCAGAAATTGAGAGACGGTATCAATAGATATTATGGGAACTCACTAAATTCAGACTGTACAGGAAAAGAATGTTTCAGAAGAGTAAAAGACTATTTTGGAATGAATTATAGAGTATTTTTTAAAGAAATGTAATTTTCTTCCTGTTTCCTTCCTGTTTATCCACATTTACAGAAAATGTTTACAGGTAATTTAAGAGACTCATTATCATTTGAAAAATTTTCTGATCCTCTTAGCACCCAACATACACTAGTATTTTTCAATATATAGCCACACATTTCCCATCAGGATTTTTACAAAGTGGAATTAAATAGACCCAATAGTTTCAGGCTTGCTGAAGAGATGAATAAACAACATAGCAAAAGCCCTTTAAATCTCCTAGCAAAGGAGACTTTCAAGTATAATGTGTTATTTCCTTTCTAACCGCTTATCAATTTTGAATTAATTTATTGCCATTGAGATAATGCCTAAATCAGTTAGATTTCAGGCAATAATGCAGAAAAAAATCATAGTCTGTCACTGATCATGAAACAGCTAATAGAGTAGAGATCTGCAACATTTTTCTGTAAACGTCCAGATGGAAACTATTTTAGGCTTTGCAGTCCATATTGTCTCTGTTGCAGTCAATACGTAAACTAATATGGCCATGTTCTAATAAAACTTTATCAAAACAGACAGTGGGTGGATTTGGGCAGTAGGCCATAGTTTGCTCATCTCTGTTATTGAGTATAAGTCTCACAAAGACTTTTTCTTCTTAGAATTAGCAGGGCCTCAGGCACGTTAGAATTGAACTTTAAAGCCCTTTGAACAGCAAGAAAATGTAAAGTTAAGGTTTGATCTTGATTAATTAACTACATAAAGGATTAATTCCCTGATCAAGTAAATTGTAAGTAAGACCTGAAACTAGCACAGTGCTGTGTTCTTCGGTGAGAAATAGGCACTGCAGGCATCTATTCCAAATTCTGATTTTTTTGTAAAATGTGCTAATATTGTATAGTTCAAAAGAAAATTTTTACATCCTTTCTTCAAGCAGATGTCAAGATTACTGACATCATTACTAGAAGCTAAACTGGCAATGAATGGTCAAGAAAAATTATCTTCAGAATTAGCCTAGGCAGAATCACACAATGTGTTGAAAACTCTTCCTCCCCAAAGATGAGCATAATTACCATGCCACTGATTCCCTCTCCTAGTACTGAAAGGAAACAAAACATGCTCTCCTCAGTAGCAGGCAAGAGAACATCCCTTACCTTTCTGCCAGATTCATATTTGCATTTCTGTTCAACTAGACTGTGCACTGCTTGGGGAAAGGAGCATAGATACCCAGGCCACATTGATGATCAGTATATATTTATGAATAAGTAAAGCCTGAATAATAATTTTCAACACATGATGAGGAAAACACAGGTGGATCATAGGGCTGCTGTCTGGAAGTCCATAGCTGAATCATTCTGTCACAGCACTTCCCCTATTTCTGGCAGTTAACCACAGAATAGAATAGCATCAAGACATTTTAAATTCAATCAAATGCTTATAAGTCACCTACCGTGTGTCAGTCACAGTGCAAATGCTGTGAATACAAGGAAAGGTGAATTTTCTGCTTCCTCCCACAGCATGTAGCCTACACTCAGAGGCTTAGTGCCCAAATTAGTCTCATAAGTATTCTAACAAAAACTGCCTAAGATTCATTTTTTAACTGTGATATTTTAATGAAAATGTATTTAGCTATATTTGGTGGTATTAGAAAGCACAAGTGAACAAATGTAATAACTCAGACTTCAAAAAGGAAGAAATACAAAATGAAAACTCATTGACATAAAGGCATTTTCCAGGTGCTCCACATGTGTTTATTAATGCTGTTTTATGAGATCAATTCACAAATTCAGCTATTCCTAAGTGAATACACATAATAAACTGTGGCAAAATATTAAACCAGTTTGTGAATATTAAAATTTTAACTGTTTTACTTATTTGCATGGAGATTTTCTCTGTTTGTTGGTTTTGGGGATACTAATACTGCATATAAAACAACCCCAAAAACATTGCAGTGGCCACCAACATAAGCTAAGGTATTATTCACACATCTAGAGATGGGCTGCAATGGTTCCACTTCAGGCTGAAAGTCATGTTTAGGTCGACTTCCTTTGTCTGTCATTGCAGGACCCAGGTCAAAGGGGCAGCAATCCCCTGAGACATTCCTTTCTCATTTTCCCATTCAGAGGCAGCAGTGAAAAAGGCCAAGTGAGTCAAATCATAACCATGGAAGTCCATAAAAAGCCCGAGAAAGCCTGGTGAAATCACAATCACTCATACTCCAATGCAAGGAACACAGTCAAGTCCAACATCAATGGAACAAGAATGTTTTCTTTTTGCATTAGAGAAGAGGAAAAGGAACAGTGAATATTTACTAAACAACAGTTGCAAAGTTAAAAGTGAAGTTCAAAATATAAAAGAAAAATTTTATTTGGAAGTTTCAAAAATACTTTACATATACAAAATCATAAACATCTAAGATAATCAAAGGCCAGGACTCCAGAGAAAGAGAAAGTGAGTGGTGACATAAGGAGGAAATCAGACAGGCTAATCTGTTCCAGCAGGGGCAGTTTTAATCCCTGTGGAATGCAATTTGAGCTTATCACCAGAGGAGAGCAAACAGCATATTTTTAAAAATTTCTGCTCCAAAAGACAACATTGAGGATAAAAACTTTCTTGGAGTTTTAGTTTTACTTTTTCAGCTTTAAGTTTTTTTTAAAGCTATGTTGTTGCTTGCAATAAATGTAATTACTGTGTTACTGACTAGTCCTATCCAGAAAGAACAAAGTCTAAAATTGTTACCATAAAAAATAAAACACTTTCTCTTCTGTTGATTTTAATTGGCAAATAAAAATAGAATATATTTATTGTGTACAACATGATGTTTTGAAATACGTACACATTGCGGAATGGCTCAACTGAGCTAATTAACATATCCATCACCTCATATGCTTACCATTTTTTATAGTAAGAACACTTAAAATATATTCTCCAGCAATTTTCAAAATATAATACAATGCTATAAACTATCATCACCATGTTGTACTATACTCTGTGAAATTTTTTTCTGAATAGATTTGGATAAAAATTTAACCAAAATTAAAATAAAGAACAAAACACATCATTTCCCAGAATTAAAAATAAGTACAGAGTTCACTACCCTGAAGCGATGGCTATGCTGTAAGGTAAAGAAAAGGAATTTTCTGAGATTAATCACAGCATATTTGTCCATTTCTGAAGAGCAACCCAGACCACTGAGAGCTACTAAATTATGTTACGAATAATCAGTGCTAAGGAATGAACAAAATAAGAGTTGAAAAAAGTTATCTTATAAATATCCACCAACAGTTTCTAGCAGAAATGCTCCAAGAAACTGAAAAAGCATCCCCAAGCCAAGTCACGTGAGAAATACATGTCTCCTTCCCTCTTGGATTAAGAAATCCTATTTTCTAGTTCAGCTCAGCAGGTATCTATTAAGCACTGTTCACTGATTTGGTGAACACTTACTCCATGCTTGCTAGGCACATGTTTTTGCTAAGTGCAGGGAATACAGATAGAAAATGCAAACCTTGCTCTTGAAAGCACTCTAGCCAGGTCAACAGCAAACAAATAATTATAACATACTGAGATAAGTGTGATGGGATTCTTTCTTAGTTTTGCTTCCCCCAAGAACCAGACCTAATACAAGGATTTGAGTGAACATTGTTTATTTGGGAGGTGAAGGAAACACCAGTTGGGAATTTAAAAAAAAAAAAAAGTGAGAAAGGAAGGAAAGGCCACCAATAATGGATGCAATATAAAGCAAGGTACTGCTGTGAGCCACTGCTGGGGAACTCAGCGTGACAGTGTGGAACACACACCTCAAAGTCTGGGAGGGCCATAAGCTTCCCAGCATTCTCCACCTGCATATGAGAAGCAAAGAGTGAGCTTCAGAAGGCCTTCAGGCAAAGAGAGGCAGTTGTTGGCTGTTAGAAGCTTGGTAGATATGCAGTACTTCCCATCACATGCACACATAAGTCCGAGGGCATGTAGACATCTGCTGCAGAAACATTAGCTTCATAGTCAATCCTGTCAGGAAAAGGAGGTGATTACCCTTGAGATCATAAGGTGTGTAAGACTCATGCAGGTTCAGAAAGAAGGAAAATGGTATTTCTGGCAGAAGGACAAGTGTGAGGGCATTCCAACCAGAAAATCTGAGGCACTTAGAGAAGTCACAAATCCTAGCATACAGAAGCATGCAAAGACAAGAGACAGGGGAGAGAACTGCTGAGAATTGAGGCTAGATGGGGAGGCAGGACAAAGAGTCAGCCTTGAACCCCATCCAAAGATCTGGATCCAGCATCATGAGATATTTGGGATGCATAGAAATAGGGATACACTATAAAGGATTATGGCACGACTTAAATAGCATAAACTCGGTGACAATCAGAACCTCTCTTGACTTTCAGATCTTTTGCTTGTAATTGAATGGCTTCAGTCAAGGAACTTGAGCCCCTACTCTGGTACTGGGGGCATATCAATGCACAGGAGACAAATGGAAGCCCTGCCTTCATTAGATTTGGGGGTGAGGGGTAACGTATAATTACATAAATAGTAAATAACAATTTTAAATAGAAGTATATTGATGAAAGGGCAGTGGGATAAAGAGTGACTGGGCTATGCAGCTAGACATATCAGGAAAGACTGGTCTGAAATGGGGACATTGAAGCTAAGAACCAAATAATGAGGAGGCAAAAAAGCTGAGGAAAAGGCATACTGTGTATGAGATATAGAAAATGAGACTATTCTAAAGCAGAGATCTGAAATGTGGCCTAAGATGTGGGCAGGAAGCAGATTACATTACGATAAGGAATTAGGAATTTCATCTAGGGATAATGGGAAGCCACTGGATGGTTTCAAGCAGTGGAGTGAAACGATAAAATATACAATTTTTAACTTACTCATGCTCCTCTCTGGAGAGTGGATCATAGGCATGCAAGCATGGAAACAGGGAGACCAGAGGGGAGGCTGTTGCAATAGTCTAAGGGAGAAATGAGGGTGGCCTGGGTCCACAGCTGTGGAGAAGGTGAGAAGTGGTTGGAATCCACTATTTTAGAGATTGTCAGGGCTTATTCACAAATGATGAGAAGGATGGTTGTTCATAAACAATGAGAAGGATGAGGAAAAGAGATGATTTGAAACTACTGAGTGAATGGTGGTTTGATTAATGTTCTGTGTCTTATGTTATCTAAATTTCATGTTATTATTGTGGAAAAAGGACTGCAATGTACAAACCCAGACTATAAAAGTCCTCAGTAGTCATAAGATATTAGCATCACTATTATTATTATGTCATGATGCAAAAGTAATTTGATGTATTGAAAATAATTCTAGGCCAACCCTGCCCGTTTTCCAGAATTAAGCATGATTGCTTGTGCCTCATCTCTTGTAACATCCCCTGTCTTACCTGTAGTTTCTCATGAACTCTTCCTCCACTTCCCCAGGTGATTATTTCTCATCTACCAGTCTGTTACTTAACCTCCTTAACTTTTCTTGGCTTCTCTTTTTCAGATGGCTCTACCCCATCCTCATATCTCTTGACTCATGAACTAAATCTGAGCCTCTGTTTGCTCTTTCTCCACTGATCAGCAACTTAACTCAGGCTGCCTTGACGAAATGCCATAGACTGGGTGGTTTAAACAACAGAAATTGATTTCTCACAGTTTTGGAGGCTGCACGTTTGAGATTATGGTGCCAGTGTGGTTGGGTTCTGGTGAGGGCCCTCATGTGGTGAGGTGGGTGAGCTCCTATCTTTCCCTTCTTTGTCATCCTATAAAGGCACTGATCCCATCATGGGGGCCCACCCTCATGACCTCATCTAAACCTAGTTACCTCCCAAAGGCCATATGTCCAAATACCATCACATTGTAGGGCAAGGCTTCAACGTATGAATTATACAGGGACAGAAACATTCAGTCCATCACAAAAGGGCATCATGGTAGTGACAACAGCATGAACAGCTGTGAGGGTGAGAAGGAACACTTTATTGTGTGTACCTTTACCATGAGCTCCCATTCTGCTGAACTGATGATAGGAAACTTAAAAGTCATGCAGAAGGCCCCCCAGTCTATGCCACATTTTGTATTTTATGCAGTGTCAAAGAGTTAAGTAGAGGATCTTTCTGGTTATTGGTCATTTCTCCACATAGGTTTCTTCTGAAGTGTCCATGTGAATGGCTCCATAACCCCCTCTTTGTGTTCTTTTCTTCCAGCCTTAGGGTGTCGTCAAAGAAAAATTACACTGAAAAAACTTAAATAGGCAAGGAAACTTTATTCGAGACTATGGCAATAGGGATCAAGACTATGACAATAGGGGAGAGATGTTGAACTCAACTTTGTTGGAATGAAAAGCAAGACAGCTTTTAAGCATTGGGGTGAGCTGCTGGAAAAGTATTGGAGGACCATTGAGTGGGGAGATTGACAAATGTGATTAGGCCTTTGGTATTTTCTCACTGGCGTGATATAAGTCAGGCCCCTACCCTCCTACAAAGATGAGGAGATAGGACCCTATCTTTCTTGATGATTACATTTCAAGGGGATGACTCACAGGTCCTTGAAAATTACATTCTTTGGGTGTAAAACTAGCAAGAGGCTGAGAGATTTATATCTCAAAGGGGCAGAAAAATAACTTGAAATTGCAAGTTTTCTAGGGCAAATGCGCTAAGAAAAAAGATGCCGGGGACTTAACAGTCAGAAAGAAACCTATCTGAAATATAGTCAGGCTGCAGGGAAGAATGAAGGCATCTTGGTCAATGTGGAGGATCTGTTTAAGGTCCTATAAGTCTTGGTCCTGGCAGTATCAGGCACTCTTCTCTGGAGTCTTTCAGCTTCCCAGGAGTTTGCGCCAGGGAAAAGTGTTACGAGTACCCTGCTCCAGTGCTTCAGCCCTCTGTCCATCAACCCTAGTGAGGGAGTTCTCTTTTTCTTTTTTTGTTTTGAGACGGAGTCCTGCTCTTTAGCCCAGACCGGATTGCAATGGCACAATCTTGGCTCACTGCAAGCTCCGCCTCCCAGGTTCACGCCATTCTCCTGCCTCAGCCTCCCGAGTAGCTGGGACTACAGGCGCCCGCCACCGCGCCCGGCTAATTTTTTGTATTTTTAGTAGAGACGGGGTTTCACCGTGTTAGCCAAGATGGTCTCGATCTCCTGACCTTGTGATCCGCCCGCCTCGGCCTCCCAAAGTGCTGGGATTACAGGCGTGAGCCACCGCGCCCAGCCTCTCTTTTTCTTTATAGGCAGGGGCATAAGGGCTTGGAGGAGTGGGCTCCTGTCTACTTCCCTTTTCTTCCAAGTCACTCTGCTTCTTTGGGAAATATCTCTATTCTTTTTGTTTGTTTCCTAATTGACCTCAGTGGCCCATTACAAGGAAAATCAACCAACAAAAAATGAGTTTCTTTTTCATCAAGGATTGGAAGAAGGAATTTTCAAACCCTCCCAGTGAGTGGAGGGTAAGGAGGAAATTTTACATTTTGACTTCCCAATGTAGAAAAAAAAAAAAAGAAGAGGGAAAATGAAAAACAGTGCTAAGTTTTCATACTTAAACAATTATGTTCATACTCTGGCACAAAGATAATGTACTTCATAGAATGGTTGTGAGTTTAATGGGAAAATTCATATTTCTGGAAGAAATTCTGACTCTTAAGTACTCATTAAATAAGCTCCTTTCTCTCTCCTACACTTTCATTAAGAAATGAAGTATTACCTGTATGTTGGTAAAACACAGAGTGCCTTTTCCAAGATCTTTCTAAACCCTTTCTCTTCTGAATTTCAAACTTTAGCCCATGAATCTTTACAAAATTCTACAGAAATAAAATTGTTGATCAAATTTCAACATTTAGAACAAAAGAAAAAGTACCACCCTTTAATTTTTCAGTGGAAAGGGCTTGTGGGTCAGCCTTATCATTACCAAGTTCATTTATTACTGCTATGAGGCAGTTGAGCTTGCAGTGTTAATTAACTCTATGAGGGGATATATATCACTGTTGCCCTAGAAAATAACGGTAGGCACTGTGAGGTACTGTCACCCACTGGTGCTCCACCTAAGCTCATCTTCATGTTCATAGCTCCACTATGACCTAGAAACCACTCTTTTCCTGATTTAGGGCTAAACTAAACAGCAGATAATGTGGATGTGAGAATTGTGACTATATATATAAGATATATATGAGATATATAATGCATATATATATATATATATATATATATATATATATATATATATATATTAGTTTCTCACTTTTAGGTAAAGATAAGGGAATCAGGGTACAGAGGGAAGTACTTAGACTTTTAGATTCTACTTGGTCCACAGTAAGCGTCCCATGATGTTATGTCCCTACTCTTCCGATGATACATGGGCAGATTCCAAGTATTCCGAAATTGTTCACTTGCATCTCCTTCCTTTCCTCATTTTGTTTTCATATTTGTCCCCTGCTTGCTGTGCATGTGCATAGATTATGAGAACTGTGATTCCACTGATTGAGGCTGCTGTTGCCTGGTAGGGTTCAAAGGCAGCAGCAGTGGTGCTGGAACTGCATATTCATTCTGTCACATTCTTCTTGTTTCTACTCCATGTACACAGCTCTATACCACAGAGTCTGAACCCAGACTGCTTGTTTCCATTGTTTAGATTCTGGCATCTATTCCTCCTGCCCTGGGGATGATGAATAATTGAAAACTGAACATGAGCTTAATTTGGTATGCCTTGGAAGTGGTTTTTTATGCTGATTTGGTTTTGTGTTCTCTGAAACATCAAGGGCCAGGCTCCCATGTCAGGAATAATTACTATACCCCATATGTGACACACCTCAAAAATGAACAGGGGACACAGATGACTTCCTACATCATTAGGAATAGTTTTAGATATCTTAATAAATGTCAAGAATGATAAAGAGAATTTTATAGCCCTCTTTTTGGGAAAATATATCTTTTCTAACTATTTTGGAAATAAATGTTTTCATTTTACAAGGGATTGTAGAAAATTATGTCCAAAACTCTATGCTCCTTGTATCATTCAATTGCTTTCCCTAGATAATCAGTCATGGTAGAACCTTCATTAATAGGAATACCAAAGATGCTCACACTTCTCTGCTACTGTATTACAGAATGCACCTGAAACTGGAGGTCATCATGTTAAGTGAAATAAGCCAGGCATAGAAAAACAAATATCACATGTTCTCACTTATTTGTGGGACCTAAAAATCAAAACAATTGAACTCATGGAGATAGAGAATAGAAGGATGGTTGCTGGAGGATGGGGAGGGTAGCGGAGAGGATGGAGGAGAGGTGGGGTTGGTTAATGGGCACACAAAAAAATAGAAAAAAATGAATGACCTAGTATTTGATAGCATAACAAGGGAACTATAGTAAATAATAAATTAATTGTACACTTAAAAATAACTAAAAGGATATAATTGGATTGTTTCTAATACCAAGGATAAATGCTTGAGGGGCTGGATACCCAATTTTCCATGACATGATTTTTACGCATTGCATTCCTGTACCAAAATATCTCATGTATCCCATAAATACATACATACACCCACTATGTACCCCCCAAAATCTAAAATTAAAAAAATTTTTTTAAAAGAATGCAGCTGAAATGCACTACTCCCCACTGCCCTACACAAAATTTATATGCTTAAGTTTCTCCAGCACTTCAGAATGTGGCCATATTTACAGACATGATCTTTACAGATGTAGTTAGGTTAAAATTAAGTCATTAGAGTGAGCCCTAATCCAGTATGACTGGTACCTTTATAAAAAGAGGAAATTTGGACAGTCACCTAACAGAAGGATGATGATGTGAACATAACAGGGAGAAGACAGCCATCTATAAGCCAAGGAAAGAAGCCTGGAATAGACAGACCATTCCTTTATGGCTTAACATCTTGATCTCAGACTTCAAGTCTTCAGAAATGTGAAAAAATACATTTCCGATTTTTAAGCCACCCAGTGTCTGATACCATGTTATTGCAGCCCTAGCAAACTAACACAGCATTCTTCTGTCAACCCAAGGCAGGAACACCTAGGCCTAGCTGACTCCATCCCTCCTGTTCACAGCTGATTGCACCAGAGGAGTACACCTAATCCAAGAGAGCAAAACCACTGACTGTCCAGCAGCCAATAAGAGTTTCTCAAAAATCTGAACCAAAAGGCAAAGCTGAAAAGGAGGACGTTGTCTTTAAGGGCAGAGCACTGTAGTGGGTCTTGCTTCTATGTGGGCCGTTTGTTGGGCTCGGTGGTTGTTCCCCTCTTTTTTGTTTGTTTGTTTGTTTGGGATTCTACATAGTCTGTGGCCTTAACATAAGCTGGAGTAAAAAATTTCGAAGAATTCTTACCTCAGAAAATAGAAGTAAGTCAAGAAGGGACCAGATGCAAGCCAAGAGAAAGGTGAAAGGGGGAAGAGAGGAGAAAAATGAGAAAGGGAGAATAAACATGTCACTGCCTTGATTGTGAAGCCAAAATTCATCCACTCATTCATTCTACAGAGGCCCTGTGCTAGGCCCTGGGCCAGATGCTGGTAACCCAGTAATAACTAAGACTTAGTTTCCATATCCAAGAAGCTTAAGGTCTAGAAATATTCGGCTTATTGGTTATTTTGAACTTGCCTTACCTCTATCGCCTTTGATTACAATAGATCAGTTAACAATAATTTCTCCCTCATTATGTCCAGCTGTGTTTTTAAATAAATGACTCATTCTTGCCTGTATGTCTGCATATATATATATACATATATATATGTAATTTTTTCTGCTATTCTTATTATTTATTATAAACTCTATGACGGAAGCAGTGTCCACATAGTTATGAGAGAAAATAAGTCAGAAAAATTAACTTTCCTTCTATTTCTTATGTTTAACGATGGCTCTAGAAAAATAAATCCTGGAACCAAGAAAGCATATTATTTTAATATCCCTCTCTCCTTTTATACCTCTTTCTTATCTCTTACTTCCTCTCTCTCCAGGTTCTAAGCCTGTCTGAGAATCACTTCCAGGCTTGATCCCTGATCCATGACGTATACCATGCTCCAAATTTTTTATTCCTCCTTCCATCTTCTCCACTTTAGCAGTAAAAACCTCCAATAAATTCAGTGCAAGTGAATTAGCTGGTGTCAGGAAAAGTGTAATCAGATGGAACTCAAATGTATGAATGTTTTTGACTAATAATACTTTTACCCTCCCTATAGGTTTTCTGGTCTTTCAAAGAAGATACTTATTAATGTAAATTACTGTCCAACCTTTAGAATTACAGGCAGTGTAGAAAAATGAGATTTTAAAATTCTAAAGATATGTGTACAATGGACCACCAAAAGAGCAGGAAAATTCCCTATCGGATTCTATCCCTAGTGTCCACATCCCTAACTGCCTCTTCATTCAGTTTGTCTTCTTCCATTCCTTAGTCAGAGACTCTTTGCAAGATTCTTTGCAAAATCCAGGGTTTTGTGGGATTTATTTTTCTTAAAGGAGGTGAGGTGAAGTTACAAGAGAAATGTGGAACAGGAGTAGCTGTCTTCTATATAGGTCAACTAACTTAATCATCCTTTTATTCCTTTTTATTTAAGAAGTATGTATTAAGAGCCTACCTTGTTGTCTTTTCCATACTTGGGATACAAGTAACCAGTATGGAAATTGGTTACTTGGGATACAGTATCACAAAGCCTCTGCCTTTGTAATACTCACTTTTGGGAGCATGCAGGGTTCATAAAGCTACATGATCTGGCCAAGGTTTATCACTGCAGGAGTATGAAGTGCACATCAGGGAAGAGTGGCTCATGGCAGATGAGATAATAAAAACAGTGTTCAAAGCTAAGACATGCATGGTGCTTGCTATGTGCCAGGTGACAGTATGTCCTTTACATACAACTCACATATAATTATTTTGTTCTCAAAAGACTCTAGGAATTAGATACTATTGTTACCATCATCATTCTTGTTTTACAAATGAGGAAACTGAAACACAAAATAATGAGAGCCATAGAGCTGGTTATTGATGAAGTTGGGATGTAGACACAGGCATCTGGCTGCCGAATCTATATGCTTCTCCACCACCCTACTGCTGGCATGAGATTGTTTTATGTAAGTTGAATTTTAAAATCAGAAACTTTAAATACAATGCCATTAGACTGAAACTAATCTTGTGAAATCCTCTAGGATTCTAAGTGGGAAATGTAGACATGCTATATTTTTGTGAAATTATTGCAGTGATATTTATAATCAAAACTGGAAACTAAAAACCATCCCTTTCTGAACTGTTAGAAAAGCAGATTAATATGTAAAGTGGTAAAGAAAAGCAATTTTTAAAAATTTGTCCAGTTCTGTCACTAACCTACTGCATGTCTAAGGGTTAGATCACATCAACTCTCCAGACTTGAAATTCCTCATATGGTGGGTGATCACATAATTAATTGTCCAAATGGGGACACTTAGCAATGAAGGGGGGCCCTATTAATAATTACACTGGGACGATATTGCCAGGCAAACCACAGTAGATTGTTGTTCAACTTATGTATCGAAATGAGGCTACAAGAGCTGATCCCTAAATTCACTTCTAGTTGTAGTGGGTGTGTTTGTGTTTGTTTGACCGACTGTTTGTCCAAAGTATTAGGATCATTTAGTAAGAGGCAGAAGGAAAACTCAGAGGTCTGACTTAACCCCGTAATGGTTAACAAGGTCTGTGCTAGATTAGGACATTTTTATTCTAGTAAATAAAGTAATAACTACAGCAATTTATAAACTGACCACATTTATATTAAATTGAAATTGTGCAAGAGAAAACAAATGCAAGTTAATTCCAAGTAGGCTTAATGCCCAGACAATCAGTACTGCAAAAATAAAACAAAACAAAACCAATGCCCAAGAAAGGCTGCCAATTAGAAAGAAAGAATTAATTTAATTCAAAACATTTTTTAATTTTGAGTCCTCAAGACTAAACAGCTAACTTGGGTACCTCCAACCAGTATGACACTGAGAACAATGTGACCTGATTTAAAGGAATTTTGAGTTTGTACAAAGAGCATTGGCAAGAGATCTTAGAGTCTTCATTCATGTATTCATTTAACGGATTGGCAAGAGCTTGTTATGTGCCAAACATTGCTATGGGCTGATGATACAACTAAGTAAAAACATAACCCTTGCCTGGAGGAAATATCAGTCTGATCTTGACACTGCCATATAAGTGCAGTGAGGCTTTGGATATGTCATTTAACTTTTCTGAGTCTCGGTTTCCTTAAAGTAAAATGAGGGAACTAAAAATGCATGATCACTAAAAATCGTCATTTGGCTAGTTAAATTTTATGAACTCAGAAGTTCTGTCTGGATAAATGTTAGCCTTTATCTGGTTTCATTATATTAGATAATAATGTTAGGAAAGTTTTGAAAATACAATAGGCATGCTTCTGTTTGTTTCCATAGTCATTCTGTTGAAAAAAAGAGATGTTTTCCTTTCCCCCATAATTTTCCCTTTGTTCACTCTCTTCAGGCCACATTTTCCATGTGGTTGTTTATCAGTATGTGCTATGGTCTGAATGTGTCCCCCAGAAAGCAGGTGTTGGAATTTAATCCCCAATGCAACAGTGTTGGGAGAGAAGCCTAATGGGAGGTTTGGATCATGAGGGCTTGGCTCTCAAGAATGGATTAACGCTGATTATAAAGGTGGTTTGCCAGATTCCAGCCCCTCAATCTTGAACTTCCCAGCCTCCAGAACCATGAGTCCGTCAATTTCTGTTCATTTTAAATTACCTAGTTCAAGATATTCTGTTATAAGCATCACAAAATGGACTAAAACAGCCTTTAAGTATGCAGTTTCAGAATACGCTATACCAGTGGTCTTCAAATGTTGACAGCTACGCCTCACCTCCAGAGTTTCTGTTTTAGTAGGTCTGATGTGGCAGATTAAAATGACCAACTATCCCACGTTTCCTGGGACTATCAAGTTTTAGCACTAAAAGTCTTTTCTCTCTCCAGCCTCCCCTCTTTTTTTTTTTGGATACAGAGTCTTATTCTGTTGCCCAACCTGAAGTGTAGTGACATGATTATGGCTCACTGCAAGCTTCAAACTCTTGGACTCAAGGGAACCTCTCAGCTCAGCCTCCCAAGTAGCTGGGACTACAGGTGCACACCACAATGCCTGGCTATTTTTTTAAAAAAAATTTTGTAGAGATAGGGGTCTTGCTATTTTGCTCAGGCTGGGGCTGGTGCTGAGCTCCTAGGCTCAAGCAATCTTCCTGCCTTGGTCTCCCAAAGTGCTGGGATTATACATGTGTGCCACCTTGCCCAGCTTTTTTATCTCAAGAAACTCTTCAGTCTCAGGTAAGCCAGTCTAGTTGTTCACCCAAGGTACAGCATAAGAATTTGCATTTTTAACAAGTTCCCAAATGATACATATACTGCTGATCCAGGGGCCACATATTGAGAACTACTGCTCTATACCTATGGTTCTCATCCTTGGCTGTCCATTAGAATTATTTGAGGAGTGTAAAAACAATATTTATTCTGATCTAACTGATCTCAGGTGCAGCCAGGTAATTGTCCTTTTTAAAAGCTTCTCAGGTGATTCTAGAGTACAGCCAAATTTAAGAACCACTGCTCTAGATCCATGAAGCTAATCACTGAACACTTTGACTCTGTCCTGTTAACATCCTGTAATTGCATCGTCTTGTCATCTTTACTGCCCTTGCTCTGATTCAAGACATCGTTTCCTGCTTGCACGGTTGCACTGATCACATGACTGACTTCCCTCCCTTCAAGTTTCTCACACCATCTCTACTTCATGCTTTCCGCAGCTGCTGGAGGAATCTTACTAACATAAAAACTTGATTATATTACTCCCTTGCTGAGGATCTGATGGACTTTCTTGTATTAACGTAATTCATGTTATCTGCTCTAAAAAGCAATTGCCAAATCCCAGCCACTTACCACAACAGAGATTTCTTTGGCATGCCATAGTCCAATGGCTGTTCTCCTGAACAATTCTTCTTCCAGAACTGTGGTGACAGCAATTCTCCCATTCTGTAGCTTCATGATCCCTAGGGCTTCCTTGGAGTCCTCCCTTGCATCACTTCTATTTAGTTAACTGAGAGATGAATGGACAGAATGTGGAGCATGACACAGGATATTTAGAGGCTGGGCTCTGAGGTCATATACATCACTTCTGCACATATTCCGTTGGCAGAAAAAAACCTTGTGGCCCCAGCTAGATGCCAGGTGATCTGGAGAATGTCTTGTTGTGTGCCTAGAATGAAAATGAAATAGCACAGTGACTATAAAGTATTATCTCTGTTACAATTTTTATCAGAGTAATACAAACTCAAACACATTGTGGGTAATTTATTGGGTTGTATTACACATAAAAATTACTCCTCATTGCCTTCAGTATAAAGTCCCAAGTCCTGTGCTTGACCTTCAGTGATCTTAAGATTCTATTCCTGACTCACTTTTCAGACTCAGCTTTTGGTGCTTTTCACAGGCATTCCCTGTCCTTATTCCCAAAATGTCCCATGCTGTCATGCCAATTTGGGGGTCTGAAAAACCTTTCCCCATTTCTTCACTTAACTCTTTCCTACTAGCTTCTCAGAGCTCAGTTCAAGAGTCAACTCAGAAAGCTTTTTCTGAATCTCCATCACCTTCTGCTTCCCAATTTGAAATTGTTGCTCTTGTTCTCCATTCTAATAGCCCCTGGCATTCCACACTCATAGACCTCACTCCATTGTATACCTTTGACATGGTCCAGAACATTTTGATTGTGAGCATCTTGTGGGTGACAAAATTGCTTTTTCTCATTGTGCTTAATACTACATGATACCTGGCGTGTAGCAGACATTGAATAAATGCTTGTTTAAATAAATGAATGACTGTTTAAAGACAATTTTAAAAAAACCCTTATATCATATTACAGAGTAGTCAAGATGGTTTCCATTGCAATTTGATAGGTGTAAGCAAAGAGTCCCCTACTTCAGACACTTGTGTGTGTTGAACTATTGAATATCCCTTTCATATTGCAAATGGGGCACTGTATTAAACATATATTCACCATTAAACACAGCCTTTCTTGGATTGGTTTCTCAGTTTGCACATCAAATTGTTATGCAGACTCCATCAGAATAGGACCCAGAAGAAGTGTTTTAGTAAGAGCTGAGATTTTAAAACTTAAAAATATATTCAGATTATGGGCTATTTAATGAACAAAGACCTGGATTTTATACCACGCTGGAGGTCTTAGATAGCCAGATATAGCATAAAAACATAGGACTGAGGCCCAAAGGACACACGAATAAGTGGTAAGGACAGAGGGGCAGGGCAAGATAGCAGAATAGAGACCTCCACCAATTGCACCCCCAATAAGGACACCAACTTAACAACTATCTACGCCAAAAAAAGCACTTTCATAAGAACCAAAAATCAGGTGAGCACCCACAGTCAGTACCTGGTTTTAACTTCATATCACTGAAAGAAGCACTAAAGAGATAGGAAAAACAATCTTGAATCACCAACGCCACCCCTTCCCCATCTCCCCACAGTGGCAATGAGGTGCAGACAGCATTTTGCCATGCTGGGGTGAGGAAGACACAGCATTTATGAGGCATTGAACTCATTGTTGCCATATTATAACAGAAAACAAAACTAAACCAAACTCAGCTGACACTCACCCGTGGAGGGAGCATTTAAACCATCCCTAACCAGAGGGGTATCACTGATCCCAGTGGCCCAAACGTCAGTTCCTACAAACCTCACTACAGTGGGCTAAAGTACTCTGGAGTTCTACCTAAACTAAAAAGACAATCTAGGTGACATGGACAGGAAATCCTTGGTAAGTCCTAATGTTAAACTGGGCCCAGAGACAATAAACTGGGGTGGGGGGGGCACGCCACCTACAGAGACACCAGAGGGGTGGCTAAGGGAGTGCTGGCATTACCACTCCCCTAACCCCAAGCTGCACAGCTCATAGCTTTAAAAGAGACCTTTTCCCTCTGCTTGAGGAAAGGAGAGAAAAGAGTGGGGGAAGACTTTGTCTTGCATCATGGATACCAGCTCAGACACAGCTCAGAGTGAACTGTAATTACTTTGAGAGGTTGAGGCAGGCAGATCACTTGAGGTCAGGAGTTCGAGACCAGCCTGACCAACATGGTGAAACCCCGTCTCTACTAAAAATACAAAAATTAGCCGAGCATGGTGGTACACACCTGTAATCCCAGCTACTTGAGAGGCTGAGGCAGCAGAATCACTTGAACCCGGGAGGCAGAGGTTGTAGTGAACCAAGATGGCGCCATTGCACTCCAGCCTGGGCAACTGAATGAGACTCTGTCTCAAAAATAAATAAATAAATAACTTTATGGTATGTGAATTGTATCTCAATAAATCTGTTTTTATAATATACATATATATGTATGTATATCTATTAGACAAATCTCAACTTTCATTGTTTTTTCCCTCGAACAGCGCTTTGGATTATATTTTAATAGTTATAAATGCAGTGGCCTGATGACCTTAACAAGGGCTCAGCTAGCTCCACTAACTAGTCAACTACCCAGTAGCAGCACCAGGCAAAGTTGTCATCTTCCAGTGGAAATCACCTTTATTTTTCTTAGCATTGATCTGTTGTATGCCATCCTGTAAATATATAATGCATAATTATCTTCCCTTGTTTGCATTTTTAGCATGAGAGATGGCCAGAGCTTATATCAGAAAGATAATTCCAAGATTCTTTCCCATTTTCATCCACCATCTTCTGGGATATAGTTGGCATGGAGAGATAGCAATGTATATGTGACTATATAAAAATATATTTCTGGAATATTTCCATTTGCCTTTCTATATCCATTCTCTACTCCTCTTGACTCTGGGAGCTGACCTTTACTAACTGTGTCTACAAGTTCCCTTATCTCTTCTGACTAGGTTTGTTCATAGGCTGCATGAACAGTGAATCAGAGGTTGGAGAAAAGGTTCTGTACAATTGTCCAACTGGTTCCCTCCCTGTGGGTTACAACAGGTAAGATGCCTCTCTACAGAAGTCCACACGTCCAGTAGGTTGACCTCTAGGTTGCAGGAAGTTACCTCCAGTTACTCAGCAAGTTTGCATTAATTGCTCCTTCTAGGATTGATGTCGGTTCCATGCAATTGCTAGCCCCATAGTGTTTTATTACCTCTCATTGGTTTCCCTTACTAGAGTAAATAGTCTCTTAAACATTGGAAATGCCTCTTTACTGAAGTTTCCAGCTGGAGAATGCCCTTTCTTTCCTACAGGGCTCTGACTGATACAGTGTCTGACTAACAACAGATAGTTGATATTTAGCAGCCAGTTGAAAGGCTGCAAATAGACTCTATACTTAATCTCTTTTCATAAACTACAAATGCTTAAAAAGTTACTTATGACCAATGCAAAAGTGTCATATATTTAATACTATTTGGAAGACCTTTCCAGGTGCATAATGCCAATCCACAATTCAATCCCTCCTGGCAAATGATGTTATAAATAAGAGGGAGAGAGTTTAAATTAGTGCTCTCTAGATTCAGAGTTAGGGGTTAGGAGCATTACACATAGAATTGAAATCTCCAGTTCCATAAAAAGTGCCCAACATTCTCTTAATATAGCTTTTGGAATACTATTGACTGAATGAAATTTTGAGGTCTCAGAAGTTGAACATTCACATGGCCATCCTAAGAGCCCTGTCTGACATGTCTCTGTTTAGTCAACATGTCTCCATTTAATTACCACCATGAGTGAATTTACCAAAAGAAAATAAGCTATGGGTGACATGCCAACCTCCCACTTACTAGCTGTCTCTACTAGAGAGATTAAAAAGTTAATCTCTCTAAACCTCAGCTTTCTGAAATTAAAGAGGATAACAATTTTTACATCATGGATTCTTGTAAGATACAAATGAATTAGTAAATCTAAGTGTTTACCACAGTAACTCATAAAAAGCACTAAGTGAATGGTGACTATCCTGTCATGCATCTCTCTTTTCCTCATAATAAACTGTTATGTAACAATTTATTACATAACAGAGCACAGTAAATTTTCTTTTGTGCCCATCAGCTTCCAGGCTACCATGTCTGTTCCCACAGTCATTGTATTTATTTCTGGGAATGGCATTCCAGTTGAGAGTCCAGAAAGTGTAGAATAGGAAGCAACTTTGGACATGATATAGTCCAACCTGCTCAATTTAATGATGAGAAATCCAGGACCCAGATGAGTGAAATGGCCTATGGGCTCACTGATGCAGCAACCACGCAGGAGCTAGCAGCAGCGCTTCCATTTCCCATGCAGTTGCCCTGTTCACCACACAGTGGGGATGCCCGCAGAAATGTTTTCTGAGAGTATAGCTTCTGCCCTGAATCCCAGATCTCTCTTTGGGACACACTGCTTGGTCTTTCATGCATATGGCCTGGTAAAGGTTCCAATCCTGTTCTCACCACCACCAACACCACCACAACCCACTAACTCAAACTGGACATTATAACATTCCAAGACAGGTGCTAAGAGCTCTGCTTACAACTCTCCAAGATGCAAGCTCAAGTCAGAGCTCTAATTTAGGCTTAAATTAACTGAATGATATTTTGAAATAAATAATTTTCTCCTGCCTTCAGGGCAAAGAAATCAGATGCACGAAGGGTAAAGACCCTGGTGAAAATCACCAGACACAAAAGGTCACAGATCATACGATTCACTTTATATGGAATATCCAGAATAAGTAAATCTAGAGATATTGAAAATAGAGTAGTGGTTGTTAGGGCTGGAGGAAGGGGAAATAGGCATAGATTTTGCTTTTGGAGAGAGGAAAATGTTGTGGAACTAGATAAAGGTGATGGTTATGTGTATAAAGATACTGAATGCCCCTGAATTGTATACTTTAAAATTTTTAATTTTATGTTATGTGAACTTGATTTCAATTTTTAAAAATCACATGAATACAAGTATATTATTGCTTGCCAATGATATCATGCAATCTCAATGACCTAGTCTGAAAACTCTTTCACACTGATTGCTTTTGTCTTCTCTTCTAGTCTGTGCCCGCTTAACAATTTTATTTTTACCAAGCTGTGCTCAAAAATCTTTGCTTGCTGAATGTTTCTTCGAGGAGTCATTTTTTTTCCTTCTGTAAATGATTCCTTCAAGATACCAAGTGTTTCATTCAACTGATATATTCAGGAGAGATACTGATCCATAATTTTTTTTTTTCTTGTAATGTCCCTCTCTGGTTTAGTTACCACGATTATGCTGGTTTACTAAAATAAATTGGGAATTCTTTTTTCTCTATTTTCTGAAAGAGTTTACAGAAGACTTATATTACTTTTTTCTACTATATTTTGTAGAATATACCAGCAAAGCAATTTGGGCCTGGAATTTTCTTTTTTGGAAAAGCTTTTATTATAAATTCAACCTCTGTAATAAATACAGATTTTCATTAAACAGATCAATATTTGCTTTTACTTCTTTTCTCAATTTTACTAACTTGTAACTTTGTTAGCATTCTTATTCATTTTGAAAAATTTTAATAATTTTCTTATTATTTCTTCTTGATTCATGGATTATTTGTAAACATGTTATTTAATTTCAAAATACTTTAGGATTTTTCCAGGAATTTTTTTTTTTTTTTGCTATTGATTTCTATTTTAACTGTGTTGTGGTCAGAAAATAAACTTGTATTATTTCAATCTTATATAAGCTAGATAATACCATCAAAATCAGGAAGGTGATACTGACATATCGCTACCATTGAATACTCAGGGCCAATTTTCAATTGTTCCAGTAATACCTTTACAGAATGAGGACTCAGTTGAGAAACAGTCATTACATTATTTTTAGTCATTTTTTTTTAGTCTGCTTTAGTCTGGAAAATTTTCTCAAAATTTCCTTGATTTTCATGAGCTTGACACTTTTGGCATTTACAGGCCAATTATTTTGTAGAAAGCCCCCTGGTTTGGACCTGTCTAATGCTTGTTCCTCATTACATTTGGGTGCTATGTCTTTGGCAGGAATATCAGAGGTAGTACTGTGTTCTTGTTGCTTCCTATCAGAGAGTGCACAAGATCAATTGTTTCCTCCTCTCATGATGTGCACTTTGATCGCTTGTTTAGGATCCTGTCTGCCAGGTGACATTACTCTTTCCAATTTGTAATTAATATGTATTTTGTGAGAAGTTACTTTGAAACTACGCAAATATGCTATTCTTCACTAAACTTTTTATTGATTCACTAATTTATTTACATCTTTATGGTCTCATGGTTTCTTATTTAATTCAATGAGCTAAAATGTATTACTGACTACATTTATTTTCACAGTCAAATTATCCCTGCTTAGACCAGTAGGAGCTTTTGCAGTTTTTGAGAGGGTCTCTGTCTCTCTCTCTCTCTCTCTTCTCTCTCTCTTTTTATTGTCATTAAGCTTTTGCATTCTTTGACATTTTGTTACTTTTTGGCACAATAAGATAACTTAGGCTTGTGTTGTACTTTTCCTGATCCAGCCCCGAAATTGACCATTCTTTTAGGAAGCCCTAGTTCCTTTTAGATGAAAATGGTAGTTGGAAGACAAGATTTAGGCTCTAGTTATGCTAATCAGAATTGGATTATTGCTGCTCCCAATCCCACTCAGTAGATAAGACTGAAAAATATATATGTATATACAAACACATATTTACATCTACATTTATTTCTATATTATAAACCATGAGCTCACATTAAAACCTGAATTCCAATCCAACACTCTAGAATTCATCCCAGATTTTCCACTGTCTGAACTCCCCATCAGCTTAGTGAGACCTCCATGATCTGCTTGGATTCTATAACCCCCGCTTTGGTCCAAAAACTGCTTCCAGACAAAAGAATAGAATGATTGTTGACTCACTTAGGTAGGTGTTTCTTCTTTCTTAGGGAACATGGTCCTGTGTGGCCTATATCTAAAGTCTGAAAGAGTTGCTTTATGTATTTGATCTGGTTTCATTTTAGTTTACAGCAGGAGGGTGGATTCACAATCACTTACTCCCTCATTGCTGGACAGGAAAGAATATCACATTAAATGTTCACAGTACTCATGTTAATATATCAAACATGGCTCACACAGACTGTTACAACAATCCAGGCAATAAATCTATGACATCTGTACTTGACAAAGCACAGAGGAAGAGATCCGAAGACAGCCACGCCTATGTCAACTTTACTTTTTTCTACTGTGTGACCTTAGGCAATATACACAGCACATTTGGTCTCAATTTCTTCATCTCTAAAGTGGGGGGTTTGGGAGAAGACTAAAGGATATGATGTACTTGAATCACCACTGGAGAACATTACACAGAGGTCTTCAATATGTGGAAGTTTATTCCTCAAATACTTCTATGACATTTATTAAAATTTATTTTGAAAGAATAAAGTTTATTCAATAAAATATACTGAAATTCCTCCACAAACATTTTTCTCATGACTTTTATAACTTCAAATTTTCACTCTTAAAAAAGAAAATTATTTTATAAATTGAACATCAGCATTTATCTTGTCAACCACTGCTGAGAAGTCAGAGTATCTGGGGGTAGAATATGTTAGCTTTTAAATGGTATGCAGATACAGCTTGGTTCAACTTTGAATAGAAAGTTAAAATACTTCAATCACCCAAATCTTCAAGATACATTCAAAAGTCAGGCACCAGCCAGGTGTGGTAGCTCACGCCTGTAATCCCAGCACTTTGGCAGGCCGAGGCAGGTAGATGGCTTGAGGTCAGGAGTTTGAGACCAGCCTGGCCAACATGATGAAACCCTGTCTCTACTAAAAATACAAAAGTTAGCCAGGCGTGGTGGTGCCCACCTGTAATTCCAGCTACTTGGGAGGCTGAGGCAGGAGAATTGCTTGAACCTGGGAAGTAGATGTTGCAGTGAGCTGAGATGGCACCACTACACTCCAGGCTGGGTGACTCCATCTCAAAAAAAAAAAAAAAAAAGTCAGGCAGGATGTCATTTACCAAATTAGTACTAAGCGTTCACGGCACTTGTTAACTTTTGTACTTGTGTTTGATACAACTGGTTACTTGTTACTATTCTTCATGGCTGAACTTTGAAAAGATGTTGAGTATATAGCATTTCCAACTTTGGAAATTGTTTTCCCACCTCTCTGGAAATAAAGTCCTTTATGTAAAAATTTTAATAGGCTTGTATGTGAAACTGTAAGTTTTGTTATGCAATACCCAGTGTATGTGTGGATATGTATGGGTGTGTGTGTATATATATATATATATATATATATATATATATATGTTCGGTATATGCATACACACATATATGTGTAACTGTTTCCAGGAGTTGTTTTAGTTTTTAAGGCTCCTCCTCCTCCTTCTCTTCCTCCTCCTTCACCCAGGCCTTTATTCTTCCCTCCTTTTCTCCCTCCTTCCATTGTCTTCCCTCTTTCCTTCTCTCCTTTCTTTCTTCTTTGCTTCCTCCACATATATTCATTAAGCTCCTTTTATGTGCCAAGGATATTAGGGACTTGATGTACATGATAAATAAGAAACCACTCCTGAGCCTAGAGTGTCAGGGATAATGACAAAATACATAAAATTGGAGCATAGATCAAGGGCAGCCAACCCAATTCGTGGGATCAGGTGAGGGTCTTCGAAAAATCTAAGCTCTGATGTAAATCCTTCCTCTGCCCCATCTACTTTTCTTCAGTTCTGGAAACTCCTAGCCATTATCACTTTGAACACTGCCTGTACCCTGTTCTCCTACCATTCACCTTTGGAACTTCTACTGATGCTTATGTTTAACTTTTTAACTTAATTTATTCATCTTATAATTTTTTTCATATTTTCCATTTCTTTTTTCCACTATTTTGCATTCTGAGTGAGTTCCTCAAATCTAGTTTCTAATTCACAAATGCTTTCTTTAGGTGGGTCTAGCCTACCATTTATGTATTAATTAGTTTAAGTTTCAATCATCATACTTCAACTATCATATTTCCATTTTTAGAACTATTATGTTCTTAATAAATCCAATTGTGCTTTTCCCCAATATCCTGAATTTATTTCGTAGGTCCCATTCATTTCTCTGATTTAAAATATTTATTTGAAAAATTCCTTTCATATAATTCAACAGTCTGTAGATTCTGCACGTGAATGGTCACAGCTGTTCTGTGTTTTGAACCTCTATTGGTGGTGAGTTTTTTTTTATATTACTTGACTGAGCTCATTTCTGGCAGAAGTTGTGGAAATGCTTCCTCTGCTTTGAAATGAGGGGGGCAGGTAGCCTCCTGCCTAGGGCAGTTTGGTATGTGCCTCTAGCAAAGTTTTGTGAGTTTCATTGGTTCCATGCTAGTTTCAACACTGGCTTCTCAGCCAAGTCCCTGCCCTGGCAAGTAGTGTGTATCCATGCCCCACCCACAGTCTTAGGTGCTCACATTTCTTGTGGATGCCTGTTTATCACAGTCTAGTACAGTCATCTGGCATCCAACTGTGCCCAAGAATTGCTACTAATGAATACAGTTAATTTACTCATAATTCATGAACTACACAATTCCTTGAAAGCTCCACTATTTAAGGAGTCCAATGCCAACTTCCTAACACCTTGTAGGTGTTGGGAGACCAGTCCATAACACATACCACAAAGGACTACTTGGCATCCACTTTCATTCATCAAAATGGCTTTGAGTTTTCTCTTTGCATCAGACTCCTAATTTGTTCCTGTTCTTTCAGTTGAACTTATCTAAGATGTAATATTTTAATATCTACTTTATCCAGTGTTTCTCTGTGTATAGACCTAGGCAGGGCAGAGGAATGGAGTGGCAGTTTCCATATCTGCTCAGCCCACCTTGTTGCCTCTACAATTATGAAGCAGAGTCTTAAAGGTTAAGAAGGATGTGCAGATACTGTGCTAACTCCACGTTCACTCTAAGGATTTTATCCCTTATCGGAATTCCTGCGTACTGTGTCAGTTTTTGTTCACTTAATGACAAACTTCCTTGAATTCATGTAATTTTACTTATCCATACTCCACATTCACCCACGTTGGTTTTACCTCAGGAAATGATGACTAGATTTATAAGAGAACTAGGATTTTGAATGGATGCTGGGTCTAATTCCCAGGTCATGGGATGATCTGTGCTGCAATCCACCATGGCACACATTTACCCATGTAACAAACCTACACGTGTAACCATGACCTTAAAATTAAAGTTGAAGAAAAAAGAAAGATTTACACCTAAGTTTAAGGAGACAGAAAGAAAGAAAACAAGGATTTTGTACCTTAACAAAATGTGTGATCTGAACGTGGAGGGGGCATACCTAGGGCTGGCAACCTGCAACACCTCCACTGTGCTGGACTGGCAAGAGAAGGATGTTGTAGTGAGGGTCAAGAGGTGCATGTGTTGCAAAGGGATTCCAGGCAATGATACCCTAACATCCCTCTCACCCTCTGTTAGCTTTCTCTCATTTTCATTTAGTAATAATTCCCTAATCACCGTATATGGGATTATACATCGTTCATCTATACACTCTGTTATGGGATGAGGTATATAATAATCCACAGGGCAGGGGTGTTAAAGATTGTGAGGTACAGATGACCCATCCATGAGGTGACAACACAGCAGAAGCTCTGAGGCCACACATGCCCAGGTATAACTTTGGATCTTAGAACACGTGTCAAGGGCCTAGGAAAAGCTGCCCTTTGCATGTGTAACTCTACATTACCCAACATATAGGCCAGTTTCAATTCCAGATATATTTGATATATTCTAATAGTCATAAGCTACTAGATATTGTCTAATTTGATCCTTACCACAATCCCATTAGGAAAGAATTATGCATGTTGTATGAGTCTTTTATTCATTCATTCAACAAACATTAATTCCATTCCCTCTGTGTGACAGACACCATTCCAGGCAGAGAGTTTACAGCTGAGCAGACAGAAAAGTTTAAGTAAGTTGTCCACAGGCCACACTACCATCAGGCGCCAGTCTGAATTTAAATCAAGATCTCTAACTACAAAAATGCTAACCACTACCCAGTACTTCCTTCCACATGTTGCAAGTAAACTTTTATAATTGTGGTACTGTTATCTTTCTTTCTTTCCTTTCTTTTCTTTCTTTCTCTCTTTTTTTTTTTTTTTTTTTTTTAACATGGTCTCACTCTGTTGCCCAGGCTGGAGTGTAGTGGTGCAATCACGGCTCACTGCAGCTTTGACCTCCCTGGCTTAAGTAATCCTCCCACCTCAGCCTCCCAAGTAGCTGGGACTAGAGGTGCATGCCACCATGACTAGCTATTTTTTTTTTTTTTGTAGAGATGGAGTCTTATGTTGTCCAGGCTGGTTTAGAACTCTTGGGCTCAAGTGATCCTCCTGCCTCCAGCTCCCAAAGTGCCGAGATTACAGGCATGAGCCAACCTGCCTAGCCAGTATTGTGATTTTTTTTTTAATTTCCTCTATTTTCCATTTTCCTTCCTCCTAGTCATGTCCTGTCCTAGGGCTGCTTCTCTTCATAAAGGGACTAAGTCAGGTACTGGATTAAATTTTCAACAGAAATTTAAAATGTTGCAATAAAAGCAATTCAGTGGAACCCTAAGTATGATGCCATATATTTAAAAAAATTTCAGACAAAATAAAAATTCAAAACATTTATAGCATAATATTATCTAATGCCCTTTTTCTAAAGACTTCTAAATTCTTCTTTCTTTTCTTCTTTTTGCTTTTTTTTCTCAGTGTTCAGGTTTGTATTTAATCTCTAAAAAGGAAGTGGCTTAATGTTCAACTGCTTGTTCTTTTCTTTTCTAGTTGTTCGCATCTATTTTTTGCTTTGCTTTCCAAGTTAAATCTTCACTTTTTTTTTTTTGCTGTTAGCCTCTTCCCATCCTTCAAATGGTTTCTGTATAAAGTTCTTTAGTTTTTAAAACTCTTTCTTCACAGACAACTTGCCTTTTTTCTAAAATGTTTTGAAGATTTTCCTGTGTTACGGGAACCAAGACATAAGGGAAACCTTGAAAAACTTATGTTTCAGTCATTTACAAAAGCTTCCTGCTGTACTGAAAAGTAAAAAAATAAAATAAAATAAAATAAAGATATTTTGTTTCTGATTTTCTGATTTCAGCTTATGTTGACACATCGTTCTAGGAAGAAAACAGAACATTTCTGCTCATCAGTGTTTTGCAGTAAGAACTTGTGACCCCTAATTGTCAATATATCCTGTGGGACGGTAGGTTTTATGCCTTAACAGAGGCCACATCAGTGTGCCCTCTGCCCAAATAGCCCTCTTCCCATCACTTGATGGGATGACATTGGCTAGGGCATGACCAATGGAAGAAGGCCATTTTACCTTCTTCCCATGTTGCTCACACACTTAAATGTTCAGGGCTTTTCTGTGCTCTCAAGGCCACACTCCTCAACCAAATAAGAAAGAACTCACATGATGGGATGACACTGAGTAGGGTACTGTCTAACTCATTGCTCACCTCTTAGAATGGAAGGACAACACATTCAGTTGTTGCTAATGCCTTAGAATGAATATGTTTGTTAGGTGGCTCTTTTGGGGCTAGTTCAAAAAGGCCACTGACAAGAATGGGAGGAGACTAGATCGGTCATGTTGGGGAATAAAGGGTGAGATGAAGGATCCATGAAAGAGCCATACATGTGGATTACCTGGGAGAGCCCATGAAGACCCTGGTACCTGGAGAGTGGAGTGGGCAAGAAATAAAAGGGCAATTCAGAAGGGAGAGTGGTAGCCTGAACAGAAACTTCCAAACTGTAATAATCAAGGATTCGGAGAAAGCTTAATATGGGGATCTCCAGAGACTGAATTTGCAGAACAAGTGAAGCAGCACAGGGGCTGCCGTTGGTGAACATTCTAACCTTGGTCACCCAGTTAATGTGCTATAGCTTCTGGGGAATACACTTGTCGTAACTGCCACCAAATAGTGAGGTTTTCCTTGAGTAATGAGAAGAAAAATGCATTCACTACCTCAATTCAGTACACAAAGCCCGCAAAGGATAGTTTTACAGGGTTTTAATATCTTCCTGAGCTTTTTAATGAGGGAAACCAAGCACGTCATATCTGCTTTGCTGAAACTTTAAGATTAATGTGGCTGAGTGCAGTGGCTCACGCTTGTAATCCCAGCACTTTGGGAGGCCTAGTCAGGTGGATCACCTGAGGTCAGGAGCTCGAGACCAGCCTGGCCAGCATGGTGAAACCACATCTCTACTAAAAATACAAACATTAGCCAGGTTTGGTAGTGGGTGCCTGTAATCCCAGCTACTTGGGAGGCTGAGGCAGGAGAATTGCTTGAACCCAGGAGGTGGAGGTTGCATGAGCCAAAGTCGTGCCTCTGCACTCCAGCCTGGGCAACACAGCGAGACTCCATTTCAAAACAACAACAACAAAAAAAAAAAAAGATTAATGTACAAGAAGTAAAATATGTGGTAAAAAATAAGTTGTCCGTATTCAATACTTGTAAAAGCAAACTTTGCAAGTTGTGCTTCTAATTCATTCATGACAAAAAAGCTCCACCAAGCTTCCATTCAGCACTGGCAAACACTGCATCAACACTCCCCCTCCCTTATTCCAGACAGACATTAACACGTTGTCCACAGTCTCTTACACAGCTGAAATCTTTATCATCTTATATCTCAATGCTGTGCTGCAGGAAGCCATGAAAAATTAATCGGGACTGGTATCCCAGGTGGAGCTTGTGTGAACCTGGTAACTTAATCCCTGCCATGTACTAGGAGAACCCAGGTTATGTAAAATCATGCCATTGCATAAGTTTGTCTTTTCTGTCCTGGTCACTGGCCATTTTGCCTTCTTCCCATGTTGCTCACACACTTAAATGTTAGGGCTTTTCTGTGCTCTCAAGGCCACATTCCTCAACCAAATAAGAAAGAACTCACATGTTTCTGATCATTTATTGACTAATTATAGATAACTATAGATAGTTCTTAAAGGGGTCAGTTGGTGGTACTGTCAATGTTTCCTTCCTCCCAAATGTTTCTTTGATTTTCCTAAGGATGAATTAGCTGCCCTGCTTCCAAGCATAACAAGAAATGTAAGTGCATTTCTACTAAAAGTAAATCTTTCTCTCACAGTGTCCAGCATTGTGGGATCTCTGTTAATCGCTGTTTATATGTGAGCCTTTAAAGAATGAACATAATGTCAGTTTTGCCTGGGGTAAATTCTTTTATTCCTTATTCAGTTTTCTTACCCAGAAGATTTCCCATCTGAATCACTTTTACCTGGTTTGTTTGACTGGCACGTGGATCCACTTATTGAGATTCCAACTCAAGCTCATTTGGAAAAAAAACTAGAGACTGCACATTTTGAAACAGAAATTCTCCAGGACCTGATCCTGGCATCTTCCATGTCTCTCTAAGGTCTAGAAAGCACACCTGCTTTCACTGATTCTGATAGAGGCCTCTGCTGATTTTCAAAAGGGTCATATGAGAATTCTGAGAGTTCTGCACAACTTAAGATGCCTCTTGGGAGAACTAGCAAGACTAGGAGACAGACCCTTTCCCCATGCTGTGCTTATAGGGTTACCTGACAACAAAGGTTTGCTCCCTACCCCTCAAAATACCATGCACTTTTCTGACTCAGCTTTGAGTCACACTACTGAAGGGTGGCAGGCTATGCCACCCCCAAATATGCCACTTTGACATAAGGATCACTTCAAGCCAGAGGCACTTGAAAAAGAGCAGATTCAAGAAGATTACATGTATTCTAATCTTCCCTTTCTTTTCCCTGAAGGTAGGAGATAAAAACTATCATGTGGAAGATGCCCTCCCTGTGCCAAGAGAAAAGAAACATTCTTCCATGAAGACTCATAGCCGAGATAATTCCGTATAAACAGACCTTGTTAAAAGAATTATCTCCCTTTGGCCTCCCCACAAAATTTAGATACTTTTCCACAATTGCCTCTTTACAAAATCATGTAAGCCTTGCTTTTTTTTTTATCTTCATTTTCTCATGAGGGCTCCTGTGTCATGTAAAATATGTTAAATTTATACGCTTTTCTCTTGTTAATTTATCTTACGTCAATTTAATTCTCAAGCCCAGCAGAGACCCTAGAAGGGCAGAGGTAAATTTTTGCCTGCACTACACTATTGATCCCAAAACACACACACAGAGAGAGAGAGAGAGAAAGAGAGAGAGAGAAACTCTCTTCCTATTCTGTGCCAGTGAAATTCTGCCATCAGCAAATATATCTTTTCTGACTTTGAAAATACTGATGACAGTGGAGATTAAAATCCTACCAAGGCTGCTGCAGAATCAATGACACATGAGGTGGCCAGGCATGGTGGCTCACGACTGTAATCCCAGCACTTTGGGAGGCCAAGGTGGGTGGATCCCCTGAAGCCAAGAGTTCAAGACCAGCCAGGCTAACATGGTGAAACTCCATCTCTACTAAAAATACAAAAAATTAGCCGGGTGTGGTGGCACATGCCTGTAATCCCAGCTACTCAGGAGGCAGAGAGAGGAGAATTGCCTGAGCCCAGAAGGTGGAGGTTGCAGTGAGCCGAGATCATGCCACTGCACTCCAGCCTGGGTAACAGAGTGAGACTCCGTCTCAAAAAAAAAAACAAAAAACAAAAAACAAAAAAAAAACACATGAAGCTTTACCAGAAGATTTCAGTATGTCCTCCAGTGCGTAATTCATTTGTTCAACAATTTTTACTGGGCAGGCATTCTAATAGATGTTGAGGATATCACAATAAATAAGGCAAACAAAATCTCTACCCTATGGTAGAGATTTTGAAATATCAAATTATTAAGTTTTAGGAAAATTCAATGACAAAAAGAAAGTCTTATAATATTACCATGTCCAGATAATGTAAGTATTTACACATTACTATTTCAATTTCATTCAATTTTTTTCTAAACTTTTATTTTTTCAAACATGTAATCATAATATATTAGTGCTAAGTATTAAAACAATTTCTTAATTCCCATGTAAATTTAAGGGTATTTAAGCTTTTTTTTTTTTTTTTTTGAGACGGAGTTACACTCTTGTTGCTCAGGCTGGAGCTCAATGGCGCGATCTCAGCTCACCGCAACCTCCGCCTCATGAGGTTCAAGCAATTCTCCTGCCTCAGCCACCCCAAGTAGCTAGAATTACAGGCATGCGCCACCACGCACGTGGAATCAGTTGTATTGTTTCAATACAACTTTTGGAAATAAAAGTATGGCAAATTCTCACTCTCTTCCTTAGGTAAGCACCAAACTTTAAAAACAAAAGGCACTCACTATAAGTGTGCTGTAGTGTTATAATGGCTATGAGGTCATTAAGAGATAGGAATTTTTCAGCCCGTTATAATCTTAGGGGACTATTGTATACGCAGTCTATCATTGACTAAAATATTATTAGGCAGTATATGACTGTACTTTTGTTTAAGATCTTATGACAAATCCAAATAAAAAGAAAAAATAAAATAATTAAATGAAAAGAAAGGTGTATCATTTCTTCTACCATATGGAGCTATATACTAACTGACACATATATGGTTCACACTAGGCCTTTCTTTGGGGTTTTAGAATGAGAGTCCATTTAGTCCAGAAGTTTATAAAAGTTACGAAAATTATTATTTGTGTTAGGATTAATAAAAATGTATTTCTACCAGCTGAATATTTGATTGGCATTACATTTATCCACTTATCACTCTAAATAAATAAACAAATATATACACTCACATTTCTTTTCTTTTAAACACTCTCTCCCTCAAAAAGAAAAGAAAAAAAAAAAGAAAAAAAAGAAAAGGAGACTTTCCTAAAAAGATAAAGGCAGGTTTAGTGAAGCACTAAGTGAAAAAGTGTTAGTGTCCTGCCATCCTGTGGTTAGGAACAGTACTACAGCATTGTCTTGGCAATTTCCATCTGAGTATCCCTAAGAATCAGAAATGCAGTTAGCTTCACCAATAAATTAACTTTAAAAAGAACTCAGAACATAAGGAAGCATTCTAAAGGATCTACAAAGTTATTTCATCCTAAAATATAAAAACTTCCTGGTTGATTTGGGTCCCTGAAAGAAAATGTTGTCATTATATGTACAGTGTTTTAAATGTTGTTTTTGACAGATACTTAAGCAATTAACAGATATCATGAATGACAAGTTAACATCTCAATAAGCTAAAGCTTTTACATTTTAATAAACAGAAAATCTTTTCAGACCAAGCAGAGAAAGTATGATTTTAATATTCTAAGCATAGCACTGATCTTTAACTGAACAGGTGAGTTTGATACTTTGAAAAGATTAGCAAGTATCTGGAGGACACTAGGAATAGCTCTTGGGCTTGAAGAGGAGTAAAGCCTCTTATTACCCCAGTCTTCCACCCTCTGCCTCAGCCTAACTTAGTCTAGAGGCAGATAATAGGTTTTTATTTTTATAATGCAGATTTTGTGCTAGGGTCCCACATTTCACTAAGCCCATAAAATAAAACATCTATCAAAGAGTGAAGGACCAGAATTGTCATTCTAAATTTAGTTGAATACTGTTGAACCCACCAATTCCGGACACAATACCTTTCCCAAATCTAGTTAGGAAGCCGCCTTCAGTGCCAAGCAATTACAAAGGCCTCCAGCAGCCACCACCAGTAAACACTGCAAAAAAATTATGAGCAACCATCTACAACAATCTTCATATTCCCACCTGCACCATTAGAGAAGTAACAACTTAGTAAAACTTGCTGATATCTTGTTCTAAGAACCATCAAATGTTGGATATGTGGAAGTATCTGCAGTTTGTTTTCACTCAGCTTTTAAGTGGGCCACAGCTTGCCAATATGTACATTTATAAATCTAGCTGGTGAACTTAATGGACAAATAAAAGGTTATTTAAAATTTATATCAAACTATTGTTCAGGTCAAATTGGAATAAAGATCAGGCTGTGATTTCATTGTGCACACATTTACTTATCCCACTTTTAGGGTCCCTTTACAACTCTTCCAGGCTTCTTCCTTCCCTTTTCTCTAGCTTTGCTTTCTGCTTTCATCTGTAGCTCTTATTCCCACTTCCCCCTCTGGGCGTCTTTTGCTTCAACTCTCCATCACAATCTGACTTATATGTCCTCCATAACACACTGAATAAAAATAAAAGATTCCAATGTGAGGCTTAGGTAAGTTTGCCACAGGTTGGCAGAGGTCAGCTCAGATCTTTAGCCTGCTTTCGCTCTGTATTTGCTTTGTGGTGGGAACAGGCAAGTTGTATCCCTTAATCTGAACCTTTAAAGCTAAATTGTCAAACTGGTTTACTGAGGGCAAGGGTCTTGAGAAGATTTACATGCAGAGATTAGAAGTAACCTTGGTAAAGCCAGCTTTTTAAAGGTTCAACTCAAAATGACTGCAAACATTGATTTAAGGGCTGGAAATAGAATGATAGAGACAAGAGAGAGGAAGGTAGAAAGATAGAGAAGGAAGGAAGGGAGGGAGGGAGGGAGGATGGGGGAGGGAGAGAGGGAAGGAAGGAAGCAGAGAAAGAGAGAGGGAGAGAGAGAGGTAAGGATGAAGGATGGAAGGAAGGAAGAAAGGAAGATCTAAGCCTCAGTAAAGAAATGCTAATAGCTCATTGAGTCTTTAGGTTATGCTCTGAATTTAGTATCTAATCCTCTAATGATGCCCAACACTGAGACTCCCATTTTTCACACAACAATGTGAATCTTTATTGAGCACACACCATGTGTGTTCTGGGCATTTTACATATAACCTTTTAATCCTGACAATCACCCTGTGAGATAAGTACTAATTTGATCTCCATTTCACAAATGAGAAACCTGAGTTACAAGATAGGTGAAAGAACTTGCTACAAAGCTGGGGTTTTAAACTTGACAGACAGCTGCCCCTGAGGAAACAAGCCCCAGAGATTAAATAGCGCACCACAGGAAGACACCCATAAGAAGAGGGGCCAGGATTTGAATCCAGACCTCCCTATTGTTCCAGCAGCACCCTGTGCTATATGCACACTGCCCAAATGCTATGGATTTGGTGACCCTTTCTGCCTTACATCCCTACTCTTATTCCTCTTTGACTTCTATTCTTTCTCAGTCTATCTTTCTTCCTTTCACATCTTGACTTTCTCTTTTCTCTTCCTGTTTCTAGATGCTTTTCTATATTTATTAAGGTAGTATCCTTTCTTCCCTTTTCCTTCAACCTGAAAACCATGACAAGCAGGAACAGCGAAATGCAGTGGTTAAGTGTACATGGGCCTGAGTTTGACTCCTGCTCCACTGTTCTTCAGCTGTGGGACTTTCAGCAAGGTAATCTTAAATCTCAGTTTCCTCATTTGCAAACTAAAACACTAGGAGAGACCTCATGAGGTTAATCTGAAGGTTAAAAGACATAGCCCCTGTAAATAGCCTTTTATAGTATCTGGCTCATAGCAAGAATGCCTATCAGTGCCACCACCTCCTCCGCCTCCTCCTCCTCCACCACCTCCTCCTCCTCCTCTTTGTCATTGTCATCATCACATTAAATGTTATTCACTTAAAAATTATTTTTGAGTATAAAAGTCAAAATGCCTTTCCCATTAAAATTTTCCTTCTTCCTTTTAGATGGCAAATTGCTCAAGGGAGGCAACCTCTCTTTTTGAATGCCACAGATTAACAAAAGTTAAATAGTTGCTATTATAATCCAATCTCTGTCTCCAGTGTAAAGTTGGTGAAGTCTAAATTTAGAACAAATTGTTACATTAAAGGTCAATTCCACAGTGAGGACAAGGGATATATTGCTTTTTGCTTTAAAGTGGGGCATGAGCTGAAGAGGGATGGATTTAAGAGGCATCCTGCTGCCACAGTGCTTGGTGCTTTAAGGACACCAGGGCTGCAGGACCCAGTGAGGGTGGACCTCAAGAGGCTGAGTGATATGTCCCTTACGGCTGACTTTCAGTGACCCACTGCCTGTCAACCAACTGTTGCCTTCCCTAAAACAATCTGCCACTTGGACCTCTCCAAAGAATTGAGAAAATTGAAGGCTGCATGAATTCAACTTCTGAAAAAGCATTTCCACTCAGCCAAGGAGCGAGTGAACAGAGTTTGGGGAGATAACAGTAGTTGCTCACAATAAAACTGCCTTAATCAATAAAGGTAATTCTCATTTTCAAAAAAATAAACACATTATGTTCTTAACTTGGTTTAGTAAATATAAGCACAAGTTTAAATATTAAATTCCACTTATATCTGTGTTAACAGACTTAAAACAAACTCTGATATCTAATTTCCCAGCCATGCTATACTTCTGGTTTCTAAATTTCCTATCCTAAGCATACTGGAATTTGCCCAAACATGAGGAAGCTGTTTCCATTTTGCCCTGTGTTCCGAGTATCTCCCTCTTAGTGCCATCTTCACACTGCCCTATTCCCTACACACCCTCTTTCCATTTAATGATTGAAAAACAGAATAAGCAGATGTTCAGTTAGTCCACTGCTTGGAACATAGTTCACATATCGTGATATTTAATGAATGCTGCATCCTCCTAAAGAGAATATTTAACTTCAATAACTGCACAAATGGCATGCACATGTGTCTGTCCCTTCCTTCGAATCCATGAAAGGGAAAGTCATTCTGGTAAAATATCCAAACTGCCTGTAAAAACATCCTCAGACTTGCTGTGTAAATCTCTGATGGGAAGGACAAGAGAACCCTGGAGGCTTTATTGCCATTGTTGCTTAAATCATACTGCTACCATTCCCCTGAAATGTCTGTATGACGGTACGTTATGAATTCGGTGTTTATGTTCCCCAGGACATTTCTGCAATACTATTTTTGAATAGCAATAATTTTTGAGTTTTTACCAACTTGACTTCAAAATACCATCACGAATCATTCACGTCTTAGCCTTACTTACGTTTTTAGTATTTTCCATGAAAAGCTAGCTCATGTTGCCTTTAGCTAAATGATAATGATCACAAAAATTATTTTGATCAGAAAACTGATTCCCATGGGGTAAGGGCCTCCTGGTCCATCCAGACTCACACTGGTTAGGTTAGCCAATTCTGTATTAGGTTAACAATTAACTTGCCTACTCTGAAAATCAGTCACATTCCTCTGATCAGCCTCCACTGTTTGGATAAAATATATCAAAAAAAAATCTAGAAATATTGGTTCCAAGACAATGCACCAAGATTGCTCCTTGTTCTTAATAAAGAAATCTTCTGAGCTCACGAGAGACAAGGTCTTCTAATCAGTATTCCCTCTTCTTTCTGCCAGGCTTATCTCATGTCAAAAGGAGATATTTTGAAAGGATCATTCAATATATAGACCCAAGGGCCTCTCTGGGGTAGGGAAGAAGGGTGGGGCTAGCAGACACAGAGCTGCCATGTCTGTTTTTAATCTGCAGCTGCTACTGCTGATGAGTTGAACTTAGGAAGGGAATCCTGCCTAAGGGTGGAGCTGCCCTGACTGACTCCCATCTGCCTGGCACACAGCTCATGAATGCATTTTCCAGCACACCATCTGCATCTCTGAGCTCCCTAATATGTGAGAATTTCACTGTGATCTTCCAGCTCTACTGCACACATTATTTTAGCTCACATATAGTATCCTGAGTCCTCTAACTCCTACACTGGATCCTGCTTCTCTGGAAACACCAGATTCCAAACTGGACCAACCAGGGCTACTAAAAACTCCCTGTATATTTGACCCTACTAATTTAGAATTTCCATCTATCAGAAAGCAAATGGTTTCAAGACTGACTCACCAAGTAAACTAGGTAGCAGTTAAAGTTGATCCTGAGTTGTAGATAAGTCTCTTGAGGCCTTTCCAAAAATAAAAATGTAGCAGAATGTTGAAAATGTAGCTTGTGCTCAAGAAATACATATTAAATGCACAACAACAATGATTTTAAATCCCCAACAGAATAAAAAGGTCTCTTTTAATGTTCACCTGGAAAAGTCTTTTAAAGTAATGTAAGAGCCTGGGCACACACCGCAAAAAACTCAGTGCTGTGTAGCTGGGGTAACAAATTCTCATAGGCCTCCAAATCTTTGGTGCTGTGTGTATATATATATACACACACACATATATATACACAGTGTATATATATGCATATATGCACACTATATATAGTGTATATAGACATACATACACACTACATATATACACTATATGTATATATACACATATATAGTGTATATATATATGTGTGTATATATAGTGTATGTGTATATATTTATGTTATTAGGGAGAAGCAGGAAGATACAATTTGCCAGAGTTTATTCTTTCTCCAAAATGGATGGGTAGAGAAGTAACTGAGCTACTTAGAACTAATCCAGTGTCATTTACTCTGGTTTCTTAAAGTCTGTATAATGTGTGATCCACATACAACAGAAGGAGGAAACCTCAGCATCATCGCAGAATTTCTGTTGGTTGGGAAAGAGAAATGGGAGACAGAGGAGCAGCCACTCTGAAGAGCTGAATGGAGGTTTAGAGCCATTTTGAAATTTTTGAATGGGGCTTACAGAATTTTGTTAAATCTAAGCTATGATTTTGGCATCGACCAACCAATAAATAACAGTGCCTCCCTTTGCCACCTTTCTGCATGGCCCAGCCTCTGCCTCCTGCTGACCCTGGCTTTTGCCTCATCCAGCCCTGCAGTTCCTCTGTTGCCTCCTAGTCTTGTGAGCCTTTAGTCTTTCCAACCATACTCAGTTTTCTTTGCTGATGATCAACTGTGTAACTTACGGAAATTGCTCACCACTCTGAAGTTCAGCTTCCGTATCTCTAAAACGGGGATAATATAACATCTACATCAGAGGGAATGGGGATAATATAACATCTATATCAGAGGGATTATGAGAATCACTTTATCCCATGGAGTAAAGAACCCCTGTAGTGCCTTACACAAGCACCTTTGAATCCTAAATCTCTTTGGTCTATGGTTGCTGCCAATCATAGGGAAAAACCCACCCTCTGTTTTCTCTGCTCCTGCTCACATTGTCTACACTTAGGAAGATCAACACCCCAGCTTCTCAAACTTCTCCACAGGCCTTCCTGTAATAGCAAAAGAGATTTGAACAGATGCCCTTAACCTCCCAGAGATGGTTGTGGTTATCATTCAGAACAGTTTACTGGGTCATGATCAGTGGCTTATGCCTGCAAGCCCAACAATTTGAGAGGTTGAGGTGGGAGGATCACTTGAGTCTGGGAATCCAAGACCAGCCTGGGCAACCATATTAGTCTGTTCTCACACTGCTAATAAAGACATACCTGAGACTGGGTAATTTATAAAGGAAAGAGGTTTAATAGACTCACAGTTCCACATGGCTGGGGAGGCCTCACAATCATGGTGGAAGGCAAATGAGGAGCAAAGTCACATCTTACATGGCAGCAGGCAAGAGAGCTTGTGCAGGGAACTCTCATTTATAAACCCATTAGATCTCATAAGACTTATTCACTACCATGAGAACAGAATAGGGGAAACCACTCCCATGATTCAATTATCTCCTACCTGGCCCTGCCCTTGACACGTGGGGATCATTATAATTCAAGGTGAGATTTGGATAGGGGCACAGTCCAATCACATCAGCAACATAGTAAGACCTTGTCTCTACTAAAAATAAAGCAAAAAAACCTAGCTGGGTGTAGTGATGTGTGCGCCTGTAGGCCCAGCTACTGATTAATCTGAAGTGGAAAGATTGCTAGAGCCCAGGAGTTAAAGGTCACAGTGAGCTATGATTGTACCGTTACACTCCAGCCTGTGTGACAGAGTGATTCCCTGTCCCCATCTCTAAAAAAGCAAAGAAAAACAGAAAAGAACAAAAAAAAGGCTTACTACAGTATTTGTTTGAAGTTTCTCATTTACCTTAAAAATTTAACAAACCTGATTTTCATCCTATCCTTCTATATTAAAATGATTTTTAAAATATTGATCTAAGCAATTGCAATTTCACTGCAAATGTTCCAAGTAAAATTGACACTAGAGGAAGATGTGTTATGTTCCATGGTCACATGTATCCTAGGCACAAGGTCCACAGACCCAAGGGTGTGGAAACCTGGATTTGGACACTATGGCCTAACGGATTGTTTTATTACAGACTTGTGATATGCAGCCTCACCCTGGCTCTCATTCTGATCCACAACATTTTCATTCATTAAATATTGACTTTCTGCCATATTATTCACAAATACTGTATTGAAATTTCCCCTCTTCAAATTCGAACCTCATTTGTATTTTCCTCACTGAAATAGATACCCTCTGAAATCCCTCAACTCTCATTTCAAAAGCTAGCAAATCAACACTTAATCCCACCTTTTCCCTTTCTCTTCTAATTCCATGACTGTACCCCTCCTCTGTCACAAATTTAACCTTCCTTGAGCCCTCCTGCCTCATCTGAACTTGTGTCTCTGTCCCCCTCTTTTCTTTGTATTTTTAGTTTCTTCTCAGAATTGAACCCTTCTTTCTAGCCAGTGCTCCCTGTAACCTAGCTAAGCTTACCCAAATACTCGACCTGCTAGCCAAGCATCTTGTCTTTTACTTCTTAGTATTCCTAGATTTCCACTGAGACTTGAAGTGTGTACACAATGAATTATGAAAAGGACTCACCACCCACGGAGAGCAGGCAACTTCAAGTTTAGCTCTACAGTCAGTAACTGCTTTTCAACTTGCACCATAAAAACAACACCCAAATGTATACGAACTCTAAAGCTTTAACTGATAGCAGGTTCAAATATGGACAAAATTCCATTTGTCCCAAATGTCTTTATTAGGAAGTTTGAGGCAACAGCAAATCTTCACATAAACATTATTGAAGAAAAAATTTTCAATCATTAATTTCTGCATTCCAACAAATAACTCCTAGTCAAATTGGAAAACTGATGTTCTTAAACTAGGATCACTTGCCACAAAGAACAAAGTGGCATCTTGCAACAAGTCATTTTAAATAAGGCTGGAAGACATCTTTGTGTTTCCTTTTTCAGAGTGTATTCATCAGTAAGGTACTAGCCTAAGATAAACCAGCACCATGGAGCCCTGAGATCACCATGGCTAAGTGGAAGGTGGTTTTGAGGTACTTTTGGCTAAGTACCAGGTAGGACTCAGAAATCTGAGCAGCAGCAGAACTGGGTCAAAGCCTAAGAACCTCTCTAAAATATCCACTTGCTGATCTGCTATCATTAACTACACTCTCCTGAGAATGAAATCTGAAAAGGAAAGTAGCTGAATCCAAAGGTCTTTTGTGAAGTCTAATTGGAATAGAGGTTTTGAATATAAATTCCTAAAAGACACAAGAAGGTATGATGGGGGATAGCGGGGGAGCAGGGATAACATTCCAACTGGTTTACATAATAAAAACCAAAGAGACTGGTAATTAGTATGCACATTTATTTGACATTCTTTGATAACCTTTCCTCTGCTTCACTTTTGCGAAGGGCTATTCAGCATTTTCCCAGACTTACAATTTGGCCCAGATGCTAGAAATAAGCAGCTAATAGAGACCTGGTGTACAGAAGAGAGTAATAGGAAATGCACACAAGTAGATAAATTTGTGGTCTGCAGCCTGAGCCTCAGCACTAAGAGGTCAGTGGGTTATTCTCAAGGACACTCAAGAACTCCCCCTGCCGTTTCTTGCAAACGTAGGACACCCACTGCATTATGTCAACTGAGGAAAGAATATTAAAAGACAAAGTTTGTGACCCATGTTAACTCACACATTTCCTCAAAAGAAGAGTTGTGTATTATTTTAAGATCCATTACTGGGCTGCCAGTGACAATTACTCAGCCACTTATTAGTAAAACTGAGTGAAATGCTGTGAAGGAGTTATTATTTCCTGAAATTGTCTTGATGAAAAAGAAAAAAATGATAACATTTCAGATATCTTAGCCTCATTCTATTTAAAGTTCAAAATATGAGTGCATTGGTTTCCTATGGCTGTTCTGACTGAGGCAGGAATAATACAGGGTGGTCACAGGAGAAAAGAAAATTCCAGGCAGCAGTTTCACATGACTAAGCAAAAGGAAACTGCTGAAATAGCTGCATAAGCGAGGGGCTGATAAGACCCCGAAGAACAAGGGCGTGGTCCAAGCTGGCTAGACCGACTGGACCCAACATGGTGCTGGATTTGACCTAGGTTTCACCTAGAACTTCATTACATGCTCATTACCATGCTAAATCACACACCTTTCCAGGGCCATGACAGTTCTGGAAACACCCATATTTGGTGTAAAAAATGGGTGGTACTACAGTTCCGAGAAATCTTAAAGTTTTTCCAGGAATCTTCATGAATATTCTACCCATTGGTTAAAGAAACCCATAAAAGCAGAAACCCCAAACCCTCTGGCACAACTCAACTCTCATGAGTACACCAGCACTCCCCTTTCTTGAGTGTGTACTCTTTGCTTTGCAATAGATCTCTATACTTTCACTATTTTCTGACTTATCCTTGAATTCCTTCTTGTAATGATGTCAAAAGCCTGGACACCAGCCGGGGTCAAGGTCCCACTGGTGTTTTGGGGGCCTCCCGCAGCCCACCGGCATCATTACAAATTAACACAAATGTGGTGCTTAAAACAATACGCATTTATGCTCTTACGATTCTGAATGTTAGAAGTCTGAAATTAGTTTCACTGGGTTAAAGTCAAAGTGTTGACAGGCTACCCTCCCTCTGGAGGCTCTTGGGAGAATCCCTTTCCTTGCCTTTTCCAGTTTTCAAAGCTGCATTCCTTACATTTCTCGGCTCATGGCCTGTTCTTTCATCTTCAGATACAGTAGCATAGCCTCTTGAAATGACTCTCGGCTTCCAACACATTGCCTTCTCTGTAGTCAGAGCTCCCTCTGCCTTCTCTTGTAAGGACACTTGGAATTACATTTAGTATCCACCCAGATATTTCAGGATAATCTTTCTCATCCTCGAATCCTTAATCACATCTGCAAAGTCCCTTTTGCCATATAAGGTAACATTCACAGGTTTTCAGAATGAGAACATGAACATAAATGGCCATTATTCAGGCTACCACAATGAGTGTCCATATGGTTGTTTGATTTAAATCCTATAATGTGAGCCAAAAGAAAGAAGGCGCAGTGTGGTGGTTAGATCCTTATCCCCAGTGATGCTAAGACCCATCTTGTCATTGTCCATTGTGCAAGCCTAGAACTACTGAAGTTCCTACACAAAACAAGTTCAGACCCAAATCTCTGTGACTCCAGATCTGCAGCTTTTAAAGGGGCAAGCCAGCTAGGTCACGCTGACAAAAACAAAGACAATCATCCTGGGCTGGTGATTAGAAATCAGGAGGCATATTTGCAGCACATTCCAAGTGGACATAATTATCTGCCCTCTCATGAAAGCCCTTGAACCCAGAGCTAAGCTGCAGTCAATAGCACTATGAGGGAAAAAATAATATTAATGAAATGGTAAGGATAGCTGGAAGGGGTGGGAGAACATTTTGCAGAAAACCTGTAAATACTCTCCTAAAAGAAGTAGGTCAGATGGTATTGAATCTTGAGATGTCTGAACTGGGCAGTGACAGTGATTAAGTTGGTATTATAAATGACAATGATTATTCCCTGAACAGGCTGAATAGGAACATTTTAAATACTAACACACCTAAGCCTGAATTCCAGCTCTGCCACTCACCAGCTGGGTTACCTCAGGCAAGTTATTTTCTGAGCCTTAGATTTCTTACCTTATAGCAAGATAAAATAAAATTATTTCTTAGGATTATGGTAAGGTAACAGGAGATCATATATTATCTGAGTGCCTGGAACACACGGTTGTTCATGTAGCTGTAAGTACAAGGGCAGTGGTAGCTGAGGGAGGAGTATGATGTGGAGCTAATGAAACAGCTTAAGGGCATCCAGCTATAGGCAGTGATTATAAACCTCTGCCTCCATTGCCACACTGCCAGGCGTATTGGTTGTCATGTCCTGGTTTACTGCTGTGTATGGCACAATGGTCACCTAAAGAGTTACTAAGGTTCAAGTGTAGCAAGGTTCCATGCTATCTTCCCTGCACACGTGAGTCTGTGGCATCACTGCCAATGCTCTATATTTCTGGACTTCTTGTGTCTCTGGCTTAATGAGCTTTCGTGTAGGGGTGCAAGCTGCAGTTTGTAGCAACAGATTAAAGACTTCATTAATACTCAATATTGACTCACTGACTTGCCTCATATTGACATCAAGATGCCTGTTTTGCAGGCTGCTGCCACAATCATCATTGAGATTTCCTGTCAAGGCATTTGCCACCATTAGCCCTCTTCTTCTGACTGCTTGTTGTTTGTACTTCCTAGAGGCCATGGTCATGCATCAGCCCTACTCATTTAAAGATCACACAAAAAGGTGAGCCTTTTATAGACATTATGAACTAATCACATAAAGTAATACCATTGGTAAGCTGACCAAACACCATATGGGGAATATCTTTGGGTCTTTGCTGCTTTTTACTGATGGGTGCACAAGAGTTTTCCTGGATCCAAAAGGCATGATTCCCTCCCCCACTCCCTTTTTCCCTCATCAACAGCTGTTCAGGACTCAAGGTCCAAACACCGTTCTCTAGCTATTAATTCTAATTTCTCTGGGAAAATGGCAGATAATGACTAACTTCTAGGGAAGATGTACTATCATTTATTTCTGTAAACATTGCAATTACTTTTTCTTTCATTTCCGAAAGGTTTTAAAACTGCTTATGAATTAAGTCAAAATGAGACAAGAATATGAGAGAACATTTAAAGGAAGAAACAGAGTAGGTGTTCAGGCACGAGTTTGACGGATTATAGCTTTGGAGCAATACACTTGGCTCTAAGCATTCTGGATGCCTAGAGTAAAAAGGGAAACACATTGAGATTTTAAAAAGGAAAGCATACATATTAGCATACGAAACTATTCTCACAACTAAACTCAAGTAGAAATTTATTATAATGGTCTTATAGCATGTCAGTATATTAATAGCTTTGCAAAACAAAGTCTTATTTAAAAATAACATTTTCATTTCAACATTCTGAAGGCATATAGAAATATATTTAATTCTAAATCAATGAAAGTCTTTTTTTGAAGGAACATATATCAGTCTGCCAAAACAGCCATAACAAACTAGATTGCTTAAGCAATAGAAATTTATTGTTAGAAATCCAAGATCAAGGTGTCAGCCGGATTGTTTTTTTCTGAAGGTTGTAAGAGAGAATCTGCTCCATGTCACCCTCTGAGCTTCTGGTGTTTTGCTGGCAATCTGGGGTTCCTTGGCTTGTAGATGCATCACTTTGACCTCTGCCTTCATGCTCACATGGCATTCTCCCTGTATGTATGTCCCTGTGTCCAAATGTCCCCTTTTAATGACACTAGTCATATTCGTTTAGGAGCCCACCTTACTCCAGTGTAACATCATGTTTACTTAACTAATTACATCTGTAATGACCCTATTTCCAAATAAGATCACATTCTGAGGTACTGGGAGTTAGGACTTCAACATATGAATTTGGGCGAGGCAGGGGTGGGGCACAGTTCAACCCCTAACAGATTCAGATGAGGTACGATAAATATTTTAGTTGCAAATGAGCTGTCCCAACACAGACACAGACCTGCAGCACTTAAATAGACTACAGCACTGCACAATGTCTTAAGCAAACTTTGGACAAGTCCTAGGTCATGGTTAATTCCTACCTATGTGTATGTAGAAAGTCTTTGTCGCTGACAGCTTAGGAATGAGATTCTAACTACAAGGGACACTCTGAATTATTTTTCCAGGAATGATGATTAAGTGGATACATCCATACCCACTCCATTAAAATTTCACCTCAATACTCCAAGATTGTTCCAAGCTTCTCTAACTTTCTGGATCTTACCAGATGTCCTAAAAACATGCCTCTAGAATAAATGAAAGAATAGGACTACGTCTATGTGCAGCAACTATCACTAGCAGGGAAAGTAGCTTCATTTCATGATCTACTGACATAAGCTTCATATAAAAGATAGGCTTATTATTATAGCGAAAGAAAGATACAGTCCCTCGATTCTAGCATTTGAAGGAGGCCACATATTTCCTCTCCAAATGTGAGAATTAAAAAACAAAAACAATAACACCCCCCCAATGTCTGACTTCTGAGACATTTCTAAAACTAGAATACAGGTACCCGGTAATAAATAACAACCAGGTAATAAGCAAATAACCAGGTAATGGGTGGACAGATAAAACAGAAAAAAAAAATCCTCATGAAGAAGAAGTACTCAATGTCCTGTGAAACACTATATTATAGTGATTAAAGCCAAGGTTGATACCAGGTTTTAACATTATTATTTTCACACTGCTGCCACTGTCATAGTCGTAACAAGCATCACATCAACATAACATTCTATTTTTCTTGTTAAAAAGATCTATCTTTTAAAGAATCTGTTCGGAGGCAGCTACATATTCTCTGCTATTCGATTTTTAGCATAGTTCCAGGTACATATTAAATGCCAATATTTTCCAGGAATAATTATTGTTAAGTTTACTTTTTCTGAAGAAAAGAAAAACCTGCAATTCAATGCTAATTGATAAAGTGGCTGTGTTCCACATGTTATTGGTTGAGAAATATAGGGAGTAGATATTCATATCCAAATTATCAGTTAAAACCTTTTTTGGAATATTTCTAACATCAGTCAAACTCAAAGCATCTGAAGCATTCTTGTTAACACTAAAAACCAGGCAAAAACTGATGCTAAGAAACCAAACCTTGAGAGAATTCTTTACTGGTAACAAAGGAATATGCGAATATGCTGTTCTGACTCATTATGGTAATATATTACTCTTCAACCAAATGAACAGTAAGCAACTCATAGAAATACTAAATGAGAAAATTACACAGATGCTAGAATGATATATAGAAAAAAAGTAAATGTTTTATGTATTTATACATAGGTTAGTTTGTTATAATAAGGCAACACTTTCCCTGAGGTGCTAGAGACATAATACCCTGACAATGTATCTCTAAAAGGATTTTAGATATAAGCATGAAACAAAGAAAGGTTTGGTTAGAAAACTTTATGCATCACAGTTTTTATTTAAAATAAAGAATTTTAGTGGCTCACACCCTGTAATCACAGCACTTTGGGAGGCCAAAGCAGGCAGATTGCTTAAGCCCAGGAGTCCAAGACCAGCCTGGGCAACATGGTGAAACCCTGTCTCTATAAAAAATTAGCACCAGACATGGTGGTGTGTGCCTATAGTCCCAGCTACTATGGAAGGCTGAGGTGGGAGATCACCTGAGCCTGGGAAGTTGAGGCTGTAGTGAGCCATGATCATGCCACTGCACTCCAGCCTGGGCAACAGAGACCATGTCTCAAAAATAATAATTAATAAAATAAAGGATTTTAATGTGATATTTATTCCCTTCTCTTATTATAGTCACTTGTCTGGAAAGAGGCTTTGTACCCAGCCTTAATTTGGGTTGACAGTTTGCAATGTTAAACCTTGACGTGTGGTCTGAAAATAGTGACTAACACAGTATACAGAATACTGACTTTCCCTTATTTGAGTGGAATCTTCTGAGTTTCACAAAAAGGGTAATTTATTTACTTCATTCTGATTACTAATTTTGAAGTCATATATTCTTTTATTCAAAGTCCACATTATTAAAGTTGACAGGACCCAGAACAAAAGAGAGTCCTAAAGTTTTTCCTTAATGAGATATTCTTTTATCATCGAAAATTCCTCAACTTGAAGAAACTTTTAAGTTTTTCATGTCTCTGATCCAATACTTTGTTGTACACAGATGGCTTTAAATCAATTGGTTAGTCCTATGGGTCTGGTGAAGAACTGAAGAAAAAGTGATAGGTCATCTATAGAGTAGGATAAGAACAGACAAGAAGAGAGAAAATGAGATATTTAGAAATAAGGATGATGACAAGATCTCAAAAAATGTTTTAAGTGTTCAGGATATAATTAACTAAAAACATAAATGTATATGGGTCAAGACTGTGCTCTTCTACTCAAAAGATTTGAACTTTAAAAATTTTGAAAGAAAATGAATTCCTTTGGCCCATTTATTTCAAAGTATGTTCCCCAGTCAGCAATAGGATATCCATTGGAACTCCTTGGAAAAAAAGTACAGACCACTTTAGATAAACATAATCCACTAATATTCCATCCTCTTTCATCCTACACCCTCTCACTGGGAAGATGTATTTGAGATGGGGAAAATAATATTCAAAAAGTTTTGGAGCCTCACAAAAAAGACTGTTATGCAAAGAAAGTTCAGAAGTGTTTTTAAAAATATTGTGGACTCTAAAATTCACCAAAAATTATTGAATCCTTATCAGCATCAAGTAGTTATACCGCAATGGCAAGATTGAAAGCTCATTGAACTTAGGTTGTTAAAACTGTGAGAATTTGGCTAGGCACGGTGGCTCACGCCTGTAATCCCAGCACTTTGGGAGGCCGAGGCGGGCGGATCACGAGGTCAGGAAATTGAGACCATCCTGGCCAACATGGTGAAACCCCGTCTCTACTGAAAATACAAAAAAAAAAATTAGCCGGGCATGGTGGCGGGCGCCTGTAGTCCCAGCTACCCGGGAGGCTGAGGCAGGAGAATGGCGTGAACCCGGGAGGCGGAGCTTGCAGTGAGCCAAGATCGCGCTACTGCACTCCAGCCTGGGCCACAGAGTGAGACTCCGTCTCAAAAAAAAAAAAAAAAAACTGTGAGAATTTTCTTTTAGAATTATATTGCAATTAATTAAAATATAAGAAACAATTGCTCAGCATAAAGTCAATGAGTAGCAAAAATAAATGATATACATTGGAAGGACTTAATGAAATCTTTCACTGGCCATGGCAGAAAAGCAATCATCAGACTTGCTTGGTGAAACACTCTGGTTGACCCATGTAATGTTAACATCCGATACAGCCGCACACCTATGCAATCAAGCAAAGGCAAGGCAGAATATTTCATATCTCAATTTAAAATAAGCTGAATCTCAGGGGAGGCAGCAGTGTGGATTCCAATGTACACTGGTGGAAGCATCAGGGTATCTGCATTTAGACCCTTGACCATTTGAGAGTCAGTTATACAAATTTGGACAGTTCATTTAACCTGGGCAAAGAAAGAACAAAACTAGAACCTCCTTTTTCAACTCCAGAGATTTCTATGAGGATTAAATGACCTCAAATAAAGAGTAACATAAACTACACAGCTCTGTAAAATTTTAGTGGTTAATACTGCTAAAATAAATATTTGTTAGAATTCACTTTCGAAAGAGCTTTGGTATTTTTCACCTTCCCATGTAATCCCATGGTTGTGTATAAAACATGGGTTTAATTGGTTCAAGTTGCTGGTCAATTAACTTTTTTAAATTCTACCTTAATAAAATGCTGAATCACAGTGCAAACATTTCAAATCAGTGCTGCTTAATACAATCATTCTTAACAGAGAGTACATATTTCCATTTTCTTCAGCGCTTTAAATTGAGCGCTGCTGTCCCTTTGAGAATGCAATGCCAACATTCTAATTTATTTTCAATTAGTGGTTAATTTGCTTTAAAAGGTATGTTATCAACACTTCCTAGTCCTGAGAGTTTCCTGGATAGGACAAGAGTATTGGGAACCCAACTCATTTTCCTTTTGTGAACCATTAATAGGTCACACAAAATCACAGCCTACTGAGTAAACTTTCAGAGACACACAAGGTTGCGAAAACCTCAGCATCCTTTCTTAGCTCACTCCCCGATCATTTTCTCCTCAATCGTCTACAGGACAGGTAACAAAAGTCATCTGCTTAGAAACAGTATGTTAGATAAGATAGTCCCCCAAAAGGTAGTATAAATAATAACTTTCCTATATGACAAACATATCAAAATAATAACATTTATTGTAAAAAGAAAAAAAAAACCTCACTTACCAGAAATCCTCTTTATAAAAAAAAAATCCAGGAATAAACTCTAAAACTTTTTCAAGTAACACTGTAAAAATCTCAGATTACTGGTGTAACATAACATATTCCTGAATCAGAAAGCTCACTATAGTAAATGTCAAATTGATTCAAAACTTTAGCTAGAGAGTAAATACTCCAGTATCCTTAAGAAATTTTTTAAAGAATAATAAAATAATAATAAAACAGGAGCTGTCCTCCTGGATTTAAAAATGTAAAATAATGCTACAGACATTTAAAAATCTGGCCCTGGTATATTAGAATAGATAAATGTATCAATGGAACAGAACAGAGAGGCCAAAAATAAACTCAGATGTATATGGGAAGTCATCTATAAAAAAGGTGGGACTTCAAAGCAAAGTTTGGACAACTAGGCCATATAGGGAAAAACCCCAATCATTTAAAAAACAAATTTCATATGTATGAAGTATCTAAATTTAATATAATAGATAATATATGTAGATATAAACACACGTATAATATACCAGAAAATAGAGGTGAATACTTGTATAATCTTGAAGAGAAAATGGCCTTTCCAAGTATGACCCAGAACTCAGAAGCCACGTAGGAAATACTTGGTTTGCTGATTTGTTTACATACAATAATGTAAATTTCCATGCAGTAAAAGGCAGTTCAAAGCTGAACTACATGAATCACAGCCAAAAGTTGACAGAAAATATTGAGCTCCTCCTACAAATCAAGAACTAAGGCAAAAAACCTAATAGAAAAATGAGTGAAAGTTATCAGCAAACAATTTATTGAAGAATACCAATGGCCAATTGACATTGTTTTATTAAAATTGTTTGTATTGAGTTTTGAGAATGTAAATATGTATTTTTCTCTATAAAAATTGTTCCAGAAGTTTTGAAAAATATGTATTTTAAAGTTTGACTATTAAAAATCAGGAAGTGTTCTATCAAAAAAAAACTGGTAAGAATTTGCTTGTGTAGTCTTTTTCTCTCATTTTTCACAAAGATATTCTATTTATACACTATTGCTTTTTTCACTTTATTTTATAGACACAACACACAATTTTAGATTAAAAGAAAGTGAAAAACAGAATATATATTAGGAAATTAGTGGCTGTCTCTAGACAGTTGGATTATGGATGATTATTTTCTTTTTGTTTATCTGTATTTTCTAGATTCCTTATATTCTGCATTAAAAAAGATTTTAAGGGTATAACTTGAAAAAAATGAATTACTTCAACTATTCTTTAAAAAATTACTCATGAGACATCACTCTTCAAACAAATCAGATAACTAAGTCACTATATTGGTGAAAAGATAAACTCACTAATTCATAAATGCAACATGATTCACATATACATGGTCCTCCAATCAATCATTTGTATATTTAATTGAAATAAATTATTGACATTTACTATGATAATTCTACTAACAAAAGCCTTAGGATGTTTACTTCATCATGTAAAAACCATTTAAACGCAAGTGAAGATATCTTTAAGTCAGAATTTCACAGTTAAGGCCAGGCATGGTGGCTCATGCCCATAATTCCAGCACTTTGGGAGGCCAAGGTGGGTAGATCACCTGAGGTCAGGAGTTCAAGAGCAGCCTGGGCAACATGGTGAAACCTGGTCTCTACTAAAAATACAACAATTAGCCGAGCATGGTGGCGCATGTCTGTAATCCCAGCTATTTGGGAGGCTGAGGCGGAGGCTGCAATGAGCTGAGATCACACCAATGCACTCCAGCCTGGCTTACAGAGAGAGACTCTCTCTTAACCAAAAAAAAAAAAAAAAAAATTCACAGTTACACTTACAGCTAGTTAAAAGAGTTTTTCCTACTTATTAAAGTATTTCAAACAAAGCTTTGTACACTAAGAAATTGACAAACAATTTAAAGCACAATCTTGCAAAGACATTAAAGCCAACAATAGCCCTACAAACAACAGAAAATTATTGTAAAAATAAATCTTGAAGATGGTGCCTATTTTTAAACGATCTATTTTGTTTAAGTTAGCACTGGGGAAAGAGGGGCAGAGCAAATCTGTAATCCAGATCCACAAAAGAAATATTCAACACAACAAAAATTTAAATGAAATACTTTCCAAATCGACTAACAGGAATAAAACATAAATCTGAATTCACGATCCAGAAAAATGGCTGAAGAGTGGCTATAATATACAATCTCTTGCAATTAAATAAAGTCAAAGTCATATTTGAATTAGGACATAAACAAAACAGAATTTCAAGTAATTCAGCAATGTTTTTGCCTTCATAGTCAAATACAATTCTGCTGACAGCATAATTTCTATCATCCGTGCACTGGAGTCAAGTGAATATAAAGATAGAGAAAATGCATTTTCTTGTTTAGGAAAAAATAGATTCGAAATTTACGGGAACAAAAAACCTAGTGCTTTCCCAAATTAGAGGAAATTTGTATTAAAAGACTGATTGTAGCTCAAGGGTCAAAAATCCTACAGAATCTTGTCCCATCTAAAATCCACTTCGCCATCTCTTCTCAGGCTCCAAGTGCTTTCTCTTGCGGGCTCTCTGCTCAGCAGCACTTCTCAGCTGGCCGCTGGGTCTACACATGCTTTGCTGACACTGCTTAAAGAACCAAGATTAATTTTCTATAAAGTGTAGGTAGATGGAGAAAAACCAGAAGGATTCACAGGACTAGTCTGTCATTCTAATAAACAGAAAAGCCAGAAAAGAGAAAGAGAAGGGAAAAAGAAAAAGGAAGGAAGAATGAAGAAATTGAGATGGGAATTAAAAAGAAATTATTCGGGCAGATAGGGTAAGGAAGTCCTTGGTAAGGTTTCCCTTTTAATGAAAAGCAGTTCCAAACTTATTTCTTTTCTCACAAAGAACAGCCCACAAAATCGAGCTGCAGACAGATAAGTAAGCTAGAAGCTTGCACAGGCGAATGCTGGCAGTTGTGCCAATAGGAAAGGGGCTACCCGGGAACTAGGCATGTTCAAAATGGCAGCTCCATCTTTCCTTTTCCTTGCCAACCACGTGTGCCGTAGGGAGCAGACAACATGGCTGCAGGTCAGGCAAGGACTCCATTTGCATCATGATTAGGGTGGGGCTGCCAGCTTCCCTGTGTGCTGTGTAAATGTCACACCTGGTCCAACCAATCTATGGGCCCCATGTCACTCAGACACCACCTTCTCAAGCCGGTCTATAAAACCTTTGCGCGCGCGCTCTCTCTCTCGCAGGAGAGACAGCTATTTTCCTTTCTCTTTCTTTTGCCTATTAAACCTCCCCTCCTGAACCCACTTCTTGGTGTATCTGCGTACTTGATTTCTTTGGCGTGAGAGGACGAACCTACGGTATTTACCCCAAACGAGGCCGCTTCAAAATCATTGATTCAAGTGAAGATATCAAAGCATGTAATTAACAGTCTACAAAGCTTAAATCAGCTGATGAGGGAGAGTGTGCGGTACCACGTAAGGGCCAGAGAAGCTTCCCCAATTCCTGAGTAGGTAGGCTTCAGTCATGCACCATTATTTCTCCACCTAAATGTGGGTCCAGGGAATTGAGTCCAGACAGGCCCATCTGCAAAAATGTGAGGTGAGTGTTACAAATGTAGGACTGGAAGACAGACATCTGAACATGTGATGTGATAAATGTTAAAGGAGAAGAGATTACAGGATGCCACGGAACACATAGCAGAGGCAACTCATTTAAACTTGGGGGAAGGAAAATATTTTAGCTGAGACTGAAAGCATGGGAAGGAGTTAGACAGGCAAAGCAAGGAAAGGGTGTTTTCTTTGAGAAAAGGGAAATGGAATCTGTAAATGCCCAAAGGCAAGAAATGTGTTAAAGATGGAGTGAAAGTAGTCTTGGAGGAGAGTACTGGAGACCAACCAGGTACGATTGGACCATCGGGATACTGGAAGGGCTTGGAGGTCATATCAGGGACAATGGGAGCCACAGAGAGTGCAAGCAAATAACTTGAAAAAATAAAAATCACTTAATGACTGGCACTATATATAATTTTACTTTTAAACTAGAGGCAATTAAGAAAATTTAGACTAGAGGGTAATTAAGAGCTTTGCAAGGCCCCAAGGACATTGTTATGGCTTTCAGTCATCATTATACTTTACTGGAGATGAACCCAGCACGTCCTACAAATGACCTTTTATCACCTGATATATGTACTATGATTTAGCTGTTTCTTACAGAAGTCTTTTTTTTTTTTTTTTTTAAGTTCTGGTTATTTGGACTACTGGTTGGTTGGATCACGAATAAATAAATGCTTGTTATATTTTAGAAAAGTTAGAAGTGTAACTATCAAATTTATAAGAATTCCTAATACTTTATAATTCCAAATCTATAAACTAGTACACTCCAGATCATTTTTGATCATGTATTTCATCAACAAATTGTTTTTGAGCTGTACCTGATACATACATCATAGTAATAGTACATAATTTCAAGTATAAATTACTATTATGCACATTATAAAAGATTTATGTATATTTTAAAATATATACAAAAATAGAAAATAAAAAACAATGAGAAAAGAAAAAAAAAAAAAAACAAAACCAGAAACTAATAGAGGAAATAGAACCCTCCCAAGAGGCAATCTTGTGGACCACTCTGGAAACCACATGAAATATTTTAATAAGTGATTCCTGATTTTTTTTTCATATAGACAAGTTCTACATATGGGATATTTTATTTCTGATTTGAAGAAATATAATATTATGCATGCAGCATTCCTAATTCTTAATTTAAAGGCACACCTTAACAGGTACTTAATCAACAGATTCTAACTATTTTCATTACAAAAAATATTCCAACCACAAGCATCACTGAGATCACCATTGACTCTTGAATGGATTCAGTGTATTATGTCACCACATCCTGGACAAGGAATTTCAAACATGTACAGTTGTATGGCCTTCTCGAAGCCTTATGTTTCTTACTGCAAGGAACAGAGAAGAATAGATAGATTTAATATTTAAAAAATAACACTAAAGGCCTCAATAAAAGAAAAATAAAGACGGAAAGAAGAAAAAAATGTGTAGTAAAAAGGACCATCATTTAAACCTCTCCATAAGCTTCCTAAATAAAATAAATAGTTCAGTATTATCTTTCCCTTATTGAGTAACTGCCTTTAAACATACCACTGAATATTCTGCTGTAGTGGCCAGACCATGGGTCAGGTCTGTCCGGTTTGGATCCAGCTCTGCCACTTACTGTGTGATGTTAGGCAAGTTACCTAACCCAAGTCTTTGATTCTTTATTTATAAAATGGGTTATAGCAGCACCTACACCTCCTAGGATTCCTGGGTGTATTACATTAAATAATATAATGTGAGGTGCTTAGCACGGTGTCTGGGCTACTGTAAGTACTCAATAAACCAGCATAATTGTTCAAAGAAGTAAAAGGATATGTGAAACAAAACATTGCCTTTTCTGATAAAGAGCCCAGGGTTAATGTAAATTATAAACACTTTTTTTTGCTCTTGTTCTTACAGAATTTTTGTCTCCCTTGGTGATCACGGTGTCCTTTCAGATGTCTGTCTGAATCAATGCCATTTTTTTTTAGATTAAAAGGTACAGATAGGAGGCTGTCAAACTTGCTCTGCAAATGAGCAGAGTCCTGAGGGCCAAGGGGATGGATGGATAAGATAAAAGTAATTAAATTACCAAATGTAGTGGTTTCTAGCGGCAGTCTTTGCTTATGCCAGGAAGAGTGCCCAAGGTTGAAAAAGCCTTGAGAGTGGACGGGTAAATGAGGTGGAAACTTCAGTTCTCAAATATGGGAGCCAGCAGCTACAATATAGTTACTAGGAGACAAAAGAGAAACAGTTTCCAGGAGGAAGAAGGCTGGAAAAGTACAACGTACATGTTCACGTATTTCTTTCCTAAATCTAGTATTTACCTGTACACATACTGTGCTACTCATTCTCACAAGCTATCTTTCTCCTCCTGTCTTACAGATGAATCAACCAAGGTTTGGAGACAATAAACTGCTCACCCAAGATTATATAAAGAAAGCAAAAATTGCAGTTAGAAGTGGCATTTGTTGGTTGTAGTAACAGTTATCATAATCTGTGCCATGGATATCAGAAAGGCCAAGTGTGAAGGAGCTGAACCAACTAGAAACTGATTTTTAAGTTGTAGGTTTAAAACATACCAGTTGATGGACAGAGGCCTATTTGCATTGATAAGTCACTGGAGTAAAGAGGTAAAAATCTTAAGAGATTTCACGTGGCTGATTCATTGCTACAGAAACAACTTCCTTGGTATCTGATGGTTATAAGCTTAATGACTCTTGCTTTGTTTCCATGAATGAATTGGCATCATTATGGAGAACTGAGGGAATGCAGACTTTCAAGGCAGGGAAACATTACATTTAGCTCATATACATGATAAAAAGAAACAGATTGTGTAATTACTACACATCTGTGAGCACATTTTTTTTTTTAAATAGAACTTTTCCTGAATAATTAATCACATCTCTTGATTTAGGCCTTGGTAGTTTTTAATAAATTTTAAATATTTATACCGTGTTGCCAACTATTTAATTGCTTACCAACTGCACAATATACAGTCACTTTGGGAGAGGAATCAAGAGGCTGATAAATAAAAGGGTGCTATCCACAGGCTGAAATTTTTTATCCTCACCTGCAATTAAAGTACCCAAGAATTTTTCAAAGCTACCTTTCAGAAGTGTTTTCAGATTTTATACAGTCTTCTTAAAAAAAAGTTCTGCTCCTGTAATGTTGTTGAAATATATTTGGACACCTAAAGTGTGTGCCATAAAGACTGCTTTTCTCCTAGGAACATTATGCCTGTAATTAGTAGATATTATCACGAAGATGATAGAATTTAAGTTTATGGATTGGGACCCATGCAGTACAGAAAGCCCGGCAACCAATGACTAACCAGTCCGGATTCACTCAGCCTTTGCTACCAAAAAAAATCTTAGTAAGCTAGACACAAAAGGACAAATATTGTATGATTCCATTTACATGAGGTACTTAGAATAGGCAAATTCACAGAGACAGAGTTAGTATAGTGATTACCAGGGTACAGGGAAGAGAGAAATAAAGATTTGTTTAACGAGTATATGGTTTCAATTTGGGATGCAAAAATGTTCTGAAGATGGATGATCGTGATGATGGTACAACAATGTAAATGTACTTACTGTCTCTTAGCCGTACATTTAAAATAGTTAAAATTGTAAGTTTCATGTTATGTATATTTTCCCAAAATAAAAAATTTTTAAGCAATAACACCACCAATAGTATTCACTAGCCTTGAATGCCCTGCTATATGATATGCTAAGTGCTTTTCATGAATTTTGTTATTTAACCCCTAAGTTAAGCACTGCAGAGAACATGATACAAAAGCTTAAGTTACCTGCTTAAGCTTTACACAGGTAGAAAATGGCAGAGTAGGCTTTGGACCTAAGTTTATTTGCAAAGCCCACACTATATCATTATCATTATATGTTTAGGACTTTATAGAACTTTTTAAAGTTTAGGTGAAACTCTCATTTTTATTTTTTCATATCAAATGAAGAACAATGTTTAAATAAATAAAATCACCAAGCCTCAATGTTCTAATGCCAACAAGTGGCCTTACTGTCAGCTGATCTTTTTCTCTTCTTAAACTCTCCTTCATCTGTGGAACCTCAAACATACAACAAAGGCAATTCCAGGCCTAGCATCCTTTTCTCTGATAGTCAGTTGTAATTCTGACAATAAGAGGGAAGAAGAGAAAAGCGAATTCACTCCATTTCCCTAGCTGTCCTCCACTATTGGTTTCAGATCATGCTGCCACTTATGAGCACCTGATTGCCTCTTTTTCAACCTGGGCCAGTTCACTCCTCCTTAGACAATCTTATGGGACTCTGCTCCCAGAAAATCACCATATTGATGCCAACCTTAATGTGGACCCCGGATTGGCATAGCACACTACAGCCAAGAACTTCTGGCTTAAGCCATCCTCTCACCTCCACTTCCTGAGGGCCTCTTATATGATTTCTAGAATGGACTTCTGTTAAGTTTGTTTTTGCCCCATATCACACCCTGCTTCACAAACTCACTTCTTCTCCCATGGGTAGTCCCACCAGGGGCTCTACCTCCTTGACAGGCAAGTGACCCCAAGAGACAGAATCATTTTGAAGAAGTAGATGTTGATCTGCTGCCACTTAGAGAGAGCTTGCTTGAAAAGAAGCCAGTACCTAGATCACCAGAGCTGAGAGATGCAGAGAGTCCTGCTGACATTGTCTAAGAATGTCTGACCTTTATTCCAGGAATGGTTGGCACAAAATGGGTGTCCAATTATATTTTATTTGAAATAACATTTCATCAGACCACTTTATCAGAACTCCAAGATCTTGATTTCTGAAATGAGGCCTTAAGTACAATCTTTTCTCATTTCATTTCTTCCGTTTATTTATTCAATGAATATTTTATATCACTGAATTTTGTTCTTATGACACAAGAACATAAACAGATAAGTATGATATTCTGGTAAATGCAGTGTCAGAAACATAGAGTATTACGGGAGCACAAAGGAAGCACCTCAACCCCTGTGGGAGGAGCACTGCAGGCTGAGGATGGAAGGTGCAGGCCCCAGTAGGGTTGTGCTTGGTGGTTTAGGAACACCAAGGAGGCCAGCTGGCCTGTCTCCTTCGCTGCCCAACTTTTGACTTTCTCCTCCTGTTAAGGTGGTTAACCAGGTAATGTGATGAGGCCTATTTTTATCAAGCTTATCTTTATCCTTTCTTCCTTGTAGGTCTCTTTCACCCTTCCTGCTATGAGTACCTATGAGTAGAGTACCCTAACTCTAAACCTCCAGTCCTAATCTCCGCACACGACTCCAAGCAAGAATTTCCGATTGCTTTCATTAACTCTCCTCTTGGGTCTCTCCCTAGTTTCTCCAGATCTCCATGCTCCCCAATGAATTCAACATCCTCTCCACCTCACAGCACATCCATTCACCTCGTCTTCCTGGTAATATTTTCCCTGATAATGGCCCACTTTATTAGGTCTATGAGGTTTACAAGCTCTGAGTCACCTTCTTTGCTTCCCCCTGCCTTGTATTTCATATGTCATCGGGTATTCAGACCAGATCACCAATAGTCAAAGCTCCCTAAACAGTCCCTAGCAAGTCACTAAACTAGATCAGATGTATGTAAGTGGACATTCTCTGGCTATTGCAATCAAGAGGAAATGAATTTTTCCTCTTTGATTTATCTGCAACATGTTTTATCTTTACCTGGAAACTTCTATTGAGAAGACATCTGGAAAACCACAAACCACACACTTTCAGATGAGCTTCCATGATTAATGCATTGTGAAAAAAAAAATCATTTTAAACACAATGAAAACATTTGAGTGTAAGTGTTCGTGCGTCACTACAATCTCATTTAAGCCAATCCGGATTACCAATTGGGTTCTCCTGAGCTGTTCCTTTGGTGTCAGAAATTCTGAACTATTTTATCTTTCTTCATTAATGGTACTAAGTGATATAAAGTCTCCAACACCACTTCAGTGCTACTCAAGGGCTCCTGAACAACACAAATCATTCCTTATCAAGACAGTATACACATTCTTTCCATCATATTTTTTTAAACTTGCAAGTATCATTTCTTTACAAAGTGTTCCCGTATTAACCTCATTCACCCTTAGGTACTTCAACATTTAAGCCTAAACATTTGCCAATTCTGATAATTGGGAAGTAGACAGTTCATAAGAACAGTAAAAAAAAAAGTATCAATAATAATTAAATGAATTCAATTTTAATGATGTAAAGACTTCATTTTAACTCTAACTAGGATAAATGTTGCCTAATTAGCAGTTAAGAATAACTGACATGCAGCATAACAAAATATCAATGGAAAAAATTAAGTCTTTGTACTCAAACCATTTTTCATATGTAATACTTAGACAAAAACCAAAATAAAGTAGAATTATACAAGGTATAAGAGTTATCCCTTGTCAGAGGATTGCTGAATCTGAAATTTTATTTTAATGTTAGCTAAAAATTAGAAAACATATTTAATATATTTCTAAATGTTTTCTTTGCTCTAGGGTGTGTGCTTGTCAAACTTTTTTGCTTCACAGCACATGAGAAAACCATCATCTTTGTATAGCACACTGGTCTAAGTGGATGAAGCTTCTCACAGATAGAAGAAGAGACCTGGAATGCTGGGCTCCAGGTCCTGTCCAGCAACGTCAAAGGCTGAGGGGATCAGTACCTGGGTATACCTGTAGCACATTCGTGGCTGAGAAGCTCTAGTCTAGAAAATGGGAAGGCATATTTCATAGTGGTCCTAAGATCAGTTCTAGAATCAAACTAAAGGACTTCTCAGTCACTAGAGCTCACTGCCCTTCAGTTGCTTCATCCATAAAGGTCTAATAAAGTCTACCTCATATGGTTAAGGTTATTCCTCTTAAGTGCCTGGAGAGTTGGAGCTTAAAAAACATGACCTGTTGCATTGTTCCAAACCCTGGGATTATCCCAAAAGACTATGGTTAAGCCAGATCAGCTGCAGTGGAACAGAAAGGCACACAGCTTCCCAGGAGATGAGTGGGTGGATCAGGAGAGAAAATGCTACGTAGTTACTGTGGAAATCTCAGTGCTCTTCTCCTGAGAGCAAAGTCACAACTAAGCTAGATGGTGGCATTTATTTTTCCAAAGAATAACTCCAGACATTAAGAAAGTATAACTCAATGGGCAAACAATCAACTTACAGGATTCACAACACAGATCCTTATTTCAGAAATAACTCTATGTTCTACATTAAAAAAAATCATTTAAATTTTTTTTTTTTATTTTGACCATACCAGCATGTAAACCTAAAATAACATGGGCTTTGCAATACAACTTAATATGAAAATTTTATAAGATTGAATGTAAATTTAATGAAGTCAACAGGTAATTTTACTTATGAAAGGGGCCATAACATATGAAATAAACAGAGTAGTTGTTAATATGGAAGGAATGTTAATACTTAAATATTAGATAGAGTTTAATTCTCAAAGTTTCCATCTCTACCTTGTATGTGTAATTAGCATCATTTAGTGAATTCGTATGTTCTGTGATAGAAGGATATTTAATTAGTACTTTACTTTCCACTAGATAAAATTAGAACATAAAATCAGTATCTGAAATCTGCTGAGAATTATTTTGAGTTTTCTGTGTTTTCACGTCGATAATTTGCTGCAAAGAAATTTCTTTATAAAATTAAAAAATAATTCTACTCTAGAATAATATAAATCTCAAGAAGCATTTTTATGCATTTTCCTAAGAAGAAAACTCAAGATGGACACATTTTCAATATCAATTTATCAAGGTACCTGGGCAAAAATACTAGGATACATTTATTGTCATTATTTCTAGTGACAGGAATAAGTTCATATATCCGAAGCAAGAGATATCACATGACATGCTCGATAGAATTTATCCAAATATGCTTTGACTGAGTCCCAAACATTTCAGTGACTTTTTGTTTTATATTGGCTGGATTGTCAGTATTCCTTCCCAGTTACATATATAATGACGGTAATAATATTCAGCTCATTTATGCAGCAATTTCTCCTGGAAACATAAGTGCATTTTTTGTAATTTTTATTTTTTTGTTTTTGTTTTTTTGAGACTTAGTCTTGCTCTGTCGCCCAGGCTGGAATGCAGTGGCATGATCTTGGCTCACTGCAACCTCTGCCTCATGGGTTCAAGGAAGCCTCAGCCTCCTGAACAGCTGGAATTGTAGTTGCCCGCCATGATACCTGGCTAATGTTTGTATTTTTAGTAGAGACGGGGGTTTCACCATGTTAGCCAGGCTGGTCTTGAACTCCTGATCTCAGGTGATCCACCCACCTTGGCCTTCCAAAGTGCTGGGATTGCAGGCATGAGCCACCATGCCCAACCCATTTTTTTGTAATTTTAATAAAAATTTAGAGGCAACAAGCCATGCTAATTAGAAAAAGGTATTTTTAAGTTTAGGAAAATCAAGCATTTATTTTTAATTGAGTAGTGTCAAGCCAATCACATAATGTTCTTTCTACTAAATTATTTCTATCATCAGAGGACAAAAATATCTCTTATTACAAAGGCAAAGGGACAATATTTATTCATTTATATAATCTATATGAATTATTACTATGTGTCATTTAAACATACTTAGAAATCATCTTGATAAATATAATGATTCTTTGGAACCCATTTAATTAATATGAATTTTTAGTTCCACAAAGAATGCTTGCAGTTTTAAAATACTGTTTTAGGGGAGATATTTTCAGGGTAATTGATGTATTTTTTCCTCATTTCTAAAAATCTGTGTCTATACATCTAAAATAAACTCCTCTCCTTTTTGTGAAATATAAAATTGTCTAACATAAAAGTAGATTTTTAAACAAACACTGGAACTACTGAAAGTACAAGCAAGAAAATTAATTTCTAAATCCTAATGACCATATTTATTACATTGAATTCTATAATAACACTCCTTAATAAATTTACTTTAAAAATTCAGAAAGTTTCTATCAAATTCACAAGAAATTAAATGTTTTTGTTTTCAGTAACCCAGAAAAAGCAACATCCTTAGTATAGCATAATTGTGAGTATTAAATTATATACCCTGGCATTTACATAACACGTTAAAAGTGAAAAATGATTAATATCAACACTTTTAAATATTTATTAAATCCAATAAAGTAAGCAAATAATATTAACGTTTGAACTGTAAAAAGTAATAATAATTTTACTATTTCACAAGTCAACAAATGTATAATATATCTACTAGGTACCAGGCACTGTATGTACTAGGTACTGCCATATGGTAATGACCAAGACAGAGAACAAGACAAATGCTTCTGAGAAGGCAAGGATGTTGAAGCAAGAGAACTTGAGTGTACCTTAGTAGGCATCGCTAAAGCTCCATAAAACATTCTATTTCCATATATCTGCCTCAGCTGAACCCTAATTGGAGTCCCTGGTCTACTCCAGAAAAAGAGAAAGCAATTGTGCACAGGCTACACAGAGAAAGGAAAAGAAATGAAAAGAGATTGGCTTGTTTTGCTCTGTGAAATGGTAAATATTATCGAGTAACCCAATATACTACTACTGATTTCACTATTAAGGTTTTGAATTTTAGAAATTAGAATAATATGCAACAGTACATTCTTCAAAACAGATAAAGTAGGAAGGTTTATAAATATAGCCTAGACATTAATTTAGAACAAAAAACTTCTTTACAATTTGATTTCCAAATAAAATCACAGCAGACCTTGTTTCTTTGAAGTTGACAGTAAATAATGTGATTTTAAAGGTCATCTTGTTTCCAAAATATGTTGTGCACTGAAAAAAAAACTAAAGATAATAATGTATATAGCACAATCCCATTATAGTCAGTGAAGCAAATGCATACAAACATATTTTTATATACTTGTACACAAAAAGAAAAAACTCCAAAGTATTTTACGCAAACTGTTAGCTGTGAATTACCTATACCTGCAAAAAAAGATGACTGTTAAAATACCCATTAAAATGGTAATTTAAAATACTACACTGACCTAAGAAAGAGCATAATACTAAATAAAATGGAATATAAAATGTAATAAACACGTGTTTCTGCATTAGACAGTATGTATAGAATAACAGATGAGAATAAATTAAGTATTTTATGGAGGTGGAATTAAGGCTTGGATTTTCAAGTTAAAAATTTTAAATTTATCCATGCCCCTTCATTCTGGTAGTAGCATGTTATATTTAATTTTTCCCGTTTTAAACCTCTGATTTTTCTTTAAACTTTTCAAAAGATTGTTTTCTAAATGCTATTTATTGATATTACCTTTTAAATATAATATATTCTATGTACACCTAGGTCTCATTCTAGACTTTCTCTTCGGTTCCATTAGTCTATTTCTTCTGATTTCCATGACTTTACATATTAAATTTTGGTACAGGAAGTCCTTCTTTATAATTTTAAAGCTTTCCTGGCCATTTTCACAAAATTTTATTGCAGATGATCCTTGCATCATTTTGTTAATTAAAAAACAAGAACAATGCTTTGGAATATTTATTGTAAGGAAACTACATTGATAGGATAAGTTGAAAGAAATCAATACGTGATGTGACTCAACTGGCCTCTCTCATCTCACAATAAAGGCACAGTCCTGGCTACTCATTCCCAACTAAAAGTTAGACATTTAAATACAAAACAAATATATAATAAGCCCTGTAAGAAAAGCAATAGGGCATCTTTTTTCTTTTTTATTCTAAAGGGGTGATATGAAATACAGTAAATCATAATAAGAAAGGTAGTTCTAATTTGATTACAAAATTTAAAAATGCTTTATCAAGGGTTGATATGTGCAGCAAACCACCATGGCACATGTATACCTATGTAACAAACCTGCATGTTCTGCATATGTATTCCAGAACTTAAAGTAAAATAAAAAAAAAATGCTTTATCAATCCAGAGGTTAAAAGACCTCGAATTAAATCAGCTCATTTGTCAGAAGTATGAAGCCAAGAAATTCAATGTACTCAAGTGTTACCAAATGGTAACAGCTGCACCTAAACAAGCTAATTCTTAACTTATTAGTCAAGAGTAACTGACACTCAAAAAAGACTAATTGTAATTGTTTTGTTGTTGTTTGTTTCGAGACGGAGTCTTGCTCTGTCACCGAGGCTGGAGTACAGTGGCGCGATCTCGGCTCACTGCAACCTCTGCCTCCCGGGTTCAAGCAATTCTCCAGCCTCAGCCTCCCAAGTAGTTGGGACCACAGATGCGCGCCACTGCATCCAGATAATTTTTGTATTTTTAGTAGAGACCGGGTCTCACCATGTTGGCCAGGCCGGTCTCAAACTCCTGACAGGTGATCCACCCGCCTTGGCTCCCAAAGTGCTGGGATTACAGGCGTAAGCCACCGTGCCTGGCCACGTAATTGTAAATTATTTGGTCTCTTACACCTTAGTGAAAATATTTGAGCCTCTTTTGTCACTGGATGTTCCTCCATACAGTGTGTCCTGCAGAAATGGTCATTAATTCTGTCACTTAAAGAAAGCAAAGCAGTGAGGAAAGAAATTCACGTTTCTCAAGTGTCTATAATGGATAGCTTAGGTCGTCTGCGTATGTTATCATCACTTCATAACTTTTGGTGGTGGGGGGGAATGTAGCACAAAAATTGTGATCCGAAGCCAAATCAAGTTTCACTTCTCTGACATCAGAGTTAACTCATTGAGCACTGTAATTCAGAACCTTAGGTTAAAAGACTAGTGAAAGTAGTTCCTATATACACTTCAATCTTTCCATAGTATTACAATTGTTTCTTTTGATCTGTTTGAATAAATCCTTTGTTTCTAATTGTGTCTATCAAATTAATAAGTACAAAAGGTTTGTAAGCTAAATTCGAAGAATTCCATTGATAACATCTGCTCCTAAGTGTTTAGCACACATTTTAACCCTGAAAGCATATTATGAATACATGCATCTCCAGAACTTTATCATTTCTTAAACTTGAAACTAATGCTAGAGCAAAAATTATGTCTGACCTAATGTCCTATATATACAGCCAGGAGATATGATAAGGCTTGCAACTATTCCTTAGGAATAATTTTCCTTTCTTTTCAATTACTTCTTATACATGTCTCTGTATTTTTCAAGATTTTGCTTTTTTTGCTGAGTAGAAAGTGTATCTACTTTGACATGTAACAAACTTTTCTGTGTATCACTAACTAAATACCCTAAAATTCATTTTTATTTCAATGGCAAAGATTTAAAACTAAGGAATTGTGGCACACGCGCACACACACACACCCCATATATATATACCATGAGTCTCAAACTATTTGTTATTATTAGATATGCAATTTTCCAAAACTTAATATTTTTGTTGTTGTTGTTGTTTGAGACGGAGTCTCGCTCTATCACCCAGGCTGGAGTGCAGTGGCGCGATCTTGGTTCACTGCAACCTCCGCCTCCTGGGTTCAAGTGATTCTCCTGCCTCAGCCTCCCGAGTAGCTGGGACTACAGGCGCGTGACACCACACCCGACTTATTTTTTGTATTTATAGTAGAGATGGAGTTTCACCGTGTTAGCCAGAATAATCTTGATCTCCTGACCTCGAGATCTGCCCGCCTCGGCCTCCCAAAGTGCTGGCATTACAGGCGTGAGCCACTGTGCCCAGCCCAGCTTAATACTTTTAAAGAATTCAGCTTTAATCAAATTGTATGTAGTTTAAGTAGTTGTGGAGTAAAACTTTCAATAAATTAGGAAGTTCTAAAGGTGCTCTGGAGCCTCCCGTATCACCAAGGCAACACAGGCTGGATGCTGTTCTGTCACTGCTTCTGCTGGCCTCCTGTTGCCATTGAGTTGACTAGCATGGAAAGCACAGAATGGGACAAGGAAATACTGAAATGCTTTGCCACTAACTTTCTCTCACCCTAGGAAATACCCTTTTTTCAACATGAAAAATCTGAACTAGATAATCTTCATTACTTTCAGGTTTAAAACATGTTTTTCTAAAATTAAACTAATTTTAAAATAAATTTCACTGGAATAAAAATGCTGACGGTAGAGAACACAGAATGAGTTTTCTCTAAGCCCTGCAGTTCTCCAAGGAGGGTATCAGATGTGTTTCATCACATGAATCTTTTGATTTTTTTTTTAGGAAATTAAAGAAAAAATGTTAAAGCATCCTAAGATTGATTAGAGTTGGAATTATATTTAACCCCGGGGACAAATCAGTTACCTGTTCTAGAGAGCCATGATTCTGCTAAAAAGGTGGTTGAAAACTAAAACAAATTTAGACTGAAATGGACCTTAGGTAAAGGATCTCAGCCTCCACACTGTATACATGTGGAATTTTTTTTTTTTTTTTTTTTTTTTTTTTTTTTTTTTTTTTTGAGATGGAGTCTCGCTCTGTCGCCCAGGCTGGAGTGCAGTGGCACAGTCTCGGCTTACTGCAAGCTCCGTCTCCCGGGTTCACGCCATTCTCCTGCCTCAGCCTTCCAAGTAGCTGGGACTACAGGCACCCGCCACCACGCCCAGCTAATTTTTTGTATTTTTAGTAGAGATGGAGTTTCACCATGTTAGCCAGGATGGTCTCGGTTTCCTGATCTCGTGATCCACCCACCTCGGCCTCCCAAAATGCTGGGATTACAGGCGTGAGCCACCGCCCCCGGCCCATGTGGAAATCATTTACTTGCACAAAATTATGTAGCTAACTGGCAAGAGTGAGAATTAAAATGCATTATGTTTCTTAACTCCCAGACCAATGCTGCATTTACTTGTATAATACCAGTATCTTGTGATATAGGCTAAAGGTATCTCTAATCAATGAGTTACAACACACTAATATAAATTATAGAAGGTTTATCTCTCTCAGTATTTAAGTAGGCTTCACTCACTCCTATCTTAACTGAAAAGCCCTTCCTCTGCGGTTTTCCAGTCTCACCCTCTTACTAGGCATCAGAATTAGCTGGAGCTCTTACATAGAAGTCAACGCCCAAGCCTTACCTGGAAAGATTATGATTAATTGATGGTAATGGCCAGGTATAGGCTATTTTTTTTTTTTTAAAGTTCTCCAGGTGACTTTAATATGAGAGAACTACAGTCTTACCGTGTCTGGAATTGCTGGGTTCTTGGTCTCGCTGACTTCAAGAATGAAGCCACAGACCCTCGCGGCGAGTGTTACAGTTCTTAAAGATGGTGTGTCCGCAGTTGGACGTGCCCGGAGTTTCTTCCTTCTGGTGGGTTTGTGGTCTCACTGACTTCACGAGTGAAGCTGCAGACCTTCGCAGTGAGTGTTACAGCTCTCATACGCAGCACGGACCCCAAAAGTCAGCAGCAGCAAGATTTACTGAGAAGACTGAGAGAACAAAGCTTCCACAGCTGAGTAAGATAACCTACCGGGTTGCAGCTGTTGACTGGGGCGGCCTGATTTATTCCCTTATCTGGCCCCACCCACATCCTGCTGATTGGTCCATTTTACAGAGAGTTGATTGGTCCACTTTACAGAGAGCGGATTGGTCCGTTTTGACAGAGTACGGATTGGTGCGTTTACAATCCTTTAGCTAGACACAAAAGTTCTCCAAGTCCCCACCCGTCCCAGAAGCCCGGCCGGCTTCACCTCTCACTGGCACTTACCATGGGGACTGTGCGGCACCTAGCCTGGGCACTCTGGCAGCCCAGAGGGAGCTTGACCACTGATCAAGCTCAGGAGGCGCCAGCCAGCCGTGCGGAGTGCAGGCCCGCTGAGCCCGCGCCCACCTGGAACCCGCGCTGGCCCGCCAGCGCCTTGCGCAGCCCCGGCTCCCGCCCGCGCCTCCCGCTCCACACCTCCCTGAGCAGAAGGAGCAGAGGGAGCCGGCTCCGGCCTAGGCCAGCCCCAGAGAGAGGGCCCCCACAGCGCAGCGGCGGGCTGAAGGGCTCCTCGAGCGCGGACAGAGCGGACGCTGAGGCCGAGGAGGCTCCGAGAGCGAGGGAGGGCTGCTGGCATGTTGTCACCTCTCATTACCTCTTTCATCTTTTCCCATTCCTGAGCTACTGCTTTCTCGTTAACTCAGTCTGACTTTCTAACACTTACAATGACATAATAACTATATTAAAAACTTCAAAAGAGGTGAAATTTACAGTAAAGGGTAAAGAAATTCAAGTCTCTGAAAAGCAGGCCCTTTTCTAACAAGCCTCAATGTTTATATTGTATTCTTCCACTGCCGCTGCTAAGCTTATCTAGAGTGGTCTACATTTTCCCATCTCCCATTCGCAACTCAGCACTGTGGCAAGACTTCTGTGTTCCCAAGTTGTGTGTAATTACTGCCGGCAAGCTACCAATGACTGCTTAAATTGTCAAACTCAATCAGTGTTTTTAAGTTAACACGTTTGGCCTCTCTGTAGTATTTAACAGCGTCCTGTTTCTCAACACTTTCTCTTAGCTGTTTTTTTATCTGACTCCTTTGTGGGACTCTCATGCCTGGCCCTAGTCTTGGTCACCATTTCTTCTCACTTGGTACCAAATCCACACCAAACGCTTGATGTATCACCTATGGATGTTGATAAATTTTCAAACCTCTATCTCCAGCCTCTATCTCTTCTTGAGTTTCAGCTCCGTAAGTCCACTTACCCAGTGTCTCTTGATTTCCATGGCACATAGGCATTTCAAATAAAATATTGTCTCCTCTGCCTCCAAATTGCTCATGCTTACATCCCATCTGCTATAGTTTAAATGTGTGTCCCATCCAAAACTCATGTTGAAATTTCATTGCCATTGTAACAGTATTAAGAGGTGGGACATTTAACATGTGATTGGGTAGAATTAATGCTGTTATAAAAGGACAGGTTCAACCCCTTTTTGTCTCTTGGTTCTTCTGCCTTTTGCTGAGTAACCAGCCTTTCTCCACTCCAGAGTCTGCAAAGCATAGTTTTGGAAGAAGAGAATGGCCTCACCAGACACCAAATCTGCCAGCCTTGACCTTAGACCCCAACCTTCAGAACCATGAGCCAATAAATTTCTGATCTTTATAAATTACCCAGTCTCAGGTATTCTGATATGGCAGCACAAAACAGACTAAGACACCATCCATTCCAAAAATTGAGGAGCCATCACAGCTTCTTCCCTCTTTTGACACCATTCATCCTATCCTTGCCAAATTTATTTTCTTTATGCTAATGGCTCTCAAATATAACCACTCCCTATATTTGTTGTCATGTCCTATTTCTGGCCTTCATTATTTCTTCTGTAGTCAGTCTTCAGACTGGTACTTTTGACCCTCTTCAATTTCTCCAAACTTCTATGAGTGTGATTTAAAAATGTAGACACAATTGTCACTTTAATATCACCTCATCCATACATATAAAACCCACACTTGTCCACGTGCGGTGGCTCATGCCTGTAATCCCAGCACTTTGGGAGGCTGAGGTGGGTGGATCACAAGGTCAGGAAATCAAGACCATCCTGGCTAACATGGTGAAACCCCGTCTCTACTAAAATACAAAAGAAAAAATTAGCCAGGTGTGGTGGTGGGCGCCTGTAGTCCCAGCTACACGGGAGGCTGAGGCAGGAGAATGGCGTGAACCTGGGAGGCAGAGCTTGCAGTGAGCTGAGATTGCGCCACTGTACTCCAGCCTGGGCAACAGAGCGAGACTCCATCTCAAATAAATAAAATAAAAATAAAAACCCACACTTGTTTATTCTTAATATTTTACATTACTCTATTTATATACATGTTGTAACACGCAGACATACACACACACACCCCTATATGCAAATCTCCAGCCTCAGTTCAATAACCCCCTCTAGCCCTCTATGTTCTAGCTATACTGAACTACTTGCCATTCTCTCCTGTGCTTTTGTCTTTAGAACACCCTTCCTCCTCTTTTCCCCTTGGACTATTTGTGTTTATTCTTCCAAATTCAATTCAGCAACCACTAGCTGTAGCATACCTTCCAACTCTGGTTCAACCCCTCGCACCCCCAGTGCCCTCTGTCCCTACCTCCAAAACGGCCTTTGCAAAAATTATAACCGTGAAAAAATTATGACAGTAAAATTATGACAATCTAACCAGCTCCATCCTGTCTTTGACCTCCAAACTGGGTCATTCCCGGGTGTGGGCCAAGCTAGCTAGGAGAAAAATTTAGATTATAGTTTAAATAATAATAGCCCCTCCCAAAACTAAATCACCTTTATAAAACTAATAAACATTTACTAGATTAAAAAAATAAGGGCCTAAATTCTGCTAAAATATAGGCACAGTTAAACAATTACCCATCATTATTCTAAAAGTCACAAGATTTACAACTTCCTCAATTACTTCTGTAAATAACATCACTATTATAAAACTGAAGACTGACCCTTTGAAATGTCTTTTCAGGCTTTTGCATTTCTGATGACCAGATGTCCCTACCTGAATCTGTGATTCTGACTCAGTTGGTCCTGTGAATCCTGCCCAGAAGTGAACTCAATGCACAAAGCCAATTTTCCATACCTCTATGATTGCATCCCTAACCAATCAGCATTCTCCATTCTCTAGCTCCTGCCCAGCAAACTATCTTTGAAAAACCCTAGCCTCCACATTTTCAGGCAGGCTGATTTGAGTAATAACATAACTCCAGTTTCCTGTTTAGCTGGGTCTATGTGTATTGAGCTCTTTCTCTATTGCAGTTCTCCTGTCTTGATAAATTGGCTTCATCTCAGCAGAGGGCAAGAGGAACCCATTGGGTAGTTACATATTTGGGAGCTCATCTGGGATAGTTGTTGCGGGCACCTGCCTGCAGTTTGGCAGCCCCTCACTGGTGATGGGTCTGGAGGCCAGCCCAAGTGGCCACCTCAGTCTATTGGACTAAGGGCTATTTCTGGCACTGCAGCTACCAGCGGGGTGCTGTTGACCTATAGTGGATGGATCTAATTGCAATGGAGAAATATTGGTGAGTATTCCAGGCACTGTCAACACCCCCTTACTTCTCTCGATCTGTTGGCCTCTCTAGAGGCATTTATTATTTTTTCCTCCATTTTTCCCATCACAGAGACTGGCTGTGTAGTCTATCATGAGGACTGTTTGGCTCTCCGTAGATTGTAGGAAGAGTTTTGCTGTGGGGATATTTCTCCCCAAATGTATGGAGAATAGGGGACCTGTTTGGAGGAATATTCTTCTGGTTTGGAATCTGGTTTGGAAGGTCTTATGTCTTTAATTTGTTGCGTGTGTTTATGTAAAGGAGATCGCTGAAGGAATTGCTGGTTGAAGTCTAGCAGCCTCTCCTAGTTTGTCTGGTGGGTCACATTCGGTGAGCCCTGAAGGAACTGTTAGCAGGAGTTCAACAGGTCTAACTCAGGGTGATCGTCTGCTCTTCCATCTTGCCCAGAAACCACCTGTTGAAATTCCTGGTCAGAAATCATCTGACTCCACTTTGAGTAGATCAAAGATGTCAAGGTCCAATAGGAGCAACTTTGAGGCTTGCCAGGTCGATACTCAAGTGCTGAGTGGGGTGACTGGTGTGTGTTTTGTTATGTGTATTTTGTTCCAGTCAGAATAAGATATGTTAATTCAGCTCCCCCATGAAAATTGAGAGGCTTTTGCCTATGGTTCCATGAAGTGGAGAAGGATGACTTCCTTTTGTAATGCAGCTTGGCCCCTCTATCTATGGCACAGCAAACATAGTCACCAAAGTCACTCAGAGAAAGGGAACCTGGAAACCTGTCAAACTGGCAAAAGGGTAAGTATTTCTTACCAGGCAGGCTTCTGGCCTCTATCTGAGCAAACCAGTTGGTTGAATGAATGGTAACAAAGAAGTCTCCTCTGCAAGGTTTTGATTAATAGGAAAAAAGATTTGTGAGACTAGACTTAGGCTGTAGCAAATCTGGTGTATTTTGTACCAAAATTTGTCTTTCTGTGTTGTTCTATTGTGGAGAGGGGTACCACAGAATAGAATGTAGGCCTAAGACCCCTATAAACCCATTGTTCGAGCCCACCCTGAAGACTGATCGGATACAAACTTTGCTGCACATCCCTGAAACAAAATCATGAGGTTTCCCTCTTGTCTTATGACCTTAAAAACTTGACTTTGTGACTACATGGAGGCACTCTCTCTTGGTCTCTGCCATTTGGCGGGAAAGAATTTTCAGGTTCATGTCATGGCTAGCCTTAAGAATTCTCTTGAGCAGTTAAAATCCTTTACAAGCTTAAAAATGACCACTCTAGACTCCTTCTGGGAGAGCAATGACAATTGTCCCATGCTGTAGTTCAGTAGCTAAGGCACTGCCCTTTCACAATGGTGGCCTGGGCTCAATTCCCAGATTAGGGAACAAGTCCTTTCTGGTTTAAAAATTGTGGGACTTTTGCCATTTATTATTTTTTCCTCCATGTACAGCTTCTGATATCCTGTCTTAAATTTTTCTTTCCCTGAGCTACCTTTAGGGTGATTTTAGATCTTGTAAAGCTCACTTGCCATCTCTTTGGAGACACCTCATGTGTCTGTGGTTAAGTCATAGCCTGAGTTAAGGATTATTAATTTTATGTGGGAGGTTACCTTTGGTAAAAAATTCAAAAGCTGAAAATATCCACTGTTTGTTCCTGCTGAAATCTGGTAATAAGAAATTTTTTTAAAGGATTTTTTTTGAAAGTTCTGTAGTTAAAATTGATTTAATTTGGACTATATGGGTACAGATATTGTTTTAAGGCTCTTGCTCTCCCTCTGTAAAAACTACTCAGTCAACTGAATTCTGTTTCTCATTTACTCCTGTTTGTCCCTCCTTCCACTGTATCTAATCTCTGACTTTTGGGGGCACCAGGATTAATTTGCATTATGAGAAAATTTAACCTTAATGTATAATAGCTAGATAAGAGATATACTTTTTTAAATGGCTGATGTCAGTTGCTTACAGTGAACGATGATCACCACAGGGTTGTACGTCTTTCTTTCTATGTTGAAATAAGGAAAGCATGCTTGTAAACACCTAGAAGGTACAGAATGGAAGATGGGGTGATTATAGCGTAGGCTGATTGGCATTGGGTTGCCAAGCGGCCTAGGAGAAATGTCCTTTCAATGAGATACACTGTGGAATGATTGCACTGTCTTGTCTTATAGTATTTCCCTCTTTTGGAGACCCCAGGATTTGGTGTAAAAATGAGATCCTTGATCTTGGGGATCTGTTTTGCCTTCCAGCTGTGCCTGCTTATTGGACCCTAAAAACTGCATGCTTTCCTGACCCTGTTCCCTAAAAGACTCCAACCTGAAGCCAATAATCCAATCAAGAAACAGATCTTTAAAAAGTCTCTCTGTGTAAGGTGGAGGTTGCAGTGAGCTGAGATCACGCCATTGCACTCCAGCCTGGGCAACAGAGCAAGACTCCGTCTCAAAAAAAAAAAAAAAAAAAAATCTCCCCGTGTAAGCGTGTCTGTTTTTCCTGGTCATCTTGACTAAACTTTTATCCACACCATTTTCCCTTGGTTTAAATAAAATATAAGTTCTTTATTTTGTTTCACCTAAAAATTATCCATTTAAAAACACAAATTTAGAATTGCCTGGCTGACAATTATTTAGATCAGAGAACAGATAATCAAGAGACTAATGGTCTGAGGTCAAAAAGGAAAACTTAAAAACTGACAAAGAATCTTATCACAGTTAGCCAGGCAGGGTGGTGTGCACCTGTAGTCCCAGCTACTTGGGAGGCTGAGGTGGGAGGATTGCTTGAGCTCAGAAGGTCAAGGCTGCAGTGAGCCATGATTATGTTAGTGCACTCTAGCCTGGACAACAGAGACACTGTCTTAATTAATAATAATAATAATAACAATCATCATCATCATCATCTTATCCCCCCACCAGATCTGCTTCTGTCTATTTATATATGCTGGGAACATATTTTGTTACCAAAATACATAAAAGAACTGTAATTAATTGGCTTTAACAAAATTCTGTATATAAGCAAGTTGGCCAAAATTAAAAGGATATTACTTAGTTCTTCCATAAATTAAAATATTAAAATAAGAGTACACTGATGCAGGGCCAGAATCTAGGTCCATCTGTCTAAATAACAGAGTTTCCTTAGAACACTGATATTCCCTTTAATAAAAAATTAGAAAGGATTATAAAAATAGACATAAAAATTATACCTCATAGTCAAACTAATTAAAATTGGACAGATTTATTTACAAAATATTAAAAATTGAGTATAACATTAAGAATACACTAATGCAAAATTAAAATTTGGCTTTCTCTTTTAAATAAGATTTTCATAACATTGAGAAATAAAAAAAATTTATTTGTCATTTAAATACAGGGGAGAGAGAAAAGACAGTTTCAGTTGGCTTCATGCTATCTGTATTGGTCTTAACAAGTTGAGACTCCTCTCTATTAACAAGTAAAGATTTTTGCCTTTTTGAAATTTTAAATTATTATTTTGGCTAAATAAATGACTTACAATGACCTAGAATTCTATTTTGTGATATCAAGTGTTAAACGTTAGATATTTGACAAACATTCCAAAATCAAATTCTGACTTAAGTATATTTTTGACCTCATTAACTTTTAAGTATTAGGTCCCCTGAAGTCCAAAAGAGACGTATTTGACTTATTTGGTATACTAAAATCATACAGAGAGCATTGTCAAATATAAAATGGTATTCAACTTTTTTTTGGCTGCAGTCAATAAATGTGTTATTAATATGTGTTCCAACATTATATACTTTTCCTATAATTCTGATATGACTGAGTATATGTTATAAATAATAATAATTACTATATGGTTATGTGCCATAAAAATGACCAGGTTTCCTTTTCAGTTGCATCTTTAACTGTGGCTGTCCTGACTTTTGTCTTCCACAGATAACTGTCTTGTTTTGATCCTTTTCAAAAGGCGGTTTATAAGCAGCTATAAGATGCTAATGGGTGCTCTTGGATGCAGGTGTCTGATAATTGTAGAGACTGTGCCATTAAAATGAAAAAGAAAAAAAAATTAACTTCCAGGACTGTCATAGAGAGCTAGTGTGTTCATGAGGACTGCTGGTCCAATACTGGGCAAAACAGGAATTGCATGGACTGAATTAATAAAAGACCAACATCAGGTGCAGTGGCTCACATCTGTAATCACAGCACTTTGAGAGACTGAGGCAGGAGGACTGCTTGAGCCCGAGAGTTTGAGACCAGCCTGGGCAACTTTGGGAGACTCTGTCTCTTAAAAAAAAAAAAAGAAGACTGAAATAATATTTATGACATTTTGTTTAAAATATTGCTAATTCTTTTGTTTTGCAGAGTCTAGAAAGCTTTTTTCTTTTAAGCTATTTACAGAGTATACTCATGGAAGTAAAAGTTAAAACACATTTCTTTCTATCTTATTTCTCCAGAATTTAAAAACTATTTGTAAGCATATACTTAATTTATAACAGTATAGTTACATGCATAAGTTCAATAAAAATCTGTTTTCTTTTATGACAAGATACCACTGGTTATTTTACCAAGGCTTTGACTAGAATGGCATGCTTTCAAATATAAAGAGACTGCTTTAAGGAATCAAATTGACTTACAGAGTTGATAAAAGCCCCTTGAAAAAATCAACTTCATACCTTGTCTATCTAGTCCCTATACAGGGTTCCGACCTATGATTTAAAAAAAGAAAATCACTTTCTGATAGGCCTGGGAGCCTCAAGTTATCTTGGGACCTGGAGAAAAGAAAAATTATCCAATTCATACAACTATTTGCAGGCACAGATAAATCCATGGCTGGCTCAAGGCTTTAAAAATTCAAATCTGCAATTCCTTATTTTAAAAAGTTCCAGCAAAGCCAATGTTTAGAAAGCCTGTATGGCAAATAATTGTTCTTGCTGCACTTAATGCAAATAATCAAGCCAAGTATTAAAAAACTAGACTCATTTTGCAAATAAATTTGTCCTACTATGATTTGTCGTTAATAAAATAGAAACTGGAGAGAGAAAAACATTATGTTTCAAATAAAAAAACTATAATACATCTGTTTTTAGGTTCTAGTCTTGTCCACTGTTTTGGGGTTTTTATTATTTTCTGCAATTTGGACTGAATCTTGAATTCTTTCCAGGCTACAGGTCCCTAAACTTAACGTTTTCAAATTTTTCTTCCATTTTTCTGACAATGACATTGCGACTACCTTTTCCCGAAGACCTTGAAAGCTAGAACTTATTCCTTGTAATACAGGCAAGAAAATCATGTCAGATCAGACTGCCACCACCTTTTTCCTCTGTAACTAAAAATGCTTTGAGTCTAATATCTGGATAAATTGTACCCAACATTAACCTTGGCTTTTATTTCTATAAAAATGCCTTTTATTAAAAACTTTTGCCTTCATCATATATAGAGGCCTAGCCCATCATATATAGAGGCCTAACCTCCTGAAATGAGACACAGTTGTTTAACTGATCTAGTCACAGAACTAAAACTGACTATAAAAGATATGGTATATTTAAATGTACTCTTTCCTGTTTATCCCAATTTGTCTTTCTAACAACCTCTGACCCAAATCTCTCTCTACTAGCAAACTCATCTCTGACTGGCTCTCAGGGCTATTCACCAGAATCTCTCAGGGCCTCAGATGAATTCTACAAGAACTCCTGCAGCCAGAACTTTTGCTTGTTATATTAGGCATGCAGACAGCTGCAAAGCAGTTTTATTTCTCTTACCCTGGGACTAACCCCAATCTCCACTAAGCCCCCTGTCAGCAGGAAGTTGGAGCAGTCACTGACTTTTTTCCATCTCTGACTGGTTTGGCTGTGTCCTCACCCAAATCTCATCTTGAATTGTAGCTCCCATAATTCCCACATGTCGTGGGAGGGACCTCGCGGGAGGTAACTGAATCATGGGGGCAGGTCTTTCCCACGCTGTACTCCTGATAGTGAATAAGTCTCACAAAATCTGATGGTTTTATAAAGGGGAGTCCCCCTGCACACGCTTTCTTGCCTGCCACCATGTAAGACATGACTGCTCCTCATTTGCCTACCACCATGATTTTGAGGTCTCTTCAGTCATGTGGAACTGAGAGTCAATTAAATCTCTTTTATAAATTACCCAGTTTCAGGTATGTTTTTATTAGCAGTGTGAAAACAGACTAATAAAGTAAATTGGTACCGAGAGTGGCGCACTGACGTCAAGATACCCAAAAATGTGGAAGCAACTTTGGAACTAACAGGCAGAGCTTGAAACAATTTAGAAGGCTCAGAAGAAGACAGGAAGATGTGGGAAAGTTTGGAACTTCCTAGAGACTTGCCGAATGGCTTTGACCAAAATGCTGATAGTGATATGGACAATAAGGTCCGGGGTGAGGCGGTGTCAGATGGAGATGAGGAACTTGTTGGGAACTGGAACAAAGGTGACTCTTGCTATGTTTTAGCAAAGAGACTGGTGGCATTTTGCCCCTGCCCTAGAGATTTGTGGAGCTTTGAGCTTGAGAGAGATGATTTAGGGCATCTGACAGAAGAAATTTCTAAGCAGCAAAGCATTCAAGAGGTGACTTGGATGCTATTAAAGACATTCAGTTTTTTGTATTCACAAAGATCTGGTTTGGAACTGGAACTTATGCTTAAAAGAGAAGCAGAGCATAAAAGTCTGAAAAATGTGCATCCTGATGATGCAATAGAAATAAAAACCCATTCTCTTTTAAAAAATTCAAGCCAGTTGAAGAAATGTGCATAAGTACCAAGAAGCTAAATGTTAATTGCCAAGACAATGGGGAAAATGTCTCCAGGGCACGTCAGAGGTCTTCACAGCAGCCCCTCCCATCACAGGCCTGGAGGCCTAGGAGGAAAAAAATGGTTTTGTGGGCTGGACCCAGGACCTTGCTGCTTTGTGCAGTCTCAGCACTTAGTGCCCTGCATCCCAGCTGTGGCTAAAAGAGGGCAACATACAGCTCTGGCTGTGGCTTCAGAGGGTGAAAGCCCCAAGTCTTGGCAGCTTCCACATGGTGTTGAGCATGAAGATGCACAAAAGTCAAGAACTGAGGTTTGGGAATCTCCACTTAAGATTTCAGAGGATGTATGGAAATGCCTGGATGTCCAGGCAGAGGTGCACTGCAGGGGTGGAGCCCTGAGGGAGAACTCTGCTAGGGGACTGCAGAAGGGAAATGTGGGGTGGAAACTGCCACAGAGAGTCCCCACTGGGGCACTGCCTAGTGGAGCTGTGAGGAGAGGGCCATTGTCTTCCAGACCCCAGAAGGGTAGATCCACTGAAAGCTTGTACCGTGTGTCTGGAAAATCCACAGATACTCAATGCCAGCCTGTGAAAACAGCCAGGAGGTGGGGCTGTACCCTGCAAAGCCATGGGGGTGGAGCTTCCCAAGACCACAGGAACCCACTTGCATCAGTATGACCTGGATGTAAGACATGGAGTCAAAGGAAATCATTTGGGAGCTTTAAGATTTGACTGGCCCACTGAATTTTGAACTTGTATGGGGCCTGTAGACCCTTCGTTCTGGCCAATTTCTCCCATTTGGAATGGATGTATTTATCCAATGCCTGTACCCCATAGTATTTAGGATGTAACTAACTTGCTTTTGATTTTACAGGCTCATAGCCAGAAGGGACTTGTCTCAGATGAGATTTTGGACTGTGGGCTTTTGAATTAATGCTGAAATGAGTTAAGACTTTGAGGGACTGCTGGGAAGGCATGATTGGTTTTTATGTGAGGATGTGAGATTTGGGAGTGGCCAGAGGTGGAATTATATGGTTTGGCTATGTCTCCACCCAAATCTCATCTTGAATTGTAGCTCCCGTAATTCCCACGTGTTGTGGGATGGGGGTAATTGAATCATGGGGGCGGGTCTTTCCTGTGCTGTACTCGTGATAGTAAATAAGTCTCACAAGATTTGATGGTTTTATAAAAGGGAGCTCCCCTGCACACACTCTCTTGCCTGCCACTATGTAAGACATAACTTTGCTTCTTATTTGCCTTCCACCACTATTTTGAGGCCTCCCCAGCCATGTGGAACTGAGAGTCAGTTAAACCTCTTTCCTTTATAAACTATCCAGTCTTGGGTATATCTTTATTAGCATGAGAAGTGACTAATACAATCTCCAAAGCTCACACCTTAAGAATAAAGTGTGGTAAAACCCAAAAGGGAGGATTGAAACTATCTTTGCAAAAATTAGAACAACTTGTGTCAACTTTTATAACAGTAAAAGAGGTCCAATCTAACCAACTCCAACTTGCCTTTAACCTCCAAATTGCCCTTGGTCATTCCTGGTATGGGCCAAGGCTAACTTTGGAAAAAAATATAGCTTATAGTTCAAATAATAATAGCCCTTCCCAAAACTAAACCACCTTTATAAAACTAATAAATGTCCACCAAGTTAGGGGCCTAAATTCTGCTAAAACACAGGCATAAACAATTGTCCACCATTATTCTGGAGGTGACAAGATTCACAACTTCCTCAGTTACTTCTGTAAATAACATCACTATTATAAACTGAAGACTGGCCTTTTGAGGTGTCTTTTTAGGCTTCCGCACTTCTGACAACAGGATGGCCCCACCTGAGCCTGACTCTTAACTCGTTCTCTGGCCCCTACCCGAAAGTGGACTCAGTGCACAGGGCCATTTTCTACACCCCTATGATAGCATCCCCAACCAGTCAGCAGCACTCACTTCCTAGCCCCTGCCTGCCAAACTACCTTTTAAAAACCCTAGTGTCCAAATTTTCAGGGAGGCTAATTTGAGTAATAAAACTCCAGTCTCCCATTTAGCCAGCTCTATGTGTATTGAACTCTTTAATTCTCCTGTCTTAATAATCAGCTCTATCTGGGCAGTGGGCAAGAAAAATACACTGAACAGTTACACCACAGCTTCTATTTCTACCTTATCTTTCTGCTTTTACAGTAGAAACCTTTATTATAGACCTGGTTGGCCACATTTTATTGTAATTGTGTCTTCACTTTTCTACCTTCCCCACTGAGAGTCCCTCTAGTGTTATTTCTATCTCTGTAACCCCAAAGCCTAACAAATGCTTGATATCTAGCCTATTTTCTCTATTTGCTCAAAAAATGACTACACAGAAATTCAGAAAATTTAAATCTTACTTTCTCACTAATGATATAAGAGATTATATGGATAACAGAAAAATTGACGTAAAAAAATCACAAGAATTCAATAAACTTAACCTTAACTGTTTATGAAGGAAAGAACTTGGATAACTCAAAAGATATGAATCAAATGAGTCTAAGTTATGTGTTAGCTGAATAATTTTTTAAAGCTGCTGGTGGAGGTAGTAGTCAACTGAGGAAAAAAACTCACTAGACTGAAAACTCATTTGTTTACACTACCCTGAAAAAAGTTCCTATTTGCATGACTTTTACCTTTTGCCTCAATTCTTCTTAATCCTTTTTTGGTCAGAGACCCCCTTGAGTACCATGAACTTTATAGTTTCTTCCTGCAAAAACCAAAAACAAGGTAAAAAACATATCTTTTTTAGAAAATTTCCCCAACCATCCCCACATGCAATGATTTCTTTAAGTACTCCTTTCACCACTCAGTTTGTGCTATAGTAATTTTTACATTGATATTTTACCCTGTAAGTATTGTATGGTTGTCATTTTTGTTGTATTTGTTGTCTCTCTACCTTCATTGTGTGCTCTGTAAAGACAGGAGCTAGGTAACTTTTAATACTCTGTTCTACTCTAGCCCATAAATGACCAACTCAATGTAGTCTGCCAAATACTCAAATACTGAAAGAGCTTCTCAATGCCTAAGAACAAGTTGGTGCCAGGTAATAATAGCTAATGCTTATTGTGTACTTACTACCTACCAAGTGTTACTCTCAACACATAACTGTATTAAACTCTTTAATTTTCACAATCAACCCAATGAGCTAAGCTAGGCTATCATCATCCAAGTGAGGAAACTGAAACACAGCAGTAACTTCTTAACTTCTCAAGATCATGTATCCAAGAAGCAATGGCCCTGGTGTTTGAATACTAGTAGCTGGCCTTAAGAAAGGACATTCTTCAATTCTCTACTACATCACCTCAAGTCCTTGCGCAGAACAACTATCAACTGGGATGTTTTAAGAAGAGAATGACTTCTAACATGTCAATGAAAGAAATACAGGCCCATTTTGCCCTTAAAAATAATTGCTTTTTTCCCTTCCTTTTTGGCTTTATTATCTTCTTCCTCCCTCCTCTTCATTCTATCCCCATCAAACCCCTGAACCCAGCTTTCCACCCCCATCAGAGTAATCCATCTTAAAGTAGTTTCCCTTCCATATTTTTATCCATACTAATTTAATCCTATATGAGGAGATGCAGATATTCACATGCATACAAACCCACATATACATACATATACCAAGGAAGAAAGGGCATTTTCTTAAAAATGCAATATTTTTACAACTTTATGCATCTTCTTTCACAAAACAATACCTCCTGGTAACGTCTCTCACTGGAATACATCTAGTTCCTCCTTTCTGATGGCTACTCAATCTTCCTTGTGTGGATCTATCACAATTTATTCATAAGGGAGTGGCTGAAAACAAAGTTCACTTTGTTTCCAGTTGTTTGACTCTAAGAACAAAGCTGCAATTAATATAAGACATCACAAATGCCAGTGGTGGAACATGAAGCAGGCAGGCTGAGTTCCTTGGAGGAAGCTTCTCTGTCTCTGGTCTTCCTGAATTCTCTTCTCACGCAGCAGGGAACACTCCCTCCTTCTCAGCCATTTGTTGGGGGTCAGGAAGGGAGAAGTGACATATTTTGGTGGGGCCAATATCAAACTTCTCTTCAGAAGCTCAAATTTGAAAGCGAAAGAGATCTTCAAGATCTGCTCTCCAGTCTTTTCCCCTGACACTTGCTGCCCCGTGTATGAAAAAATCCTGTCCTGGTTTTCTCTGCCAAGACCCCCACCAGAGAGCAAGGCCTTATATGCACTCGGCAGCAAGGGAGGGAAGGAAAAGCCCAGGTTCTATGTTCCCAGAACCTATTCCAAGTCCATCTAATAATTTAATGCTCTGCTATGAAACCTACTTGAAATGCTCATTCCAAACAAAGCTGTTCTATTGTATATTTAAAGTAGAAATGTGATGATACAAAACCAGCTAATTTACTCAAAAATCAGAGTAATTAGCTGAAAAACAAAAACTAGTGGAAAATAACTCAGTTCCTGCCTTGCCTGCCAAGGTCAACTTAGGACAGGACTGTAAGAGTTAGAGTATGAAACAGGCCATGTTTCAAATCACTTTACTGAAAATGGCTTGATAATCAACAAAGACAGAACCAAAGAGTTCCCTCTTGGCTTCTCCTACTTTGTGGTGGTCATGAATTTTATGTCTCCTAGGATAAATGTACTTACATTGAAGCATACCACCCAAATTGCACTCTAAAATTTTTGTAATTTTGGAATTATTATTTTTTGTCCAATACATATTCTAATCACTCTTCCTTACTGAACTTCACTGCATATTTTAAGATTTTCAAGTCTTTCATCCAGCAGGCTACCTTATAGAACACTAAGTCACTTTTAAGACAGTGATATCAGTTAGTAATTTGGATAATCAACTTGGCAGAGTGCTTAAATGTAAATTTACTATATACACATATCTTGTTTAATATCACCATGCATGTAATGCTACCCCTACAAATGTTAAATATTTAACTTAAAATACAGTATACCACTAATATACACTTTCCCCACACTCAGGATGCTAATAGGCACTGTCAACCAAGAAGAGCAAGCATGGCAGACAGTATCGTACAACCTTGGATAACAAGCATACCACAATGTCAAAATGCTTATCTGATGAATGCTCCTCTACACCACCTTGGTGAAAGTAGTCTGCAACATGTGGCTATGTCTTGTGGCCCATTTTATAAACTAGCAAATAATTGTGGTCCAAAATGGGTAACAAAAGGTGTACAACAGTATTGGAGCTTCTACAAATAAACAAGGACAAATATTGTTCTTGGTGCTAAGATGAAAATGTTATGGCAAATGGAATGTGCCTTTTAGGAAACAGTCATGGAAATAGGGTAGAGATCAACAGAAAATTAGATTAGTTAAAGTCCTTTGACATTATGAAAAGCATCATAAATATTGCCACTGGCTGGGACAAATGACTAACAACTGTTTGGCAGTTGGCATTTCATGACTTAAAGATATAGAAAAAAACTGGAGTGAGTGCCAATTTAAGACGTCAGAATAACTTCTCCTTAAAGCTTCTTCAAGAACCATAAGCACCCCATGGAGGGTCAATTATCAACATTCTCATTTTTAGGAGTACATCCTCCCTATCCCCTCAATCAAGGAGTGATTCAGGGGATTCAGGATATCCCCTGAATCCACCCTACATGACATGTAGGGTCTTTTCTCTACATGCATTAAAGTATAAAGACAAAGAAAGAAAAGCGAGAAGAAAGTAAAATATTACCTTTTATTTTCTCAGGCACACAAGTGATTTGGATACCAATTATCAAGACATTTTACTGATTTCCCTTTAGAATGATCTATTTTAAATCTTCAGCCACCTTAGAAAAAGTTTGCAGCAATCACTTTGCAATTCATAAGTATCAGGTTAGAATTTAGTTGTGGAATAAGTTAACAGTTTATGTTCAATATGTGAGGTTATTTGAACTCCTGAGTTTTAAATATCCTGTGGAACAGTGATTCCTCTCCCTTCTAATGGCTTTTCAGATTAAAGCAATGACTTTAAAAAGATTACATCCTAAATACTTGATTACAACAGAAATCGACCAATCTAAAAATCAGATAGTGTTATACTGAACATCATTCTGATATAATGAGTAGCCTCTGGCTGAAACAAAATTCCACCACCAAGGCCATCAACCAGGTTAGTACTGTTTTTCCTGGGGTCTATGTAAAACTCTCCTTTTCTCTGCAAATGCTGCTTGGCTGTGAACAGCATGGATTTACCTGCACCAATGTGGCACACACCTAGCAACTTTCTCAAGCATTCTAAAGATATCCCCAGAGCTAACAAATATTGACATATGTCACAGCACCTTTCTCAAGAACAGTCCAAATCAGCAGTGCACATTCACACACACAGGAATGCTGGGGATATGCTTATACCTGCACCACTTAGTTACAACAAGGGGAAATAAGAGTAACTAATGAACTTAATAGCTTCACAAGAAAAATGTTTTATAGTCATATACTTGACCCTATCAGGGAAAAGCCACCTAAAAGCATGTGTAGCTGGTTACAAAGTGCATCAAGGGAGAGAATGGCTGGCTCTGAATAAACCCACAGTCACTTCTGAACATAAAGTACACATTCTAATGACAGAGATTTGGTAATATTATTTTCACAAACCAAACAGTACAAATTTCAAGTTATTTCACAAATCAGATGATCAAATAAAAATGGACATGAATATGCTTAGTAAATTAGCATATACATTTTTTTTAAAGGTGCTATTGTAAAATAACCTACATGACAAAATTTGGCAAAGAGTAAACAAAATCATTAACAATAAACCAAAAAACATGTAAAACTTAAGAAAACTCCCAAAGAATTAAAAAAGAACACATATTTCATAGGATTCAGAAATTATATATCATTTTTAAGTGTGCATTAAGCAACTTTATACTGCACTTTAACAGTCTGAGAAATTTGACATTTCATTTCTATAAATATACATGAGTGGAGACATTTTATAAGTACATATGACTGACAGCAATATTTGGACAACATAAAAGTATCCTGTAGATATGTGTTGCTGCCATAAATCTGGGATGCAGGATTAAAAATGGAGTAAATAAGGCATGACAATGCTTTGCACGATTTATTGTGAGTGCAACTTAAAAACCCAGCAACCAAATTTACCCATCAAGTAGCAGGACTATAAGGGACTATTGTTTACTTGGATGCTGGAAATGCTGAAGAAAAGAAAAACCACAGCCACAGATTGGTATTTTAGAAACAGTCAATCCATACTATTTTAAGAAAAAAATGGATGATTTATTATATAAAATTAAGATTGGCAGAATACAGAAAATTATTTCTTTTACCTTTACATATTTATTGTTAAGTACCAAGCAAAGTGTAACAATTAGAAGAACTCATTACAAACTACCAAAATGTATTCATTTGGTGAAATTATTCAAGTCACAAATGCTTAGTAAATAAATGTACTTCAAAATACGTGAAGTGTAAAACAAGTATGAAAACAGTGATCTTAAACAATGATTCCTTTCACAAAAACTAACCAACAAACAAGAAGCACAAGAAAAAGGTTGTCAGGTTAGACAGAAAAAAATAAATCAAATGTATTGTTGGTTGGGATTGTTAAACTAAAATCATTAAACGAAAACCAGCAACTAGATTCAAAAGAGAGAAAAAAAACCGAAATGAGTAATTAGGATTCAAAAAGAATAAGGGTATTACAATACTATATCTGTTTTCCTACTAATAGCAAGAAATGAGGATTTAGATGCCAATTATGTCCTGTAGACCCAGGTGCTCTCAAAGTATTTGCACTGGTCTTCTAGGTATGGACATATAAATGAACTTTACTGTTACTCAAAGGTGAGAAAACTTACCCATTATAAAGGAAAGGAAAACAATTATACCTGATAGAGCAAAAAGATCACACATTAAAATGATCAAATTCATCTCTAGCATAAGACTAGAATAATCTGCTTCCAAAGAATTCCTTTGTACTTTAGTAGATGAGGGCAAAGCTTTCACCGTAATGAAAAGGCAAATGGGAGGTCTCTGATAAGTTGGAATCATCATAGCAAAAAAAGAGATACCTACCAGAAAATTTGCATTAATATCTATAACCTCATTTGTAAAAAAAAATCATTAAGTTTATAAACTATTTTAAAAATAAAACGAATACATATGTAATATGAATCATATGCCAAATTATATTCTATAGTCATAAGTGCTATTAATAAATACATTTGATTCATGCTACAAGAGAAAGAATTGAGACAATTTCACATTTCAGAATTCCTGAGTCTTATCAGAGAAAAACAAGTACTGAAAAAACAAACACAATAAACCTACTTAAAGTAGGGCAAATAACAAAATTTGGGCATATTTATAGTTTTAAAGCTGAAGACTATGGGAACAATATATATGTACTTCATGAAATTATAAACATGTTTTTAAAGCTTGGTTTTTAAAAAAGGCGTTTTGATCAAACAAGGCCACCTGAGTGACATCTTCAATGATGGTAAGCCCACCATTTTAAAGGAATAACATCTTTATTTAAAAGCCTAATTATTAATATAAAAAGGAAAAGAGTTTATTTTAACAAAATGTTTTAGTAAGATTGCAATGGGACAGCCCTTTGATGAAAAATCTAAGGAGGGTAAAGCCAATGTAACTGAATTAGAACAAGAGTTCCAATTTTGAGCTACCATCCACCAAATAATTTCCCTTTTGCTTTGCATATTACACAGTGAAAATAAACAGTTATATTAAGAGCACTTCAGTCCCACAAGGTAGGATTTAAGCTTTGTGAATAGGTGTAAATGGCCCTGTAACAATATGATGCCTGCAAAAATACATTCAACTGAAAATTAATGTCTGTTCTTTAACTAGTAAGGAAACGGGAAGCTAAGTGGTCCCACTTAAACAATAAAACAAAACAAAACAAAAACCACTGTTTATCCTTTCTGGAAAGACTACCAAAGCAAAGAACATCCAATAATATTATAAATTTAAAACTGCATACTTTTACTCATCTTTACAAGTAGGAAAGATGCATACAAACTACTCATGGGCTTTATAAATAAAGACACTAAGCAGAAATAATATTTGGGTTATTTCTCTGTTCGTAAATACACAGAAATAAAACAATTAAAAAACACTAAAGTGCAGACCTATAGGCCAATACAGGCATGATAAAGAGGTGCAGCCAAATTTGCATCTACATTTACACTTACATACCCAGAAAATGATTCTTGCTTTAAAAAAAAAAAATTGTGCAATTTAAAAACTAGTCAGTTTTGTTTGTGCTGTAATACAATTAGAACTTGTCTCTGCCCACTAGTGAAGTGACTGCTAGACCTTAGATAGCACACTAGGCTCTTGACAATCACGTATCTCATTAGAATCATACAACATTGATTCCACCTCCAGAAAATGTTAGGGTCCTCTTGTTGTAGAATGAAGAGCCACTGGTATTTGGTTGATTGCCTTTAACCAGAGAAGATTTCAGTTCCATTTCACAAGCTACAATAGCTGCATTCAATTCCACTTGAGCTCGATGAACTACATAAAACATGAGGCCTATACTTATAATAATCTGTGAATAAAAATAAAACATTACAGTTATCAATATTTTATACAAAAAAAAGAAATAAATCCAATAAATATTTGGCTTAGAAATGCTTCAAACAGGGTGCTTCTCAAAGATGGTAGGTAAAGGGTTATACATTTTTAAATAGTTTACACACAGTTATTGTTTATTCTTTCCTTTGCTGCTTCTCCTGGTAGTGGAGGACCAAAGTCTACAGGTAACCATGACATGGTATTAGGAAAACACACATTCCTTTTGGTTCACTTGATACAAGCCAAACCTGTCTCTTTGTACCAAAAAGCTTTCTTCAAGGAATAAAAAATGTCTACAATAGAGGTAACAGCTGGCTAAACTTTGTTGGTATAATTAATGTAGTATTATACCTTTGCATGACTATAAATGTCCATAGGTATTTCTAAGCCCACTTAGTGAGAAGCACTACTATTTGCAATGAACTACCTGGTGAAGACAAAATTAAAAGTATTACAGACCACTTAAAAAAATGAAATGCCAATAAACTTCCAAAGAATTAACAAGAGATTGTGAACAAGTAATTGCCTGTACTTAGGAAAAAACAAAATCAGAGGAAAACATGATGATTATTTAAAAATGTTAGTCAAAGGGATACTAGAAAAATCATCACACTGATCAAATTGAAAGTCAGGTTTCTAGTCTTAGCTTAGCTATTCACTAGTGATGTGTGATTTAGGGAAGCTTCAGTTTCTCATTGTCCTATAGGAAGCTGTGGTCCCTCTGTACTTTTTTTTTCTTTCTTTTTTTTTTTTTTTTTTTGAGATGGAGTCTCGCTCTGTCGCCCAGGCTGCAGTGCAGTGGCACAATCTCGGCTCACTGCAACTTATGCCTCCCGGGTTCAAGTGATTCTCCTGCCTCAGCCTCCTGAGTAGCTGGGATTACATGCATGCGCCCCACGCCTGGCTAATTTTTGTATTTTTAGTAGAGACGGGATTTTACCATGTTGGCCAGGCTGGTCTCAAACTCCTGACCTCATGATCTGCCTGCCTCAGCCTCCCAAAGTGCTGGGATTACAGGCATGAGCCACAGTGCCCGGCCAACTTTAGCATTCTATGTACAGCTCCTCAGAATGTCTAAGCAGTGTACATTTTCTAAATGAGTTTTATTCCAAAGTTCATTTGTAAATCAGTTCTTTAGGATTTGGAGCAAACACAGCAGGTGTTATTTAATGTCCCAGCAAGTTTACAAAGGCTGCTGTAACCAAAAGTGATACGGAAATATAATACAATTTCAATGAAATCTACCCATAATTATAACATAAGCTTTAAAGGGAAAGTATTCTAAATCCAAGTGCTGAGGGTGGTTGGGGGAGGAGATAACAGAAGCAGAGCATACTGGGGGTATGGTAAGTGTGAGAGGGGAGGAACTTGGAACTTGCACAAGGGGGTGCCATTAAATGAGTACCCATCACTCAGTAAAATCGTAAATAAGTTAGGCATCTTAAAGCTGGGTCTTTAAATTCTGTAACTGTTTTCTGTTACTTCTCTTAAAAGAAACAAGATATATTTACCGAAAACTCCTAAGTTTGCTATGTATCAACAAATGGAAACACCATGTAAAGAGATGAAAAAAATATGGGGGCGGGGGCGGGTGCTTTGTGAATTAGATGCTACCTTCTGTTTAAGACATGCTGAATTCGAGGTGCCTCTTAGATATCCAAAAAAGTTCATGGATGTCAGTGAAGGGGTCTGAAGCTATGGAAAGAGGGCTGAGCTAAAGACAAGTGCTGGGGAGTAGGATGAGGGCAGGCGGAGGGTCTTGACCCAAATACACATATTAGCAACCATCAGAGTAACTGGATTTGCTGTAAAAAAGTTTTCAGAGTAGGACTAGAAAACTTAAGCTAGGATCTTCAAAAACACAGATATAAGGGGTGAAAGGAAGAAGTTAAGCATAAGCTAGGCAAGTGGAAAAAAAAAGTTAAGACAGTGGTATCAAAGAAACTAAGGAAAGAGTGTTTTAATAATGAAGGCACTGTCAGGAGTCTTAGACTACTAACAGGTCAAGCTAGATGAGAAATGGAAAGTACATCTCATTTAGACAAGCTTACTGACAGCCCTAAGAAGAGCAGTTTGAGGGAAGGAAGTGGCAGGGCCACAGATAGCAAGGGTGAAATGGTTACATCTTTAAGTGGGACTTTCCCAGCTGCACTTCTGATCCCAGGGCCTGACGATTTGTACTGTCCCCCAACACACCTTCCCCATCTTCCTTAGCTGAGTGAAGTGTTAAAAAGGGTTTAGAAAATGGAAATAGATAGTACAGACAATTGTTTTAAAAGTTTCCTTATTAAAATGAAATCAAAGAATCAAACACAGGCAGAAGGTCAAGCCTCATACAGAAAGACAGGCATCTCTTAATGCTAACTGGAAAGCAAGCTAAGCAGGGGCAGGAACATAAGAAGTTAACAGATTTCTTATATGCAAATTCAGGGGTTTCTCAGTTGAAGGCTTCTGATTTTTCTGTTAAGCAAGAGAGGTAATCTGCTGACAATAAAGATGGAAACAGGCGAAGGAGTCAAAATTGTGAGGAGAAGTGAAGATAGTTTAAAATAATTAACTATTTCAAGACAACAGCAGGGGAGTGAGAAGACAAAGGAGAGAGATGGGATGTGGGGCAGTGTCGAGAAACTAGGTGAAGATTTGCAACCATGAGTTAAATATCAATGTGTCTGGTTACATGACTTCCCCAAAAGAATAGGGGCAAAGCAGATAAAACTTGGATGTATTCAGGTTTGGGGTTTTGGTTAGTAGATACATAGAAAAATAACAGGCATGGAAGAGTAACTAAATAGACCACAGAATCTAAGCTGGATTTCAGTACAGTTTGAGCATTCCTAACCCAGAAATTCCAAACCTCAAAGGCTCCAACCCGAAGTTTTTGAGCACTAACAAGACACTCAAAGAAAATGCTCATTCGAACACTTTAGATTCCAGACATTTGGATTAGGGATACTCAACAGGTAAGCACAATGTAAATATACTGAAATCTGAGGAAATTCAAAATCTAAAACATTTCTGGCTGCAAGCATTTCAGATAAGGGATAATCAAACTGTACAAGAAATGGTTGTGGCTTCCTATGAACAGTTATTTTGTATTGCTTTATTTTAGGCTGACAGCCATAAAACTCAGAGGCAAATTTGTGGCTCGTTTCTAGAAAATAAGAGGAATCTCATGAATATACTTATTCTGCTAGCTTTAACCTAAGCTCTCTTTTTTTCCTTTTGTATATATTTTGTAAGCTGCATTAAATGCCTCCTGATACAAATTAAGCTGTAACTAATATCAATTAAATCAAACAAGCGTAAACATGTCTTCACTTCTTTTCATAAATCCCTAGGCTAAGAAATATGTGCTTTCCCCACTGTCTTGTATTCTAAGCTTAAATTTTCCAGCTTAGCCAAAGGGTGAGAAATCACTGAATAAAAGAAGATTCTATAGTTTAAAAAGCATCATGAACTTCATTGACTATAGTTGAGTAATTTACTAAGATGCATAAAAATATAAAGTTTCAAATAGTAAAAGTTCTCTCTAAGCTACTAACAATGAGGGATTCTAATTACTCAAATGTAAAGTCAAAGGGAAAAAAATGTTACAAATAGATTACTTATTTTCAGGAAACTACAAAAAAAATGCTTAACTTCATACTAAAAAAATCTGAGAATGCAATACATATTAGATAATTTTACAGTTCTTTGGGACAATCATAAATGTTAATTTATATACTGTGCTATAGATATAATGCATAGAAAGTTTAACTTTATATGATTAGCATGCTGTATTATATAAATAAACCAACTGTAACAAAAACATTTAACTTAGATTCAGATTATCTGAAGAAAATATAGCTCTGGGGAAAAAAAGTAAAGAAAAATAAAAACTGACTCTTTGCATGTCAAAAATATTACAAAATTTTTCTTAAAGCAAGTACTCTTATTGATAAGCTTTATTTAGGCAATATTTCAATGTAAATATTCATGGTTTTACTTTATGTACTAAACTTGTACCTCATAAGCGCAAAGAAAATTAACTCTGGCTTTATTTTATCATAGTATTTTAAATAAGATAGGGCCTCAAAAACTTGAGAATAATGCCACCAAAATTAAATTTGTAATACGGTACCATATACTCAATAACAGTTAAGTTAAAACTAACAAGTTAAAAGACCAGTAAGTCTGGAGGACCATTTCATTAGTATTATTTGCTTAGAGGAGTATAGTGTTGTCCCCTGTATCTGTGGGGTATTGGTTCCTGGAGCCCCCCAGATTTCAAAATCTGTGTATACTCAAGTCCCTTACATAAAATGGCATGATAGTTGCATATAACTTTTGCATATCCTTCCATGCTTTAAATGATTTCTATATTACTTATAATACCTAATATGATGTAAATGCTATGTAGTTATTGTAATACTTTTTTGTGCTATTTTTTATTGTTGTATTGTTATTTTTAATTTTTTTCCCAAATATTTTTGATCTGTAGTTGGTTGAATCCATGAATGTGGAACCAATGGATAGAGAGGGCTGACTATATTCTACTGGTTTTGAGCATAATCTCTAGAACCAACCACCTTGGTTCAAATCCTGGCTCTACCACTTATTAGTCGGGACTTTAAACAAGTTACTATCTAATGGTGTCTTTGTGAACCAGTTCTTGTGGATCAGAGACAGGGGGCTTGATTTACAGCACTTGCCATTTCCCATGGTGTAAATATTCCCATCATGGGCAATTCAAGCTATCAATGTGATGTCACTGAATGCTGAGTTGGGAAGAGATGTATAATACATAACCAGCTCAAGATAATAAACATCTGAAAAAAAAAATCTGTACATCCTAGGGTTTTGGTAGGGACTAAATGAGCTTAAATATGTGGCATATAAAGCATGGAATAAAGGTGAACTATCATCATCATCTTACTAGTTCATGAAAAATTATGATTTTCTATTTTGTTAAATCTCAGGAATAAAATCAATCACAAATAAATTTTAACTATTTCTGCATGCAAATTTAAAGGCTCTAAAGAAATTTGCCTATGTGGCAGTGTTTTTCTCTTTCATCAACTTCTTATGTAAAATTTTATGTGCCCCAAACTATATTACAATCTGCATGGTAATAATAATCCATTATACAAGTCTTATTTGGACTTGTAATAGAAAACCTTAGACATTTTTACGAGGTAATACTTTTTAAAACAAATCTTTTGTTTCACATCAAATTGTACTAGAAAGAAATTTACACTCTCAACATAACACTAAAAAATACAAATAGGTGAGTTTCAATAATTTGAATATAAATAAGATAAGCACTCAACTCTGCCCAATCTTACTGAAATTATTTTCAGATACACTTCACACAAAATCAAAATACAGTATTTGATTTGTGATGACTCTGAAAATAATCACTGCAAAAATAACCCTATTTTTGTCATTCTTTTTTGCCTCTTTAAGAGGATTTTTCTGTATCAATTCAGTTCTACACTTGCATATATCCACACAATTAAAAAATTTTAATGTTGTCAAAATATGTAGTAGTAATGAAAGAACCAAGAAAAAAATCTAAAATGGAAAAACCCTCTGATTATTTTCAATGAAATCTGTCAAATCAGCAATGCCATACAAAAAGAAACAGAGAGAAAAAAAGAGACAACCCTTGGCCTTAAACTCACCTGTAAACAAAAAACAAAATATCCACTAACACTCTGTTCTGCAATGACATCTTCCATTGTCCGCAGGGTGGTACCCAAGTAAGAATTCAGAAGCTGGGTAGGAAGCAGTCCAACCGAAGATGCCATCAGATAGTTGGGTAATGAGAGATCAGTAATCTAGAAGAGTAGATTAAAGGGAATGATTCATTACCAAGTAAAATTTCAATTCAACATAAAAAAATGTGTGTATTAAGTCTAACTAGTGGTATTTCCTCGGGAAGGAGCTGACATCTTTACAACAGTATTCTGAGTTTACAAAATGATTATAAAGAGAATACATGCAGAATGTAGAAAATTTAGAATGAAATAAAAGTAAATTTTAATATTCTATTATACTACCATTGAAAGGTAACATTTGTGACTATTTTTTCTTTCATGTAAATAAAATCCACACATTGATAACTTTGTAAAAACAGTTTTGTAAGTCTTCCTCATATCATTAAACATTCTTCATAAGCATTCTTAATTAGCAGTGTGGTCGCTGAGCTTTGAAGCCAGATAACCCTAGAATGGCATTCTGGTGCTGATAATTCAATATGCTACTCTGTCTCTAAATATCTGTTTTGCTTTGTCTGGATCAGAGTCTTGCTCTGTCGCCCAGAGTGGAGTGGAGTGGTGCGATCTGGCCTCACTGCAACCTCCACCACCTGGGTTCAAGCAATTTTTCTGCCTCAGCCTCCCAAGTAGCTAGGACTACAGGCACATGCCGCCACACCGCTACTTTTTGTTGTTGTTGTTGTTGTTGTTTTTGAGACAGAGTCTTGCTCTGTCGCCCAGGTTGGAGTGCAGTGGCCCCATCTCAGCTCACTGCAAGCTCCGCCTCCCCGGTTCATGCCATTCTCCTGCCTCAGTCTCCCAAGTAGCTGGGACTACAGGCGCCCGCCACCATGCCCGGCTAATTTTTTGTATTTTTAGTAGAGATGGGGTTTCACCATATTAGCCAGGATGGTCTCGATATCCTGACCTTGTGATCCGCCTGCCTCAGCCTCCCAAAGTACTGGGATTATAGGCGTGAGCCAGCACGCCAGGCCCTACTTTTTTGTATTTTAGTACAGACAGAGTTTCACCGTGTTGCCCAGGTTGCTCTTGAATTCCTGAGCTCAGGCAATCCGCCCACCTCAGTCTCCCAAAGTGCTATCAGTTTTTCATCTGTAAAATGAAAATCATCACCAGCTTAGATGGCTGTTGTTAGGATCAAAAATATTTCTAAAGTATCTAGGAAATACCTGGCATATGAGTGACACTCAAAAAAGGTGAAAATTATCATTATTATGCAATTATACTACCATTGTGTGGATGTAGCACAATTTAACCACTCCTGCTGTAGAATATTTACATTGCTTTATTTTTTGAATATATGTAATTACACATTTATTTTTGGCTATTATCAAAAAATTCTAAAATTACAATGACATCTTTTGGATATTAACCTCTGTGGTAGGCAACATCTAAAATATTCCTAATGACTTGATCTCCTGGTATTCATGCCCTTGTGTGATCCCTTCCCCTAGAGCGTGGGCTGGACCTCGTGCTTACTTCTAGCAAACAGGCAAGAGCAGAAGTGAGGAGATGCCACTTCCAAAATTAGGTTACAAAATGAATAGGACTTCCACTTCTTCCTCAAGCAAGTAAGCTGCCATGCTCTAAGTAGCTCCCATGGAGAGACCCAATGTGGCAAGGAACTGATGTCTTCAGTCAATAGCTAGCAAAAATAGTCTGGAAAAATAGCCAGTCAATAGCCTGGAAGTGAATCCTGCCCGAGTCAAGCCTTAAGATGATGCAGCCCTGGCCAAAACCTTGATTGCAGCATTGTGAGGGAGCCTGAGTCAGAGGTACCCAGCTAGTTGCACAGGAATTCCTGACCCAGAGAAATTGTGAGACAATAAATGATTGTTTTAAGCTACTAAGTTTTGAAGTGATCTGGTATACAGCAATACATGACACACGTATCTTAACTCTGGTAGGATAGATCACTAGAAGTAGAATTATTGGTTCAAATAGTAAAAAACTTATTTTCCAAAATGTTCACAATGATTTAACACACCTGTCAGTATGTGATACATGAATGTGTCCATTGTGTCATACTGTTACCAACTGTAGGTATTAAATTTTAATCTTTCTTATTTTGATAGGAGTAAAAATGATGTTTCATCATTAATCTGTACTATTTTATATTGACACATTTTCTACATATGTTTTTTATTCACATTTCCTTATGGCTTCATTTGTTCACATTTGCTTTTTTTATTGGGATGTTAAGTGTTTTTCTTGTTTATTTGTAAGAACTATTTATATAGTGAGGGCTATCTGTTGTCTATTATATGTAGCATATAGTTTTCGCTAAAGTGTCCTTTATCTCTTAATTTTATGTTTTGACATACAAATGTTTTTAAATTTTTATATAATCAAATATTATCTATTTTTTCCTCTTATTTTTCCACTGCATTTAGCTTTAGAAAGTGTTTTAAGAGTATATTGTTGGTTTCTACCTATATATTTCTTCTGATTATGTTTTCCTTTTTAGCATTCACCACTTATTCCTTCTGAAATTTATTCAAATTAAAGGTGAGGATATAGCCTGATCCCTCCCCGTTCCAGTAGCCAATTTTCCCAGCATTAGATACCAAATAATCAATAACTTCTCCATGGACTTATTATGTATACTTCAGTAGAAATAAAAGTTACTTTATATAAAAAGGGCTTATTTGGAGCTCTAATACTGTCCATGTATATTTTAAATCTTCTACTAGAACTAAAACATGGGTATCTCAAATCTCGTACTGAAACCAAATTGTAATAAAGACTACCAGTTAATACGTGGCAAGGAATTTCCCATTCTATTCAAACTCCTTCTTTACGCTTCTTTTAAAAATGGCCATAACTGTTCTTGGCCATATTTATTCTTGCAGATCATTCTGTCACTCAAAAAAAATCAGTACATTTCATATTGGGATTAAGGCAAATCTGCAAATTAATCTGGATAGACCTGAAATCTCTACAATATTAGGTATTCTTATCCAGAAATTTTTCTATAATTACTCAAAATCTTCTTTTATACCTCTTACTAAAGTTTGGTCACTTTATTCACATATCTCATGCATTTCTTGTTAGTTTATTTCTAAGCACTTCATGTTATTATTGTTGCCACTACTACTGATTTTGAAAGTAACTTTTCCACATCCCCATCTGAGTATTACTGGTATATAAGAAAGCTACTGGCCACTATATTAAACTTTTTTACAAATTTTAAAATCTGATACTTTAATCAGCTATAGGTGAATCTATAACTATTAATACAACCAAATCTAAAAATCATTTCACATTTTCAGTAAAACTACATTCAACTATATTAATAGATAATGAACTGGAGATGCATCACTGCTGATTTGGAAAGAATATTACAGTGACTGGTTGTTAACAATCCACCTTATCGATCACTGACTCAACTGCTCATGCGAGATGCTCCAAGAAGTGCTTGGAAGAGATAAAAAGACACAATGCCTACCACTGATGGATTTACACACTGACAAATACACATAAACTACCTCAGAAACAGGCAGAATGGGGAGCATTGAGAAGGCCTACATGCTGAGCATTAAAGAATAAAGGATGAAAATTAGTTGTAGAAGTGGAAACCAAAGCGTAACTTTTTGGGAAGAGAGGGATTCAAGGCAGACACTGAAAGCCTAGTATGAGTTTGGCAAGCAAAGATAGATAGGATGAGGAAGGCAGGTGTTTCAAGAAGAGAATGAACAAAAGATGAACAGCTTCCAAATCATTTTATTTTATTTTATTTTATTTTATTTTATTTTATTTTTTTTGAGACGGACTCTTCGCTGTGTCACCCAGGCTAGAGTGCAATGGCAGGGAAAGTACAGAATATATTCATAAAGTTGGCAGTACAGCTAGGATTGTTTATACGACACACACAAATCCCGTAAAATAAAGACAGGAAAACTACATGGGGTGATACTTGTTGGGGCCTTGGATAAAAGAGGAAGGAGCCTATACTCAGAGGAAAGGTACCAGGGAGTCTAGTCAAAGAATGATGTGAATGGAGCTAAGCTGAGCAAGGTTCCTTCTTCAATTTAGAGCACTTACAGGAGCAGAGAAATTTCTTTAGAATAAACATGTCAAATAAAGAAAATGAGAACATATGACAAAAATGAATGTTATAAAATTATATTGCAGTTAATAACAAAACATTACATATTATGGAAGTTATCTTTAAAATAAATATCTCAGTTCAAAAATTTCAGAATGCAACACTTCTGGCCACAACCTTTACCTTTAAATGTAATGAAGCTTCTCTAAATAGAACACATAATTGACATTCATAGATGACATCAATAATATTCAAATTGGTAATTTAAGAACAGATTTCCTAAATGTGAAACAACTCCACCACTCAACTCAACAAGACCGTTGCCCATGCATAAACTGCATAAACTGAAGTTTATCAAACCTTTCATGACCAAACCTTACCCTTGGGAAACAGTGTTACTATGCATACATATAATTTTAGTTAATAATCGTAAATATTTTTGCTGGAGGGCTCAATGCTTTAACCAATGGAGCAACACAGTAACATACATATACACAGGTTTTAAACTATTAATAACTTTATTAAAGATGAACAGCTTCCTCCAAACTATTTTATTTTTGTTTTATATATATTTTTTTGAGAGAGAGTCTCACTCTGTTGCCCAGGCTAGAGTGCAATGGCACGATCTCGGCTCACTGCAACCTCCGCCTCCCAGGTTCAAGCAATTCTCCTGCCTCAGCCTCCTGAGTAGCTGGGATTACAGGTGCACACCACCACACCTGGCTAATTTTTGTATTTTTAGTAGAGGCCGGGTTTCACCATGTTGGTCAGGCTGGTCTCGAACTCCTGACCTCATGATCTGCCTGCGTCGGCCTCCCAAACTGCTGGGATTACACGCGTGAGCCACTGCACCTGGTCTATTTTAATATGGCATTTTCTATAAGCAAAAATTTTACTCAGAATCTCCATCTAGCTCAGTCTTTGACAAACATATTTGGAATACTTGTTCCCACAAGGAGATGCATCCAGCCTTCTCTCCCCAGTAAGTCTTCAAGCACCAAAGTTATAAAATTCTGTCTCCTTGTTCTACTTTGTAGAAAGACATTAAACATGAGCCTAGATCAATACCATTGGAATTCCTGCTTGCAGTACCCAGCATTTTGGCTCAGGAGTTGTATTCCAAATCAAAGAACCCCTACACTTCTCAACCTAGGATATCGATGCTATCTTGCTAGTTAGTTTCTATGATGAGATACCACAGCAAGAGTTTAAGGGATGGCAAACACCAACTGATTGCTGTCATCTCATGTTTTAAAAACTCTAGAAGCACTATAAAATTATATATCCTCTTATTCCCAGAGGTACAGTGATATACTTGGAGATGTGATTCACTTAACTGGGTCAGCAGGGGTTAACATGTGGAACATCACTTCACCACTATACCAAATAGATCCTGAAAACAAAGAAGTACTCCATCTGGGAGGGAAAAAAATGAGAGGAAAAAAAACTAATTCTGAAGAGCAAGAGCTGATTCACCTCTGAACACAGCATTTCTGGAGCTGACAACAGAGAACCTCTGTCTTCAGATCATTCACTGAAGCTGGGGTTGTGGTCGGTCCTCTTAGGCACAGCACCAAGCACAGCTCTCAGGAAACCTGACCCAGCTCTTCTGCTTTCTAAGATTATAGCTTTTTACACAATGGCTTTACCACTTTGATTTAACCCACCCAGAAACTTTGTTTTTACATAGAATATCTTGGCATGGATGTAATAAAAAATATAAAGGTGACCAGTATTCAGAAGACCTCAAATTTTATGTGCAGCTCTGTGAATCTAGCATTAATTTTGGCAAATTATACCTTCCTGTATAGACTTGTTGCTTGGTATTTGGGATGCTGCTTATTAACAAAGTTACTGTTAAAATATTATAAATTCCAATTAAAATACATTTAATTATATTATATATGAAAAAATCATGAATCCCTATAGAAAAAAATCATGAATCCCTATGACTGTTAAGAAAGGATTGGTCAAGAGAAATTAAAATGACCAGTTTGGTCTTTTCATCTAATTAATATTTACTGATAATTTTACTGTACATATCCCCAAAATACTTCCTATTAATATTTCAGAAAAATTGGGGAACAGAGAAAAAGAATTCAGAAGCGGCAACTATTTTTCACTCTCAGAAAATCAAAACTTTAAAAATCAGTTTCAAGAAAAACATTAACTACCTATTCTCTTTCCTTTGCTCCCCAAAATACCTCTTCATCTTTTCTGTGTTCCCAATCTCAGCGGCCCTAGCTGGAGACCTCATCAGTCAGGCACATAGCTAATTCCTTATTTCCCACATTCAATATCTACTACATCTTGTCAACCGCACCTTCTCTGGGGAAATCTATCCACCGTCTGGGCCTATTTCTAATTCAGTCTCCTCTTTGGTCCTGACTACACAGACTACCCCCACTCACTACCTATGGTAACCCTGCAGAAATCTTTTTAAAAAGTGAGCCTAATCCTGCTTAAACTCCCTCCTACTGCCATGAGGTTCTTCAGAGTGCAAAGTGCTTCATGATCTGGCCTCTGAGCATTTCATGCACCCTGTCACACTATGTCCCAGTCACATCAAAATTTTCTCAGTTCCTAGAACACTACTTGCTCCCCTTTCCCTCTGGGCCTTTCTACGTTGTTCCTTCTGGGGAGTACAACAAGCACATCCTTCTTCCCACTCCATTTACTCCGAAAACTCCTACACTGTCTTTCACTACTCAGTCATCAATTACTCTAGGAAACCTTCCCAGATGCCCCAAGTCTTTGTTAAGTGCTTTCAAGTGCTCTGACAGAACACTATACTTCCCTGTCCCCTTTGCACTGGAGAACAACTGAAGGTTTCACCATTTGTTTGCCCCTCAGTCCTTTCCCAGACTATAAATTCTGTGAGGAAAGGGATCTGTCGTTCTTGGTCCTCATTGTGTCCCTAGATCTTAACAAATGCCTACTATATATTAGTTGCTAAATATATGTTTATTGGAGGTTGGATGTATCAACACCAATAATGCTTTATTTATAAATATGGAAACCTAGAATAGTTGCCAGTTTATAAACAAGTTGGAATGCAATGTCCATTTTTAATCGGATTTTCAGAAATTAAGAACACTCTGCCAAACACACAGAAAAAATGTTATAAATGAAAATTAGCTTATTATCAGCAAAACTTACACCATGATTTACCTAGAATGCTATTTCTCCACTGGAATGCTACCACCTCAAGGGAGAGACTTTCTTTTATTCACGGCTACACCTCCAGCATTTAAAACAGCAGCAGGCACATACTAGGCACCTACCAATTATTTACTGAATGAATACTAAAAATATTTCCAGAAACCGCCATGGTGAACCTAATGTCAAGGCTAAGACCCTCTGGTTAGGGTCTCTCAAGCAACCCTGAGAGTACTGAAAAAAGTCTTGCTACTGGAGGAAAAAAAAAAAAAAGAACAAGAAGGCCGCAGCAGTGCTGAGACCCTACCCTAACAGCTAGAGAGGGCTTCAGGGTAAAGAGATTTCTACTGACAGAAATGGTTAGGTCAATGTCTGTCTACAACACAGAAGCATCTTCACATATGCAAGCTTTTTCATGACTTCACTGTCCCTAAATTAGGAACTGCTTTTAATGGTTCCCAAATATCTTAGGGAGAGGTCACCAATTTATTTGAGAATCTGGTGTAACCCCCCTTCCACCCTCCCACCCACATACACACAGAGGCCTTGAATCTTCTCTCAAGGGGGGAAAAATGTATATCTTATTGTACATAATTTCTGGAACACAAGTTGAAAAGCTTTTCTTCATACAGTCTGACATACTATAGGTTTATTATTTGTACTAAAACATGTATCATATGCCTTCTATATATATCTAAGACCCAGTTCTAAGCAGAATAAAAAAGATACAAAGATGGAAAACTACAGCTGACTGTGCAGTCATTAAAAGTCATGTTGTAATACACGTAATAACAAGATGTTCATTACTTCAAGTAAAAGAAGGTCACAAAAATCATTAACTCAATATTATATTAAAATACATATCAATAAAATGCAAAGAGAAAAATAAACACGAAAATGTTAATGATGTTTTTCTTTGTACTTGCTATACTTTTCAAAGTTTTTACAATGAATACATACAGACAGAAAAAACAAACATTGTTAAAACATGTTTTAATAACCTCGTTGCTTTTAAACAAATTTTTTTTAATCTAGGAAGGGTTAATAAAACATACTCTATATACATTAATATAACAGGCTAGAGATATAGATTAGTGAATTGTAAGCCTACATATGACACAAAAACTGCAGAAGCTGATGAGATAACTAAAGAGACACAAAGAGGGGAAAACAGTTTCAAGGAAATAAAGGTCAACTGCATTCAGTGGTATTGTGAGGTCTCAGGATGTGCACTGAGATGACATTACACAACTTGTTCATCCTATCTGACCCTTAAGGGCCAGACTCCAACTCTTTCAAAACACAGACTGTGTCTGCCTTTCTATTTTGCCTGAACTGTACCACTGGCAGCGAATCATTACACTTTAATAGTAAGAAGAAATCATCATTAGATACACTGATACAGTGACAAGTATTATGACCGATCATATCTTTTTTTGAATCTATGGCTCTATCTACAGCACAGAATAAGAATTAAGAAAATAAGAAAACATATTACAGAATAAGAACTCAAGAAAATGAGAAAATGTGTATTTTTATAACACATACTATCACTAAACTGTTAAAAAATAAAAGGTAATGTTACACTGTTGCTCAGAACATTTGTCTTTTTAAAAGCAAACTCTGACCTCATCTGTACCCTCTCATTTTACAAATAAGGAAAACTGAAGGCCAGAATCATTAAATCACTTCGCCAGGGCTACAAAGGAGCTAAGACAGAACCAGAAGACCCCATAGCATAAGCTAAGACTATACTGTATTTGTGGTCTTAGAGTCATTTGCCAAAAACTTTTATTTAGTTGTAATAAATTTCAGTTCAAATATAAACTAAATTAGTAAAAGTAATTTATCTTCTTGATAGCTCAATGCAAACTCAAAGAAAACTTGAGAACAGTTATATCTGCTTAAAGTTATGATGACATCTTTCACTATTATTATTTCAGTCAGTACCAGTTTCACAGCTCCCCGGCTCCCTCCAAAACAAAGAATCTATTTGTTGCTTCAAACCTATGGTGGGCTCATATAAATAACCAAAGTAACTGGCAGTTTGGTAACATTCAATTCTATAAAGCAGTTCCCTAAGAAGTGAGCCAGGGTGATGGGTAAGGTCTTGCACTTTAAAATTTACTCATTTCTATTTTGTTTGCATTTTACACACAGTACCCATTTATTGCTTTAAAAATTTTTTTTCTGTTAAATAAAAATACAAGATATATGTGAGAAATTAAGGGCCTCTTCCTACAGTTGCAGGGGCTCAGCCTTGGTAGCTGTTTTGTTGGTGTGACTCTAAGGCAGAAGTTGGCAAACTTTTTCCATGAAGCACCAGGTAGTAAACAGTTCAGGCTCTGTAGGCAGTAGGGTCTGTAGTAACTACTCAATTTGCTGTTTTGGCTTAAAAGGAGACACACATAGCACACACATAAATGAGCACAGCTGTATTCCAGTAACACTATTTACGGATGCTGAAGTTTGAATTTCATATAATTCTCATGTATATGAAATATTCTTGTGGTATTTTTTCCAACCATTTAAAAATGGAAGAATCAATCTTAGCTTGTATGCCATACAAAATTGGGCTGTGGTTTTCTGACCCCTGCTCTAACATCTGGGATGATACCTAAGTCAACTGTATAGAACCTTACCCAGTCCTCCATAATGTCTGATCTTTAAGGTGCTCTAAGACAAGTATTCTATAACTGGAATCAGGATGTGTCTGGGAAATCCAGCTCTTCTTGGACCAACACTAGTGCCTGGATAAGTTAATGACTCTAAACATTTACTAACTGTGTAATCTTGAGCAAGTTATTTCACCACTGTGCCTCAACTGCTTCAGCTATAAGATGAGGATCAGGGCTGAAATGAACAGTAAATAAGTTATGTGTGCATGATTAAACAGTGCCCAGGAATTAGTTAAGTACAATGTAGGTATTTGTTAAATTTTTTTAAAAAGTAGCTCAACTTCACTGTCCTTATTTTGGAAGGCAGAGGATGGTGAGAAAGAAATAGTAAATAATGAGCAAACTATATATTTTATCACAGCTTTGCAGCAGGTATTATTAAACACATCCCACAACAGAAAGTATAGCTCAAAAGAGTAACTATAACTACTTCAAGATGACACTGTAAATGTTGGAACCAATCTCATTTCAAGTTTCTACCATGCATGGGAGAAGGGGAAAAAATGGTTCAGAGGAGATAAGCAAGGGAAAGCACCTTTCCTTCTTCCATATATTATCCTTTACAATCAGCTCCTGCTTCTAAAATGTGAATACAACTACCTCCACCACTACAAACAATAATGACACTTAACAATTACTGGGAAGTGACTATGAGCCAGACAAAATACTTAATGCCTTCACTGTATCAGCTTTTTTAAGCCTCATAACTACTTTATTTTACAGATGAGGAAATGGAGAAGGCCAGATGGCACAGACTAATTCAGGATCATCTATTTCCAAAGCCTGGGCCTCACATGACCACTACACCTAACTTCTTTGAGGTACGCCCAGATGAATTTCTCTAATTATGGGCACACAAAAAAAATGAGTTTTAACTGGAATTTTTTTCTTTAAAAAAAAAAGGATGATTTCAAAGATAGGGAGGGATGTGGAAAACACAAGAAATATGCCTAGAAAAGGGGGCAGCTATGGTCAGCAGGAGGGGTATGAGGTGGAGAGGATACATGAGGAGGCAGAATGGAGTTCTAGAAGGCAGAAAGTCAAGTCAGACTAAAACCAACATCAGCCTTAACTAAGCTTTCTTTTCTTTCACATATCTTGGCTGAATTCAGTAAACTGTTTTTGTTGAAAGGACTACTTCTGTAAGCAGGCAGTTCAGAACAATAGGTATAAACAGGACATAACAGACCATATCCAGGGGCTTCACAGTCCACCCTGCTATGGCTGAGTCAAAATTTTACAGTAAGATGCACCATATCAGCTGATCCTGGGTTCAAACCCTAGCTCAGCCACTTGGTAGGTGGGTGACTGAAGAAGTTCCTGGATGGTTGAGCCTCTGTTTCTTCTCAGTGAAATGGTGACAATAATACCTATTGCAAGAGGCCATTTTTCTTTTTTTTCCCTTCTTTTTTATTGACCACACAATGCTAAATTGAGATTTGTCCCTTGTCAAGCTCAGTTTCAACTACATGATTACCTTAAATTATTACCAAGCACAAAATACAACCTCTTAGTTATATACTTAATATGTAAGAGACAAAATCAAAAGAAAAGCCTACCTTATTGTCAGTCGATAAATACATAATGAGCCCTTACTATTTACCCATGACTACACCAGGCATTAAATATATATTCAAGAAATAAAGAGGTGGTTGGTTGAGACACTGCCATCAGACCATGGTTCAAAGTTTGACTCTACCATTAATTTAGTACCTTGGTGACCTTGGGTCATAACAACAGAAACGACAAAAGCCAACACGTGTTTGTTAAGCCAGGCTCTGCTGCATGTATTCATCTCATGTAATCTTCTCAATAATCCTATGGAAGTAGGTATCATTACTTTCCTCATTTTACAAATAAGAAACTGAAGCCCAGAGAGAATAAACAACTTGCCCAAGGTCACTAGATTCTAAGCAGACAGCAGGATTTCACAACACCAGCCCTGTGCTCCCAACTAGTAGACACTAGTCTATAATATGTGCATAATTAACTTCTGCAGGGCTGGTTTAAGGATCAGAAATATGTGGAAAGAGCCGAGGACAGTAGTTGGCACACGGTAGATGGACAAGAAAAGGCCCAAGGATACATGCTATATTGAAACACAAACTAACAGAATCAATCTATTTAGGTTCCTTAGCCCAACCTTCTTTCAAAGTCCTGGGACAGTTTATTTATTATTACCCAAGACTGGGTCAAAGTTCAAGTTTATATTTCATACTATAGGAGGGTATGAAAAAGAAATTTAAGACTAAGACTATACCAAACTACTGCTAACACTAAACTTTATCTCTACAGAAAACCCCTTATCTGTTTCCACTGCCTCTACCAAATACCATTCCATAGTCATTGCTGCTGTTGCTTGGAATCAAGAGGTTTGCAAAAGGCATTTAAAAGAAAAGAAAAAAGAGAAAGGTTTTAATTTCATCACAAAGAGGCAGATTGGTTAGTATTATTCCTAATTCAAAACAAAATGAGAAAGTTTCCAGAAACTAACAATAATTTACGTTTTGAAACAAAATAATGCATCAGAATCACTTAAAATACATCAATTCCTATGGTTTTGAATGCAATTATCTCTTTATTTCAGTAAGTTTTCTTTAAGTCTAGCTGAAGGGTTAAGTTCCTGGGAATCTACATAAACTCTTGGTAGTTTAGAATCACTGAATTTGGGGAACATGGTAATCTACTTTTTTAAGTCCTTCACTTTCGAAAAGAGAAAAGTGAAGCCAGACAGGGTCAGTAACTTGATCCAAAGTCACAAAGTTTGTAAAGACCAGATTCCTTTCTTCCAATAAGATGATCTCTTCACTAGCAGTGTTTCTATCCTAAATCAGTTGCATGGAGATGCACACTAGCTATAGAAACCTGAGTAAGCAAAACATATGAATACAAGGACAGAAAAGAGTCTATAATGGTGCAGATACAGAAGAAAAATATATGCTAACTGAGCAAAAGATTATCTGTTCTGTTTTATTCACCACCCCGTGATTTCGAAATGAAGTTCCTCCAAAGAAAGAAAGATAAACAGTAGGATTTTCTTCTTTACATCACATTAAAGCACAATTACTTGAAGAAGAAAAAGCCCATTTCAAATTTAGCAAACTCCAAAATCTGGAGTCTGCAACTAGCTCCTCCACTGTTTACTGAAACACTTCCTTTGGTCCATGTCGCTAAAAACTTGAATCAAAACCCTGGATGTATTTATGTAAGCAAGAGAGAAAGCTTTCCTCCCTAAATGTTGCCAAAGCTGCTACAAAAGATGACAAGTATTAAAGATGGGCATTTCCATTCATGTCCCTGCATGCCTATTGTTAAGAGGGCTTTTCATTTTTAATTACATTCCCATCCCTAAAAGAAACATTAGTTTTTTATCTAACAAACTCTCTTTCGAGGCTCCGCGTTAGGTATGTTTTATGTGTAGGACAGACTTCCCAGGCTGCGATGGAAAGTAATCGTAACTCCTGCCGTCAATGTCACTTCTCTGCTGGTATTTATCTGATAGAGCGCCCTCCTAGGGCCGCCACAAGACCGCTCAAAAACAGACTTGGAGAGGGATAGGCCAGCGGGACCCCACTTACCGAAAACACTGCATTCTGAAGCCCAAAAGGTATGGGTGTCAGTCTGGCCAGCGCCACCACTTTCAGGCCGCTTCCTCCCTCCACTACGCGAATAACCGCGCTCAGCTTCTCGCTGCTCTGGATCCTGGCGGCCACCCAGGCGGTGAGGAGCCGCTTGCAGACCACATGGGCGATGAAGGTGCCGATGAGGACGCCCACCATCATCAGACCCATGCCCAGCACGAAGCCGTACAGGTAGCCAGCGGCCACGTTGAGCACGATGTAGCCCCAGCCGCAGGGGAAAGAGACCACGATGAAGCCCACGACGAAGAGCAGGACCCCCAGCAGCGAGTCAAGGCTCTCCACCCACAGCAGGAGGTGGTGAAGGTAGCGGCGGACCAGGGCCAGGGAAGCGAAGCACAGGGCGGCCAACACGCAGACCAGCACGAGGCTCCGGCACCAACAGGTGCTGCCGAGGCAGCAGCAGCGCCAGTTTCTCACCTCAGCCACGCCGACCACCACGCCGCCGCCGCCACTCCCGGGGCCGCCCGCCAAGGCCCCGCCCGGCTCCGGCAGCTCCGAAGCCTCGGGCGGACCGTGGCGCTCCAGATAGGCGCCGAGCAGGGCGCCCGAGGCCGCCGCTGCTGCCGCCGCCGCGCTCGCCCCGCCCCCGCGGGGAAGGCGGTCCGCCGGGCCGTCCCCGCCCGCACCCCGCGGCAGGGCCCAGCGGGCCGGCAGCTCGGCGAGGCCCGGGAGGGCGGCGTGCTGCAGCAGCCGGGGCAGCGCCTGGAGCAGGATCCCGCCCGGGCTCCGCATGCCTCGGCCCAGCGCGGGCCCTCAGCCGGCCAGCCCCTCCGCCGCGGCGCCCGTTAGGCAGCTGCCCTTCATGGCGCCCGGTTCGCCCGGCATCGACTCCCTGCGTCCGCTCAGAGGGTGGGAGACGGCCCGTAGAAGGGCGCGGAGTCAGCGGAGGAGCGACGGCCAGGCGGGGAGTGAGGAAACTCCTGCCCCAGCACCCACGGAGCCCACTCCGGTGGTGCCCGCCCCTTGTCGGCCAGAGGGGGCGGGGCCGCGGGCGATGGGGCGGAGCGGGCTGTGTTCTGGTCCGCTCCCGTGACGCGCTGCCCGCCAGGCTGCGGGGGTCGCGGGGCGTCCGCGTGGGCCAGCGGAGGCCCACAGCTGCGGAGGGAAACCACTGGGAGGGGAGAAGGAGCTCTAGGGAGAGCGAGGCTGCAACGAGGGGAGAGCCGGGCGACGGGCAGGGGCCCAGGCGCGCTCCCCGACTTCCCACAGGCGCGCGCATGCCTGCGTGTCAGGGCGCGCGCTCCCCCTCTCGGACCGAGGCGACCCCAGTCCGTGAGCGGCTTGGATCCTCGCCCGTTCCCTCCTGGTCGTTTCCGCAGTAACCTCTTATCAGAGCGGGCAGCTGTGAGTGGCGCTCACATCCGCCGCTGCCCTGTCGAATGGGGGAAAGAGTTCTTGTGTTCTGAGGAGGGTTTGGCTATGGTCCTTGACCCTATTCTTGTCTCAGACTTGCCTCCCAGGTATCGAGGTCTCCCTGTGGGTTTCATATGGCTTGGTCCTTTAGGAGCTGGAAAAATTAGGCATAAAGTCCCCCCACCCCCTTGACAGAACGCCCCTTCTGACTCCAGAGGTCCTTTATCGAGTGCCAGGCATTGGTCTAGGGGCATTTGAAAAAGATTCACTGAAGGACATTTTTAAGAGTTCGCTTTCTCAGAGGGCAGCTTCTCAAACTCATTCGCTGGTTTCTTTTCCTCTTTCCGCCTGTTTAAGGTTAGTGTTCCCCAGGTCCTCTTGCCGTCTTCCTTTTCAGAGTTTCCTGAGCCATCTCATCCAGGCCCAACAGCTTTGATCCTGCCGTGCCCCCCATAAGAAGTGACCCCTAAGTGAATGTCTCTGCCCACACTTCCCAGCTTGTGGTCCGGCCTGTGGACACATCCAGGTGGAATTCTGCAGGCAGCTCAAACTCAGCAGAGCTTGGTAGATAGATGATCAACTTGGGCTCTGGTGCAAATCACGTTTAGTAACTGGTCAAACAATCAGTCCCTGAATCTCATTGTTTCTTTTTAAATTGCAAAATGGAGATAATGGTACAACTTAGCTTCGTAAGAGTGTTGTGAGGATTAAACAAAATAGTAAAGTAAGGTGATTAGCACTATGCCTGAAATCAGTCGTCAGTAAATGTTAACTATGTGATGGTATCCCTCATTAAAAGTGTGATCCCCCATAGACCGACTCTTCCTTCTGGGTTTCATATCTCAGTGGATGACCTTCCACCCAGTTGCCTGCCAGATAACGGACCAGGACACCTTAGGTCGTTGCTGATCAGGCTCCTGCTTGCTGGCTGATCAGGCTCCTCCATGCCATTCCCTCCTATCCACCCTGGTTGGGCTGAGTCAGGTAGAGTCCCTACTAGGTGCCAGGCAAGTGCTACATCCTTCAACTCTCTTTTCCAAGCCTTGTGACTCACACGGAGGAGCAGCTCTTACTGCTGCCACAGCATTTACCTAAAGTTTTACTTCCGTAAAACAGTACCAAGGAGGGATAGTGCTAAACCATTCATGAGAACTCCATTTCCATGATCCAATCACCTCCCACCAGGCCTCTCCTCCAACAATGGGGATTACATACAGTTTGACATGAGATTTGGGCAGGGACACAAATCCAAACCATATCAGTCCTGCACTACCTTCCCTTCACCATCACCCTCAATTTGGTATTTCCTTTCCTTTCCCAGGCTACTTTCTGTATGGCCATTATCACATTTGTCCCGTTGTATTGTAATTTTTTGTTTACATCACTGTCTCCCTCTTTAAGCTTTGAGTTTCTTCAAGATGGGCCCGTTACTTATTTAATCTAAGGAGCAATGAGCCCTCTTTAAATGTTTGTTGCTTACACAAATGATTGCCATTTGTAGGGGGAAATGAAGGCAGGAAAACCAGACAAAATTGCATAGGCAAGAAGCTGTGAGGATCAGTGAAGTAGGATAATGGTCCTGGTGTTAGTTGAATGGGGATAAGTTTAAAGAGGAGCTGGGCAACTGATTTGTTTTCAGAAGAGAGGGAGAGGTCAAGGATAACACCTGGATTTCTTATTTAAAGTAATAGATAATGGGGCCATTGACCAAGAAAGCGACTACAGCAAGTCTGTAAGAAAGATAGCCTTCAGTCTTGATGCATGAGACTTGAGGTGCCTATGATAACATCCAAACGTGGTATTCCAGTAGATGGTTGAAAATATAGATAGGGAATTAAGTGGGGCATCTCTCCTAGAAATTTTGACATTGGTATATGGGCAGCAATTAAGACCATGTTTATGAATGAGTGCGTGGTGATAGGTGTGCCAAATATTTCCTGTTCTCTTACAGGAATATAGGAGGATTGTATGCCCTGGCCTCCCTGTGATGGGGTTGAACTACATGACATGTTCTCCGAATTAAGTGTGAGCATAGCATTTAATTGTTGATGCAAGACCTTCCAGAACTCTTTTTCTCTTTGCCATGGCAATCATCAGTGTTCCAGAGAGCATATGCACGATCAGCCTTGGTATTGGAGGGAAGATGATGCGGAACAGAGTCCCAGTCACATCATGAAGGACATGTAAAGTGAGAAGTAAACCTTGGTTGTTTTAAGCCATTGAGATTTGAGTTTTGTTACCAGAGCAGATCTTTGTCATCCTGGATAATGTGCCTGAGAAGAAGAGGTTTAAGGAAGAAAACTTGTGAACACCAATGTGCTTGTTAGACTCCTTTGCTTGTAAGAAAGAGAAACTCAAGAGACTAATGAAAAGAAGGAACAAGTGTTTATATGGGTATATGAGTAGCTATTAGGAGCCCAGGCATAAGCTACTCTCTTATTTCTTTCTCATTGTGTCTCTGCTCTTCTCTACCTCTTTAATCTATTCTCACACTACCAACTGGCTAATTAATCCACTTCTTATCCTTTAGTCTGCATTTCAGAAGAATATAAGCCAGTTCCAGAGCTCTTAGCTCTAAGTAGCTTCATGGGCTGCCAGCCAACCTGGAAATGAGCTACTCTTGGGTCAGGTGCCCATCCTGCTCTAAACAGTGTCACTCCTACCTGAAACATCATTTAGCTTTCCTGGGCATGGGACCTCTGGTACAGCAATGCAAGCAGTAGTGGGATATTTCTATTCTCGTCCCACTACAATTTATTTTTCACAGAATTGTGAAAATTATGTTTTACAATTGGACATCAGATGTGTCTTAATCCATATCTACCAGCCCACTACAACCAGCCTAAAACTCTTATATTGCGTTAGGGAAAGACCCAACTCTCTGCCTGGCCTACAAAGCCCTTTATGATCTAGCCTCTGCCTGACATTCCTACCTCACCTCCTGCCACCCTCCCTCTCACACGTTCCAGCCACCCAGGCCTCCTGTGTCTCCCTTGGATGAGTCAAGCTGGTTTCCTCCTCAGGACATTTGCATTCTGCCCTTGCCAATCTTTCTTGTTTGAACACTCTGCCCTTGGCTCTGAGAAAGCCTGGTTTCTTCATTCTTATTCGTTTTAAGCTCTCCTGTCATCTCCTCAGAGATGACTTCCCTGATTACCCTCATCTAAAGGACTGCCCTCTCTACATCGGGTTACTGGTACCCCTTATTTTCTTCATAGCACTTATCATCACCTGAAATTGCCTTGTTTATTCCTTTACTTTCTGTCTTCCATAAGCAGAATGAAATACCATGAGAGTGAGTATCTTTCCTGTCTTGTGAACCCCTGTACTCTGATTCCCTAGAATAGTCCCTGTCACACTAAATATTTTTTAAGTGAAGGAAAGGGATGGTGGGCAGTGTGCTCATGTGCTGGTTGTTCTCTGGTGTCGTCTATCCAGGTTCAGTGTCTACCCTTCGCTGGCTTGCTGTGTGTCTCAGGAGGTTGACCTCTAGAGACGGTGTCACTCAGCCTCCACTGGGCTCTGGATTTCCAGTTAGGCTTGACCAGTGAGAGGCACCAGCAGAATATTGGAGGGTAGTACAGGTGAGAAGTGGTCAGGGTATTTATCTCTTCCCGGTTGAGTTTCACTATGGTTTTGGCAGTGGTTGAATTTTGTGAACAAAGTTCTTATTTACCAAGTTTCCAACTCTTTCCCAGCTCTAGTAATGATTTTCTGATGCTTTGTCATCCTTTTTAATACTTCCTTGATTAGACGCTATTTACAGTTGCTTTTGTTGCCTGCAGGAACTCTCACTGACACAGCAGGGGCAGGTCAGAGGCTGACAAGCTCAGTACAGCTAACACTTGAGTTCATATAACTCACCCATAGCCACACAGAGAAAGTGGTGGAAGCAGATTTCAAATTTAAACTCAGGGAGTGTGAGGAGATCTGCAGAAACTGTTATATTAGAAGTCCAAGGAAGAGAGAATGTTAAGATGTTAAGATGGAAAGATGGAATGTTAAGGTGGTTTGTCAAGTGCAGTTGGAGTCCCTTTTTCTTCTGGGTTTGGTGGCCTGCTGCACCTTTGCCTTTCTCTGACTCTCATTAAAATTGTTAATTAAGGGAGATTTTAGAGTCCTAGGCTCAAAATTAAAATTTGGTTTATTTTGTAATACGGCTCCAGAAGCCTTTAATTCTCTATTTAATTTTATTTCTAAAAGAAAAAGATTGGGCACTACTGACCTAGATAAAGACCCAAGATGAGAGAAGGACCAATGAGTGTCCCTTAGATATTTCTTTTAAAGGTAGCCACTAGGGCCTTAGGGAAAGTACTTTCAGGAACAGACAAATTGCACCAGTTTGAGAGTGAATGAAAGGTAACTATGAAAGAGTGAGTTTAGATAGCACTTTTAATAATTTTGGATGGAAAGGAAGAAAAAGGTGATAGCTAGAAGGTAATACAGGGTGAGGAAGATGGGGACATTCTAACTGAAGGATTCCAGTGTGTTTATAGATTGAGGTAAAGAAGGCTGGAGAGAAGAGGGCATTAAGGCACAGAAGAGAGGAAATATAATGAAGCCAGGTTGTAAAGGAGATGAAAGAGAATGTGGTTAAGATATTAGGGGAAGGATTAGATGCAGGGGAGACAGTGCTTCCTTTGAGATTCAAAGGAAAGATGTAGAGATGAATGCAAATTTGCCACTGCCTATTTCTAATCGTAATAGATTCTGTCATTTCAGGATTTATTTTAATGTAGTTGGGGACTGGCAGGTAGTTTTTCTCTCCCCTTTGATAGCCTGGGGCTTCATTTCTGACTTTTCCTGATCAAAAATAAGAACTGATCTATCTTCTCAGCTCTTCAGGTGTCAATTATACAATAAGCAAATTTTTCCAGGCTCCCTGTTATACACTTGCCACTACACTTCTGACTTAGATGTGGTACTTTGTTAGTATCTGTGAGGACTGAAAATGAGATCGAAGAGAAAAATCCAATCAAGCATTAAGTAATCATATTTAAATGGAAAATGGGAAGATACTATTAACGAATTCAATGGTACATCACTCTCTAAACTCTAAATTTGCTATTTTATAATTATGAATTTCTGTGTACTGTACAATATTAGCTTCAGTTAATTTTAAGTGCACCCATAACATTAAATGTGTTTTGATATGTGGTTGTTGAAGCTACCTGTTAAAATTAGTTTGCTGTGATTTATTGTTATTCATACAAATGGTTTATCAAATGCAATTGGAGTCCCCTTTTCTTCTGGGTTCGGTGGCCTGCTGTGTTTTTGCCTTTCTCTGACTCCCATTAAAATCTTTAATTAAGGGAGATTTTAGAGTTCTGGGCTCAAAATTAGAATTTGGTTTATTTTATAACAGGGCTCCAGAAGGCTTGAATTATTTATTTTATTTTATTTTTTATTTTTGAGACAGGGTCTTGCTCTGTCACCCTGGCTGGAATGCAGTGGAGTGTGCATGGCTCACTGCAGCCTCCACCTCCTGGCTTAAGTTATCCTCCCACCTCAGCCTCCTGAGTGGCTGGGACTACAGGCATATGCCACCCCACCTGGCTAATTTTTGTATTTTTTATACAGATGGTGTTTTGCCATGTTGCCCAGGCTTCTTTAGAACTCCTGGGCTCAAGTGATACACCTGCCTTGACCTCCCAAAGTGCTGAGTTTACAGGTGTGAGCCACTGTGGCTAACCAGAAGCTTTGAATTCTTCATGAAATTCTGAACCACATAAACACATAAGCCAGGCATCCCTCAGTGAATAACTCCTGCAGCAAAAGGAAATGAAATTATAAGTGCATTGCATCAAATGGTGGCCTCAGGAGAACAAGGCTGTTCTTCAATAGGCTCTTCAGCTAGCAAGGCAAATAGTTTGTAGATCCTTTTTGGTGCATTTTACAGAAGACAAGTGCCTTTTTTTCAGACTTGCTTAAGATCTGTAATTTAAATAAGTACATTTGGACCCTGTATGAAATTGCTCTTTACTGTTAACAACTAATTCTTCCTGAATGAGGAGTATTCAGCTTATTTGTTCAGGAAGAGTATATTGAGGGTATATACTTTGCTAGACTCTTCTGAGAATATAAAGATGAATTAAAGGCATTTCCTACCTTCAGGGAGTACAATCCAATTGTGAAGAAAAGAACAATAACTCCATTACAAAGCCTGTGTGGTGCGTGCATCAGAGTGGTGTTGAAAGGTTTAGGATGGCAAGGGAAAGCACAATGACTCCAGATGGGGTGGCCGTTTCCAAATAGTGCTCCTAGTTCTGTTCCTTGGATGTGTTAACTAGACACTTGAAACTGAAGGTGTCCTTGATACTCTGAGCTAATGGTGAAAATAACCAATCTTGGACAACTCTCCCATGCAAGGTTACAGTTGTAGTGGGAAATGCTGCAATCTCATCCATGCTTGATCTGCCATCCTCATATTTACACACCCGCCCATGCTTCACCAAGTACGCACCGCCCTGAGGAGTCTCTCCAGTCTCCCTCTCACACTGCTCCTCACTACATATTTGACCCAAAGAAGTGAGTCTTGGTGGAGGCAACATATAAGGATTAGCAGAGAAAGGGGAATCACCAACTCGTATTAGCTAAGTAATTGTTTAGCTAATTACCACTCCCAGTCAGAAAATGAAAAATTATAGGTTGACTCTGCAGATGTGACTTCCAGTCCAGAAGACTCAGAAGATTTGGTGTTTCCAGTTTCCATTAATTTCAATTTCATGGGAAATAGTATTTCAGGATTCCAAAAAGAAAACTGTTGTTCATTTATAAAGGTGAACAAAAATGCCAAATCTTACTGTTATTATACTTACGTTACCATACAAGTTGATATACACACAAAGTACTTCTCAGTCTAGCCACTATGCTAATTAACACCGTATAGCATACTAAGGAGAAAAACTAATATAAACTATCCACCTTAAATTTTTGTTTAAAAATGTAAGTAAAAGGAAAATTCAGAATATTCTACTGCCAATGAACCTTTGTTTACTAGTATAGAAAATATGATTAGAAACTTATATTGATTACTTTCACAGAATAAATTCATTACTTTTTAGTCACACTAATAATGTCTTTTTAGTCACCCAGAATAATGTCTTTCAAGATTTATTAAATACTATGGTTTTATAACTCTTCTCATTAATCAAGACTTAAATAAAATCTATGATTGGAGAAAATTTTAAGAATTTGAACTTGAATCTGGATTTGCATCAATATTATTTGTTTCATTTATAAGATATGAATTAGGGAGGAAAGATCTATACTCTGTGGAACTCTAGGCTTAACGTGACTGACCTCATCTCTTTACAACCTTCTCTCCCAAACCTGTGCTCTCAGTTGAAGAGGAAGAAGAGGGGAAACTTCATCTTCAGTTAAAAGAAAGGAGTGAAAAACAAAGCACAGGAAGTGAGGGGCTTGCCTGCTAAGCCACCAAATAAGATCTTACTCAAAAATGTCTTGTTGGGCATCTACTGTGATCCCAGCATTTTAAAGGATACATTGGAGGTGTACCCTCAAGAATCCATCTTTCAGTGTGAGACGGCCTAAACAACTGCACCACAAAGTGTTAAATACAGTGACAGCACTGTCAGAAGGAATAACTAAATCTGCCTGGGAGTCAGAGAAAGTTTTGCAGCCATAATGATATTTGAGCTGGGTGTTGAAGGATAAGTATACAGTTATTTACATCTTACTCATTTCAAAAGGATTTAAGCTGTCTCTGGGATTTGAGCAGACAGTGGGAGAGTAGAATAGCCTTTCAGGCACAGAAAGTGCCAAAGCACAGAAGTATGAAAAGGTACAATGTGCTTGGGAAGTGGCAAGCTGTTCTGAGGACACATGCATAGAATGCACCTCTATGTACTCTGGGGGAAGCCAGGCAAATAATATCAACAAATATACCATCCTCTAACAGTGGTTTGCAGACTTGAGCATGCATCAGAATTCCCAGGAGAGCTTTTCAAAGAACTGTTTACTGGGCCTCATCCCCAGAGTTTTTAATTCTGCTGGTGTGTGGCCTTGGAAAGCAAGAATTTGCATTTCTCACAAATTCCCGGGTGATACTGGTGCAGCTGGTCTTGGGACCATACTTTAAGAACCATTTCTGGTTTTCTGGACTTCTTCCTATAATCAAATGGGAGTCCCTGGAATTGTTAGAGCTTTAGAAAGAAATAAACATATTTGGATTTAGAAAATTTACTAAAAGCTATGAGGAGAACCAGGGAAGGAAACCACTTGGTAGATTATGTCACATGTCCAAGAGACAGAGTAAATAGACTGCAACCCATTTATGGAAAGATGAAATAAACTTGAGAATGTCTAAAGCATAACAAGATTACTTGCAATGATGGAATATGGGGAATAAGAGAAAGGGAAGGAGTCCAGGATGTTATAATTATGTTCCACAATATAAATGAAATTCTATAGTGTTTATGAATTCAAAGAATCTTATTCCACCAACAAACCATACAAAGTTTTAGATCATGTTCTTGCCAGTATCATGAGCTGGGCCTTTACAGCTAGATAAAGAGATGGCCCAGTCATGGTCATTCAGCAGTCATATCTCAAAAATGTGTAACCCGAAGCCCACTCAGATAGGAGCAAAACTTCCTAAGGAATCTTCTAGGGGTGCTGAACCCACTTCTAGTGGTTGCAGAACTCATTGCACCCACTCTTAGTATCAGAACCTTGGCTGTAAATCTGTTGTGGTGTTTCAGCAAAAGAAACTCAACAGAGTAGACAGACAACCTACAAAATAGGAGAAAATATTTGCAAACTATGCATCTGACAAATGTCTAATATCCAGGATCTATATGAAACTTAAACAAATTTTTGAGCAAAAAGTAAACAACACCATTAAACAATAGGCAAAGGCCATGAACAGTTCTCAAAAAAAGACATACATGTGGCCAAAAAGCATATGAATAAATGCTCAACATTATTAATCACTAGAGAAATGCTAATCAAAACCACAATGGGATACCATCTCACATCAATTAGAGTGGCTGTTATTAAAAAGTCAAAAAATAACAGATACTGGCAAGGTTGTGGAGAAAAGAGAGGGAGGAGTATAAATTAGTTCAGCCATTGTAGAAATAAGTGTTGCAATTCTTCAAAGAACTCAAAACAGAATTACCATTCAACCTGGCAATCTCATTATTGAGTATATATCCAAAGGAATATAAATTGTTCTACCATAAAGACACATGCATGCATATATTCATTGCAGCACTATTCACAAATAGCAAAGACAGGAAATAAATCTGAATGCCCATCAATGGTAGACTTGATAAATGTGGTGTATATGCACCATGAAATACTATACAGCCATGAAAAAGAATGAGATGATGTTCTTTGCAGGAACATGGATGGAGCTGGAGGCCATTATCCTGAGGGAACTAATGCAGGAACAGAAAACCAAAATATCTCATGTTCTCACTTATAAGTGAGAGCTAAACAATAAGAACACATGGACACAAAGAAGGGAAAGCAGACACTAGTACCTACTTGATGGTAGAGGGTTGGAGGAGGGAGAGGTTCAGAAAAAATACCTATTGGATACTATGATTATTATCTGGGTGACTAAATAATCTGTACACCAAACTCCCATGACACACAGTTTACCATATAACAAATCTGCACATGTACCCTTGAACCTAAAATAAAAGTTAAAATAAAATTGTGGTGTTTCCAGCCTGAATATACTTCAACAAGTGTAGGAGCCCTGTCCCCTGACCCCCAGTACATAAAAGACTTCATGAAAACTATAAGAAATTGATAAATTGAGACTGGTGGAAGCCACAAAATGGAAACATAAATATAATTGAGTAAGTTGATACCAATTATATTAAACACTTAGAGGGAGGTTTTGAAATTAACTTCCAGCTTCTCTGTCTAGCAACTATGGAGCCCTTAGCCAAGAATATTTAAGGAATAGTCTCTATTCTGATCTATCCTCCTTTGAATGTTTTTCTTTTTCAGGTGGCTTGGTCCTGATGACACTCTTCTTGAATTATACGATGTTCTTATCTCTTGCGGGGCTGTTGAAATAATCAAATCTTTGTACAAACACTTATTTATCTTTTTGCAGATTTTGAATTTTCCCATCAATATAATTTCTGTCAGTAGTATATCCAAAGTAGTTGCTTTCCTTAATCCTCATTACTAAATATTTATAACTCATTAGCCTTTCTGTTTTTGCAGCCCATGAACCCTCTGTGTCTCTTGGATTGGACTACAGCCTTTGTGGTGTGTCCTTGGTTAGGACTGCACAGGGGGTGGAAGGAAAGTATGGAGTGGGGTGGGAGTAAGATAGGAGTTACATTTTGCTCCTTTTGACTGGAAGGATAACTTTCATATGGGGTTTAAACTGAATAAAAGACTGGCGCAGTGGGTCATGCCTGTAATCCCAGCACTTTGGGAGGCTGAGGTGGGTGGATCACTTGAGGTCAGGAGTTCAAGACCAGCCTGGCCAACATGGCAAAACCCAGTCTCTACTAAAAATACAAAAATTAGCCAGGTGTAGTTGGGGGGGGCCCTGTAATCCAGCTACTTGGGAGGCTGAAGTAGGGAGAATTGCTTGAACCCAGGAGGTGGAGGTTGCAGTGAGCCAAGATCACGCCACTGCACTCCAGCCTGGGTGACAGCGTGAGACTCCATCTAAAAATAATAATAATAAATTATTGGGAGAACCCGCCCACAATATTTCAACGTAGGTTCTTTCTATTTTCTCTAAGTGTCAGCCAGCTGAGAAATAAAGAGAAAGAGTACAAAGGGAGGAATTTTACAGCTGGGCCTCCAGGGGTGACATCACATATTGGTAGGACCATGATGCCCACCTGAGCCACAAAACCAGCAGGTTTTTATTAAGGACTTTAAAAGGGGAGGGGGTGTACGAACAGGGAGTAGGTCACAAAGATCACATGCATCAAAAGGCAAAAAGGAGAACAAAGATCACATGCTTCTGGGGCCAATAAAGATCACAAGGCAAAGGGCAAAGCAAAGATCACAAGGCAAAGGGCGAAATAAAAAACTCCCACTAAGGGTCTATGTTCAGCTGTGCACATATTTCTTGATAAACATCTTAACAGAAAACAGGGTTTGAGAGCAGAGAACCAGTCTGACCTCAAATTCACCAGGGTGGGTTGTTTTCCCCACCCTAATAAGCCTGAGGGTACTGCAGGAGACCAGGGCGTATTTCAGTCCTTATCTCAACCACATATGACAGACACTCCCAGAGCAGCCATTTATAGACCTCCCCCCAGGAATGCATTCCTTTCCCACCATCTTAATTATTAATATTCCTTGCTAGGAAAAGAATTCAGCGATATCTTCCCTACTTGCACGTCCATTTATAGGCTCTCTGCAAGGAGAAAAATATGGCTCTATTCTGCCCCACACTGCAGGCAGTCAGACCTTATGTTTGTCTTCCCTTGTTCCCTGAAAATCACTGTTATTTTGTTCTTTTTCTAGGTGCACTGATTTCATTTTGTTCAAACACACATGTTTTACAATCAATTTGTACAGATAACACAATAGTGGTCCTGAGGTGACATACATCCTCAGCTTATGAAGATAATAGGATTAAGAGATTAAAGTAAGACAGGCATAAGAAATTATAAGAGTATAATTTGGAAAGTAATAAATGTCCATATTAAAATGAAATCTTCACAATTTATGTTCAGAGATTTCAGTAAAGACAGGCATAAGAAATTATAAAAGTATTAACTTTGGGAACTAATATATGTCCATATTAAAATGAAATCTTCACAATTTATGTTCCTCTGCCTCGGCTCCAGCCAGTCCCTCCATTCAGGGTCCCTGACTTCCCACAACAATAAATAAATCGAAAAAAAATTCCTCCCTTGGACAGAAATTTTACCCTTTCTTTATAGCAATATTAAACACAGTCTTTGGCTGCAGTCTTTCAGGAACTTCTCTGATTCACCATTTTGTGCTCACAAATCATATGGGAAACAAAAACTTGCATAATGCATTTCCTCAGTATTGGGGTAAGGGGGGTTAATAAATTAGACCTCCTCACCACCTAAGTTTTGAACTGTTGAGAGAGATGTAGGTCAGTCAACTGAAGGTCAAAACTTTAACAATATTCCTGATAGAGTTGATGGAGAATGGACCTTAGAGTGAGAGCCAAATAATAACTCTCTACTGCCAGCAGGAACCTTGGAATAGCCCAGTAGCTGGAAGATTTGAGTGTAGAGCAGACAGACTAACCTAGGCCAATCACTGTCACCCACTTACCAGGTAATTAATTTAACCACCACAGAGAGCAAGAAGCCACAAGAAATACTTCCTCATGGAAAGCAAAGGATAAGTTATGTAAGACGTATATTTTATAAGAGAGTTTTAAAGATAGTAATAAAAAAAATGGCCAGGTGCAGTGGCTAACACCTGTAATCCCAGAACTTTGGGCAGCCAAGGCAGGAGGATTGCTTGAGACCTGGAGTTTGAGACCACCCTGGACAACATAGTGAGACCCCATCTCTGCAAAATACATTTTCAAAAAAGAAAATAACAATGACTAATGCTAACCATGTCTAAAAATGACTTCTAAACTATAGAAAAATAGTTTCTTCCCTCAAAGGTAATAAATGTCGAACACAATAAGGAATTTTAAAAATTCAAGAAAGTTAATATTCATTTTTCAATCTATGAATGAAGATGATGATTAACTACATGCATATCTTGTGTTGACTCCGCTAAAGGCCTGTTTAATTTTTTAAAAGGTACAATTAGGAGAGTTAAGATTTTCTAACGTCACACACTAGTTCTTCTTCCATCTGTTCCTCCAGTTTGCATAGTGGTAGAGTTAAAGCTGGATCCATGGCCACCCAGCTAGAAATACAATTGTTTAGTTTTACTCACAGCTAGAAGTAGCCACATGAATAAGTTCTCTCCAGTGGAATGGTAACATAAGAGTGATGTGTGCAACTCTAACTTCATTTCTTTGTTTTTTGGGGTTTTTTTGAGACACAGTCTCACCCTGTTGCCCAGACTGGAGTGCAGTGCAGTGGCACAATCACAGCTCATTGCCTCCTCATCCTCCCAGGCTCAAGCAATCCTCCCACCTCAGCCTCACAAATAGCTAGGACTACAGGTGCATGCTACTACACCCAGTTAATTTTTGTATGTTTTGTAGAGGCAGGTTTTTGCCATGTTTCCTAGGCTGGTCTTGAACTCCCAGGCTCAAGTGATCCTCCTGCTCGGCCTCCCAAAGTGCTGGGATTATAGGCTTGAGCCACTGTGCCCAGCTGAGCCTTACTTGTTTAAAACGAGTAGTTGTTCCCCACTTCCATTCCCCATCTGAGTTGAATGCCAACATGGCAGAGACCCAAGGCACCAGGGACCCTTTGTGACCTAATGGAGCAGAGCCACTCTAACCACTTAGTCTGGCCAGACTGTGAGATGAGAAATAAACTCCTACGTTATTTAGGCCACTATATGTTTAGGGCTTTTTTTTTTTTTTTTTTTTTTGTATCAGCTTAACATATCATTTAGCACAAATATGTATACCCACTTAAAAGGTATTTTTAAAAAATATTCAATAGAAAAATATCTGTACAATTAGCTACTGTGGTGGATTGGATAATGGACCCCAAATAATATGCCTACTCAGAACCTGTGAACGTGAGTTTATTTGAAAATATAGTCTTTACAGATACAATGAAGGTAAGGATCGCCAGATGATATCATCCAGGATTAACCAGGTGAGCCCTAAATCCAATGGCACGTGTCTTTATAAGAGACAGAAAAGAAACCAGAAGACAAGAAAACCACGTGAAGGCAGAGGCAGAGATGGAAGTGAGGCATGTGAAGCCAAGGGACACCTGGTGTCCGCAGGAGCTGGAAAAGGCAAGGAAGGCTTCTCCCCTAGAGCTTTTATAGAGAGCATGGCCCAGCTGACAATTTGATTTTAGACTTCTGGCCTCCAAAGTGTGAGAAAATAAGTTTCTGTTGTTTTTAAGCCACATACATAGTTTGTGGTGATGTCTTATGGCAGCTCCAGGAAACTAGAACAGCTACCTAATAAAATTTGATCATGAGGATAGAGAAACTGGACATGGAGAAATAAAAAGAACAATTTCTTGTATTGTTATGAAATGCTGAGAGAAGCACAGAGCACTGTTTACATTAGTTTTATGTACTGGCTCATTCATTCATTCGTGACTTTTTAAAAAATTATCTGAAATGCCTCAACTGCTGAAAGGTGCAGGGCATGTAAAATGAACCACAGGGTCCCAGCCCTCAAGAGGTTCCTTGTCTCCTTGGAGAACATAGATGTTCATAGACAATACTATTTTATTCATTTTAAAAATAAATTTCATGTGAGAATTACAGGCTACTTGGCAATGAGGAAATCACTCACTGAGTTGTTAGGAAAATAAGTTTACCTGTCTAAGAAAATCAGATATGCAATTTGTCCCATGATGATAATTCTGTCTGGTGAATAGGATAAAAATATTGATTTTTAAAAAAGGTTACTTGTACTTCTAAAGCAATTCACTTTATAAAATAAATTTTTTAAATAAAATATCCTCTAATTTAGTTGAATGCTTACTAATAGTGATAACGACTTGAGAAATACGCTGAAAAAAAGAATTTGAAAGCTTAATTCTTAGGAAATATTACCACTTAATGATTAATCAAAATGGAATAATGTCTTAATATGAAAATAAAATGACTTACAGAGGCAAACATTTCATTTATATTTTAGTGATATCATTATATTAAAAGTTAAGTACCAAGAAATCATGTAAACACTTTTAATGTAATTTTTTTTTTAAGACGGGGTCTTGAGCTCCTGTCTTCAAGTTTTTCTCCTATGTTGGCCTCCCAAAGTGCTGACATTACAGCATTGTGAGCCACCGTGTAGTGTGAGCCACTGCGCCCAGCCAAATGTGATATTTGTTATTCTTCTATGCCCTTTGGAAAAATGGTATTCTAAAAGTTCATAAAATAAAAGGAATTGGCTTGAGTTTGTTAATAAGTATTAATAAATACAGGAAAAATACTGCTTTGCATAACAAAACTAGTTTAATATTTAAAAACAGTTAAATATTTTTCATTTGCACAAAAAAATCTGACCAAACTCCTTTTCAGATTTAATGCACGTGAAGTTAAGATTAATATCTTTGTATTCCTGTTTTTATATTTTTATTGCCTTATAAGTTGATGAAATAACATTCCCTTCTAATGTTAATGAAAATCTTCAATTGAGAATAAGCTGGAAAATCTATTTAATAAAGGGACTTTTTCTAGGGGGGCATTTGTGCATAATTCCTCTTCATATACCCAGTATATAAAATATGCCTTTTAAAAAATATTCTGACAGCCCATAAATACAGTACCTATTTCAAAAACACAATTGTCCTGGAGCCATTCCTCAGGTTAAAAGTCAAAAAGCCAAATAACAAATTGGCTCTGTGATGACACAGAAAGAATGTATTGAGCATTATTCCTTGGGTTGCATTTAGACTTGGGTATGAATAGCCCAAGATTCTTCCCTATATTAGTTTCATATTGGTGCAACAAGCTACAGAGTGACCTAAAAAGTGTCCTTCTTGGTTTTATTACAGGTTAAACTGTAAAGCAATATGCGATCTATTGTCTAAGTTATCTCAATTTTATTTTGGAACTTAAGATCCTCACTAGGTTCTCTCATTTTGAGGGTCATCCTTCTTAATTACTCCCACTGTTTTCTGAGTCCCTTCCCCTCCCCGCTAGTATTTTAGTCTGTTTCATATTATCTTTTATTTTGGCTCCCTTCTAATTTTTTACTAAATACTGAACTTGTATGATATTCCCTTTTATGCTAGGCAGTATTATTTTGACACATAAAATGAGGACTTAGTGTATAAGAAATGTATATTGAAAATATGCATAAAAACACTGGAAGGAAATATACCAATATGTTTCCCTTTGAGTGTTATTACAAGTAATTTTTAAAAATCGGCTTAGTACTTTTTATCCTTTCTAACTTTTTTTGACAGAGAAACAGATAGCACTTTATTTTGCTTTGTTCCAACTGCAAAATTGGACAGAAAATCCCTCTAGGTTTTTGTTTGTTTTGTTTTGTTTTGCTCATGGGTTATCTTGTTAAAATGCCTTCACTGGAACTGTTTTATGTCAAGAAGTTTGTTGTAATGTCACCTTGATCATTTCTGACTGTGCTTAGTTAGATCTTCTGGGTTTTTGTTTTGTTTTGTTTTGTTTTTTTGTTAATCTAGTTAGCAGTCTATTGATCTTCTTTATCTTTTTAAAGAAACAGCTTTTGGTTTCATTGAGCCCTTATATGATTTTTGGTTCTCAATTTCATTCAGTTCTGCTCTGATTTTGGTTACTTCTTTCCTTCTCCTAGCTTTGGGGTTACTTTGTTCTTCTTTTTTAACTTCCTCTGTGTGTGATATTAGATTGTTAATTTGAGAGCTTTCAACTTCTTGAGGTAGGCATTTAGCACTATAAACTTTCCTCTTAACACTGCTTTTGCTTTGTTTCAGAGATTTTGGTATGTTGTGTCTGTTTTTATTTATTTCAAATAACTTTTTGATTTCTGCCTTAATTGTATTGTTTGTCCATAGTCATTCAGAAGCAAGTGATTTAATTTTCATGTAATTGTGAGGTTTTGAGAGATCTTCTTGGTATTGATTTCTATTTTCCATTCTTGTCTGAAAGTATAATTGGTATGATTTTGATTTTTTTGAATTTGCTGAGACTTGCTTTATGGCTGAGCATGTGGCCAGTCTTAGAGTATGTTCTGTGTGCAGATAAGAAGAATGTATATTCTGAGGATGATGAGTGGACTGTTCTGTAGATGTCTATCGGGTCCAACTGGTCAAATGTGAAATTTAAGTCCGCTATTTATTTGTTAGTTTTTTGTCTTGGTGATCTGTCTAACACTGTCAGTGGAGTGTTGAAGTTCTCTACTATTATTGTGTGGCTATTTCTACTTATAGGTCTAGAAGTACTTGTTGTATGAATCTGGGTGCTCCAACATTGGGTGCATACATATTTAGGATAGTTAAGTCTGCATGTTGAATTGAAACTTTTATCATTGTGTAATGTCCTTCTTTGTCCTCTTTTACTGTTGTTGGTTTAATGTTGGTTTAAAGTCTGTTTTGCCTAACATAAGAATAGTCACCTCTGTCTTTAATGCATTCCATTTGCATGATAGATCTTTCTCCAACCCTTTACTTTGAGCATGGGATGTCCTTACGCATGAGATGGGTCTCTTGAAGACGGCAGATAGACGGTTTGTTTTTGTTTTTGTTGTTGTTGTTTGAGACAGGGTCTTGCTCTGTTGCCCAGTGGTGTGATCACTGCAACCTCCGCCTCCTGGGTTCAAGCAATTTTTATGCTTCAGCCACCCTAGAAGCTGGTACTACAGGCACATGCCACCACGCCCAGCTAATTTCTATATTTTTGGTAGAGACAGGGTTTCACCATGTTGGCCAGGCTGGTCTCAAACTCCTGATCTCAAATGATCTGCCCACCTCGGCCTCCAAAAGTCCTGGGATTACAGGCATGAACCATCACCCCAGGCCTAGGTCTTGTTTTTTTAATCCAACCTGCCAGTCTGTGGCTTTTAAGTGGGGTGTTAAGACCATTTACATTCAATGTTAATGTTGATATGTGAAATTTTGATCCTATCATGAAGTTATTAGCTGGTTGCTTTGTAGTTTTTATTGTGTGGTTGCTTTACAGAGTCTGTGGGCTATGTATTTAAGTGTCTTTTTGAGGGAGCAGATATTATTCTTTCATTTCCATGTTTAGCACTCCTCCCTTAAGGAGTTCTTGTAAAGTTAGTCTCTTTGTGCTTACTTGTCTGGAAAATATTTTATTTCTCCTTCGTTTATGAAGCTTAGTTTGATGGGATATGAAATTCTTGATTGAAGTATCATTTCTTTAAGAATGCTGAAAATAGGTCCCCAGTCTCTCCTGGCTTGTATGACTTTTGCTGAGAAGTCTCCTATTAGCACAATGGAGTTCCCTTTGTACATAATCTGACGTTTTTCTCTAGTTGCCTTTAAAATTTTTCCTTTAGCATTAATCATAGACAGACTGGTGATTATATGCCTTGGTGATATTTGTTTTATATAGCATCTTGCAGGTGTTCTCTGGATTTCTTGTATCTGAATGTGTATGTCTTTAGGAAGATGAGGAAATTTCTCTTGAATTATTCCCTCAAATATGTTTTCCAGGTTGTCTTCTTTTTATCCATCTCTCTCAGGAATACCAATAATCCATAGGCTTTGTTGCTGTACATAGTCCAATATTTCTTGAAGACTGTTCATTTTTGTAGTTCTTTTTTCTTCATTTTTTTCTGACTGGACTAATTCAAAAGACTAATCTTCAGGCTCTGAATTCTTTCTTCTACTTGTTTCAGTCTATTGATAAAAGTTTCAATTGTATTTTGAAGTTCCTTAATTGAGTTTTTTAGTTACGGTAGCTCTGATTGACTTATTTTTAAGATATTTATTTCTTATTTTATTTGCTGGATTTATTTAGAAGTTTCTTTGTGTTGATTTCAACCTTATCTTGGATCTCATTAAGCTTCCTTGCTATCTATGCTTTGAATTCTTCATCTGTCATTTCTGATTTTCCATTTTGGTTAAGGACCATGGCTGGAAAGCTAGTGCAATCCTTTGGTGGTGTCACTATAGTGAGATTTTTCAGGCCCTAGAATTCTTGCACTGGTTCTTTGTCATCTGGAGATGCTGGCACTTCCAATTTTTGTAATTATTTTCCTGTGGTTAGGATGTTTTCTTCTTCTTTCTTTATGTTATTGTTTTTTTCCTTCTTTCCATTTCCCTGCTTCCTTAGGGGATGTGGCTGCAGAGAATTTTGGCTAGGGCCTCCTGGCCTTGCATTTATAGCCCTATGCACTTCTGTCAGCAGGTTTTTTACTGGGTTATGCAGTTCCACTCCACCCTTCCTGTGCGGAGATCTGCATGCAGAGGGACCCTCTCTGCTTTATGCCAGGCAGATCTGCAGGCACTTGGAACACCAGTTCACCTTGTTCAGTTGATATTACCCAGATGTTGCTTATAGGTAAGAGCTGGCTGTGGCCAATGCAGCTGGGTATGTACTTGATCCTTGTTTACTGGAAGAAGATATCTGTTGCCTCTGACAATGCACTGATTTATGGGGTGCACAGTGGTCTGAGCTCCCTGCTCAGCCCTGGGTGGTGGAGGGGCAAGATGAGTAGAGTTGGACTGGGAAGGTCCACCTGCAGATCCTCCAATGGCAGGCATAAGTACCACTACTGAGGGAGCATCTAGTGAGTGGCCACCAAGTGCCCAAAGGTATGCCTAGGTGTGGAGCTGAGAAACCTCTTCAGCCCCAGTCCTCTGCATGGGAATGAGGATAGTGGGTACTCTAGGTTCCTGGAGATCTGCCTAGGTATGAGGTGGAGAGGGCCCCTCTGCACCCAGATCTCTGCACAGGAAAGGTGGATCAGCTCAGGCTGCTGAATCAGGTGAGCTGTTCCAAATACTTGAAGATCTGCCTGGGTATGAAGCAGAGAGGGTCCCTCTGCACCCGGATCTTTGCACAGGAAGGGTGGGGTGGCTCAGGTTGTCAATCCAGGTGAGGAGATACTTTGAATGCCTGGAGATCTGCTGGGCATGGAGCGGAGACGGCCCGACTACACCACAATCTATATATAGGAAAGGTGGGGCAGCTCAGGCTGCTGATCCAGGCGAGGGGTGCTCTGAATACCTGGAGAGACCTGCCTGTGTATGGAGCAGAGAGGGACCTGCTACACCATGTTTATGTCCCATGCTACACCATGTCCATGTCCATGAAGGATCAGGCAGCTCAGGCTGCTGGTCCAGGCAGGTGGGTGCTCCGAGTGCCTGGATTTCTGCCTAGGGGTGGAACAGAGAAGACCTTGCTGCACCATGATCTCTGGGGAGCAGGCTGGGGCACCCAGCAAGGACACATGCAGACTGATTCCAGGTCACCAAGCTGGCCCTAGCTGCAAGTCTTGCCACCCAGGAGAAACTACAGCTGTAGCAGCTCTCTCCTGCCCCAGCCTTGTGATAGGAGAGAGCACAATTCCAGTGCCTACTGCTGAGGTACTTCCCAAATTGTGGCTATGTAATTCCCTACCCCACTCCAGGGCAGGTGCTCCAATCTCTTGGCAGAGACTAAAATGCTTCCACAGCCAGGCTGCTAGGTTGACAAAGAATGGCTGACTGTGTATGCATCTGGATTTAAAATGGCATCCTGCTTTAGGTCCCGGGTCTGGGAAAATGCCTGCAGCTTTTTCTGGTGTCTTTCCCTCACAGTGTCTCCAAGCCTCTCCCCAGTTTATTCAGAGCTTGGGAGAAACAAAGTGCTTTCCCTTGGCCTGGGTTGCTTGGATCCCCAGTGGAAAGGTAAGTCACAGAGGAAGGTTTTCTGCCTCTTTCACATACTGGGGCTTCACACACTTTTAGTAGCCAGATACTGTCACAGGAGCTGTTTGCCCACATTATCCTCCCTGGGATCTGGGGTGTCCTTCACAATTCCAGTGGATTCCCATTTTCCTTCCTGAATTAAAGCTCACAAAATTGATCTTTAGGCACTATCTTGTTATTTCCCAGTTGCTGAGGCATGCTAAAAGCCTCTAATCTTGGAGGGCAAAAACTCCTTTCTAACTTTCTATAATAAAATCTGATAGATATTTACGTTTGTTTATTTGCAATTTAAAGTGTCAGCTTTATTCTACAAATGTAAATAGGTGGAAGGAGATAGCTGTGGGGTCTCTAATGCCTGTCCTCCAGGGAAGACAGCTGGGTTCACAGTTGTCTTCCCCAGGATCAGTTAGAGAAGCTGGAGAATCCCATTAATCTCTTTTAAGGAATCCCTACGTATGTAGGGATACCTTTGTATGGCAAAGGTAGTGTTGAAGAGTCTTTTTGTGACTTACCAATTCATGAGGCACATAAGCACCAAGGAGCCAGCATTGTACATATTTTACTTAATCCAAATTCATTGTAAATGAGAAGTATAAAATGATATTTAGAAACTATTGTCCAATGGAAGAGAAAAATCAAATGGGATCACTGACATACTCAATTTTAGCTTAAGTTAAAAAGAAAAGGTGATAAAATTATATTTTTGTTTAAGTACCTAGGTATCTACTATGATTTTAGAATGCCACATGGTGGTTATCAATTCATTAGACAGAGGCTTGAAATGTATTTGTATACATATGTAGATGCATATAATTTTAATGAATTATCTTTTTGCCATTAAATTCTATGTATAGCTTATCTCAGCAGTATTGGTTTTTGGTAATATATTGTTTGATAAATCTTTGGAAAAGTTATCATGAAATCCATTGTTGTTCTATTCAAGCAGCCAGAAAGCACTTTATTTTAAGCATGATTCAGGTGGTAGAAAGAATAAAATCAGTTTTGTGTTGGTGTTGCTGCTTTTTCACTCTGAAAAAGATTTTTGTTGCGTTAAAGCCATTTTGCTTCTCGAAGTGAATCTTCTTTCCTATATTTTCAGTAAGGTTTCTTATGGGCATTTTCAAATAAAATATATAAGTGGAGACATATTAAACCAGTAATATTGCTTTCCAGGTGTTCAGTTTCAACTTCAAAACACAAAGAAAAATGTCAAATAGGACTTAGAATAAAGTTGCACTAGGTTTTTAAGACTTACAACATTCACTTATGGAACTACTCATATTTTAAGACAAATATAAAAATGTTCCCCCTGGTGAAATGTTTTCTATTATATGATACATAGTTAAATCAATGAGAAATAAGAGCAAGAATAGACAAATACTAAAGAGAAGCTTCATTGTGCAAATATCCGCAGAAAAACCTTGAAAAACATACCTCCCAGTTGTAAATATTACAGCTGAGTTTACACAAAATGTCTATTAAAGCCAGTGGGAGTCATGCATTCATACATTTCTGGCTAGTATAGGAGTTTTTAATAATCACTAAAGCCTTATATAAAGGTCTGTGTGATTCCTTGTCTTAATTATTTTAAGTAGCAGTTCCTGTTTCAAGGTCCAACTTTTCTGCTGATTCAATGTTTTGAAACATCAATTTCTGAAAATAAGGGGATAATCACTATTTCAGTTGTAAATTAGTAGGTATCACATTTGCTTTTGTAAACTTGATTTGCAATTGTTGTTTAAGCATTTACCTATTAGCATAACAACAGATAACCTCATATTATGTTTTGGTAATGACTATGTAGACATTTTATCTGTGAGAGGGCTAATGCCTGTCATGAATCAACCCACTAGTAACTTGTGCTTAATTTAAATCTGGTTTTAGCCTAATGGTTTGCTTATCTCACTTTGAGGGGCTGTTAAAGATCAAAAATAATTTAGAATTTTAAAAATTTGTATTACTTTTCAGAAATAGAAAAATCATGTTATAAAGAATCAACTAAAGCAGTTTGAACACAACAGATTTGATGAAGGCCATCTATGTTTGCTGCCTCCATAACTTGCCTTCCTTAACCTATTTATCTGCAGATGCTGTAGAAGAACCTCTTCTGCAAGACCATTCATTCATGCCTTGAGACAGTATGAATCAAGCTGACTTTTTTTTTTTCCAAGGAGTTTTTAAGTAAGTAAATGAATATACCAGTCAGGAGATGAAAGAGAAGTCCAGCCTAAAGATGCAAATATAGAAGATACCAGTATTTTAGTAGTTGGTAAAACCAAGGCAGTGTGTGAGATCATCTAGGAAAAAGATTATCTATCAGTTTTCTAAAGCCCATGCCTTTTTTGAATAAACAGAACACCTTTTCCCCCACCCCATTATCATTGAGAATCTTAGCCTCAACATCCACCTAGTTCCAGCTTTGTTTTTGTGTTCTACATTATAAAACCAACATTTTTGGCTTCATTTTCAAATTACTATAATATTTAACATGCCTTTTCAGACTATATATGTGACACCCCGATGAATAAGAAGAGCAGCCAGCTGAGAAGGGGAACTCTACAAAGCTATTTTTTCAACAGCTGTGACTGACCCACTCACCTCACAGGGTGGGTAAGAGCAGCAAACCATATAGATCTCTACTTATATGAAAACCATGTAGGTAGAGATCTTTGAGACTCAGTATATAAATGCCAGAATTTACACGACACTCTTGCTAAAAACAGATAATATCCATTTCTAAGAATGTGTGCAAAGGGAAATTTTTATGTTAGCACTTGCTTTTGGAAAGTCTAGCATGGTATATTACAGCGATTAGTAGTTCTATTCATTGTAAAATTTCAACCACATAGCTGCAAAGTAACTCACGGTAGATATATTTTATTACCAGCATTCAAACCATTCTCCTCTCTCTTAATATTTAATAGTTCTCTAATTCTAAATTTAGCAAGTCAAGTGGAGCAGCTCATGAACAGTGTAGGTGGTAGTATGGGTATCCTTTATTCAGCGTGGGCAGTCTTGGCTTCACTGTCAAGATTTTGTTGAACTCCATGGATTGGTTTACAAATATGTAATTGCTCTGTATATTATGCTGTTTACAGTGAATGTCAAGGCCTTTACTGACACCAATATCAGTAAAATATATTCTACAAAAAAAACAGCATTTTTTACTTTTAAATCAATAGTTCATGTGTACATTATTTAGAAATTTGAGGGAGATTGGGTTACTGTTTAATGTGTTTTGTCAGAGTGCTAAGAGTATTTCTAAACTCGCCTTAACTAAGTCTCCTCCCCTGATACCTCTGAGAGGTGTATTCTCATAAAGCAAATGATTCAAGGGAGAAAGTAACTAAGCAACAACAGTTAAAAAAAAAAACTTTATTAGTTAGGAATTTAGCTTCAAGCCACTACAAAGCTCTAGTAAGCTTGGCTGAGTACATGAAAGGCTTCTTTTTCCTGAGCTTATTAGGCCTGAATAGCCTCAAGCTAAGGCAGGCTCTTAGGATGCTCTCTCTTCATTTCTTTTCCTTTTCTTAGACTCCAGTGGGCACTAATGGAAATGGAGAGAAAGACAAACAAGATGACCCTGTTAGCTCCCTGTGTACTGCAGATGTGGTGTAGGCTGTGCTCCGAACTTAGAGAGAAGAAGGAAGAGAGGACAACCCCTCTATCCCCAAATTCTCTTCCAACCCTGTTCTGCCAGCCATCTGATTGGAAGCAAGAGGGAAGGGAGGCCTGTGGTGACCTCTCTCTTGACAACAGGGGAAAACCTGACCCTAGAAAAATCAGCTCAATCAATATCATGTGATCTTATCAAAGCAAGCAACCCTACTCCCTAAACTGGTGGAAACGGTGTGAATGTCAACTAGAGTTCTATACTTTAAAAACAACAAAAATATTGCAAATTTTGAGTATCCTTCCTAAAGAAAACAACATATTGTAATCTTGTTTTCTGTTAGATAAATCTCTGTTAAAAAGAAGCTTTGTTGGAACTCTCAAGTCTCTAAAAAATAAATCAGCCATCTTTTGATTGCTTAGGGACCCATGAAAAAGTCTGAGCACACACGCATTCTTTACGATGAGTCTCTGGCACTAAACCAGAGCCCTAGTGAGTGAGGCTGAGTCATGGCATTCCGCAAAGTCTCCTTTTGTGCCGCTGGCCTAAAGCCTAGATGAAAAGAAAGCAAAGAGGCTCCTTTGATTCCACTGCCCTAGGCCTACGCCCTAATTGTTGCTTTCAGAGTCTTGTAACTTCAGCAGTAAGAAGGGGGAAAGTCAAGTTTAAGAAAGAAAAGTGCCAAGGGTAAAAGATCAGTTCTCCTTCATAACGTAAAACTGATCTTACCTGTGTTACCCAGTCATGAGCCATTGGTGTGCATGTGTGAGTGTGTGTGTTGGGGGAAAAGGGAGCATTTTAATATGAAAACTATGTGAAAAGACACACTCTATAAGAGACAAAGAACAGCAAATCCCACAGAATGCTAAAGGTGCCAAAGGTAGAGCTGTTTACTTGTCTGCGAATCTCTTGGAAACCTTCAGCCAACAGCTGACTGGCTCAGCTTCCAAATTGTATCTTCCTTTGGCTCTCTGGCCTTCTCCCACTGAGATACTCATCATGTTGTATTATTCTTCAACAGCCATCATTTTCCTAGACTGGAAGCTACCCGAGGGCCAAAACATGTCTGTCTTGTTCTCCAGCACTTATTAGGCACTCAATAGATTTTGTTTTTCCTGTTGAATGGCATTTAATCATACACTTGACTGTAACCTTTATTCAGAACACTATTGGGGAAGGTATTTAGGGGAGGGCTTCATCATGTCTCCTAAAGCACAGAGTCTTTAACCAAGATTAACTCTGGAAGTATTATCATTTAAATAACTGATTATGTTAGGAAAATTAAACTCATAATTACACACACACACACATTTTAATTTGTTAGCCTCTCAGACTAGGTTTTATGAGTCTGTAGCCCAATGAACCATCCTTTTTTTGTATGCTCACTTGTAATTTCATTATGAAAATTTTTGTTTCAGCTAGACTGTAAACCACGAGAGTACAGAAGACTGTGTCTTGTTTACTGCTGGATTCCTTGGGCCCAACACCTGGCCTAACATATATTAGATATTCAATAGCCATTCACTGGATAAATGAATGAAACACTCAGCAATCCCTTTTTGCAGACAAATCAGTAATCTCTTTTTGTCACTTTGCTCATTTGATTACCTCCAGGTTTTCATTCAAAGACCATTAGAGGTCTAATGTGTATGCTAACTATTGTAGTTGCTGCAGCTATTCATGATCAGTTATGTTTATGCTTCAGTAATTCTTATATTTCATTAGAAAGAGAAGGAAAAATAAATTGTTACATTACTATTTCAGAAATTAATTTTAGAAGATATCTGAAACTCAACTCCAAAGTACATACCTCTAACTTTTTGATATTATAAAATGGTGCATACATCTCTATCTGCAATATATAATACATCTATATAATTCTGGACAGTATAATACAGTTTTTACTGCATGAAAATTTATCAATAAAGTTACATATAAGTAAAATTTTAAACTATAGGCCAAATTTATTTTTGTATTTACACATGGTCACAAATAACCCTTGGTGCACAATGGTATTTCTATTCTAGATAATCCCCACAGTTCCACTTATGTAAAGTACCTTACAAAAAGTTCTTTTCAGTATTTAATCTAGACATAGATATCAAAAATGATTCTTCATTTTTTGAATTACTGAATTTTCAACAGATTATACCTTATGTTTAATCAAAAAAGATGAATAGGACTGGAAAAGTCAATTATAAAAGCAGTTGCTGCTTGCTAGTCTTACACAAATTTTTATATTTCTTTAAAGTGGAAATTTGAGACAGCAGAAGATAGTGATAAATTCTTACATATGATGCGTGTGCTTTTTTTTAAAAAAACAAATTTATGTATCATTTTTATGTTAGATGCCTTTTAATTTACATTGTCAAATTATAAGGCCCTCAGTATTAAAAGGAATCCAGAAAGATGTTCGTTCTGAGAAAAAAAAATGGTAATTTAAATACCGTATTGCTATTTAATCCAGGAAAGTTCAACTTTGCTCAATTCATAAACATTTAAACATAATTTATTTCCATAATAGGAACAGCTATGCAGAGGAGGAATGACAAGTAGAAGAGGGGAAAAGGGAAAATATAAACAAAAAAAACAGTACATTTCACACAAAAGCAGAGGAACAGAAAGTGAAATCTGAGACGTGAGTAAAGTACTCTTGTTACACCATGTTAACCACTTAGGCTGTAAGATTCAGCATGTGACACAATTTTCTGAGGCTTTTGAAGTAGTAATACTAATTAGACGATTAAGTATAGTACTATTAACCTTGACCCTGGAAGCTCCAGGAGCTTTCATTAATTATTTATTCATGGAGCTCAGACTATACTACTCTGGAGGTACAGAGATGACTATTTGCCTTCAAGGGATATACAGCCAATTAGAGAAGACAGACAAGTAATCAGAGGATGCTAATATAGTTTAATATGTACTATAATACTGGAAATGCTATTTTGTGGCAAAACATGCTAAGAAAAGAGTCCAAAAACTCTTTTTCAGGATTTCATGTGTTGGATGTTAAAATGCCATTTTACAGCTATTTTTTTAAAACTGGCATTAGTTGCACTTAAAATAAGCATTTCATAGCAATAATATTCAATATTATTTTATAGTTCCCTATATAATAAATGAATACTATTTTAGTCACATATTATTTCAAGTCAGTGTGCAACTTTTTCCCACAGTTAATATGGGACCAGCTTATTTCATAATTGATATATCAGAGCAAATTCAGCAGAGTGGGAAGGAATGAATTTGACATTCAATTCCTTGCTTCAGAATATAGTAAAATGATAGCTCCTTTGAAGTTGCCCCCAACTTTTTCTGAGTTTGGGGTTCTGTGAATATATTTGGTTCTGGAAGAGTTACAACAGTGTTGCTGGAGGGTACTATAGCACTAAATACCATTTTGATACCTTTGTTTATATGGGTGATCATAGTGATAGCTTTTGATATAAAATCAGGTAAAGCTCTGGATACTTCAAAGGAATCACTCCACCATTTAAATTAGTATTTCCACTGAACAAGGATCTGTGCAAAGGCTACTCCAAGTAGTGTCATGTGGAGGATGCAATAAACAGAGGTGCTATTGCCTAATTTGTTTCAGTAAGTATACATTAGGATTAACCACTCAAAAACACTAATCACAGTTTGGGCAAACATCCTCTCCCTCCTCTGAAGAAGTCTAAGACTGAACTTAAAGGTAATTCTACCAGAACTCTGAAGACAGTGTTGTGTAAAATATTCCCAGTGAAAATAAATTAGTGGAGAAAAAAATCTTAAAGAGAGGGCAAACTGTATGCAGCAGAAATTAGCAAGAGCAGAGATACATTAGAAGGAACGGAGCTACAGCAGGAAGGGTTGGTGAAGAGATTAGCCTGAGACCAAAAGAAACTGAAAGGTGAAGAACTGGGGATTTTAGAAATGCATTGATAGCCAATTTGGCTTGATTTCAGTCACATATTTGATTTCTTCATTCTTACTCTTAGGAGTATGCCTAAGAACATGCTGCACTGTCTCTACTCCTTCACCCACACCATCTCAAGCGAGGTGGAACCAATGATATATGTAGTAAATTTGATTAGAGTAAAAGTATCCTTGGCTGAGCTTCAGCCATCGTTCCTTTCAGGAGCATCATTTCTTGTGGAGAGCATATGTTCTCCTTCTCCTCCAAGGACAAGCTCTTTCTCCCATATAAGAAGACTCGTTTGGGTCCAATGCTGCCTTGAACTTGGTTAAATCTGCTGTATTCTGAGATTTGACATTATCAAATTCCTGTGGCTAACAGACATAAAGCTATATTCTCCAATCTGGCCTCTATTATTAATAAAAATGTTACGTTAGTTTCTGTCTGTTATTCTTTTGTTTCTCAATGAGATCAGTATTGGGTGGGAGAAAGGACTGTTATCTCATGTGCCAATTAATCATTTACTCATCAAGTATAGCATGCATTATGTGAGTGTGGCAGACTGCTAGTGGGCCCCCCAAATCTGCCCTTCCATTCTTAATCAGACATGGATATCCAGCTAGAGACCATATTTCCCATTCTCTTTGCACAAAATGTGACCATAGAGCTAAATATCACCATGGAAAGTGATCAGAAGCAATGAGTGCAACTTCTACCTCACTTGCTTCAAAGGAAGTTACTTTCTCTTGTCTTCCTGTGGACTAGACCTTAGGAAAAGCTTCAAGCTAATTTGACTATTCAGAGGAGGACTGAGTCCCAGGGGTTAATAGAGCAGCATTGTGGAGGGAATCTGAGTTGCTGGATGTCCTTGGAGAGTAGACTTGGCCCACTATGCTACCTTGCCCTATTACATAAAAGTGAAATAAACATTTGTCTCATTTCCATTGTGTATTTGGGGATCTTTCTTAAAGAAGCTTAGCGTTTACCCTAATACCCAGGATCAAGTTGATTTGGCCTTAAATAATCACTGTTATAAGATGCAGAGAGGTAGATTGAATTTATCATACGAATGTCTTTAGCTACAAATTAGCCCTATGGGGTATAGCTACTATACTTCTTAGAGAAATGAGTGGCATGATTTTAATATAAATAATATGACAACTATTAGTATATTATTAATACATCCCAAGAATGGTATGTGAGACAAGAAGCTCCCTGGTTGTGCTTATATCTGTAAGAAAGGTAACTTAAGTAAACATAGGCTTGCTCTAATTCTGTTTACTTGAACCAGTTAATTTTCAGTTACATTAAGAAAGTTTAATTGATAAAATCCCTTAGGGCTTTCAGGCAGAGAGGACAGCAAGCATAAAGGTTCCTAAGCCAGGAATGAACTTGGCATGTGTGAGAGTCAAAAAGAGCAGTGTACCTGGTACATGATGGATAAAGAAGAGTTGTAAAGAATGAATTTAGGCAGATTGGCAGGGGCCAGATCAGACAAGTCCTTGAAAATCAGGATAAGAAATTTGGATTTTATTCTAGGCATGATGGGAAGCCATTAGAAAACTTTAAGCAGCTAGATGGCATTAGTAGGTCTCTTTTTAAAAAAAAACACCCTATCGAAAATTGATACAAAAAAAGCAGGAAAACTGGTTAGGGGATAGTGTAGTAACTTAGGCAACAGAGGACGGTGACTTGGGTAATGGTTCATCCCTTTGGGAACACTAAACAATAATATATCAAAGATTTTATTTCATCTGGCACTCATTAGGCAGAACATTCCTTCACTCCCAAGCGCCAGAACTGCTCCTGGCTGCTCCCAACATGCCTTTGTTGTTGAAGAGTGAATGTCTTGGCTCAGCTCAGCAACCCCAAACAGAGGCCTGGATTGCAGCTGCTTGCTTATGTGAATACGGTCCACAAAATGGATGTCTAGATTGCAGTTAATCAAATCAAACACCAGATAACACTTTTTGTTTGGTGCTTCCAAAGCAAGTTGCTGCCAAGTCCAGTCATCATTCTAAACCATTTTTAAAAGAGGCTTCTGCAGCTGCCTGGCTCTGGTGAGGCTTCTAATGGTAAGGCTATAGACAGATCACAGATGGGAGAGCTTCTGATATTATTTGATCCAATGTGCTGAAAAAAAGAAAATAACAAAATTGGCAAGTGATAGGTATAGAAATGAGGTACCAGGAAATTGGAGCAGATGATGACCTAAAGAGCATACTAAAATAGACAGTAGATGCTTGTGTTTTCCTTGAAAAGCTAGTCTGTCCGGAAAGGTGAGACATATCAAAGTTGGGACTTTCAGGTCATAGGTGGATTCAAACTTTTTCTGATTAACAATTGATTGAGTTTATCTAAGACCTGGAATCATTAGAAGGGAGTGCCTGGGTTAAATAAGGGGTTGTGGAGACTAAGGTTTTTATTATGCAGATGAAGCCTCCAGGTAGCAGGCTTCAGAGAGAATAAATTGTAAATATTTCTTATCAGACTTAATAAGGTACTAGATTTTTAGTTCTCTCCTGGACAGAAAAAAGACCTGGAGAGGGAAGGGGATTCTCTACAGAATATAGATTTTTTTCCACAACAGACAGCTTTGCAGGACCATTTCAAAATATGTCAAAGAAATACATTTTGTGGTAAAATACTTTGATTTCTTTCAGGGCCTGCTGTCTGTCATACTGGTATTTTATTGTTACAAATAGCCTGTTATGTCAGTCTTCAGGTCTCTGTTGCAATGTTAATGCTGGTCAGCTGTGCCTGAATTCCAAAGAAAGGAAGATATAATGAAGCATGTGTGACCACCTATACCCATTGTGGCCTGAACTAGAGTTTCAGGTTTACTTTCGAATGTCCTTGACTGAGAGGAGAGATCCATTCAATTTGTTGCAGGGCTTAGAATTTTATTTTTGCTTTACAAAGATACAGAGATTTCCCATATACCCCCTACCCTTAAACGTGCATAGCCTGTCCATTATCAACATCCCACACCAGACTGGCACATTTGTTACCATCAGTGAACCTACACTGACAGATCATCATAACCCAAACTTCACAGTCTAGGTTAGGGTTCACTCTTGGGTTTGCACAAATGTATAATATCATGTATCTATCACTGTAATATCATTTCCACTGCCCTAAAAATCCTCTGTGCTCTGCCTGTTCCTCTATCCCTTCCCTCAGCATCTGGCAACTACTGATCTTTTTTCTGTCTTCACAGTTTTGTGGGAAGCATACCATAGCCTTTTCAGATTGGCTTCTTTCACTTAGTGACATGCGTTTAAGTTTCCTTCATGTCTTTTCATGAGTTGATAACTCATTTCTTTTTAGTGCTGAGTAATATTCCATTGTCTGAATGTACCACAGTTTATTTATTCATTCCCTTACTGAAGAACATAGTGCTAGGTTATACGGTAAGAGTAATTGACATGTAATTTTGAGGGTCATTTTTTCGGATGGCTAGTACATAGCCTGCTGCAGTATACTACAACAAATTATCAAAAAATGAATAGTATCTATATCCACTAAGGGTACATCAAGAAGGCATATTCATGCATAACAAGAGGAGAAAGTTAGGATAGATATAAAGCATGTCTTGCCTATGGAAATTGTCAGAGACTAGAATGTCAGGGAAAGATATGGGATCTCCTCCATGAAAAACAAAGGGTAGAGAGAAGAACAGGCAGTTACCTCCTGGGTTTTATTCTGAAGTTTTGAATCATCTATATGAGATTGATTCTAAATGTCTTCCTCACCTGTACAGTTTGAGTGATGGGCCAGGTTTTCTTCTATCTGAATAACCACTGTGAGATGGCAGTAGGGGCTCCATGTGGCAAGGTGGCCCAATAGAGAGAAGGCAAAGTGTAGGGGAAGGAAAGTAGCTTTATATTGAAGGAAAGGCAAGAATGAAAAATGTCTTGGCCAACCTCAAAATGGACACTCAATTAAAGTGTATTTCAGCATTTGTCTTTTATAAATAATATGTTTAAATAAGCACAGCACTTTGGAGAGGCTATCAACTAAAGCGTACTTACTTTACCTAGTCAGAGCTGGCTCCAAGAACAGCTTATCTCCTTTATCTGAGTTTGTTGTTATTAACACAGTTGAGGAGTTGGGCAATTATTGCTTATTTTATTTGTTTTATGCAGAAGCTCTTCTTTTGCTTGACTCATCTCATTAACTTAATTATCTACTAGTTAAGTATCACTCAGATGGAAACATGTTTATGTTGAGTATTCTTAAATGGATAATGTAGTGTGTCAGGAGATGGGTTTGGTAAAAGTAGAAAAAAATAAAAGTTGAGGCTCAGCCTTTCATGAGAATGCAAAGAATCACATTTTTTTCCCTCCAGTTTCTGATTTTGTTAAAAAGGAGGAAAGAGGTTTCAGTCAAATTTAAATCAAATTTAGAAGAACTCTGTTTAGACACAGTATATTAGTCCATTCTCACACTGTTATAAAGTGTAGCAGTACGAGCCGCAGACAAGAACCCCTCAGACACCGAGTTGTGGAAGGAAAGGGCTTTATTCAGCTGGGAGCATCAGCGGACTCATGTCTCCAAAAACTGAGCTCCCTGGGTGAGCAATTCCTGTCCCTTTTAAGGGCTTACAGCTCTAAGGCAGTCTGCACGAGAGGGTCGTGATCCATTGAGCAAGCAGTGGGTACATGACTGGGGGCTGCATGCACCTGTAATCAGAATGGAACAGAACAGGACAAGGATTTTCACAGTGCTTTTCCATACAATGTCTGGAATCTATAGATAACATAACCGGTTAGGTCAGGGGTCGATCTTTAACTACGAGGCCTGGAATGCAGCATGGGGCTGTTTGACTGCTGATTTCATTTCTGTCTTTTCTTTAACTCCTACTTTTTCTCTGAGGCAGAAATTGGGAATAAGACAATACGAGGGGTGGTCTCCTCCCTTAAAAGAACTGCTCGAGTGCTTTATATGACTCATAGTTCTGCAGGCTATACAGGAAGCATGGCTGGGAGGCCTCAGGAAACTTACAATCATAGTGAGGCAGGAAAATAGGGTCTAGATGCAGGGAACATAAGGCTGATTCACACTTCAGCTATGATAGGAAATATCCTCTCTACAGGATGTAGGCCAAGTAAATGACTTTGTAACTTTACTTCATCCTCCTCATTTACATAGGGTGTACCCCAGGTAACCAATAGAATCCTCTGGAGGGTATTTAAACTCCCAAAAAATCAGTAATGGAGCCCTTAAGCCCCTATGCTTGGGCCCGCTCCCACACTGTGGAGTGTACTTTCATTTTCAATAAATCCCTTCCTTCCTTGCTTGCTTTGTTTGTGCGTTTTGTCGAACTTTTTCCTTTCCGCCCCATAGTTTACTGTCTAATGGCAAAGTGGAATGTGTTGCATGTATCCAGGCTTTTGTACTGTGGTTCTAGAAGGGGGCCTGGTTAATGTGTGATGATGTCCTTTGGTGCTGTTTGGTCCCAGTGCTCTTTGGAGTCTGGGGAGGCTTGGCCTTTAAAAATCAAACGGCCGTGGCGACTGCTTTGCCCAAAATTTTGGTTCACAGCCTTCACTGGGTTATCTATTGGGGCAAAGTAAAACCAGCAAGCCTGTATTGCTATCTCATGGCTAAGGTTCCAAGCTATTGGATCTTTGTTTATATGTGTGTATATATGTCTAGATGTGTTTATTTGTATGTACCTTATTGTTATATGTTGTGTCTACCAAAATTGGCTTATAAATAAAAGAGTGCTCATAAGTAAATAATTCTAAGCAATTTTCAAGCTCACGTGACTTAAAGTATAACTTTACTAAACAAGCTAGCTTTAAAATTATTGGTGGAATAAAAATAGAAATCCCTTCAGAATTGCCAGCATACATTTTGTCTAAATTTTATGTTTGTCTTTGCTAGATATTTTAAAATGTCAGTGTTAATTCAAGCTGGGAGCTGCTTGGGGTGAGCCTGCCTCCCATTCTATTTAAAGTCTCACTGAGATAAATGCATATCTGATTGCTTCCTTTGGAAAGGCTAATCAGAAACTCAAAAGAATGCAACCATTTGTCTCCCACCTACCTGTGATCTGAAAGCTCCCAAACCCCCTCCCCGCTTCGAGTTGTCCCACCTTTCCGGATCAAACCAATGTTCATTTTACATGTGTTGATTGACGTCTCAGGTCTCCCTTGTTAAAAGTAAAAAATTGGGTACAGTGAATTGGATAAATGTTTTACGTAAACTTTTGTGTAAGTTAAAATCTTTTAAGTTATTTTTGATGCTCATTTAATATGTAGGTCATTTCCAATTAAGAAGGGGTTATGATACGGGGAACTATGTTTCTAAAATTGTGGAGTTGTTCTTATCCATAAATGCCCATATCTAACAGTTCAGGATTTCTTGCTTTTTAGGGTTACACTAAAGTTTTAGGTTGCTGAGGATAAAATTCTAGTTAACACATAATTCTGTATACAAAATGTGCCAGAAAGGATTGTTATTAGTGGAAAAAAAAATTTTGTCTAATTCAGAAGTTATTTAAAAGTTATTTATGAAAAGGTTATTTATGAAACAATGTAGTAAGGAATCATTAAGTAAGAGAGAAAAATGTGGAAAAGTTTAAATAATATTCTTTAAAACCTGATAGAGAATTGGAGACATTTGGCTAATTTACATTTTCATAAAGCTCTTAGTCTTGATTAAAGTAAAGTTAGAAGCTTTGTAAATAAATGCATCAGCAGTTTGGCAATTCTTTTTTTTTTTTTTAATATAGTTAAGCATGAAGCAGGATTTAGTGTGAAGCCAAATTTCACATACATGCTTGCATTGCTTCACACTATGTTTACTGTTTTGCATGGATAATGCTGGCACTGGAGTACTTATTGTTCATGTGCCTAAAGTGGATTTCTTGATTGCACAGAACATATAATAATATTGGTGAACTTAAAGATATTAAATTATGTGTCAGGAATAAAATATTCATTATGTGGGTTTTCTGGGGCCCTAGGTAACACTGTAGCCTCCAGGTAAAATTAAGTAGGAAAATTTAGGGTTGGTTTCTTGTTTGTTTTTACTTCTAGTTTTCACTCATTTGCTTTTTATTCTCCTCTGGCTTTGGTTGTATATGCATTTACGTATAACCATGATGTTTTTTAGGTCCTAGTGGAAGACTTTTATTTGGTTCTGTGAATACTTATTTTGTTTCCTATGCATTTCTAGCAAGTCATCATTCATTCCTTTTATCTGGAATTCCTAGGCTACCTTTTTCAGGCCTGCAGAAATTGATAGAGCACACCAGCCTTTTTGTTGTTGTTGTTGAGACAAAGTCTCACTCTGTCCCCCAGGCTGGACTGCAGTGGTGTGATCTCAGCTCACTGCAAACTCCATCTCAGGGTTCAAGCAATTCTCCTGCCTCAGCCTCCTGAGAAGCTGGGATTACAGGCACCCACCATCAAACCCGGCTAACTTTTGTATTTTTAGTAGAGATGGGGTTTCACCACGTTGGTCAGGCTGGCCTCAAACTCCTCACCTCAAGTGATCCACCCACCTCGGCTTCCCAAATTGCTGGGATTATAGGCGTGAGCCACTGCGCCTGGCCTGTACCAGCCTTTTAACCTTTAACTAACTTTTTGGGTTTTAGGCTTCTTGATACTTTAAGCCTATTAAGTATACTCTCATAAATAGAATTTGAGTCATATTTCTCTCTCTGCCTAATTTCTCCAAAACTTGTAAACCCTTCCTAAATATTCTTAATTCATGGCAATGTGTTTGTTTGCATACAATCAAGCAGGGTCACTAGGGCCCCGCGGAGAGGGAGAACCCAGAAACCTAGCATGCTGGCAAAAGGGTAAGAATTTCTTATCAGTCAGTCTCTGGCCTCTTTCTGTGCAAACTGGTTAAATATAAAGTAAAAGTCACTGTTTATTACCTCTGTAAAGTTTTAAACTAATTGGTTTAATAATAAGAAAAACAAAAATCAAATATTTTGTCAGAAAAGTGAAAAACATAATGACTTTTATTTAGTTCATGTGACTTGAGTAATCTTTGGGAAATGAAGACAGTTTTAAAGATTACTGGTAAAATACAAATGTCTTCAAAATGTAAACATGTGGTCTAAATTATGTTCAAATATTAGGTTTGCTAAATGCTTTAAGGACATAAGCTGCTTCTTTGGCTTTTGAAAATTGTTTAACTTGCCTGCTTTCCATCTAGGTAAGGCCTGGGGACACGTGGAGCTGGCAACACCCCCAGCTATGCTGGAAATAGTCAAACCTCTCAGAACATAACTTACCAGGTTTTATGTTAGAATTTACCATTATAACATGCAATTTAGACTACTAGAAACAGTTTTACATGCAAGGTGTGTAAGAAGAGTAGAACGTAGAGTTTTTTTGTAAAACGTTATAAAAGGTTTTCACTTCTTTAAAATTTCTTAGTCATTATTTTGGCAAAATAAATAATTTATGGTAATCTGGAATTCCAAAATCAAACTTCAGTTTTAAAATTGTCTTTCCTGGCCAGACATGGTGGCTCACACCCGTAATCCCAGCACTTTGGGAGGCTGAGACAGGTGGGTCACCTGAAAATCACCTGAAGTCAGCAGTTCACGACCAGCCTGGCCAACATGGTGAAACCCCATCTCTACTAAAAATTCAAAAAATTAGCCGGGAGTAGTGGCAGGCGCCTGCAATCCCAGCTACTTGGGAAGCTGAGGCAGGAGAATTGTTTGAACCCGGGAGGTGGAGGTTGCAGTAAGCTGAGATCGTGCCATTGCACTCCAGCCTGGGCGACAAGAGCAAAACTCTGTCTTAAAATAAAAAAAAATTGTCTTTCCTAATGCCTGGCTTTGTGGATGGATCAGAGGGCCCCTGAAAACATACAAAAAGGAAGTAAACAAGGTTATTTGACATTTTTAGGTACATGGGATTGCCAAAATGATGTTCAGTCTTCTTTAGGTTATGTTTTTTTTTTGTGAATAATACTAATATATGTTCCAAAATTACATGGGATTTCTAAAATTCTAATGTCTAAGTATATGCTATGTATTATAATTATGGTTATTATGTTAAGTTATTGTAAACCACAGCAATAACCAAATTTCCTTGTCAGTGCTATGCACCTAATTTGGAAAAACAAATTAGGTGTATCCAAGAGGATATAAGTCTAATGTTAATTAAGCATGGACTCATGGAGAACCAGGATGGCCTCCTTGTCCTTCCTGAGTCCTTAGAGCTTTAATTCTTAAAAGTTCTGCATCCCATGACTCATCATGGAAAAGATAAAATAATCCAAATTGAATACATTGGTGTGGTGACTTACAAATTACTAACATAGTTTATAACCAATGTTTGATCCCATATTCCTGGAAAAAACCATTAAAGCTTCAGGTACATTTGGTCACCTGGTTGGCCAATTAAACATTTTATAAAGGGATTTCATTCAATTGTTATTTTCAATGCATGTTTTCTGGTTGTATATGTGGGGAAAAGCAAGAGAGATCAGATTGTTACTGTGTCTGTGTAGAAAGAAGTAGACATAGGAGACTCCATTTTGTTATGTACTAAGAAAAATTCTTCTGCCTTGAGATTCTGTGACCTGTGGGGAAAAGCAAGAGAGATCAGATTGTTACTGTGTCTGTGTAGAAAGAGGTAGACATAGGAGACTCCATTTTGTTATGTACTAAGAAAAATTCTTCTGCCTTGAGATTCTGTTAATCTATAACCTTACCCCCAACCCCGTGCTCTCTGAAACATGTGCTGTGTCAACTCAGAGTTAAATGGATTAAGGGCAGTGCAAGATGTGCTTTGTTAAACAGATGCTTGAAGGCAGCATGCTCGTTAAGAGTCATCACCACTCCCTAATCTCAAGTACCCAGGGACACAAAAACTGTGGAAGGCCGCAGGGACCTCTGCCTAGGAAAGCCAGGTATTGTCCAAGGTTTCTCCCCATGTGATAGTCTGAAATATGGCCTCGTGGGAAGGGAAAGACCTGACCGTCCCCCAGCCCGACACCCGTAAAGGGTCTGTGCTGAGGAGGATTAGTAAAAGAGGAAGGAATGCCTCTTGCAGTTGAGACAAGAGGAAGGCATCTGTCTCCTGCCTGTCCCTGGGCAATGGAATGTCTCGGTATAAAACCCGATTGTATGCTCCATCCACTGAGATAGGGAAAAACCGCCTTAGGGCTGGAGGTGGGACCTGCGGGCAGCAATACTGCTTTGTAAAGCATTGAGATGTTTATGTGTATGCATATCTAAAAGCACAGCACTTAATCCTTTACATTGTCTATGATGCAAAGACCTTTGTTCACGTGTTTGTCTGCTGACCCTCTCCCCACAATTGTCTTGTGACCCTGACACATCCCCCTCTTCGAGAAACACCCACAAATGATGAATAAATACTAAGGGAACTCAGAGGCTGGCGGGATCCTCCATATGCTGAACGCTGGTTCCCCGGGTCCCCTTATTTCTTTCTCTATACTTTGTCTCTGTGTCTTTTTCTTCTCCAAATCTCTCGTCCCACCTTACGAGAAACACCCACAGGTGTGTAGGGGCAACCCACCCCTACAGTGACCTTACCCCCAACCCCGTGCTCTCTGAAACATGTGCTGTGTCAACTCAGAGTTGAATGGATTAAGGGCGGTGCAAGATGTGCTTTGTTAAACAGATGCTTGAAGGCAGCATGCTCGTTAAGAGTCATCACCACTCCCTAATCTCAAGTACCCAGGGACACAAAAACTGCGGAAGGCCGCAGGGACCTCTGCCTAGGAAAGCCAGGTATTGTCCAAGGTTTCTCCCCATGTGATAGTCTGAAATATGGCCTCGTGGGAAGGGAAAGACCTGACCGTCCCCCAGCCCGACACCCGTAAAGGGTCTGTGCTGAGGAGGATTAGTAAAAGAGGAAGGAATGCCTCTTGCAGTTGAGACAAGAGGAAGGCATCTGTCTCCTGCCTGTCCCTGGGCAATGGAATGTCTCGGTATAAAACCCGATTGTATGCTCCATCCACTGAGATAGGGAAAAACCGCCTTAGGGCTGGAGGTGGGACCTGCGGGCAGCAATACTGCTTTGTAAAGCATTGAGATGTTTATGTGTATGCATATCTAAAAGCACAGCACTTAATCCTTTACATTGTCTATGATGCAAAGACCTTTGTTCACGTGTTTGTCTGCTGACCCTCTCCCCACAATTGTCTTGTGACCCTGACACATCCCCCTCTTTGAGAAACACCCACAAATGATGAATAAATACTAAGGGAACTCAGAGGCTGGCGGGATCCTCCATATGCTGAACGCTGGTTCCCCGGGTCCCCTTTTTTCTTTCTCTATACTTTGTCTCTGTGTCTTTTTCTTTCCTAAATCTCTCGTTCCACCTTATGAGAAACACCCACAGGTGTGGAGGGGCAACCCACCCCTACAGTATAAAAGCTTTCCTATGCAAGAGGGCTGATGTTATAACAGTAGATTATTATGCTACAGTGTATTTTCACCAGGTAAAGAAAGCTTTTTATGGTTTGGATCTTCTGGAAACATCAAAGAAAAACTGTCCTTGCCATCCACATTACAACAAAACTTAGGGAGCTTGAGCTTTGAGTTCATAATCTCATAACTGAGAAAGGTACCTTCATGCTCTCAAAACTGTACACCCATTGGAACCCTTAAGGTAAAACTAACCAGGGAAATTTCTCCCAAGAAGAAAATGGCATCCTTGATGTGAACAGCTTTTCCCAAGTTCACAGATTAAGACTTCTACTGTCATGAAACTCTTATCTTTGAATATTTTCTCTTGCTTATGCCTCTATGAACAATAGAAGAGAAAAGGGAGTCTGTTATGTGCACTTATGGGGTGTACTTTGATTTGTAAAGGAGTTTGCAGCCAGCCTTATATATGGATAAACTTATACTTTGATAAATAAAAGATGAAGTCCCAATGTAGGTAGGAAACTTTAATGGTACATAGGTTGCCTCATAATCAGTCAAAAACAAAACATTAGTTCACTCCTCTTGACCCACAGCAGGGGTTAAGGAGAGCATTGCCAGGAGGCTTTTGCTCTTCTAGAAGGGCATCATTTGTTAGGTCCTTTTTCCATGTTTTAAAGTAAAAGAAGTAATGATTCCCTCATGATAGGCTCTATAGCAAATTCTACTGTAAAGTCTACAGTTACACAACAGACTTCAAATTCTCGTGTGAAAGTTATGTTAGGATTGGCTGAACAAAGAAGTATCTGTGCAGCTGCTGGCACTTGTGGCCTATGGAGAAATATATCAAATGAAGATCATAGAAATTTGATTGTAGCGGATTAATGAAGAAACTGCTTAGTTAAGTCATTTTTTGATCTATTTGATTTTAGGTTTGGTTTATGAAGACCTTGGGTAAGGAACATACTCCAAACTCTTGGTATTATCCTCCCAATAGTCATAATAATAGTCTCCCTGGTACACTGTATTCTCTCAAAGATTTTAAATGCTTGCATGTAGCCATCTCTAGAATGTCATATGGTCTCTCTTCAACTGGAATGACAAGAGCTGAAAGAAATGTGCAACCATGAGGACACTGTAACCTATGAATGATGTGCTGAGATGGGAAACCAAAAATGATGGTAACTGAGAGTGGCACTAAGGCCATAAGTTTTGGTCACAATCTCACCTAAGTGAGAACCTGACCAAAAGGGGGAATTTTTTAAACAAAATTATGGGAGGCCATTATTTTGGACTGAGCTCAGGCACTAGGCCCCAACAGACCAAACCAAACTAAAATGGAGCCTTTCATGCTAAGACTTTAAGGAAACGCATAGATCCTAGAACACACCACAAATCAGGTTTCATTTTTCTTCTGCAAATCCCTATAATAAATATTCCTGACAGCATAAGTATCCACCCCCTGAAGTTCCCATTAAATCTTTTAACCAAGTTCTTTTTTTTTTTTTGCCTAGAGACCATCAAGCTTCAGACCATCATGCAGCAAGGGCTCTAGCCAGTTCCAGGTGAAGACCCCACCCCGGGCCATCAAGGAGCTTCCCTGCCTCCACTAGACAGAGCAGAGTGAGAGTTCCATGATCCCCAATAGGTAGGGGCTATGCCTCAAGCCAGCATGAAGCAGTTACAGAAAAAAAGACCATCAGTTCCTCTGCCTCCCATGGGGATCACATCTTTCAGCAGGGAGATGAGGCATAAAAACAAGGTCTGGAGGCAGGGAATTCAAGGCCGATTCACACTTCAGCTATGACAGGAAATATCCTCTCCATAGGGTATAGGCCAAGTAAATGACTTTGTAACTTTACTCCTCATTTTCATAGGTTGCACCCCAAGTAAGCAATGGAATCCTCTAGAGGGTATTTCCCCAAAATTCTGTAATGGGGTCCTTGAGCCCCTATGCTCGGGCCCACTCCCACACTGTGGAGTGTACTTTCATTTTCAATAAATCCCTCATTTCTTCCTTGCTCTGTTTGTGCATTTTGTCCAATTCTTTGTTCAAGACGCCAAGAACCTGGACACCCTCCACCGGTGACAATGGCAGAAGGTGAAGGGGAAGCAAGCACATCTTACCATGGCGGATCAGGAGAGAGAAAAGAAGGAGAGTGAGGGGAGAAGTGCCGCACACTTTCAAACAACCAGATCTCCTGAGAACTCACCCACTATTACGAAAACAGCAAGGGGGAAGTCTGCCCCCATGGTTCAGTGACCTCCCACCAGACCTCTCCTCCAATACATGAGGATTACAATTCGAGATGAGATTTGGGTGGGAACACAGAGACAAACTGTATCATACAGTAATCTCAACAAAAGCTTCCAAAAGTTACTTTTGAACATCAGAGATGTAGGATATAGGATTCTCTCTCTGTCTTGGTAAATTTAATAAAAGTAGATTAACTATAAGATATTGTTAATGAAAGTAATTGACTGTAAGATTCACTGTAAGCTTACAACTATGCAGAAAGACAAGCTTTTGAATAAAGTTCAGTTATAGATTAAAAATTTAAAAACAACTTATTCTGCACAACAATGCAAGTGCCTAAATTTTGACCTGCAAAATAATAAAGAACAGCAGCAAGCTCTACTTGAGGCCAGCTTTAGTTTAATGGAGGACAGTGGCCCTAAAACAAACAAACAGCAAAACAAATGGGGTGAAAAGCAAAGGTTATTCTGGAACAAAATAACAGAGGATATTGAGGCATAGGCAATTCCCTCCCTCTCTCCCACACTCCTTCCCAGTCATCCCACTAGAACAGAAACCTTAAAAAATGGAAGAGAGGGGCCTGGCGCAGTGGCTCACACCTGTAATACTAGCACTTTGGGGAGGCCGAGGCAGGTGGATTCCCTGAGGTCAGGAGTTCAAGACCAGCCTGGCCAACAGGGCGAAACCCTGTCTCTACTAAAAATACAAAAAAATTAGCTGGATGTGGTGGTGTATGCCTGTAATCCCAGCTACTCCAGAGGCTGAGGCAGGAGATTCACTGGAACCTGGGAGGTGGAGGTTGCAGTGAGCCGAGATCGCGCTACTGCACTCCAGCATGGGCAACAAGGCGAGGCTCCCTCTCAAAAAATAAAAGAAAAAAAAGGAAGAGAGACTGAGATCCTGCTATTACAGGAATTAGGGCTCTTAAGTCAACCCATTTAGATTTAGAAGGTATAGAAAAGGATGACGTGCTTATTGTTTCCTTTTAAACTTATATTCACTGACAGTCTTACCACAAGAAATATAACTACTTCATAATAATATCATTTGATGTTTTGATGAACAAATAAACAACATATCTTACTCTTGTAAGATACTTACAATATGTAAACACTTTTTATTTTTGCATTTATTGAATATAAACTCTCATATGTTGCTATTTTCACCTGTTACTACATGCTAAGGAATTCTCAATATTCCTATGGTTATCCTTTTATTTTGAAAGGGCACATAATATTCTATAATGCTTATGTGCTATAATTTATTAAAACCATTACCTAATGACAGACATTCATATTTGTTTTCTTTTGGGGGGTAGGGGAGAGAGAGTAGTGTAGAGCTAGTGTATGTAAGCTTTTGCTTCTATTTAATTATTTGCCTTAAGTTTATTTTACTTTGAAGTTGAACTGACTGGGGTTGCAGATGGTTGGCTTACTTCCATTCCCCACATTCAGTTGTCTATAAAGGAACAGTTGACTTTTTAAAATGAAAACAAAACTTTGAGTCTCAATTTGAACAATAACAAAATTCTCTTTAATCAAAAGTTAAACAAAAAAGTGGAGAATTTGAAAAAAGGGCTGCACCAAATTTTTTTATTGTATTTTTAAGCAAACCTTTAATATTTTAAGATTGTATTTTAATTTTAATATTGTATTTTTAAGCAAACTTTTGGAATACTTTTAGATTTCATAAAAAACTTATGAAGATAGTACAGAGAGTTCCCATATATTCCATACCCAGTTTTCCCTATTGTTAACATATTATGTTAGTATGGCATACTAACTAATGAACCAATAATAATATATTAGTATTTACTAAAGTCAATACTTTATTCAGATTTCCTTCCTTATAGTGTATTTGTTTTAACCATTGTGACAGCTTTCTTTGTACAATAGGTATTCGTATATGAAATATTGATTTCTCATTTTTCTTTTCTTTTCTTTTTTTTTTTAGACAGAGTCTTGCTCTGTTGCCCAGGCTGGAGTGCAGTGGTGCAGTCTCGGCTCACTGCAACATTTGCCTCCTGGGTTTAAGCAATTCTCCTGCCTCAGCCTCCCAAGTAGCTGGGATTACAGATGCCTGCCACCACAGCAGGATAATTTTTGTATTTTTAGTAGAGATGTGGTTTCACCATGTTGGCCAGGCTGGTCTCAAAGTCCTGACATCAAGTGATCCACCCACTTCAGCCTCCCAAAGTGCTGGGACTACAGGTGTGAGCCACCAAGACTGGCTGAAATATTGATTTCTAAAAATCAATTTATACTGGTACAAATGGACTCTGTGAATTAGCCTAGAAGACTTAAGGGGAAAAGAGCTTATAGAAAATCCTTTCTAACTCACCACACAGATATGTCTAGGCAGGGGTCTTGCAGATAGAAAAGAGGAAAGCCAACATCTTCTCTTTCCAATTCTTTGCTCTCACCCTTCTTCCACTGGTCCCTGAGGCAGGGAATTGCAATGGATAGGCATTCTCTGTTAGGACACAGTGAGAAACAATGGTAATCTAGTTTTGGTGGTATAGCAAAATCAATACCAATTTCTTAAATGAGTGAGTGAATGAATAATGAATGAATGAAAGCATTTCCTAGGTGGTGAATCCTTGAATAGGGTATATCTTGCGTGAGTCAAGGTTAGGAACTATATAGTTTACCCTCATCTTTACCTTAACAAGATTATTCAGGGTAGACTTCTGGAAGAAATACATTTTGTGCAATTTTGAGTTTTGAACTAGGAATAGAGAGACTAACTTAAATGATACAAAAGAGGAAATGATTTGACATAAACAACATGAAAAAAGTCATAGTGAAGGAAATAGAGAAAGGCAAAGAGGCCTGAACATTCCTTCGATTTGCTTAAATTAAGTGCCGCTTTTAATTTAATCAAATGGAAATGGAAGGAGATTGATTACCTATTGTCTGGGTAGGTTATTTGGGTGAGGCGCTAAAAGCAATAAAGACTCATCTAAATTCAGTGGGAGGAGATGAGGCAGTCCTTGTTGAATCTTTTTTTTATTTGGCTGCAGCTTTTTGTGCTGATCAGGATGTAGAGAGTGACCAAAGTCAGGAAGTAAGGAACAGAAGAGGCTTCATTAATCCACAGCCAGGACAAATGATTGACCATAGTTTCAATGTGGAAGGAAACATTTGTGAAGCTATTCCAGGGAAAGAGGCAGCCTCCTCATTTGAAAGCCATTTTGAATAACAAACAAATAATAACGTAATTATTTCTTTCTCTCCCTGACTTCTAAGATTCTCCTTTTTATTTTCTTTTTCTTTCTTTTCATTATTTGTCAGAATTAGATACTAATTCTTGTTGAATAATTACAAGGCCTATGACGTTTTAAATGTGAATATTGGTAAGTTTCATTTATTTCATCGAGGGGTCAGTAACACAGAAAGTTCAAACTTACACTTCTTTAACTTTAAATTGCATTAATGTATTGGAGTACACAAAGGCAGACAATTCTTTTTAGTTTCATTTTGCTTAAATTAACAGTGCGGTTTACATACTCACAAAACATAATACAGTTTTGTATTATGTCAACAGGAATCAATCAAGAGGAAGTCTGAGAAGGAATTTCAGAATTTAGGATTTTTAGGGGAAAACCTTGAAAATTTGAAACTTTCCATGAAAAATAAAGCTAAGAATTGAGAGCCTAACGATAATATGAATACAAAATATTTTAAAAATTAGAATCTTATCCCATTAATAATTACTTTCCAAATATAAATCCTACTGGGTAACTTTAACTCCAAAAAGTAAATAGGTTCAATAGATGTAAAATAACAAAGGTTAAAATAGTGCAGGACCAGGCTATAATTGTAAAGTCATTGTAACAACTATGGAGGTAGCTTTGATTAAAGAGATTAATAGTCAATACTTAGAAAAAAGTCTAGGTGACCTGACACTGAGTTTCTAATTTAGATTACCAGTTACCCTTGGGGGACTTTTAACTGTGTACCAGTTTTTCAACTTTTGCAATTTTGATAATGAACATGGATTGTTTAGAAAAAAATTAAAACCAATAAAATGATAAACACCGAGCTGTTTGCTTGCTAATATGTCTTTAAATTAAGGTGGCTTATCTGAGCTATATAAATCTTGAATGACCCTATTTAGGAAATTGGTTTGAGACCATAACATAGTCCAAGATTTTTTATTAGAGATTCAAGTGTTCTTTACACTAAAGGAAAATTAAATGAAAATTTAAACGGAAGAATGGCATTATCCCCCTTTGAGCAATACAATTCTAAGTTGTTTATAACGCTCTTTCTCACTAAGCACTCATCCCGTAGGCTGCCTGCCTCTCTTACTCACAAATACAACTCTGAAGTTGTTAGTGGGGATCACCAACAGAGGGGAGAGTTTGATCCCACAGCACATAGCAACACTTCCTAGGAATTCTCTATTAATGCCTCTCTCTTTCTCCATGATTCCATTTTCTATGGAAGTTATTGTGTATCTTTCTTCTCTCTTCCAGAAAAATCCTTTCAGCTGTGCCAGTAAAATTCCTGCCACTCTCTTTCCCTACTTTCATGTACAAAGCTTCAAATGTGCTCACATACCACAATTAGCTAGACAAAACCAAAACAAAACATCACCAAATCAAACCAATAGCAACTTATTCATCCCTCTAAGCATATCATTAAGGAGGCTCAATTTATCCCATCAAATAATATCTAAAAAATAAACTAGCTGAAAGTAACTTTTTTAAATGTAAGAGGCAAGGTGAAGCATTCCATTTCCTGATCGTAGTCCTATGCTGTAACTGCTATTTCTTTCCTCATGATATTCATTTCACCCTCATGGTTTAGCCTTCATGGGTGTACACAAGGTCACATACCAGTCTATCTGTGACATTTTTTTAATATGGGAAAATATTAAGCCACCAGCTGAGTCATTTATCCAAGAAGCATCTTTAAAAGTGCTGTGGAAAAATGACCTAAATTTATAGGTCAGAGTTTCAAGAGCTAGTTTAAGTGAGTCAGTGTGTGCACATGCCAGCCTTTTTCTTGTTATTATTATTTTAAATGTTTATTCAGCTGATGGTAGGAAGGTACTTCAGTAACAGCTGTTAATGGAATCAGAGCCTGCTTTGGAGAAAGCTATGGTATACAGGGTTTTTGGAAATGAGTGAAAAGGAAGTCATCTAGTTTCATGGTGGGGCCCATTGATCGGATACCCCAGGAACCATTACAAATATTGCGTACAGTCTATAAGCCCATGAGTGTGTGTGTGTGTGTGTATGTGTGTGTGCACGCACATGTGTAGGGGATTCAGATGCTTCACTATCTTCCTCTCTGCCATTACTGCAGAGCATTTGCATTCTTAGGTGATGAACAATGGAGACATAGTGAAGCGACATCAAATCATATCAAATGCAAAACAGAGTTCAACTGTGATTAATGAGTATGTTAAGATGTGAAGTTGTTTGTCTTTCTAACTTCTCTGAAGACAAATGAATTGATGAAATAATATATTGTACTTAGAAGTTATTATAGGTGCATTATTGTTCACAACAGAAAACTATGACTCTTAGTTAACACCATTATACCTGGAAAAATTGTTCTAGCCCTGATGGTTTAAGATTTGCATCTATAATGAAACCCAACTGTAGGCACAATGAGGACAAGAACTAAGTCACCATGTTTACCATAATGTAGTGCCTGGGATGCAACAGGCACCACAATAAATGTTTGCTGAATAAGTAGTAATTTAGGGCTACATTGTAGATCTGATCTTTCCTGATCTGAGGAACCTTATAATGGCATAATGATGATGATGATCATAAATAATAGCTATGATTTACTAAGTCCTTCTTTGTTCCTGGGACTGGAATTGTAAGTTTTACACATATTATTTCACATTTCATATTATCCTAGGGAATATTGTTACCAACATTTCACAGATGACCAAACTGAGTTATACTGTTCCCACTAAACCCCACCCAGAGCAGTCTGACATTAAAACCTGATCTTTTTACTGCACTTCTTTAGGCAAACACATTCTATATATACACCGTGAACATAGAACTAAGTTAAGGAGAGAGATTGAATGTAATATACACTCTTAGATGTTAAGGAAATAGTTAAAGGCAAATTAAAATACTGGATATATTGCAAGGCCCATTTGCCAAATGATTGGTACGGAAAACCAGTGTTACAATTTCAAATAAGAAGAGATTGCTGTGTCCCAAGGAGCTCACAAAATGCTTCATGAGGGAAAGAAAGTTGTACTGGACATTGAAACATGAATAGAATTTGAATAGGAAGATGAGGGGAAGTATGTGAACCAAGCTGAGAAGCAGGAACACACAATGGATGTTTAGAGAACAACAGGGAGACTAATGCGGCTGAGGCTGGCTTAGGGAACAGCTCTCATTTAGGAAAGTGTTCAACAATACGTTACTGGGACACCAGCGGTGGGCAGCTCACATGTCCAGATAAGAAGTTTGGAATGTGTCCCATGACAAAAAAAATGTTTGAGATAGTATTTTATTGAAAGCAATTATTTTGTTTTCCATTTAAAAATATTTTATCTCTGTTAACTTTTTGGTTATCTTCATCCAAGTCTTATTTCCTTGAATATGTTATATAAATTGGGATTATTTTCTATAAACAGTTTGAAATGGAATACATCAAACTTAAAATTGAGTCTATATCCCAGCAGCAGAAGTGTTTCTTGTTGCAGCAAGGTGTGCAGGCCAGATGCCTGTGCTGGAGGCACACAAGTACACAAATAAACTAGGCTTGTGGCTTGCAGTTGTGTGTGCCTGTGAATGGTCTCCAGTAGTGGCTCCCAAGATTGCATTCTCAGAATCCCTGGGACCCTGAGTCATTTCTCAAGGTCTGCTGCAGGGAAGAGGTGGAGCTGGTCAGGGAGCTCAGAGCCTCTGTCCTTCTTCAACCACTGCAACTCCTCAACATTCACTAAGTTGGGGTTACACATACATTTTTATTTAAAGAATAAATTCTGCTCATGAAATTCACTTGAAAATGTCTGCCCCTTGACAAACATGGACACTCATTGCATGGTCTGGAGCAGGAATATCATGTTTTGGATCAGTGAGCATGCACTATTTACAGATGAAAATACCATGTTTGTGCTTAATGCTTTCAGTTGTCCTTTGCCTTTCTTATAACTTTATGCATTTTTTACATCTTGCATTTTAAAAATATTACATTTTCCTCTGTGATTTGTTTCATAGTCTTTCTGTTCCAATTTATCATTTTTTCCAAAGGAATTTAACAATCATTTTTAAGCTTCTCAATCCTCATCCTCACTTGTCTATACATACATCTCCAAAATTGTGTTTTATAATGATGATGAATGGTTTCGGCACTTTCATACAGATTGGACCCTTATAAGGAAAGTCCAGAGCAGTGGATTTTCCTTGGGCCACTTTATTGGAATTACTAAATCAGCCCCTCTGGGGGTGGGACCCAGGAATCTGTATTTCAAGCAAGTTTTCTGTGGTTGAAAGACATGGGTGTGGAGGCACAGGTACACATTAAGAGGACCCTACACAGTCTAGGCATGAAGTGATAGGGTCTGAATAAAAGTGATGATCGTGATATAAAAACGGACAGGTATAATCTATTTCAAGGCAAGAGTTTGACCATATTTGTTTTGAGCATTTGTTTCTATTGAGTTTGAGTTTAGGGGGTTGATAAAAAGCTATGCCACTAATGAAAATATCGACTTGAGGAAGGCTTTTTTCCCTTTGGGGAAAACAATTAATTTATTTGTAACATGTCAAAATTGACATACTGCCAAGATTTCCAATAATAATTTGGCTCAGGTGAGAGAAGGCTGTGAGCAAAAGATGCTCAGGGGTTAAAGCATGGGCTGTGGGAGTGACGATACATCCATCTTTGCCACTTGCAGGCTACAGCTTCTTGAGTGACCTCGAGCAGATAATTTAATTTCTCTAAGCCTTAGTTTTGTTGCAGGCTTGGAAATGGGAGGTGGATGCAATGATTGTCCATGGAGAGAGGACTGTGAAGCTCTCAGGTTGGATTACTTCTCCTGTGGGGAGCTGATAAGAATAAAAAGCAGAGGATAATGGGCTGAGTCCTGAGGAGCTACTACATTCAGAGGATGCTAGGAAGAAGGGGAAGCAGCATGGGGGTTGGAGGAAGTGCAGGTAGAAAAACAAATCTAGCTCTCTAGATTCCTCATATCTCTCAGTCCATCAGCTGTAGTTGGACAGTGATTCCTATTCAGTTTTTGTTAGCAGCAGGACTCTTTCTTTAAATGCATTCCATGGAAAAATTCTGGAGAATGAGGGCCTTCCAAGGTGAACCTCCAGACATCTCCCTGGGCTTGAACCCCAGGATGTAGGATATTTGTAGCTGGGAGGCCAATACTCCCTCCATCTATGAAGTTGCAAACTGAACCTAGTATACCTAAAAGTCCAGAAGAAACCTTACCTTAGTTATGTGAAGGTATCAGCTGAGTACTGACCAGAGGGCTTGAAGAAGGCAGGTTTTGAAGTCACATGTTTGTCTCTGCATGAAAGTGTTACTGTCACTGATACCTACTTTACTGTAACCTTCCAGCAGTCAAGAAGTGAATTCTACTTAAGTACTTTACTATCTTTCTCATTCTAAACTATTGTGGATGTTTGTGTTATTTAATTTAAAGTAGTTATTATTCTTAGTTCACTAGACAGTTGATAATAAAAGCTTGGAAAAGAAATACAAGGAGAGCAGGTGACTACAGAGAGGAATGCAGGAAGTTCATGATAATTTATGTTTTATGACCCATTATCTCTTTTCCCCCTTATCTATTGCCTTGCAGATGAATTCTGAATTTGTCTAATGTATATTTTAAGTATCTGTCAACATGATTTCTATAACTATTGTAGCATTAACCTTGATTATTCCTTTGCCTCAGTACAGATTCTAGTGTTCCAAATTCTACTTGATAAACACTGTCCTCTGTCAAGAAAGATAGCAATGCAACCAATTAATTTCCCTTTTAAGACTGATTCTGGCTTTTATAGTCTGGTCTTTGGGGGACTGAAATTAGACCACAAATTACTTTAAAGAAGAACAAAAAATTCTGCCAGGCAATAGCAACTTCCTGTAATTTTTCTGAGATTTAGAGATCATGTTGCAGAGCTAATACAGAAGTTCAAAGCTTTTCCTGGAAAAGTGGATCCATCTATAACTTGTGGTACTTGAGGAGTAATTTGCCTAAATCATCAAGTTGTGGTTCTCAAATTTTTGTGTGAATAGCAACCACTCACACTACTAACTAAAATACAAATTCCCAGATTCACCCTCTGATATGTTGAGTTCAGTAGGTATGGGATAGAGACCAAGGCTCTGCTTCTTAAAGAACTACTCCAAGTGACTTTGATACAGGTTGTCCATGGGTCACACTTTGAGAAATTCTGGTGTGTAGAGTAGGTTCACATAAAGGAAATCTTTTGAGGGAAGCACTTTGATAGAGATCACTGGAGTGGATAAATCATGGAGAATTTCCACTTCACCCAGCACCCTGTGTTTACATAGGTACAGAGCTGCATGATGCCTGGTAGTGAGCTGGTGTGAGTAAGGTAATTTTACTTAAACCTGGGAATGAGGAAGTAAATAATCAGGGATATCATTGTCCTACCATAGTTATTCAAGCAATCCTATCAATGATGTTTTGGTCATTCCATAGGCTCCTCAGATGGTATCCTAATTAACTTTCAGAAGACACACTTGCTTTTCCTTGAGTTCTGTAAGCCTTTTAAAAAATGAATAATAAGCACTGCAAATCCACCTGTTTAGAAATTACCTTGATAACCATGTTTCATACTTTAATTATAGAAGTTTATTTTCATTATCTGTTCTTTCCTCAATATATTATCACATATTTTGACTCTCCTTTCTAACAATTCTGAAAAAAAAAACCGTAATCAAGTTACTTAAATTTGCAGCAGTTTTCTGAATTGCAAAAGAGTTGCTCTTGTAATACAAACACAAATATAAATTTATTCACGAAAACGTTTCTTTCAAAGGGAATTGTGTAAAGAGAATATTCTTATCCCACTGGTGCCAGCAATAACTAGGTAAGAGGGAAAGTTTACCTTCTTTTCTGTTGATCTTTGCTAGTAGCTGTAACTACTAGTTGTTAAGACATGCAGTGAAGTATTTCTGGAAGTGCACAGGGGGTCTGGCTTCAGCATTTCCCAACTATAGGAACTTAGTAATTAGTTTACTTAGTAAATTGTTTACTACTTTCTACTCTCTGTTTCCTCTTATATATATATTCAATACATTTTATTTTATACCCACTATGTGTGCCATCTGAGTGTGCTGAGATCACATTGATAGCACTTTGAAAGGGTGGTGATGGTGATGAAGATGGAGAGAAGTAGATAGAGGCATTGTGTCATCTAAGCTTCAAATGAGATTAATGCATGTAAATATTATTTCAAGATATAAGGTGCGATACAAATGTAAGTTATTAATATTTTCTCATTCCCTATCCCTGTCTTCCCAGGTAATTCAAGCATCCTGAGGTATTTATTTGAAGGGCCTTGTAGATATGTATCTACATTGACCACTTCATTGAACACTGTACATATAAAGATTAGAAATAACCTAAATAACCATCTAGAGGGAACTGATGAAATAAATTATGGTACTTTTATATACAGGAATACCTAACGGTAACAATGACAATAAGTAACCTCACTGAGCACTTACTGGATCCCAGAGGTGACGCCAAACTTTGTTTACACATTAAGTTGCTTAAGTATTATAACACCCCTATGAGGAGAAATAATTATTATTCATGTTTCACAGACAAGAGAACTGAAGAACAGAGAGGGTAAGTAATTTGCCCAACATTTCAAAGCTAATAAGTGATGAAACTAAAATTTGAACCCAGACAGTTTGGTCCTTAGTCTCTGCACTTAATGCTAGTCTTTTTCACAGTTAGAATGAGTAAAGCAATTCTGTATGTAGGGAAAGGAACACTCTCCAAGATATATTGTAAAGTGAAGAATAGCTACCATTTACTAAAGGAAAGAAGGAAGAAAGGAAGGAAGGAAAGAATAGAAGAAAAAGAAAAGGAAATATTATGAGAAAATGTGCATGCATGTGCATAGAATATCTCTAGAAGGGTACACAAGGAAATGATAACAATGGTTGCTTTCTGGGAGGGTCTCTGGATAGCTGGAGAACAGGATGAAAGAGTTAGCATTCACTACAAGCCTCCCTGTGTCTTTTGATTTTTGAACCCTGTATTATCATTTAAAAAGTAAATAGATTTTTAAAAAGTAAAGACCTCATAGTAAATCTTTGTAAAGCAAATAGTAACCTTGCAACATATATCTTATTTCCCAGGATATACTCTGCAATCAGGGATTCACATTTCAGGTGCCTAGAGGACCTCAGTTTCAGGATAATGACTTCAAGTGATTTCCTTATATGTTGCTCTGTGACCTGTATCAGCATGCAGCTAAGGAAGTAAGCAATACTCAAAGGAATTGGCCTCAGTCAGCCTTCTCATGGCTGTGTTACAATACAGGCCTTTCCCCTGGCAGCCCAATTCAGGCTAGCCCAGAAGGGCCTCTATCTGGAGCCTTTCAGCTCAGGCCAGCACATAAAGGTTTAAAGCCTGGTAGACTGAAGAGTAACAGGCACATGAAATGTATCTAATACATATTTTTTGAATGATAAACCAAAAAGAGCAAAACAGGACAAAAGAAAAAATGTAACTGTGCAAATTTATGTGCTCTATATTTATACAATGGTGAGATAGATTTTTTACCTGTGTTTAATAAACTGGCTCTAAGTTCACTATGAAACAAGTTCACATAATGGCTCATTAAGCAAGAGCCATTAGCTTCAAAGTCATCAATGATACAAAAAGTTCTGTTTAATGTATCTTTTACCGCATGGGTGGGTAGGTGGAGGTGGGCACAGGAACAGGATATTAGCTTTTTCATCATAACTCGTACCATTTATCCAGTACATAAAAATCCTTGAAAATGATAAAGGCAAAACATCATGTTCTACTAATAGAATTTTAACTTTAAATAGAGACTTCTAGGAGCTGAAGTTAAAATAGGAAACTTTGGGGATTTAAATTTCAGGATCAATTTGGCTACGTGGCAAGAAAAGGCACTAAGGTTTTTAAAGCATCAGAGGATGGTAAACACAGGATATGTCCAGTCTGGATTCAAGCATTTAAAGGTGTGAGAGCCCAAGTTAAATTCCTCGTCCTGATGAGATGGCAACTTAAATCAGAAGGACGTTTACTTTTAAACACCAAAAGAATGTATATAAATTGCATTATTGTTCCCAATTTTCCTCTTTCCTCCCTAAAAGAAGATTGTAATCCTGTGACTTGCCATGTGACTTGCAGTAGCACCTTCTCTATGGGAGGAATATACTTCCAATTCCACTTATATCAGGTTTGACTACATGACTTGTTTTAGTCAGTGAAATGTGACTAGAAGAAACACACAGGATGTCTGAGCAGAAGTTTTAAGTGCTATTACATAGTTCTGCCATAGTTCTCTTTTATGTTTGCCCCTAGAGTGACACATACCAAAGAAAATCTGCTCCTTCAGCCTGGATTCTGGAATAAAGGACACATCTGGAGCAGACTCTGAGACAATCCTTAGTTGATTTTTAACATAAGCAAGAAATATATCTTTGTTGTTATAAGCACTAACGGCTTATAATAAAGTTTGTTACTGCAGTATAACCTAATGAAAGCTGACTAATAAAAAGTGATAACTTGAATAGCCATGCTTGCTACAGGAAAATATGAAATGAGAAAAAAGATGGGAGGAAAACATAAATTATTGTGTCAGCAGCCCCACTCCCTCAGGCTGAGTGAACGACGAGCCTGGCAGTGGGCTCAGCCTCTGGTGCAGCATGCCCAGGTCAGTGATAGGTGGGTGGCTGACATGAGCAGCTCAGCTCTAGGTTGGGCCGCTCTCTGCCCTAGGCCTCCGGGGTTGCATACATAAGGACATAGCGCTCAGAATATGTGTTTGACTATCCATGTGACATAGCCATCGAAGCTGCTATGAGAAAATATTTGAATCTCATGACCATTGTGTAGGGGAAGTAAATGCATAAAAGCAGAATATCAATGTTCTTGGAAGGCTTCACAGGCAGCACTTTCTCAGCATCAAGTGGGGATTGCTCACTCTTGTCAAAGTGATGAGACCTCAGATTTTAGAAACCAGTAGGATTTTGACATACATCAAAGAACATTTTGTAAAGGGCTGGATAGTAAATAGTTTAGGCTTTGCAAGCTGTACCACCTCTGTCGCAATGATTTGACTCTACCATTGTACTGTGAAAGCAGTCATAAACTACATGTGATGAATCATTGTGGCTATGTTCCAATGAAACTCTTTTTTTTTTTTTTTTTTTTTACAATAACAAGTGACTGGCCAGATTTGGCTTGCAGACCATGTGTTGCTGATTCTTGATCTAGTGAAAAAGAAAATGGAACTTTGTTGCACCAACAATATCATAGTCAGCAATTCGGTGTCAGTTAATGGGAAGTTGTTGTACACACCTCATTTAGAGAACCTTGAAATAACCATGCTCACTCAAGGAGCCATCATTACCACAAGTGGCATTACCCTGGGGAACCATTTGGAAAGTTTAACAGCAAATATTATATCATCAAATCCATGAAGGGTCCAGATATCTTAGCATGGGTGATCCACAAACCTAATGCAGTTTGAGGACCCCCTCTAGAAGTGACAACCAATGAGAGTACATGAAACATGCAGAGGCAACCATGAATATAGATTCTGAGAGCACAGAAAATACAAAAGTTGAGAAGTGAGTGTCTATAGAAATTCATTATTCTGCCTTGTGTCATTGTGGAATGTGCTCACTTAGTCCACACTTGGTTTGTCAGAAAGAACATTAGCTCTTAGTACATGTCAGAAGAGTAATTGTGAGTTGATTTAGGAAAGGAACACTGGAACATGGAGTTATTTGCTGTATCTTGGCTTTTTAAAAATTTTACTAGAGCAGAAATATTTTTATGTCCCAAGAAAGGCTTTTTGCTTATTAGACAAGAAATGAGCTTAAATATTTGATATTCTTTCCCCCAAAGTCCAAAACATTTAAACATAAGTTTCTTGGGAGTTTTGGTATTTAAGTTTGTTGCAATCATGGACTGAACATTCTCCTTGGCTTTTTTGCAAATCATGCTACTCTCAGAAGGTCAGAGTAGTGTTCTACAGCCTTGCTCTGTCACCGAGGCTGGAGTGCAGTTGTGTGATCATAGCTTATAGTAATCTTGAATTCCTGGCCTCAAGCAATCATCCCACCTGGGTCTACCAAAGTACTATGATTACATGGTGAGCCACAGTGCTTGGCAGAGTTCTTAAACTAGGGAGCTTCTAGCTTTTGAAAACTGCAGACTGATGGGCTTTAGAAATTCTATTAATTCTGGGGTTTGGCTCCTTAAAATGTACTTTAACCAATACTGAAGGATTGTGGTACAGTGGTCATCGAAGCATGTAGCAACAAACACAAGGACACTGATCCCTTGGAACTGAATACAGGGCACTGGTGGAGTCTCCTTACTGTGCTAGTGCTGCAGCTCTGGGGCAAAAATCTTACCTGTCAAGGCTGATGTTCAGATTCTAAAAACACCACAACGACAGTGCATAGTGCATATACCCCTGGTTTATTGATTGGATTTTATTATTTCCTACTGACCAGAGAATTTAAATTTAAGAGTACTGTTTTTAATTATGTGTGTATAACAAGTAACACAACCCATACCTATTTCATTTTAGTTTCTGAATACAAAATAGGGCATATTTTCCCTAATGTATGTTGCAATCAAACCAAAGATTTTTGTTGTTTCGGAGGAAATGCAAGTACCTCATGAGAAAAAAGTTATTTGCTAATGTCATATTTTTGTCCAAGTTTTTATTTCATATGAAAAATGATTTTACCAAAAGCATAGAAATAAAACCTGGATCCTGCTGCCTTTCTTATGTTCTTAATTTCTAATGTTACCTCTTTGTTAGTATGACCCTTGAGTAGAGCAAGAATAATGACTTTGTATAACGGATATAATAGTATAAATTTGAAGATACCCAGAAAAGATATGACCTGGGAGTCATGTAATTCAGATAAAACTACATTCAAACTAACAATAGGTTCTATATAAATAAGAAATCTGTATATAATACAATAAACTGAAGTCTAATTTGTAGTTAATTAGTGATACTTTGGGCGATTCATATAGAAGTTATATGTCTTGTATAGAAATGTAAAATCCACTATGACACTTACACGTGGAGGCATAGCAAAACCATCAGGAGACTTCGAATCAGGTAAGTATTAGTCCGCTTGCAGTTTTGCTAGTCACTGTCTGTGTGACTTTTCTCAGGTCAACTGAACTTTCTGAGCTTCATCCTCCTCCTGTGTAAAGTAGGAAGAAAAATATCCATTTCATAAAGTTATTATAAAAATTAAATGAGGCAATGTTTATAAAATATTAACATCACAGTGCTGAGAAAATTCAATTACTTTACAAAGTTTGACAACATTCCTGAACCCTGAAGAGGAATATGTTTTTTGTTTTCCTATGAGGAAAACTTATTTTTTTTTTTAACTTTTATTTTGAGTTCAGGGATACATGTGCAGGTCTGTTATATAGGTAAAGTCGTGTCACAGGAGTTTGTTGTGGTGGATTATTTTGTCACCCAGGTATAAGCCTAGGACCTGTTAATTATCTTTGCTGAACCTCTCCCTCCTACCACCTTCCACCCTCTGGTAGGTCCCAGTGTCTGTTATTTCCTTCTTTGTGTTCATGAGTTCTCATCATTTAGCTCCCACTTATAAGGGGGAACACGAGGTATTTGGTTTTCTGTTCCTGTGTTAGTTGGCTAAGAACAATGGCCTCCAGATCCATCAATGTTTCTACAAGGGACATGATCTTGTTCTTTTTTATGGCTGCATAGTATTCCATGGTGTATATGTACTGCATTTTCTTTATCCAGTCTACCATTGATGGGCATTCAGGTTGATTTCATGTCTTTGCTATGTGAATAGTGCTGCAATGAACATATGTTTGCATGTGTCATTATGATAGAATGATTTATATTCCTTTGGCTACATACCCAGTAATGGGATTGCTGAGTCAAATGGTAGTTCTGTTTTTAGCTCTTCAAGGAATCACCAACTGTTTTCCACAATGGTTGAACTAATTTACACTCTCACCAACAGTGGATAAGCATTCCTTTTTCTCCATAACCTTGCCAGCATCTGTTATTTTTTGGCTTTTTAATAATAGTCATTCTGACTGATGTGAGATGGTATCTCACTGTGGTTTTGATTGGCATTTCTCTAATGATCAGTGATGTTGAGCTTTCTTTCATGTTGGCCACATGTACGTTGTGTTTTGGAAAGTGTCTGTTCCTATCCTTTGCCCACTTTTTTTTTTTTTTTTTTTTTTTGAGACAAAGTCTCACTCTGTCGCTCAGGCTGGAGTGCAGTGGTGTGATCTCGGCTCACTGAAACCTCTGCCTCCTGGATTCAAGCGATTCTCCTGGCTCAGCCTCCCAAGTAGCTGGGACTACAGGCACAAGCCACCACACCCAGCTAATTTTTGTATTTTTAGTAGAGACGAGGTTTCACCATGTTGGCCAGGCTGGTCTCAAACTCCTGACCTTGTGATCCGCCTGCTTCAGCCTCCCAAAGTGCAGGGATCACAGGCGTGAGCCACCACCCCCAGCCTGCCCATTTTTAAATGGGGTTGTTTTTTGCTTATAAATTTGTTTAAGTTCCTTATAAATAGTGGATATTAGGCCTTTGTTAGATGTATAGTTTGTAAATATTTTCTCCCATTCTGTAGGTTCTGTTTACTCTGTTGATAGTTTCTTTTGCTGTGTAGAAGGTCTTTAGTTTAACTAGATTCCATTTGTCAACTTTTGCTTAAATGGGGTTGTTTTTTGCTTATAAATTTGTTTAAGTTCCTTATAAATAGTGGATATTAGGCCTGTGTTAGATGTATAGTTTGTAAACATTTTCTCCCATTCTGTAGGTTCTGTTTACTCTGTTGATAGTTTCTTTTGCTGTGCAGAAGGTCTTTAGTTTAACTAGATTCCATTTGTCAATTTTTGCTTTTGTTGCAATCACTTTTGATGTCTTCATCATGAAATCTTTGCTTGTTCCTATGTCCAGAATGGTACTGCCTAGATTGTGTTCCAGGGTTTTTAATAGATTGGGTTTTACATTTAAGTCTGTAACCTATCTTGAGTTGACTTTTGTACATGGTGTAAAGAAGAGGTGCAGTTTCAATCTTCTGCGTCTGGCTAGCCAGTTATCACAGCACCATTTATTGAATAGGGAGTCCTTTCCCCATTGCTTGTTTTTGTCAGCTTTGTCGAAGATTAGATAGTTGTAGGTGTGTGACTTTATTTCTGGGCTCCTAATTCTGTTTCATTGGTCTATGTGTCTGTTTTTGTACCAGTACTATGCTGTCGTAATTACTGTAGCCCTGTAGTATAGTTTGAAGTCTGGTGGCATGATGCCTCCAACTTTGTTCTTTTAGCTTAGAATTGCCTTTGCTATTTGGGCTCTTTTTTGGTTCCATATGAATTTTAAAATAGTTTTTTATAGTTCTGTAAAGAATGCCATTGATAGTTTGATAGGAATAGCACAGAATTTATAAATTGCTTTGGGCAGTGTTCTCATTTTAATGATATTGATTCTTCCTATCCATGAGCATGTAATATTTTCCCCTTTGACTCGTCTCTGATTTCTTTGAGCAGTGTTTTGTAGTTCTCCTTGTAGAGATCTTTCACCTCCCTGGTTAGCTGTATTCCTAGGTATTTTATACTTTTTGTGGCAATCGTGAATGGGATTGCATTCCTAATTTGCCTCTCATCTTGACTGTTGGTGTATAGGAATGCTAGTGATTTTTGTACTTTGATTTTGTATTCTGAGACATTGCTGAAGTTGTTTCTCAGCTTAAGGAGCTTTTGGGCTGAGACTATAGGGTTTTCTAGATATAGGATTATGTCATTTGTAAACAAGGATAACTTGACTTCCTCTCTTCATATTTGGATGCCCTTTCTTTCTTTCTCTTGCACAGTTGCTCTTGCCAGAGCTTCCAATACTATGTTGCATAGGAGTGGTGAGAAAGGGCATCCTTGTTTTGTGCAGGTTTTCAAAGGGAATCCTTCTACCTTTTGCCTATTCAGTTTGATGTTGGCTGTGGGTTTGTCAAAGATAACTTATTACTTTGAGGTATGGTCCTTCGATACCTAGTTTCTTGAGAGTTTTTAACATGAATTTTATCAAAAGCCTTTTCTGCATCTATTGAATCATGTGGTTTTTGTTTTTAGTTTTTATGTGATGGATCACATTTATTTATTTTCATATGGGACCTTGCATCCCAGGAATAAGGCCCACTTGATTGTGATGGATAAGCTTTCTGATGTGCTTCTGGATTTGGTTTGCCAATATTTTGTTAGAGACTTCTGCATCAATGTTTATCAAGGATATTGGCCTGGGGTTTTCTTTTTTTTTTAATTGTGTCTCTGCAAGATTTTAGTATCAGGTTAATGCTGGCCTCATAGAGTGAGTTAGAGAAGAGTGCTCCTCCTCAATTTTTTGGAATAGTTTCAGTAGGAATGGTATCACCTCTTCTTTGTACATCTGGTAGAATTTTGCTGTGAATCCATGGTCCTGGGCTTTTTTGGGTTGGTAGCCTATTACTGATTCAATTGCAGAGCTATTTGTCTGTTCAGGGAATCAATTTCTTCTTGGAGCAGTCTTGGGAGGGTGTATGTGCTCAGGAATGTATCTGTTTCTTCTAGATTTTCTAGTTTGTGTGCACAGAGGTGTTCAAAATATTCTCTGATGGTTATTTGTATTTCTGTGGAGTCAGTGATAATATCCCCTTTATCATTTCCAATTTTGTTTATTTGGGTGTTCTCTCTTCTCTATTAGCTATTAGTTTAGCCAGTGATCTATCGATTTTATTAATTTTTTCAAAAATCTAACTCTTGAATTTGTTGATATTTTGAATTTTTTTGTGTGACTCAATCTCCTTCAGTTTGGCTCAAATTTTGATTATTTCTTGTCTTTTGCCAACTTTGGGGTTGGTTTTCTCTTTGTTCTCTAGTTGTTTTAGTTATGATGTTGCATTGTTAAGATATTTCTAACTTTTTAATGTGGGTATTTAGTGCTGTAAGTTTCCCTCTTAACACTGCCTTAGCTGGATCGTAGAGATTCTGGTATGTTGTATCTTTGTTCTCATTAGTTTCAAAGAGCTTCTTGAATTCTGCCTTAATTTCATTATTTACCCAAAAGTCAGTCAGGAGCATTTTATTCAATTTGCATGTAATTGTATGATTTTTAGCAATTTTCTTAGTCTTGATTTCTAATTTTATTGCACTGTGGTCTGAGAGAGTGGTTGTTATAATTTCAGTTCTTTTGAGTTTGTTGAAGAGTGTTTTATTTCCAATTATATAGTTGATTTTAGAATATGTGTCATGTGGTTAGAAGAAGAATGTATATCCTGTTGTTTTGGGGTGGACAGTTCTATAAATGTCTATCAGGTCCATTTGATCCAGTGCAGATTTCAGGTCCTGAATATATTTGTTAATTTTCTGCCTTGATGATCTGTCTAATACTGTCAGTGGGGTGTTGAAACCTCCCACTATTATTGTGTTGAAGTCTAAGTCTCTTTGAATGTGATACAGTTTGGATCTGTGTCCCAACCAAATCTCATGTTGAATTGTAGTCTCCAGTGTTTGCAGGTGGGACCTGGTAAGAGGTGACTGGATCATGGGGGCAGATTTCTTATGAGTGGTTTAGCACCATCCTCTTGGTGTTGCTCTCATGATAATGAGTTCTTATGACATCTGGTTGTTAAAAAGTGTGCAGCACCTCCCCTCACTCTCTCTCGCTCATGCTAAAGGCATGTGAAATGCCTCACTTCTCCATTGCCTTCCACCATGATTAGAAGTTTCCTCAGGCCTCCCCAGAAGCAGAAGCCACTATGCTTCCTGTACAGCCAGTGGAACCATGAACCAATTAAACCTCTTTTTGTTGTAAATTACCCAGTCTCAAGTATTTCTTTATAGCAGTCTGAGAACAGACTAATACAGAAAATTGGAATTGAGTGGTGGGGCATTGCTATGAGGATACCTGAAGATGTTTAAGTGACTTTAGAATTGTGTAATGGGCAGAAGTTGGAAGAGTTTGGAGACTTAGAAGAAGACAAGAAGATGAGGGAAAGTTTGGAACTTCCTAGAGACTGGTTGAATGGTTATGACCAAAATGATGGTAGTGATATAGACAGTGAAGGCCAGGCTGACGAGGTCTCAGATGAAAATAGGAACTTATTGGAAACTGGAGTAAGTGTCACTGTTGTTATGTCTTAGCAAATAACTTGGCTGTGTTATGCCCCTGTCTAGGGATCTGTGGAATTTGGAACCTGTGAGTGATGGTTTAGGGTATCTGGTAGAAGAAATTTCTAAGCAGTAAAGCATTCAAGATGTAGCCTGGCTGCTTCTAACAACCTATGATCATATGTGTGAACAAAGAAACGACCTAATGTTGGAACTTATATGTAAAAGGGGAAGCAGAGCATAAAAGTTCATAAAATTTCCAATCTGGCCATGTGGTAGAAAAGAAAAGCCCATTTTTCAGGGGAGGAATTCAAGCAGGCTGCATAAATTTGCATAAGTAAAGAGAAGCCAAGTGATAAAAGCCAAGAGAATGGGGAAAACCACCTACTCAAGCCTCAGTAATGACAGACGCCCCTTCCCCCACCAAGCTCGAGCATCCCAGGTCGACTTCAGACAGCTGTGCTGGCAGCGAGAATTTCAAGCCAGTGGATCTTAGCTTGTTGGGCTCCATAGGAGTGGGATTCACTGAGCAAGACCACTCTGCTCCCTGGCTTCAGCCCTCTTTCTAGGGGAGTGAATGGTTCTGTCTCACCGGTGTTCCAGGTGCCACTAGGGTATGAAAAAAAAACTCCTTCACCTAGCTTGGAGTCTGCCCAAATGGCTGCCCGGTTTTGTGCTTGAAACTCAGGGCCCTGGTAGTATAGGCACCCAAGGGAATTTCCTAGTCTGTGGGTTGTGAAGACCATGGGAAAAGTGTGGTATTGGGGCCAGATAACACTGTCCCTCATGGCACAGTCACTCATGGCGGCTTCCCTTGTCTAGGGGAGGAAGTTCCCCAACTTCTTGCACTTCCTGGGTGAGGCGATGCCCCACTCTGCTTCTGTTCATCCTCCGTGGGCTGCACTCACTGTCTAACCAGTCCCAGCGAGATGAACTGGGTACCTCAGTTGGAAATGCAGCAGTCACCCACCTTCTGCATTGGTCTCACTGGGAACTGCAGACCAGAGTTGTTCCTATTCGTCCATCTTGGCTGGGAACTTTTTGTGTTATCTTTAAAGACTCATCTTTAATTTGCTCAGCTTTCATGAATTCTGGAAACAAAAAGCATATCCCGTTTAGAATCCTGCAACATAAACCCAATCTAAGCACGTTATTGTTTTGTTTTTTATAAGTACTGTGTGTTCATTGTAGAAGAATTAAAACATGCAAACTAAAAAAGAAAGAATAAAAGCTATCTATTAAATCTACAAGTCAGATAATCATTGATTGCACTTTGTATAAAAATGTCTTTGTGACATTTTTTATTTGCATTTATACATAAAAACCCTTTAGTCACTCTAAAATAAATAATAACCATCTCTCTCAATCAACTGTACTTATATAATATAGGCATTATCTTTAGTTGTTTGCATATACAATAATTCATTTAACAAATCTATATTTTTAAGTATTTAGATTATTCCACTATTTTTATTATTAAAATGCTGCAATTATAATCCCATTTATATAAAACTATTTCCTTCATTCAAATTCTTGTATATAGAATTTTTTTCCTGAATCCAAGTTCATTTAAAATCCACCATTAATTTCCACATAGAACTTTATTCTAATTTCTCTACTAGAGACTTGTTTCTTTCTCTGCTTCTAAAACGTTACCTGTATACATGCGAACTCACTGTAGCTACCTTTGCAGACACGCAGCCCATAAACCTTGTTACTGTTAATGTTTCACTAACATCCAACCTCCAATTCTGTCAAGGTGCTTTTTTCTTTTAAACAATTGTAATTGCCCTAAAATAAAGTTTTTTTCTATAACTCATTTATTATTCAGACACTAATTGAAATTCTAATATGAGCAAGACATTATTGAAAATAAAGAGAAATTTAGTAACTCTCCACCCTCGGTCACGACTTACATGATTAGAACACGGGTATAATGTTGGACATTAGCAGGGTTCCTATGAAGGTAGATTTGCTCCTTTGAATATCACTCTAGTCTCAGAATTAAATTTCCATCATGGTCTCAGTTCTGTATATTACCCTGCCTGTCCTGTGTTGGACATCATGTTCTTACTCCCGAAACCTTTCCCCATTACTTGGTTCTAGTAGTTTTCATCCTGGCAGCCCCCAGAGATGCCCTACCTTGCCTAGCCCTCTGGCTGGCTTAGTCCCATTTTGAGCTAGCTTTTACTTCTTAATCCAGACCACTGTCTCACACTGAGAGATCTCCCACATATCTATATACATACTCCTTGGCTACATGGAACTTAGTTTCTATATTTCTATGCTAAGAATTGAAGTCCCAAGCTCTGGTGCAAATTCACACCTTCATTTATTCTTTCAGTATGTATTTACTGGATACCTATACTGTGCTTAGTGCCAGGTGAACAGCAAAGCAAGGAGAGAAACAGATATGGCTCCTATCCTTGTAGAGAGTGCAGCCTTGAAGGGAAGGGATTCTAGCACCTCTCATTGCAGCACTTCTCCCAGGCATTTGTTAACAGAGATACACATGTATCTATCATGCAATGTCAAATGTCATGAAGGGTATAAGCATATGTAACTGAAGAAGTATGGGCGTTCAGGAGGGAGATCTCTTCTGAATTGGGGATATCAACAGAGAATCTGATAATGATATTAAAGTTGATCTAGAATAGGTAAGATTCTTAATGGTAGAGTAGGAAAGAACATTTTCATTATCTCTCTAAGGAGTATTGATGAGAAAAACAAAATGAGAACATCTTTCCTAATTTTAACTCTTCCACTTTCTGGTCATCGATCCTTACTGGCCTGGTTTTGTCATCCGTAAGTTGGGTGAGTGATACTGCCCCGAAGTTCCACTGCAGAGCTGTGAGATCAAACCAAGATAATGTAATTGGATATATTTTTAAATTGTTCAGTGATCTACAAGCATAAGGAACATTTAAACGTTCAGCGTTAGCATTTTGGGTGTCAAGATATCAAATCATAATTAATAATTCTACCTGAAACTCATTTAAAGAAAATTCATCATAGGAAAATACAAAATACTTTCATTGTAAGTTCAGCTATTATTTTGGCAAGTGATCTTTCAAGTTAGATTGAAGTTTTATGGAGTAATTTCATAAATTATATTACTAATTGCAGTAACTCTCATTAATGTATTGAGTACTCTGATAAATACCTTACATCCAACCTTTTTGGCACCACAGGCCGGTTTTATGCAAGACAGTTTTTCCACAGGTGGGGGCGGTGTGGCAGGGAGGTTTTGGGATGAAGCTGTTCCAACTCAGAAAATCAGGCATTAGTTAGTTTCTCTTACGGAGCATGCAATCTAGATCCCTCACATCACAGTAGGGTTCATGCTCTTATGAGAACCTAATGGTGGCCTGACAGGAGGTGAGGCTCAGGCAGTATTGCTCCCTCACCTGCTGCTTATCTTCTGCTGTGCAGCCTGGGTCCTAACAAGCCTGATTACCTGTTCGTGGACTGGTTAACAGTTCGTGGACTTGGGGTTGGGGACCCCGGGCTTATATGTATTATCTTATTAAATTCTCATCACAACACAGTCAAAAAGAAACCACAGTCTTTTTATTTTACAGACAAGTATATTGAGTCTTAGCGAATTTGTGTGACTTGTCCAGTGTCACTTCAATGTTAAGTGATATAACAAGGATTTAAACACAAAATTCTAAAACTCAGCAACCTATAACCACAAAAGTACAAATAGTACTCCATCAAATAATTTACTTTTCAATTTTTAAGAGCTACTGTAATGATAATGGTGGTGATAGTTGCAAAGTCAGAAGTTGGGCTGACTAGACTACAATGTTGAGGCTCAGAAGACCTAGACAGGTAACCCGAGGTCACACTTTACTTTCGTAATCTATTACTGTGTCACAGACCTTTTGCTTGAGACTTGAAATGGTAGTCTTATTTTGCTCACATTTTTGGTGGTCTGGAATCCAGGAAGAGCCTGCCTGGGTGTCTGTCTCTAATTCACATGGTATCAGCTAACGCAGCTGGGGCTTGAGGAACCACTTTCAAGAAGGCTTCTTTATGACACATTCCGCACCTCAGTTTCCTTGACCTCTCTTGTTCTCCACATGGTCTCTCATCCTCCAAGGTTTGTCCACATGGCGTGGGCTTCTCACAGCGTGGCGAGCTCAGAGTATTTGTACTCCTTAGATGGGGACTGACATCCATAAGGCACAAAGCACGTATGCCAGGCCACTGAAGGCCAATGGCCCAAACTGGCAGGGCATCATTGCCACTATGTTCTATTGATTAGAGCAGTTGCAGTGCCTGCCCAGATTCAGAAGCTGGAGACATGGACACCAACTTATGGGGGATTGTGGAAAACTCACATCACAAAAGAAAATGTAGGATAAGAGTTCCTATTAGAGATACCTTTGAGAAATACAATCTACCACACAGATTTGATCAGTGGCTGAGGTCAAGTATTTCAAGTATCTAATACCAAGGATTAAATTCTTCATTTTTGCATTACACTGAAACTTAGACAGCCTAGCAGAACAATGATCAATGGACCTATTTTTAAAAATTCAGCATGACATCAACACATGCCACTGCTGATAAGCTGACATTCACATTTCCATCAAACTTCTTCAGAAGATGACAGTTTCTGTTCCGCTGAGTACACTGAATTTGCTACTTTTGCCTGCAGTCCTTGCATTCATGCCATGGCTCCACCCTCTTTTAAATGCATAAACCTAGTGGATTCAGGACTTCAGCAGTTAGGATAGGTACATTTCAGGGGTCAGAGGCTACTTAGAAATGGCATTGTTTTTAATTTTTAGGACATGCTGCATTCTTCAGCATCTTGGGGCTTAGTCATTGCCAAAATCTGCGTTTGAAAGCAGGGTTTTCTATATAAGAATGAATTCTCCACCACATGATTAAAGTTATACAGTGAACAGAGCTGCAAAATATAACTGGAACAAATTTCAAAATTTTGTTATATATAAACACTACTCATATTGAGAGGTCACTTTTTAAAAAAAGACTGGAAACTAAAGTAATGACTGTGAAACACACAGTATCTCTGTTCTGCTTGCCTCTTTGAAAGTAGTAAAATAGCTGTGTAACAATGTTTTTTAAATAGCAATTTATTTCTTGATTCTCAAACCTCTGCCCTCCACAGTACCTATTTCACTTCATGTAAAACCAGAATGCTGTTATTCATAAACTATAATGCTTCCCAGATGCCTACCTTGTAGGATGTCAGATTTAGCAAACAAAAATACAGGACATCCAATTAAATTTGAACTGCAGATAAACAATGAATAAATTTTTAATATACGTATGTTCCATGGAATACTTAGTACATACTTACACTAAAATATTCTTTGTTGTTTATCTGATATTTTAGTTCAACTGGACATCCTTATTTAATTTGCCAATTCTACTACCATGGTATAGGCCTTGTACTAGGCACTAGGAGTACTACTGTGAGTGAGTAGTGATTACTGCCCTCCAAAGACTTGTAGCTCAGTGAATTATACATTGTGAAAAGGCAATGACAGAGAAGTGGAAGAGATGCTACAAGAGATGGAAGTAAATGCAGACTGGACAGGTAAGCTAGGCTAGATGACAAAGGGCTTGAAACTATGGGCAATAAAGACTACTGAAAAAGTTTATAAGTAGTGAAGGCATAATCAGATTCACCATTTTTGAAGGCACACTTTGGCTGCAGTCTGGAAGGAGGAGCAAGATTGGACAGGGACACGCATGAGGACCCTGCAGTGATCCAGGAAG